>NC_000001.11:156934587-158184587 GCF_000001405.40 Homo sapiens | reverse complement strand
CTTGAAAAACGGTTAAAGCCAAGCCAGGTCCTGACTTTATACTTGACAACAAGCAGCTGCAGCTGATTCCTTTGGATAGGACATGTGTGTTCCAGTTCCTTACAGATCCCATCACACACACTCACATCAGCTCTTACCTGCTTGTCCCTGGTAGGTCTTCAGATACAAGTTTGCACACCTTTGCACTTCTGATTTCACAGAGCCATTTGGGCTTATAAACTTGTAGTGTAATTTTTGAAAAAGAATTTAAATTCTTTTAGATAAATGTTAAAAGGGTGTGATGAAAGCTGCCTCATGACTGTTCTCTACTTTTTCAAGGTATCTCTCCTATCTTCAATTCCTTACATCTTCAATTCCTGAGCAGACCAGGACTGAAGTCTTAGGAACCTGAGGTCCAGAGGTCCTGGGTTCCAGAGACACAGATGTGGCAAGGCGAGTCACAGGACGCCCTGATAGGAACTGTGAGAGAATAGAAAGGGAAAGACCATTAAGGAAAAGGGAAGCCAGGAATGAAGGGGAGAGAGGTTGAGGAAAGGGAAAGGGGAGACTTACGTTTGCCTCTTAAACCGGGAGGTAAAGCCCACAATGAGGAGGAACAGCAAGCACGCCAGGACTGCCAAGGCAATCAAGCCCATGGAGGTGTAGCTCCCACCTGCTCTGGAGGAACATAGGCTGTCTCTCAGCACAGGACCCCTCTCTACATATATCCAATCCCCTGGTCTAGGCATGTGTGAGGGTACCAGGTGCTTCTTATTTCCTCCTCCACTTAAAACCCCAATTTCTATTCCTCATAAGTTTAGATTCCCCATCTTGTTTTCAGTGCCTGGGCATCCCAAATTCAGCCCACTTTGACATTTGCTAGTGTAGCATAGAGGGAAAGGGCAACAGCTTTGTAGCAAGGCAGACCTGAATCTAAATCCAGCCCGTCCACTTTCTATGTGGCTCCGGGCAGTTAACCTATCTCCGCCTTCATTTCCTCATCTATATAACGAAAAGAGCAGTACTTGCTTCAAAGAAAACTGTGAATGATGAGATGAGATATTATATGCAGATTCATTGGCCCCTACACAGGGAGCACTCAACCAACCAAGCTATCTTTGCTAACCTGCCTTCCCAAAGGCCTGGCTCCCTTTAAGCCAAGGAATGAATCGTCCTGGGATTGTTTATTCGCTGCCTACTTCTGGATCCCTGAGTTTTGTAGTCTTGTTTCTTCTTGTATATAGAGAGCACTATTTCAATCCTTTTAGACTTTCAGGTCTTTATTTCCCTCCTTCCTGTGTCTGGAACCCCTCTCTCTATCCTTTTACTGGGGGCCTCATCTCTGAAACTCCTCTAACCTGGGTATATCAAGCCACATCCCACCCCAGTGCCTCCCTCTATGCCTGAGGACCACCTCCTGCCATTTCCAGCTTGGGCCCAGCTTTTTCTCACCCCAGTAGAGGACGATGTCCTGGCCCTCTAGACTGCTGTGCTTCACCCGACAGGACAGGCCAGCTGCCTCCCCAGCCACCACATCCAGGGTTGCTCGGAGATACCATGTCTCGTCAGCATTGGGCAGGATGTCCCCTGGCTGAGTGCCCTGCTGCTCCTGCTCACCCCGCATCCACTTCACCCATACAGGCTTTGGGTAGAATCCTGAGACATGGCACACCAGCAGCAGACGGCCAGGGCCAGGACTGGGGCCACGGGACAGCCAGGCCTTGGGCTTCACTGTATCCAACAAGGGAATGGGGGGGATCTTAAAGTGAAAACTCTGCATTAGAGGCTCCAGGCCTCATATCATCCTTTTTGACTTTCAGGTCTTTATTTCCCTCCTTCCTGTATGCCCCTGACATGTTCACTTCTGGAAATGAAGTCTCCCACAACTTTCAATCCATTTGTCCCACCTTCTTCAGGGAGCCTGCCCTGATACTCCTTCTTCTTCTCTGGTCCCAGCCTCCTATGAATGCCCCTTGTCTGTTCCCCTATAACACCCTTTGTTTTGAAGTAACATATGTAGCCTATTTCAAGCATTGCATTAATTAACATCCCCCTACCAAGCAGGGATCCTAACTAACTGCCTGACACCTTTCACCCCCAGTTGTTCATTAATTGAATTCATAGAACCCAAGAGGTGCTCAGTTGATGTCTGTGAAATGAATAAATACCCTCACCCCTTATCCAGCCCCTCCTGGGCCTTCCTCTTCTTTGAATGCTCAAAGGGATGAGAACCCTGGAATGGAAAAGCCCGTTTGGAGCCCTGAAGTGGAATGCAGGGAGTAAGGAAGGCAGGCTGACCTTGCTTCTTCAGTTCCGACTTCCCTGACTCAAGGAGGCCACTGACAAATTGGGGGCAGGTGCCATTAAGGAGCCACTGCACTGTTTCCCTCGTCCACTTGTCCTGGTTGAGCACTTGAATGGCCAAGTTTACCCAAAGTGGGGCCTCTTGGGTTGGCTCCCAAGAAGTTCCTTGGAAACTCAGGATATCTTTTCCTTGAAATGCTACATGGAAGAAGTTATTTGAGGCGTTCCCAGGGTGCACCTCACAGCCAGCGGACACCTGGAGCTCCAAGGGATCTGTGGAGAGGAATGGAGAAAGATCAAAGAAGGGTTTAAAAGACTGGGAGAGATGAAAGAGAAGAAATTGATGTGCAGGTTATAATGGGGACCCAGACTTCAGGGAAAGGAAAGTAAGTGACCTGGAGTAGGCAGGAACGAGGGACACTTTGAGGAGTCAAAGCCTGGGACATCTCCAGGTAGAAGGGAAATCAGAAGAGGGTGGACAGAGCAGAGAATCTCATCAGGTGGTGCCACAGTCTCCCAGTTGAGTTTCTGTGGCCATTCTCTCCCCTTGGGTACCGGCCCAGGATCCTATCCCTCAGCTCACAGGATAAGCGTAGCATTTTGGCGAATTCCTTCACGTCCCTGGTGAAGCTGCTTCGATAAACCCGAAATATATGCTGCAGCGTCTCCCACTGCTGGTCGCTGAACGTGCCCTGGGACCAAGGCTTCAGAGAGCGGACGGTGTCCGAGTCGTTGCTCCAGCTGTGCGTCTGCAGCTCCCCCAGCCACGCCAAGCCGTCGGTGCGCGTCCAGCTGCTATTGGCGAAGGACGAGATCTGGAGGCAGCGGAGGGGGAAAAGCCTTTGCGGGACTGGGAGAGAATGAAGATTGGAGGCGTGTAGCAAGTGGCCGGGAGAGCAGCCAGCATAAAGAGAAGGAAGAAAGAAACAAGAGGAGATGAGCTTCAGGAGGCGGCTGATGCCAGCGAACTCTGTGCCGCGCTGCCTCTCCCCGGAGCCAGGGAGCAGCGAGTTTTCTACCTAGATCGCGCCAGTGCGTCCCGGGTCTCACCAGTCCCCATCAGGCGTTGCCCTCCCCGTCCCTACCCAGCTCCCTCTCTCCGCCCTCCCGCGAGTGCACTCAAGCGCCCTCGTTCCACCCACCTTCAGCGCTTCCCCAAGCCTGGAGGAGCGCCCAGAGCAGCAGAAACAGCAGGCACCCCATATCGCCCGGCGTGGGGACCTCGCGGAGCGCCGCTGCGCGCCGCCCTCTGACCTGCGCACTCTTCTCCCCCGCCGCTCAGCTCACGTCCCTTTCCGCTGGGTGCCAGCCAATTCCCAAGCCCAGACCCCGGCAGCCCTCCTCGCTGGGCTTGCCGGCGGTTTGCTGCTTCTGCCGAAGGGCGCCCTCGCCCTTAGCTGTGCGAGCTGCAAAGAGGTCGGGGTCCCAGGAATCCTGGCGCCGCCGCTCACTTCAGTAGGTTTCACAACCGGCGTGTCTCAATTTCCTGTTTCAAAGGAGACTTTGGGTCAACGTGTGGGACGCTTTACAACCATTATTTATGTTTTGGAAGCAGGACATAAGGTTGTGTCTGTGTTACAATTCCAACCATGGTAAAAATGCAAAGGGAAAAAAGGATCAAAGTCCTTGCTTTAGCAGTACATGTCTCTAGGTGGAAAGACTATGAGTGATCTTAATTTGCTTTACATCTTTATGTTTTCCAAAATTTCTCAAGTGCAAGTACCACATTTACAATAAAGTAAACGCATGAAAATTAATTTCCTCAGTTGCACATTGAGAGAACTGGATTAGGTTGGCTACAATTCTTTACAACTGTCATATCCCAGGATTCCTCCACCTCAGTGTTCCCTAGCCTCTCTTTCCTCCTGTCATGGTCCTTGCTCTCCCCTCCCCGGCCTCTGCTCTGTCTTCCCTGTCTCCTTTTTGGGGACGCGCCCCCAGACTCTCTTCCTCCTCTCCGCCCTAGGCTCTGCCGGCATACCTTCTCCTCTGGCTCCTGACTCATTCACTTTCCAAATATGCGCCTCTGTCTTAAACAGTAAGTGTAAGATGACAGTGTGTACCTGGACAGCCAACTCGCCACTTCTCACACTGAAAATAAGAAAAAGTGACCAAAAATCGTGGTTCTAAGCCTTAGCTCACCTGGAGGAAAAGACTCCTCTTTGGCAACTCAGAACCTGGGCTGCAGCCTGACACCTCCCTCTCCCTCACTCTTTTTATCCAATCTATCTCCAACTCATCTCTATTTCACTTCTTTTTGAATACCTCTTGAATAAATTCCTTTTTCTATATTTCCACCGTCACCATCACCCTAACCTTTTGACTGATCTCCTGAAGTAGCATTCTTGGGTAGAAAACAAAATCATTAGCACGGCCTGCAAGATTATGCGCCCTCTAGCCCTGGTGTCTACCTTTTGACATCACCTCACACCCCAGCATCATTTGCTCTGTACTGTAGCCTGGCTGTTAGCTTTCAGTTCCTCCACTATGCAAAACCTCTTCCTGACTAAGGTCTCTGCACAAAGTTCCCTCTACATGAAAGCTCTTGACCTTCTCCTCACCTCACCCCCTCCCAATGCCTAGTTATTTCCACTAAGGTATCAGTTCCAAGGTCACTTTCTCAGGGAAGTCTTTCCAGATCTGCCAGACTGTGTGACCCTAGGCAGGAGAAGTAGGGCAGTCCCAACCTCCACTGCTTGTACACTAACTGGCTTTGAGAAGCCATCCTCTCAGCATGTAGCAGAGTTTATAATTATAGAAATGGCCATATGTCTGTCTCCCTCTGTGTCCTCTTCTAAATCAGCTGGAGAGGTGCCAGAAGGCAAGGATCATGTCTCCATAATCTGATTCCTCCCATTCTGCTAACGTTAATGTTTCCCTTCTCCCATATCCTGTTGCAGCAAGAGTCCTAGAGAAAATAGGCTACTGCACCACACTCTAGGCTGGGATCTTGTAGACAGCCCTAACCCAGCCTATCTAATTATGTGTAATTTGCCCAAAAAAGCTTAAAATAACATAGTAACGTGTTCTTGTAACAAATAAGGTGTTAAATTATTAAATTTGGATACAAAATTGCCTAAATAATGGATAGGAGGGAAGCTATGAGAAATAAAAAGAAAAATAATTATATGACTCATGGGGCAATATTTTTAACTTTACTTTCTTCAAATTTCCAAGCTCCCTTTAAAAACTTGAACAGTTCTGTTTAGTTTTTGTGTATCTTAAAAATTTTAAGTGCTAACATTCTTGCACACTTAAAGACAAGAAGCTGGTTTGTGTGTGTGTGTGTGGTTTTTTTGTTTTTGTTTGTTTATCAACAGAGGCCAGGCTATATTACCTTCAGAAGTTAGGACTATCTGGAATTATACGGATATTTTTTCCCAAAGGTCAGTTGAGTTAGACACTTTTTGGCTATTGGAACTTTCACTGCTTTTTTTCTGGGAAAGGAACCATTGAATTATGAAACGTTTTGCAATATGTTACCTAAACAAAATATTTTATAACAAGACTGACTCAGAATACCCTAGCACAGAGAGATGGTGATTTACTCAGAGCCTTAAAATAAGCCCACGGTGGGTACTACATGATCTCACTTATATGTGGACTCTAAAATAGTTTACTATTTTATGGAAACAGAGTTAGGGTAGTGGTTTCCAGGAGCTGGAGGGAAGGGGCAAATGTGTTAATTTTGGTCAAAGGGTTTCAGCCTCTCAATTTTGAGAGGCTGACCAAAACCTTGGAGCCTGATCATAAGGGACTTACTTGGTTTCAGTTCAGAATTCACAATTCACAACGTCAAATTAGTTGGAATCTTATATGCTTTCTTCATGTTTTTGTTATCCTAACCATAAGGAGACCATTTAATGTACAAAGGATAGCTGCATATGAGAATTTAAGATTCTTGAGAGGACACATCAGGGAAACTTTTATAATAGCTATCAGGAGGATAATACCAACGAACTAAAGAACTCTTCTTAATAGCACTTTCCACAAGCCAACCTGATCAAAATCAAACAATTCAAAGTTCAGTCAATAAAGTTTAACAGCATTCAAGTGCAATTGCTCATAGTCTTTATTCAGAGCATAATGGTGATCAAGGACCGTAGTTTGCTGTAAAATGGCCTGATTTAAAGAGGTATTCATTTTTGTAAGTAGCCTGATAATACAAACCACAGTAACCTGGAGATCCACTAAAAGAAACATAAGGATTAGAAAACCTTGTGATAGCTCTCTTACCTCTCGGACGTCCAGTCCCAGGAGCAAAACTCCAGCGACTTTGGGCCCCGCCCCCGTGAAAGTGGAGGGCGGCCGATGAGGACGGTTCTGAGGGAACTAGACCAATGAGACTAGCCTGGGGCGGGGCGCGGGGCCAGAGGGTGGGGCAGGTGGCGGCGATGGCAGTCCGAGGTCTGGCTCCGCGCAGTATATGACAGTACGCCAGCAGCGGGATGGCCCTAGCAGTGGCGGCGGCTGCAGAAGCCCAAGCAGCTGCGGCCGCAGTGGAGGCTGGAGCTGGACTGGCGGCGGCGGCACCTCTGGGAGTTTAAGATGTCGGGGGTGGGGGGGTCGCGGGGCAGCGCTATGGGCTCTCGTGCGGACGGCTGGGGCAGGACAACATCACCGTACTGCATGTGAAGCTCACCGAGTCGGCGATCCAGGCGCTCCAGACTTACCAGAGCCACAAGAATTTAATTTCTTTTCGACCTTCAATTCAGTTCCAAAGACTCCAGGAGCTTGTCAAAATTCCCAAAAATGATCCCCTCAATGAAGTTCATAACTTTAACTTTTATTTGTCAAATGTGGGCAAAGACAACCCTCAGGGCAGCTTTGACTGCGTCCAGCAAACATTCTCCAGCTCTGGAGCCTCCCAGCTCAATTGCCTGGGATTTATACAAGATAAAATTACAGTGTGTGCAACAAACGACTCGGATCAGATGACACGAGAAAGAACGACCCAGGCAGAGGAGGAATCCCGCAACCGAAGCACAGAAGTTATCAAACCCGGTGGACCATATGTAGGGAAAAGAGTGCAAATTCGGAAAGCACCTCAAGCTGTTTCAGATACAGTTCCTGAGAGGAAAAGGTCAACCCCCATGAACCCTGCAAATCCAATTCGATAGACACACAGCAGCAGCAGCGTCTCTCAGAAGCCATACAGGGACAGGGTGGTTCACTTACTGGCCCTGAAGGCCTACAAGAAACCGGAGCTACTTGCTAGACTCCAGAAAGATGGTGTCAATCAAAAAGACAGGAACTCCCTGGGAGCAATTCTGCAACAGGTAGCCAATCTGAATCCTAAGGACCTCTCGTATACTTCAAAGGATTATGTTTTTAAAGAGCTTCAGAGAGACTGGCCTGGATACAGTGAAATAGACACTTGGTCATTGGAGTCAATGCTCTCTAGAAAACTAAATCCATCTCAGAATGCTGCAGGCACCAGCCGTTCAGAATCTCCAGTATGTTCTAGTAGAAACGCTGTATCTTCTCCTCAGACACGGCTTTTGGATTCAGAGTTTATTGATCATTTAATGGATAAAAAAGCCCGAATATCTCACCTGACGAGCAGAGTACCACCAACACTAAATGGTCATTTGAATCCCACCAGTGAAAAATCTGCTGCAGGCCTCCCTCTGCCCCCTGCAGCTGCTGCCATCCCCACCCCTCCACCGCTTGCCTTCAACCCATCTGCCGGTTTCACATCCTCCTCAGATTGTAAATTCTAACTCCAATTCCCCTAGCACTCCAGAAGGCCGGGGGCTCAAGACCTACCTGTTGACAGTTTTAGTCAAAACAATAGTATCTATGAGAACCAACAAGACAAGTATACCTCTAGGACTTCTCTGGAAACCTTACCCCCTGGTTCAGTTCTATTAAAGTGTCCAAAGCCTATGGAAGAAAACCATTCAGTGTCTCACAAAAAGTCCAAAAAGAAGTCTAAAAAACATAAGGAAAAGGACCAAATAAAAAAGCACGACATTGAGACTATTGAGGAAAAGGAGAAAGATCTTAAGAGAGAAGAGGAAATTGCCAAGCTAAATAACTCCAGTCCAAATTCCAGTGGAGGAGCTAAAGAGGATTGCACTGCCTCCATGGAACCTTCAGCAATTGAACTCCCAGATTATTTGATAAAATATATTGCTATCATCTCCTATGAGCAACGCCGGAATTATAAAGATGACGTCAGTGCAGAGTATGATGAGTACAGAGCTTTGCATGCCAGGATGGAGACTGTAGCTAGAAGATTTATCAAACTAGATGCACAAAGAAAGCGCCTTTCTCCAGGCTCAAAAGAGTATCAGAATGTTCATGAAGAAGTCTTACAAGAATATCGGAAGATAAAGCAGTCTAGTCCCAATTACCATGAAGAAAAATACAGATGTGAATATCTTCATAACAAGCTGGCTCACATCAAAAGGCTACTAGGCGAATTTGACCAACAGCAGGCAGAGTCATGGCCCTAGAACTCTGCTTGGACCAGAACATGTGAATAAACTTAAGCTTATTTATTTAAAATTCCAAATGAGTTGCTCTAGATTCTAAAAAGGTGAAACTTTGGCTGTTGAAAGTTTCAGTATTAGTAAACTTCAGTTACTTTTTCTTTTCCATTTTACTTTGCTTCCCTGCATTTCAAAGCTGCTCTTTCTGGTTCTCCCCACCACCCCACCACCGAGACTTGTGTTTGTTAATGGAAATAATTTTTTAGGAATTGGGGATCCATTGTCTATATTTCAAATCATTTTTTCCTCAAAAACTTGTGTTTGTTATTAGAAATAATTTTTTAGATATTGGGGATCCAGTGTCCACACTTAAAAGTTGTATGTGTTTAAAAAACAACAACAGTAGTGTGCAAGGTGAGATGCTTTTGAATAAACGTAAGCCTATTTTCTGACCTTTCTTAATGCAAACTCTTTGCCTTAAATGGTAGGATATTTAGAAATTTGCACAAAATTAAAAAAATAAACATTGTCTTGGAGGGTTAAAAAATAGAAAGGTGTACGTGTATAGATTCACATACACATATGTATATACAGGCTGACTTGATCTAGAACATTAAATCCACCCTGCAAGTTAACCCCCCATTGCAATGGTTGCCTTAAGGTATTTGCTAGTTGTGTATATAGTGTGGTTAATCACTAGCTACACTGTTTCCCACTTGATTAGAGCAATGGGAAGCATATTTTGGCCTACCAGCATCTGGAAGTGTGTGCTCAATCTGTATGTGTGCAGAGGCGGTGTGGATGTGAGCGTGCATGAAGGAAAAAAGCTGCTACTCCTAGTAGGCCAAACGCTCAGGTTAAACAACTGACGAGTGTTACTGTAGGGTGTTTTTTTGTTTTGTTTTGTTTTTTCTATCAAATTGCAACTTTTGTTGTGGAAGACAAAAGCATTTCCATTTCAACGAGTTTGTCAGCTTTATTAATGTTGGGCAAAAATTGATATGTCATGAAAATGAAACAGATCTATAGTTTTGGGACAAAATTATAAAATTAAATGTGTAGGTAACCTATTTATATACTGCTGTAAAGTATTTTTTGAAGAGAGATATGCAAAGAAGCTATTACCTACATAAGATGTATACTTAAAGATTTTTTTTTCATCCTGGTGCCAGGAATATAAAAAAGAGTGGATATATTTAACCATAACATACTGTGATTCATCAAGCAGCACAAACTTTCATTTCATGCAGTTTATGTGTTGACGTTGATTTAAACTGTCACTTGTTTTATCATGTGGGAACATAAGTTATGTGGTCAAAAATATAAGGATTTTGAACTAATACTGATTCAATTTGCATTGTCTTATTGTATTGTCTTTTCAAAGTGCTGCCAGTTGAAAAGGGAAGCATTATGTTTACAAATCTGTTTTGAAATGTTTGCCAAAATTTTGGTAGTGTCTTTAATAAAGATGTTTGTCTCCAGCATCCAGAAAAACAAATAAATAACTTTGTTGTGAAAAAAAAAAAAGAAAACCTTGTAATAGCCAAGTTTGCCATCCACTATGAAGGATGCCTGCAAACCAATTGTTAGCTGCTCCTGTAAATACATTATGTGTCTTTCCCCTAAACAAAAAAAAATTCCTTAATGTATTTGGTGGCAGCATCTAGAGGAACAGCAATATTAGCTACCTTTTTAAGTAAGTGTCAGATAGTAGTAAAATCAGAGAAAAGACAAGTGCAACATTCAGTTTTGTTCAACACCACATACAATGCCCAATAGGGGCATAAAGGAGATCTAAGGCTATAAGATGTTTCATTAAGTGTTTAGTTAAACAAAAATGTTTTAGAAAGTGTCTGCAACCCTGGAGGTCTCACTGGCTCCAAATGCAAGATTTTTCCCCAACTTGAACAGATTGGTTTCAAACTCCATACAACTAGTACCCCACTGCTGCCAACAGTGAGCCCCCAGGAACTTTATTGGAACCTTTCCTCCACAGAAAATAACTGATCTTCATCTGTTTTGAGGTTGGTTCTAATTTCAGTTATTGACCTCTTTGGCCTGTGAGTACCATGGGTAATTCCAGGCAGAGCTTTTTGGAAGGCAGGAGTGAGCAAGACCAAACAGAAAGATCCAAGCCAGCAAGGAGGCAATGTACAACAGAGTACACAATTTCTCCATAGACCCAATATAGGATCTCAGGGGCTGAAAATGAGGTGAAAAATACCTAGTGGTGTTTGAGCAGAGGTCAAGTTATTAATAAATTTATCTGCCCATAAGTGAGCATAGCTCCTGAACAAGGTCCAGTGGGAAACTGACCTTTTTGTGGTCCTTTTATAGCATACTGTAAGGGTACATAAACACGTTTAGTGGAAAGACACCTCACTACATTTAATCTAGTAAGATCATATAAGCAATTACTCTTACCCACATAGGTAGTCCCCAGGTCTTGAGTTTGCAATACTTGGAGGCACAATATCCCTTCTGCAGGCATCACTTGGATAGATTTCATATACTTGGTAGTAATTAGGTTAATTATTGGAAAGGTTAGGGTATTGTTTCCATTGAGTGCAGGAAGCCAAATAACAGTGATGCTAGAATATCAGGGATAGCTTTCCATTCTTCCTTTGAGATTTCAGGTGGACTCTCGCTGGGAAAACAAAGAGGCACTGGCATTAATGGAATTGTTTTATCATTTGGGGGCATTAGTCCACACACCCCAAAATTGCTCTGGTTTCTTGCTAGAGCATAAGCCTTCACTAAAGCCATTCACAGATTATGGTCCCATGGATTTTCCTGTAAGAAAAGAGAAGAGATTAGAATAAAAAGAAACACAATGAAAAAGACAAGACTTTTGTGATACCAGAGAAGTCTTGATCATCAATCTTGGGAGAGCTGTCCGCATCTAGAATGCCATCTGCTTATGGCCAAATCTTCTGTAGTCAGTTTCACCTTAAGATCTCTAATAGGTGTACAGTTTCAGGAGTCTTGAGGGCCCACTTTGAGCTGAGAGATGTGGATCCAATACTTAAGGCCCCGAAGTTTGCTGCAGAAAACTTGGTATTGTCCCCTTCCACTAGAGGTCAAGAGCAGTCTTTCCCAGGTGTCACTTCCAAAAGACCCAATTTCTGAGTTTTAGACTGTGAAAGATCTGATTATCATCATTTGACAGGCCACAACGGGTTTCTTTTAGCTGGTGAAAATATGCTTTGGGATAATGCATTAAAGCCTGGCACTATTCAGCCATGTCAGAGTTTATAAGAGGGGCCAATACCTGAGTTTCCATTATTAAGGGCATAGGTATTTCAGTAACTCTTTTATAAGAGATCAATGTATGTTTTCCAGTGGTAGTGGATCTAATTGCCATCAACTGGTAACATCTTTGAATAAAGCAATTCAATCAATTCAGTTAGCCGTACCTAATACCATCGTGTTTGAAATATCTTATTTGACTGACTTATAATTTGATCAGTAAAGTGGGTTCCTCTGTTGCTGGATATTTTTCCAGGGATGCCCCATAAAGGGAACACATTTTCTAATAACTTCTTTTTCTCTTTCTTTTTCTTTTGTCCTTTTTTTTTTAGACATGGGGGTTTGGTTCTGCTGCCCAGGCTTGAGTGTAGTGGCACAATTGTAACTCACTGCAGCACTGAAATCCTGGGCTCAGGATCAGGCAATACTCCCACCTCAGCCACCAGAGTAGCTGGGACTACAGGTCATGCTACCATGCCTGACTAATTTTTTTTGTTTTTGTAGAGATGAGCTCTCAGTATCTTGTTTTAAACTAGAATGGTTTGTTGTTCTAAAATGAGAGGAGTAAAAGTATAGGACAAAAAGTGAATGAATGAAAAAGTTGTAGAAGGTTTGTGGAAGATGAATCTTGTGAAAGGAATTTTATGTGTGATCAAGCTGGCTAAGATTAGAAGAGAATTAGTTATATGTTTGCTCAGGCTGCAGGCTGATCTTGAACTCCTGGCCTCAAGCAATCTTCCTGCTTCAGCCTCCCAAAGTGCTGGGATTATGGGTATGAGCTACTATGCCCAGCCACTAATAACTTCTTAACTATCATCATAGCATCAGCTTTTCTACATGGGAAAGCTTTTATACAATCAGAAAACATGCAAAGTATTACAAGAACATTATGACACCTCATTAAGGGTAGAAATCGAAATTCACAGTCTACCTGTGAAAGTTCAAGTGATCCCTCAAATGGTAAAAATACACCACCTAAACTTTTGATTGTCTTATCAGAATTATGGGTTTGACAAGCCAAACATTTAGCACTTTTAGAAGAGTCGCCCCATCAATATTTTTTCACAATTTGGATCCTTTTATCTCTTCCATGATAAGTCATGGAGTGCAGAGCTTTTGATAATGGAAACTTTAAGGACTCAGGAAGAAGCAGGTAGCCATCCAGGTGCATAGCATTGTTTGTTAAATAAGTTATCATAGGTAATTTGACTTAACTCAATCTTTTTGGAGTTCATTCAAATTGCATATCTTAATAATTTCAGTACTGGCTGACTTAGTAGGAAAATCCGCCAGGTCATTTCCTTGGTATTTAATTAATTCTTGTTCTGCCTGATATTGGGTTAGTTTTGTGAACCAGTCACTTGCTCCACTAAAGTTCTGGGAGTTCTTGCCCAGTCCAATGGTATGATCTTGAAGTTATCAGAAACCTGTACTTGTTAGAGTATTTTTCATTAATCTCCATGAAGATGAAACACTTTAGGCTTATAGTTAGGAAAGTATCAGAGTAAACAATTAACCACCTGTAAATGACAAGACCTGAAATGTCCATGGTTAAAGATATGATGACAGTTCATTATAATAATGATTCAATTGACAAAGTGTTTTGGTTATTTCTGTTGCATAAAACATTTTAAGATAATAACTAGAATTATAACTGTTAGAGTTATACTAGGACTATTAGATTTCTATAAACTTTATACAGTTTCTGAAACACATCAATAACATATCTATGCAAATAGGGCTCAAAGAAAATTTGGCATTACTTTTATTATTTGACAATGCTTCCCATATAATTTAATATGTCAAATAAGCCCAGTTATTTTAGTATCTCTCTTTTTATCAGGAGAGGTATTCCTTTGAAAAGTTCCAAAAGTTCATCTTGAAAATACCAAAGTTTATTTGAGGTCCAGAAAAAGAATTAATTTAGAATTTGATTTTAGAAGTTTATCAAAAATATCAAAGAGTTAAAATATTTGATCAAAATAGGATCACAGGTCACTGTGAACAATTCATTTATTTAACCAAGGTAATATTAAAAGACTTCAAAGACAAATATAGAAAGTTACATAGTTATAGAAAAACCTGAGCTCTTTTAGTAGAGAAGTCTCAGCGTTCTTAAGTAATCAAAAACCTGAAAAAGACAACATAAAGCAAAGGAAATTATCTTGGTAAAACATGGAATCTTTGTTTTTTGGGCCAATTACGCAAAAGGTAAAGGAAGACCTTTCCCAATTTCCTATTCAGAGCAGATAAATACTGCAAAAAAGTTGTGTTGTTTTAACAGGTGGACCAAGTTCTAGTTTTGTATCAATGTATTTTTATATTAATGCTCAATTTTTAGAAAAACATATAAATAATTCCATCACATACATAAACATCTAGACAGAAAAAGACCTTAGAGCTTTTATTCAAAAATTTTAGCCATGTGTCAGGTACAATAATGCAAACTCACTAATTTATTAAAGAGTATCTGGGCTCAAATTGTTTTTCTAGACCATAGAACAAGATTTCCAGCACAGATGGCTAAAGCTTTTGACTAATAATTATTAAAAAGACTTTTAAGATTTGTTTTCATTTGTCTTTTTTAAGGAAACTTTTAAAGAGGCAAACTTTGATTTAATTTAAATGTTTAGATACTTCTATGCACCAATTAAAGAATGTATCACCTTTCTTTTTTGGCATTTTGGATCCTTTCTTTCCTAATGCACCTCATAAGTGAATATTTTTAACTAGGTTAAAACTTCCACATTGTGATGACTGTAATTCTAAGTTGTTCTTAGTAAAATTAACCAGTTTTTTCCAAAAATGCACAGGTTCAGAGCTCATAATTTTTGTATAAAACATTAGCTATTGTCCCAAAAAATGGAGTCCTAGGCTTCTTAGATTTGGAGGAACTCATTTCAAAAGGTACGTACCCGAGGTCTCTAACTGGAACCAATCTAGTTAGTTATCAGACACAATCTGATCCTGGATCCAGTTCAGTAAAAATTCCTCAAATAAAGTTGAAGAGGACACAACACAGTTCCACGGAGGTTGAAACTGGGAAAGAACTTATCCAGATCCCAGTTGCTATGAGAGATCAATGGGCACATTGAATGCTAGTAAGTACCTTTACTTGGTAACTCAGTGCTCCTGTTGGTTACTAGACATCTACTTCAGATCCCACTTCTTACACCAATCTATTAAAAGAAAATCTTTAGACAAATTAAATTTAGCAGAGTTTATTTGAGCAAGGAAATGATTCATGAATTGGGCAGCACCCTGAACCACTGAAGATTGAGAGAGCTCCACCCAGCAACATTGACAGGCAGTATTTATAGAAAGAAAAAGGAAATTACATACATAAATAGCCTGATTGGTTACAGCTCTGCATTTGCCTTATTTCAACATGTTTGAGCAGTTTGCAGCCTATAATTGGCTGCTATGATTGGCTGAGGCTTGGTTACTTGTTTGCTTATTTTTTTTTGTTTTTTTTTTTGAGACAGAGTCTTGATCTGTCACCTAGGCTGGAGTGCAGTGGCACAACCTCAGTTCACTGCAACCTCCACCTCCCACTTCAGCCTCCCAAGTAGCTGGGACTACAAGCATGCACCACCATGCCCGGCTAACTGTTTTTGCATTTTTTAGTAGAGATGGGGTTTCAACATATTGTCTAGGATGGTCTAGAACTCCTGATCACAAGTGATCCACCCGCCTCAGCCTCCCAAAGTGCTGGAATAACAGGCATAAGCCACCACGCCCTGCTGGTTACTTGTCATAAGAGTATACTGTTAAGTTGTGTTGCTGTTTGTTTACATATTAAGTTAGGTTATACTTCACTACATACAGAGGCAGCTTTAGGTCAAATTTAATTTAACACAATGTATACAAATATCAAAATACCAAATTCTATGCCTTAAACATATACAATTTGTATATGTTAATGATATCTCAATAAAGCTGTTAAAAACATTTTAAGAAAAAGCCCAGGGTGGGAGCAAACTCAATCCACTGTACTTTCTGCTTTTCCCAGGGACTGGCTGTGATCTATGCCCTTAGACTACTAATCACTTCCTTCACTTTTAAAGTAGTTTTAGTTTCCAAAGACCTTTCACATATACCATTTTGTTTAATCCCCACAGCAACTATGAGAGACAGGGATTACTATTCTTAATTTGTAAATGAGGAAACTAAATCAAAGAGAAACAAATCCAAAGCAGCACACAGTTAATGATTTGGGGATGGAACTGGAATTTTGATCTTCTAACTCCTGGTCCAGCATATTTTATTCCTCATAGCTGCATTCTGAGGTTGCACCTTCCCCTCTGAGGAGGTGTGTCAGTGATATGAATGGTGTGGTTTCTTTTCTTTTGGTATTCTATAATCCTGGGCCATCACAGCTGGAGGAGAGCATAAGAATTTCTTGGATGGGAGGAAGACAGAACTAGAATCAAAGAATTACAAATGATTTGAGTAAAAATAGCTACAGATACAAATTGTCATTGAATAGTTAAGGTATAAGAAGCCCAAGTAATATGAGGGCAGTGTATTTTTTTTTCATTTTATTAGTGAGAGGAATAATAGGTGCAACCTGCTTACTCCTGATTAGCTGTCTGGCATCAAAGTCCCCTGTCTCTCTAGATTGTATTCTGATTGGTTCTGATTGCCATATGTTGATTTGCTTAGTTCTCTTTTAACGACCAGCATTACATTTTGATTCTTTTTTTACTCCTAGCCATACTGTTCAGTTGGCTGGCTTGATTTAAGTTTCTAAAATAAAACTTTCCCATTGATCTCCAAACTACTTTTTGTTTGCTCTCACTGATTTATGTGAATTATACACCCATATCACTATCTGAAATTAAGTGGCTCATTTATGTTGCATGTTTATTTACTGATCTCTTGCCTCTGGTCTTAATACTCTGGTCCCAGTGCCTACTACACTGATTAGAACATTATAGATACTCTTCCAGGCATGGTGCCTCACGCCTATAATCCCAGCACTTTGGGTGGCTGAGGCAGATAGATCACCAGAGGTCAGGAGTTTGAGACCAGCCTGGCCAATATGGTGAAACCCTGTCTCTACTAAAAATACAAAAATTAACCAAGCTGGTGGCATGTGCCTATAATCCCAGCTACTCGGGAGGCTGAGGCAGGAGAATTGCTTGAACCTGAGAGATGGAGGTTGCAGTGAGCAGAGAACGCACCAATGCCCTCCAGCGTGGGTGACAAAGCAAGACTCCACCTCAAAAAAAAAAAAAAAAAGAAGAAGAACTCAATAAACATTTGTTAAACAGATAAATTTCCAAGCATATATCCTACATCTGCAACTATTGTAAGTGCTTTATAGCCATTTTCTTATTTAATCCTGGTATAGACTCTACAAGAAGCTGGGCACAGTGGCTCAGCCTGTAATCCCAGCACTTTGGGAGGCTGAGGCAGGCGGATCATGAGGTTAGGAGATCGAGACCATCCTGGCTAACACGGTGAAACCCCGTCTCTACTAAAAATACAAAATATTAGCCAGGCGTGGTGGCGGGTGCCTGTAGTCCCAGCTACTGGGGAGGCTGAGGCAGGAGAATGGCGTGAACCCGGGAGGTGGAGCTTGCAGTGAGCCGAGATCTCGCCACTGCACTCCAGCCTGGGTGACTGAGTGAGACTCCGTCTCAAAAAAAAAAAAAAAAAAAAAAAAAAAAAAAAAAAGACTCTACAGGAAACTTTCTTGGTTTTGTTCACTGCAGTCTTCGGCACCTAGAATAGTTCCTGGGAGAATTTAGGCACTCAATACATATTTTTGAGATGAAGGAAGTAGGATAGAGTGAGGGAAAGCAGAGCTTCAGCCCTGAAGAAACAGGAAACTTCCTTTCCTAGGAGAATCAAAACTAAAACATATAGATAGTGAGTGCAAGCATGTTTGTAGGGGGAGGATATGTGGAGAATGTTTCTGCATGTAGACACAGTATTTGGGGTAACATGACAATATCAAAAGCATAGCAAGCATTGCTGGATAAAATAGAAGCCTAGGGAGCTATGAACACTGTAGATATACTCTTTATATGTTCTACAGGTAACCAAAGAAGAAATGTGCCCTATAGGCTAAGGTCATATAGCAGAGTCAGAGAATCTAAAATTGGATCAAAGAGTCTCACACCACTTCTGTAGATCCACAGTGGATAGAGACCTACTATACACCATAAACTGAAATAGAAACTATATATATATCAAACAGCAATCTAGTCTAGATTTGACCTAGCAATTTCACACCTCTGATTTTATTTATTTGGGTATTTTCTTTTTTTCATAGTTAGTCTAGCTAAAGTTTTGCCAATTTTGTTTAACGTTTTAAAAGAAAACTTTTCATTTCATTGATTTTTGTACGATTTTTAGTCTCAATTTCATTTATTTCTGCTCCGATTATTACTATTTCTTTCCTTCTACTAATTTTGACTTTGGTTTGTTCTTGCTTTTGTAGTTCTCTAAGGTGCATCATTAGATTGTTTATTTGAAGTCTGACCTAGCAATTCCACTCCTGAGTACATACATAAATGCATGTCTACGTGTGTCAGGAGATATGCACAAGAATGTTCACAACTACCTTGTTTGTAATGACCCCAACCAAAAATGTTTTCATATATTAACCCAAGAGTAGTTGTACTTTTTAGAATTAAACCCCAAAATTTTCTTTAGTTTTGTGATTTTCTCATTGTTTTAATGGTTGCTTTGCCATCTTATCCTCTATGTCTCTTTAGCTTCACTGTATAATTTCCTTATGTTTATCTCTGCTATGGGTTGAATATGGCTTGTCCCCACCAAAACTCATGTTGAGACTTGGTCCCCAATGTGGCAGTGTTTTTAGGTAGCACCTTTAAGACATAATTTTAGAATTATAAAATCATTAAGATGGATTCATGTCTTTCTGATGAGACTAGGTTAGTTCTCGTGGAAATAGATTCGTTCCTGCAAGAGGAGGTTCATATAAGGCAAGGTTGCCTATCATGTTTTGCCCATTTTTGCACATGCCCAGTTCCCCTTCCATTTCTCCACCATGTTTTGACCCAGCACAAAGCACTCACCAGAAGCTCAGATGCAGCCACCCAATTTTGAACTTCCCACACTGTAGAACAGTGAGCTAAATAAACCTCTTTTCTGTATAAATTTGACAGTCTCAAGCATTCTGTTATAGCAACAAAAAAATGGACTAGGATAATCACTCAATGCATTTTTGAGTAGTTTCTTCAGAGCTATCTTCTACTTTGTTAAATTTACCATCAACTATCCCTGATCTGTTATTTATTTTTAACTTGTCCATTGATTTGTCAATATTTTTCACTTCTTGAAAATATGATTTTTTAAACATCTTTCTGTTATTTTTATCATACTGTCTTCTTTTTCACTATGGTTTCTGTTCCTTTCTTTTGGTCAATAAACATTTTAAGCATACTTACCTCTTTCATATTGCTTTATTACCCTTAATTATTGGGATGTGAATTATCTTGTTGTATCTGTTGACTCTTTTTCCCAATGTAACTTGTGCTTTCTATTGTGTCCTCATCTTCATAGATATTTTTATTAATGTTTTATCATTATCTTCCCTTGTGGAAGTACCATCCTTTAGGTTATGAAAAAGTCCATGTAGAACTACTTTGCAATTGCTTCTGCCAGGGCCCTAGGAATGACAATGGCTCTGGACCTGTTCTTGTGTTTCTCAGCTTTTGGTTCACGCCGTATGAAAACAACAAAATACTGAGGCCCCCAAACCAGTGCATATTACAGGCCTGGGGTTTTCATTTCTCCCAGATCCTTTTTTTTTTTTTTCTTTTTCATTAACCCAGAGCCCTAGCAATTTTTCTCATCACTTCCCAGGACCAGTGGGCAAAGGTTTTTTGTCCCTTTGTAATAGACTTTACACTTATTAGAGGATATAGTTTTAGGGGACCTCTTTTGCAGAGTGTCACCTCCCACTATCCCAAGGTAAAGTCTTCTGTCCCTTCATGGACATTAGAAACTCAGTCCCCAGCACCTAGGCAAAACCAGTACCAAGACACCGTGAGCTGCTGCTCTGTCTGCTCACTATTTAATACTTCTCTTTGTTATAGGAAGGCTCCCTTGAGCTCAGCTGTGTTGTTTTAAATCTTTAGATTACATTTCACTCAGTATTTACAAGTCTTTGAAGTATGCATTGGGATGGGTGGGCAGTCTCTATTATCTTACTCTGCCTTGTTGCCATGAATTGTCCACTATGATGTTTCATATTGTATTGTTTTGAGCACTTTGACTGAAGAAGAACATTTACAATTACAACCTTCCTAGAAGAGGCCCTACAGAATGAGGAAAGGTCTTAAATCATCAAAAGGAAGAACAATTTAAAAGACTAGCCAATATTTAAAGATCTGTCAGGAAGAAATGGGAAATCACTTTTCAGTTGCTTTGGTTAGTGACATTAAGCTCAATGTGTGAAAGTTATCAAAAGGCAAACTTTAGTGCAACTGAAAATTGTATAGCTGTTAGACTTACCCAATAAAGGATGGTCTGATTTTTGTGAACTCTGCCAGTAGTGATATCCATACTGGACCTGGATGATCATCTGCCAAATATGCTGTTGAAGAGATTACTGCATGGACGGGGGTCTTCCAATTCTGAAGTTCTTCCACTTTTTAACAAAAGTTTAATTTCATGGGCTCACCTTTCATGATCTATGGTTCAAATAAGATGGAAATCTAAGACATATCAGGACAATAACCACCAGTGAAATGGAACAAAGCTCATAGAGAACCCAAAAAATGGAGAAAAACTGGTTTTAATGGGTGCCTTCTCAGAAACTCCAATTTTTATTTCAAGGAGAGAAAGGAAGCACTTGTCATTTTGTCAACTTCCTTTTTCTACTCCATGACTCACAAATTTACAAAGCAAATGCCTCTGAAGAGTAAGTTTCATGTAATAGACACCTAGCTACACCTGCAGAGATTTTTTAAAAACTGTATGTTGCCTTATCTCTTGGATCTTTCATTCCTCTGGATTCCTTCTCCCCCATCACACTCTCATCCTCGTCCTCCTCTTCCTCCTCCTCCTTCTCCTCTTCTTCTTCCTCTTCTTCCTCCTCCTACTCCTTCTTCTCTCTCTCCCTATCCCTCTTCCACTCTCATTTACCTATCTCATTCTTCTCTCTTTCTATCTGCCCTTCATCTGCATCTGTATCCAGCCAGGTCATCCCATTTCTCCTTCCCTCTCCACATTCTTTTTCCCTCCACTTCTTTACTTCATTGTCTCATCCCTCTCTCAGCTCTTGACTAGGTAGTCACCCACATCTCAAATAGAAATGTGCCTATAGTATTCCACAGTGGCATCAAAATTGAGTTTCTATCTAGCTGGCTTCTCTGGCAGAGCCCTGGCCCTGACCCCTGTGGTCAGTTTCTGTTTCATCCACAGCCTACATCCACAGTGTAGGCTTCAGAGAAGATGAAATGTCAACCAAGGTTCAAATCAATGAGTGAAACTTGAGTTTAGGGAAGTGAATTTGCCTGTTCACTTTAAAGTGTATAACACTTTAATCGCCAATATTTCTCGAGCAGTTTCTATGTGCCAGCAATACATTAAGCAGTTTACATTTATTTTTCTCTTTTGATTCTCACAACAGCCTGACAAGTTAGGCACCATTATTAATCATATTTTAAAAAAACACACCTTAGAAGTGCAAAGTAACAGTTAGAGAATGGTAGCCATGGGACTGTAGCCTGGAACCAAGTTCTTGACTCTGAAACAATAAGCTTCCCACTAGGGAAGGGAAATGTGGAGAAGATGTTTCACAGGTCCTCTTTTCTATCTAGTGGTATGCTTGCAGCAGAAAAGGTCCAGATTATCCAAAGTGAGGCCAGACATCCCTGCAAACAATAATGACAGAGTTTTATTTTTCACAGTGACACTAAGAGAAATTGGGCTAGAAGATTAGCTTTAACTATATCTTTTTTAAAAGTGGAGACACTGTGGACTAAAAGAGGACTTTAAAACATGTTTTTTTTTTCCACTTTATGGGCAAGCCATTTAATCTCTTTGAGCCTCAGCTTTCTCATTTATGAAATCAGAATCTCATATGAGTCTTATGTAAGAGATTAGATAATGTGTATAAATCACCTGGAACATAGTAGATACTTGGTATTTTTTAGCTGAGTCTTAATCCAATTTCTCTTAGTAACACATTCCAGCTTCTCCAACCTACCCATTCCCATCTGCAGGCTAATTTCAAGTCACTCATCAGTCTCACGCCATTTAATCCAGGAACCTCTCTCATCAACCCCAGTCCTCACCCAATCTGAGCTAAGTGATAGTTCTGTTTTTCCATAGAATCATGTGCATGCCTCTATTACAGCTCTCATCACACTGCCACTATCTACCATCCTGTCTCCCTAACTAGTCTGTGAGTTCCTGGAGTATGGAGACTTCTCCATTTATCTCAATATCTTCAGTGCTAAGCACAGGGTCAGGCACATCTCAAGTACTCAGTAAATGTTTTCTAATTAAGCCCTACTTTTAAAATATGTTAAACTGTGGACCTAATACACTTTGGCTTCAATGGAAGTATGAGAGGAGTTGCCCAGATGAGCCAATAGCTATTGAGAGCCAAAGACTTAGTCACATGGTTCTCACTTAGGTTAGAAATCCTCAGAATGCAAATACTCCCTTAAAAATATTCCAGGCTTGGTCCATATTCTTCTTGGTTTTATACACTAATCATCTGTACCCTCGTTTTTCTTAGTATTCATCTTTAGATGCTAAAAATTCAAAATCTTTTAAGCCTGTGCTCAGCAGGTCAATTCCTTTTATCTAGCTCCCCAAATAAATATATAAAAATTCCCTCCCCTTCTTTTAGGGCTAGTCAATCTTCTACCAAGATCCTGCCTCCTTTCTCTTTCTAGCTCTGCTGTCCTTACTTTGTTTAAGCATGGATTTGCCCAATAATAAAACTATGTTTATTGTTTGGCTTTCAAGACATGTAATTCCTAATGGTTTCTGGCATTGTTTCAGCTGCGGCAGCTTAAAATTAAGCGTCTCCAGAAAATCAGCTGTAATGAATCTGAGATTCATTCCTGTCCTGGTATGTGGCTGGTAACTTTGAACAAGGTAGCCTGTGTAATTTTGAGTCCTTACTTTAAAATTGCATGACTTCATAGATTACAGCTATAATCTTGTCTATGTACAATTAGCCTTTGGAGATTTTTTTAAATGTAGAGGCTTTTGTTTTTTAAATATTATTGTTAGTACTTCATGTTTTTTTAATCTAATGCTAACAATAGCTTGCATTATTTTCTTCCAAATTATGTTGGCTTTATATTTCTCTATTTAAAGGCTTGCTTTGCACTATAACTTACTTTAACCTATAAAGTTTTGTAAGAATTTTCTTCCATTTGAAACCCCTCTCTTTTCCAACTGAATACTGAAAGAATTTAATGTAATCTATGAACTTGGGGCACCTGGCAAAATTATTGAAGAAGCACTGACACAACACCAATGCCTTCTGTGTCATGACTTGCCCTGCATGTTTTTTGCTGCTTCTTTCAAAGAAGGGGAAAGATCACGGAACTAATCTGTATTGAAAATCCTGTGTTCTTCTGACAACTAAGAGCACAAAAAATCTATTATTTTCCATTCAAAAAAGTATTCATTTATCCCCACCCTGTATTTGGTATCTTTAAACAGCTCCCTCACACTATAACACAACTAGCCTCCAATATTTCTACAATTCAATCTTTCAGCAGTCTTTGATAAAAAATTCTGTTTAAGTCCTTCATAAAACAAAAATTTGTATAAAATAAGTTCTCTGGGCATGAAGAAAAAAATTAACTTTTTAAAATGCAATAAATACCTAATGAACACTGAGTAAATCTTAAGTTGTTTTCCACTGACTAGATCTTAAGTTCTTTTTCCCCTGGGAAGAGGAAGTGCTTAGCCTGAGCTCTACTCCAGAGGCTGGGGACCTTCCATCTTGACATCCTGTCTCACCCCCAGAACTCTCATTTTAACTGCCTCCCTGTCCCTCACCATTTCTTTAAAGCTTTCCACCACAGAATCCCAACCACAGTCAAACAAGTCCTATTCTTTCCCCGGACTCACCTGTTCTTGACTCTAAACTTTGTCACTGGGCACATGTCTCCTCATTAGTCTTCATGAAGGCAGAGATGTTTTATCAGTTTTGTCCACTGCTATATCTTCCAACACTCAGAATAGTGCCTAGCATTATTGAATTAAGGAATAGTTGAATGCAATTATTACTTGGTGTTTAAGACCAAGTAATAATGTAATTATTGGTCTTAAACGCCAAGTAATAATTGCATTCAACTATTCATAAGTCAAAAATTGCACAAGTTTATCTCATTGAATAAAGAGTATATCTCAGGAAGTTCAGTGAAAATTAACCTAATGAATATCAAATGTTAGTTTCAGATTCACATTGCTATTTCAGGCTATTCTAGCTTGCCTTTCAGATTCACCTCCAATTGCAAAGTTTTATCTTCTCTTTGGGTTGTGTTACCTTATTGCTTCTCTGCCAAGTTGCTAACTATCTGGTAGCAAATACTCATCTGTAGAGAAAAAATTCCATATAAAAAAAACCTAGCGATTCATCTTTTTCTGTAGTTAAGAATTATCACCTAATATAATTGTTTGGTAACTGCCTGATTTTTTAAGCTTTATACTGTCAAGTTAAATCTATGAGAAGCTAAAATGATCATAAAGATATCACCCTCATTCAAAGCTCAGACCCAGCAAAATTGCTATATGAATAAAATATGTATACAAACTAATCTTTTTAAAAAACTTTTCCCAAGGCTGTATATGAATATAAAAACCCAGATTTGAATTATACATGCAAACTGTAAAAGCAGAGACACATGCTCCCTATTAAGTCTGTGTTTTAAAATATCCAGTTACCAATCAAGAAACCCCAGTAGATTCCAAAGAAGCATATGTAAGAAACCATGACAAGGTAAAAGATTATTATCTGGCAAGTAGTGCCTAGAATCAGGTCTGAGGGGGCCAGAAGGGACTATGAATCACAAGGTGAGAAAAGATAATTTGCAGCAAATTGGTAAGATATGTGGGAGGAGCTAAAGTAGTTGGGTCTGCCGGGTGAGGTGGCTCACACCTGTAATCCCAGCACTTTGGGAGGCCAAGGCAGGTGGGTCACCTGCGGTCAGGAGTTCTAGACCAGCCTGACCAACATGCCAAAACCCCGTCTCTACTAAAAATACAAAATTAGCCGGGCGTGGTGGTACATGCCTGTAATCCCAGCTACTCGGGAGGCTGAGGCAGGAGAATTGCTTGAATCCAGGAGACAGAGGTTGCAATGAGCTGAGATCGCACCATTGCACTCCAGCCTGGGCAACAAGAGTGAAACTCCATCTCCAAATAAATAAATAGATAAGTAAAATAAAGTAGTTAGGTCAGGTCATGAACAATAAGAGGACATTAGAGGCCTGTTTGTGTCTTTATTGTGGTGCTATCAACTGTGAAAAGCTGAGGCAAGCCTGAGAGCTTGTGAGAACTACAGGACCAGCCAGCAAGTCCTTGTTTCAGCACCAAATTTAATTTATACTGGCTGTGTTAACTTGCACAAGACCCCTACCTTCCTGAATCTGAATTTCCTCATTGGAAAATGGAGTCCATTAATGCCCCCTCACAGAGTTGTGGTACTTGGATTGATCACAGTGGTGCACATATTTACTACATTATTATGCGCTGGAGAGGAGCCAGGCCTACCCTATACCAGTTTTCTCTTCTTAATCACTGGCACCTCCTTTCCTACAGTTGTTGAAGCAAAAAACAGAATCGTTATGTCCTCCTTTCTTTTCTCCAGCTCACATCCATCCCATGAGGAAATCTATCAAATCCACCTTTAAAATATATCCAACAACATGCTACCACCGCTCACCACCTCTACTACAACTACCTGGGCCCCTATCACCAGGTTTCCTTTTTCTTGTTTTCACTCAGGCTATTACAAGAGCTTCCTCACTGGTCTCCCTCTCTGCCCTACCTTTGCATCCTACAGTTCTTAATCGTAACACAGAGAGAGCCTTTTAAAATATGTCAGGTCACACATAGGGTTCATGCCTGTAATCTTAGCATTTTGGGAGGCTGAGCGGGAGGATCACTTGAGCCCAGCAGTTCAAGACCAGCCTGGGTAACAAAGCAAAACACTATCTCTACAAAAAATTTAAAAATTAGCTGGGCATGGTGATGCGTGTCTTTGGTCCCAGCTACTCAGGAGGCTGAGGCAAGAGGACTGTTTAATCTGGGTAGATTGAGGCTGCAGTGAGCTATGATCATGCCACTACCCTCCAGCCTGGGTGACAGAGTGAGACCTTGTCTCAAAAAATAATTAAAAAAAAGAAACTAAATGTGTCACATCACATTATTCATATGCTGAGGCCCTTCCAGTGGCTCAGATCTCACTCAGAGCCCTTACAATGGCCCACAAGGCCTGTGGGATCGGGTTCCCTGCCATACCTCCCTGACCCAAATCTCCTCTTCACTAACTTGGTAACAATCACATTGAAATAGGAGTTCAGCAGGACTTGGTTTTTAAGACACAGGTCACAATGACCCCACTGATAAAACAACATACAGTAAAGAAGCCAGCCAAAATCAGCCAGAACCAAGATGGTGACGAAAGCGGCCTCTAGTCATCCTCACTCCTCATTATATGTTAATTATAATGTATCCGCATGCTAAAAGACACTCCCACCAGCTGCCAAGACAGTTTACAAATGCCAGGCAACATCCCAAAGTTATGGTGGAAAGATATGGTCGAAAAACGGAGGGAACCCTCATTCCAGGAATTCCGTGCCCCTTTCCTTTCCCAGAAAATTCATAAAGAGTCCACCTCTTGTTTAGCTATGATCAAAAATAACCGTGGAAATAGCCAACCAGCAGCTCTCAGGGCTACTCTGCCTATGGGGTAGCCACACTTTTTATTCCATTACTTTTTACTAAATTTGCTTTCACTTTACTCTGTTGGCTCAATCTTGAATTCTTTTCTGTGTGAAGCCAAGAAGCCATGTGGCCTCCCAGGCTGAGCCCCAGTTTTGAGGTTCACCCTGTGACAACATGTCCTACTGATGCCTTGATTTTAGCACAGTGAGACTCATTTCAGACTTCTTACCTCTAGAACTGTAAATTTGAGAAATTTCATTGTTTTAAGCCACTCAGTTTGTGCCTGCCATCAACACTGTCTCAAATTATTTATTCCTACACCTTATGGTCCATTGTAAATCACAAGCCTGCGAACCCAGAAAATCTTAGACAAGTCTCAGTTAATTTAGAAAGCTTATTTTGCCAAGGTTGAGGACACACGCCCATAACACAGCCTCAGGAAGTCCTGATGACATGTGCCCCAAATGGTCAGGGCACAGATTGGTTTTATACATTTTAGGGAGACATAAGACATCAATCAATATGTGTAAGAAGTACATTGGTTCACTCTGGAAAGGCGGGACAACTTGAAGCAAAGTCCGGAAGACTGAAGTCGGGAAGGAGCTTCCAGGTCACAGACAGGTGAGACACAGTTACATTTTGAGTTTCTGATTAGCCTTTCCAAAGGAGGCAAATCAGATATGCATCTATCTTAGTGAGCAGAGGGGTAACTTTGAATAGAATGGGAGGCGGGTTTGCCCTAAGCAGCTTCCAGCTGGAGTTTCCCTTAGTGATTTTGGGGTCCAAGATATTTTCCTTTCACAAGCACAATTCATGCTTCCTACTTTGGCAGCACATTAAAAGATATGCAACATCTTTACATGATTCACAACCTTAGTGCCAAACCACTTACACTATCCCTTTTTCCACTACAAACTTCAACTTTCTTTAGATTTGCACTACTCAATATCATAGCCATTAGCCACTTGTACAACTTTCTTCAGATCTGCATTATCAAATATGGCAGCCATTGGCACCAGGAATATGGCTAGCCTGCATTGACATGTGTTGTAAGTGTAGAATACATAGCAGATTTTGAAAACTTACATATATAAAGTAATGTAAGACACCTCATTAATAATTTTTTTTTTTTTGAGATGGAGTCTTGCTCTTGACATCCAGGCTGGAGTGCAGTGGCACAATCTCCACTCACTGCAACCTCCGCCTCCCAGGTTCAAGAGATTCTTCTGCCTCAGCCTCCTGAGTAGCTGGGACTACAGGCGCATGCCACCACGGCCAGCTAATTTTTTTTGTATTTTTATTAGAGACAGGGTTTCACCATATTGGTCAGGCTGGTCTCGAACTCCTGACCTTGTGATCCGCCTGCCTCAGCCTGCCAAATTGCTGGGATTACAGGCATTAGCTACCGCACCTGGCCCTCATTAATAATTTTTAAACTACTGATTACATGTAGAAATTAGTTTGGATATGCTGGGTTAAATATATTATTAAAATTAATTATTGCCAGGCACAATGGCCCATACCTGTAATTCCAGAATTTCGTGAGGCTGAGGCAAGTATTACTTGAGCCTGAGTCCAGGAGTTTGAGACCAGCCTATGCAACCCAGTGAGATCCTGTCTAAAAAAATAAAAATAAAATTGTACCTCGTTCTTTTTACCTTTTTAATATAGCTACTAGAAAAATTTCAGTTACACACATGGCTTGCATTATACTTCTCTTAGATAGTGCTATATATTCTATAGCCATTCTAACTTCTAAATTTGGGACTAATCATATTGTGCATAGCCTCACTCAACCCTCAGGCCTGACTCAACAATGTCTGGCTTCATTCCTTGACTGTTGCTGCCCATCCTGTGCCAGACTGATAAGACACTCCCATCAGCCACCCAGCAATAGGTACAGGAAACATAACCATGGACAACAGTGCTGCCTTAAGGCAATTGTGCTCTACTTATTGAAGCTCTACTATTCTATCTATAGTGTAGCTTTACAATTTTTACAACCCTGTTTTATCAGTCCCATTTGATGTTAAGTGTTTATATAAGGAAAAAAGCACTAAAAGAAGACAACTATTAGGAACACTTTGGTTCCTTCTCCCCAGCCTTGTTTAAACTTTTTAATTTACATCTTATTAAATGTAGCTGTATATATTAATATATTTTTATATATGTGCAGATAAAACTATTGGAAGGGAAATTTCTAAAATGTTAACAATTTCTAAAATGTTAACAGTGTTTTCTCTAGGTAAAGATAAAAACAGGTGACTTTTGTTTCATAATTTTATGATTTTTCTGAAATGTCTATAATATACATATATTGCTGTCATAATCCAAGGGTAAGAGACCTCAATTTATAATCAATCACCCAAGCCTGATAAAGCAGAGCAAGCAAGTCTGTTCCACGTCGCTATGAAGTCAAGAGAAAGAGTGGGTTTCCTGTGGGGTTTGCTCACCCAAGAACCAAATGAAACAAGTCAAGCTGCTGGCTGATTCTCTTTAACCATCCCAGTAGACTGTCTGCAAAGACTCTTAGTGGAAAGAGAAGGAGGTAGTCCAGGATTTTGAGGATGAAAATATAGATTCAATGAAGGTGAAGGGGGAATTTCCTGAGTAGATCTGCCTACATCAAGCAGCAGATGAAGTCATAGGTTCCAGAACACTATATCCCATCTTATTTAGGCACCAGCCTATTTAGGCACCAGCCACCTCACCCCAAACACACAAATGATCAGAAAAAAATGGGGTACTTGAGGAAAAGCAGCAGAATCCCCAAAGACTCCCAAGGACCAAGATCATTTCCCACTCTGCCCAAATATGCCTCCCTTGCCTCGATGTTTGTCCATGCTGTCAAGGTGCTGTAGTGTGAGTATGTAACCACTGGTATGTCTGACTGAGTGATCAAGGGTCACAACACAAGAAGAAAAAGGACAGGAGACAGCAGTATAATTTGTCCTCATTTAGCATGTCCATGTTCACATCTGCATCCCAACAACCCCTCCCTACTAATGAGGAACTCCAGGAATGTACCAGAAATGCCAGTGACTCCACCCCACCCTAACCCCACCATACCTTAGCCAACAGAACATAAGGAAAAGAGTAAGAGCTTTTTAGTCAAACAACGCTCAAACCTTGGTTCTTTCATCTCCTCCGTCACTAACAGCAGTGAGATTTTGAACAAGTTATTTGTTTCACAATCTATAAAATTGTGGTCAAAGTGCCTCCAGTGGGAGGGAGACCAGCCAGGACCCCTTTCCTAACAGGCAACTTTGTACATTTCAGTAATGCTCCCCAGGTACAGTAAATACACAGTCCAGGTAAAATGGACCTCCTTGTAGTCCCTTCTACCTCTCCCTCACCCTCCCTTATTCCTTTCCTCTCTAGACTCTCCTAATGGACTAAACATCCTCCTCATATTCATTTTGATCGGAAAAAAAAAGGGAACCGAAGCTGACCTTCTACATCTCCCCCTGCACACTGCTTCCAACACACACACCCCTCCCCCTGCCAAAGCTTGTTCACAACAATCCTGATCGCGTTCTTGCACCTTATCAGGATTCTCTGCACATGCTATGTTTCAAATGGACACATCATCTAGGAAAAGTTTTCACTGGGCCTAGAAAGAATCCTTAGACCCAAAAGAAAGAGGATAAAACAAATGAATAACTGGCAAAAGGAAAAATGTACGCTTGACTTCATAGCATCTCTGAAAAGAAAACTAAACTCAGAAGTACCATTTTGAGTAAAATTGTTCTTCCCTTTCTTGCTTCCCCTTCTGCTGTACAGTTTCTTTTCCCAACAATCTTTTCCTCAAATAGAGTTGTATGAGCCACCTGGGGAGAGTCAAAGGAAGGTTGGTGTGTAACCCCAGGGAATTCCCAATATGAGGGAATTCAAGTGAAAATGAAATGAACAGAGGGAAACTATTTAGTGACAAAGAATCTAAATTCCAGCTTCTGAATCCCAGAGCCATTTTTCAGACATTAATATGAAAAGAGAAAATACTGGCAATATTGAGGCCATCATAAAGAATATGCTTTTACAATGAATTAGGCAGAGGAACAAGGAGTGGTTTTTTGGTGTGCCTTGCTCCAGGGCACCTACATCTATCCGGGAAGACATGTCATAATTAATATAGCTTAAAGGGTGGCAGAAATTGAACAGGCAGTGAAATGAGGAAGATTTCTAGTGCCTCCTAAATGGGGACTTCACATTGTGGTGTCGTGATATGCTAGGAAGTAGTATGAATTCCCAACATTAAATATAATCAAATGAAAACACTACTCCCAAACTAAAGAAAGATGAGCCTCTTCACAAGTCTATTCTCTTCACAGGATGTAAGGATGACTCAGAGTTGATCATCCTTACAAAAATGGCCTACAATTCAATATCAGCAACAAGCAAGAAACTATTCTATTCAGAGAATATTCAGAGAAATTCCATTTTCAAGTGATACTAACTCAAGACCTACAGAGTCTTCATATTTATTTTAATTTCATAAAATAAGCCTAAGGCTGGAAGAAAAATATATAGACACTTCCGACAGATTTTGATACTAAAAGCAATCATCCATATCCAGCACCTTTCCATGTAGCCAGTGACGAGCAAGCTGGGTTTAACTAAGCAAAATGTATGAACATAAATGGTGGGGGAAAAACTCAGATCTGTGGAAAAATGATGGGGACTAATGGGGGACGGGAAGCACAGAGCTGTGAAAAAATGACGGGGAAGAGGGAAGCAAGAAGGTTTAAAGGGGTTTAGCAAAAACAAGAGCTTTACATTCACTCATCTACTCATACTGACTGTATGCCAGGTACTAGGAACACAATGCTGAATAGGACATATTCCATGTCTGCATGGAGATTACAACTAGTAAGGTGGATATACACCTAAGCCTGACATAATACAGCATAATTAAGTACTAAAGTCGGGGCAAACCAACTTGAGGAAAGACCCCTTAACCCATCATGGGGTGTGAGAGGTCACGAAAAGCATCCCAGAGTAAAGAAGGTCAGAAGCCAAGGCAAATGCCAAGGTGAAAGGCATTGTGAACAAATCTCCTTTCCTACTCACCTAATGTCCTTTTTACTTTCACTTATGGCCCAGACAAAAGGCGATGATCAAAAGAGGTGGGTAAACGGACCAGAGGATGAAACCAGCTGAAACCATGATGTTATAATCACACATACAACTATGTGAAAATTTGAGAATACAGGAGGGAGAGTGTAACTCTGAGACTGACAGAGGTGATGTTTAGGCCAAATAGTGGAGGTTGGGTAAAAAAAAAAATGGCAAGAGAATCGTAGTGGGAGACATTGACAGAGTATTCATGGCTGATCGATTTCATCAGCCCAAACAGAACTGTCACCTAGAGTCCACTGCTCAAATTGGCTCCTTTTATTTTTTCCTGGTAAACTAGCCAACATATGTGGAGTATGCTCAATTGCCCCTTCTAGAAGGCCTTAAAAAAAAAAGTGTTTTTTTTCTCTCTTCAGTATTTTATTTGATGTTTCTGTTAGATTTCTTATCCCTAAGCAATGGCAGAAAAATATGTTTGCCAATATACAATCAGCTCTGAGAGTCAAATGAAAACTGTCCTTCTTTACATGTATAGGTTTCTCCAGTGCTGCATGAGGGCGCAGTTGTGCTCAACTTTTTCTCAAGGTCAATACTACATTTATAGATTTCTTCACCATTGAGGATTTTGGTGTTGGATGAAATGAAGGCACCAAAAGATGCTTCACAGCATTGGACATAATATATGGGACTTCTCCTTCAAGTGGATTCTCTTGAAGCTGAGGAAGGACGGCACACTAAGTGAAGATCTTCCCACTTACTGCCTGCACAGACCCACTCCCCTGAAGAATGCTTCTGTGGAACAATCACATCTTAGGGGAAATCACTGACATATTCTTCTTGGTGAGTTGCCGTCTATCTTTCACTGTCTTCCTGTTGCTGAACAATTTACAGATTGGAGGATGTACAGCATTTATGGACCTTTCTTGTAATATTTCAGTATACTGTGATACCCTGGAAATGTCCTGCTAACCAAACCTGAGTAAAAAAAGAAAAAAAAATACATGTCTCAAATGTATATTAGTATTATGGGAATCCAACATTTTTGAGAATTCAAAACAAAGGAAGAAAACCAAAATGAGGTATAGCCAAATTTCCAACTTCCTTCCTTCCTTCTTTCTCTTTTTTTTTTTTTTTTTGGAGACAGTATCTCACTCTGTCGCCAAGGCTGGAGTGCAGTAGCATGATTATGGCTCTCTCTGCAGTCTTGACCTCCCAGACTCAAGCGATCCTCCCACCTCAGCCTCCCGAGTAGCTGGGACCACAGGTCCAGTCACCACCATGTCTGGCTAGTTTTTGTATTTTTTGTATAGATGGGGTTTCACCATTTTGCTCAGGCTGGTCTCAAACTCCTGGGTTCTGGTCAACTTTCATTCATCCATTATCACTCTCCACTTTCAACTATTACTCTACATATTTTTTAAATGAAAAATAGTATTGGTTTTATTGCATATTTCATGCTTTGAAAGAGATAATAAGCAGATTCTGGAAGTTCTTTGAAAATACAACCATGGTGTTTTTGAGAGCTAGACTAAAATATGACTTTAACATGATATACAAAAGAAATAGCTTGGGTCAGAACAAAGGGAAGGGGGCCTTAAGAATGGGAAGTGGAGTGTATAACAGAGAAAGATGTGAAGAAGCAAAATACTTTGGAATTAGCTGGGGTAGGTATGGGAAGGAGCAGAAGCACACACAGAAAGGTAAAAGATAAATCGATGTCATTCTGCAATGTTGCTCACCTGTATATCTGTGTTCTCTACAACTGAACTCTCAGCATCTAAGATTCTAACTAATGCATCCCCACCACAGAGCTCACAGACCTCTGCACACAGCCAGCACTAAAGAGTTTTTGAGGGCACAAGAAGTTTTACTCTCTCTTCCCCCTCTTTCACCATATATCTCCCTGACGACTTCTTCAAACCTAATACATCAGTTTCCTCTCTTTTTCCAATTTGTTTCACTTCCCACTCTCTGACCTAGAAGTCAACCCAGGGTTAGGTCCTCTGTTAAATGACAGGCTGTGGAGGCCAGAGACAAAATGGCAGGTCTGAGAGTTCCTATCTAAGGCCACCAGACTTCAAAGAAGCAAAGAGGCTACAGAGAGGTAGAACATAGAGGTGGAACCAGAAGAGACAAGGATCGGAAGAGAAGCAGAAATAAGTGAAATGAAGTAGGATGGTTCCGATCTGCTCGTGCCTAAAAACATTTACTGTGGGATCCTTTTCTTAGGGTCCTTGGCGTGACTCCTGGGGCAAGGGCAGAGTGTTAGAGGAGCCCTGTCTAGGACAAAAACAAGAAAAGGTACTCACGAGGGAGAGAAGGATGAAGATTCCAGGAACTGCGTGTGAGAAAGAGGACAGAAACAGAGTATTTAAGACTAGTCGGAGCTAGTATGAAATAATAAAGGGAATCTGTAGGTATTATAGAGGGAAGCCAAAGATGTGGGAGGAACTGAGCGTTAACGAAGGCAAGGCAGAAAGTGACCCTAGAAATGCTGTCGGGTTTCCAGTCCCTGCTCACACTTCATTCAATGTCTCATCCAAAAGAGAAACAGCAGAATTAAGCCACACCCACGTAGCTAGTCCACACTCGATTCCCCCGTGCAAGCAACTTTTTCTCAAATGATTTTCTCAAAAATCTTCGTGACTCAACTAGTCGCGAAGATTTCCTCTTAAAAGAACAAACTGCTACCACCCTGCAAAAACTACAACACCCATAGTGCCCCGCGCACAGCCCGAGTGACCCATTCTCTTCCGATTCCCACCAGCTAACGGTCTTAGCCAATTTCCTCGGCCGGGAAATGATTTGGAGCACATGCGCACTTCCCCTCCTTGTCCTGGGCTGGCCTCCAACTTGGAACGCCGGCGAACCGCCTGACCTCTTCCGGCGGCCTCAGCCTGGGACGCATGCGCACATCGAGGCTCCCCGACATCAGGCGCGGGTCTTTAATTACATATTTTGCTATGCTCCAGGCTATGCATTTGGAACAGTGCTTTCCTTTTTATCTTTATTTTGTTTCTTTTGCTTAACTTCGGGATGCAGCAATGAAGTGTTATTAAAAGAGCCCTAAAGCTGAGAGTGAAATTTGGACTCTGTAACAAACCAGCTGTGGGGTCTTAAGCAAGTCACTTAAACGTGGGGACCTCGGCCTCCAAACCAGATGACACTCGAGGCACAGCCTGCCTCCTATCGCTGCTGGAAAGACTGTGGAAATGGTACTGTTGGTGCCCATAGACCTCCAGACCCCCATGGGACAGCAGCTGGGCATTCCTCCACCATTGAATGAAGTGTGAGCAGGGACTGGAAACCGGACAGCAATTCTAGGGCCAGTTGGAAGGAGAGGTAGGGAAAGAGAAGCTTCCTTCGCCTTTCCCTCGAGCCCACGTCTCATCAGTAAGCAATTCCTGACAGTTCTCCACCTACATATCTTCCCACTTTTCTCCATCCACACTGCCATTTCTCTATCTCCACTGCCATACCATTTTCTCTTGCTTAAATGATTTCCCTGTTTCTAGTCCCTACCCTACCGGCTGTGGGATCATTCTAAGATGCAAATTTGATCATTAAAATATTTCATGGCTTCTCTTGGCCCACAGAATAAAGTCCGAACACCTTAACAAGGCTGTCATTGCCTGACTTCTTCCTAGTCTTCCAGACTTCCTTCTCTCCCTCTGTGTTCCAGTCATCTTCAGAAACTATCAGTTTAACAAACCAGGCTGCCTCTTACTTCAAAGACTTTTTGCATGTAGAAACAACTTAATGAACATTCTGAACTCTGCTGAACATATTCTCAATGAGGTTTTAACCAGTGCCTTCAACCATACTCTCAGTTCTTCCAGCCCTGACGGATTCTGTAGTTTTCTGTTTACTTAATTATTAGAAGTCCAGTCTAATGCAGTCCACTTAAAATCTTACATCTCATTTCAAGTTTTGCAGTGAGATTTGCAAAACTTCCTTCCTTCCCCTCAGCACCAGCCAGACTTGAGCAGTGGAGCTTGGTTTGGGGAAGTGGTGTATTCTGTCCTTTAATAGAAGTCTGCCTTTCCCAAAAATACTTATTGTGTTGGGACCCTGAGGAAAAATCAGGGAGGGCTGGGAAGTGAGGGCCAAAAGTCATTTTGCCTAACTGGGCATTTAATTGCAATTGTCTGTTGGTTCTCTCCACCTCTCAGTTGAAGGCTGATTGGTCACGAATACCTTCCATTTGGAAGGTACCCAAATGCTAGTTCTTAATAGGCACATGGGTTAGTTCCCTGGGAGCTCTCCCCAGTACACAATTCCTTGATGGGAGATCTGCTGCAGCTTAAAACTGTTACTGGTAGAGGGTCTTGACTGCAAGTTGTCCAGATTTTTGGCGTTTTCAACAAAGGATTGGACAAAACGCACAGCAAAGCAAGGAAAGAAGGAACAAAAGCAGAGATTTATTGAAAGTGGAAGTACACTCCACAGTGTGGGAGCAGGCTGAGCAGAGGCTCAAGGGCTCTGATGCAGCATTTTCTTGGGTCCAAATACCCCCTAGAGGTTTCCCATCGGCCACTTGGTGTTCACCCCATGTAAATGAAGTGGTGGCCCACAATCAGTCTGATTGGTTGTGGAAAACAACCAATCAGAGGCTGAAGTGAAGTTACAAAGTTACACTCCTATGCAAACATCTGATTGATTGCAAAAAGCAACCAATCAGAGGTACTTTCAGTTTCCCATCTGCCCTGCAGAAAAGGTAGGAGTTTTTAAAGGGAGCAGCTTCTGGTCCTTTTGTTACTTAGGCGTGGAAAGTTAAGGCTTTCCTTTCAATTTAGTTCTAAGGAAGTCGGCATGAAACCGCCTTAGGTTCCTTGCCTTCAGACCCTATTCTCCTGCCTCATAACTACTTCCCACAACCCCTCAGCCCTGCTCTTGGTGGTATAACTAGGTTCCCTGGCTTGGCAGCCAATTCTCTTGGAAGGAGAACCGGCAAGATGGCCCACACCCTGTTGAGTTTCACACTGTTCATTTAACTCACAGTAAACTCACACCGATTTCCACACTGTTCATTTGACTCACACATCCTTGCTAAACCAAGTGGTAAGAGTGATAGCTCTTTCCCTGTCATCCTTCTCTCCCTGCTCTAGTGATCACAGAGTACAGATCAACAAGCTCATCAGCAGATATCCAACCAGAGATTGAGATAACAGTCTCTTCTTGCCAGCCCACCAATTTCTATGAGTGATTCTCTTGGAGACCCCTCACTTGGAGGAGGTGAGAACAAAAGTCACATCACTCATTTCCGTGGCTGGGTACACACGACTCCATCAGTGCCCTTTCTCTTTTTACCTCCATATTATCTTCTAGGGGATGGTTTTAAATCTAGGAGATGTTAAGGATGGGGAGCTGTAGTATGGTTCGGGGTAGCAGAACTAACTTTCCACTTTTAATGGCACCTCTAGGATGTTAGCGCAGGACAATATATTCCAAGTGGCCTTGGACAAACCCAGTTCTCCTCTCTTTCTTGCTTGTTATTCTCAAGAAAAACTGTAAAATGTGCTGGGAATACAATATCCTGAGAAAGGAAGGAACCGCTTGAAATAGACTGGGCCTCCTTGTTCCTGTCCCTCCTAGGGAATGTAACATCTGGAGTTAGAGAGGAGGTGCCAGGGACAGCCCAGGCTTTGTACCTCTCTCCCCTGGAAGCAGGATGCCCTTCCCAGCTTTGTCCAGTGAGTCACATGACCCCTGAGGTATATAACTCATAGTGGGCTGCCTTTTGGGGCCCCTCACTTGTGGTGCACATGGGGCATGTACGGGCAACACTCAATCCTGCCCAGGAAGCTTCCTTGAGCCTTGAGGGCTGCCTCACAATGGATCCTAGGCTTCTTTTTTCCCTTGCTGCTTGCCTGTAAGTAATAATCCCACCTCACAAAATTTGTTGCATGTGAGTGTATCTCCAGCAGACATTGGTAGACCTTCAGGCCAGGATGTAGTGGGCAGAAGTGTGTGGGCTCCTATTTCTGTCGATTGGCATAGTGTCGATCTCTGCTGTCCTGCTTGTAGTGGGAGTCTTCTCTTGGGATTGGTTATTAGTGAACCTGCCTCACAAAATTGATGCTATGAGCAGGGTCTGATCTGACAGAACCATGGCTTTCTGGTGAAGTGGGACGGTGATATCCCCCTGTATCTGACCCAAGGCAGAGATGTCAGCCTGGGCATTCAGGAACTGACGGGACATGCAGCTGGATGAGTCATGGGGAGGGAAGGATGATAAGCGAAACATAGTCTCCCCACCTCCCCTGCAGATGGGAGTGAGCTGGCTGCATAGACCGAGGAGAGGGTATGGAATGTAGAAACAGGATAGAGCAGTGTACAATTCCCTGGGTGTTGGGCACTTACGTAATCGCTCATTCCCAGGCCAGAGAGCTTGGGAAGTGGGTATTCTGATGGACCCTGAGGCACTTGAGAGAGAATGGGAAAGAGGTCCTCAGACAGTCCCTGGAACATCTGAGAGGGAACCAACACACACAGGGTGGGTCTTCACAGATGGGGAGACCGCCTATCTAAAGGATGGATATGGAGGAAGGCCAGGGAAGTCTTACGCAGCCTGGGCGGTGTGTTTGATAAAGGACACTGCAGACCCAAATGTCTCAGGCTGAATGGTGCAGTTAGAAATGGAGCCAAGGTCTCTGGGTCCCCACTGAGTACCAATGGCTCCATACTCCTGTCAGGATAAAAGGGGGAAGGAGAAGGATTCAGACTTTTCTGGGGTTCTTGTGCCCTGGGGCCCACATTACAATATTTCCAGGTCCCCTTAGGGGAAAAAAAGTTAAACTGATGACATCAGGAAGTTTGGAAATGAATATGGTAGCTCATGGTACCTATTTGCTTGTGGTGCTTATCTGCTTGTGGGTGGGGCCCTTTGGGCCATTTCAGGTGCCAGTGATCATGATTCCATCACTAAGTGTATTGTAGGCACTGACATTTTGGCTGCTTCTGGAACAAAATATCACCACTGCCTGAGGGGGTATGTCCTTTCACAGCTAAGAGTTCAAGCCATTAACAGTGGGGTATAGGCACTCCTGCCTGCCACCTAAGCTACTCAGGACCCATTGGGTTACTAAAAAAAAAAAGCAGTATTACATATTAAATGGAGAACAGGACATTACTTAGCTAATTCAAAACTTGCTACAGATAAAAATGTTATAAGCTATGCTTTCACAGTGTAACTGCCCAATTTGGCCAGTCAGAAATGCCTTTGGGGCATGGAGACTCACAATGGACTGTCCCAGGCTGAATGCCAAGGCCATCTGGGCTGGAAGCCAAAGAAGTATCCCAGATAAAGTCAAGCAAAAATGTTTAACCCTCATAGCATCCACTAATAAAAAGGAGGCCCAACAGCTGGTCAACCTCTTTGGATACTGACAACAGTATGTACCTTACCTAAGTGTCCTTCTGGCCCCCTTAGTCAAAGTGACCAACAAATTCCCCACTTTGAACAAAGAGCCCTTTGCAATGGCAGGCCTTGGAAGCCATTCAAAAAGCTGTGGCCCAGGCATTGACTTTAAAACCTTGACAGCCTGCTAGCTTAATGGAGTTAGAGGTCCACAACCCCCATGCCTGCTGACTGGAGTCTGTGCCAACAGAAAACTGCCATTGGGTTATACCAGCCTCTCATTTTAAACACATAAGTTGTGCCAGGCATGGTGGCTCACGCCTGTAATCCCAGCACTTTGGGAGGCCGAGGCGGATGAATCATGAGGTCAGGAGATAGAGACCATCCTGGCCAACATGGTGAAACACCGTCTCTACTAAAAATACAAAAATTAGCCGGGTGTGGTGGTGTGTGCCTGTAGTCCCAGCTACTCAGGAGGCTGAGGCAGGAGAATCACTTGAACCCAGGAGGCAGAGGTTGCAGTGAACTGAGATCGCACCACTGCACTCCGGCCTGGGCAACAGAGCGAGACTTTGTCTCAAAAAATAAATAAATAAATAAATAAACACATAAGTTGCCTGAGGCAGCCACCAGATACGTCTGTTCTGAATTCAACCCCTTGCTTGCTATTGGGCACTCTTGGGGACTGAACATCTTACAGCCTGAAGGACACATGTGACACTGTAACCTGAAGTGGCCATTCCCACTTGAGGGCTCACAAACCCCAACTATACAATTGGATGTGCATGACAGATATCAGTTATCAAATATAAATGGTACATTCAAGATTGAGCCCAGCCAGGACCCCAGGGGACCAGTATGCTCCATAAACAAATGGCTGGCTTATCAGAAGGAGCAAAGCTAGCCATACTGAATGCTCCAGAATGGCTGGCTTGGCTCCCTCTGAGGCCATCCAGGGCCCAAGACTCAGAGACTTGCCTACTGATGGCATGGCAGGTTTACTGACGGAGCTGTAAAACAAGAAGACAGGTCCACGAGGTTGTGGCTGCCATCTGGCCAAGGGATGGTCATATATTGACTGAGACTGAACATGAATGTTCTGCCCAATGGGTCAAACTACAGGAAATGATGATGGCCATCCAGGCCACCTCTACCATCGTATCTTGCTATATTTTCACAAATTTATGGGCTGTTGCCAACAACTTAGCCATTCAGTCAGAGGAATGGCAACTAAGTGACTGGACTATTAATGGATTCCTTGTATGGGGAATAGGACTATGGCAGCAGCTTGCTGCTTGGAAGGGAGACATATATGTCACTCATGTGAATGCTGGGACTACCATAGAGCCCCTTGAGAGGAAATTATGTCATATTTTTGGACACTTCATGGGACTTTACTCTGACCAAGGAACATCCTTCACTGCCCAGGGAACGTGATGGGCACACTCTTAGGGAGTATCATGGACTTTCCATGCACCCTGTTATGTGCAGGCCAATGGAGCTATTGAACACTGGAATCGCTAGCTGGCTCAGACAGCAATGAAAAAAGGACATCAAGACAGCCTGCTGGTGTGGAATACCTGCATCTGACTAGAGCAGAATGGACACTAAATTCTACACTCCAATGCAAAAGAAACATGGCACTGCAGCACATGTTGGGAAAACACTGAGCTTGGTGGAGATGGAGGTGAACCAGGCAACCACCTGATTAGGCTATGCCTGGAAAATCCTAATCTCAGTATTCCCAACCATTCTTCTTCTGTTTTCCCTTAAGAGTGCATATTCTGGAGGTAAGTTCGAGATTCAGGCCATTTTGGCACCCTGAACAGGGCCTCCCCAACTCTAATCTTCAGGTGATACTTCCCCTGCTGCCTCCCTTCTATGGGATACTACAGGAGTGGGAGACAGAATCAAGGAGTACCAGGTGTTAGGGTTCCTCTACTGGCACTGGGAATGTCTGATCTTTCCAGTCAGGTGGGTAGTGTTATCAGATGTCAAATTTGTACCCAACGTAATTTCCCTACATGGGCTAGATAACTGAGGCTGCAAGGCCTGGGTCAAGCAACAAGGGTAATGGTGCCTACAGAGGTGGTAGCTTGGGAACTGGGACAGACTGGATCACTACACCACCTCAGCCCAACCCCTATCTGTTAGGCAGGAACTACCTGGACCTCAGGGAAGGGGAAGGGGAAGTAACCTGTCAATCTACTTCTTCCATGAGGACATGGCAGTAGAAGCCTGGAGCATAACACTTTCATTAGGCATTCCCAAGCTGTGACCACTGCAGGTTGCCTGACTAAGTGCTGGATCCTCCATCCCAGACTTTGTTCTGTTGCAGACCACACAGACCCTCTCATCCTGCCAATGGTAAAGTACACCAGCATTCCTAAAGCCACAACGTACACTAACAGAATCCAAGCCCTGGTTACTGAGTGAGGATCTGGCACTTGCCACTTAAGAGGGGGCTAGAGGTGCCTGTTACAACTTAACTGACTCAAAGTGTCACAACCACATCTAACAAAACCTTGGTGGGCTGCTGCTTTGACGCAACATAGTCCTTTGACTACTTGGATCAGAAATGTCCCAGCAGTGATGACAAAAACAAGGACTGAACAAATGCTAGTCCTTTGTGTAGGGCTTCATGAGCAATATCGAATGGGAGAACTCAGCTCATACAACTATGTGATTAATGAGGCCTAGCTGGTGCATGCCAATGCCTACGTACTATGAACAGGTCACTGAACAATGAAACGGGAATGGATGCTGTGTGCACCCGAGGGCTACATCTTTCTCTGAGGGCAGCTGGAGGTGACCCAAATATGGGAGGGGCAATGTCATGCCTGAAAAGCTGATGGATGAGGGGATTCCATACATTGGGCCTGCTGGAGTTGCCCCTAGACAGCACTCCTTGGGGTGAGATGAACTGTTGGGCCAGCAGCCTAAACTTGTACACCAGGCTACCTAGGGACCTGCTAGGAGGAGGAGCTGACTCTGGAATTATGTCCTTTATGAGAGCTTTGGTACCATACATAGGAGTCAGAGCTGAAAAAAAAAAAAAATCTGTCCCTGACCATGAAAGATATTGTTTCTTCCACTGACCCTGCCCCTGCCCCCGCCCCTGCCATAGCAGCCCAGCAGATATCCTTCAACTTATTCAAGAAAGTTGTTTTGGACAACAGAATTCTTCTAGGCTTCCTTTCAGACCAGTCAGGAGGAATGTCATTGCCAACACTTCCTGCTCTAGATAGATAGATAGATAGATAGATAGTTATTGTGGAGACACAGGTAGGGGAGATCCGAATGCAGCCCCACCTTGCTGCAGACAGTGGGGACAACTGAAGAATCCTTCTTTGGCCTCTTTAATGAATTCTTATCTGGATCACTGGAACCTTGGGTAGGTCACTGCTCAGGCAGGTACAGCCACCCTGCTTGTGGTTATAATACTCCTGGGCCTAATAAAATGTACTCTGGCTCACTCAGTGATGTTGCACCAAGATTGTGTCAGTGAAGGTGTCACATCGGCCTGACAAGGCAAACCTCTACCTCCAGATCTGGGGAAGTCTGTGGACGTACGAAATGCACTAGCTTTGCTAAGAGGGATATCTGGGTTGGTGGGGGGTGACCGCAGGACAGTCCTCCAGGGGGCCTTGGACTGACCTAATTCTCACCCCCTTTCTTGCTTGCAGTTCTCAAAAAAACTGTAGAATATGCTGAAAACGTAATACCCAAAATAGGCCTGGCATGGTGGTTCATGCCTGTAACCCTAGCACTTTGGGAGGCCGAGGAAGGCAGATCACTTGAGATCAGGAGTTCGAGACCAGCCTGGCCAACATGGTAAAACCCTGTTTCTACTAAAAATACAAAAATTAGCCAGGTATGGTGGCAGGCACTTGTAATCCCAGCTATTCGGGAGGCTGAGGCAGGAGAATAGCTTGAACCCAGGAGGCGGAGGTTGCAGTGAGCTGAGATCATACCATTGCACTCCAGCTTAGGCAACAGAGCAAGACACCTTCTCAAACAAACAAACCCAAAATAGGCAGTAACTGCCTGAAACAGCCCAAGCCTCGTTTCTGTCCCTCCTAGAAAAAGTAACATCTGGAGCTAGAGAGAAGCTGCCTGGGACAGCCCAGGCTTTATTCCTCTCTCCTCTAGAAGCAGGATACCCTTCTCAGCTTTGCCCAGTGAATCACATGACCCCTGAGATATGTAACTCAGGAGGAATTGCCTTTCAGGGCCTCTCAGCTGTGTTGTGTGGGGGGCATGTACAGTCAAGACTCCAACCTTCCCAGACAGCTGTCTTGAGCCTTGAGGACTGCCTCACAATGGATCCTAGGCTTCTTTTGTCCCTTGCTGCCTGTCTGTATTATACTAAAGCCACTTCACATTACTTGTTGCATGTGAGCGTGTCTCCAACAGACACTGGTAGCACTTCAGGCCAGGATGCAGTGGGCGGAAGTGTGTGGATTCCTATTCCTGGCAGTTAGCATAGTGACGATCTCTGCTGTCCTGCCCATGGTGGGATTGGTGATTAGTCCTGCTTCATAGTTATGTGAATGCTCCTGTTTGTCCTCAGTTTGAGGTCATAATTGACAATTCCAGGGTTCCAGATACATAACATTCTGCTACACAGATGCTGTTTCCTTTGCCCAGCACACCTGTCACTCACCTCAACCCTTTCTCTCTTTTCCCCATCTTTCTGTGGCTAGCTCCTCCTCATTCTTTAGGTCTCAGTGTAGATAGCACCACTATCAGGAAGGAGTCCAGACACTGCCAGGCCTAAGGTAGGAGACTAATCTTCTGCTTCCAAAGCTCCCTGTGCCTTCCTCATCACAGCGCTTCCCAATTATGTTTCAAATTAGTCTGTCTTCCCAGACTAGACTAAGCCCCGTGAGGGCTGAGACAGTGTGAGCCCGTTTTGTTCATGTTTGCACCCAAAATACCTTGTGTACAAAAGGCACACAATATTAGTTGACTAAACTTGTGAACGAATTTTTTTTATGGTTTTGAGGAAGAGGGAGCTTGTGTGTGTTTGGAAAAAGCCTGGACTCCTATTGATAACACCACCATCCCTGCAGCTCCCTCCTCCTCGAGAGCCACTGCCCTTTATTCCTGCTGCACATATCAGATTATGTTTGCAGAAAAATATTTGAATATCTCAAGGGCTATGTTTGAATCTGCACTTCTATAAATCAGATTTATTTGGTCAACCCCATCCTGTAAAGGCTTGCAAAAGAGAAAACTATGAGACAGCTAAGGATGGTGTATTATCCTGAACTTTTTGCTCCATTCCTCACAAGGCTTTTCTTGGTTAATTAAAAGCCTGACTCGGGCGGGTGGGGTGGCTCACACCTGTAATCCCAGCACTTTGGGAGGCCGAGGCGGGCGGATCACAAGGTAAGATATCGAGACCATCCTGGTCAACATGGTGAAACCCCGTCTCTACTAAAAATACAAAAATTACCTAGGCATGGTGGTGTACGCCTGTAGTCCCACCTACTCGGGAGGCTAAGGCAACAGAATCGCTGGAAACTGGGGGGTGGAGGTTGCAGTGACTGGAGATTGTGCCACCGCACTTCAGCCTGGTGACAGAGCAAGACTCCATCTTAAAAAAAAAAAAAAAAAAAAAAGCCTGACTCAGCCAGTAGGAGCTCCCTTCCCACCAACTGACTATAATGAAAGGGAAATTATGGCTTCTTCTACTACTACACAACAGCCTTTGGATGCAACATTCCACCATTTATTTGTTCAACAAAATACTATTAATATTAACTGACCTGGAAGGGCTGAGAGGGCTTTAATGTACATCCAGCTGGGGCCCTTCATGCTACTAGGGACACAGTGAGTGATGAAAACTTCCCCAAAGTAAGGATATTCCTATGCTTGGACACTAAGGTAGAGTTCTCAGGGGCTAGGGCCTGTCATTCCTTCTCTTTCTCTTCTTCTCCACACCTCCACAATGGAACAGAAAGCAACAGTTGTGCCCCAGAAAAAAAATGCCTCTTGGCCTTCAGAACCCTGGGGTGAAACAGAATATCATTCCCAGGAAGTAGCTCCAGACATAAAATTCTCCCCATATTATCTACCCTGGGTTATCTATTTTGTTCTTTAAAATAGGGGCAGCATTTTTGTCTAAAAAAAAAAGTTCCAGGATTAAATAAAACATTAATTAATCTAGAATATTGCACTCATCTGTTCACCCAATGAATATATAGTGAGGAATATTTATATGCAAGTTTCTGTGGATACTTAAAGATTTAATTCCTGCTCTCAAGTTGCTCACGATCTAGTGAGAAGACGGAAACAGTTTCAGCACTAAGCACTATGATAGGGTTATACATTTATGGCCAGAAAGTGGAGGAGGTCAGGGGAAGCTTCCCAAGGAAAACAACACTGGCTTAGTCTTAAAGTTGGGGTGACCGAGCAGAGAAGGGTGGAGGGAGGTGATGCAGAATTGCAGACAGAGTGAACACCAGGTACAGAAGCCAGGCGATCATAGACATAAGCCCTTGCTGAGCACTTATCCTGGGATGGGTGCTACATTAAGAGCTCAACCACAAATCTTTGAAATAGGGCCTATGCCCCCTTTCATATATGAGGAAACTGAGGCGTGGAAGGGCTAACTACATAAATTGAACAAACTTGCAGTTTTCTTAACAAGTGATGAAGCCAAGACTCAAACCAGAAAGTTTGAGTCCAGAGTCACTGCTCTTCACCACTTCATTACCTGGAACTTGCTATTGATGTAAAGTGTCTTTTGTAAAGGAATATAAGATGCCCGAGAAAGAAGGACAGGAAAACAGACTAGGCAGTGGACAGAAAAGCATGTCATGAATGTAGAGTTTATAAGCCCTATGGTGGCATCTGGACTTATATTAAAGGCAACAGGGACCCAAATGATGGATTTTGAGGAGAGAAGTGGCCTGACTTATTTATGTGTATTATTCCATTAACATTGAATAGTATGGATGATAACAGAATAAGACTACTAGAAGTAAGAAGACCATTGGTAAACTGTTGTGGTGACCCAGGCAAGAACTGATGAGGACCAGGAAGTGAAAGCTTGAACTAAGGTAGAAGCAATGAGGATAAGGAGGAAGAGATGGGTATGGGGGGTGTCTCAGAAGTGGAATTGACAGGACATTGAAATTGAATCAGTGCAGAGAGTCACGAAGAAAGAGCAGTCATGAATCCCAGGTTCTTTGTTTTAGAGGTAGGGTATGGAGGAGAAGCAGATTTGAATGAGAAGATAATCAGGGTGGGTTTGGGTGTGATGGGTTACAGATGCTTGTGGGAAGATTCAACTAGACAAGACAATGGGAAGTTCCCTATATGAGTCTGGAGTTAGGAGTGAAATCTGAGTAGAGATATATGTTAGAGAGCCATTGGAACATAGGCTGTCATTGAGATCATGAGAATGGGCGAGATAACCCAGAGAGGATCTCAAAAGTGAAAAAGACTGAGGGTGGACACTAGGGAAACACCAAACACACAGAAGGAGAACTGGAGGCAGGAGGCAGAGGAGGAGCTGAAATAGGAGAAAAATTGTGTGGGCATGCCACCCCTGAAGCGAAGAGGAGAAAGAGGTTTAGAGAATGAGGAATTGATCAATTCTGCTATGTCAAGGTAGAATTGGAAAGTGCTCTTATATATGGGATGAAGTTGTTTGTTGTTGGCCCTGGGAAAAATTGAGTGGTGAGGATGGAAGAAAAATCAAAGTGGGTTTCAGAGCATGTGGAAGGGAGGGGATGGAGGCAGCACTTTTCAGGAAGCTTGGCTTTGATGGAAAGTAGGAGAGAACACAGGAGCAAGGGAGTTGCTGTTCAGTGTTTTGGTTTGGTTTGGTTTGGTTTTTAAATAAGAGAGACTTAGCATGGTGTATTAGTTTCCTATTGCTGCTGTAACAAATTATTACAAACTTATTGACTTAAAATAATACAAATTTACTGCCTTATGGTTCTGGAGATCAGGAGTTCTAAAATGGGTTGGCAGGGATGCATTTCTCGGGGAGACTCTAGGGGAGAATCTATTTCCTTTCTTTTTCCAGCTTCTAGAGTCTTCTTATATTCCTTGGTTTGCATCCCTTCATCAGTCTTCAAAGCCAGCAGTTTACCATTTTCCAATCTCTCTCTCTCTGTCTGTCTCTCTCTCTCCCACTACCCCTTCCCTCTCTCTGCTTCTGTTGTCACATTGCTTTATGTCTGATTTTTTTTAAGAACCCTTGTGAATTCATTGGGCCTACCCAAATAATCCAGGACAGTCTCCTCATTTCAGGATCCCTAATCATATCAGCAGAGTCCCTTTTATTATATGAGGTAACTTATTCACAGATTCTGGGGACTAGGATGTGGACATCTTTGGGGGGTTATTACTCAACTAACCACATATGGTATCTCTGCCTGGCATATAGTAAGTGCTCAAAAATATTATTACAATAAAGGTGCTGGGAAAACTGGCTAGCCATATGTAGAAAGCTGAAACTAGATTCCTTCCTTATACCTTATACAAAAATTAATTCAAGATGGATTAAAGACTTAAATATTAGACCTAAAACCATAAAAACCCTAGAAGAAAACCTAGGCAATACCATTCAGGACATAGGCATGGGCAAGGACTTCATGTCTAAAACACCAAAAGCAATGGCAACAAAAGCCAAAATTGACAATTGGTATCTAATTAAACTAAAGAGCTTCTGCACAGCAAAAGAAATTACCATCGGAGTGAACAGGCAACCTACAGAATGGGAGAAAATTTTTGCAATCTACTCATCTGACAAAGGGCTAATATCCAGAATCTACAATGAACTCCAACAAATTTACAAGAAAAAAACAAACAACCCCATCAACAAGTGGGCGAAGGATATGAACAGACACTTCTCAAAAGAAGACATTTATGCAGCCAACAGACACATGAAAAAGTGCTCATCATCACTGGCCATCAGAGAAATGCAAATCAAAACCACAGTGAGATACCATCTCACACCAGTTAGAATGGCAATCATTAAAAAGTCAGGAAACAACAGGTGCTGGAGAGGATGTGGAGAAATAGGAACACTTTTACACTGTTGGTGGGACTGTAAACTAGTTCAACCATTGTGGAAGACAGTGTGGCGATTCCTCAGGGATCTAGAACTAGAAATACCATTTGACCCAGCCATCCCATTACTGGGTATATACCCAGAGGATTATAAATCATGCTACTATAAAGACACATGCACACGTATGTTTATTGAGGCACTATTCGCAATAGCAAAGACTTGGAACCAACCCAAATGTCCAACAATGATAGACTGGATTAAGAAAATGTGGCACATATACACCATGGAATACTATGCAGCCATAAAAAATGATGAGTTCATGTCCTTTGTAGGGACATGGATGAAACTGGAAACCATCATTCTCAGCAAACTATCCCAAGGACAAAAAACCAAACACTGCATGTTCTCACTCATAGGTAGGAATTAAACAATGAGAACACTTGGACACAGGAAGGGGGACATCACACACCAGGGCCTGTTGTGGGGTGGGGGGAGGGGGGAGGGATAGCATTAGGAGATATACCTAATGTTAAATGACGAGTTACTGGGTGCAGCACACCAACATGGCACATGTATACATATGCAACAAACGTGCACGTTGTGCACATGTACCCTAAAACTTAAAGTATCATAAAAATTTATATATAAATAAATAAATAAACATTTCTATGCTGAGGAGAAAGAGCTATCAGAAAGAAAGACATTACAAACATAGGAAAGAGAGAAAGAGAGAGAGAAAGAGACTCTGAAAGAGAGAAAGCAAGAATCCCTTAGGCCAAAGGGATGGGACCCAGAACACAGCCAGAAGGAGGGACACGCTGGACATTAAGTGAGATAATGTACACGCAGCTGGCAATAATTTTTAAAATGTAGCATTCATTACATATTTGTTTGCCTGCCTTAATCCTCAAGTGTTCCTACACTAGTGAAGGATTATGATATCATCCCTGCCTCAACCTGACAACCCAGCCATATACTATTATGTAAGCTCCCCAAAATTTCACCTCTGATTTATCATTGCTTCTTCCAGAGCTCCTGGCTCTTTCTCCTTGGCAACAACAACAACAAAAAAAATTAATTAATTAATTTTTTTAAAAAAGCAAGCTCAATACATGTTTTGGGATAAATAAATTAATGAATTAATGAAAGAACAAATGAACAGCCTTGTGGACTGGGAGAACATTGATTTAGGGTGATCAGAAAGTAGCACCTTCTCAGTCTTCATTGACTTCTTCATTGCTCCCACCTGGGACACCTCCCTTCCTGTTCTTTAAGTTTTGTCTTTAAGAACAGGAAGGGAAGGTGTCCCAGGTGGGAGGAATTCTTCTGAGATAGAAAAAGGAAAGAGGGCAGGGCAAAGAGGTATGTGGCAGTCAAGTGAAAACACTGGCTGTGGCCCAGTGCGGTGGCTCACGCCTGTAATCCCAGCACTTTGGGAGGCTGAGGTGGGTGGATCACTTGAGGTCAGGAGTTCAAGGCCAGCCTGGCCAACATGGTGAAACCCCATCTCTGCTAAAAATACAAAAATTAGCCAGGCGTGGTGGTGCACACCTGTTGTCCCAGATACCCAGAAGGCTAAGGCAGGAGAATAGCTTGAATCCGGGAGGTGGGGGTTGCAGTGAGCCGAGATCACGCCACTGCACTTCAGCCTAGGCGACAGAGCGAGACTCTGTCTCAAAAAACAAGCAAACAAAAACAACCAAAAAAACACAAACCACTGGCTGGAGTAATTGAACAGGTAATTAGTAGAAGGCACTACAAGCCCCTAAGAATGAGTTTGCAATGGCACAAGATATACATTGGTGATAATTAATAATACTGTACTATAAACTGGGAAGTTGCTAAGAGAGTAGATTTCATGGGCTCTTACCACTTAAAAAAAAAAAAAGGAAAGATAAGTATGTGAGGAAGTGGACATGTTAATTTGTTTGACGGTGGTACTCATTTCACTATGTATATAAAAAAACTATGTTGCATACCTTAAAAATATATTATTTTTACTTTAAAAATTTTTTAAATAAAAATTAGAAAAAAGCTAATGACTCTAGATTTCTCAGAGATACATGAACAGTACTACAACAGAAGAAGCATGAGAATAAAAAAAGCACTGTGCTGGAAAAATTTTTTTAATCATAAACTAAATTCTTGATTCTAGCACTAATTTCTGCATGAACTTGAGCAAATTACTCAGTCTCATTGAGCCTCAATTAGCCAAAAGGACAAAGCGAGCTGATGCAGGTATAACAGCCCAGTAGCTAGCATAAGAAAAGAAATAATGCCAGTGGCTCACACCTGTAATCCCAACACTTTGGGAAGCCGAGGCAGGTGGATCGCCTACGGTCAGAAGTTCGAGAACAGCCTGACCAACATGATGAAACCCCTTCTCTACTAAAAATACAAAAACTGGTCGGGAGGCCGGGTGCGGTGGCTCACGCCTGTAATCCCAGCACTTTGGGAGGCCGAGATGGGTGGATCACGAGATCAGGAGATGGAGACCATCCTGGCTAACACGGCAAAACCCCATCTCTACTAAAAATACAAAAAAATTAGCCGGGCATGGTGGCAGCCTCCTGTAGTCCCAGCTACTGGGAAGGCTGAGGCAGGAGAATGGCGTGAACCCGGGAGGCGGAGCTTGCAGTGAGCCGAGATCGTGCCACTGAACTCCAGCCTGGGTGACAGAGCGAGACTCCGTCTCAAAAAATAATAATAATAATAAATAAATATAATTTTTTAAAAAAACTGGTCGGGAGTGGTGGCAGGCACCTGTAATCCCAGCTACTCAGGAGGCTGAGGCAGGAGAATCACTTGAACCAGCACAGCAGAGGTTGCAGTGAGCTGAGATCGTGTCATTGCACTCCAGCCTGGGCAACAAGAGTGAAACTCCATCTCAAAAAAAAAAAAAAAAAAGAGAAAAGAAAGAAAGAATGCAGTAAATTATTGCTGTTACTATCTCTCAGAGTTGTTGTTATAAATAAAACACCATGTCAAAGCACCTAGGAAATCATCTTAGTGGAGGTTCGGTAAACTTTAATCTCTTCTCTTCCACATTAGAAATGTAAATTAAATGCTCTCAAGGGATGAGAGACACTGGAAGCTGGGACGCTCTTGGAACTCTGTTGCCATCATCAAGGTGAGAAAACTCAGGGCCTGGTTCAGAGTCCATGGAGGACTCAGGTATTTGAGGTTTAAGTGGTTGGTACGTAATGTCTCCATTTTCCACCTTAATATAAAACGTGTCTCTTTTTCTCATCCAAGTTTTGGACCAGCGGAGACAAAGAAATGAGGCAGATAGCAAAACTCACCTTTATAACTGATTGAAAAAAAACATGGTGGACTGACTCACCACCCAACATAATTATCGATGGAAAACACAGGTCTCTCACTCCTGGGGACATAGCCCTGGGAAATGTACAGAAAGCAGCAGGTGCATGGGGTGCTTTCTGCATCCTGGGGCCAAGAGTGACAGCCAGAGCCTAGAGAGGCCAGGAGTGTTTGTTTAATAGGGTTTCTGCCCCAAGAAAGAAAACACCAGCAATGTAGAGAAAGTGTTCCCCCAATGGCATGTTCTATTTCTTTTTTTCTACTTAGGCTTCCAGATACAGCCCTCTAGGTCATCCAGAGGTGCCAGCCAGCCCTCACCAGTGGTCAGCTTTTCCTCAGTGGAGTGGTAGGTGAGCCAGTGGAGCTTGCTCTGAAGATACTAGAGGGAGCCAAAGCTGTCTGGCCCTTCAGTGTGACTCAGTTTCCAGACTCTTTCTCTTTAGACATAAATGAAGAACAAGTCAACCTTGATGCCTTTGAGGGTTGGTTCAGCGGATGATGTGTTGTGGGGTTTTCCCACAGGTCAGCAGTCCAACTACCAGGGCCAGAGCCCCATCAAAGAATCTTCAGTGCCAGCCAGAAAGAATGATGAACTCCTCGTGTAAAGGGAGTTTGGGGCAACCAGTCAAACCATGGCCTCATGGGAAGCAGCTGACTAGGCAATGAGAGAGGAATACAAAAGACAAGGCACTGCGAAGCCAAGTCTGGTTGGGGAGAAGAAACCAATATGCCTGAAACAGGGAACCAGAAAGGACTCAGACAAAACTGCTGACAAGTATGGGGTTTCTTGGGGTAGGTGGTGAAAATATTCCAAAATAAGATTATAGCGATGTTTTAATAATCCCCTGGATATAATAAAAAAACATCGAATTGTACACTTCAAATGAGTGAACTGTGTGGTATGTGAATTATATATCTCAATAAAGATGTTTTAAAAAGAAGACACAGGCTGGGCACAGTGGCTAATGCCTGTAATACCAACACTTTGGGAGGCTGAAGTGGGCAGATAGCTTGAGCCCAGGAGTTTGAGAACAGCCTGGGCAACATGGTGAAACTCTGTCTCTGCAAAAAATACAAAACAAAACAAAACAAAAACAGCTGGGTGTGGTGGTGCTAGCTGTAGGTATGGTGGCATGCGCCTGTAGTCCCACCTACAAGGGAAGCTGAGGTGGGAGGATCAACTGAACCTAGAAGGTTGAGGCCATGCCACTGCACTCCAGCCTGGGCAACAGAGCAAGACCCTGTTAGTGTGCCAAAAATTGTGTGACTTTAGTCACTTCCCTTCTTTATGCCTCAGTTTCCTCATCTATTAGGTGAAGGAGTGGGAATAGATGACCTCTCTAAGGTTCCCGTATTAACTTCCTGGGGCTGCCATAATAGATTACCACAAATTTGGTGGTTCAAGGCAACAGAAATTCATTCTCTCACAGCTCTGAAGGCTAAAAGTCTGAAATCAAGATATAAATACCAGGCTCCCTCCAGAGGCTATAGGGGAGGATCCACTCCTTGCCCCTCCCAGTTTTTGGTGACTGTTGTCATTACTTGGCTTGTGGCCGTGTCTCTCTCTCTGCTCTGTCTCCTTCTCCTTTGTGTTCTGTCTCTCTCAAAACTCCTTTCTCCTTTCTCTTAGAAGGATATATGTGATTATATTTAGGCCCCACTTGGATCATCCAGGATAAACTTCTCCTCTCGAGATCCTTAATTTAATCACATCTTTTGACATTCCCATGCTCTAGGGAATTGACATAGATACCTTGGAACTGGGGGTGGGGGGCAATTTACTTATAGATCTTTGCATGTTTATAAGAGAGTGAGAGAACTGACTTGAGAAAAGTTGAACTACCTTATTTTTTCCAGAAACCCCCTGTTCACTTCCCTTCACCTCCATCCTAGATCGTATTTAAAATAACTTACACTTGTATGGAATTTTATGGTTTGAAAGTTATTATGCATTTATCAGCTCATTTTATTCTCATAAAAACCTATAAATTTGGTATTATCACTATAATTCCATTTCAGATGAGTAAATGGAGGCTCAGAGACACTAAATGACCTAACCAAGGTCACTAGCATGTAAAGTACTAGTGCCCAGACTCTGATCTGAGTCCTTGGACTTCAATTCCTGTAACTCCCGCACTGCCATCATTTGCCTGACCCTTGGTATAGCACCAAGGGGTTCTACACAAAGAAGAGTGGATGCACTTGGAGTAGATTCACTTCTTCCCATTCCTCCTGCTAAACTAAACACAGCTAAAGCCCTTGGACATTATATATAAAACTAACATAAAAAGACAGAAAGGTGCAGAAAAAGAAGCAGACTGACTAGCAACCTTGGAACCTTGATTTTGGAACCCAAGAATTGAATGGCAGTGAGTTTGTGGATTTTCTTTTTGCCTCGCAAATCCTGAACTAGGTGCTAGAGAAGCAGCCCAGAAATGCCAAAGAGCATGCACAAAATAAGGTCCCAAGAAAAGCCTGCTTGTTCTCTTTAGCCAAAGCACTAGGAAGGCAATTCAGCAAGGCAGAAACTTTTAGAGAATAACTTTCCTACTCTAGCCAAACACCATGGAAAAATATCACAGCCCTACCACCACCCCTGTTAGCAAAGGCCAAGTGGGGAGCCTAAACTTCCACCTTTAATTAGCTGTAAGGAGGTACCCTCCCCAGACTCCACCCCTCACCAGGGTGTTATCAGAGAATATGGAGTGGGGAGCTGGGACTTTCATCCCTATCCAGAGGTAACGAGCTCTCTATCCAGCAGCAGTAACAAGGCACCCTTCCAACTCTGCCAGGATGAAGTCAGAGGAGGCCATCTGGGAAGTCTGGAATCCCATATCCACCAGTAAAGCACCTTTTTCTCCACTCTGGGTAGTCAAAGGAGGCTGAGTGGAGAACCTGGACCTTCACCCTTGCTTGGCATTAGCAAAATGAAACTCCCTCCCTTAACAGGCATGGTGTCAGAGGAAGCCTGCTAAAACAGAAGATTTAAGTAAGATCCAGAGTCTCATAACACCCAAAATGTCCAGTGTACAATTAAAAAATCACACATCACACCAAGAACCAGGAAAATCTCAACTTGAATGAAAAAAAAAATCAGCAGATGGCAACACCGAGATGACACAGATATTGGAATTATCTGACAAAGATATGAATACTCTTGGCACAAAAAATAGAAAATCTTATTGAATAGAAGCTAAATGGAAATTTTAGAACTGAAAAATATAACCACCAAAGTAAAAAAAATCCATTGGATGAGTTCAATGGCAGAACAAAGGGGACAGAAGAAAGAATCCATGAACTTGAAAACAGAACTGTAGAAATGACCCAAGCTCGGTGCGGTGGCTCACACCTGTAATCCCAGCACTTTGGGAGGCCGAGGTGGGTGGATCACTTGAGGTCAGGAGTTCAAGACCAGCCTGGCCAACATGATGAAACCCTGTCTCTACTAAAAATACAAAAATTAACTGGGCGTGGTGGCGGATGCTTGTAATCCCAGCTACTTGGCAGGCTGAGGCAGGAGAATCCCTTGAATCCGGGAGGTGGAGGTTGCAGTGAGCCAAGATTGCGCCATCGCACTCCAGCCTGGGGGAGAAGAACGAGACTTCATAAAAAAAAAAAAATAAATAAAAAAAGAAATGACCCAAGCTGAATAACTTTAAATTGTGTAAATACACAGACTTCCTTATCTTCTTAAGTTTTCTAAATTGTTTGATGGCTGAAGCAAAAAGTATAACATGGCCTGAATGTGGATCTCAATGTATATAGATGAAATATTTAATACAATTATATCATAAGTGGAAAAAACAAGGGACTTACAAGAAGGTAAGGTTTCTACTTTTGTATTGAAGTGATAGAATATGGACATCAGCTGATCTTTTTTTTTTTTTTGAAACGGAGTCTCACTCTGTTGCCCAGTAGTGCAGTGGCGCCATCTTGGCTCACTGCAACCTCCACCTCCCTGGTTCAAGCAATTCCCCTGCCTCAGCCTTCCGAGTAGCTGGGATTACAGGCGCCTGCCACCACGTCCGGCTAATTTTTTTGTATTTTTAGTAGAGATGGGGTTTCACCATGTTGGCCAGACGGGTCTCAAACTCCTGACCTCAGGTGATCCACCCACCTCCGCCTGCCAAAGTGCTGGGATTACAGGCATGAGCCACTGGGCCCGGCCAGATCTTTGTGGTGATAAAATAGTTCTGTTATCTTGATTGCAGCGGTGGCTGCAAGAATCTACAGGTATGATAAAACGGCATAGACTACACATTGTACCAATGTCAATTCACTGGTTTTGATTGTGTACTATAGGGCAATATTAAGTGAAGAGTACACAGGACCCTTTTTAAGTATCTTTGCAACTTCCTGTATGTCTAAAATTATTTTAAATCCAAAAGGTTTTTAAAAAGAGGACAAAAAAAAAGAATAAAAGAGAACTGAAGGGGCATCATCACAGGCAACTGGGGAACCCCCTTTTCAATCTGGAGGCCATACGTGAGGGGAGATGGTGCTCAGAGAGCACAGGTTTCCAGCCTGGAACCTTTGGCTCAGGCCCTAGTCTCACCCTCCAGTGACATCACAAAGCCTCAGAAGCCCCACCGACCATGCAGAAGTTTTGCTAACGGAACTATCATCTGTGTTTGTATTGGAAGCAGTTGTTTGGCCTTGCTGAGCAAACGTCTATGCCTTCTCCATTACATCCAAAGGAGAATAGCCCCATGTGAAGAATGGAATCAGTAGATGTTTGGTCGCTGTACCATATCCACTCCTAGGATACAACAAGAGCAAGCCCAATTCTCTTGGTGGTGTGGGCAGTCGGCTTGCACCACGTACCTATCTCAGCTCTTTTTGGAAGCTTATGTCCTCCCCACAACTTCCAGCTTTCTTATGGGACAAGGGTACACTCACCACTGCCATATCTAATCCTGCTTGCCTGGTAAATGTTCTCTTCTTCTTTACACCCCTGATGACTCTGGTCACTCTACTCATCCTGGTCTGGAAAGTAACCAAAGACAAAAGCAACAAGAACAGAGAGACACACCCAAGAAAGGAGGCAACATGGCTGCCATAAAGATCTGGATCTCTTGGTGGGGACTCCACTGAGGTGAAGACCTGATTGTACAAGAGAGGCACGGCCACTGGAGCTGTCTCAGAGCCCAGAGCCAGGGGAGCCAGAGCTGCTTTAGCCACCCTGTTCCTCCATTGCCAGATGTCCCCCCAGGCCTCATTTCCTTCCTCTGCCACCATCCCTCTTATAATGCACTCCTCCTGCGGTTCTTTGGCTTGTCCCAGCTTCTGAGTTTGAATGTCTTTTTTTTTTTTTTTTTTTTTGTGGATCTTCAAGACTGAAATAGTAAATGGCTCTTGATTTCTGCACTAACAGAGGAAAGAAACAAGTACATGGAAAAGTAAAAATTGATTACAAAGCCTAAATTTTCCTCTATAAATTGGGCATGTGCTGACTGTGGGATATTGAAATTATTGGGAGCTCACAGCATCTCAAGTTATATAATGAAGCTATTCTGGAAGCTCATTTCCAGAAGATCCTTAAAATGAAATGGCTCACTCTCTGCTGAATTGTAGGTACACTCTTTCCTCCTCTTCACTTAATGCTGGGAGTAAAATGTATTTTTTTTATTAAGAAATGATTTGAAGTACCATACATTTTTCTCTCCTCTCTCACCCTCCAACTTAGTGGGTTGACAAAATTTTAAAATATCATATCCTAAAATGATAATTTTTCTTTTTCTTTTTTTGTCCTTTCAGAATTTGGAGCAAGTTAACTCCTTTTTCAAATGAAATCCAAATTAAAGAGGCAGTTTTTTTGAAAAACCAAACTCTTATTCAATTCGGTTTGGGTAACCCTAGGGAGAATTTTACTACTTGCCTGAAATGAATGAATATTTTTCTAGGAGAAGAACCTCTTTGCCCAGTCTATTGTTAACCCTTCCTTTTAGAAGCATCATATCAGGTGTCCTCTTGCTTCAACCCTCACATGCATTTGACTCTGGAAGTCTTAAACCAGGGCCCCTTCCCTCTAAACCTTTCCTCCATTGCTTACAATCATGGAACTGTGTTTGGCCACTGGAAGAATAAGTCACTCGGGGTATGTGGCCATGCACTCTGCATCTCAAAGCATGGGTCACTCTTTCACCCCCACTTTAGCCCATAGAAATTTGGAAGCTTGGTCCTTTGGTGCTGTAGAGAGGCTAGGGTTGCTACCAGACCCAAGGGGAGTCCACCCCAGTGAGGGCTCTCACCTGCCTCCTGGAGTGCCTGTTGCCAATGGTGGCGGTGGGTGTTTGTTTCTGTGGTTGACCAGCTTTGGCAGAAACAAACCACCAAGTAGCTGGCAGATGAAACTGAAAAGCCTCATGACTGAGAAAGACATAGCCCGGTTGCCTCTGACAGCTGAGGCCCTCTTTATTAAAAGCCACCAGCATTCCTCCCAAGCATGGTGTGCTTGGAAAATAGTGCATGCTAGGGGTGGGATGGGGAGTGGTGTCTTGACATGAGTGGGCATGGGTTCCATGCCTTTCCTTGTTGGGGAGGAGTTCCACCAAAGGTCTGTGCATGTCTTAGAATTGGCAGAAAGATCTTCAGCACTCCTAACACTCTTCAAATCTTTCTTTCCTATCATGCAGATGCCTCTATTCACCCAGCAGATATTTACTGAGCTCTCACTGTGTACCAGACCCTGTCCTGGATGCTGGGATACAAGAATAGCAGAAAGGTGCCCATCTTCTCTCTCCTAGAGCCCATACAGCACAGTGAGAGAGACAGATGTTAACGAAATAACCGCATACATGATTTTTTAATTATAAATGGAGAAAAGTGCTCTGAAAAAGGAATCTGGCTTTATGAGAGTATATATGAAAGGAATCTGACCTAGACAGAGAAAGTTTACCTGAGGAAGTAATGCTTGGGCTGAGAACTGAAGGGTGAGTGAATGAGAAACAGGTGAGGGGCAAAAGAAGGGCCAGGCCCCCCGGATAGAGAGACAGCACCGGCCAAGGCCTGTGAAGGGAGCAGTCAATGGGATAGAAAGATGGTCAGCAGTTCTGGAACACAGAAATTGAACACAAAAATAAAGCATTATGAGGCTGGAGACATAGGTGGGACTGTATCTCACAGAACCCTGGTGGGCAGTAATCACTGGTGACTGAGCTGTGGAGGGGGGATGGGGATAGATCTCTAAGGCTCCTTCCAGCTGGTGCATTTCTGCACTTACTAGTTAGGTGCATGTATTAAAAGACTCCTGGCCAGGCGGGCGCGGTGGCTCATGCCTGTAATCCCAGCACTCTGGGAGGCCGAGGTGGGTGGATCATGAGGTCAGGAGATTGAGACCATCCTGGCCAACATGGTGAAACCCAGTCTCTACTAAAAATACAAAAATTAGCTGGGCGTGGTGGTGCATGCCTGTAATCCCAGCTACTCTGGAGGCTGAGGCAGGAGAATCTCTTGAACCCGGGAGGCGGAGGTTGCAGTGAGCCGAAATCGCACCGCTGCACTCCAGCCTGGCAACAGAGCAAGACTCCGTCTCAAACAAAAACAAAAACAAAACAAAAAAAAAGACTCCTGGCCCAGATTGTTTCACACTTCCCAGAGACTCAAAGTTCCCCTCCTCCCATGGAACTCAAAGCCATTTCCTTCCATCCTCCAGGATTTAGTTACTCCCCAAACTCCTCAAGCCCCGCCTACATTCTTCTGTTTCTATTATTCAGACTTAAGGACAAACCGGCCAGGCTGCACTGTAAGCTTATGGCCATCAGATGGCAGCAAAACATCAGCAAACCTGGTCCTTGTAGCACCCGCAAAGGCAAAGGGACTCAGCTGGATAGTCAGTCCCTCCCTCCACCTCCATAAAGGCCTATAATCAAGTCATCCACAATAATGGGAATCTCTTTTCCAGAAGTTCTCCAGGGTTGGAAATTTCAGAATTTTAAAAACATGTGTTATATATTGAGCATCAATTATACACTGGTTCTTAACATATGGTATCTTTTTGCTACCTAGCTATGCTGTGAAAAGGGCATTATCCCTCCTATACAAGGAAAATTGAGGCTCGGAGCATCAGGGAGGCTGGTTATCTGTTCAAAGGCTCATAGCAGAGCCTGAATTCTTTTCCTCTCCCATGCTGCTCCCTGCATTCATCATGGAATAAGACATTTTCAGCTTCGAGGAAGCTCTTCTTTCTCTATCAGAAATCATTTTGCTCTAAAATGCTGCTGGCATTAATTTATAGTATTCTCTTTAGGGAGATGCTCTGCCAGGGGTGCCTTGTGTCTGCCTCCCTTACCTCCTATGGCTTTTCTCCAACACCCTCCAAGAGGTCTGTCGGCAGCTCCAGCTCCTGCACCTGTAGGCATCAAGTCAACAAGCACTGACCATCATAAAGCAGCCAGTGAGCAATGGGTGGCAGAGAGAAGGTGGTGAAGAGCAATGAGATGTTAATCCCTTCTTTGAGGAGCTTTAGTTCCAGATGTGGCTAAGGGCTTCCCTTGGACTAACAGCAGCCACAGGTGGTTTCTGAGACAGGCCAAGGATGGGGTGTTGGCATTCTAAAGCCTGAAGGGTCCTTGTGGGCTAGGGAAAGCATCCAGAAGCAGCTGCAATGTTAGGGAAACAGCTAGCATAGACTTAAGAGTGGAAGGGAATTCATGAGGCATGACAGGGGGGCAGTGAGCCAGCTGCATGACGCATGCAGGGAAACAATGGGGAGTCAGGTGAGAAAATAGCACTCGCCTATGGTAGAGACCTTGAATATCAGGCTAAGGTGTTCAATTTCAAGCTAGAGGGAGCCAGGGAAGGAAAGTGACACATGAAATAAACACTCAAGGTTAATCTGGCATGGTTGATGAATAGGAATAGGGAAAAATTAAGAAGATAGGCTACAATGCTATAGTTTTATCATAAAGGTTTCCAAAGTTTTATCAAAAACTTTCCAAAGTTCCCTAATTACCCTTTGGTAAGAAATAGGGAGAAATTAAGTCAAGAAGATAAGTTAAAATGCTATAGTTTTATCATAAAATGTTCCATAGTTCCTGGTTCTTTCCTGTTTCTCTGACTTTGCCTGTTTATATTTTCCACCTGAACTGCCCTTTTGTAAATATTTCTCTGCTCAGTTTTTTGTTTTTTGTTTTGTTTTGTTTTTGTTTTTTGAGACAGAGTCTCACTCTGTTGCCCGGGCTGGAGTACAGTGGTGCCATCTGGGCTCACGCAACCTCCGCCTCCTGGGTTCCAGTGATTCTAATGCCTCAGCCTCCCAAGTAGCTGGGATTACAGGCGTGCACCAAAACGCCTGGTTAATTTTTGTATTTTTAGTACAGATGGGGTTTTGCCATGTTGGCCAGGCTGGTCTTGAACTCCTGATCTCAGGAGATCCACCCACCTTGTCCCCCAAAGTGCTGGGATTACAAGAATGAGACATGGCGCCCAGCCTGTTCAACAGTTTTTTAAGAGTGTGTGTGGAGAGGTAGAAGTTGAATTCAAAGGGGTCCATCTTCAGAACTTTGTCAAAAAGCAGGCGATACCAATAAGGACCTTTGCTGACTCCCATCTTCCTAACTTGGAGCATCAGCTGGCTGGGTCAGTAGCTGAAACAGGTGATGCCACAAATTGGGGGTGGGGTGAGAAACCTAGAAAAGTTTGGGAGTCACAGAGCTGTCTTCTCAAGCGATTGAGAGATGCTCTCTAACTGTTCCAGCCCACTGAAGCTCAAAAACTGTGGATTCCCTAAGTGGGCAGGGGCAGCAGCCATAGAATCAGCACTGCCCAGAGCTGCCATCATCCAGACAGACTCATGGAGTGCCAGAGCCAGAAGCTCCTTGGCCCACCCGGAACTTCACTCTCACTTTACACAGGCCTCTGGTGCCCAGGGGTAAGTGGGGGAGGCCTGAGTGTGGAGGTGTGTTTCAGAGAAACTGGGAGTGGAATGCTGGCTCCACCCTTCATTCATACCAGCTGTGCATCCACAGCAAATTACCTAAGCCAGTGGTTCTCAATGTATGGTTCTGGGATCCCTAAGGATACCCCAAGACCCTTTCAAGGGATCCATGAAATGGAAACTATTTTAATAAAAATATTAATATGTTTTTCACTCTCTTTCATGAGTGTACAGAAGAGCTTTTGAAAGACTACATGTTGCATTTTAAAGAGATTTGCAAACATGTAAAACACTGTTATTCTTCTTTCCAAATATGTTATTTCTGTTAATATATAATAAGTTTATCATAGTTATTTTTACATAAAATAAGTATTTTTTAAAAGTTTAGTGTTAGTTTCTAACAAACTGAAGTTCCTTGGGGTCCTCCATAATTTTTTTTTTTTTTTTTGAGATGGAGTATCACTCTGTTGCCCAGGCTGGAGTGCAGTGGCGTGATCTCAGCTCACTGCAACCTCTGCCTCCTGGGTTCAAGTGATTCTCCTGCCTCAGCCTCCCAAGTAGCTGGGACCACAGGTGCGTGCCACCACGCCTGGCTAATTTTTGTATTTTTTAGTAGAGACGAGGTTTCACCATATTGGACAGGCTGGTCTCGAACTCCTGACCTCATGATCCACCCGCCCAGCCTCCCAAAGTGCTGTGATTACAGGCGTAAGCCACCACGCCTGGCCTGGGATCCTCCATAATTTTTAAGATTGTAAAGGCAGACTTAAAAAGTTTGAGAACCACTGATTTAAACTCTTTAGTTTAAATTTCCTTATCTTATCCATCTCTATCTGTAAAATGGACACAACACTTACTTCACAGGATAGTTGAGGCTTTAAAAAGACACCTCATATAAAATGCCTAGGCAAGGTTTTTGAAACACTGCTTTCTCCAACATCAGCTCAGAGCAGTTCTTGGCTTTCTCTGGCATTCAGTCAAGATCTAGTGTCTGGGAAACAAAACTTTGTGGAGTACAAAGATGCTTTCCTGCCGGAAGCCAAGATCTGGGTACACAAGGTCCCATCTGTACCTGGGGAAGACCCCTGTGTCAAGAGCACCACACAGTGAGTGACAAGTCCAACTAGACACATCACAGTAAGGTGCCCATCGGCAACAGCTGAGTTCCCAGAACCTGTTAGCGCACCTGTAGCTCACCTCTCTCACCACCTGAGGGCAGAAACCCCACACAAATAGAACAGCAGAGTGGGCTCAGGACAAAAACCAAATTAAGCTCTTAAAATGGGCACTTCCAGAACAGGAAAAGTCGCTTCAGATGATGTGTCCCTTAAACAGCTGTTTTAGGAGCTGTGACATTTTCCAACCATGAGTAAACAGGGGCAGCTGACCCGGCCATGGGGATGATAAACACCAAGAATAGGGGAATAGGGGACACATCCATGCAGAGTCCCAGTTACCAGTCTTCCTTTAAGCAAGAATGATTTTCATATTGTAATGCCTGCCTAGGCTTTTTTTTTTTTAAACACTGCTACCTCCACCCCCCGAATCTCCCGAATGAGGCTGTCTTTTTTTTTTTTTTTTTTTTTTTTTTGAGATGGAGTCTCGTTCTGTTGCCCAGGCTGAAGTGCAGTGGTGCGATCTCGGCTCACTGCAACATTTACCTCCCGGGTTCAAGCGATTCTCCTGCCTCAGACTCTTGAGTAGCTGGGATTACAGGCATGTGCTACCATGCCAGGCTAATTTTTGGCATTTTTGGTAGAGACAGGGTTTCACCATGTTGGCCAGGCTGGTCTCAAACTCCTAACCTCAAGTGATCCACCCGCCTCGGCCTCCCAAAGTGCTGGGATTACAGGCATGAGCCAACGCCCCCCAGCCGAATGAGTCTGTCTTAATTCTAATTAGATACTGGAAGGAGTCAGAAGATGGACTCCTAGACTGACCTGGTCACTAATTCCCTGTGTAAGTGAGCTTCAGTTTCCTCCTGTGTAAAATGGAGAGGAAAAAAGAAATACACACATCTCATAGGATTGTAAGGAGCTAAGGAAAGAGACAGAAAGGATCTTTGTGAAGTCTAAAGTGCCCTTCAGTATTTCTTACTGTAACTGTCTCAGGCAGCAAAAGCTAAATAGTTACATCCTTTTCATACATCGGTAGATCCTTTTTAATATATGCAGAAAAAACAATATGCCTGGCTTGGGTTCAGAAAGGAGCAGTGATTTAGCAAGAGCATGTTCCTTGGAGTTTAGTTGGTCTCCTTGATTCAATTAATGCTCAATCTGAGTGAAATGGTTCTAGAAGACAGCCATACAAATGTGATTTGGGAAAAATTGTACTTTCCTGTTAATGAGTGCCTATTTAACACTTTAGAGTTTAAAAATGATTTTACCTACATTATCCCAAGTCCTCCTAAGAATACTGAGAGGAAGCTAGTCTTCTTTCTACAAGAACAGGCTGAGAGAAGTAAAGTAACCTGCTGAAGGTTTCAAAGCAAGTCAGAGGTGCAGCCAGATCTGCTGAGTCTAAGGTTTGCATTCTTTCCACTGTCTGACCCCAGAAGACACCACCTCAATTCCCAGTGAGATCATGTGGGCAGCTCTGGTCACTGGAAGCACAGCTGGAAGGCAGCAGGTGCTGAACTGCGGGAGTGGCTTTGTTCAACCCAATTTACCCAATCTGCCAGAGGAGAACCAAGAGGGCCTCTGACCCCCACTCCCTCATCCCCAGTAAATGCCACTGTTTTTTTGGTCCCAAATGAATGGTAACCCTGCCTTTCTCTGCAGCTTGAAGGGGCTGCCACAGCTCCTCTGAGGCTGGCTCCCCACTGCCACCCAGACAAATATCTCAAGCAAGGTTTCCTCACAGCTGTGTCACAGTGAGCCACACAGGAGGAACCGCACAGCGTGCAGGAGTAGGGGAGCAGGGCTCAACCGTGTGGGCAGAGGAAGAGGGGGACCTGAGACACCCTGCCCAGGGAGGCAGAGCTCACAGAGGATCGGGGTCAGGGGCACTGAAGGGTTTGAGCCCTGCTTCCAATGCTTACCCCTTAGGGCTCTTGAACAGTTCACCAGCCTGGTCCATAAAAATGGTCCCAGGTCCATAAAAATGCCCTGTATATTCCAAAAATCTCTTTGGGGTAGAACAAAGCAAAAGGTAGGCACTCATACTGTCAAATCCCCTCTGTCTGAAGAAAGGCTTTACTTGATCTCCCCAATTATCTATTCCTTTAAAAAATACCTCTAGCTTGTACTTTAAAAATTTACATTAACATGGATTTCAACCAGTTACTTCTACTCTTAACCTGGGATCCATGGATACGTTTTGAGGGTTCTTAGTACTTGGATGGGAGGATGACTAGATTTTCACTAACCTCTGAGTGAACTTAGTAGATGTTTATTACAAGCCCCAATAGTATTAGCAATACCTGTGTCTCTGTCACTAATAGAAATCAAAATGTTTCCATATTCTATCAGTTGTTGTAGTCTCTTGAAATATTGTTTATACTCATCACAACTTGGAAATTATAGTAGTTATTAGGTCTGCCACTAGATCTGGTTATTGAATGCATTATTAAAGAAGGCAGTAGATTACTATGTCACAAATTTGTTTTTTGATGCTTTCAATAACGTATTTCAGTAAGATTGGCTTCCTTTGTAATCCTATATATTTCAGCTTCTGTATTTGGAAACACTGTAAGGAGTCCACAGGCTTCACCAGACTGCCAAAGGGGGCCTGGACACAGAAAAAGTCAGGACCCCCTAACCCAAAATGCTCCTCTGAGTCCTCAGGGACCAACCAAGCTCCCAGCACCAAGCTCCTCTCTGTGCAGTGGGGCAACGGAGGTCTGAAGGATGAGTCACCTAATTTATTGAGCTCCAATAAGTACCAAGAGTTGTTATTTCGTTTAATTCTCACAAAGATCCAAAAAGATCTCAAGAGAAGAAACTGAAGCTCACAAGGAAGTGAGCAACAGCTACCCCAGCCCACCCCCTCCCACTCTGCAGTCAAGGGCCCCGCCTCCCATTCACCACCACCTCCACCCCCCACCACTCCCCCATAGAGCCCCATCTGCTAATGGTGAAAAATTGGACTGCGAGTTAGGTACAACCAGCTGTGTGACTGGGAGCAAGTCAGTCGACGTCTCTGAGCCTCCAAGTCCTCATCACCACAATGAGGATAAACATCCATTCCACAGGGTTTTATTGTGTGGGTCCAACAAGAAAGCATGTGTAAAGCGCTCAGCGTGGTGCCTGGGACCCACAGGCTGGCTCCTAAAAAGTGGCTGTCATCACTATCACTATCACAGAGCAGGGACTCAGTATATTGCATGTGTAGCTGCATTACAGTCCATTTTAGAAATTATAGGCAATCCTAAGGCCTCTCTCCCACCTCCAACAACTCTAATCAGAAATAGCCAAGGGTTTGTTTTCTTTCTCTCTGGGCATTCATGACTTCTTAGAAGCCAGATGGACTTCCCCTCCTCCACAGCAAGGAACACGCTGAAAGATGAAAGCTTCAGCGGCAGGGTCTCGAAGAGGGGAAGATGGGTGGCCGACTCCAGTGCAGGTATCAGCACCCTGGGCTCGGCTGAGCAGAATTTTTTCCCCCAAGCTCGCTGGGGGCCCAGGGGAAGATGGTGCCGCCGTGTCTCTGCGTGCTCGTGTGTAATTTATTTTCCTGCATGGTTGCAGGGAGGTGGCTGAGGTTTCACAAGCTGTACCTGACAGATAATTACACGAAGACAAATTGTGCCCTGCCTTACCCTTCTCCTAGTATGGCAACCTCCAGACTGCGTGTGTTGGGGCTGGGGGTGGGGGATATGGAAGGCAGCGGGTGCTGAACTGCGAGAGGGGAGGGGCTGGGCCAAGCTGGCAGCAAGCTGGGGCAGACTAAGGAGCCGGGAAGAACTGGGGCGAGCTCTAACTGAGGCACAAACACTTCTCAGGACTGAGTAGTGGCTCCCTTAAAGGATGACAGATGCAGGGGGCGCTGGTGCCTGGTTCAAAATTGTTTGCTTTGTGGGAAGCCAGAACCAGAAACAGACCACTCAGGGCTGCGCTGCCCCGGCACGGGATTCTCTGCAGCTCCCCCTGGGGGAGAAGCAGTGCAGAGGGTGGAGGAGACCAACCCCGCTCCTGGTTCTGATCTAGGAGCTGACAGAATTCTAGTTTCTCACCGGGTTTCTCTCATGCCCTAGATTCCTGCCCAGACTCTTTCCACTCCTACTCTCTTCTCCCTGATCCTCCCCATTTTTGTTATTGTTGCCTTGTAAGATTTTTTAAAAATGTTCCTGGGCGAAAACCTGAAAGATGGTATATACAGCCTCCAAATCTACCTTTTAAAACAGAAATTTAAATGGTAGTAATTTTCACTGTAATTTTTTTTCTTTCTTTTTTTTTTTTTTTTTTTTGAGACAGAGTCTCACTCTGTCACCCAGGCTGGAGTGCAGTGGTGGATCTTGGCTCACTGCAACCTCTGCCTCCTGGACTCAAGTGATTCTCCTGCCTCAGCCTCCAGAGTAGTTAGGATTACAGTCGCGTGGCACCACGCCTGGCTAATTTTTGTATTTTTAGTAGAGATGAGGTTTCACCATGTTGGCCAAGCTGGTCTCCAACTCCTGACCTCAGGTGATCCGCCCGCTTCGGCCTCCCAAAGTGCTGGGATTACAGGCGTGAGCCACTGTGCCAGGCCTTCACAGTAATTTTTAATTTATAATTATTTTATGTTGACCAACATAGAAGCTAATAAAAATAAATCAAGCCTATAAGCATATTCAGCTTTTTTTTTTTTTTTTTTTTTAGAAAAACAGACTGTTCCAGGAGCCCAGGGATGCTAAGGTTTTAGTTTTAAATCCTCCCAAAGCTGAAGGACAGCCTCAGCTTCCTCATCAATTAAGTGGAAAAAATACCATCTTCCTTGGAGGGAGGGCTCTTCCTGGGTGCAAGGCATACTACTTCATTTACTCATTTATTCATGGAGCATCTGTTAAGCACCAACGGAATGCCTGGCACTGGGCATGACATAATTTAGTCTGTATCATCAAAAAGAAGAGCTGAATATGTAAGAGTCCTCTGGGAGGAGCCACCAAGGCAGGAGTGATTGATGTCATCCACTGAGGGGGTCAGGGAGAGCTTCAGTGAGGAGGCTTTGTGATCAATACTTATCTCTTGGGCCATTTTCTTTAGCCCAGAGCTTGGCCTCTTCTAGTCCCTCAAAATAGATTGCTCCCTGCCAGACTCCCTCTCTCACTATATCTATATAATGTATCTCAGTCTCTCGCTCATCCTCCCCTCCGGCTTTCTCTGAAACCCCAGGCAAGATTAGCAACACATCTCTGCTCTCACAACCCCACACACCGACCTTCAGCTCATGGTGAAATTACCTGGGGTTGTATGCGGTTCCCTACAGAACCCCTGGACATAAGGGCAGGGATGGGTTCCTCCTTCCCCAGCTGCAGGCCCCCCCCAGCACAGACCAGGTTCACAACCACAGCTGAACTGACCAGGCCTCTCCTTGGACCAATCTCCTCTGGCCCTGTCCTTCCTGCTCTCCCTCCCCACTCTGTCCTCCTTCTCCATTTGGCTTCTGCTCACCCTCCTCTCTCTCCCTCTCTGCCGTGCCTCCTCCCTGCTCCTTTGTTCTCGTTAAGATCTGTAACTGAGGAAAGATTCTAGCTCCTTGTCGGGCCCATTCGTTCTCCTCTCTTGCCTGGGCCGGCTCCCTTTGAAACACTTCTCTCGCTGTGGTCCTGTGTCTTCTCTTGGCTCCTCCCTCTTTCCCCAGAGCTAAGGGCTGAGCTTTCACAGGTGTTCCCAAGCCCCACTCAGCCTCAGCAGCAACTCCATTCCTGCACAGGCCCCCACCCACAAATTCCCATCCAGGCACAGCCGAGTCCACACATATGCCCATTCGCTAACACAGATGTCACTGTGCACACACGTGCCCCCACCCAAACCTACATACCTGGGGACTGCCGGCCTTTCAGTGAGGAGCCACTTTTGCACTCCTAAAAAGGGATAAAGGACATGGATACCTTGAGGATAAACCCACAAGTTCTTTGGAGGACACCCCCTGTACTATTGAAAATTCCAGCAAACCTCAAGGAACAGGGTCCTCACATGTCAACAGGTTTGGAGGAGATTCAGCACAGGAGGACAAGGTCCCCCACAATACAGCTCTTCCCTACATTGAAAGCCATGTGTCCCGGAGGCTCCTGGTCTAGTGGTCCCTGGTCAAGTCTTGGCCTGGTCACTGCTCCTCAGATGTCTTTCTTCCAACCAGCACAGGTCCTTCTGATTCTGCCTGACACTCCCTCCCAGCTCCTTGCTCCCTGAGAGCCTTTCGACTTCTTCCGCATTGAGCATGTCACCTCTGGGGTGTCCTGAAGCTCTGGACATCAACGCCCAGCCCAGTCTCCATATTCTTCTTGTGGCTCCCCTGACATTCCAGCCCAACCCCTCTTGCCCAGATCTGTTAGATACACACCTACCCCAAGCCTTACCTGCTCCTTTTCCTTTCCTACCCCCGGCCTACTCAGCCACTCTCTTCTATAGAGAACCTTCCTAAGTCCACAAAGACACAGAGGACACTCTCTTGTTGGGATATTCTCCTTGGTCTCTACCCCTAACATAGTCATAGATTAACACAGTTGTAGACTTCTGAGTCCATGGAATACAACCTCCTTATTTTACAGAAAAGAGAACTGAGACTCGAGAGATGAGGTAAGTAACCAAGGGCCCACAGCTCAGTCATCTGTATGTAAATGGCATGCCACCACTCACTCCGTTCAGTGCTCATACACCTCTATACAGACATCTGCACGGACACATCATCCATGGCCTGGTGTTATGGTGAGGGTATGGGTGGGGGTGAGAGCTGGGAATAATTCTACACAGGACCCCTGGGAGACAGGCCAGGTATCCTCAGTTCTTTTTAATTTTCATTTATTTGTTCATTTTTTGAGATAGAGTCTCGCTCTGTCACTCAGGCTAGAGTGCAGTCTCAACTCACTGCAACCTCCACCTCTCGAGTTCAAGTGATTCTCCTACTTCAGCCTCCAGAGTAGCTGGGATTACAGGTGCCTGCCACCACGCCCGGCTAATGTTTGTACTTTTAGTAGAGATGGGGTTTCTCCATGTTGGCTAGGCTGGTCTCGAACTCCTCACCTCAGATTATCTGCCAGCCTCGGCCTCCCAAATGTGTTGGGATGACAGGAGTGAGCCACTGTGCCCGGCCCTTGGCCCCCTTTTTAAATTTTTTAAATTTTTTACTTTTTTTTTTTTTTTTTTGAGACGGAGTCTTGCTCTGTTGCCCATGCTGGAGTGCAATGGCATGATTTCGGCTCACTACAACCTCTGCTTCCCAGGTTCAAGCGATTCTCCTGCCTCATCCTCCCAAGTAGCTGGAACTACAGGTGCCTGCCACCATGCCTGGCTAATTTTTGTATTTTTAGTAGAGATGGGGTTTCACTGTGTTGGCCAAGCTGGTCTCGAACTCCTGACCTCATGATCTGCCTGCCTCGGCCTCCCAAAGTGCTGGAATTACAAGCGTGAGCTACCACGACTGGCCAATTTTTTAAATGTTTGTGTGCACTCCTCAGCTTCTTTCTGAGCCATTCTGGGAATCTTACAGTTGGGAAGATAGTCAACCGGCCAACTGGATGCATCAGTCACCCCACACTCCAAAGAACTCCCCAGAAGATGTTGGCCCGGCTTGGCTGTCTTTGGATCTCTGTCTCTCTCTGTCTCTCTCTCTCTCTCTCTGCTTCAGGGAAGGAAACATTTCTGGTGAATGAGGAGGCAACGGGCGAGACCTCAGGAGACAAGGTTGTTCATTCTAGGAATCTGTCTCAGACAATCTTCATCACCCGGAAACGATGGGAGGGGTGATGGGGGTGTCTTTCTGTGGGCATAGGGACAGAGGCCAGGGTCGACTGAGAAACAGACGATGAAGAGACAAGAAGGAAAAGGAGAGATGGCCTAGGACAGGCAGGGAGCCAGCTAAGTTTCCGCCAGGCTGAGTTCCGTGAAGGAAGAGATGCCTATTTTAGTCATCCCTGTATCCCTCCTGCCTCCTTCCTCACCCCCAGGTCCCCAGCACTAAGAAGAGAGTGATGTGGAGAAATGGATGGGGGCACCCAACGAATATGAAGCTGAAAGACAGGGGAAATGGCAGAAACAAAGGACAACCTTTAAGAAGCAAACGGGGTGGCAGAAAGGAAGAGTAGGGACGTGGAGGCAGCAGAAAGGCAGGCCACAGCTCAGGAGTTACGGAGGAGCAGAGGAGGGCAGGGGAGGGCTCGGCCCGCGGAGTCAGCGCTCCTCCCGCGCCGACCTCGGGCTCCGGGCGGCCGCCGGGGGGCGCCGGGCGCATCCTTCGCTGCCAACTCCCCGCCCGTGCCCCCGCTCGCGCCTGGGCCCCGCCGCACTCCAGCAGAAGCCATTACAGAGAACAAACTACCTTCTTGTCTCCGAGATGGGTCCCCGGGGAGGAAGGCAAATTGCCTGCCTCGTGCATAATAAGCCAGGCGTGGAGAGCAGCGCGGAGGAGGCCGCGGCAGCCACCGAGCGGGCAGAGCCTCCCGCCCCCACCCGCCGCCCGCGCCTGCCGAGCCCCCTGCCGAGCGGGCGGCGCGCAGGTCCGGAGAATCTCAAAAGGCTTGGAACACCGGGCTGCTTCCCGGTACCCCCATTCCTGCACAAGTTTGTGACTGTGGGCTTATCCCAGGAGAACCACACCAAGAGCTCGGTGCCTTTGCCCGGGATGCCTTTCTTCATGAGAAAAAGCCGGCTGCCCTTCTCATCCTTCTCGGAAGTTACAGTCTCCTCACTTTGAATTCGACCATCAGAAGTAATCGCTTCCTCTTCCTGCTAAGATAGCACTTTGTTCAGACTCCTAGTATTTAGCGATGACATCACGTTTATAGTTATTTGCATACAGGTACGTCTCTGCTATTGGACTACACATTCCTAAAGGACAGAAACCATAATTTACTTCTGTCCATACCCCAGAGACTTAGCACGGTGTCCAGTACCGAATGCATGAATGAATGAGTTTTAAAAGAAGAACCTAGCCTCTCGAATCACCAACACATCGCAGGTTTGTCTCCTCCACCTACGATTATACCCTTCTTGCAATTCCTGGTCTCCCCTAAGATACTATATACGGTTGAGGGTCTTTGGGTGAAGCCTCCTCAGGAGATTTAGACATTCTCAGGAACTGTGTAGAAGGAGAACATTGAAGAGGGCAGAGAGGGGTATATATTGAGCCCAGTGCCTGCCTTCAAGGAGCTCCTACTCTCATAAGGAAGCCAGGCAAGTAGACAGTGACAACCCAGTATGCTGAGTGCATAGAAAGAGAAAAGCAAGGGACCACAGCTGTTCCTGAGATAAGCCAACAACCACAAACTTGTGTGTGACTTGGGTGCAAGGATGGCGGTAGCACCTAGGCCAAGCCGACAATCCGGACAGGAGCAGGAGAGAAGGAAATCTGGGAGGAGGTGAAGCCCAATATAGTTTTGTAGGATGATCATGAGTCAGGAAGAGATAAATGGGGGTGGATAAAAGTGTTTCGAGGATCCATTCCAAGGAGCTGAGAAAGGCAAGAAATGGCATGGGCCCTATCATGGAGAACTATAAGTAGACTCAGGTGGCTTCCTAAAACCCTATGAAGGGATTCAACAAGAGGTGAGGCCACAGAAAGGGGTACTGAGGTCAGTTTAAGGAGGCCTTCAACCAACTTGTTAGTGGGCTTAATTTTATCCCGACCTTGACAGAGAGCCATGGAATGATTTCAGAGATGAGAGTATCATATCAGATTTGCGTTTTAGGATTATTTCAGAAGCAGCAGAGTCAAGTACGGATTACATGGGGTCAGGCTGGAGACAGAAAGATCAGATAGGAGGTTCTGGTATTAATCCAGACGAGAAGTGAAGAAAGCCTGAACCAAGGCAGCCATAATAGAAATGGAGAGAAGCAGCCAGGCTGAAGTGTGAGCGAGAAGACAGAATTGGCAGGTACCAGAAGGTGACTGATTGGACATGAGGGGTGAGGAAGGGGAAAGAAATAAGCCTGCTGCGAAGAGTTTAGATTAAGGATATGTGGTCATGGTGGCTCACACCTGTAATCCCAACACTTTGGGAAGCTGAAGTAGGAGAATCATTTGAGACCAAGAGTTTAACACCAACCTGGGCAACATAGCAAGACCCTGTCTCTAAAAAACAAAAATTAGCCGAGCATGGTGGCTCAGGCCTGCATTCCCAGCTACTCAGGAGGCTGAGGTTAGAGGATCACTTGAGACTGCCATGAGCTCACTTGAGGCTGCCATGAGCTGTAATGGCCACTGCACTCCAGCTTTGGTGACAGAACAAGACCCTGTCTCTTAAAAAAAAAAAACAAAAAACAGAAAACAAAGGACCTGGGTAAAAGGTCATACCACCCCAGGGAAGAAAAAGTGTGTTTTGTAGGTAAGGCATGTTGTTTTGAGGTACTGCAGGGATATAAAAAAATTAAATGTGGTTCTGAGCTCAGAAGGAAGCTGTGCTGGAGATAGAAGTTTAAGAGTTATCAGCATGATTTCGGTGGTTTGAAGACAAAAAAATAGATGAGATTACCCTCAAAAGTGTGAGTACAAGGAGAGAGAGCCCAGGAGAAAACACTGGAAAATATTTATATTTAAGAGATAGACTGGCTGAGTGCGGTGTTTCACACCTGTAATCTCAGCTCTTTGGGAGGCCAAGGCAGTTGGATCACCTGAAGTCAGGAGTTCAAGACCAGTGTGACCAACATGGTGAAGCCCCATCTCTACTAAAAATACAAAAATTAGCCAGGCATGGTGGCACATGCCTATAATCCCAGCTACTCAGGAGGCTGAGGCACGAGAATTTCTTGAACCTGGGAGGCAGAGGTTGCAGTGAGCCAAGACCGTGCCATTGCACTCCAGCCTGGGAAACAGGAGTGAAAATCCATCTCAAAAAAAACAAAAAAGAGAGAGACAGACAGAAAAAGAGGAGTCCACTTCTGCTAAGGATGGATAGAGAGGTGAGGGGAGAATCTGAGGTGATACCACAGAGCAAAAGAGGAGTTTGAAGGAATGGTAATTAGTGTGAAATGCTGAAGATAGGTCAAGGAAGTCTCAGGAAAAATTGTCAGGAAAGACTTTAAAATGGACCAAAAAAGATTATTGAGTGTCCGGTCTAATTTACCCATCAGGGTTATCTCTGCCTTACATTGTCTATGAGCTATTTTACAACTCTTTAAGTTGGAGAAACTGATAATAATGCAGATTATTTTTGCCCAAATAAATGCTAATTAGTTGTGTCTACTGGAATGCAATTGATTAGTGCCCTGTGGATAAACCAGTTTTATGACTATTTGTAAATTCATTTCAAAATTCCTGGTTGACCTATATAAGCGTGATACTTTGAATTTTCCTTTGAAATCAGCTGGAATATGTTACTGGAACCCTCATTAATTAATGGATCAAATGCAGTTTTTGACGTGTTCATTTTATATCTGTATGAAAGTTGTGATTTAAAATTTGTTTAGCTGTGCACGGTGGCTCACGCCTGTAATCCCAGCACTTTGGGAGGCCAAGGCAGGCAGATCACGAGGTCAGGAGTTCCAGACCATCCTGGCCAACATGGTGGGACCCCGTTTCTACTAAAAATACAAAAATTAGCTGGGTGTGGTGGCATGCACCTGCAATCCCAGCTACTCAGGAGGCTGAGGCAGGAGAATTGCTTGAACCTGGGAGGCGGAGGTTGCAGTGAGCCAAGATCACGCCACTGCACTCCAGCCTGGGTGACAGAGCCAGAGTCCGTCTCAAAAAAAAAAAAAAAAAAGTTTAAAAAATTCCATAACAGAAGAACATAACTGAAAAGTGACCATTGAATTTGACCACTGGAACAATATCTTTTTGGGAAGGTTGAGATGAGCAGAAGGCAGATTGTACTGTGTTGAGAAGGGAGAAAATGAAATGAGCAAGTAAAGACAATGGCTTTCCAAAAGCTTAGATGTGGAGGGAAGGAGAGAAATTGGGCCTTAGCTGTAGGGCATTTTCTTCTTTCTTTTAAACAGGAATTTTTTTTTTTTTTTTGAGGCGAAGTCTCACTCTGTCGCCCAGGCTGGAGTACAGTGGCACTATTTCAGCTCAGTGCAAACTTTGCCTCCCAGTTTCAAGCAATTCTCCTGCCACAGCCTCCCCAGTAGCTGGGATTACAGGCATGCCACTATGCTGGGCTGATTCTTGTATTTTAGTAGAGACAGGGTTTCACCATGTTGTACAGGCTGGTCTTAAACACCTGACCTCAAGTGATCTGCCCACCTCAGGCTCCCAAAGTGTTGGGATTACAGCTGTGAGCCACTGCACCCAGCCAAGATTTTTTTTAAAAAAACGGGCATGACTTCATGATGTAGATGACAGCTGGCACTACAACTCCTCTTTAAATTGTGAATAACTTAGTAAGCTGTGCTGGGTATAAAAACAATAACAGAGGCACATGAGGCCATAGGGAGTGGCACTATGAGACGACAAAGGAGGGACACTTAATTTGGCATGGTGGGGCACAGACCTTCTGTGAGGAGATAGGAGATAATGCCTGATTTGAGTCTAAAGAATGAGCCAAGCCGGGCATGGTGGCACATACCTGTAGTCCCATGTACTCAGGGGGCTAAAGTGGGAGGATCACCTGGGCCCAGGGAGCCGAGGCTGCAGTGAGAGAGCCATGATAGTGCCACAGCACTCCAGCCTGGGTGACAGAGCAAGACCATGTCTCAAAAAAAAAAAGAAAGAAAAAAGAATGAGCCTAGTTGTCTTTTTAAAAGACAGTTATGGAGGCTCAAAAACAGTCAAGAGATATTGCACAAAGTCAGTACCAAATGATAAAGTTTGGATCTGTGTCGCCGCCCAAATCTGAGGTTGAATTGTAATCCCCAGTGTTGGAGGTGTGACCTGGTGGGAGGTGATTGGATCATGTGGGTGGATTTCCCCCTGGGGGCTGTTCTTATGACAGTGAGTTCTCACGAGATCTGGTTGTTTAAAAGTGTGTGGCACTTTCCCCTCTCTTGCTTCCTCCTGCTCCAGCCATGTAAGACATACCTGCTTCCCCTTCACCTTCTGCTATGATTGTAAGTTTCCTGAGGCCTCCCCAGAAGCAGAGCAGAAGCTAGCCTGTAGAACCATGAGCCAATTAAATCTCTTTTCTTTATAAATTACCCAGGCACAGGTATTTCTTTATAGCAGTATGAGAACAGACTAATCCGTGTTATGAAGAAATCAAGCTGTGGAGGGAAAGCCTTAGTGCCAAAAGATCTAGATCCTTGCTCTTGCCACTGATTTGCCATCAACACTGTAGATACAGAAACTGAGTTCTGAATGGAAAATTGGTGCAGGACATTTGGAATTGAACTTTTCTGAAAATTCAAGTGGCTTAGTTGCCACCACTTTGACATCCCTGAAAGAGACCAGAATCATGGAATCCTACATGTTAGTGTTTAGAGAGAAATTAGAAATCACTGATCCAATTCCCTTTTAAAAATGTAATTCTAGTCCTTTAAATTTCAGACCCCCAATTTGTTACAGATAAAAAGACATGCAGGTGTTTCCCTGCCCTGAGAGTGCTTCAGTGTTATTGATGGACCCCACACGCCTGAATTAGACATGCGTAACCAGCCCATTGGCCTAAACTTGAATACTAGTTTGTTTTTTCTCTTCAGTCTACCAAAATCCCAGTGGGTCTACACTTGCCTTTAAGATCTTTTACCCCTCTGAAGATTTTAAATGCAAGAGGAACCCGTGCCCAAAGGTGAGGGTCTGTGTCCTCCCATCAGAAAGAGACTGATTCTTGAACAATGAGGTCTGTTTTTCTTTTCGTACCCTGATGAGGGGCTGTCCTTTTAAAAGGAGGATCTGGGATTTCAAGCTTTTTTTTTTGGCATGTAGCCAAGACCTAAGGGACAGTCTACAAAAAAAATTGTGTTAATAAGTGAAGAGACTGTTAATAGCCCTTTAGGTTATGAGGAGGAGAAAGTTGGAGCTTCAGGGGCCCTGAGGCTGGAAGCCTCTCAGGTTTATTTGCTGAGCTTTTCTTCTAGCTGGCTCACTGGGTACTGGGGATGGAGGATAGGGGAATTCCCTGTAAGGTCTAACTTCAGAGGCCCATTATACTGAAAATTGCATGTAATCACATATATGAAAATGCCTGGCTCACTTATTAAATATTAACTCTTTCCCTATTGCAAGCCCCCAACCTGAGCATCTCCATAAGAGGGTTTGGCATTTTATCCCATGATAGAATGTCACAGACAGCAAGGTCAGTGAAGCTGGAATGGCAGGTGACAAAGTAAGAATGGAGAGAAGGTGGGCAGGGGCCAGCTAAGGTAGGGCTTACAGGAAATGAAAGAAGTATGGATTTTATTCTAAGTGGGATAGGAAACCATAAGGTCTGAAGCAGAGGAGTGATGTGATGTGATTTACATTTTAAAAGGATTACTCTGTTGTTGTCATACAAAAAGGTTGTATTTTATTGTTGTTAAAGCCTTCTATGGTTTGAATGCTTGTGTCTGCCCAAAGTTTCTATGTTGAAATCCTAACTCCAAGGTGATGGTATTTGGAGAGGCCTTTTGGGAGATGAATAGGTCATGAGGTCGGAGCCCTCGTGAATAGGATTAGTGCTCTTATAAAAGAGGCCCTATACGCGGTGGCTCACGCCTGTAATCCCGGCACTTTGGGAGGCCAAGGTGGGTGGATCACAAGGTCAAGAGACTGAGACCATCCTGGCCAACATGGTGAAACCCCGTCTCTACTAAAAATACAAAAATTAGCTGGGAATGGTGGTGCACACCTGTAATCCCAGCTACTCGGGAGGCTGAGGCAGGAGAATCGCTTGAACCCGGGAGGCAGAGGCTGCAGTGAGCTGAGATCGTGCCACTGCACTCCAGCCTGGTGACAGAGCGAGACTCCATCTCAAACAACAACAAAAAAAGTGGCCCTATAGAGCTGCCATGTCTCTTCCACCATGTGAAAACACTGATGCTGCCATCAGTGTCTTGGACTTTGCAGCTTCCAGAACTGTGAGAAGTAATTTCTACTGTTTATAAGACACCTAGCTTCTGGTATTTTGTTATAGCAGCTCAAACAGACTAAGACAAAACCTAATGAATTTTAGTATCGATAATGAAACTAACAATAGGTAGGGGATTGCTACCAATGCCCTGCTGTGGAGAAGAGACCCCTGGGGCACAAAGACTGGAAGCAGAGACCACTTAGCCACTGTAGGAGTCGAGGGAGAGCTGATGGACCCTTGGACTTGGGGAAAGCAATGGAGGCCTTGTGCAGTGGTAGGATTTGGGTTACATGCTCAATACCCGTCTCTGCTAGCGCCTCCTTCTGCTAGTGTGGTAGTATCATTATTCTCATTTTATGGATAAGAAAGCTAAGACCCAGAAATTTCCAGTAACTTGTCCAAAGTCAAATGGCTAATAAGTGGAGTTTAGACTAGAACTCATGTTTTGATTTAAAAACCAAAGAGAAAACAGATCTGGATTCTGAGAGCAGAAAGGATCTGGGTCATTGTGATGCTGACCGTGTTGTTAAAAAATTACAAGTAGACCCAATACATAGAGCACATTAAGTCTTGGGATACCCCAGGAGAATCTAGGTTGTAGTGCCTGGCATGGCCATAGCTGAGCTGCTGGGCCTGGGAACCCCTCTTATTTCATCTCCCTGGGATTTCTGCCTGAGAATCTGGCACCATCTCCTACTTCAGTGGAGGGATGTATCAGGACCTTTGGGAGGTAGAGGGGCCACAACTCCCTCCTGGGGAAAAGCCAGAATTCAGTGTCTATATTTACGGAAGATTAGGAGGTGAAGGAACATAGAGGATCTTAATGGGCTGAGATGGGGAACTCTCCCTCAGACTGGTAGGTTGAAGTGGGAGACGCTGAATTTCTTAATGTGTGTTCAGAGCTCACCCCGAAGAAAGGGTGAGCACAACGGGAAGAATCCAAAAACCATATCCTAAGAGAAAGGGTTTGAAGAATCGGAAATATTTAACTGAGAAAAGAAACTTCTTAGAAGAGACATGACATCAGGACAACTACATTTCAATATCAAAAGAACTGCATGGAGAGGGAGAGGGGGGTGGGAGACTACCCAGACAGCACTGTCCTGAAGGCAGAGCTACAGCCACTGGGTAAAAATAATAAAGAGGCCCGCTCAGCCTCAATAGGAGGAAGAAATGCCTTTCAATTAATCCTGCCAACATAATAGAAAGGCTTGTTTTTTAAAGGGGGTAATAATAAATCAACAGTACTGTACGTTTACATGTATTAGGTTGAACCATATAAAATTGCTGCTGTTCACCCATTTTTGACCCATAAAAACAGTTCATATGGCGTGATTTACTACCACCTCTCATCTCACAGTAATTTCCAAAGCCCTTTCAATGGCCTGCAGTTCTCACAGGATCTGTTCCATCTCACCCTCTCCGGATTTCTCGCCACCCTCTGCTCGTACTGCTCCCCTAGCCACATTCCTTGCTGGCCATTGACTCTCTAACTCATTTCTGCCTAAGGTCTCTGCAGGTGCTCTTCCCTCAGACTAGTATATTCTTTCCCTAGATATAAACCCAGCCTACCTGTCCTTTTATCCTGGACACTCTCTTTGACCATCCAACATAAAATAGCACATCTCTCTTCCCAGTGTCCCACTCTACCCAGCCCTGTGTCTCTCCTGACTTCTCTCTGACATTCATTTGTTTGTTCATTGTCTATCTCCCATCATTACAGTGTAAGTTCTGAGAAAAGAAAAGAACTTTCATTTGAGGAATGCAAGTCCTTTTAATTACCAGACCTAGAGAGACATTAAAAGAGATCACAATCATGCCTCACTCTTCCCTTTGAGCTATGTATTCATCTCTTGAGACTGCTTACTTTTGCCACAAGTAGCTATAAATTAACCTAATAATGCCATACACAACACTATAACCCACGTCGTATAGTTTAACAATTTACAGCCAATCACTAACCAATGTTATTTCTGTAAACCATTAAGAATTCCTGACAAAAAACTTTGTAGCAGTCCACTCCCTGTCAGCTTTTTTTGCCATTAAAAATCCACTTGTAACTGCTGCTAATTGGAGTGTATATTCAGGGCAACTTGCATCTATGCTCCCGGGTTGCAATCCTCAAGCTTGGCTCAGATAAACTTTCCATGTGTATTAATTTTGCCTCAGCTTCTTCCTTTTAGGTGCGCAGTTCCATGAAAGCAGGGATGTTGTTTTGTTTCCTGCTGTATCCCCAGGTTTTGATGTAGTTTCAGACACATGGAAAATATTCAATAAATATTTTTTGCATGAATGAAAGATTTTTATGGTTGAGAAAACCGAGGCCCAGAGAAGGCAAATGGTTTCCCCAAAGGCACAGAGTTGGTGCCTGCAGAAGCTCAGGGGAATCGAACATTCAGATCCCAAAGTCCAGCCCCCATAAAGAGTCACCCTGCTTTCTGGTCCCCTGTTGGTCTTGATGCAGAGCCCATTTGTCTCTGAAGCTGAATTGGGGCTTCTGCTTCAGGTCCATAACAGGGCCAGGTGACCCCAGAGGTGCCTTCAATTTTTGAGATTCGATTATCCACTGTTAATGATCTATTTTAGTGAGGGAATCATAGAGGCTCTGAGAAAAGCAAGGTTTTGGTCATCCCTCAGGCGATCACATGATTCTGGGAGCCAGACCCTTTGCTAGGAGTGCTGACAGGATACTGTTAGACTAGAAGTCCCAACCAGTGTCTCTTTTGGGGAGGTAGAACATTAATCTGATCCTCAAAATATGAAATATTCCCCAGTTTGCAAATGAATGCAGGATGTGTTTGCATAGCGACCACCAGGAGAGCAGTATTATATGGAAAGGAACAAAAAGACAAAGCTCCCTGGTTCAATTTGGGGAGCTGATGGCTCTGCTCTCCCCGGGAGGTTGCCTCTGTGTAGCTAATTACAATGAGTAAAGGAAATGGGAAAGTGAGTGCCAATGAAGTGATCTTTCTCCTCCCCCAGGTTCCTGCTTTACAAAGAGCTGGTCTTTTGGTTTTAGAACCCTGGGGACTGGCAACATGGGCTCTATCATGCCCAGCTGGATGGGCACATTCTCCTAATATCAGGTCACTGCTAGAGCAGCGTTCATGTTGTGTTTGTGGCAGGGAGGTGTGTGGCGTGGGATGCTACAGAGTGAGGCGGGTGGGGTGGGAGGGCGGTAATATGCTTCAGAGAGTTAATAGACCAAAGTAATCAACTCACATTTGAATAGCATTTAGCAATTTACAAAAGGCTTTTGTCTATCTCATCTCATTGAGTTTTTACACCATTTTAAATATAAAGAAATGGTAGCTCAAAAAGGTGTGCTGACCTGCCATGCATTGCAGTTACAGGAGGCTTTGCTGGGATTTTAAGCTAGATCTTCCCATTCCAAAATCCTTGTTCTTTCCATACCCCTTGGGCAAACGGAGACATCTTTCCTGATGTCTCTAAGGAAGAGGCAAAGGAGGGAAAGGGACAGATGGCCACTGCTTCCCTTTCTCTAGGCTAACAAAAGCTCACCTTTACTGGGTATTCACTTGCTAAGAACTCTGCTAAGCATTTTCCATGGGATAGTAACTATTACTAGTCCACTTCACAGAGGAGAAAAGAGACATGCAGAGAGGTAAAGTAACTCACCCAAGGAGCAAATGGAGAAGGCAGGGTTTTAGCACTACCTGTACTAATCAGGATAGGATATACTGTGTTGCAGTAACAAACAACCACAAAATTTCAATATCTTAACAAAGATTCATTTCTCCCTCAAACTACATATTCACCATGGGTTGGCTAAAGGGCTCGGGACCCAGCCAGACAGATTCCACTATGACAAAGCCATACCATTTGGAATAAATGGGCTCCTGTCGCTAGGGCAGAGGAAGACAATGCTGGAGGATCTCACACGAGCAATTAAATGCTTTGGTCTGGAAGTGACATGCCACTTCTGTTTATAGTCAGCTTGGCCTTGTCTAACAGCCAGGGAACTCAGAGAATTCAATATGAATAAGTACTGGTCATGTCTATCGGCTTGGTAGACCGACTTGAAGGTCCATGCTTTTAATCACCATGCTATACTACTTTATCAAGCATGAACTCTGTCAGGCCTCTGAGCCCAAGCCAAGCCATCGCATCCCCTGTAACTTGCACGTATACATCCAGATGGCCTGAAGTAACTGAAGATCAACAAAAGAAGTAAAAATAGCCTTAACTGCTGACATTCCACCATTGTGATTTGTTTCTGCCCCACCCTAACTGATCAATGTACTTTGTAATCTCCCCCACCCTTAAGAAGGTACTTTTTAATCTCCCCCACCCTTAAGAAGGTTCTTTGTAATTCTCCCCACCCTTGAGAATGTACTTTGTGAGATCCACCCCTGCCCGCAAAACATTGCTCTTAACTTCACTGCCTATCCCAAAACCTGTAAGAACTAATGATAATCCACCACCCTTTGCTGACTCTCTTTTAGGACTCAGCCTGCCTGCACCCAGGTGAAATAAACAGCCATGTTGCTCACACAAAGCCTGTTTAGTGGTCTCTTCACACAGATGCACATGAAAAACTCCCCTAGGATAAATTCCTTTTATGTATTGTGTTTATGGTTTGCTTCTCCTCCCTCTTTCCTTCCCTCCATACCTGCATTCCTCCAGCACATGCTGAGAAACTACATGCACTCTGTTGGGTGATGGATACTAAAATAAATGATACATGCTCTCTGCCTCTCAGTGACCTTCTTTTAGGAGGAAAGTGCTAATGTGTCATACACAACATCCTGTTATCAAAGCAGAAGGGCTATAAATGAGATGAGATCAGTGACATAATAGCTAACCCACGAGACTTCCAGAGAGGAATAGAAGGTGAGTAATGAGTCAGGCAAGGCTTCCTGTAGGAGATGGCCTTTGGGCTGGGCCTTGAAGATAAGTAAAACTTAGAAATGGGAAAGTAAAGGGACTCCAGGCAGAGAAAAGAGCTTGGACAAAAGCACAGAGGGAGGAAAGTTCAGGGGCATACCACAAACAAGGCATAATTCCATTTAACTGTGTTGAAATGTAGGGTAAGTGAAAGGGAGGGTTGTGAAGTAAGTGAAAGATGTGGGGTCATCTCATGGAGAAATTTGAACTCACACAGGAGTGTGTTTATGCCTGGGCCAATAGCTCCTGTTGTGACACAAATGCCTCACAATGAGGGGGTGGCTTTTACAACTTTGCAAAGCCAGATGATAAAGGGGCTGTGTCATTATTACTTATCCTCAGGCTGGAGGTGACTTAGAGGGGCTGGGGCTCCCATCACAGAAAGAGGCCTAATACACAGGGACAAAGTCCTGTGGCCTTTCTTGTGGCTGAGAGTTGGTTTAGGCCCTTGGGGCCTTATGTAGTGCCCTATACAGACTCGTCCCAAAGAACCTGCTGGCCCTGTGCTGGGGTCTGGGGATGTGGAGATGAATAAATGTATCCCAGGTGGACACATAACATAGGAAGCGCCCCAGCACCACTTGGCCTAATAGTATTCACCTGTGCCTCCACATTTGCACAACTTTGCTTCCTCTCCTGGTCTTTTTTCCCTACTCTTTTCTGTTTGCTTTTGTATTCTATCAATGCCATTTTTACCTATGCCAGTGCAACTTACCTCAATGCAGCCTCCAAATATACCTGTACGTCGGCCTCTCATTCCCATCTGGATTGGATTCACCTTGGGCTACCTATAGGTTCTTGGTCCTGGCTACATGCCTCCAAACCCCAGGCCCCATGGCACCTTGCACCCTTCCTCAGCTGCAGCTCCTGTGCCGTGACTTCTAGCCCTCTTGGAAATGGGTTGCATTATTTCGAAAGTATTTTTTCAGCTCTTACATCCTGTCTTCCTCTCTGACTATGTTGGGTGTCCCTTGTGTACAAAAAAGGCTACGGTAAACTGTCTTGAGTTTGCTTCGTTGTTAACTGGATGAAGAAAACAATAAACCCTATTTCTCTAATGATTTATAGCTTTAAAAAACATTATCTGGGCCAAGCACAGTGGATCACACCTGTAATCCCAGCGACTCCAGAGGCCGACGTGGGTGGATTACTTGAACTCAGGAGTTCAAGACCAGCCTGGGCAACATAGCCTCTACAACAAAACAAAATAAAAGTCCAAAACAAAATAAAACAAAACATTATCTGAAAACTATTTCAGGTATCTGCAAACACTCCTGAGAAATGAGCAAACTGAAACCCTTGGGAACTCAACTCAGAGAATTTAGGATTTCTCAGCAGGATGGCCTCTGTGTGTGTGCACTGCTGCACCATCTGTTTTTTCATTCTGCTTCACTACAAGTTCAAAAGGTTGGAGACCTTGTAACTTTGCTTTTTACCCAAACCACAGCGTTTTAAATAAACAAAACCAGCCATTCTTACACACTTGTCCCAATTCCTTTGGGATCTAGATCTCAGATTCAAAAGTCTCCCCTTTTCCCATTCCCATAATGCGATTTGGCACAGAACATTTGGATGCTGTTTTCCAATAGCAGAAGCCTCCAGCTGTTTGTCCCTGAACTGCCATAATTGGCCTCAGGGTTCTGCACAAGTGGCAAACTAGAGAATACGTTTTTGCCCCACGGCCTGGAGGTGGCACAAACATTGCTTCTGCAATTTCAATCCAAACCTGTTTTTTCCCCAAACCAGGACTAACACCCAAAGCCAGGCAGGCTTTTAAGTAACTAGCCGTTAATGCATTAAATAACACAAAACATGGTACTTTTTAAAACATTTATATTTATATATATAAAAAAATTAAATATATATAATATATAGTGTGTTTGAGACTAAAAATATAGTACATAATATTTTTAAAAAAAGGAAAAAAAAGTAGAATAGGAAAAGGTGTGAGGGACACACAGATACACATTGCTAAAAACCTACAATGGTTTGTCCTAACAAAAATAATATCTTTTTTTCTCTTCTCTTAATTATCATCATGGATCCATTTATTTTTGGGGTCTGGGTGGAGAAAATTCAACAGGAGCTAGAAATGGAGGTTGCAATGCCAAGAATGGCTGGGTAGAAAATGTGACCACAGGGAGCCCTGGGCCTCTTCTGGTGAAATTGGACTTCTCAAAATTTTCTGGGTCACTGTTGCTAACAAGATTGTGTGGAGTTTTACTGTATTGGGATTTTGGCTGCTCTTTCCCCAGAGTTAGGGTATTCTCAGGGGGGACAGCATCTGAAGAGCTCCAAAAGCAAACAGAAGAGCTCAGGGCCCATCGATACTCAACAAGGCCAGTGGTTGGGGCCAGCAAAAAACCAGGGTAGGGACAGCAGACTGGCAGGAATGAGTGACAGTTCTATGCAAATGGAGTTATTATTATTATTGTTATTATTAATAAGGGCAGGTTTGTACCAGAACTGCCCAGTATGGCCTGTGACTTCTGCGCAGCAATTATTTCTCCAGGGACAGGGCCTGAAGCTACCTCACAGTGATGCAAAAAAATGGGATTCCCCACTAACCCCCACACACACCCCCTTCCTACCAAACCACACATCTCTCAGTCCTCTCCAGCAGCCCAGAGGTGAACGTCAGGACCACGCTGACAAAGATGAGCCAATGCCTTTCACAAAAAGCCTGGCCTTGAGGAGAGGAGGAGAAATACCATAGGGGGATAGGAGGAGGCCAAGAGAAGGGAATGGGATATTTAAATGCTAATTTTACAGCATCTTCACAAAAATAAATGCCTTTCAATTACATCCCTTGGCCTGTGCACTTCAGTGTTCATTATGGCCTCGCCAGGGTCAGGAGCTTCACTAATCCTTTTGGGCAATTCTCAACATGCACAGTGGCCTGTAGAGGCACCAAGCAGTGGCCTGGCTCAGGTCAGACAGCACTAACTTGGGGAAGCCAGGATTTCTGAGGCCAGGGTGCTTGGGGAGGAACTGGAGTTCAGCAGTAGGGACAGAACCTTCCACACAGCAAAGAACAAGGCAGTTCGCTCCAAACGGGTCTTGGCTTTAATGTGGTTTTCTTCAAACCCAAATGGCTGAACATTGCTATGAACATAGGTCATGTATATTGAGACACTGATTCCGTTTTATGGAGCCCTGTGGCTCCTGACAGGTTAACGAGAGGGCACGAAACTCCAGTGCGACGTGCTCCATTTTGAAAGCAGATAAAGCTCCCCTCATCAGAGTGAAGAGGAAAGTAGCCCTGCTGGAATAAGGGGAGAGCGTACCGCTTGAAGACAGGGTGCTCAGATGTTTTCATTCCAAGCAAGACAGTGATAACAGCACAGCACTGCTCCCATCCCTGGCCCCTTTCCTTTCTCACTTACTAGGCTTTTTGCTTCATGCAAACTCTGTGGCTGGACTTTGAGGGATCCAGAATTTAGGATATAGGGCGGGTCCTTCACGAGGGAAGTGACCGTGGCTCAGCCAAAATCACAAGATCCTCCTCAAGATCCAGAATGTATTCCAAAGCTGTTGTACCCCTTTCCCTCCACCGGCTCCCCTTGCAAGCTGCTCCTTCTCAGGCAGGGGCAGCTGTGCTTACTCCCCGACCTCTGGCTCCAGGCACCTTGGACTGCAGGCTTCACCTGTTTGGTGAGAAGAACAAGCTGTCCCTGGGCCAGAGGAATGTTCCTAAGGATCAGGGTGGAGGAAGGCTCCTCCCATTTTCCCCTACAGAAGGAGTGCCTGAAACCTAGGCACATAACAATATCCCTATGTGCATACTATGTCCTGCCCTGGCAAAAGGCACCTTTGCAAACCCATCAGAAATGAGTGGGGAGCAGCACAGATGACCCGATAGCCAAAGGATAGCCCCACATCAATTTTACTCTGAGGTTTAGGGTGTATTTTGTGTTGCTGTTTGGGATAAAGGGGTCCCTGGTGGAAACTAATTCACTTCTGACAAGATAATGAAGCCCATGGTGAAAGCTTCTTTGAACAGGAGAGAACCCCCCCAGCCAGCTCTCCAGCCCTCACCATGCTTGCTACTGTTCCCAGTTCCTTGCCAGCAATGGGCAGTCCCATCCCTACCCCCAACCCTATGGGTATAACAAAACCAGAATAGTTTTAGGTTTATGCAACCCTCCCCCTTCATTTTACAGGCCAGACAAATTGGGGGCAATGAACAGAAAGTTAGGCCGAGATCTAACCTTTGCAGCTTCAGGACTGGGTCCTGGGTCTCCTGACCTTTAGTCCCTTGCTCTTTCCACTAAAACAAGCCACCAAAGGTGATCAGGATCACCAACTACTGAGGCATCACCATGTTGCAGGACTCCAGGATTCGACAGCAAAGCTCTGTGATCAAGGACGCCTTCCACTCCCCAGAAAAGCTATTCCACTGGGCCCATCAGGTAGGTTCCAATTCAGATTCTGATGCACCAACACGTAAGTTACAGAGGGCAGAGACTACCTTGGTTGCTGATGCTTCCCTGTGCCTTCCAGGGTGCTTGTTTGACACCCAAGAGGCTCCAGTTACCTTGTTAAGGAGTAGAGGACAGTGAAGTAGCTCTGTGTCAGGCTTCTGGAAACTAGGCTTCCTTTCTCAACAATTCTCCCTGCACCATCAGCTCAATTACCTAGTAACCTTAGGCCCTCTCTCCATCATTTCAGTAGAATGAAACTAATACTTAAGCTAAAAGGGGATAAATAAGAGAATCTAGCCAAACCCAAAACAAAAATGAATTCTTTTTGGAATATGCATGTTTTAAAAGCCACCATCTTTAGACTTCAAGTCTTTGGATTCCCCCATGGTTTCTGGTTTTTGTGAAAATAATAGAAATTTGCATGAATTTGTCTGTACAAGAACCTGAATTTCTTGACAGACCTTCCCACTGAGCTCTCATAAAAGGACTCTATAGAAAGGTATCAGCTTCCAGGGATGGAATACAGCTGGAAGCCTGTAAATGCCCCAGATAGGGCCCACTCCACAGGAGTTTTCCCTGCTGAAATGAAGGAGGATGCACAGACTTCCTGTGAAGTTAAAATTAGAGCTACTTGCTTCCTGGGTATTATCTGGTCCTTCCTACAAGGGGTTGGCCAGGAATGTCGCCCCCCAGACCCATCCATAAGGGTGGTAATGGCCTGTGGCTGATAAGCATGTAACTCATTAAAGCGAACATGAATTATGAATGGTGACCACGGAGAAAGGGCGAGGAACATTTTGGGAACTGCACCAGAGGCCCTGTCTCCCACTGGGCTGGACATGCAGCTGGGGAGGCGGGAAACAGCCAACTCCAGACACTGCTTTTTAGGAAGGCGAGGCTGGGGCAGGGGTACAGGTTCTCCTTGGAGCGCCTGTTCTCTTTGGTCAGAAAGTGGTGGCTGAGAAGCAGTCACATGGAAGGTGTGTGTTGGATGTGCGTGCACATGGAGGAGGAGAAATGGCCTGTGTAATGCCTGCGGTGCCCTTCCGCACCACCTTCTCCCGGTCAGCACAAGTTCTCTGTCAGGGCCATTTCCAGGCCCCTTACCTCTCCAGGTCCCCTCACCCATCTCTCTCCTAACACTGTAACACTTAACAGTGTGTCCGAGGCTCACAAGTACCCACTCCCCACACAACCGCCCACATAGGGTCGGTCATCCAAAGCTTGACACTCAAGGCACTGAAAGTGGAAGAAGGAATCTGATTGGTCCAAGAAAAAAAAAAAAGACACTTAAAAACCAAAACCTGTCTCCCATACCCCCTGGAAGGTGGCCTCCAACCAACTGATGGGACATAGGAGAGTAGAGACTGAGAGCCAGGCCCCCTCCGTAACCCTATCAGAGTCCACTGTGTGACAGGTCTGGCAACCTGAATGTTTAAAAATGGATTCAAAGTGCTTGGAGACTGAAAGAGTAATGGAGGGTGTTAGGAACCCCATGGAGAAGAATAGGTACTACCTTTCCTTTCCACTGGGACTTGTATTTGGGTGGGGGAATCCCTACAGCTTTTCTTCCCAAATGAGGTTTTCATTGTTTTTTGTTTTCTTTGAAAAAGAGCCTACAGCACCCCCACCCCTACCTCACCACTCCCCAAACCAGCTCAAGAGTTAAAGCCAGGAAGTGGGGCAGACTGGGGAGAGGAGGCTTGTGTGGCTCCCTCTAGTGTTGGTTCACTGCTGTGCAGCACACAGCAGTATCTGGGTCAATGAGGACATGGTCCTAGCCTTTCTTTCTCCACCAGGACCCTGACTTATCTGGCTGGCCCAGCATGGAGGAGAAGGAAAGCGGGCCGTGCTGCCGGGGGGATTCCTGGATCCCTCTGCATGCTGACAGACAGCTGTCCACAGTGGGTAGCCAAGGTGACTGGCATTTTGATCCCAGCTGAATGAAGACTGGATTTGAATGCAGTGCCAGGGCTGTTCTGTAGACAAGAGCGAACAGTACCCTGTTCGCTCCCTTCTGCAGTACCCTGAGGAAGGAGAGAGGCACCCAGGGCACGAATGCAGACAACAGAGGGACTGGCCAGGCTATCCCGTTTTCCACCTGTCTGTGCCACAGCCACCCACTCCCATACTTCATGTCCCTAGGCCAAAGCCTGCCCATCCCTGGGTACCCCCATTTCCACTTATGGGAGATCAGAGGGGTGGGATAGAAAGGGAATGCTAAAAAGTGCCCCCCTCTGCTTTCCCTAACCTTCACTTTCCCTGTCCCCATTCTAGGGTCAGGCAAGAGTGCAGGTCAGAAGAGACACATCCTCCCGAAGAAGAGGGAAGGGCAGGCCCAGGAGGCTGGGGCATGCACAGAGCACCATCCTCGGGACGGGGTGTTTCTGGGAGACCTGCTCCCCACCTGCCATGGTGGGAGGAAGAAGGCTGGTCCGAGAAGGGAGCAATGAGCAATGCCCCTGAATATCAGGGAACAGCTGTGAAAGCCTTCTCCTCTGCCCCGCAGAGATGCCCCAGCCAGGCTCTGGCCCCTACACGTGAGTCTGCATGCGCTGCTGGAATCGCTGGCCGTAGTCCGAGTGCTGGGAGGTGTAGGAGAATCGAGTGGCTGTGGCGTACTTGCCAATGGGGTCATACGCCTCATATGGGGTCCGCTCCAGGCCAGAGGGTGGGGCCTGGGGGTAGCCCAGTCGGTAGGTGGGGTACCCAGCTGCCCCAGGGAAGGGATGGGAGTTGAACTTCTCATAGTTCTCGTAGGACAGCTGGCTGGTTGTGTCAGTGCCAGCTGGGGCAGCAGGGCCAGGGGGTGTGGGCTCAGGGCCATAGTCAGAGGCAGGGCCCCGGCTATAGGTGTTGAGCTGGGCATAGCCGCTGGAGTGGGAGAGACGGGATGAGGGGCGGCCGTCGAAGCGGGCAGGGCCAGGGGCACGGTAGTCAGCATAGAGCACTGCCCTGGAAGACGGGCGGTCTTCATGGGCACGCACGTTGTAGTAGCCATTGGTGGGGTCCTGGGGGCAATGAGAGAAGAGGATGGAGGCAGTGTTCCCTCTTGGGTGGGGATCAAGTCTCACCATGGCTTTCTGGGCCTCTTCCTCCAGCTCTCCCTATGTCCCCATCTAGCATTCCACCTCCTCTGCTCCTTCAAAAACCCTCCCAACCACTCCTCCCCAAGTCTGTCCTCACCTCACCTCCCCGCTACAGGACCTCAGAAACCCACTGGCCCACCAGCCCTCATGCCCTGGCCCCTTCCCCCTTTCCCACCTTCATCTCATACTCCTCCCGGGTGTCGATGGTGTCGCAGCGCAGGTCCTGCTTCAGATCCACATCATCCTTAAACGACTGTGGAGCAGCAGGAGTGGGACGTCAGCAGACGGAAGCCCTGCTCTTTTCGCCCCTCACCAACCCCTCCCCACGCTCAGAGGCCACCTGCTCATGGGTGGGGTCTGAGGTCAAGGGCAGACTTGAGTTCTGGTCCTCTCAGCAGAGGCTCTGGGATGTGGTGGGAAGAGGCCAGAGACCTTGGTTCGAGCACTAGTTTGGTTGCTAACATGTAATGTGACCTTGTATATGTCACTGCCCCTCTCCAGGGCTGTTTCCTCATCTCAGCAATGAGGCAGATGGACCAGAAAGCCTCTGGGGGCTTCCAACTTTCACACACTGTGGGGCAAAGGAAGTCTTTGGACAATCCCAGCTGCCTATCCTCTGCTGGAGGAAACTAGCCTGGGGCGTGTGTGAGAGAATGTGTGTGAGTGTGGGAGAGTGTGTGTGGCAGGACCAGGGAAGACCGACTGAGGAAGGAGAGAATGACCGCGGTTATTAGAGATCTGGGATGGAGCTGGTCCTCAGAGGGTGGAGAAGGCAGGAGGCCAGAGAGGAGCAGGACCCTCACCGAGTAGATGGCCTTCATGACCCGGGTTGCTGTGGAGACGCTGGCGGTGTCATCCTCCCGGTCAGAATGCATCGTAAGTGGCTCTCGGTTCACTGTCTCCACCTTGATATCCAGCTTCCTCAGGGTCACGTCTTTGCGACCTGGGACGGGAGAGGCAGCCTGGAACAAGTGCTTCCTGCTGGTCTCTGCAGCGGCTGCTTCTGGCTCCCTCTGGGCTGGAGCTCAAGGGCCAACCTCCCATCCACCCCAAGCACTGCCTGTCATGGCCCTGGAAGAGCCAGGGGAAGGCTGTGGGCTGCACAGGGCCCATACTCACTGCCTTTGCGGCGCCGGTAGAGGAAGAATACCAAGGCGATGAAGAAGAAGATGAGCAGGATGCTCGCGCCGATGGTGGCCCCAGCTATGATGCCCACAGGTAACACCTCTTTCGATGGGGAAGGAAAGGTGGAGGGGTGAGGCTGGAGTTATACTGGGAGCTAAGCTCAGTGCTGGCTAAAGGCTAGGCCACAGCCACAGAGGCAACCTTGGCTTGTGTACAGGGCTAAGTTTTGACTGAGCCTGGGGACAGTGTTAGGTTTAAGTCAAGGTTGGATTAGAGAGGAAGGTCTGCATTGTGGTTGGATTTTGGTCTGTGCTCCAGCTCCATCAGAATGGAGATCATGGTCATGTCTCATCCCTGCAGCTGGGGCAGGAGTTTGCCCCTGGTCTTGGTTGTCTGTCGATCCCTGTCCTTCAGCCCACCTGACTATGATGCTTGGCCCCTCGCTCTTCTTTGAGGTCAGCTGTCTCCAAACTCTCCAATCTGCCACCCGTGTTCCGACATCTTTCACCACTGTGCCATCCATAATACCACTGTGACTGCCGAATGTTCACCTATCTACTCAGGGCTCCAACAGTTTTCCTTGGTTTCCTCTGCTTCCCAGAGCTGAGGAAGAGCTCAGGAATCCTGCTTCCAGCCTTCTCTGTCTTCCTAGCAGCCCTAGTTGAATCCAGATCCTGCTTATAGCTCTTCCCCTCTGAGATCTTTCCCTGTGGAGCCCCACGTTACTGTATCTACTCCATTCTTCCCCACCCCCAACCCCCTTGCTGGCATCCTTAGTTAAGACTGAAGTGATAGGCCGGGCATGGTGGCTCATGCCTGTAATCCCAGCACTTTGGGAGGCCGAGGTGGGTGAATCATGAGGTCAGGAGATCGAGACCATCTTGGCTAACACGGTGAAAACCCGTCTCCACTAAAAATACAAAAAATTAGCCGGGCGTAGTGGCGGGTGCCTGTAGTCCCAGCTACTCGGGAGGTTGAGGTAGGAGACTCATTTGAACCCGGAAGGCACAGGTTGCAATGAGCCAAGATCGCACCACTGCACTCCAGCCTGGGCGACAGAGCAAGACTCCATCTCAAAAAAAAAAAAAAAAAAAAGACTGAAGTGATGGGATGCTGTCATTTTCCATGTGGTTCTCCATCTCCTATGTCAAATGGTTAGTTCTCAAAAAATAAAACAACAACAAAAAAATGCTATCTTTTCCTCCTTGGACTTGGTAGCTTCCAAAAAAGTCAAAGGAATACCTCTTTTATCATGTGAGAAGTGCCTTAAAGGAGAGAACACTTTTCTGCTATCAGAGTGACAATTCTTGAAGAGGTAGGGGAACCCATACTTACTGAACACCTATTGTATGCCAGGCATTTTGTAAATATTCTCTAATTTAATCCTCACGTCCACCCAATGAGATGGGCGTGTTATTCCCTTTTGCAGTTCATATGATTCTTCTCCATCCGAATTAATTTACTACCACTCTGTAAGTCCCTCCTCCACTACACCGAAAGTTTCTTGAGGTCAGGGACTGTGTCTTGTTCACAGCTCTTTCTGCAGCCCCTGGGGCAGAGCCTGGCACATAGCAAATGCTCAGTACACTTTAACGAAGTGAGGGCATTTCCCCAGTTGAGCATGGAGGCCAGGTTCTGGAGGGAAGGCCCCAGAGAGTTCTTTCCCTCTGATGCACAGACTCTTACAATAGGCAGGAATCAGAGGGGAGTAGCCCCAAACCCCTTCACTCCTGACCTCTCAGCCAGGACATCCCTCTGTGTGTCCCCTCCCTCAGAGCAGAGCCCAAGGGAAGGGGAGCAGCTGAGCCCTGCCCCTGGAGAAAAGAAGGAGCAGAATCCTCAGGCTGCTCTGCACCCCAGCTGGCAGGCAGCACTACCAGTCACCTCGCTCTTCCAGCTGGATGATGGCTGTGCCTGGCCCGAAGCTGTTCCAGGCGGTGCAGTTGTAGTGAGTCTGAAAGTCGGCCTCCATGACATTGTTGATGGTGAGCGTGGATAGCACCCCACTGCCTGAGTTGGTCCTCTCCACTGTATAGCGTTCCAGGGTCCCCACCTCCAAGAAGTTCTCCTTCCAGGCCCATGCCTGTGGTGGAGAGGGAAGGAAGAAGGTAAGAAAGGGGCAGGGGGCAGAAGCCCATGCCCACGTGTCCCCTGATCCACCCTCAAGGCACCCTCACCCCTATGTGCCATGTGTGCCCCACAAGCCCAGCCTAACACCTCCCTGTAACAAACCTAAGTCACACCTGCTACCTCACACCCTCGGCACTGACACTCCACTCAAGGAGAAGCAGTGGCTCCCAAGCATGGCTGACATCAGATTTACCTAGGGAGATTCTTTCAAATGTAGATATTTGGGACTTATGTCCTAAATAGGAATCTCCAGGGAGGAGGAGAATCTCTATTTTCATCATGATCCCATGTGATGTGGATGCAGCGGATCCATTGAACCGACACTGGGAATCCTCCCAGATGTTGTAGAAAAAGTTCTGCATTTGTCCTCAAGAACGCTGGGCTCCTCTCCCCATCAAGCCCCTGTGTGGCCTCCCTGTCCCTTTCTAGGCCTTATTTTCTTCATCTATACAATGACAGAACCAGGCTAGGGCTAGACAATGCTCAAGATTTCTTCCAGCTCTGATAGTCTGTGATTCTAACTAAGCATAACTCAATCTTTAGGCGTACCTTTAACCAACCCACACGACCTGCCTGGCTGGCTCTGAGACTGATCCACAGACTTATAATAGGCAGAACCCACAACGGGGTATTCCTGGACCCCTCCATCCCTGACTTCTCAGCCGGACCATTCCCCTGAGTGGCCCCTTCCTCAGAGTGGAGCCTAAGGGAGGGGGAGCAGCCGAGAACTGGCTCCTTTCCAGGGATCAATCCTCCTAGATCTGCAAGGAAAGCCCCCCGGGAGGCCAGCCGCCTGCTGCCCGGGCGGCCGTGGTAATGAAGTGTCCCTGGGCAGCCCTGGAGTTAGCCAAATGGTCATTAAATGTGATGAGGGGTTTGACAGTTAATAGTCACGGAAGGAATTAATGGCTCATGGTGTGGGGGAGAGGAGAAAGGAGGGAGGAGAGTGGCAAGGCAAGGGGCTGGTAGGAGGAAGGCAGGAGGAGGGAGAGAAGAGTGGGCCAGGCAGGTAGGAGAACTGATGGGAAGGGAGAGAGATGGCAAGAGCCAGAGGAGGAGACAGGGAAGGGGAGGGAGCAAAGAAAAGAGCAGGAGGTCAATGACAGGCAGATGAGGGAGAAAAGAGGGGAAGTGTTAGCCCAGGGGAGAGAGTGGGGAACTAACATGAATCAAGTGCTGGCCTAGGCATCTCACACCTGTTGCTGCCATGACTTCTCACAGCAACCCTATTAGGTAGGAGTTACTGGCCCTGTTTTATAGATGAATAAACCGAGGTTCAAAACATTAAGTGATCTGCTCAGGGACACATAACAAGTAAGGGAGGAGGTGGGATTTGAGCAGGTAAAGGGACAGAGGGACAGAAAGCAGAAGATTCGAGGATGGAAACGGGACAGGGAAGTTGAAGGAGCAAAACCAGCAGAAGTGAGAGGAGGCTGGGCCTGGGCAAAGAAGCAGGGAGGGCTGGCTGTCCGCAGGCAGGTCCGCCACTCACTATGCGGTCTGGGGGTGGTGTGCTCCCAATGAAACACTCCACCTTGCCACCGTCACCCCTCACAGCATACTGCACTGCCTCACTGGAGATGATGGGGGGCCCTGCAAGCAAGAAGACACAAGTCAGAACCAGTTAAAAACTGCAGTACCAGCCCGCCCAGGCCCGGCTGCCTCTCAGGCCACTCACTCACCGTTCACATAGAGCGGCACCTCCCGCTCAGCCACTCCGATTCGAGGCACGATGGCCCGGCAGGTGTAGGTGCCAGCGTCTGCCTGAGTCACCGACTTCAGCAGCAGCTGGTTGCTGTTACTCAGGACCTGGGCAGAGAGAGCAGCCTCGGGTGGGGAGCCAGGAGGCCTGGGCCCCTAGGTCCATGAGGGCCCCACATCGGAGGCATCGGAAAGAAAGCAGGAAGGGCCACAAGTGAATTCCCAGAAGGGAAATGGGGTTCCCGAGTCCATTTTGGTCCATGCTCTGACTCTACACAGGTTGGCACGTAAACACACCATCTCTGCAGGTGTGGGCAGGGATGGGGTGGAGGCCAGAGAGGGCAGGTGAAGGCTGCAATCATTTTAGGAGGACGCAGCCTCTTCTGATGATCTGTTCTAGTGTTTTCATTGCCAAATGACATAGGACGTTTTACTCTGAAATTCTTCTTCCTGTAGTTCTGGCCCAAATGGTCTAATGGGGGTCTCTGCAGAGCTGTAGACTCCAGCCTTCTTTAGTGAATCGCCTCAGCTTCCCCACCTCCCTGTGCAGCATTATTTACCAGACCTTTACCACTGCAGTAGGCCCGCCCCAGGCCCTCTCCCTTCCTCCCACCCCACCCTGCTTCCCGTGCACAGGTGAGTTTGTCCCCCCAGTGCTTCTGAACTGGGCTTTCCTGTGAGAAGATGTGGGGATAACCGTAAGCACTTTCTCCTCCAAATCCCAAGACCCTAGAAATAGCCCAGGTTCAAAGATAATGCTGCAGCCCCCCATCTACTCCCATCTGTGGCCGCACCCCTTCCTCCCAGCATTCAGAACACGCAGTAAGGCCGGGCGCGGTGGCTCACGCCTGTAATCCCAGCACTTTGGGAGGCCGAGGCGGGCGGATCACGAGGTCAGGAGATCGAGACCATCCTGGCTAACAAGGTGAAACCCCGTCTCTACTAAAAATACAAAAAATTAGCCGGGCGTGGTAGCGGGCGCCTGTAGTCCCAGCTACTCGGGAGGCTGAGGCAGGAGAATGGCGTGAACCCGGGAGGCGGAGCTTGCAGTGAGCCGAGATCGCGCCACTGCACTCCAGCCTGGGCGACAGAGCGAGACTCCGTCTCAAAAAAAAAAAAAAAAAAAAAAAAAAGAACAGGCAGTAAGAGTCTTACCATATTTGAGTCCTTTTTGGTCCAGGTGAGAGTGAGGGGGGGATTCCCAACCCAGACACAGGTAAGGGTCACATCAGAGCCAATGTCTGTGGTTGTGGGTTTGGGGTCAACTACAATCCGGGGAGCAACTGTGAGGGAGAAAGAAGCCACTCGTTAGGGTCTCAAGCTCATGGGGTTAACTCCAATCAATCTTCCTCCTGCCCTGCTACCTCCCCATTCATGGAGCAGTCCCCGACTCTGTCCAAGGCCCTTTGGGGGCCCCTGCTCTCTGTCCCCGTCCCTGCCCTCCCAGCTACTCACAGTGGACATTTACTAAAGTGCTGACATTGGTGCTTCCCACTTTGTTGTGAACCTCACAAGACACAGGCTCCGTGAAAAAGGAATAATCCACATTTGTCTCATAGCGACTCTCGTGGGCGTCTTCAATCAAGAAACCCCCTTTGGCCCACCTAGGGGAGGAGGCAACACAGAGGTGGGATCAGGCCTCAGACCCTCTCAACTACATCCATGACACCTGGCCTCCCCAGTACAGCCTCTAACCCCGAACTCTTCCTTATCACTCCCCAGAGCGCTCCCAGCCTCTGACCCCCTCACCTGTAGCCCAAGATCTCGGGGTTGGCTGTGGCCTGGCAGGTAAAGACAACACGCTCACCCTCCTGCACCGTCTGTGGCTCAATGGACAGGGTCACTGTAGGAGGGTCTGCAAAGTAGAGCACAGGGAGTCAGGGTCTTTTCTGTCCCTTGAGTTTCTTTTTCCCTCCCTAACACGTACATTCAGACCTGACCACTCTGGCGGGGATCTAGGAATTTGAGGTTGCAGTGTATCGGCTCCAGTTAACACACTGTCTTCCTCACCTTTTGCACATGGAGCCTCTAGGGGGCCTGCTAGGGTGACCACCAATGAAGGCACCAAAGGGACAAATAACTCAATGGACTAATGACCCACTGTGGCCACTAGGCGTCAGTGTGAGCTTGCTTGGCTCACTAAAAAGGATGGGGTGTGGGCATCCCCAGTTGCTGCCCACACCCCCATGGTTCCCTGGGGAGAGACAATTTATTACACACCTACCAGGTAAGAATACTCCATGCTAGATGCTCTTCTGCTATATCTCATTTAATGCTCACAACCCCAGGAAGCAGGTCCAGGTCCACAATCCCTTATTTGAAACCCTTAGGACTAGATGCATTTCAGAATTTAGAATTTTTCACATTTAGAAAGGCAATGGTTGTGCATAGAGCGTTTACTGTGTAAGATCCCCAGCAGCATCTGGGCCACATCCCATAGTCACACATATGAATACATCTGCAGTGAAACTTAAGACTAAATTAAATAAAAGACTATGAAGAGCCTTGGTTCAGGCTGCACCATCGAACCACTTTTAGTTTGAATAAGGGACTGTAGGCCAGTATTTTATCTTTTGCAATATACAGTATACAGAACTGGAAACCGAGGCCCAGAGAGTGTAAACCATTGACTAATAACAGGCTGGTTTAGACCTGGGGACTGCCTGACTCCACAGCCAATGCTCTACCAGCCCTTAGTCCCCATGGTTCAATCCAGGGAATGAAAGATGTGAAGAAGGCAAGCGTTTGTCCTGGGGACCATAGGGGGACTCTTAGTTTGTGTTTCTCAAACTAAGAGTGTGCTTCTCAAACACACCCCTTCTTCCACCCCCCTGCTCCAGACTGCTCCCCCCAGCCCACTCACGGTGCACATCCAGCTCGATGGAAGTCTCCTTGCCACTAGGGATGGCTTCGTTCATGCTTCGGCAAGTGAAGACACGCCCTATGTCCAGGTCCGTGGGGTTAATAAGCAGTTGGCTCACGGTGGTCTCCCTCTTCCCATCCTTCAGCAATTCCTGGAACATGACAAGGGTGGGAGATATGGTTAAGCTAAAAGCCCCCTCCTCTGCTCTTAAGTTGACCTCACTCAGAGATGGGCTTGGGCTGGAGGGGTACTTTAACTTAAAGCTCAATCCCCTTCACTCCCACAACCTCTTCCCTTGTGTGTGTGTGTGTGTGTGTGTGTGTTTAATCAATAGACTACTAATTATCTTTTAATTAAAAGTTATATATTTTTAGGGTCTTGCTATGTTGCCCAGGCTGGCCTCCAAAGCTTGGACTCAAGCAATCCTCCTGCCTGAGCCTTCTGAGTAGCAGCGACTACAGGAGTGTGCCATCATGCCCACATCACAGACTATCTTTTGGAGCAGTTTTAAGTTTACAGAAAAATTGAGCAGAAAGTACAGGGAGTTTCCATATACCCTCCTCCCCGACCTTACACTTTCCCCCATTACTAACACCTTAACACCTTGCATTAGAGTGATAAGTCTGTTACAACTGATGGACCGAAACTAATATATTATTATTAAGGCCACAGTTTATATTAGAGTTCACTCTTTGTGAGTCCAGCGCAAATCCCTTCTCTTCTGGAAAGCCTTCTTCAGCCAGCCCAGCCCTCAGAACTCTCTCCCAGACTGAATTTATGCCCTTATAGTCAGTGTGTCCTGCTCACAGCTCTAGACACATCCAACCTTGCTTGTAGGCACCATGTGTGCGTGTTTCAGGGTTGGGTTTCTTCTGCTAAACTGTAAACTCCTTGAGGGCAGGGAAGGGACTCACAGGCTCGAAGTCTTACACTTGCTCAGTGACAGCCAGGGGTCCCTAAATATGGTCACAGGAACCCTTGATCTGTTTTCTATATTGCAAACTGCCTGAGGGAAGCCATATTATTAATCAAAGTAAGACCCCGTTGTTTGACCACCATGCATGCAGCTTTGCTGGACAGGCCCAGTTGAGGGCCAGTGCAATAACACTGGCTCCCTTGTGCTGCTTTGAAGCTCCATTGTCTTTAATGAATATGAAAAATGGGGGTAGATGACAAATGGATATTAACAAACCAACTTGTTTGGTTGCCAAAATATCTAAAAACATGTAGCCCTGATGAAGAAAAATCACAGTTTTTGGTTGTGAAAAGGTTAAGTACCACTGAGGCTGAATTATCATTTGTCAAATGAGAAACTAAGGCCAGAAAAAAGTGAAGCGAATTATCCAAGGTCACACAGTGTGTTAAGGGCAGAACTGAAGCCAGAAGCCAGGTATTCCTGGGATTGCTTGCTGAGGAGCATGGGAACATCTCTGTCTCCACACTGAGAAGTGCTCCTGCAGCACCAGCAAAGGGCTGAATACACATATGTTTACCCACAACTGGCAGGGTAACCCCAACCAGGAAATCTGGCTTTGAATTCCAGCTGTACTGTCCGCTTTGCTATGTAATCCTGGGCAAGTCACTTGATATCTTTCATGGCTTCCTCATCTATAAAATGTATACAAGGATCTCTGCTTCCCCAGCCTCTTTGTTGTGATGACTGGAATAATCTGACAACCAGACGCTGAAGGAAAGAGGTAGAAGTGATCAGTGGAGAGAAAGCACAGTCAGACCCAGGTACAAACCCCCGCTCTGTGCCAGCTGTGTGACCTTGGACAAGTCACTCAACCTCTCTGAGCGCAAGTTTCCTCCTTTGTGAGTTGGAAATAATGCCTCCTTTATGGGACTCCTATGAAGATTAAGAGAGACTGTCCATAAAGTGTTTAGCATGCACGGTGTCTGGCACACAGTAGGTGCTTAATCCATGGCAACTTATTATTACTATTAGTCTCTGTTCAGCTACTGAATGACACAGTAAACCTAGGAATTCATTTCTCTTCTCTGGGTTTCAATTTTCCCAACTGTAGAATGAGAGGGTTGAACCAGATGACCTCTAAGACCCCTCTCATGTCTGTGTGCTCCTGAGTCTGTGGTGAAACCCCTGTGGGAAAGGAGAGGTGAGCTGGGCTAGGCCCAGGAGGAGCTGGGGGAGCTGGCTGGAGCTCACCGTGCTGGCCACAGCGCCCTCCTGCTGCGTCCCGTCCCGGAACCAGATGATGGTGGCAGCAGGCTTCGCATTGAAGGCCCGGCATGTGAGGTTGTGGGGGGTGCCTGCCTGCAGTAGAATCACAGGGCCTCCGTCAATCCTGGTGTCCTCTGGGGGGACTGTGGGAGAAAGCAGAGCAAAGTCAGTGCAGGGTGTGGCTAACACTTCCCTGAAGACCAAAACTCCTGCCTCTGGAAGCATCCTTCCACCTGCATGTGCGCCTCTAGGTAGGCGGTACCACCCTACCCCCTAATCTACAACCACTGTCTTCATTGCTCTTGTGGTGGCTTCCTCTAGGTCCTCAGCTCACACATCTTTCCCAGTCCTTGTCTGCTTTTCTTTCCTGGCCTATAATATTTTCTGGTACTCCATGCCCCTACTGGTTTATTGTTTGTTTGTTTGTTTGTTTTTGAGATGGAGTGTCACTCTGTCGCCCAGGCTGGAGTGCAGTGGTGCCATCTCAGCTCACTGTAACCTCCACCTCCTGGGTTCAAGCGATTCTCCTGCCCCAGCCTCCCAAGTAGCTGGGATTATAGGCGCCCACCACTGCTCCCAGCTAATTTTTGTATTTTTAGTAGAGAGTAGGGGTTTCACCATGTTGGCCAGACTGGTCTCGAACTCCTGACCTCTCAGGTGATCCACCTGCCTCAGCCTCCCAAAGTGCTGGGATTACAGGCGTGAACCACTGTGCCTGGCTCCATACCCCTACAGTTGCTCAGAGCTGCACACTACAGATGGAAGCCTCAAACTTAAGAAAGGGCTGGGCTATCTCAGGCCCTGAGTACAGCTCATAGTCTTGGGAGTCTGGCTCGGAAAGGTGGCTACCTCCATAGCACTTCTCCCATCCTTCCTCCTGTCTGCTCCTCTGCCCTGGAGCAGACAGATGGGCTGGCCTATTACAGTAACCTCCATGTCACACTGCTAGCAGGTTATTTTTCCCTTCAGCACAGCTAAGTATGTGCCACTCCCCTGCTCAAGCACCTTCAATGGCTACAACTGCCTAGGGCATAAGTTCCAAGCATTTCGGCCTCCTGTTCAGGGTCCTCAAGCCAAGACCTGCATTGCAGTGCTTTCCATATGGCATGCCCTTCTCCCACAGCTTCTATTGAAGTGCTTCCTATCCTGTTCAAATCCCAGTTGATGCACAAGGCTTTCCATGCTGTAGCCCACCCCCACCATGGTGGCCCCCACCAGTCACTCAGAGCTCTTAGCGCCTTGGATTTTGTTTACTTATAACAGTTATCGAACCCTGCCCCAACCAAAACTGTGATCCCCTGGAAAAACAGCAACCCTGTCTCACTAATATTTATATGGTCACCAGTGCCTAGAATGTGACCAAGTAGGCTCTTGCTAAATGTTTAAAGAATTCAATTGACCGATGTATGATGTTGCAAACAAGGGGGGCTCTCCCTCCCCTATCTCCATAGGCTTCTAAGACAAACCAGACTGTAAGTTCCCTGAGGGTAGCGGCTGCTTCTGATATACCATCAACACTTCAATGTCTAGCCCAGGGCTTGGGTGATCACAGGTGCTCAGGGATATTTGCTGAATTAATGAATGGATACTGATGAAATAAAGGCAGAAGGATTTTGATTATAATTTTTCTGGTCCCCCCAGTGTTCATCAACCATAAATGAGAAAGGAACTCCTGGGCTCAAGCAATCCTCCCACCTCGGCTTCCCAAGTATCAGAAACTACAGGTACACACCATCATGCTTGGCTAATTTCTATTTTTTGTAGAGACGAGGTTTCGCTATGTTGCCCAGGCTGGTCTGAAACTCCTGGGCTCAAGCAGTCCTCCTACCTCAGCTTCCCAAAGTGCTGGGATTACAAGCATGAGCCAGCGTGCTCCACCGATAAAAGATTTTGTTTGCTTCTTTCTGGGAAAGACAAGAAAGACCCAGAGGAGGGTCCAGAGGGAACACTCGAGAGGAGTGTGCAGAGGGAACACTCAAGAGGAGATCTTGGGAGACCCACGGTGCCCAGTGGTGGACAGGGCTGTTCTAGAATTTACACAATGAAGGTCTCTATGCTGGGGTTTCCAGTAGAAACTACTCGAAACCTGTCTTAGCATTCTGTTCAACTCATGTGTGCCTAGTGGTATAGTGGAAAAAGAATAAAACTTAGATTCAGACTGCCTGGTTTCAAATCCTGGCACCTTTGTTTACCTGCTGTGTGATCTCGGATGAGTTCCTAAAATCACTGAGTCTCAGTTTCTTCATCAGAGAAGAAACCAAGACATAACCATACTCACTAGAGCCTCATGAAGGTCAGATGAGATACTATACATAGACTATGATGTGCAGGGCATGTGTGAGGTATGGAATGTATTAGCCTTACTGCCTGGACGAGAGTAGCAGTGGCTCCAACTCCTGCCTGGCTAATTATCCTCTGAATCCCTGGCTCTTCCTCCTTGTTCTGTGGTGTATCTGGTTCCAATGCCAGATGGGGACAGGTTTGAGGATGGGGATGGGGAGCAGCTTGAAAAGTAGAGAAAGGTGGAGAGAAATGAATAAAGAGCTGCTGCTCAGGGCCTCCTGGTCTGCTCAGGCCCCTCTAAAGTCACATGTTGCTGCCACACCCAGGAGGAAGATCCTGGATGGGCAGAGCCCCGAGCAGACAACATGCCCAGGTGTGTGCCCGGGTGTGTGAAGCCCCTCCGCTGGGAAGGCATCAGCTTCCTCTACCCTGGGAATGCCTCCTGCCCCTTTGTTCATGCAAAGACTACCCATCTGTCACCTCTGCCAGCAGTCTACCTTTCTCTGAATTTTCCAAACTCTCTGCCCATCCTCCGTGAGCTCATCCCTCATATATGAGCTCGTCCCTCATATATGGGACAAATGACAATAAAGCTGTTAAGGTGCCTGCTGAGCCAGCTGTTAAAGGGCATGTGTCCATGTGTGCATGTGTTTATAAGCAAGTTTTTATGGTTTGTGACTTAAATCTGTATATCAATATGCTCATGTGCCTCCCCAAACTCATGTGCCCCTGAGTCTGTGGTCAAAAAAGCCTCAGTCTCCTTGTTTATAAAACTTCAAAAATACAATGGACACCTACTCCCCTGATTTTGCAAAACAAAATCAAGAAGGTGAAGCCAACTGTAAATGGTGGTGGGATCGACAATAACTTCTGCCACTCAGTGAACGTTCACCTTGTGTCAGCCAAAGTGCCTCCTGTATATGACTTCATTTAATCCCTACCACAAAGTATATTTCATTATTCCTTTCATGGTAAATATATTAACCCCAATTTACAGATAAGGAACGGAGGCTCGAAGAGGATAAACAAATGTGCTCAGAGACAGGAGAGTGAGTTAGAGGGCAGAGCTAGGATGTGGACCAGGCTTGCCTGACCCAGAAGTCATGCTCATCACCATGGTTTTGGAGGTCTGTATATCTATGTTATGTCTGCATCTGCGGGGGAGTGGGAGGCTTCTTTTCAAAGTCCTACCCTAAGGAAGAATGACAGAGGCCATTTTGTGAAGAGGGCCCCTGGCCTGGGGAGCTGGGGGGCTGCTGAGGGGGATGGCTGGGGAGGAGAGGAGTCTATAAGGCTGACATCATGCAGGGAGGCTGATACCAGGCACTGGGCACAGCCCACTCCTCATTTCTGCCCTGCCTAGTCTCTGGGTCCCCCAGCTGCCATGAGCAAAGGCTGTGGGTAAGCAGGTACGCAGGAAGGGATGCAGGAAGTGTCATGCCTTCTTATTGCCTCCGTGTGCTGCAGGTGGCAGGGTGTTTGAGAATTTAAGAGAAAGACAAGGAGAGGAAAGAGTGAAGGGAGAAGGGCCTCCTGGTCTGCTCAGGCCCCTCTAAGGTCACATGTTGCTGCCACACCCGGGAGGAAGATCCTGGATGGGTAGAGCCCCGAGGAGACACCATGCCCAGGTGTTTGCCCAGGCGTGTAAAGCCCCTCCAGCTGCACTAACCGTCCCTGTCTCTCTTTCAGCTTAAAGTTACTCCTGGGGTCTCTCCCTGTTCTCTCATCCACCCAAGTCACCCAGGCAGGCCAGCAAGGACCATACCTTCAATACCCACCATGCCCTCGAAACAAGCCAGTCGGCTCTCCTGCTATGTAGCTCTCCTTCATTGGCCTGCAAGCTTTTAAACAAGGCACTCTTCCATCTAGGGTTCCCCTTGATATTCTCCTTTTCCAGGTTCTTCCTGGATTGAACCAAGCCACTGGGTGCCATTATAAGACATTGTTACTGCAACACTTAGTAGCTTAGCTGGCCTTTCTTCATCTCTCTCTATCTCTGTGATAAGGTAGCAGAAAGAAGAGTATCAAGGTCCACTCATTAGGAAGCGAGTACTCCAGGGCAGCAGTAGCACCTTCTAGGGCCTAAGATAGAGGCAGTTAGGGAGGAAAAAAGAAAGAAGAAGGTTTCCTAAGAGTCTCACGGTTCCTCGGAATACTTGGTTGAGCATGGGGCTGACACACCTCAGTGAGGGATGAAAGATGATGTCTTGGCATTCAAGATCACCGTCTAATTTTTGCTGTCTAACCTCATTCCTGCTCCTTGCTAATTCTTTCCATTTTAGTCCTAGAGAGGAAAAGCAAATCATCCAGCAGCCTTGAATCCTGGTCCTTCAGGGCCTTTACATCCAATGAAATTGGCTGTTGGGTCCCTCCAGTCCTCACTTATTCTGACATCTCACATTCGCCCAGACCTTCACAGTTTACAAGTCTCCATGAAGCAAAGCAGCAGTTGCTAAGAAAAGGCTGGTGTCATTATGCCATGTTACTGATGAGAAAACTCATGCCCAGAGGTTGTCACCTCTTTAGGATCATGATGCCAAAATGGCCAAAGTGCCCAGGTCTCCTAACCACCAGCAGTCTAGGACTCTCTCTTTCCACTATGCTCTGAGGACTTGTTATGTTCTCACCTCCCTCCTTGCAAAAACAAAAAACAAAACAACAGGCTGGGCACAGTGGCCCATGCCTGTAATCCCAGAACTTTGGGAGGCCAAGATGAGTGGATCACCTGAGGTAAGGATTTCGAGACCAGCCTGGCCAACATGGTGAAACACCGTCTCTACTAAAAAATACAAAAATTAACCAGGCATGGTGGCGGGCACCTGTAATCTCAGCCACTCAGGAGGCTTAGGCACAAGAATCCCTTGAACCCGGGAGGTGGAGATTACAGTGAGCCGAGATCATGCCACTGCACTCCAGCCTGGGTGACAGAGACTCTGTCTCAAAAAACACCAACCAATCAACCAACCAACCAAACAAACAACAGAAAACCTTCCTTGTACCCAAACTCCCTCATCTCAGCTCCTCTCTCCTTTCTCCCATCCATCTTGGGGGCTCCCCGCAAATTCAGTGATTTCAAGTTAGAAGGAAGGAAAGGAAGAGGGGCAAAACATATCAAATGGAGGCAGAAAAAAAAGGGACAGAGTCAATGTAAATAGGGAAGAAAGAGAGTCACAGATGGACAGAGTCCAAGCCCAAGACAGAAAGCACAACAGAGGCAGAGGCCCAGTGAGACAACAGGGCTGGAGAGAACAGGAAGACTGGCAGATTCAGAGGTATTGCAAGAGTGAGGCTTGGAGAGAGGCTGGGGGCTGAGTGGGTGAGGGGGGGCAAGGGGTGTGCTGAAGCTGGCCTCCTTCCGGTTCTGTGGCACTGCTGCAGGAGAGAGTCCCCTCATTATGCAAATGGCCTCGGGGGTTACCATAGAGGGACATCTGCTCGGTCCCCCAGTGGGTGGCTGCCTGGCTGGCGCAGGGCTTCCAAGAGCTGCAGGGCTTCCAAGAGCCAGCAGCCATCCAGACACAGCAGGACCCCATCCCTCCCACCCCTCACCCCAGTTTTCAGCCTCAAGGCCCATTCCTTCCAGTCCTATTCCCCTGTTCCTGGAGGAGGCCCCCAGGTGAATTTGAGAGGAAGGGTGAGCACTGAGGGAGGAAAGGAGGCAGCTGAGGGAAGAAGGGTTGTGTGAGGCTAGGGTGAGGTGGAAGGAGGGGCACGGGGGCCGTTTGGGGTCTCCGAGGCAGCTGAGAGGAAAGTGGAAGGGAGACGCCCCCTCACCAACAAGCCTGCCAGCCAGGACAGCTGGGAAAGGAGGGCCCGGGTCTCCATCACTCCATACGTCCCTGCTTCTTGTCTCCACAGCCTTGTTTCTAAAAGGCAGAAGGCCCTGTCCCTGAGTGGCCGAGGCACTGGCTGCGGCAGAGAGGATGCTGGGCCTCACACAGCTCACGTCCCGCCAGCACCCCACGTCTCCCACATGCCTGGTTTACTTTCTTCTACCTGGACTTGAGCATTAGGGCAGGGATAAGGCCAGTAACAGAGAGGGAGAAGCTGGGAAATTAAAGAGGGAACTGGAGAGTGGGAGAGACTGCCAGGATACAGAGAGACAGGGCCTCGAAGTACTGAAGGGTATTGGGGTCCTTACTGAGCACGGTGAGTTTGGCCCGCCGAGAGCGCAGGGCGGCCTCCGTGGCCTGGCACTCGTAAGAGGCGTCGTCAGAGAGCTCAGCATCTGTGATCTCCAGGTTGTACTGCCCAGCGTCTGCGGAGCCCACAACCCGGTACCGTGGCCAGGCTGCAGAAACAGAAAGAATGAGGCCCAACCTTGAAACAAGGACACATCCTCAGCCATCCCACACCAGTACTCCTCCCTCTGCCCTCTCCTGGGACACCACTGACAGGTGAGAAGGTGAGGCCCCAGACACAGACACCTGATGCCACGACACCTCACGGCGAGGCTGGGAGCCATACAGCTGGAGGAGCAGACAGGAGGGCAGCTGAAGCAGGGAGGCTAGCAGGAGCAGATGAAATCTCCAAGGCTGTTTGCAGACAAATGCCTCTCATAATAATAGGGGAGAAAGAGGAGAGAAAAAGGCACACAGCAGGGAGCAAAGGAGAGGGGGAGAGAGGGAGAGCGAGTGTGTGGGCGCCAGGAAATATAGGGCATCGCAGCACAGACATGAGCTCATGGGAGCACCTCTGCAGGACTCATAAGGCAGAGGGAAGCCCAAGGCAGGCCCAGGGAGGAAGGATGAGGCAGGGGACCGCTGGCTCCCCAGAGGAGCTCCTAAACCAAAGAGTCCTGGTTTCCTGCAGAAGCAGTGGCTGAGGCAGTGGGCCTTGCCCTCCTTCCTCCAGGCTCCCCCACCCGCTTCTTGCTTCCCAGCCTCCCCTCACATTCCCACCATCAGCTCCTTCCCATGATCTCCCTCTGTCCAGAGGCTATCGATTCTTCTCACTCCATATCTATTGATCTCACTCTCTCTCCCAGTTTCTTTCTCTTTCTATCATCAATAGATCTACCAGACCCATCTCTTTCCCTTATATGGATTGCTCTACACAGACGAATTTCCTCTACCTGTACTAACACATGGAACTCACAGCAAATAATCTCAACTCCCTCAACAATTATAAGAATAAAAATATACAGCCCATCCCCCACACCCATACTTACTTCTTTACAGTGCTTTAAAGCTAAAATATGTTTTTACAAATCTCTTCTCCCATTTGGCTCAAAACTCACAAATGCACTTCTAAGGCAGACCGGCCTGCAACCACTATGCCTGCTTCACACAGTAAATGAAGGTCCAGAGAGGTGAAGTGGCTTTCCTAAGGTCACCCAGCTGGCGGAGGCAGGACTAGAACCCAGGTGTCCACTCTGCCAGGCAGCCTTTCCAAAGGTCTCTTTACTTGCTTTAGAATATAGGAAGTTGGTTTTTTTGTGTTTGACTGACTCATTATGTTTGCTTCAGCACCAGCTACATAGCCAGTGCTTAATAAAGGCTTGTTGAATGAATAAATAAATGAATGCTCAGGCTGATATTAAAATGAGTTTTTGGCCTCTGAGCAGACATCGCCTGGGCAGCGGGGAGGAGAGAGGCTGGAGCCGAGCCAGGCCGGCATGAGACACTTGCGGGACACAGAAGTTGCCTGTGCCCTCTCCTACCCTTGCTGCAGACTCTGGAGTCTCCCAGCACCTCCTGCTAGACAGCTGTCTGCCTGCAGCTCCCCTCACAGGGTCTGTGTCTGCCTGAAACTCTCTTATATAAAGGTCTCTTGGTTTCCCTTGACCTCTCAGGCTTCGTACTGCCTTCCTCAAGTCAGTCCTCAGTGGGAGGAAAGGTAGAGCTGCAGGGTGGGAAAGCTGTAGAAATGGAGCTCAGTAGCAGAGACAGAGGGGAGGCTGTGGCACAGAGGAGGGTGGTGAGGGAACTAAGGGATGGTGAGTCCAGGAATCTATGCTGGAAGTGGGGAATGGCGGAGAAGATGGGACAGTTTGGACGTTGGGTAGCCAGGCACTCACCTTTGAGGCCCTGGCCCATGCCCAGGGCCAGCCCGTCCTTGGTCCATTGCACAATTCCAGAGTAGTTGAGCAGCACACAGGGGAGCACGGCCCGCTGTCCAGCCACCACCGTCTGGTCAGCTGGCTCCTGGCTGAAGCGGGTCTGGGTCCCTGCAAAGCCAAAGCCAGCACTGGGTAAGATGAGTAAGGAGAGGGGCTCCTCTAAGAGGTCCCCCTCACCATGCAGCTGGAAGGAGGGAGAGCCTCCAGTTGGGGATGGGGACTCTCCGGTCCCTGCCCCCCTTCAGCCTCAACCCCTTTGTTTCAAGATGCCACGTCCTTACCCTTTATTCCTTCCTCCCTCTGAGACCCATGGGAATGGATTTCAGGAGCTGAAGTGCTCAGCAATCACAGAAAATAGTGCACTGTTACAGAAGGGCCTTAAAAATGGGTCTAGTCCAACCCTCTCATTTTACAGAGGAGGACCCTGACTTCCAGGGAGGACAGTAACTTACTCAAGGGCAAGTTAATGGCAGAGCTGGGATTAGAACCTGAGCCCCTGCATCCAGGTCCTAGCTGTTCCTCTACTACCCATTGCCCCAGCCCACCCCCACATTAATGACTCCTACTTAGACGCGTGTCATGTGAGCTGATGGGAGTCAATGTGAACCAACACTCATGTGCAACTATGCCAGGTACAATTCCTCCACGAATACATCAGGGTAGATACTATAAAGCCAGCATGTCCACATGTGTGTATAGAAGCTTCCTGGGTGGAAAGTGTATCCAAAACAAAGTAGCTCTGAACCCACTTCTTGGCACATGTGCCCTGCTCTGTGTGTTCATCCTTCGCTCCCAAGTGCAGGGGGGCCTAAGTGTGTACACATGAACACACCTGCACACACCCCGCCTCCTTCACTGTGGGAGCTGAGAGGCCACGTGACTTTGTTCCACTCTCCCTCCGGCTGTGGGAGCTACACATGGCTGCCCGGCTGGCAGCTCGGCCGGGAGCATTTGATTAGAGAACTGCAGAGTAATTGCCTTTAATTGTGGAGCCTAAATGGAGCAGGGAATTGCATTGCGGGTTTTTTCTCCCCCACCACTCCCACCCACTGGCTCCAACCAGCACTGGTCGGCCCCAGTGGTGGGGCAGGCCTAGGCTCCTTGCAGAGCTATGTGAGCTATGGGGCTCAGGTTCCTTTGCCAAGTTGTGGGGAAAGGAGAAGGGGGACAAGGGAGTGACTGAAGGACAGCAAAGGAGAGTTCTGGGACTTCCTTGCCATGCTCCCAACCTGTCATACCAGGTAACTGAAATCGGCTCTCCCCAAAAGTCACGGCCTCCTCCTTCTTCTTTCCCTCCACAGCTCATGAATCTGCAGAGGCCACAATCCCCAAATCTGACCTTTTCCTAACAGAGCTTTCTAAAATTTATCTGCCCCATCATCACTCCTGTGTGTAAGCAAACTTAACTCACCCCTCGCCACTCCAAGATGTCCCTCTAAGCCACCACAGAAGTGGGATCCTAGTCTCATCCCCTTCCTTCCTTTCTCTTCACCAGCCCCATTTCTCCTTTTTTCCTCAAACCTGCTCTACATGTCCCTCTTCCAGGAAGCCCTCCTAGCCCAATTCCTTGGCCTCTTGGGCAAATATAACCGGTCGCGTCACTCGGCCCTGCTGTTATCACTATGTACGGGGTTTCCTCTCTCAAATGATCAGGGGTAATGTCCATGATTTTGTTTGTCACAGGGTAGAGGGCAACTAGTAGGTGAGGACATTTGCCCTATCTGTTCCAGCAGAATGCCAACATCTCCTCTAAGGCAGAGGGCCAAGCTCTCTCCCCCATCTGAATCTCCTGAACATCCGACATCCATCCCCACTGGTTGTTGCACACAAAGGGGTCTGAAAAAGAGGTAGCTGGGGCCTAGAGTGGACTGATAACCAGAATGTGATCTAGCATGAGGCAGACTCTTTACTCTTGATTAAGTGTGCAAATTTAGGTCTTTGGGTCTGCAGGGGCCAGGAAGTTAGAAACAGGCTCCCTCTCCCATACTCCATGAGTGGCTCCTCAAGTCTGCTGACCTGACCTTTCATTCATGTCTTCTAAAGGATAATCCCTTTTGAGTGATCAGGGTGGCAGGTGCTGAGATCCTGGGGGAGGGGTGGGTCAGGTGAGCAGCCAACATTATTAATTCAAGCATTGTCCTCATTATTATTCAAATTTATTCATATCCTTGCGCATTTCTCTAGTGCAGCTATATGCTGCAAACTCTCCACACTCACGTTTCTCCTTCCCATGGCCCCTGGAGCCCAAGTCAAGGGCTTAAGAGTGGGCTTGCTGGTGAGCCCTGGCTCAGAGGTGGAATTTATACGCATGGCTTTCCTGCATGGAGCCTGGACACCCTGGTCTCTCGCTGAAGTCTCTCAAGGACAGTGAGCAGCTGGCTCCTTGTCCACTTGGAATGAAGAAGCAGCTGACCCTGCGGCAAGATGGAGATGGGAAGCACTTGAAGTAAGAATCAGGAAACGGGGGTCTTGTGGAGATGAGGAGTGGTGTGACCTTGGGTGTGTCAATTCCTCATATGGGCCCCCATTTGCTCACCTGTACAATGACAAGCCTGGACTGAGGAACGCCAAATCCCTCTGTGCCCAAATACTAAGAGGACAGGTTTAGGAGACAGACTGTGGTTTATATATTGCCTGTGTGGCTTTCTCACCCAGTGACCTTGGCCAAGTTATTTGCTAAGCTTCATTTTCCTGCCTGGTAAACTGGGGAATGTTAATGTCTATTTCTGGATTGCTGTCAAAGTAAAATGAGATGAGGTGTATGCTATGCGTGGTACAGTCCCTTGCCTGTATGCACTAAATGGCAGCTATGATCATTATTTCTCCTGAACAGTTAGACAATTAGAGGGACAACTGGAAACCTGAATAGGAACATGACAAAGAAGGTGGTATCTGACTTTCTGGCAGTTTTGAAGTTTCCTCTTGATTTAGGCCTGACTGAAGCAATTCAGTCCAGACACAGGGGCATGGAAGTAATAACCTTGCAGAGAGTCCAGAAAGGAGGGGAAGTAAAGACATCTCGGGAATTTAATTGGATGGAAAGGCAGCCTAGACCCTGGGCCTACTAAAGCCACTGGCAATGTTTTCTGGTCCCAAAACAGCCCCTGCAGCCAACATAGAATCCCAAATATAGTTCAGATGCCCCTGGGTTATGCCGACCTGGCTTATGATTACAGGAACGCCCCAAGTCTCCCTTCACCAAGTCCTGTTCTCTCTGATCTGTACCCAGATGCTAGGCCACTTGTCCTGGGTTTTTAGTGGCTTCTTGACACTCAAGGGCAAACCAACACCTCATCCCCCTTTTACATTGTAATGCTACTGGGTCCCCTCTCCCCTTCCTTCCTGCTAACTGATCAGCCATGCCCTGTCCGAGGCCTGCACCTCACTGCTCACTTTCTAGGCTTTCTCCTCTGCTCTCCCACATCCCCCTCGCCACCACATGTCAGAACTGTCCAGAGCCTGTTTCCCTTGCCCTTCCCTTCTCTGCTCCACATTCTCTTTTTCAGGGAGCTTCCCAGGACCGACTCCAAGTTCCACCCAGCATTGTTCCTCCTCTCACTGAGAGGAGGCCTTTGTCACCTCTTCATGCCCTTGCACAGGCCTTTCCCTGGGGTGGACACTGCTCCCCCTGCTCCCTCGGGATTCAAACAGTCACCTCCTCTGGGAAGTCTCCCGTGACTTTCGTGTAGTTCCCTCAAGGTCTTCCTACTCACGTCTCACTTCTGCTGTAGTAGGGCCCACACTGCACTGGCCACCCCATCCCTGCTGTTACCCCAGGGGCAACTCCAGGAGTCTGGACTGTGCCACTTATAGTCAAGCCCATCACCAGGTGCAGGGCCTGCTGCCTGGCACACTACGGGTGTTCCAAATATGTCTGTTGACTGAGGGAGTGAGAGTGAGCAAATCCGAGTCCACAGTCCTGCCTGTGAAACCACCATCCAGAAAAGGAGGCAGAGCATGCCCCTGACCCCAGAAGGCTCACAGACTTCCACCGAGGTAGAGACAGGCTGGGCAGGTGAAGAGGACAGCACCCTCCTCTCAGTGAGAGGAGGAACAATGCTGGGTGGAACTTGGAGTCGGTCCTGGGAAGCTCCCTGAAAAAGAGAATGTGGAGCAGAGAAGGGAAGGGCAAGGGAAACAGGCTCTGGACGGTTCTGACATATGGTGGTGGCGAGGGGGATGTGGGAGAGCAGAGGAGAAAGCCTAGAAAGTGAGCAGTGAGGTGCAGGCCTCGGACAGGGCATGGCTGATCAGTTAGCAGGAAGGGGAGAGGGGACCCAGTAGCATTACAATGTAAAAGGGGGATGAGGTGTTGGTTTGCCCTTGAGTGTCAAGAAGCCACTAAAAACCCAGGACAAGTGGCCTAGCAAGTGTCCTAGGCACACATTTGTGTGCACACCTGCCTCTCAGGTCCTGGTTGCCTGGCCGTCCACCATCCACGCCACAGAGCAGAGCCTGCCCTGGACTGAGGATGACATTTCAATCCCGTCCCTATGCCTGCGCCCCCTTCCAGGAAATAAAACCAGTGCCAAACAGAAACACAAGGAAACTGCTCTATGTGGGGTGGGAAGGTGGCCTCCCGGGGGCCAGGTGGGAGGGGAACCAGGAAGGTCCTGACCACAGACATACAGTGAAAACAGACCATTGCTGGGTCAAATTCTGGCAGCTCCAGTCTGGGGCCAGCCAGTGAGATTCTGCGCGTATGTTTTAAGTGTATTCCCATCTGCTTTGATCTTGCTCCCTCCCTGCCTTCAGACACCATCACAGCTGTGGTGAGCTCTTAAGCAGTCATTGTGAAGACAGGCAGAGAAAAACTGAGCAGCATACCTGTGTGCCAGGGCACGCACACTCACACATACTCACACGCACTCACACGTACCCAGAAGGCTGACAGAGGCGTAGACAACGCTGAGAAACAGAGACAAAGACAGACACCCACGCAGAGGCAGAGGGAGAGCGAGGAGGGAAAGGAGACTAGAGTGAGAAGGGAAGAGGCGAGCTCTGTAGGAAAGAGCCCAGCGTGGAAAAGACGCAGGCCGGGCCGACAGAAATCCAGAGAGAAAAGTGCCAGGAGGAGCCAGTGAGACAAAGACACCCATGGAGTAATAGAAACCCGAGGCAAAGCAGGGGGGAAGGAAGGCAGAGAGATGGAGACCAGGAGAAAGACAGAGGTGGGAGGGGAGCTGGGGGCCCTGGCAGCACCCCATCTCCTGCCCCAGGGTTGGACACTCCGTTTTTCTCACTGGATAGGAAATTACGAGAAGGCCCAGCCAGGGTTTGCAGGCAGGTGAATAGTCTAATTAGGTGGAGGAGATCAGAGTCTTGAGGGGTGAGAGGAGCACAGAGGGACCCTGGGGAGAAATTAGGAGAGCAATAGGGAATTTGGCGTGGCAGCTCTGTGCTTCTTCCCCAGGTGAGGCAAGGTGAGAGGTGAGGTAACCCTAATCGCCCACCAGCATCCTCTCTGCCTCTCTCTCAGACATCCGTCCTTTCAGGTTAGCCCACAACCCTCACCACACACACCCCATAAGGCAAAGCCCCTCTAGCCTCAGACTGGGAATCATTCCCTCCCTCTTCTCTTACTGCATTGTTGGGGCCTCTGGTTATAACACTTTATCACAGCCTGCCTTGGATTAAAAGTTACCCATATGTGTGTGTTTCTGTCTCCCCCACACTCTTGGGAGCCCCTGGATAACAGAGATGCTTTGATTTATCTTCCTTGACCCTTCAACCCCAGCAATGTTCCTTAATAATAAACACTCCCAATTATAAGATGCCAACTATGTGCCAGGCACCGAGGCAGATGCCTTGTAGACACTGTTTCTGCATAATAATCCACTATTATTATCTCTGTTTTATAGAAAAGGGAAATAAGGCTGAGGGTGCTTAAGGTACAGCTGTTAAGTGGCAGAGATGGGATGTGAACTCAGGTATTTTCTGCTACAGGGATATCCCGGGTGTCTCTCCAGAATGGACGAGATTCATGACCTCTACCCAGAAGAGAACTATCAGTTAAGTTCTGCCATCTACCACTCCTTCTTCCTGCCCTACAGCTTACACTCCCATCTTAACCCTGTTTACCTCCTGGGAGGCTGCACTCTTCAGCTCTGGGCTGGCCAGCACTTTATAGCCACGCAGGACTTGCCCCACACACTGCCACCAACATAGAAGACTTGGTCTAGATGTCCCTACACGAAGGGAGGAGCGGTAGCCAAGGCTGGAACGACTGTCAACAGCATCCAGAGAGGTTTTGGTGATTCATAAAGCACCAACCTTCAGGCCACCAGTGGCTACCAGCAGAAGTAGCCCCTGCTTATAAAGGGCCAATGACTGTTCTGTGCAGCTCACTAATCCACTGCCACTTTTATACACAACAACCCAATAAGGTAGGCACAATTACTATCCTTAATAAAAAAAGCTAAGGCTCAGGGACATCAAGAAACTTCCGTCTAGTCACACAGCTGGTAAGTATCGGACAGAGAGCACAGCAAGGAGCCAGGCCACTGGCTCCCTTGGAATGCCATCTCAGCAGCCTGGCCACTGCTGTCTTCTCTTGGAACCTCCCAGCTCAGATTCAGGTCACTGTGCAAAACCAGTCCCCAGGGGTTTCTCCACCTCCCCTTAATACTGTCCCCTCACCTGGAGCACTCTCTCCCTCTTAACACTGATCCTCCTGGGGCGACTATCCCTGTTCTCCAGCTCCCTGCTCCATCCTCATCAGGGCACTGGGGTCCAGAGCTAGGCCAGTCTCTGTGTGTGAACACACTTCCTGCTCCTGCAAAGACCGGGAGGACAACAAGGTCGAATCCCATTTTTGACAAAGAACTAGGAAGTGACCTCTAAATCTATCCTAGAGGGGCTGGAAATGCTTAGATTCACACACACACACACACACACACACACACACACACACACACAAGTACGTCATACACTTCTTATAGGGACACATGTACCATAACACACAAGCGCATGCATTTACCAGCAAGCACATGCGCACACACACCCCTCCCACATTCAAGTACTTGTCTCTGCACCCATGGATGCCCGTCTGCTTCCGTGTCTCTGCACACGTGCCCTGATGGTCATGTTCCCAGAGCCTGGGCTGCCAGGCCAGCCCGGAACCAGAGAGGGAATGGGGCCAAGCACATGAGATGCCAGGGGACCAGGCGGCAGAAGTAGGGGGTGGTGGAGGACAGGCCCTGTCTCCCCGGATTTATCAAACGAGCAGTAATGAACCCCCTGGGCCAGAGCAGTCCCCACGCTCTCCACTCCAGATCGTGCTGCTGGTTCAAAGGGAAGCCTCTGATTCGCACCGACAGCTTTCAGATGGAACTAAATCTCTCCACACTCCACTCTCCCTCCCTCTCTGCTCTCACATCTTGGCTCTCCCCACCCCCGCAGGACTCTTTTCCCCCCAACCCCAGTCATTCCCTTCTTGCTCTATGAAAAATACAACAGCCAGAGAGGTCCCCTCACATTGGGTTCTCTCAGAGAAAGAGGATTTCAATTCTCTAGGCTGGGCCATCGAAGGGCGAAGGAGAGAAGAAAGGGAGAGATTGGCACTTCTGATAGAGGAGAAGAGAAGGCAAGAAGGAGGGAGGAAGGGAGGGGAGTGCTGAGCTGGGGCTGGGCAGGGTGAGGACAGATCCAGAGAAAGAAACCTGGCAAGGGCCATGGAGGCAGGCAGAGGCTCCCCAGAGTAAAGCTCTGTGCCTGCCCAGCTACTGCGGATGAGGGGTCTGGGTCTGTTGATTTTGCCTTATACACAGCCCAGCCTAGAATCCTAAAATGTCAAATTTTGATGTGACTGACTTTAGAGACCCTTAACCCCCTCCTTTGACAGATGAGGCATCAGAGGTCAGAAAACTCCATTGCCTTGCTCTCAGTGGATAATCTCAGAGGAATGACTACACGTAGATGTCAGGTGATATGGACATCAGACGAAGAGAGAGAAATGACAAACGGCATTCCCCAAAGACAAGTTTCTAAACATTTAAGGACTATTATCACCTCCTGTCTCTGCCGACCAAAGCTCTCTGGCTTCATTTCACAGTTTGCAGTGAAAAAGACACTGAACAGTAGGAGCCTCAAATGCCCAGACTGAATCCACCTTTACCGCCTTCCCACTGCTGGTCCTTTCTCATCCCAGGAAGCCAAAGCCATGGACAGAAGAATCAATCTCTCCTCCCTCATCCAAGCAGCTTGGCCACCGCCTCCCTTCTGTCCGTCTCTAAGGCTGGGGGTATGGTAGGGACAGCCGTAGGGGAATCTTTCCAGGGACCAGATGGGATTTTACAAGTGACCATGGTCTGGCCTGGTTTCCTTGCATCTGAGCAGACCACAGAGGCCAGCTGCAGCGGCTGGCTGGAGGGGCTGGCTGGTGCTTACAGTGACAGGGCAAGAAGGCTTACTGTTCTGGGCCTGTGGATTAGTCACCTCAAGAGGCAGGAACAGAGCCCTGAAAAATGCAAGCGGGATCAGCCCAGCACAGTCCTGCCAGGAAGGGACAGAAGTACTCTAAGCCAGAAGTTAGGAGACGTGGGCTTGTCTGGTCCTGGCTCTGCCACCAACCTGCTGTGTGACTTGGAGAGCTCATTTCACTTATTTGGGTCTCAGGCTCCTTAGCCTGTAAAAGGGAGGAGAAGATTCACTTGGCCCCCAAGGGCCTTCCCATCTCTAATGTCCTCAGACTGCAACCCTGCCTCCTGCTGACCTGGGGCCTCGGTCAAACCTTGAGGACACTTAAGGACTCAGCACCGACTGCTGGGAGGAACTAGTGTACCTGGGCCCATCTTGGCATTTCCTCCCTGGGGCGTTTCCTCCCTCATCCTGCAGGGATGTGGAGGGAGGTCTGTGGGTGTGTGTCACTAAGACAGAGGCTGAGGACCCAGATGAGGTATCCGGCATAGGAGAAGAGAGGCCATCCTTTCCTTTCCCATTAGAAGCTCCCATCAGAGTTTCTCACATCCCTTCCATTAGGGCTCATGGTGGTGCAAGGAGGATAGAGATCAGGCAGCTGAGATCCCTGAAGCGACCTGCCAGCCCAGGCCCACTCACAGGACTTTGAGCTCTACATGGAAAAGGCTGGAAGTGATGCTGGAAACACTCCCACCTGCCCCATTTGAACCTCCAGCTCAGGGCACCTGCGCCAGACCTAGTAGGACAGCTCTATGCAAATGTACCCTGGCAAGGGCTCCTGAGAATGTTTTATGGGAAGGACAATGGCATGGGGAGCCTAAATGTGTTGGCTATAGCAGGTATGACAGACAGGTGGGAGCAGAAAGGGGGTGGTAGGGCTGATGGATGGTTCTGCTGAAAACCTGAATTTTAATCTGGCTTTAGTGGGCAAGGGAAGGGAGGTAGGGGAGACAGGAGGCAGGTGGCAGGTAGGGACTTAGTTCAGATAGGAGGCTAAGAGGAAGGAGAGCAAAAGACAGAGCGGGAAGGAGGCGAGAGAGCAGAAACTAGGCCAGGGCCAGAGAAGGCTGCAAGAGATGGAGAAAGGCACCAGAAGCTGGGGTGGGAAAGCAGAAAGGGACGGGGAGCCTCTGTCCTCTCCATCCAGGCCCTGCACCTGCCTCCCTGACCTACAGGAGCACATGGAGGCAGGGTCCAAGGCTTGGCTTTCCAGCAATTCCCAGGGTCCACACAGTGGGAGGGAAGGAAACTGAGACGCAGGACACTGAAGGAGATGCCTCAATGTGCAAAGTCAGACTGGGAAGAGAAAAAAGATGACAAGAAAGAGTCATAGGCAGAAATAGAGAGCAAAGGAGATAAAAGAGAAAGCTAGTTGTGGGAAAAGTAAGCAAGAGGCTGTTAAAGATTGTTTTAAGGTCAGGTGAGGAAGAAAGGTGCTAAGAGGACACTATGGTATGAAAGAAACAGAGGACAGGACAGAGAGACAAGCAAGGGGAAGAGAAGAGAACTGAATTAGAATGATGACTGGAGGTAGGTAGGAAAGGCCTTGATGGTCGCCACTCCAACATTCTTTATTTTGAAGGAGCTGAGGGTCAGGGAGGGAGGGAGGGATGTGGAGTTGGCATGTCTCCAAATTCCCGGTGGCTTTGGCACTAGCCTCACAATGACAGAGGGCCCCTCTCTAGAGGCAGGGCACATCCCAAAGCCTACTCTTCCTGCACTGATGGTGGGGCAAGAAGAGGCTCTTCCTGGAAACCCTCCTTCACTGAAAGAAGAAACAAAAAAAAAAAGGTGATGAGAGAGGAGTTATGGAAAAGAAGGTTGGGAAATTTGATAAAAAATGAGAAGTGAGAATCAAGAAATAAAGTAAGGAGACCATCTGGGAGAGGAAAATGAGAACGAAAATAAGAAGGACAAAAGAACAAGAGAGAAGAAACTGGAGAAAGCTGAGGGGAAAGAGGGCAGGCGGCAGAGACAGTGGGGTCTCACAGGCAGAAATCCGGGCTGCGATTCCCACCCTCTGGCCTCATCTGAAGGTCTTGAGCTTCTAGGTTGAAGAAAAGGAATGACGTCTTTGGGAAATGGAAGGGAGCTTTGAAAGGATTAGCCAAGGAGGGAGAGAAGAGAATGAGGTGGGCTATATATGAGGTAACACAGAAGGCAACAGAGGACAGGGCCTTTGTGTCTCCCCACAAACCAAGGCTGGCTCACAGCTCACCTCCCTTCTGCAGGCGTCCTCAAGGGGTTCTCTAACCTCACCTCCTAGAAGAGAGGTCAATTACTCCTTCATCTCTTGCCATCCTGCCTTTTCCTGGGCAGGCACAAAATTTTTCCTGGAGTCTAACCCTATTCCCTTCTTTTAGTAAAGCCATCCCCTCTGGGCACGACACCTCCCTACAGGCTCCATAATTAAGGCAAGTGCAAGTTCTGCTCTGAAAACCTCCCACTGCTTACTTCAGCATTCTTAGTTACCACTGTTACCAACAGAGCTTCTAAGCACAATCTGAGAAGAGCCAGAATGGTGCCTGGGTCCCCGCAACAGGCTGGAAGCCCAGGAAGAAATGCAGGCTTGTCCCAGACCCTCTCTAGAGGTCTCCTGGCACTTTTAGGAACAGTCTCCTGAATAAACAGCCTCAACTCAGAAATCCACAAAGAGCTGGGCAACAGTGAGGAGGGCATTCTCTCCTTGACCCTGAAACCAAAGAACCAGAAGTAAATCCAGATCTTCTGATACCAGGCAAGCACTCTGAAGGACCCCTCTCTGTTTCTAATTTTAAAAGCTTTATTACATTTCTATGCCTCCTCACCTCCCACCCCCCAACTCTTGCCCCTCTTTCCCACTTCAAAATTAAAAAAAAAAAAAAAAAAAGACCAGCAGGTTTAGGTGTTAGACATTATTCTCCTTCCAGAGGCTGGAATTTCCAGATGAACCATCTGAGTCTATGAGCCAGGTGAGCAACTAATACGGGAAGGTATGGGGCTCTGATGAATGCTGTAGACATCAACCCTCCCTGGCTCTCCACTAGTGCCTCTAAGAAAGGCTGGCTTGGCAGACACTAGACATGCCCATAACACAGGTGTGTCCCCAGACCCCATCACTGCCCCTTCCATACAAGCCCTAGGATAGACATTAACAGTTGTAGATCCCAAGGAATAGATATTGTTATTCACATAAAATTTTCTAATAGCACATAGCAGAGGCTTCCCATCACTAGAGGTGTTCAAGATAAGGCTGGATGGCCACCTGGCAGCAATGCTCCGGAGGGCTCTAGGTAATATTTAGGATTCCTTTCAACTCTGATGCTTTAGAATTCTATTTACACACCATAAATTTTCTTCTTACTTTGGACTTACACCCATCAAATAATCAATTTGTAACAGGTCAATTAGGGTGGACTCAAAGTTTAAAGGAAGGAATTCTTTAAACAGGGCCATCTGAAGGGGGAAGAACAGGTCAAAAAACAGTCTAGGATGGAAGTCAAAGGTATAAGTAAAACCTTTTCCCCATGGCAGTTAACCATGACGCCAAAGACTTGGTAATGGGACTTGAACATAATCATATGGATTCAGACCTGGAGTCTAGTCTGCAGCTATAACTTTTTTTATTTTGGCTCCTTTTCCAGACGAATAGATGGCAAACTTCTTGAGGCAATAAATGTAATCTTAGTCGTGCATCATCCACACACACCATAGGTGCTCAGTAAAAGCTTATTATTTGCTTATCTGAATTAAGGATGAATGTATAAAACACCACCCTCCAGAGAAAATAAACTTAATTCAACATACATCTATTCATGTAATAAATACTTATTGAATGCCTACCATACTGTACACTGTCCTGGACCCTGGAATACAAAGGTGAACACGACAGACCTAGTCCTGCCATCATCCAGCTTCAAGTCTGGTAGACATACCCAAGCACCAAGTCCATACAGTGCGACAGCGGCCATGATGGGGCAACATGGAGGAAAGTACCTGAGGTGCAGGAACGAATCCTGTAGGAAGTGATGTCTTTGACAAGATCCGAGGGATGAGTAGGAGTTTTCCTGGTAAGCAGAGAGAGAAGGGAGAAGAAACTGTCCTGGGAAGGCAGAGGGCATAGACAGCAGTGTGAAGTTGGGAAAGTGAGGCCTTTTAGGATCCTAGAAACAGTTCAGCCTGGCTGGTATGTTGAGCACAGCTCTCCTGGAAGCCAAACAGTGTGCTTGATGGGATGGGCAAGCTGGAAAATGGGAAGTTGCCTGCTCATCACATTCTATCAAGGGAGACAAATTAGTTAACAAATAAGTGCTGAAAGACTACCAGTGTCATGCAGTGGTAGCCCATGCTGATGAGATGAAATCAGGGCCGACTTGATGGGGGGCAATGATGTGGGAACCCATGCAATCTGAATACTCCTGAGGGCATGGACATGGGGGTCTTATTCCACTCAGGAGCTTACAGCCTTAATAGATGCTTGTTGAATGAATATCTTAATTGATGTTTGTTGAATGAACAAATACATTGCATTTTTTTCTTATCTGACTTCCAAACTGGTCTTCCCTTGGGCTGAGACTCATGTTAGCCTTTTATAGCTCTGGGCCCTTACTATAGCCTCGTAAGTTGGACATAGGTGGTCTTGCTTGCCACAGAGTAGGTATTCAATAAATGCACATTTATCGGCCAGAATGGCATTGAGCCTTGAAGACAAGAAATATTTCGACAGCCAGAGAACTGGGAGAAGAGTATTTCACACAAAGGGAACAGCATGAGCCAAGACACAGAAACATAAAAGTCCAGTGAGCAATTGGAAGTGGCTGGGTTTCAGGCACATAAATAAATTGGAATCATGATCAGGCATCTTTAAAAATCTAATGCCTTCTCTTTCTGGACATTTCTCTGGCTCTGCACTCCAGAAACTTCTGGGCTATGGAGAGAATGGACATAGACAAAGAAAGAGGTCCAGATTCAGAAAGACGAAAGTGGAAGCTGTGGCACATCTAAGCTGCACAGGGCCATGTGTGTCAGCCTGATAATGTTTGGGGACAGGCTTGAGAAGAATCAGAAAGGAAGAGGCTGCCTATGGTGATGTCAGTGTGTTTTGTATCTGCGTGCAAGGGGGGACACATGTGTCCTTGTTTGCATTCACCTGTCTAGGTAAGCGTGAGTGTGTTACCACACGTCAACATACTAGTGTTGGTATACAGCCACCAAAAGGGAGAACGAGGCACTTTCTGCACATAAGCAGGACATGCTAGAGTTTTCCAATTAATCTCCATTAAAAATATTTCCTGCAAAGGCGCTCCTAGAATCCCCAGGTTGGGGTCATCTGGATCAATTCTGCGTAAAGTAAAAGCAGTTCCAACCGGCTGCTGAATCGATCCATCTAACTCGGTTCATTCTACACGTACAGGGGGCACAGAATGTTAATTTGCTGCAGGGAGCTGAGGAAGCCTGGAGTGGAGGCTCCATAATTAAGAGCTGTAGGAGCAGGTCTCAATATGGCAGCAGTCAATAGGCAGAGGCTTGCATAGAGGAGGGAGCATCCAGAGGTAGAACTTCAGGGTTGATGACGCTGGAGCCCTTGTTCTTCCCTGCTCTGCCTGACTGAGTTTCCTTGTCAGGCAGAAAACAAATGCTCCAAGAGCAGAGGCCAGGGAAGCCAAAACCACTCATCTTACCACTCTCAGAAATTTACAGGATATTGGTGGGGGACATGATTTTAGTGACCAATTGCAAGTCTGTGGTGTGGGCACATGGAGAAACTTTCTCTTTAGGGCATGCACACTGATGACTGTTCCTGGGACCCCAAAGCATGTGAACACCAGGGCAGCTCTGTGCCCTCATTTCCATGAAGGAGGCAAGTATTAGCAGAAAGAGAGAGCAACCTACTTGTCCACATGCCAGCCACTCCACCATCTCCTAGCAGACCTACATCCATCCACAGCCTGCTATGCAACCTTCAAATCCCCGTCCTCCAGGCAGTCTTCCCAGAGGGGCTATAAAGGAGATATTCAGTTTCCTTTCCCATCCTACAAAAACCAGCCACCCTGAACTGTGCCCTCATCAGCCTCCCACATGAGCCTGTCTCAGCTTTTCTACTCACCCCAAATTCTGCTGATCTGGGGGCACCCAACTCTGCTCACTTGTCTCTCTGTCCTGTGTCAGTACATCTCAGCCTCAGAACCACCCTAGATGCCAGCCAGAGGAGAGGCCAGAAACATGTGACTGATGAAGGTGTCCACTAAAGCTTCACACAAAACTGCCTAGAGAGGAGCTGGATGCAGCTGTGGCAAAGAGGATACCCCACATCCAGGTGTAGGAGAAACCTTGAGAAAGCAGCCTGCCTCTTCTCTCACACTCTTTCACTCCATCTCTGAGTCTTCCTTTCCCTTTTTGATCTCCCTGTGTTGCCCACCCCCAAGGAATAGGGAGGGGATCTCTCATCCCTCCGCCTCTGTTGTCCCTGGTCTCTGCAATAACCTAATGATTTCTCATTTAGTTGTCCAGGGCTGGATGCAGAAAGGCTCGTTTTGATTGCTTGTGACACCTATCTCACAACAAATTTAGCACCTCATTTCCTGGACCAGGCAATATTCCCTCTCGATTTACTCCCAGCAAGAGGGACAGGGTGCCATGCATTCCAACGAGCAGCCTTTGCTTCCTGATATCAGAATCAATCAAGCTCACAAACCTCTGATGGATGGATGGATGGGGGGTTAGGTTCTCAGGGGGGCACAGGAGGGCTCCAAGAACAAGGAAGAGGTAGAGGACAGAGCAGGGCACAGGGAAGCCTCCGGAAACTCAGCCCTCAGTGGGTTTACAGGCAGAATTCTCTGAAATGGAAGGTGGGGACAGGAGCAGTTTAACCTCTGCTCAGGTAGTTCTGGAACTTCCTTCCCAAACCACTCTTGAAATTTGGGTATTTCATCCAGCCACCCCCTAAATGTGCCCTAAACTCTGGGCTAGGAGACGGCACCGGAGTCATGCTGTTTCACCCTGGAATAAGATGAGAGCGGAAGGACACTTCCCTGCTTCAAGCCCCGACTCCAGCATTCCTCAATACCTTGTATTGCATGGAAATGACTCTTCCTACAAAATCACTTGCTCCTGGCTGGGCTGCCAGGAAGAGCAGGAATTCTGAGGGATCTGCCCCATATGACTGATGAGGGGAGATGAAAAGAAATTTCTCCAGCCCAAGAGGCAAGCAGAGGCTGTTGGAGGAATGGGTCGAGAGTCCTCTCATAAGGGAGTTAAAGGAGGAGGAAGGCGCAGCAGAAAGTCTCAGTGGAGGCGGAACAGGCAGATTGAAGTAAGAGACCAGGGGACTTCTGGAAGGACATGGGAAAGGGAGCAAAGGAGGAGAGAGAGAGTAATAAGCAGAACTCAGCTAAAGACAGAAGGGTCCCATGCATGAAAGATAGAAGTGTGAGGGCCTTAAGCTGTGCAGGGCAATAGTAGAAGGGAACGAGGGTGGGAATGGGTGAAATTGGCTCATCCTGGTGGCTACAGACAGGGAGATTGAGAAGGAGGGGCAAAGGTCAGAGATCCCCAGAATGTGAGCTGTGAAAGAGGACAGATGTCATCAGAACCCTGCCCAGGAATGCAGGATGCAGACTCCCTGCTGGGAAAGGCGAAGGAGGAGCAGAGAGGAAAGGGGAAGGGGCTGATCACCAGCAGGGGTGGCAGATGGTCGCTGTCATTAAACGGATTCCAGTAAGTCCAGGAAGCCTTAGACAGCACAGACAAGGTTGGGTAAGCAGTAGGAGGAGAGAATTAAGGAGCAGAGACTTGGAGGAAGGAACTTTCACAGAAACCTCACACCAACCTGTATGTTTACATATAATCTAAACGTATTCCCACTTCAACCCTAACCCCAAACAGTAACCCCGAACCCAATGTCCACCTCAACACTAATTCCAATCCATACCTAATCCTAGCAATCACTCTAACCCCAAATCCTAACTAGAACATGAGCTCTTGAAGAGGCACAGCATCTCAAGTCCCCTCAGAGCCAGGTACAGCATAAGTGATCAATAGGTGCTTATTGAATAAATAAGAACATAATAAGCCAAACTTTACCTCTATCCTTAACAGTAATCGCTGCTTCAAGCCTGAGCCCCCACCCCTGCCTACCCTGATGCTCATACTGAGCACTAGTAAATCCCACACCCCAGGTGAGTATTCCCTACCCTAATCCTAAAGGCCACTTTCCTAACCCCAATCTCATTTCGCCTAACTCTAATCCCAGTTTTTTTCTGCCCCCACCTCTGGAGAGATGAGGGCCCTCAGTTAGAATTCATCTAGGCAAACAAAGGTAGAGACAAACAAAAGTGTCAACTCAACCTGGAGGCCAAGCCAGGGTGGACATGTTGGCCCCTGAATTCTCAAGCTAATTGTGGATGCTTACCCTTGTCTCTAACCCAGACACCCAGAGCGTTCTCCCCTACAGTCCTATTCTTGTCCCAGAGGCTGGGTGCTAGAAACTGGGGCTGAACGTGGGTTTGAGGGCTGGGCCAAGGCTGTGAGGCTCCGGAAAAAGGGACTTGATGCTTTAGACAACAATAGAATGAGTTAGATCTGAAGAGGCACGTTCCTGCAGAGAGAAATCTGACAGGGAGTAAGTGAAAGGACTCCAGTTTGGAAGGCAGAACCAAAACATCTTCCCACCCACAGCGCTGACCCTGGGATCCCTTGCCCAGACACAGGGTGCAGGAGTGCTCTATTGGGTGCCCATGGGAAACATGCAGTGGGAAGGGTGCTGTGTAGGGTGTGGAACTGCTCTGTAGACACTTCCTATCTGCCCCACAACTCAGGAGCAGGGATCTCTCCCTCCGGGTCCTGCCACTCCCTCTCTGCATCTCCAAAGAGCAAGGCCCTCCACATCTCTCAGGACATGTCGGCTGCGGCGTCTGGGAGAGGAGCTCAGTATTATGTTCTGTTCTTGCCGCAGCCAAATCTGATTATCAGGATGGGTGATGGATGAGCTGGGTTTGGACCCCCAGCTCAGGAATGGGATGATGGAGTTGGCCTGTCACTCTCTCCCCAGGGGATGAAGCATCGGGTCCCAGATGTCGTCTGCAATGTGCATACCTAAGAGATGTCTCCCTAACCAAGATCCCCGAGGGACTGAAAATCCCTCTCTGGCTTCCAACTATTTCTTGCTATAAAGACCTTTGAGCTGCAAAGTACCTGCACTAGCTCCCCGAGACCTGCAGAAAGCAGGATCAGAAACCTAGGTGTCAGAATTCCTAACCCTGGGTGAGACCCATTGCTTCTGGCTGGCTGCCAACATCCATGGGGGTCACTTTGAGGGAGGGGGTGGAAAAGCTTGCCTCAGCTCTTGGCTAGGGGCCTCCAGGCATTTCTCAGTGACAGCCATGGGCCTTGGAAGCCTGGGGCAGGGCAGGGAGGGAGGAGGGAGAGACAGCACAGAATAATAATGAAGGATTTTTAATAACTCGTCAGCTATGGTGTCAGCTGAACAGCAGCAGCAGCGCAACCTGTTGGGAAAACTTGGTGAGGAATTGTCTTCCTAGGAAGTTAGAGGAGTCAGAGGGGCTGAGGGCAGGAAGGAAGTGTCTTCCTCATCCCAGGCACCACAAAGCTTTGAGTCAGTGGTGGTGCAGGACAAAGTGCCAACAGAATTACAGAACCCGAGGCCTGGCCCTCTGGGAGCTTCCACTCTGGACCAGACCCGCAGGCCACAGACGCAGCTGAAGATACAAGCAATCTATGAGGACATTACTGAGCACAGCCAAGCTTCCCCTCCAGAAAATCGCAAGCCCCCAACTCACCCAGTGAAATCAATCAACTGGAAGGCAATTACATGCTTATCAAAGGGCTTCTTCTCTTTACCTAATAATTCACCAAGGATTTGTTTGAAGTAGCAGTGTCATCAAAGAAGGTTAGAGAAAGCCCCTAGGTACTACCTTTTCAATGGCCTCGTTTTCCAGATAAGGACACTGAGGTCCAAAGACACTGCAGACAGTTGGTGGCAGAACCGGGACTGCTAGAAACTAGAAATCCAGGTCTCTTGGAAATTAATATTATTTTACCTACAAAAGCAGAATTTCCATATACTTTTCAGGGGACCAACTGCTGCAAAGAGTGGAGTACCTGGGTACTCTGGCATTTCAAGAGCAACTGCCTTTTGAGTGGGAGCAATCGGGAAACCTGGGGCGACCCCAAAAAAATATTACACATCTTTTCTTTTCCTCAGATCATCCTAGGAGGCCTTCCTGGAAGCAGTGGCTATGGATATGAACTGACTAATGGAGAAACAGTTCCCAAGCCTTTAGGTGACGGTGGGAAAGAGCTCAGTGGCATGAATAGAGAGGAATATTCTATGTCTGTGAAAAGCCCTGGAGACAAATTAAAAGACAGGAGTACTTATCTTGCACACAAATGAAGGCACAGGAGAGAGGACTGAGAAAGATTCCAGGTCTTAGGAAGTCAAGGGCCCTAAAGGGTTAGTGGCTCTGAGCAGACCACCAAAGACAAGGCAGGGCTTCCTTTCTGGGATAACAGAAAGAGCTGGCTGGGATTTCCTGGAAGCTCTGGCATCCTGCAGAGACCATCCCACGTGTCCCCAAACCCCAAATAAAGCTGAGTGGAGGTGTCAACCCTCAGCTCTCTTCGTGTTAGGCCACAGTGCTGGGGGCAGGGACTCACACCTCTATCCCATCTACTCCTGAGAGCCCCCAAAGGCAGTAACATCTCTGCACCTCAGGTCCTGGCACACAACAGGCACTTCATTAGGGTTTGATGAATGAACGAAGGAAGGAATGCTGGGGTCCTCCTAGGAGAAGATGAAAAAAAGATAAATGAAGGTTTGGAAGAAGGAGATGGGAGTGGCAAAGATGCTGGGATATGGCACCTCCATATCCTGGCAGAAGGCAAAGACTGAATGACTCCTTCCCTGTTTTAGAAGGAGAAACTAAGGCACCAAGGAGTAGGCACATGTTCCACATGAGAAGTTCAGAAATGAAACCCAGGAGTGAGCCCCATAGCTCCAAGCCCAGGCTGCCAGCACCCCCGCCCAGCCAGCTGCTCTGGAAGATGTAAAGTGCTATCTAAACGTGATGCATTATTAACACTTTAGAAATCATATTTCACAGCCGCCCGGCTGGAGCTGGAAAATGAATTTCTTCCTCCTGCTCTCCAAGCAGGGGAATTATTGTTGGAGCCAAATGTGACAGCAGTGACACGTGACCAGGGCCAAGGGAGAGGTGGTTGAGGGTGAAGGCCATAGGCACACACCTGGGGCAGGTGCTGGGTGCTCCTCTTTTTCCTAAGCCCCAACCAGGCAAGACAGCCAACCTGACCCCTGCCTCTCCTGGTCATGAGCATCAGCCTTTGGGGGCTCTTTGGCCTGCTCCCTCACCCCTAGACCCCTGCTGATCACTCCCCAGGTGCAGAACCTTGCCCTGCCCTGTGAGGAGGAATTGCAGATGGTGGTGGATGCTCCAGCCTGACGCGAAAGGCAAGTCCTTGGGAGACAGACACAAGGGCAGAAGATCTGTCATCACCACTGCAGGGGCTTCTCGGGAGAGGAGGGTACAAAGCAGGATGGGGAAAGAGCGCCCTGGAAGAGGGCGAGTGGCCTCCAGGCAAGCCCAGAGGTGAAAGGGAATGGTGTTGACAAACAGAGACTGGTTTTGCCCATTTGGGCTGAAAGGAAAGGAGAGGGCAGGATGAGGGGGGGCGAGGAGTGTATCCCTGGCAGGGCAGAAGGGAGGAAGCAGGCAGTGAGCTGCATCCTGTCCTCACTGCAGAAGCACCAGCCAGAGAGGGAGGGGGATGGGGCTGAGGGAGTGTCCTCCCTGCAAACACCAGTGCCTGCTCATGGGTAAGAAACCAGAAGTCCTCAGGTGGTAGATGCGGAAGAGGTAAAGCTGCCAAAGTTACTGCTGTCCCCATGTGGGACCACAACCCCAGGCCTTCCTGGAGGGTGCTGGACTCCTGTCCTTATGCTCCATTGGCAGTGCAGGCACCTTGTAATTAGGCATGGGGAACAGATGAACCGATTTTCAATTAAAACCTTATCTACAGGGTGCATAGATATCAAGGTGGGTAGGTTTGATTCTTTTCTAAGCCAGCCTTCAATATTTGCAGTGCCCGGAAGGAGACGCAGGGAGGGCGCCTAGGCAGCCCTGGCGACATATAAATTCTGCTCATAATTACATGACTTTCAACACCACGAGATGCCAATAAAGCATTTGCAAGGCACACAAATTCATGACATGTTGGCATTCCTGACATGGCACTTGGACATCGGCCAGGGCACAGGAAGTGGGGCCGCCACTCTTGCCCATGAGGTTGGGGAAACTGAGGCTACTGATACATAATTCACCTGTTTCTTAACAAAGATATCCCATATTCGAGTCCCCCACACCTGCCAGCTGATCTCTCTCAAATCCCCTGCTTGGTGAGAGCTGCAAAAGTAAAGGACTTAACCCGTGTTTCTACCAGAAGGGAGTGGAGGGGGCCAGAGGGACCAAAGAAAGTGGAGCTGGCAAGATGCAAACAGCTGTTAATCATGACAGCGAAAGTCAGGCTCTAGGAGCTCTGGGGAGGCCGCCTCCCCTTCCTTGGTTTAATCTCTTTCCATGCTCCCACCTTCTTCAGGTGGGCCAAGAATAAGCTAGGCAACCCCAGGCTTCTTTGTTCTCATTCATTCAGGGGGAAGGCAGGCAGCAGAGTCCCAAGTGCAGGTGCTTAGTGTCAATCAGGTGCCAGTGCAGCCTCACTAAGTCCCAGTTTCATCCATGGTAAAATGGTGATTGATGGTGGATGGCCCAAAAAAGGAAGAAGCAAGAAAGCCCAAAGAAATGAGTCTGAAGATGCTTGGTGCCGTGCTCAATAAAAATGCACCGCCCAGTCACCTCCCACCTCCACCCACAGTGTAGGTAGTAAACTTGTCAAGATCAGGAACTTCCATCTTCCCTGTCGCTCTATTGTCTCAACATCCCCCAGCACAGGTCTCTCTGCAGGAGTAGGTACTTGATAAAATAAATATTTGTTGAATTGAACAGAATTGAGGGAGATAGAATATGAGGAATTCTAATGACAATTTGGTAGAGGCAGGTTTTAGTAGAGCGAGCAACAAAACGTATCAGCTGGAAATCAGAACTGGATCTGAACTCCAGCTCTGCCACTTACTGCCAGGGAGACCGTGGGTGAGGCACACAGCTGTAGGCCCTGTTTCCCCATCTGTAAAGTGAATGGTTGGACAGAAGACATGGAAGATGCCTTCCAAATCTCAAGATGGTGTGAGTTATTTGAGGACAGGGACAGGGCTTGGAGAACCATTTTGAGAAAATGTCCTTACAAGTTCCTGGTACAGGCATAGGTTGGCCATCAGCACTTTACTCAAAGCTCAGCATGCTGTTTGGGATAATAAAAAATTAAATAATAGTAATGATGATGGTTCCATAAATATCCACAGGCAACTTGTTGGCAAGAAATTTTGTTTATATAACTTCTATGAAAGAGATCCCATCATGGTTAAGCAGCCTCCCCTTTGGTCCTGCCCTCACCCACCCTCAGTCTCAACCCATCCCCACCACTTTCTTTTTCTTCTCTTTTTTTTTTTTTTTTTTTTTTTTTGAGATGGAGTCTTGCTCTGTCACCGAGACTGGAATGCAGTGACACGATCTCAGCTCACTGCAAACCCCGCCTCCCAGCTTCAAGCAATTCTCCTGCCTCAGCCTCCTGAGTAGCTAGGATTACAGGCACACACCACCACACACCTGGCTAATTTTTTTATTTTTAGTAGAGATGAAGTTTCACCAAGTTGGTCAGGCTGGTCTGGAACTCCTGACCTCGTGATCCACCCGCCTCAGCTTCCCAAAGTGCTGGGATTACAGGTGTGAGCCACTGCACACGGCCCATCCCCACCACTTTCTTGATTCCTTCTGTCCTGTGGTTCCAGCAAAAACTGGAAGAACTCTGAAACCTAAACAATCAATTCAGCTCAATTCCATTCTATTCTAACTAGCAAACAAGCATTGGGGACCTACTATGTGCCAGAGTTTATGCTCAGTCCCATAGAATAAGGGATTAATAAGGAATAGCCTTGTCCTTGAGGAATTTACATGAAATAGCTTCAGCTAAATATGAGGCTCAGGTCAATCATCAGCTCTGGTGTTTAGGAGGAAAATGATCAATTCCAACAATGGGAAAAGAGGAGAGGGTGAATCTGAAAAGGGTCTCTGTAAAGGGCAAAATTAAGCCTCAAACCAGGAAATGTGGGAGTAAAGGGATTCTGGGCACAAAGAACAGAAAGGACATGAGCAGAGAAGCCTGTGGTGTGTCTGGGGAAGAGTCTGGTGTGGCTGAGTCACTGGGTATTTGTGGAAGGGCAGGGTTGTAAGGATTAAAAGTGATAATCCCCTTAAATACACTTGCAAGCTACTTGTGCATGGCAACCTTAAGATGCTGCATTTTTATTGTTTATGAAAGATAGGACAGCTAGACTCTGACCAGATTGTGCCAAATCTTGAATGTCATTCATTCATTTACCCACTCAATATTTAATGCACCTGCACCCTACTGTGTGTCAGGTGCTGTACTGGGGGATGGAGACAGGAAGTAGAATCCCACATGCCTCCTGCTCTCAAGGAACGTAGAGGTGAGTACAGACTTACACACATAAACACAACATGCAGTTATAGGTGTGATATGGTTTGGAAGTTTGTCCCCTCCAAATCTTGTGTGGAAATGTGATCCCCATTGTTGGAGGTAGGCCTAGTGGGAGGTGTTTGGGTAATGGGGGCAGATCTCCATGAATGATTTGGTGCCCTCCCCAGGGTAATGAGTGAGTTCTCTCTCTGTTAGTTCACACATGAGCTGGTTGTTTAAAGGAGCTGGCACCTCCTCCTCTCTCTCTTGCTCCCTCTCTCGCCATGTGACACACCAGCTCCCCTCTCTGCCTTCTGCCATGAGTAAAAGCTTCCTGAGGCCTCACCAGAAGCTGAGTGGATATTGGTGCCTGCAGAACCGTGAGCCAAATAAATCTCTCTCTCTTTTTTTTTGAAATGGAATCTTGCTCTGTCGCCCAGGCTGGAGTGCAGTGGCGCTATCTCGGCTCACTGCAAGCTCAGCCTCCCGGGTTCATGCCATTCTCCTGCCTTATCCTCTGGAGTTGCTGGGACTACAGGCACCCGCCACCACGCCCGGCTATTTTTTTTTTTTTTGTATTTTTAGTAGAGATGGGGTTTCAGTGTGTTAGCCAGGATGGTCTCGATCTCCTGACGTCGTGATCCACCTGCCTTGGCCTCCCAAAGTGCTGGGATTACAGGCGTGAGCCACCGCGCCCTGTATAAATCTCTTTTCTTTATAAATTATCCAGCCTCCAGTATTCCTTTATAGCAACACAAAATGGACTAATACAAGGTACAATGATAAAAGTAAGGAAGCTTGGTGGTCAGGTAGTCTTCATAGAGGAGATATCACTTAGACTAAGATTTGAAATATAATAGGTGTTCACCAAGCAGGTAAGGGGAATGTTGGGTGGGTTGGCTGGGAGCGGGACAGTTCCTCCAGGCAGGAGATAAATGTTAGCAAGGGCTCAGGGGCCATGTATGTTTGTGGACTGCTGCATATGCAACTGGTTCTGATTAACTAGAGTTCAAGAGAAGAGAGGGAAGAGAGATGGGGTAAGGGAGGTAGGTTGGGGCCAGATCATGTAGAGTTTTATATGCTGGATCAGGAGTTTGGATTTTATCAGAGTAGTTAAGAGAAGTGATAAGGCAGAACACTCTGCCAGTAGTTAGAGGGAGGGTAGGTACAGCAGGGAGCTGCTGTACTGCTCCTGGAGAAAAATTATAAGGATATAAAACTAAGACAGTGGATAAAGAGAAATGGAATAGGTATGAAATAAATGAAGGGGTAGAATCAACAGGATTTAATGATTAGGAGAAGGTGGAAGCTGAGAGGAAGGGAGGTCATTTTCAGTTTGGGTAACCAAAGAGGAGGTGAAGGCATTTACAGGAATCCTGGAGAAGAAGGGTGTGGTGATGGGGAGGCAGAAGTCAATGGCAAGTGGCCTGGTGGCCATCCAAGGTCATTCCAAGGAGTATGAACTTCATCTTGTAGATGATGGGGACCCACTGAAGAGAAGATTTTAGAAAAATTACTCTTGCATTTTTCCCAGGAAAAGAGTAAGCAAGAGAGGGGAATTAAATTGGAAGAAGGAAGAGAGTGGAAGGGAGAAGAGAGCAGGTATCCATTCACTATGTCTCTACAAAAAGGAGGAAACAAGAAGTTAAATATAGTGAGTTACTCTAGTGTTGATGTTGATGCGGCTACATGCTGGTTACTGGTAGTGTTGACTAAATGAAATATATATGTAGCAAGTATTTTAAAATATTAGCCACTGTTATTATTTCAATAATGCCACTTCTGTCGTCTATAGGTGTTCATTGTGTGACCATGAACCACTAATAAGAATAACTGATCATCTGTCATTATAGATGATAGAACTAGAAGTAGGATCTGGGAGTCAGGGTTCTTGTATCTGCCCTTGCTTCAGGAAAGACCACAGGAAGGAAAGGAAGATCTTCCAGGGAACAGCATAAGCACAGGCACAAAGGCAAGGGGACAGGGGAAGGCACCGAGTATGCACTGAGTGTGAGCAAACCTTGCAACTACACTGGGCTGCCCATGTGCTTCTCGGCCTCCATGCACCACGTCCACCATCAGAACAGTTGATTCAATGCAGCCAGCACTGAAGTATGAGGAGGGGAACTTCGTTCTGAGCAACAGTGGACAGATGTCTTTTCTCCCCAGTAAGGTTTATGCTGAAGCAGGAGAAACCGAAGGTAGACATGAAGAAGAACTTCCTGCTCTTAAGTTTTCAAGAATCCAGAAAAAGTAGGATTTTGGTAAAGTGTAGATAGTGAGACCGGGACGGATCAAATAGACTAATCTTAGAGCAAATATCTGACTGCATTTTTCAGAATAATGGAATTTGAGACCTGGAAGAAATCTACATGAGATAATTTAATCCAATTCTCTTATTTCACAGATGAAATACCTGAGGCCCAGAGAGATGAAGTGAATCTCCTGAGGTCACACAGCTGGTCAGTAGTAAAGCCAGAAGGATAACTCTGTGGTCTCTCTGGACTTCTAATCAGGTGCCATCTCCACTCCCCATTTTCCTCCCCAGTTCCCATTCATGGTTAAGGTCCCTGGAACACTGAACACATTGTACTGCAGTGCTCAGTGGTCCCTTAAACAAGTGGCTTCTGGCTTTAATGGGCACATTCTAATTCCCCCATCCCACAGTTCTGCAAGGGGTCAAGGAAATTTCCAATGTTTAATGTTCGAGGGATGTTTATAGTGAATGGGAGGAAAGGGGGGAGTGAAAATAGCACCTCATTATAAGTCCACAGAGACCAGAGTTACAATTCTGGCTTTACTGTTGACCAGCTGTGTGACCTTGGGGAATTCACTTCACCTCTCTGGGCCTCAGGTATTTCATCTGTGAAATAAGAGGATTGGATTAAATCAAGGAGTCAAGGAAATTTCCTTAACCCCCTGCAGAACTCTGGGATGGGGAGAATTGGATTGAGTCTATGTTCACGCTAGGAGGCTGTCGGGGTGAGGCAGTACTGCCACCTGGGACTTCAGAAGTGCTGTAGTCCCTGGAACCCAGAAATTCCTCGCCAAATGTTGTAGATAATCTCTAACCACATCTCACAGGCATGTGCACACACACACACCTCTCTCCTCCAGTCTCCACTTCCAGACACTGATTTTTTACTTTAAACCTGAAAAACTGCCAAGTCCTTGGTCCTCATCCAGGGATTTCCAGGAATTGCTCACCATCACTTGAAGACCAGCTCAGTCCACAAAACTTGTGGATTCTGGCTCTGATGACCCTCCCCAATTCACTGAGGGTCCATGGTTGCTGTAATACGGGTCTTTTCAGCTGCATTTCTGTAGTCTTTCTGCTCACCGACCCCACTACCTCCCTACCCTCATTTAAACCTGGGGCTCATCCCAGACTTTCTTCTCCTACCTCATAGCAGGCACCACTAAATATCCCTCCTAAATAGGTCTGGATTCTATCCCTTCCTCTCCACCCTGTCGCTTTGCTTAAGGTCTTTATCCTCACTCCCCTGGACTACTGCAATAACTTCCTAATTGCTTCCCCTGTCACCAGCCTGCTTCTCTTAAGTCCATTCCCAACAAAGTTGCCAGAATGATCTTTCTGAAACACAAATCTAATGATAACATTGCCCTATGAAAAACCTTTCAATGGCTCTCCATTGACTTCAGATGAAGTTCAAATTCGGTTAGACCCTGGTCAACGTGCACTTTACCTTCTAGAAATCCCAGACTCTCAGAGGCGTGTGCACACGCCAAACCATCCTCTCAGTGCGGGTGCACCCCCTCAGGATGCTCCTGTGCTCCCGTCACTTGACTCACTCCTCTCCATCCATCAAGACACAGTTCCAGCTTAGGGCCCCAGAACCTCCCTTAAACCCTCAGTCTGAGCCAAGGGCCCTGCCTGAATTCCCATAGTACTTGTGCATCCTCTAACTCTGTGAAGCTCTGAACTATAAGCTCCTTGAAGATAGGCACTACTTTTTAAATTCATTTTTATACTGACCAAGGATGTCTGGCTCCTAGTAAACACTCAACTTACATTTGCAGAATTGAACTGAATCCAAAAGTTAATTGCCTCATTTTCTACTTCCCACACCACCTTCTACAAATACCTTATTCGTTCTGTCTCCACACTTGCAAATGCAAGTTTTTCTTCTTTAGTGCAACCCAAATGCTCCCTCTTCCAGAAAGCCTTTCCCGATAAGCCCCACCTGACTGCTTCTCTGGACTCTCTGAGCTCAGTTTGTACTACCTCCCTTAGCATCTCCACCTTACCTTTCAATTCTCTCTCAGAAGTGAGCTCAACTCCTACCAAATTGGACTGCTTGTTATTGTTCAAACACTTTAAATACTTTACACTCTCTCGGTCAATGTCATCCTATTTCCTACTCTCGCAATTTCCCCTCAGCTGGAGGGCAAGGACTTTACTTCACTCCTGCTGCAGCATCCAGACATGTATTTACTGTAACAGGTGCTCAACTTCAGTTGTTAATGGCCTGCCTTGAACCGCTGACTTGTATGTTTTATGCTATTTTTGTATGTGTGCAAAAGTATGCGTTCCCTTTTCCTTCGTAGGTGTTTCACTTCACCTCCCTGTGTCCCAATTTGGATGACATCTCCACGGTCTCTTCCAACTTTGATGTTCTGTAATTCTGTAGCTGTGAGTTCACTGTGGGCAAGGACTAGATCTATTTCTTCCCCCACAGCTTCAGCACACTGCTGGCTCAAAACAATCATGCTGAAAAAACGCCTTTCCTAGTCTTGTTTCTCTCCTCCTTTCCTTCTTAAGGGAAGCAGTGGAGCACAGCAGCTAAGCATGGCCACTTGGTAACCAGCTCTGCTACTCAACCTGGAGCAACCTGCTTTAGTGCTCTGTGCCTCAGTTTCCTCAATTGTAAAATGGAGATAACATAAATAATTCTTCATAGGTAGTAAGCCTGATGTAAGTTTTAATAATCACTATTATTCTTGCCCTATCCTTCTTCCTTCCATCCTTCTTATTTACAGTGTTTAGATATCCAACTCCCCTAATTTTTTGGACGCAATAGGTCTCACCAACATCAGAGGAACCCAGGGACTGCTGGCCTAGAAAGTATGAAGACTCTAACAATTTTAGACCACGATGAGGTCCAGAGATCTTCTTAAAGTAAGAGAATGTGATGTAAGATCAGGCAAAAGAGAAAGGTTGGAACCAGAGAGAAAGAGCAGGGGAGAAAGCCCCAGGCAGAGGGTGGAAAAGTTTCTGGCTTCATCAGAGCAGATTCTTTTGCAGAAACCAGACTGGGGAAAGCTTCAAGAAATCAGGAGAAGGGGCATGAGGTTAGGAAATGTTTCAGCTGAGACCCAAATCCTGGCCCCAAAGTACTTTTGTGCATGGGTCAGAGAAGGGAGACGGCAAATTATAGTCAGCATTTCACAGCTCTGGGAGGGTGTGTTCATTGGACCAGGGACTCATGAACCGGGTTCTGGCCCCAGCTCCATCTTTATAATAATGAAGTGACCTTAGGCAAGGCTCACTGCTCTGAGCCTTGGTTAACCCAACTAGAAAACAGGGACAACAGAATGATCCTGGCAGGCTGTGGGGAGGATTAGAAGTTCTCTGTAAATGATAAAGCACCGCCCATATATCAGGTATCATTTTTATGAAGGCTGCATCTACATGGCCTAGCCATCCAGAAAATGGACCTGATAACTGAGGTTCAAGTGCCTTTTTAAGTCTCATTTATTTAGGCCAAATAGGCTCTCGGTTATCAGAAGGTGGAATATCCTCAGCCAACAATGATGACTTCTCCACCCAGCCTGACCTTCCCCTGAACCCCCATTCCCCACCCCAGTCAGACACAGGGGCCTTGTCAGCACTTTCCACATGGCACAATCATTGTTTGTCTGTGTTGCTCTCTTCCATTAGCCAGAAAGGGCTGAATCTTCATCATGACGACCCCTGGTGCCTAGGCCAGTGTCAGACATGCAGCAGGCATTCAATACTGACTTCCTGAATGAGCAAATACATGGATGCACAAAATTCTTATTTAGGCTGTGCTACAATCCTCCTCTTTGTAGCTTGTAGCCATTGGTCCTAGTTCTTCTCTATGGAGTCACATAAAATGAATCTAATTCTCTTCCATATGACACTCCTTTAAGCACGTGAGGAGAGTTATGACATATCCCTGGAGTCTCCTCTTCTCATGACCAAACATCCCTAGTTTCTTAACCTGTTGTTTCCACAGGCATCTGCATACAAAGGGGCTGCATTCTCTCCTCTCTTAAAACCTCTCTGTTGACCCTGTGCCCAGCAACCCCCTCCATGCTCTGCTCTCCTTTATAGCAAAAGCACTGAAGCATAGTAGTACACACAATCCTTCTCCTCCCATTCACTCATGAACTCACACCAGAACTTTTAGTGCTGAGTTACCAATGACCTACAAGTTGCTAAATCCAACACTGGCCCTCATCTTCGTCCTCATCTTGCTTAATGGATCAGCACACTTGTTACAGATGATCCCTCCCTCCTCAAAGACCTTCCCCACCTGGTCTTGCAGGACCCCACAGTCTTTTGGGTTTCCTCCTCCTCTCTTGCCTGCTCCACAACCTCCTCCTCCTCTTCTTGTTGAAGGGTCCTGACTGGCCCTCCCCTCCCTCTTGGTTCGCTCCCTTGTTAAATTCAACCAGTTGCACAGCTTTAAACATCATCTCTAACTTGATGTTCTATCCCAGCTCAGACCTTTCCCTCCAGCTGCAGTGGCATCGCTCAAACTTCTTACTGGACACCCCCACTTGGCTGTCTCATTGGCCTCTCATACTTAATGTGTCCAAAACTGAGCTCCCGATCTTCCACCCCCAAACTTGGTCTTCTCAGTCAAAGCCAGCTTCATTCCTCCAGGTCCGTAAGACAAAGCCTCAATGTCATCTTTGACTGATCTTTCCCTCTCACCCTTCGTCCAATCCATAAGGAAGTCCTGCTGGTTCTCATTTCCCAATAATCCCAGAAATGGACCACTTTTTGTGGACTCTAGGCATGCCAATGGTGCCCAAGCTATCATCTTGTGCCTGGATTACTGCAGTAGCTGCTTAATGGGTCTCTCTGCTCCTGCCCTTCCTTCACACCATCTATTCTTGACACAGTACCCAAAGCAATTCTGTTAAAACATGAATTATACCATGTCACTCCTGTGCTCAAAATCTACCAGTGACTTCCCATTTCATTCAAAGTAAAAGCCTAAGTCCTGTGATTCCTTCAAGGCTCTGGTCCAATAAGGAAGAATTTTTCTGGCCTTGGTCCACATTCCTGGGACAGAAGTTTTAAACTCGTGGAACTTCCCAAGTGATAAGAATGTCTTTGTTATTCATTGCACACTGGGGTTTATGCTAATGAGGTGACTCTGGATTGGGGCTGAGGATGCTGGAAAGATCAACCACGTGATTAGAAGGTTAGGGCACTGAGCCACATGACACCAGCTTCCAGAGAGGAGAGGGAGGTTGGAGACTGAATTCAATCACATGCCAAAATGATTTGATAATAAAACTACAATAAAAACTCTGGACTCCTAGAGTCATGGAACCTCCTGGTTGGTACACACATTGATGTGCAGGGTGGGTGAAACGTCTTGATTCCACAGGGAGAGGGCACGGAAGCTCCATGCTTGGGACCCTCTCACAGCTGGTCCTGTGTGTCTCTTCATTTGGTTCATCCAGATTTATATCCTGTGTAATAAAACTGTAATAGTATAGCACTTTCCTGAGTCCTGAGAGTCATTCTGTCAAATTATTGATCCCAAAGGGGTTGTGGGAACCACTGAATTTGTAGTTACTTGGTCAGAAGTCCAGGTGGCCTGGGGACTCCCAAATTTGAAGCTGACATCTGAAACGAGGGCAGTCCTTGTTGGGGACTGTGCCCTTACCTAACCTGTGGATTCTGGGCGTTCCCACAGCCCCTAGAACTCATGGTAATGGGGTACCCAGCCTAGGGGAAGGTATGGCAGTGTTGTAGCCCCTCATGATTTGTGCACATGTGCAGGCACACTCCTCACTTCTATCACCAGTTCCCCTGCTCACCTCCCTCCATCCACACTGGCTTTTCCTCAAACACACCAGGTGCATTTTCCCCTCAGGACCTCTGCCTCTGCTGTTCCCTCTGCCTGGAATGCTTCTTCCCCTTAATGTGCCTACTCCCTGAACTCCTTCACATCTTTTCTTGTTATCACCTTCTGAGTAAGTTCTTTACTCACTGCACTACTTAAAATTGGACCACTGCCCCACCAGACTCCGGATTCCCCTTCCCTTGCTTAATTATTTTCCATTTTATCAATATCCAACTAACTAATATTTTACCTATTAATTAGCTTATTGTCCCTCTCTCTGACAGAAGCCATATAAGGTCCATGAGGGTAGAGATTTTCTTTTTTCTTTGTGTTAATTGCTGTATCCTCAGCACTTGGAAAAAGGGCCTGGCACTTTGGGATGAGCGGATCACTTGAGGCCAGGAGTTCGAGACCAGCCTGGCCAACATGGCTAAACCCCATCTCTACTAAAAATGCGAAAATTAGCTGGGCATGGTGGCGCATGCCTGTAATCCTATTTACTCAGGAGGCTGAGGTATGAGAATCGCTTGAATCCGGGAGACAAAGGTTGCAGTAAGCCGAGTTCGTGCCACTGCACTCCAGCCTGGGTGACAGAGCAAGACTGTCTCAAAACAAACAAACAAACAAGCAAACAAACAAAAAATGCCTAATACTTTAAAAACATTGAATAAATAAATAAATCTGTTATAATTTTTGGAAGCTTCACCACTGTCCTCCATTAGGGAAGTCCAGTTTGTCCGCTTCTCATTAAAGTGAGTGTCCAGAGAGGATGGAAGCTCTCTCTGGGCATGGACCTCCCAGTCAGTACAGATGACTGTCCCCTCCCAGATGCAGGACCTTGCATTAAGCCTGACCTGGCTCTGGAGGCAGACAGAAGGGGGCTCACCTCCTTCTGCCACTTTTTTACAGCTGCCTTTTATGTAATGCTTCTTACATCTGGCACCCACCATGCCTTGCAGAGATTGCTTTTTTTCACAAAGGCAGGGGCCATGTCCAGCTGCTCACTTTTGCAGACCTGGCATGCAGCACAGTCCCTGGTATGCGGTTGGCATCCAGTTCACATCTAAAAGAATGAATGAATGTCCAAAACACCGAGCTTGTTCTTTTATGTGGATTGCCTCACTGAATCCTCAACATCTACCATTAAGATACCTATTATTAACCCCATTTTACAGATGGAAATGTGGAGGCTAAGAGAAATTAAGTAATTTGCCTAATGTCACAAAGCTAGTAATTTGCAGGGTGAAGCTGGAAAAATAGGGTTAAACATGGGGTCCTTTGTGGCGTCAAAGCATCTCTCACAGAGATGCTGCTGTTCACGGCTCCCTGCCATGGCACAGCCCACCACTGCCGCACCCCCACCCCCAGTGTCTCATTGTGCCCCAGGAAGGCACATTTTCTTCTGTTTTCCTCTTTCCCCCTAAGCAGGGGCCCAAGAAAGCAGAGGCCTTCTCCACAGCCCCTAGAACTCATGGTAATGGGGTACCCAGCCTAGGGGAAGGTAATGGGGAGATATGGCCACTGGGTGGAGAGGAAAGGCGTTTATTTAGGGAGTCCTGTCAGACTTCCCAAGCTGTCCCTCAAACTCCCCTGAACTATCAGTGTTCCCAGACACAGAGGCCTTTATCCCCTGAAAGGGAGCAGCCAGGCAGAAAGACAAAGACCATATCTGATCCCGCCTGGGGTGGAGGCCACAGGTTGGGGGAAGGGAGGCGTGCAGCCGGGCCAAGAGAGGGCTGAGCACATCTGAGCAGGAATGGAGGAGGGGTGGGGTCAGGATTCTTACGCCACTCTTTCCATAAGGGGGGAATGAGGTGCTGGCTGGGGCAAAAATATCCCATGCCTATGTCACCATTTTCAGTTTTCAGGAGCTTTCCATCCACTCTCTTTTCCCATCTGTAGCCTCTCCCAGTGTGGATCTCACAGTCCACTCTGCAAGCAGCTTCTCCCTCTCTCCAGCACTGCTTCCTCGCAGTAGGTGTTGGAGTGCCCCCACCCTCATGATGAAGGGCAAAGCTAATCTTTTTTTTTTTTTTTTTGAGATGGAGTCTCGCTCTGTTGCCCAGGCTGGAGTGCAGTGGTGCAATCTCCGCTCACTGCAAGCTCCGTCTCCCAGGTTCACACCATTCTCCTGCCTCAGCCTCCCCAGTAGCTGGGACTACAGGTGCCTGCCACCACGCCCGGCTAATTTTTTTGTATTTTTTTTTTTTTTTTTTTAGTAGAGACGGGGTTTCACCGTGTTAGCCAGGATGGTCTCGATCTCCTGACCTCATGATCCTCCCACCTTGGCCTCCCAAAGTGCTTGGATTACAGGAGTGAGCCACCGTGCCCAGCCGGCAAAGCTAATTTATAAGGCATAGTAATAACATCACAGAGGGTGCAGCAGGTGGTTAAGAGCACAGGCCAGAGAACAGCCAATCTGCATCCATTTTCTCATCTGCAAAACTGGGGAATAGTCGTACCTACCTCAGGTTGTTGTGAAGGTTTTAATGAGGCAACATGCATCTGTAAAGTACATAGACCAGTGCCTGGCTTCTGTAAACACTAGCTAGTGTTACAGCAGTGTGGAGCTCTGCTTCCATAATCTCACCTCATCTCATAATAGCTCTGCAAGGGAGGGACTGGTATCCCATATTACGCATGTGGAAACTGAGGCTCAGGTAACAGAGAATGAGGTAATAGCATAACCAAAGAAGCAAATACTTTTGGGCTCATGTTAAAGATTCTTCCAAATATCTTAGCTGCCTCCCAGTGAAAACTGAAGCAATAGGAGGGCACAAAGGTCACTCTCAACTGGTGCCGGGAGCATCTAGGCCGGGCCCCCCTTACCTGCACGTTCACCTGGAAACCTTATTTAGTTACCAGGTCTGAGTCACACACACACACACACACACACACACACACACACACACACCCTGGAGAAGACCCACACGACGCAGCTACTCATGGCCCTGGGCCCACCTCCATTCTGGTGTTGGAGGAGCTCTCTTCCTCTCTTGTCCCTCCCTCCAAGCCTCCTGTGACATCGAGAGCTCTGGAAGTGCTCGGGCAATGTAACAGTGTTCTCTGAACAAGTTCTCTGAGCTCCAGAAGTGCTCAGGCAATGTAGCAAGTTCTCTGAGTTCCTGTGAAGGCCCTTGAACTTCTGAGGTCCAATTTGTTCCTCTCACCTCCTTCCCCAGAAAGAAATCTCTGAACCAGACCAACTGCCTAACCCTCCTCGCCATCTCTAGCTCACCAAATCCATGCCCTTCCACTCCATCCAAGTCAACCTGCTGCCTGCAATGATGAAAGTTAATGTCCTAGCATCAGCCTAGGGTTTTAGAGTACCAAGCACCCCCATTCTCCCACCGCACAAACCAGAGGGGAGACTTGTTCACCATCACGCACACAGTAGGTAAGGGAGCTGAGATTTGAACCTGGTTCTTTTGGGAGAGGACTGAGATAGGAATCTCAAGAGAGAGGTGGGAAAGCCCAAGCGAGGGTGGAGAGAAGTGATTCCCTCTGGGTTAGGTTCTAAGATAAGGAGAAGTGAGGCTCAGAGGGCAGGGGTCCCTCAGGTTTCTGGTCATTCCCATTAGCTGCTCTGCTGGTTTTCCTTTCTCCTTAGACACTCAAGCCTCAGCACCTTCAGAGGGACTGTTATGAGCCTGGATCCCTTCCTCTCCCTTAATCCTTATCTCAAATCTATTGTCAATTCCAACTCCAGAATACTTTTTGAATTAAATGATTCCCCTCCTGAATTGTCTCTCCCTTGGTTCAAACCTATCTTTCTCTCCTGGATAACTTCAAGACCAGGACCACCTTACGAAGTTGTCTGTGAGTGGCACACGGGAGTTGTGAGATGTATGCACACCTATGCGGATAAATGAGTGGCCTGTCCACAGCATCTTTTATTAGCTGACCCTCCCCAAGGCCTCTACAGGACCTGTTCTCCCCTCTAGCACAACTTACCACAGTTTATTGTGTTCCCTATTTATCTGTCTATCCCAGGGATCCTATTCAATTCATCTTTGTATTCCAAATGCTCAGTGGAGTGCCTGGCACATAATAGCTGCTCAATAAACATTTGTTGCTTGACTGGTTGTAGTTTCTCCTGGATGCACATCTACCTGCTCTCTCTCCTCTGTTCCATTCCTACTTCCACACATGCCCAGCTCCCCCTACCCCTAGAGTTATCCTAAAACACAAGATTGATTCACATCACTTACTGCTTACAAACCTCCATTATTTCCTTGTTGTTGATAATAAAGTTCAAAATCCTTAGCTGGTCACCCAAGGCCCTTCATAACCAGGTTCCCAACTTCTTTTCCATCTTATCTTCAGCCCCCCACCAACCACCATCTTAGCACACGCTCCAGCCCTCCTCCTCTGAATAGACCAGCCTTTTCATTACTAGGGTTGATATTAAGGAAATGCCTGTTCCCATTTTCTGAAATGTTTTTCCCCTCCATTTTCACCTGAAAACTGCTCTGTGTTATAAAATCAAGCTCAAAAACCACCTCCACTGTGAAGCCCTCCTAACTTGCCTAGGCAAAGTGAGTAACTCCTTTTGTATTCTCCTAGACAATGGAGAGGAAGAATCCATATTTATAGAGTGCTGACTATGCATTATCTAATTTAATTCTCCCTCACAACAATCTTGGAAGATAGATGTTATCATTCCATCAAACCTTTGCTGGAGTAGGTATAAAAACAATAAAACCTGGGGTCAGAATTTCAACCCTGGTCTGTCTGACTCTAAAGTCACAGTTTTTTTCTTTTCCATGTCTCTGACCTCTATTATGGGACTTGCTTGCTATGCTTTATGGCATTTCTCAGCCCACATGTCTCTTTCCCCAGTTAGATGTATGGTCAGAGGCTGGTTCTTACTTATATCTACATCCTGGAGGTCAAGCCCAGGAATGGTCTTACATAAGGGTCTCAATAACTGTGGTTAATTGAACAAACAAGTGAGTGAATGCATGAGTGAATGAATGAATGAACAAACTGAGGATTATGTTATGCCCCTAGACATGAGCAATAATGAAGGAAAGCAACAATTTGTGCAAAGGAAAAATACGCAAGGGAGGCCCAGTCTCATGCTTTCCACTGGAGAACCCCTTGTGCATCAACTCTCTCCTCTCCTCAGAGCTCTGCTTTATGAGTAGATCAACAGCCCACAAGGAGATGGCATGGTTGCCAAAAAACAAAAAACCAAACACATCAAAACAAACTGAAAAACATAACAACAACGCCCAGAGGTGGCAAGAGCAGTTCCCTATAAAGAACAAGACAGACAAGCTCTCTCCCTTCTGGGACCTCCCTCTGAGACCAACACACCAACACAGGTAGCAACATCTAGGCCATTTGGAAAGAAGACCTAGAAATAGACAATCAATACATGACCAGACTGTATTTACATCACAGGCCTGATAGGAGACATGAAGGAGTGGGGAGGAAAAGGAAAGAACTGAGCTCAAGCAAAGAGGTCCCTGCAGGACAGTAGGTTCAGGAACAATTGGCATGATTGGGGAAAAAGCTGGCTTGATGAGTAAGTGTGGGGTGGGAGGTTCTAGACATACGGTAATGTGAGTGCAGGCGCATCCCGGCTCTGGTCACCCCAGCTTGCCCAGCTCTCACATCCCGCTCAGCCTTTGCTGCTTTTGTGTCCTCCAGCTTGAGACTCGAGCCAATACCACTAATTGTTTTCTCTACTGGCCAAATGGTGGGAATGAGGGGCCATAAAGGAAGCAAACAGCACATGCCATGCATCCAGCAATTTTACTGTTGGCAATTTGATACAGAAAAATAAAATGAGGACAGAGCTGCAGGGTCAGTAAAGGGAAGTACATTTCCAAGTGATTTTCCCTTTTACTGCTGAGCAGTCAGGGCTCCTCTTCGTGGACAATTCTATGGCAAGCAAGACATAGGCATTGTCAGCAAAGTCCAGGCATTTATGATGCAAAATCATAGGCAGGCTGGGCCTGGGAAGGGGTGGTGCTGAAATGGCAGAGCCTCAGTGTTGGAAAGGATAATGGCGGTCACCTTGTCCAACCTTCCTCTCAATCAGAAGTCTCCGGTCCAGCGTGCCCAGCATGTGGTCAGCCTGGCTCTTCCTGAACCCTCTCGGGCTGCAGGGCTTACTGCCTCATGAAGCAGCCCTCTCTATCTGCTGACAGCTACAGCTATTAAAAAGCTGTTCTTTATAGTCTGTGGAACTCTGCCTTTCTGTATCGTTCACATCCATTCATCCTCGTTTAGCCCTCTGGAGCCAATCAATGTTTATTGAAGACCTACTACGTACCACTCTTCTGGATTCTGAAGTTACAGCCGTGAACAAAACAAAGCCCCTAGTGGGCAAGTCTACTGTTTCTTTGACATGACACAGAATTTTTCACGTCTCCTCAGACCCTTTGGAACCCTATTTTTGTTCAGTCGTCAGTTTGTGAGATCTCCCAGGGCTAAGAATAATCACTCCTACCACACACTAGGAAGCATTCCTTAAAAGAGGAAGAGAATGGCTAGACACAGTAGATCACGTCTGTAATCTCAGTGTTTTGGGGGGGCCAAGGCAAGAATCACTTGAGGCCAGGAGTTTAAGACCAGCCCAGACAACATAAAGAGACCCTGCCTCCAAAAAAAAAAAAAAAAAAAAAAAAGAGGAAGAGCCACCTGTAAAAGGACTGGAAGACACCAGATTTTTTCATGCCACTCTGCTTCATCTTTAACATCATAACACTCATTCACAGTCCATATGTTCTTGTTTACTTGCTATTGTCCTCTGCCCCCTCCCACCACCACTGACTGACCCCCTGCAGCTGTGAGAGCAAAGCCTCATTACAGTGACCCCTACCAGGTCCCCAGGGACCAGAGCAGTGCGGGGCACAGAGTGGAAGACTCAATAAACATTTGCTGAATTGAGAACTAAACGGATGAATGCACAGGACTCAGCTCACACATGAGGAGAACGGATGGAGTCACCACACGGACCTCTATTCCTCCAGCAGGAAGAAATAGCTGGCCTTCCTCCCTCATCAGCCAGGCAGATGGGTGGCAGGCCTGAGACGAGCTCCCCAGGAAGGTCGTGGGCACAGAGCCAGACCCTAACTTAGCTAGAGCCATTGAGCCGCTGGCAGGCTGGTCCTGCCCCGAGTCTAGCTGACACTGGGCCTGGGGGTGTTTCCTGGTGAGGAAATAGTTATGAGTCGCAGGAAGTCCATCAGCCAGGCACCCTGGGCTCAGCCCAGTGCCCTGAGGGCCAAAATCTGCAATGGGCAGTAAGGAATCTGGGGAGGAAAGGAGACAGGTCCCCACTCTAAAGACCATGTTCCTAGGACACTCAGGACAACAAGCCAACTGCTACCTGGAAACCCCAAAGTGAGGCTGCAAGAGCCTGGGTGCAGTGTGTACGAGCAACTGGAGACCTGTGAGCTTAATCAGAGGATGCTTGCTGGAGGAGGGAGCTACAATCAGGGTTTGGAAGGAGAGATGGGACTTGATAGCTAATAATAATTAAAATAATGGTCATTTATTGAACACGTATATAAGCCAGGCATGCTGCTAACCATTTTATAGACATTGATTCACTTAATGCTCACGACCCCTGAGAAGTAGGTGTGATTGACCCCTTCCTTTTTTTTTTTTTTTTTTTTTTTGCCAGAGTCTTGCTTTGTCGCCAGGCTGGAGTGCAGTGGCGCAATCTCAGCTTACTGCAACCTCTGCCTCGCAGGTTCAAGTGATTCTCCTGCGTCAGCCTCCCGAGCAGCTGGGACTACAGGCATGTGCCACCACGCCCAGCTAATTTTTGTATTTTTAGTAGAGACAGGATTTCACCATATTGGCCAGGCTGATCTTGAAGTCCTGACCTTGTGATCCACCAGCCTCAGCCTCCCAAAGTGCTGGGATTATGGGCGTGAGCCACGGCGCCCGGCCGATTGACCCCTTTCAACAAGCCCAGAGGGATGAAGCAACTAGGCCAAGGTCCAGTGCTAGTCGTGGCAGCAGTGGGACTAGAACCCAGGTGTCCAGGACTCCAAATCTGGACTCGCTGCTGCATGACACCCATGGGCCCACAGCAGCCTCTGGGATTTCTTTAACATAGGAGAACCAAAGGAGACACGGGAGGCCCTGAAGGGCCCAGCTGAGACTGTCCCATCTCAGGCTCCATCGAAGTCCAAGACTCCGGGTGGTTCACTCCAGACCTGCCCGCCAAGGCTCCTCTGGCTGATTAAAGCCCACAGCCCAGCTATCGGCCGTCCTCACTCCTGTCTAACGGCCCTCATTCATCTGCTCTCCCAGTCTTTCTTCTCCAGACAGCTTGCTGTCCACCCCAAACTGCCCTCTCTATCCCCTACTTCAGGCCAGAAAAGATGAAAACCATAAGCATCAGGAGGCCTCAGGTATAATCCAGCCCAAGCCCTTCACTGTAGACTGGAGGACATCAGACCCAGTGAGCTGACCGAGACTGCACCAAGCATCGCGGTCCATGGATGTTTATCTCCTCCATCAAGCGCCTCTCTTTCCCGGGTTGTGACTGCTTTGAGAGAACTTACACCATCCTCCTCCGTGAACCTTGCCGCTCTCCTTGAAGGTCCTGCCAAAACCTGGAAAGGTCTAGAAGCCCTCTCGAATTGCTCTCATTCTCCATGTCCTTTCCGCATTTGTAAATACAGGTTACATAGTGGACTGCTTTCTGTTACCTAAGCATCATGCATGTCCCCTTATTACTCAGTCTGCAAAAAAGCTGCATATTCTCCACGTTAGTTTAGCTCCCTAAGCCACCTAAACTGTCTATCACTGCCCAGCACCTCCAGCTGATCTGTCCAATTGGTGCTACAAGTTCGTTGCAGTATTTATCTGAATAAGTTACAACCAGAAAATAAGTCTGGAACAGTAATAAATAAAGAAATGAATAAATGAATAAATAAATGGAAATTCTGTATTCTAATTCTGTGCTCCAGGGGGCGCCATTTGCACCGTAGTCTACTTGCATTGTAATGTCAAGGCCCAAGGTCCCTTCTATATCAAAACACAAACAAACTACAACACTTTTAGTAATCCCCAGTATCCCTGGGTTTTGACTGTTGGTTTAGGAAAAGTATCTGTCCACACTCTGGTTCTCTGCATTTGTTGAGAATTGAAGGATGATGGTAAACTCTGTCAATGCATAAATCCACCCCTGGAAATACCAGTTCCCCCTGGCTCTGTGTAGTTCTGTAGGGCTCTGTAGGTTTCTGGGACTTTGGGGTAGTAAAATGCCTTTCTAAGGGGCAAAGGTATGTTCCTCCCAAATTATTGACACTACTGCTACTAGGACATAGACTGTGGCTAAAATCACCCAAACATCCAATCACTGTTATTAACCACATGGTCTCCACATAGCAGGGGCATGGCCTGTCTCCATCAAAGTGGTTCTTTAAAGCCCCGACAGATCATGGACTGGTAAAAAAAATACTAGGATTTGGGGTCAGACAGGCCTGGGTTTGAATCCCAGCTCCACCTTCACTTCTCTGAGCCTTAACACCTCATCCAGAACATAGGGTGAGTAATTCTTATTTAACAGGGCTCCATGAGAATTAAAATAAATAGGTCAACAGTAAGTAGAATATCTAGCAGTGTCTTGTGCAGAATAGGTGCTCATTATATATGAATTGTCTCCCCCTTGATTTCTCTCCTTTCTTTGTATTTACCCTTCTACTGTTCAGGGCAAGGTCTTGTCATTATCCTGATACCCTGGACCCTCTGCTGATGGAGGAAAGATGCCAGAGATGGGGAAAAAACTCTGCAGTCCTTGCTGTCAGGCTCCATGAGGGCAGTCGCAACTTTACATCAGCATACAGCATCTGGACCTCACTTCTCTACTACACTCGCTGCCTGGGGCCCTAGTCCCAAGGGGGCTGTTCTAAACAGGTTTCCTTCCAAAAGATAAAAGAAACTGACGGATGGTAAGTAATTGATCTCTTAAAAGAGGCAGAGAGGGAGCCTGAATAGCTACCTAGCCAGGGGGCAAAGGGAATGGCTCCTACCAGTTCCTGCTTCAATTCCCAGATTCCAAGATAAAATACATACCCAAAGAGGTGGAAGAAAAGGAGGTAAGAAAAACAGAACAATGGCAAAAATAAATACACACACATATACACACATGAACACACACACAACCAGTTCAGTAAAGATGTTTGTTAAATAGAAAATATAGAGAGAATTTAAAAATTTTTTTTCTAGCTTGCCTCAATTTCTTCAATAAAAAAAGTACACATTTATATCTGGTAGCATGAGAAATAAACGTGTGATTTTTCAGTAATAACTAGACGGCCCCACATTATCCAAAAATATGTCTACCCTAGCTACCGAAGTTGTGGATCACCAGGGTCTCCCGTCCCTCAACCCCTATTGCCTAAGTAACTGCGCTAAGATGGAATTAGCAAGAAATAACAATCCCTTATGTTTTATGAACAGCTTACAATTCAAAAATCACTTTTATATTCATTTAACTTCTTCAGCCACAAAAAACTCAGCCCTAGGAAGCTGAATCTCAGTTTCATATCTTTCTTAAGGTCTCACAGCTGGCGAGAGGAGATTCTGAACTTGAACCCACATCTGACTCCTAATACACACTTTCACTAAGTCACATTACAAAGTAAAAGGTCCAGGTAACTGGATAACAGAGACTAGAAAACAACACCCTTCCATTTTGGTCATGCTCAGAATCCTATTGAAGCTTGGGTTTCAGAGATATAAAGAATGCCAAGTACTTGGATATAAAATGGAATGAAAATTGGGAAAGGGGAATCTATGGGAAACTGAGGCATCTAAAATCAAAGAGGAGAAGGATAAAGAAAAATTTCATTTTCTTTTTTTCTTTTTTTTTTTTTTTTTGAGACGGAGTCTAGCTCTTTCTCCCAGGCCTGACTGCATTGGCGCTATCTCGGCTCACTGCAAGCTCCGCCTCCTGGATTCACGCCATTCTCCCTCAGCCTCCTGAGTAGCTGGGATTACAGGCGCCCGCCACCAAGCCCAGCTAATTTTTTGTATTTTTACTAGAGACGGGGTTACACCGTGTTAGTCCAGATGGTCTCGATTTCCTGACCTCGTGATCCGCCCGCCTCGGCCTCCCAAAGTGCTGGGATTACAGGCGTGAGCCACCGCGCCCAGCCTTCTTTTTTTTTTTCCGATGGAGTTCATTTTGTTGCCCAGGCTGGAGTGCAGTGGCAGAATCTCCGCTCACTGCAACCTCTGCCTCCCAGGTTCAAGCAATTCTCCTGCCTCAGCCCCCCAGTAGCTGGGATTACAGGCACGTGCCACCATGCCTGGCTAATTTTTGTATTTTTAGTACAGACGGGGTTTCACCATGTTGGCCAGGCTGGTCTTAACTCCTGATCTCAGGTGATCCACCTGCCTTGGCCTCCCAAAGTGCTGGGATTACAGATGTGAGTCACCATGCCCGGCCGAAAACTTCATTTTCTATCTTTGAAATGTTAGCTCCATGATATGTAGTCAAGGGCGAAACAAGAAAGAGGACTCTCTGCAGCAGTAGGCTTTGAGACAAGGATCAAACAACCTGATTGGGGCAGTGGGAGCATGAGGAGCAATAAAATGAGCTGCAAAGCAAGGAAGAGAAGGCACTGTGGAGCACTGATGCCAAAAAGTCACCATCCAGCCCAGAACTGCAAGGTGCTCCTCGAAAGGGAAGGCGGCCACTCATGGAAAGCCCCGATGTTTCCTTTAAAGGTGAGGCATGGGGATAGTGGTGGGGGTACTCTCAAATGTGAGTCGGGGCCTAGCACGGTGGCTCACGCCTGTAATCCCAGAGCTTTGGGAGGCCGAGGCGAGTGGATCACCTGAGGTCAGGAGTCTGAGACCAGCCTGGTCAACATGGTGAAACCCCGTCTTTACCAAAAATACAAAAATTAGCTGGGCATGGTGGTGGGCGCCTGTGATCCCAGCTACTGGGGAGGCTGAGGCAGGAGAATCGCTTGAACCTGGGAGGCAGAGGTTGCAGCAAGATCGCGCCATTGCACTCCAGCCTGGGTGACAACAGCGAAACTCCGTCTCAAAAAGAAGAAAGTGAGGATCCCGGCCGGGCGCAGTGGCTCAGGCCTGTAATCCCAGCACTTTGGGAGGCTGAGGCGGGCAGATCACTTGAGGTCAGGAGTTCGAGACCTGCCTGGCCAACATGGTGAAACCGCGTCTCTACTAAAAATACAAAAATTAGCCAGTTGTGGTGGCACATGCCTGTGGTCTCAGCTACTCGGGAGGCTGAGACAGGAGAATTGCTTGAACGCGGGAAGTGGAGGTTGCAGTGAGCCGAGATTGTGCCATTGCACTCCATCCTGGGCAACAGAACAAGACTCCATCTCAAAAAGAAAAAGAAAAAAGAAAAAGAAAGTGGGGATTCCCCATCACAGGCTGGGAATGATTTATAAGGAGGCTGGGGACAAGCAGTGAAAGGTGGGAGGTGGGGGGCGGTTCTTACGCCTGGGACACACCTGGAGTTAAAGGAAGGGATATCCAGAGCTCATCTCTTCTCAGACCTGCAGGGAGACCTTTGAATGGACTTCCTTTTCCACACTTCCACCCTCTGCATCCTGTTCCCAAGAAAAATAGTTTTTAAATTCTGCCTTCAGTTGCCTTCTGACTCCTACTAATTCCAGAGACAAGTTCCCTTACAGCCCATTTATTTGCACAGAAGCCAACTTCATACAGGCATTCAAGCACCTACTATGTTCCTGAGATTGAGACGCTAGAGGAAAGTCAGCCCTGCCTTCAGGGAGTCAACACACAGCCAGCCTCTCATTACCCCAACCTCATCTCCCTGCTCCCAAGCCTGAACTTCCTGCTTCAGCCAGACAGGCCCAGCTCCTCCTTATCCTCTCCAGCCATCTCCCAGCCCTGTGGAAGCCATGAGAATCCCTGCCCCTGACTTCTCAACCCTGATCTAGTTTCCCCCATGGACACCAGTCCCCAGTTCCCATCATACATTAAATTCTTAATACTTAATTTTGTCCTATCTTGTTCTCATTTGCAAGTGTGTTTGTTTGTTTGTTTTTCTTTTCTTTTCTTTTTCTCATTTATAGGATCTGGCTCTGTTGCCCAGGCTGGAGTGCAGTTGTGTGATCACAGCCGCAGGCTCAGCCACCTAGGCTCAAGCAATCCTTCCACCTTGGCCTCTCAAGTAGCTGGGGCCAAGGGTATGCACCACCACACCAGGCTAATTGTTTTTCTTTTGTAGAAATGGTTTCTAACCCTGTTGCCCAGGCTAGTCTCAAATTTTGGGGGTCAAGTGCTCCTCCTGCCTCTGCCTCCCAAAGTGCTGGGATTACAGGTATGAGCCATTGCACTGGCTTCATCTGTCCATTTTTAGAAGACTTTTCAATCTTCTTTATCTATCCCTCCAAGCAACTGGGATCCCTCAAAATACAAGGACTAAAACTCTTTTCCCTCCAGTTCTTCCCACTCTCCCCACAGGGGTCAATCAGCCTCAGGAATTTGCTGCCAGGGCACAGAATGCTTCCAGAAGTCGCCCAGCCATTTGGACACAGCAGGTAAGTATTGAGTACCTACTGCATCCCTGTGAACTCCTGAGCATTACACACACTATTCTCTGATGAGGAAGGTGGTGAGTGACAGAGAGGGACTGGAACTGGGCTCTTCTGACTCCTTCCATCCCACTTGGCCCCTGAGCCTAGAGGGCACCTGAGAAGTACCACTGGGCAGTCCCAGCCAGTTTCAGTTTCAGTCACAAGAATGGAACCCTAACTCTCCAAGCCTCATGGCAGTGCGTGTGTGTGCATGTGTGTGTGTGCACGCGCGTGTGTGTGTTTAGTGGAGGGGAGAAAGAAAAGAATAAGAAGACAAGTTCTAGAAGCAAAGGCAGCCTTCCTAGTTATTATTTGATATTAGGAAAGACATCTTACCGTTTGTTTCCCATTACAGCCTTCAATTCCCTTTTCGTTCGGGGGACCTGAAGCACAGAGCCAGCTTGTTGATTGGTTTGAGTTTAATTCATTTGTGTAATATCCCTGTTCCGATGATGTCTAATTAACACTTTTGTTGGGGGGAATAAAACCTCCCATAATCATTAATGAACAGGGGAGAGGAGGGGACTCTTTCCCAGGCAGCAGCCTCGATGCTACTGGGCTGTTTGCTGGCTCCATCTTAGAGAAGTCTTAATGAGACATGTCTTAACAATGGGATTATCGTCCACTTTGGACCAGGATGAGCAGATGGAGCTGGGATTTGATGATGGGATGTTCAGTGCAACATGAGTCAGCACTCACACCTACTCCTGGGGATCTTGACTCTGGGTACCAAATCCAGAGAGGGGGTGCATGGCTGGACAGCCTCTACCACATAGGACAGGTACTCCAGCTACTGGATGAAATTCCAGGTATGAGACTACTTCTTTCTGGTTTTCTCACCTGCTCCAGGCCTAGCAGGGAGAAATAATATATTAGATTTGTTTGTAATTTCACAATTTGCAAAATGACTTTATAAATGTTAGTTCACAGCTCCTGGGGACAGAGAATACCAACCCCATTTAACAGACAAAGAAAATTAAGGTCAGAGAAATTGAAGGACTCACTCAAGGTCACAAAGCTAAGATATGCGACGGCCTGGAGTAGAACCCAGATCTTCTGACTCCAGAACTTTGGGCTCCCTGGGGAGCAGGTTCGGTTTGCAGGTCACTGAGCACACTCCACTGCTCTCCAGAGAAGTCCTATAGAGCTAAAACCCTGGTGATGATATAAAGGTATTGGGATGGTTTAGACTTTTGAAATTCTAGTGTTTGAGAAACCATCTAAAATATATGCAAGTCTGAATGGCATGTGTATGTGAGGGTGAGAAAGAAAGGATCCATAACTTCCATAAGATTCTCAAAAGAGTTTATGGTCCCAAAGTCACAAAATTCAGCAGCCTGGGGTCCATCTCTGACCACATCTTCTAGTGTGAAACATGAAATACAACAAGCTGGGGTACTAACAGGAAGATGTGGGTTCTAGTCCCACCACTTTCATGTGGGTAACTTCAGGTAACCATTTAATCTCTCTGGGCTTCAATTTCCATACCTGAGAAATAAAAATCAAAAACCCTGACCTGCCTTATACACAGGGATTTTGTAAGGACCAAAATACTTAAGGTTAAGAGAAATGGTAGCTAGAAGATAATGATGGGAGAGAGTTATTTTCACTATTTTTCTTGTAGTTTTTATATTTTGTACTACGTACATTACCTACTAAAAATATAAAATTAAAAATTTAACAAAAATACATTAAGCCATCAGGTTATAGAGTGCTTTACTTATACTATCTCACTTAATTCTCTGAACAGCCCTGCAAGGTAGAGATAATTTTCCCAATTGCATGTGAGGCAACTGAGACTCAGTAAGCTCAGATAAATTGTGCAATGTCACAATTGTGTCTGAACATTAGCAGGTCTAGGATTAAAGTTCGTATCTCTCTGATTTCAGAGTTGCTATTTGCTTCTCTCTCTCTCTCTCCTATATTACAGGTGCTCATTCCATCTCATAAAGGCTCAGTGTTAAGAGATAAACTAGATGTACATCGGAGGAGAATAAATTTCACTATACTGCTACAGGAGGGCTAAAAGTTTCCCCATCATTATCTAAATATAAGACTCCCATAACTATTCACCTTCTAACCAACCCAATTGTACATTGGCAGCCTGAAGAATAATATTTTAAAATTATACATATTTTATGTGCATTATACATACGTGCATATATGCACATGCATGCATGTGTGCATGCGCGCGCACGTGCACACACACACACACACACACACACACACAGGTTTTTGTTACAGCAATAGGGAGAGAGAATTAGGGCAGCTATTGAAGATGCACTCTGTGGTCTAGCACTGTGGAGATCTGCCCAGGCACCTTGGCAAGAGTTATTCCTTCTGTCTTATGCCTGAATGCGCTTACCCTTGCCTTGCACAGTCTTGTAAATACTTTGCTGTTGATTCACGATAGGTTATTGTTTTCATTCTGCTGTACATGCCCTGTACAGGTTTTTCCATGTCAATGCCTCTGGCTTAGACTGCAGGCCCCAAAGGCAGGGGCTGGACCATACGTATCTCTTTATACTACATCCACACTGAGCCAGACGCAATTATGTGTTTAATAAAGGTTTGAACAGATGACCACAAAGATAAAGGTCATTTATTTCAACTTAAAGGGATATGAGCCCTCTAGGTAGGGGAATTTTCACCAGACAGTGTTGTGCAGTGGAATGTACACTAATACCTGGAGAAGGTCAAGTTCTGCATCCTGACTTTATCTGGTTCTACCAAGACCCAGGGCAAGAGAATTAGCCTCTCAGTTATTAGCTTGTGCACCTATGAAATGGACATAATAATACCTACTTCACAAGACTGTAGTGAAAATTAAATAAAGAGACTGTGAAATCCCTAGTAAACTGAGAAGTGCTATGTAGTTTTCAGTTACATAAGTTAAAAAAATAGAAAAAATAATTGAAAAAATAACAACTGAGCAAATCCCTAAGATGTGGAAGCATCCCAGGAAAATGCCTCCTGGGCTTTCCAGCCTCAGTGGAAACTATGGCCCCTATGCCTTGCAAAGGCCTGGTATATCATCGCAAATGGAATGAATACTCCAGAGATCCTTGCAAAAGCTAGTTGCTACAATTAAAAGCAGAATTTGCATCCAGCTTTGGGAACAACTAAAGAGGAAAGAAGCAACCCAAATTCTCCCTAAATTTCATTTAAGTTGCATTAACCCTTCTCTAGCCATTCTGGATGGGACACATCACACAGCTACACACTCCCCAACATTAGGGAGGGTTTATTCAAGGGCAGACCAACTAGTGCAAATTACCATGCAAAGGTACACCCTGAGGACCCAGGTGCCCAACAGCCCCTGCGCAGGCAGACAAGGCTAATAAAGTCTCAGTTCCTGCAGACCACTGCAGCTGCTTTGGCAGAAGATGAAGGTCAAGGTTAGTTGTGGAGAGAGACGGCATTCCGGCAGAGACAGTGGCATGTTCCAAGCCTGGGGGCAGGAATGAGCAGACCCTACCTCAGGGACATGGTAGGGTGGGAGAGCGGAGGAGGAGTTGTGTAGGGAGGTGATGAGAAATAGCATTATTAAAACCTGCAGGGAAGTATAATGGGGAGGTGGGAGCGTGGGTCTTTTTTGAAGTGGTCTCTATCATTCCTTCCCTGGGGCTGCCCCTGCACTATCCCTAAGACTGAAATCCTATTAATTCTTCCTGAAGGTCAATCCTTTTCCAAGCACCCTAATAAGAAGTAATTTGTTGCTGGGAGCTTCCTGGCTATGCTACTCACAAGGCAATTTAACATCTACTGCTTTGCTCTGAGACAACACAAACATATTGAGGACCTACTATGCGCCAAGTGCTTTCAGCTGATCTAATTTTCCCCACACACCTGTGTATTATCCTCATTTCTGAGAAAGACTTTTGTGATATTGTGAAATACATATTTGGTCCTGGCTCTTGGCATATACTCCTAAAGTCCTTGGAATCTCCCAAGCGATAAGTGTCTTTCTGTATGCTAATGAATTGACTGGTGGCTGGCAGCCCCTTGGTGGCTTCAGTATGAGAGGTGTTCACCAGACAAACCAAGGCAGGATTAGAGGGTTGAAACCTTCAGCTCCATACCCCAACCTCTAGGGAGGGAAGAGGGGCTGAAGGTTAAGTTGATCACCAGTGACCAATGGTTTCATTAATCATGCCTATGTAATGAAGCCTTCATAAACCCCAAAAGGACAGGATTCCGAGATCTTCCAGGTAGCTGAACACAGGGAGGTTCCTGGAGGGTAGCACGCCCAGAGAAGGCATGGAAGCTCCACATTCCTTCCCACGTGCCTTGCTCTGTGCCTCTCTTTATCTATATCCTTTCTACTATCCTTTTATGAAAAACCAGTAAATGTGTTTCCTACCTCTTTGAGCCACTAGAGAAAAGGAATAAAACCTCAGGATGGGGTCTTGGGAACCCCAATTTGTAGCCAGCCAGTCAGAAGCGCAGGTAAAACAATGCGGGGCTTGCGATTGATATTGGAAGTGGGGGACAGTCTTGTGGGACTGAGCCCTCAACCTGGGGGATCTGATGCTATCTCCAGGTAGATAGTGTCAGAGTTGAATTGAAGGACACCCAGCCCAAGTCTGCTAAAGGATTGCTTGCTTACTGGAAGACTGATTGCTTGCTGGAAGTGCAGGGAAAACCCCACACATTTGGTCACAGAAGTCTTCTGTGTTGACTGTTGTAGGGGGTGGGGGGGTGCAGAGCAGAGGAAAAACAGTTTGCTTTTTTTCATTCAGCTTTGGAGCATGGAGATTAGGAGCATAGTCTCCAGGCCAGACTGTCTGACTCCAATCCCAGCTGCTCTGTCACATCTTAGCTGTGAGACTGGACAAGTTACTTCTCTGTGACTCCGATTCCTGTTCTGTAAAATGGGGATGATAAAATATCTACCTCATAGGATCATTGGGAAGATCACATAAAGTAATATATCACTTTTAAGGGTATCTGGCACTTGGTTAGCTAATAAAGCAACTGATGCTTGGACATTTGCCCAAGACCTAGTAAGTGATATAGCTGGGATGATAACCAAGTATGTCTCCCTTCAAAACCATGTTGTTTCCACTTTTCCACATAGCGTCCCATTCCCTTGTATTTCTCTAAGTATGCTGTCCCCATCTCCTGCATGTTCTCATTAGGTTAACAGTGGTGGGTCCTCCACGGGGCCTAGAGGATGTCCAGTCAGTGAGCCCAGATAAGCAAGTCTACAGTGAAGATATACTAGACCTAGCTTCTATACATTACCTGGCAGGACAGGAAGAGGGAAGAAGCCACACCGGCCAGAGGCTGGAATTCCACCTACCCCTGGTGTGCTTTCTGTGCCTCTGAGATTCAGAGGGCAAAGCATCAGTACCAGACAGAAATACAGGGCAAAGAAAAAGGCCCCATGGAGGTGCTGGGGAGTAGAAACCCCAGCCTGCAGCTCCTTCTCTGCTTCTCACTCAGCCTTTGGCCTTCTTATGACTTAGTCAAGAGGAAGGCAGTGCCAGAGTGCCAAGTCAAATAGGTGTGCCCCCTCCCACCACCCCACCAGGACTGGCAGGGAGAGAGGCCTGCAGGAACCAGGGCAGGGGTCCCATCTGCTGTCCTGCCAGCTCAGCACTCCTACTTGCCCCTGCCCCAGCCCATCCTCCCTTCACGCCACCTCCCCCAGCCCTTCTGCTGGGGGAGGGCATTTCTTCAGACATCCTGACCTCCTCCTGCCCAGGAGGATGAAGGCATAATTAGCAGCAGCCTCTCCTGGGGAGTGGGAAAGAAGAGTGGCTCATTAAACCAGCCATGCGTGCCTCTTCTGTGGCTCCCTCCCCGGGTTCTGCCTCTTCTGCTTGCCCTCTCCTCTCCATCTCCTTTGCTCCCATTTCCTCTCCCATCTTCTCACCCTCTGGCCTCTGCTTCTCCTCTTCGGTGCTGCTCTTGGCTGCATCTCTTCCCGCCTGGCCTCGTCTTGCTCTGTTTATCTTCTCTCCTCTCTCTCTTCTTTCTCTGGCTGTTTTTCCTTCTGGACTTTTCCTTCTTCCTTCCTCTCTAGACCATTTTTTGGCCGTCCCCCACCCCCATCTCTCTCCTTTGTTTCCTTTCTCAGATCCTGTCTCCGATGCCCTTCTCCCTGGGGCACCCTTAGCCTTTGTCCCTCCTCAGAGTCTTCAGTTCCTTGCTTCTCCTGCCCTTTTGCTTCACCTCTGGCCTCTGCTCTGCTTATTCCCAGCTCCCCTTTCTCTGTCGTTTCCCCGAGTTTTCTCTTTCCCCTTTTCTTACTCCATTCCTCTTCATTCCTGGGCCTAACAGGGCCTGTCATTGCTCCACTCGGTGTCTCCGCCACCCTGAAAGAAATCTGTGCATGCATTCTTTCCCTTTCCCGGTGGGAAGAGAGAATGGGGGGAACTTGAGGAGGACCCATCTGACTTTTCTCATCCAAAGCGCTCCCCTGCATTCAATCCACGCATTAGTCCAGAATGTGAGACCCAGTGACAGGTCAGTTTGCAGGGTCAGAAGAAAATGGAAGATGCTTTCTCCACACAGAGGAGGCGGCTACAAAGGAACAGGCTTTGAGTGTCCATGGGTCCCTCGGGGACAGGATGTCTGCCAGCCACACTTGGGCTGCTCACAGTGGTGGCTGAAGAAATCGGAAGGGAGGATCTCTTTTTTTGGTCTGGTTTCCTCAGCTTAGGGCAAGAAGTGCCCACCTCCAAGGAGTTACTTAATTTGGTTTTTCCGCACCCCTCCCTTCCTTCTAAAAATGCCACTGGTGCTGAGCTGCTTCAATTCTGAGGTCAGGGTGGACCCTGGGGAACTGGGTCGGGGAAGGGACACAGGGAAAACACCACGATCCCCTTTGCCAGATCTGTTTCAAGTTCTCCTCTATAAACCGTTATGTTTTCAGGTATGGCATTCTACAGTTGGATCCAAGGGCCTTCCCACCCTCATCCTCTGGGTCTACCACTTCCTACACTACCTGTTAACAATACCTGTTCAAAACCCTGTGTCTCAGCCGGGTGCAGTGGCTCACACCTGTAATTGGAGCACTTTGGGAGGCGGAGGTGGGTGGATCACCTGAAGTCAGGAGTTCGAGACCAGCCTGGCCATCATGGTGAAACCCTGTCTCTACTAAAAATACAAAAATTAGCCGAGTGTGGTGGCACACACCTATAGTCCCAGCTACTAGGGAGGTCGAGGCAGGAAAATAGCTGGAACCCAGGAGGTGGAGGTTGCAGTGAGCAGAGATCGCACCACTCCACTCCAGCCTGAGAGACAGAGCAATACTCTGTCTCAAAAAAAAAAAAAAAAAAAAAAAAAATACAACAACAACAACAAAACCAGGCCGGGCGCAGTGGCTCACGCCTGTAATCCTAGCACTCTGGGAGGCCCAGGTGGGTGGATTACCTGAGGTCAGGAGTTCGAGACTAGCCTGGCCAACATGGTGAAACCCCGTCTCTACCAAAAATACAAAAAATTAGCCAGGTGCAGTGGCATGCACCTACAATCCCAGCTACTTGAGAGGCTAAGGCAAGAGAATCACTTGAACCCGGGAGGCAGAGGTTGTGGTTAGCCGAGATCATGCCACTGCACTCCAGCCTGGGTGACAGAGCGAGACTTCGTCAAAAGAAAACAACGACAACAACAACAATAAAAACCCTGTGTCTCTTCCATCCCCTCCCACTACCACACATTCCTATCTCCATTTTACCAAGATATTTGACAACAGGACACCTTTCGCAGCACAATAACTTAACGTTTTCTTTCCACTTTCCAAACAGTTCCTGAAATTGTACTTCTTTCAGGAAGCCGTCCTGGATTGACTCCATCTTAAAGCTGGAAGAGATCTAAGAAATTATTTAATCCTGTCTCAATTTAGAGTTAGGACACTGAATGTTAGAGCAGTAAAATGATTTTCCCGGTGCACCCAGGATATTAATGGCAAGGCTGGTAGAAGACACACAAGTCTCCCGGTCCCCCTACTTGTGCTCTTTCCATGGTACCCAGCTGCCTTTTAAACGGAGAATGGAGAATAGATGGTCCTGTCTGGTGTGGGGATTCCTGTAATTATGCCTCTTATGCTCACTCCAAAATACTTTCCCTTGTAGTCTGTCTCTTTGCTATATTTGAGACTGGTATTATTGTTCTTAAGTGAAAATTTACTTAACTGGAAGGCAAGTAACCATATTGTATTCATCTCTGTTTCCTCAGCACTGAACAGTGCCTGGCACTCAATAAATGCTTGCTGAATTGAAACTAACTGAAATGAAAACATACTATTGACCGTCTAAAACTACAGAGCCCTCACCATCAATAAGAGGGTGAGGGAGTTTTTTTGTAGACAAGAATGATAAGGCATGGCCCAGTCCACTGGGGGCCAGCTCTCTCCTGCCACTCCCCACCACTCCCAAAGGAAAATGGGGCCTGGAATGATGCCTAGGGACACAACTTGCACTTTTTGCCCTTTCCAAGGCCCGAAGAAAAAGGCATAACCTTCCAGGCCATGACCTTTGCATTTGTTTGGCCTGCTTCATGGCTGCAGCCAAAACCTGTGGAGAGGAGAAAACAGGGGCCACATAGGCCTCCAAAAAGAACTTCAGAAGACACCCGTGGACCCTCACATCACCCAGGGTGGTCACTCTAGTTGCTCCTGGACCTAACCCCAGGTCTCTCTTCATTTGCACCCAGACTGAGTATACACAGGTAAGAGTGTGCGGGTGTGCAGGTGTGTGGGAGGAAGAGGCTGGAAACAGGCTAGGGCGCTGGCACTTTAGCAGAAGGCCCACAGATGCAGATGTGGAGAGGAGCTGGCAGAGTGGTACTTGCCTGAACACTTGGACCCTCTCTCCCGCCCTTCCGATTAAGTTATTATGCAATCTGTTCTGGAGGCTGTTTGGGGAGTTTAAATCTCAGGGCCTGGATTTCAGCAGCTGGCAAAGGATCTGGGACAAGTCCTAACTTTTAACCATAGTGGGAAGCACATCTATAGTAGGGGTCCTGGGTGTTCCCAGTGGTGCCCCTTTGGCACTAGATGTAAATTCAATAGGGAAAGTGAAGTCAAAGAATATGGGTGTTTTTTAGCTGTAGCAAGAAGAACAGTAGGGTGGGAGTAAGGAATCAGGGCTTCTAGTTCTGCTTCTGTCAGAATCCGCTGGGTGGCACTGGGCAGTTTGCATCCCTTCTCTGATCTTCAGTTTCATAATTCATAGAACAGATTACCTCTAAGGTCCTTTCCAGAACGGACATCCCAGAACATAGTAGGTGTTTAGCACAAGTTAAATGCTCAAATAGAAATAATTCTGAGATTCTCTTTTTTGGGATACTTATAATGCTCTTATCCTTTACATCCCACTGGTCTCATTTGGATGATAATGGCCCTTCAGCATCCTCCTTGCTTCATGCCTTCCCCAGGTTTATGTGCCCAGAAATCAGAATGCAGCCTCCCAAACTTCATTATGTTGACCCACTTCTCCAGAACCCAAAATAGCTGCCTACTAGGAATCCAGGTGCATAAAGCTTTAATAACTACCCACCGAGCCCCACCCCAACCGCACCCACCCACACACCTGGAGTGGATTTCTTTCTCCCCTTACAATCCATGCCATGTCTCCTCCTGCTGAGCCCTGCTCCAGATTTACCTCTTTAAGGAAGCCTGGCCAAACTAGCACTATCCATAACCACACCCAGTATTATTTCCTGTCCCTTCAGTACTTAACACCTCAGGTTACATGGCATTTCTCTGCAGTTGCTTACATATATCCTGATAAGTATAGGCACAATTTTCTTTGAAACCTTACAAGTGAACAGAAGGAACCAAAAAAACCCCTTTTGTAAAGCCCACCACAGCTGCCACACCCCCAGAACCTCTAGGGCCTATTCAGTCTTTCCCAGGAAAGGGAGGGAGACTGAAAACATAATTTTATATATATCCTGTAACCTGTTATAGAAAGTAAATAGTATTCAGTCAAAAGTCATGTATATGCACATTTCTTCTTAACCTCAATTACAGACTTACACATAGAGTTATAGCTAAAAAGAGCCTCTGCTTTTACCTAGCCCAACTTCCACATGTTAGGGATTATGATTACCAAAGCCCAGAGAGGTTAAGCAACCTGTTCAAAGTCACACAGCTTATTAGTAGCAGAATCAGGAATGAAACTAAGATGAGGGTAATGCCTCAAACAGGGCTCCTTCCATAATACCACGATACTTTCACCAGCTGACTGAATTAGCCAAAGCAAGGAGTCATTTTGGCATCATGCAGCCAGCTGAGTTCTGCTTTTTTGGTGGAGAATCTGCAATATAGTGCAGTGAAAGAATCTCTCCGGGTCACCAGAAAATAATTCTGATAACAAAAGAGGGACAAATAGGTCTGAAGAACAACCAAAAGGATTTTATGATTCCACCAAGAAAAAAATTAAGAGCCCTAGGATACGGCATTTTTTACTGTGAATTTTTGAGGTTTTGGTCGAGATACTTCCTCAATGCCAGCCCACATTGGCCATTTTTAGGTTGCTGCTGAGGGTGGGACCATCAACTCTAAGTGCTCTGTGCAAATCCAAGGAGCTTAGCAACTGGAGAAGAAAGAATTACAGAAGATATGGGCCACTGCTTCTTCCTCCTGGCACCCAATAAATCCAGCGGCCCTGTAAGGTGGTCCCATCATCAATTATGATGAAAACGTTTATGTCTCAGTTATCCACACCACTGAGGAAGAGCAGTGGAGTGGATAATACAAAAGTTATTTCTTTTTGGCTTTGGAAAGCATGATAATGAATTTTTAGCAGCACCTAATTATGTCGTACTGAAGATAATATTTAAAAACTGTTTGCATTCTCTGAGCACATATTACGTGATAGTACCAGGAGCTGAGCTGGAAGAGAAACTAGACTTTGAGTTAAACATTAATTATAGGGATCTACCAAGTGGATAATCCACACTCAAATAACTGGGATATTCACTCAACGGCTTTTTTTTTTTTTTTTTTTTTTGATTTACTGTATGGCAGTCATTCTGCTCTATGCTGGGGAAAAGAGGCAAGAGACGGAAGTTACAGATATAAACAAATCATAGTCCCTATCCACAAGTAGCATTATAGTCTAGTGCAGGAGCTTAACAACCCACTATGATTAAAACAGAATGTATGATCTTTTGGAATTTCAAAGCAATTTGCTTTGGAAGCCCCCCAAAAATAATAGTTCATTCTTTGGGGGGAGTTGAGAAGACTACCTTAAGAAAGTGGCATGGGGGGTGCATCTTGAAGGCAAATCCAGATCTCAGAGAGTAAAGGATGGGAAGTGGGGTCATTGGGACTGATGCAGCAGTGTTAGCTAGGTATGGAGGTGAGAAAATGTATGGGCTATCCAGGGAACATCATCTTCCCGGAGGTGATGACTGGGATATCCTGACCAGGTGCTCTGGGAGGAGAGCTCAGAAAGAGAGAGACCTGACTGGTTTCACCCTTAGAGCAAAAGGAAATTCTGTCCACCCCAAGACCCCTTCCAATGTGCTCCCTGCACAGCCATCATTTATTTCAGCAAGACAGTTCTTGCTCCTAAAGCAACTTCCTTTCCACTGGCTATTCTGAAGAACTAAAAAAATTCACCCTGGGAAAAATGCTTATCCCGGGCCACAGCAGTCTATTTTTGACTTCAAACTTACTCAATTCAGGACTAATTTCTCTGGGATTCCCAGACTTGGGACTTTCTTTACCGGGGTCGGGGGTGTTATGCTTGGGGCCTCTCTCATAGCCATCAGCCCCTCCAAACCCTTCTGATTTGCTGCAGCTTTAAAATTGCAAGGGAAAAAAAGATGGAGAGAAGGCAGTTCTCTGCCTCTCCTGCCTCTTTCTCTTGCTCTGCGGTTAAGCTCAGCAATGATCCTACAAGCCTGGAATTTGAGGAATTTCCTGCCCCGTGCTCCCTGGAAGAGCTGAGAGAGACCTAGCAATTAGGCCTGGAGTTTCCACTCCTGCCTCCCTCCACCCAAGTTAAGTGCCCTGAGTGAAAGCCTCAGTCTAAGGGGGTCAGTGTGGAGCTCAGCCTGGGATGTGTCTGTGGCCTTAACTTTCAGCCCAAATGCGACCCCCATATAGTCACCCCAACAGCCATGCCCTCCTACCTCCCCCTCTCAATCACCCAAAGAGTATCTGCCAAAATGCTCCAAATCCTTTCGTTTGCCCATCTTAGAGTGTAGTAATGATACTAGTACAGGACATAACAGAGTTAATTCCTTCCAGAATCCATCTGGTCCTTCTGAAATTGTCTGAGAATAATTCAATGCCTTTTTTTTCCACCTTCCCTTCCTCTAACATCACAGGAGCAGAGCTATGCCTCAGCTCTTTATTCCTTCTCCTCCAGTCTGCTCCTCTCTCTTGTCCCTTCTCCCTTTTCTTGCCTTTGTCCACATGTTCATCATGACAATGCACTGACTTATTCGATTTGTGCCCTTGTTCCGTGTCCGCTATAGGCTGAGGGTCTTAGATCTGCTCCTTGAGCACATTTCTGTCTTGGGAATTTCTAGAGGGCAGAGTGGAGGCTCTGGACCTCTATTTACTTGGTTCAAGCCAGAGAAACGGGAACAGGAATAGGGAAGTAGGGAAGGTGTTCCCAAGTCATCCGAATGAACCTTATGTAACTTCTTTGCTGCAGCAACTGCAACAGCAGAAGCAAATTTCTCCTCCTAATTATGTTTTGTTCAGGCTAATAATAAAATTGGTTCATCTTCTCTCGTAGCACATCAATCGATGGCTGGATACCAGGTACTGGGGCAAAAAGCAGCCTGGGATTTAAACGCTTGCCACAAATGGTTCTCAAACTGGCCCATCGACCCTCATCAGATGGCCTCCAGGGAAGGAGGCCCCCTCTTTACCCTTCCCCTCTTTTTCCAGGGCTCCTCCTTGTCTGGGTGTCCAGCTTTATGTTTGCTTCCTCATTCTAGCAGTCCCATTCTTGACACCCTTTCAATAATGCCCCATGCTACTTTTTGCTTTCGCCCTTCCTCCAATCAAGGGACATCTCTGAGTCTTTTCTCCTCAAAGTCCTAGAGCAGCTGACCAATTAGAACCTTGCTTCCCTACAGGCCACACTGCATTCCCAGGTTGGCACCATCTCACGCTCTGATGCCTCCTGGCTCCATGGCCATGCTATGAGCTGCCTCCTACCTGCCCACAGGTCTCTCCCGGGGCTTCACCAGCTTCACCATCACCAGCCCTCTACATCAGTTCCCACAGCCCTTCCCCTGCCCCCTGACTCTGCCTACTCCCTGCTTCATTCCCTTTCTGGGAAGTATTAGGCTGGGACCTGTGGTGTGGTGCGGCACACCAGAGCCTGAGGCTTCAGGCCTAGGGCTTCTTTGCAGTCACCCTAACTCCTGACAATTCTGACCCAGGGTGAAATTAAAATGGCAGTTTCCTGCTTCCCACCCCCCCAATTCTTCCTCTCAGCATATTCCACCAGCCTCAAAAGGACAAGACTCTCTGGCTAAAAAGGAAATCAAAGCTATTCCACTACTTCAATGGGAGTGTTCACTATCTCCAGATTTCCTTCAACTCTCAAGATATTTTGCCTTTTGAGGTTGAGAGTTGCCGGTTGCCAGTTCCCTCCTCCTCCCCCTTCACATTCCCTTCAAACAAAGCTTTTCTGTCAGGTTTTTGACCCTGATGAAGATTTTTAAGATTTTTAACTGGAATCTTTTTTTTTTTCTTTTCCCCTCTTCCTCTCTAATTCTGAAGGATCTTTTGTCTTCTAAGCAAAAGAACTGAGAGATTGAGAGGGAGGGCTGCCTTCTTTTTTTTCCTTGTAAGTAATTAGGAAAGAGGTTTAAAAAAAACAGAAAAATAGAAAAAAAAAGAAACTATTTTCTTTCTCAGAAATTTATTTTTTATTATTTTTGTTTTTTTGAGACAGAGTCTCACTCTGTCACCCAGTCTGGAGTGCAGTAGCGCAATCTCGGCTCACTGCAACCTCCTCCTCCTGGGTTCAAGCGATTCTCCTGCCTCAGCCTCCCAAGTAGCTGGGATTACAGGCGCCACCACCATGCCTAGCTAATTTGTATTATTTTTAATAGAGACAAGATTTCACCATGTTGGCCAGACTGGTCTCAAACTCCTGTCCTCAAGTGATCCGCCCTCCTCAGCTTCCCAAAGTGCTGGGATTAAAGGCGTGAGCCACTGCGCTAGGCAAAAAATGTATTTTAATAGGAAAAAAAAAAGAGAGAAAGCCCTTGAAAATGTAAAAGGAAAAGAAGGATCTTAAAAAGGAGGGAAAGGTAAAGAGGGTAGGAGAGAAAACTAAGAAGGGCTAGAAAGACCTTGAGGGAATGACAGAGAAGAGTGAGAGGAAGAGAGCCCTTGAGAAACGCAGGAGGAAGCAGGAAAGGAGGAAAATGAGGAGAACTTGCCCAGGGAGATGCCCATTTCCTGGGCCGTGCGTGCAATGATGAGTGTCTCCACTGGAACCTGCCCTCCGCAGGAAAGGGAGCTCGCAGGGACTTGACACATCCAGAGCACCTAACAGTGCCTAACATATAGTAAATGCTCCGTGAATGTGGGGTTGAACAAAACAGAGATGTCATGGCGACTTTTTTCTTTTTCTTTTTACCCTTGGACCAAATGAAAGGTTTGTTGGAAATGAGCAAATAAGAGACAAAGAATGCAGGGCCAACTTCACCTGAGCTAGGGCAGGTTGTGCAAGCAAGGCTGAGAAATGGATAGAAGTCACACTCTGTCAACTTCCTCTTGTCTTACCCTATTGTCTTTCCAAGGCTTAGCCCTCTCCCTGTCTGACTAGGCAAAACTGATCCAACGAAATGCTGTCAGCTCTCAATTACTCACACGTAGGTTCCTCACTTTGGAGATTAACCATGGAAAAATCTTAATCCCAGGCAGGCTGATTCCCTTTGCCACCCAGAAGGTTTCGGTTGTCAGTCTGGTGTGAGCAGGGAATTAGAAACTCATTTAAATAGCAGACCAAGTCAACTCTAATAAGCAAGGCAAATCTGATTATTTATCATCATTATTATCACCATGATGCATCCCAAAGTTAAAAAGAAAAGATTAAAAAAAAATCAGTGGCTGGGTGTTACTCGGGTCAAGGCTCTTCCTTCTATTGGGTCAACTGGGAGTTAACTATAGTTACTGCCTTTAACTGCTGGCCTTTGATCTGGCTAGCTTTCTGCAGTCTCTGGTCCATATTTGCAACATCTCTAAAATAAAGATTAGAAACAATTTGTATTATTTGTTTACTTAAAATAGTAGTTGACATTTTCTTTGCTTTCTTTTTTTTTTTTGAGACAGAGTCTCGCTCTGTCCCCCAGTCTAGAGTACAGTGGCACGATCTCGGCTCACTGCAAGCTCTGCCTACAGGGTTCACAACATTCTCCTCCCTCGGCCTCCTGAGTAGCTGGGACTACAGGCAGACGCCACTACACCTGTCTAATTTTTGTATTTTTAGTAGAGATGGGGTTTCACCATGTTGGCCAGGCTGGTCTCAAACTCCTAACCTTGTGATCCACCCACCTCAGCCTCCCAAAGTGCTGGGATTACAGGCTTGAGCCGCCGCACCCAGCCTGCTTTCTTAATATTTGTCAGGCACTATGCTCTATGTTTTATAGATCTTAACTCAATTAGTTTACTTGTTTCATAGAAAATCTGAAGCAGCATACATAGATTCGGTCAATGATATTAAAAATAAGAGAAGAAACTAGACACTGGGATGGGGATGGTGGAGATTAGGGAAGCAGGGAAAGAGACTAAAAACAAGAGAAATAAATTGAGGTTGGGGTAAAACTAATATACTAAATATATGCCATAAGATCCTAAGTGCCTCATCAGAGATGAACTACAAGGTCTAGCTCTGAGCTTCCAAGCAGTCAGTGCAAAGAGGAAAATTTCAAAATTCATGATACAATTTACAGTAACCATAAAAAAATGAACCAGAAGCTTAGGTAAAGTAGCTCTGGAACTTTCTCCTGTGGATCCTCATAAAAGGACACTGTGATGTGTTGAACCATGTCCTGGACAACATTCCTACCATAAATGCAGTAAGGAGTCTCACAGGGCTGTTCCTTAAAGCATTCCTCAGTGAGGGCTGGTGGCACAGCACCAAATGCTCAGTTCAGTAAAAGCAATTCTTTAAGGGGCCAAAACCATTCCATCTTGGTTCCCAACTCTCCAATGGTCTGGCTTAGTCTGAGGATAACATTGAGAGTATCTGCAGGAAGGGACTGGAGGTGGGTGATAACAGCGGGCAGGAGCGAGGGAGTGCTGCAGGTGCAAAACAGGACTCTTCCTACTTAGCTATTTTGGCCCCCAGTTCAGAACTGCATCAGAGATGAGAGGAAGAAAAGGACATCACAGCCCTCTCTGATACTCACAGTTTCTTAGGAGACACTGAAGGTATGGCAGGACTCAAAAGATTATTTCCCTAAGGAGATGGGGTGAGGGGCCAGCCAGCTGTTGTGATGTCTGGGGTAGGAGTAAGGTGACTTTATGAAACTCATTTAAAAAACAAAAGAGTACTTTGGCAATAAAAAAAAATTTCTTCAGAGTACACCTAACCCCCAAAGTATCAGCTTAGCTTGTGGCCATCCTGAGGCTTGGGAAGATTAAGCCTGCTGGAAAAATCCTAAGAAGCATTCAAAGAGGAATTAGTGGTAGCATTAAACACAGTTAAATAGTCCCAGTAAAGCACCGGAAGGAGGAGAACGCACCTCCCCTTCCGAGGAAGACCCCAAGAATCCTAGCAATTCAGAGATCTAGAGGGCCGCAGTTAACACAGAGGTGGGCCTTGCCTGTCGTATCCAAGGAAGGAAAGAAAAGTCCACAACTTAGTTATCCATGTAGCAATTCAGCGTCAAGAAGTTCTTCCATTTATCTGACTAAAACCTCCTTCCCCCCGCCCCCCCCCCCCCATAAAGACTATATTTCTCTTAATAGTGAAGGAGAGAAAGCTCGCCCAGTGTCGGTCTAAGGGACTGGGACCGGAGTAAGCAGGTCAGTCCCTCGCTAAAGGAAAGAAGATTACAGGGAGGGTGGTCGGGTGTTCCCTGGCTGCTGCTTTGAAATCCTTGTGAGTGAGGGGAAGGAGTAAAGGGTGGGAGAAGAAGGCAAGACGGGAAGGAGGCTAGGATCTCAGGCAGAGTCCCGGACAATGGGCAGGAGTATGGAACCTGCGGCCGGTTACTTAATTATCTCTGAATGGTTTTTGTTCCTGGCTTTAAACATTTACCCCTATTGGGTTTTCATGGCTTCACAAGCTCTCTATCTTCTTTTCTTTGCTGTTGCCATGGCAACAACTCCAGGCTTACAACTGCTCTCTGATTTTAAATAAAAGTTGAGGTTTCTCTCTCTCTCTTCCCTCCCCCTCCTCCCTCCTTTTTCTCTCTTACTCTAGTGAGGTCTCTCTCATCTCCCCCTTCCCTTTACCTTCCTCGTTGCCCTCCACTTCCCCCACGTAGCTCTGTTTTTTTATCATCACCTCATTCTCTCATTTCCTCCTTCCACCTGCCTTCTTACTAAGCCCTCTCCCATATCTTTGGGCTTCCAAACTGGTCCTAATCCCCTGGTTGCCATGACAGCAAGAATAGGCCCCTTAGGAGGGATGGGGGCAGAGGTTGAAAAACAAGGGCATCTCTAGGGAAGGTGGGGGATCTGCTGACAGTCCCAGGAGCAGTGTCACCTAAAATCCTCCAGGGACCACCACCTTCCTCTAGCAATTAATGGACAGTAAGCTCCTTAAGTCACCACCCCTACTCCCACCCCCACCCCAGAAAGGACATTTTTGTCTGTGCAGTGGGGAATGGTAGGGGAGGCAGGGAGGTCCGTGGAGACAGCCTAGATGAAGTGGCAGTTTTCTAGTCGGCGGGAGGTGTACACACACCTTGGTTGCGGAGCAAGGGCAGGGGACTAAGGTGGAACTTGTGGCTCTGGTCACTGCTGTGGGGCAGCGAGTCACTTACCCTCTGAGTCTTGGTTTTCATTTGTAACATTCAAGGGTTGGAATAAATCTGTAATTTTCAAACTGTACTCTACGATGCCCTAGGTCCTCTCAGAGCTACTGTGGGGCATGGGGTGGGGTATGCAAGGTGAGAAGAAACGGGGAGCCGTAGGCACCTGAAACCCAAAACAGTTCTGTCTGGCATCACAAGGAGTCTGCTTTTATCTGCTCGGGGTGGAGATGTGGTAGATCGTCCAGGAATCCTCATCACAAACATGGCATGCTTCTAGGGGAAGTCAGGTCCTCCGTCCACTCTGCTTAGTGGACTGCCCAGGTGACTCTCTTTGCCACCTGCCTCCTTCCTTAGCCCTAACCCAGGACAGACAGGTCAGTCGCAGCTTATGTGGAAATTATCTCTGAAATGGGCTAGAAGACAAAATACTTTACTTCATCCTCAACAACATAAACCTCTCTCTCTAAATTTTATGGGGTATGGGATAAAGGGAGAAATGGACAGCAGTGTGGCATTTTAGAAAAAGCTATGGAAGGGGAGTCAGAAGACTTCATTTCCAGTTCTAGCTTTTCCTCTGGTTAGCTCAGTGGTTCTCACTTGGGGCAATTTTACTTCCCAGGTGACATCTGGAAATGTCTGAAGACATTTTAAATTGTCACACCTGGAGACTGGGGTGCTACTGGCTTCCAGTAGGTAGAGGCCAGGAATGAAGCTAAACATCCTCCAATGTACAGGACAGCCCCCACAACAAAGGGTTAGCTGTGTCCAGCTTAAGCAAGTCATTTCCCCATTCTGGGACTCAGTTTCTTTGTTCATAGATTAGTAACTTACACTATCATTTATCTCACATTTGTTGAGTGCCCATGCACTAGGCGGGTAATGGGAGGCTGAGACAAAGAAGGCCCTTGCCCCTATAGACTTTACATTAACTTATATTCACAACTCCCAGTGAGGGGCAAAACAGGACTTATGAATTCCATGTTATAAAGCATTAGGGAAACAGACTTGCACAAGGTCACACAGACAATTGGAAAGGAAGATGGAATGTGAACTCAGGTCCCTGATTACAAATCCAGGACTCTTTTTATTACACCACACCAAAAAAAAGGTTAGTATTTAACAATAAGAGCTAACTTATACCACTGGCTTACAGTGTCTCAGGTACCAAGCCACACATTCTATGCAGGTAATTTAATGCAGTCTTTATCATCATTCCATGAAGCAGATGCCACTGTTCTCCTACAAAGAGGTGAAGTGACTTGCACAAGGTCACACGGGTAGGAGGTGACAGGTCCTTGAATCTGAGCAGTCTGAACTCCAGATCTTGCTCTTTTTTCCAGAAGGTGAAAAGCATCTGGCCTCAGGCATCATTTACGGAGCTCCTCATTTTACTACTGAATAAACCAAGGCCCCAAAAAAGCACATGTCTTGCCCAAGAGAAAGCAGTCCAATAAGACGAGTTGAGATTAAAATCCAGGTCACCTGACTCCTATTCTAAGGTCAACTCTAATCTACCCTCAAGCTCTACATTTTTTAATCTTATTGGGGAAGGGAAGCAGGGGTGGGAGATACACTATGAAAAACAGACCTAAGTCCAAAGGCCCAGGAATCAAAGTTTGAGGGAAAGTGGGAGGGGGAAAGTGGGAGAAACAGCTGGTGGTCATGAGAATGAAGAGAGCTGCCTCCAGATGGAGAAAGAAACTGAGAGCTCAACATTGAGGGGGAAGAGCTGGGGGAGGGAGCTCAGAAAGAAGAAAGATGCTGACCACAGAGGGGACCCGGTCCAGGGAAAGGAGGCTTCTGCGTGTGACTACGTCCTCGTGGCCACTGCCTGGCCTCCTGCTTCTCCTCCAGGCTCCTTCCCCCACTGCTGCCCTCCGGTCCTCCCACCAATCACCTCTCCACAGCTGGCAAGATTTCCTGGTTCCCTCCTTCACCTTAAAACCCACTGTGGCCCAGGGAAGGAGAGAGCCTGGAATCCCCCATCCCATCTCCCAGCCACCTGTGTCCAGGAGCTTCACCCACTGCCAACCAGACCTACCCCTGAGAAAGGGGACAATAAGACCCTCTACTTCCCCTAGGCCTCAGCGAAATGCCTCCAACCCCTCCCACAGGGCAGCCTTGAGAGAATCCTGAAGTGCCCAATAGAGCACAGCACAGAGGAGGCACCAGCCGCTAGGCTTCTCCCAGCTTCCGGTTCCTTCTAGAGTCTCTTCAAGGCTGGGCTCAGCTCTTCAGCCCATTTTACAGATGAGGAAGAGGCCTTGGGGCTTCTCCGAGGGTCCAACCCTCACGCAGGGGACCAAGGCATAATTATGAAAGAGGCTTTGGTTTGTCGTTTGTTAGTTTTGCTTTTAACAAAACATAATCCAGGGCCTTGGGGAACTTGCAATCCGGTTGGAAAACTGAAAGGTCAGTGCTTGAAAACCGAGTGTAAAGTGAGATAAAAAGAGAGGGTTAGTCAGGATGGGCTCTCCGGAGGCGGTAAACCATCTGCAGTCAGACACAGGAGGTCATGAGGGCCTGGGCTGAGAAGAGTGAGCAGCTTGCATAGGAAGGCTGTCGGTCTTTGCAGACAATCTGAGATTCCAGCCCGCTCCAAGTAGAGGGCCCTGGTTTTCATTTTTTCCCTGCCCCCACAGCTCAGCTCTGGTCAGCCTCTGAGATGATTAAAACCAAAAGAATTTTAAATGTCTGGAATTCACTTTTCACCACTGATGCCATTGGCTTATTTTCTCTCTCTCTCTCCTCCCTTCCCTTCTTATAATTTCTCCTCTTGGGAGAGCTATCTGTTTGCTTTACTCCTTTCTTCTGGCCCAGTTTGCTCTGAAATGATTCCCAGTACACACCAGTTAACTTTGTTTTCATTTAGGAGAGGAGGAGAAAGGGGGTTGGGTGTCTCAGGCAAAGGGGAGGGAGGAGGGAAGGGTGGAGGGCCCTTGATCTTGCTGGCAAAAGTTCCCAGAAAAAGAGAAGAAATAGCTTTCAGGGAAAGAAATCTGCCGAATGTTTATGTTCCCACAAGATTCAGCAAAACCTTTTCATAGACCAAAGCTAAAGTTCAGGGCAAAGCCAGAGCATGTTTCTTCGGGGAGAAACTCTTATCAACATGCATACACAAGCACCCACACCGTTGGTCCAGGTCCCCACCTTCCAGGGCAGGCTGGGACATTCTCAGGACAGTGTGTGTGTGTGTGTGTGTGTGTGTGTGTGTGTGTGTGTGTGTGTGTGTGTGTGTGTGTGTGTATGCATGTGTGTGACATTCTCAGGACTGTGTGGGGTGTGTGTGTGTGTGTGTGTGTGTGTGTGTGTGTGTTTATGGTGGGGACTCCTGCTCTCCTTACCCCAAGTTCAGACCAGATCTGAAGATGCATGAAATGTTTGCTTCCACCCTGGTTCCTGAGCAAACGCTGCTCCTGGGATACCCCTGCTCTGGCCCTCTGAAATCAGTACCTCTGGCCTTGGCTTATAAACCAAATCAGAGAGATCCAGGGCCTCATTTGGGAAGAGCCAGTCCTTTTCATGAACTCTTACCGGATAGGAAGGAGTTGGAAAACTGTGCAGCCAGAAAGAATCTTGGAAATTAACCTTCTCATTTTATGATAAGAAAATAGGCCCAGGTCACTGAGTAAGGTCTCTCCAGTAGAGGCACAAATGGGGCTAAAATCCACATCTAGACCTGCAATCCAGTGCTCTTTCCATACTGCCTCCTGAATATAGATGTTCCTATTGTAATGCCCAGGAAACCAGAAGCTGAGTCAGAAGTTGCAAGCCATGTGATATGTTTAACCCTTTTATGTTTAACTCGCTATGTTTAACCCTTTGGCACACAGGCTTGAGGTGGGCAATCTGAGGTCTGGCAGGCGGCAGAGGCAAGATCAGCCTTGCTTGGAGCTGGGTGCCAATGAGCTTTCAGCCAGAAGCAGCCCCAGCTTGAACAGGCAATTTATTTGTGGAAAGAAGAATTATACCAGAACAGGCTGCCATGACTTTTCTCAATAGCACACCCTAGAAGCAGCACAAGGTAGAAATTGTGTGCCTTCCCTCCTTTTTCGAGGAAGTAGAACAAAAGGACCCTCCCTCCCTCACAAACTTGTTAAGAAACTAACTTGCTTTATGTGCTGTCTGCTAAGCCAGGTGCTTTCATGTATGGTGGTAATAATAATGGTAGTAGTAACAACAGCCACCATTTGTTAAGCACCTATCATGGGTCAGAGGCTCTGTTTTGCATATACTGTCACCAGTCTTTTCAAGATTCCCATTTACCAATGAAGAAATTGAGACTCAAAGTTTATATTCCAGGATCTCACTGCTAGTTAATGGCAAAGAAGTAGGATCCACCTCATTTAATTCTAAAAACCAGGCACACTGGACTAGGGTCATGAAAGAAAATTCAATATGTCCAGGGAAAGAAGGACTTTTCCATGTCCCCCATCCGCTTCTCGGGGACCTGAAGAAGCTTGGGGCACAAAGAACTGCTGAGGAACAGGAACGAGGGACAGACACGAGACACACTAGAGATTAGGGTCCCCTGGTCCAACTGTGTGTCCAACTCACGGGCAAAGGTTTCTGTCTCTTGGGCCTCTCAATTCATCATCTGGACGGGTGTCCTTTCTGTTTATCTCTGGGATGAAAGCCCAAGGAAAGCCCCGAGGTGACAGCAGAGCTGACCATCTGCTGGGTCCAGAGGGGAGGGCCCAGCAGGAATGGTGTCCCCTCCCTCCCTTTTTCCATTACATCCTGTCCTGTGCTGACCCCATGGAGACAGGGCCATTGGGTGGTACGAACATGACCTTTACAACTAACCAGACAGACCTGGATTTAATTTGTTGTGACTCGAACAAATGACAGGCGCTCTCTGAGCCATGGTTTTCTTCATCTCTAAAACGGGCATGATGAGCACACTGTGAAACACCTGGCGCAGCTCCCACATGGTGCTGAGTAAAGGTGAGCCCTTTCTCTCTTCATCTGATCCTACTACTGAGTGATCATTCCCTGGTCATTTCCAGGGGCTCAAGCCTCAGGAGAGGTGTCCTGCTCCCCACAAACAGAAAAGTTCCCAGGCCAGGGTCCAGGTCCTGTTGTGATGGTGGCCCTGCCCTTCCTTTCCCTATCACAGCGATTCTCGACTTCCCAGCACACGGTTGACTGAACCTCACTGGGGACTATCTCCTGCTCTTCACTAAGCTTTCTGGCCACCAACCTATACACATCTCCTGCTGTACCCCTAGGGCAGGCCAGGGGAGCTCCGGGGATAAAGCCTGTGCCAGCAGCCAGCACTGTGGACCAGGTGAGGCCTCCCCAAGGGGCACAGCCTCCTGCCTTCTGGCAGAGACCCCTGGGGCCTGCTGGGCAGCCCAGGGGTTCTGGCTCCCAGGCTGCCTTACCACCCCAAGTGTCCCTTTCTTCTCACTGCGCCCCGCCCCCTTCCTCCAACATGTCTCTTCCCACTCTCCCCTTCTCTCCCTCTTCCTCCCCACCCCCCTCGCTGCCGGCTAGGAGCAGGAGGTTATGAAAATGAGCTGCGTGCCCAGGAGACTGTAATTATCTGCTAAGTGTGAAAGCCAGAATGATTAATTAAGAGATAATAAAAAGAAAAGGAGGGCGAGAGGGGGGCCTCCCGGCTTTGCTTTGATGATAGAACCTGAGGTGAGCCAAGCAATTAGGGGAATCTTTATCGAGAGTTAGCTATAATCCACAAATTATCAAGCTCCAAATGCTTCAGGAGCAGGGCGCACTTCACTCCTGCAGAGTGACAGACCAACAGACAGGGAAGGACAGCAGGAGCGGGGAGCATCCGGCTCGGGGGCAGAGAGAAGCGAGGGCACAGGGGCTGCTGGTGGATGGCCAGCTGCAGGGCTAGCTGCACTTCCAGGACTCCGGGCCATAGTTGTCCTACCCTCCTACCCTTAAAGGGTGCACTATCCTCAAGCAAACCCAGGCTGCCCACAAGCAGGCTCCAAGCTGAAGCCCGGTTTAACTCCAGGACAGGCTGCCCATGCTGCACTCTCCCCCCAGACACACGAGCTCTTCTTCTTCAGAGGGCTTACATTCCACCCCAGTCCTCTCCTGAGGTGTCGGGGGGCTCTGCCTGTGTGTGTGCAAAGCATGTCACCTGGCCAGTGTGAATGCTGCAGGGACCACATTTGACAAAGCCATACCGCAGCTCTCAGCCTCCAGACCCTCCAGCCCACATAGCCCTCACTGGGCGACCTCCTTCCGGCCCCACCCCATTCTATTAGACCCCCTATAAGAATCGTCTTCACTTCTCTCATGGGCTCCACCTGGTGTCCTCCTTCCACCTGGGCCCAGGTTCCCTTCCCTCCACCCCTTCTGAGGAAACGTCCCTCGCTGATGACCCAGCTCCAGTGTCTCTTTCTATCTTCTTCTGTGCAGATGCACAACAGGGTCCAAAATCTTCCCTTATTTAAATGATCTTTATAGGTGTTTATACACTGGGGAAGATGGGAACCCATGTCCCCCCATTATAGTTAGCTAGCTGGTAACAGAAACCAAGTCTCCTGCCTCAAGTTCAAGTTTACAGTTGAGTTTGCACTTATACGGTTCAGTATCCCAGGAAAATGCCCACACTCCTTCATCAGACTAGGAGATCCCCAAAGGCAGGCACCCCATCCCACAGACCCCATCCCCTCCTCTCTCTGCTTACACTGCTATCTCTTGGGATCCACCCTGGCAAGGCGGGACAAGGACACTTCTGAGTGATTCCAAGAGGAAAACATTCCTGCTCCTAAGCTAAAACTGGCCCTGGCTGTGAGGCAGGCCCACCTCTGCCATCACCCCCATGCCCACTTTCCTACATGCTGGCTTCAGCAGCAGATGTCAGCACTGCTCTCAGCCTGGCTCCCGTGGAGAGAGGAGGAGGGTCCCTCAGGCCATCGGCTAGAAATGATGGGAAGGACACCAGAGTCCTCCAGCCCCCAGCTGCTCTGAGCGGCTGAGAAGGGGACACTAGACAGGTAAGGGCACAGTGACTCAGCCAGGTTCTTGTGAACATCATTCTCCTGGTCCTGGCTGGGGATACTGTAGGAGGACAGCCTTGGTGGTTTGCTGGAAAGCAAATCTGACCCCTAACAAGATAAACTTCTTGGGCTCACGCGGGGCCCAGGAGGCAGTCTCGCCTATGACCTCTCTGGGCTTGCTTCTCTATTACAAGGAGCTTTGCCTTGAAGTATGAGAAAATAAACCTGTTGTGGAAAATGTTATTTATCCAGACACAGAGAAGACTGGAGACGTGTTCAGTTACAATACCCAATCAGACAATTTCCATGCAGGAGCAGGGAAGGTTCAGGCTAGACACAAAGAAGAACTTCCTGCTTGCCAGGGAGTATTTGAAATCAAAGTGAGTGAGCAGAGAGTACTAATGAATTCCTTTCTCTTCAGAAAAAGGACAAACATTGATGTCTCTGGGTTGGTTCAAATTAGTCCAACCTAAAGAGAGACATTTTGAGAGTCCATTTTGAGGTTCTTAAGGAATCATCACTCCACTTTCATTTCTCACCACAGGTTCTGTGTTCCAAGAAGCCCAATCTATTGATCTCGCCCCATCTGTACTTTGCCTGTGTTCTCATTCACACTTGCAGATAGCTAAATGTGTGTTGATTTTCTGGGAGAGAAGAGCAGGTGAAGGAAAATTAATGGGAGATCCTGTTTCCCCCAGTGGACAGGATTCCCTAAGTATAAGGACCAGGCTTCTCTCACAGAACCAGGGAACCCTGAAGGCAGGCAGTCTCTCTCCTCTGGCCTGTGGATCTCCCTCTACAGCCTGGGGTTCTGCGCGCAGAGAAGGGAGGGAGAGAGTGAGTTCGCTCATCATGTGGGTTGAACAATTATGAGGTCTATGTGAGTGTGAGATGCTGACCTGCCCGGAAGACAGTTCCCCACTGCTCCCCCAAATCATGCACCCAATTAAGTCTATGACCTACCTTCCTTCCCAAATCATGCAACTTGCTCATGACCCAGTTTTTAAGCCAAAGCCAACAGGGTCAAGGCCCAGACCAGAAGCTCTGTCAAAATTCTTTCCCCCACATCTCCCATTGAGAGATGAATTATGAGGACTTTTTTCATTAAAAAAAAAAAAAGTGGAAATGACTGGCTCCGATATGGATGAGTTTCCACCAGCACACCAGCAGGTTGCTTTTCAACTCCACAGCTGGCAGCCTGAGTGAAGACTTGGCAGGGTGGGGTGGGTGGCATGGAGCTAGTGAGGTGGCAGGGAGGGGCTTAGATAAGACAATCTTGGGGCTAAGGATGGGCGTGCTGGCAAGCTCTGTGCACTCTCTTGTCCCACCAGCTGCTTCCTGAAAACAAACATATCAATGCTCCCAAATCAATGATCCATCAGGGCTGTTATACAACTAAGCTGGCTGAAAACTGAATTCAGTTAAATGAATTCTATTTTCTTTTGATTCTCATTAGAACGTTGAAGATCTATTTCCCCAAGGAAAGCATCCCCTAACACCTCAAGGTGTGGTCCTAGGACAAGCAGCATCAGCATCACCCGAGAGCTTGGTGCAAATACAGAACTTCCATCTGACCCCAGACTTTGTGAGTCAGAATCTGCATTTTAACAAGATCCCCAGATGTTTTGTAAGCATGTTAAAGTTTGAGAATCATTGTTCTAACACACTGGGTTGAAACCTGGAAAGAAAGGGGTTTTTAAAATTAATTTATTTATTTTTGAGACAGAGTCTTGCTCTGTGGCCCAGGCTGGAGTGCAGTGGCACCATCTCCACTCACTGCAACCTCCGCCTCCTGGGTTCAAGTGATCCTCCCACCTCAGCCTCCAGAGTAGCTGGGACTACAGGTGCACATCACCAAGCCTGGCTAATTTTTGTATTTTTAGTAGAGACGGTGTTTCACCATGTTGTCCAGGCTGGTCTCAAACACCTGATGTAAAGTGATGCGCCCACCTGGACCTCCCAAAGTGCTGGGATTACAGGTATGAGCCACCATGCCTGGCTGAAAGACAGGGTTTAAAATGATGGTTAAGCTTACTGTACACCGTCCTGAGAGTGCTTTTCCAGGACTTACAAAAGAGGAAAGTGGGTGCTATCACTCTGTTTTACAGATAAGGAAACTGAGACTCATAAAGGGCAAAACAGCATTCAGTTTCCAGATCCAAGACACAGACCTAATTCTAAACCAGAGTGCTTTCCATTACACTGTGCTGCCTCCTAAAGCTCCCACTGCACTGAACCCCAGAGAACAGAGCTCAAGGATTACCTACATCACTGGTCACCCTCCTTGGCCCAGTTAACAGTCTGATCTGTATTTGGCCTATTCTTTGTTCATCTCTCATTTCTATTGTCTGTTTTTTCAAGATCTGCCTTGGACTAAACTGTAAAAAGCAAGGACTGTGCAATATTAATAACAACTATAATTTATTGAGTACTTATTGTATTTCAGATACTGTTCCTTAATATAGGTCCTCTCATTCAATCCTCACAACAACCCTAGAAGATAGACGTAATCATTTGCATTTTATAGATGAGAAAACTGAGGCTCCAAGTAAGTGACTTGGTCATGATCACACAGAAGCAGCCCCTCTGAGAAAGAGGCTGACTCTGCCACAGGCCCCCTGGTGAGGAGGTCACTCTAGGTGCTTCCCAATTCCAGGAACCGGGTTGTGTTGAAAAAGGCCAGTCTTAAAACATGACCCTGGCATGAAACCAAAGGCAATGTGTGCAAACTAAATCCCTCAGGCACAGACTTTACAGGCTCCCCTCTCGATTTTCTGCATAAATGGAGAGTGGCAGCGGTGCAGATAATCCAGAAGTCATTTCAACTTGGCTTTGAAATGCATTAGATTTTTTTTTTTTTTCAAAGTCAGAGATTTTCCTTTCTAATTATATTTGGCTCAAACTGACATTAAAATGAGTTTGCATTCTCACTTCGCCCACTGCCTGGTGAAGGGAGACTTCCCAGATGTGTGCTGTGTGATAGGCACGTCAGTCTGGGATCCAACATCAACCACAATGTAGCTGCCCCGGGGGTGAATGCTGGAGGGTTCTGGCGCTGGCAGCACAGCCAGCCACGAGTGTGTGTGTGTGGGAGGGTCAGGCATCAAGGGGAGTGTGGGACCTCTGGGAGTCCCCCATCCCATCCCACAGTGTCAAGCTGGTAGATTTCCAGGGAGAGTGGGGAGTGGTGGGGAGGACTGAGACAAAGAGGAGCAAGTCAATTCCTCAAGGTTTTGGATTAAAACCCAGGAGTCCCACTGTCTCGATGAAATGTCCTTCTGGATGACTCAGGAGTAGAGATGAAAACTTCAACTTCTCTCAGAGGCTTCATTCTGCCAGCCTGCCTAGCCTTGGGTTTCTGCTCCTTTGAAATGCCTTCTCTCTCTACTATGTTCTCTCCTCCTCTGCCCTGCCTGCCCATCTCTGCTCCTTTCCTTTTAATAACCTCCCAGTTAAGCGAATCGAATGGGAAGAAGCAGTTAAAAGCAACTCATGGCTTGACAATGCTGGGTAATGGAGCGAGCAAGGCCCCGGGCTGTTCCTGGGAGAATTCAGGAAGGAGGAGGAAAAATAATAATAATAAAAAAAACTCAGCTAAGCTGATTACAAGGACAAAGTTAATTTAGAAATCAGCTCTGTTGGGTGGGAGTGGGGGGTGGAGAGTACGGAACTGGACACAAGAGGTTGGGAGATTCGATTTGGGGGAAGTGTGCTTTATATAAACTGCCTTTGTTCCTGGAAATCATAATCCTTGGGAGGGACCAGGGTTCACTCCTTCGGATTCCTCGGCTCCTTCCATCCGGAGCAGGGGGTACAATCGGGGATTGTCCAGAGCTTGGATATCTCGTGGCACCACATTCCAGAGGCCCCGCAGCCCCTGAGCCTCACATCTGTGGCCCCCTCCCTGCCCCTGCTCCCTGCTCCACTCCCCCTCACTGGACGGTTAGGCTTCAGCATTTTTCACATACCTCTCTCACAACCTTTATCTTATAAAATTGTCAATATGTGTTTATACATCCATCTCCCACACCATACTGAGAGTGCCTCAAGAACAGGGACTAAATCTTACCTACCTTTTCATTCCCAGGCCTAGGCCCAGCACAGCCATTTAAAAAAACAATGCTCATAAGTTGAACACATGCTCTCACCCCCCCTGGTGGGACCCTCTTCAAAGGACTCCATTTGAAAAACCAGAGCTCACTTCCTAGCAGAGGTTTTAAGAATCTTTAGGCTCAGCTCCTAAATGCACATGTATCTAAGGCCACAGACCAGTGGAAATGGCCCAGAATTGACCCTGAAGGGACTAAACCCGGATGGGCCCTCTGATGGAACCAGATGGCTCCCCTTGACTCTGGGCAGTGTAGACATGGCCCAAGCTTGGGGGGGACAGGTAACAAAGAGCCTGGCCTCAGAGTCAGGCTGCAGAGCTCTCCTCGCAGTTACTGCCGTTGAACTCTGCCTCCAGGCATCTTTATCTTATACTGAAGTATTCTCAGAGGAAAAGATTTCCTCATCCTTCCGAAGTCTCTCTGGCTCAAGTCACAGATCTGAGACTTCCCAAGGCAGAGCTGGTATTTCTCTAAGGTTTTCTGCTCACTTCTGCCTGGCCAAACCTTGGTTATCTGTTTTTTTCATGTTTTTAATTGGAGGGGTTATAAATTTCCATAGTGTCTCCAGTAGAAGAGGTGTTTAAGAGGAGGGGAGGCTTTGGTGAGAAGTGAGATGGGGATTATACCTGTTTTTAACACACCCTTTGTCTGCTTAAAAAACAGAAATCCATTGCTCCCCAGTTCTTACAGGGGAGTCTTTGCAAGAAGTCTTTGGCCTGGCTTTTCCAGGCCTCCTCTGGTCTGTCCCCATTCTGCCGTTCTGGATCATCTCATCTGTTTCTCCCAAACCAACCCAAATCCTCAGTCCAACTGGCCTCAGTGTCCGCCACACATCCCACCAGCAACATCTTGGTTCCGGAAGTCTGGCCCATCTGGTAAGGCTCTCCCTCTTCCTGCCACATCCATGTCCTGTCCATCCTTGGGCCCCACTTCCTCCACGGAGCCCTTCCTGGTCACTTCAGCCCACAGCAAAGTCCCTTCTCTGGACTCTCTAGCTCTGACCTGCACACTGCTATCACGGCACCAATGACTCCACACCTTGCACCACCAGCAGTCTTCATGTGTGTATATCTTAGTTTCTTAAAAGGGAAGGACCACCTGCTGTCATATTTTTTGGTCCACATAATGCCTACCAGTATGTTTTGCATATAATAATGTACAGTTGATGATTAAAAAAATAATTCTCCTGATTTGGTGAAAGAGAGAACTGAGGCCTACTGAGATTAAGTAATTTGCACTGAAATCACAAAGTGAGACCTTCAAGGGCAGAGATCTAGTACATTATTCACTTTGCAACACTGGAGCCCAGCACACAGTAAGCACACAATTCTCTTCCGCTGAATGAAGGAACAAAAGTCCTTCCTCTTTCCACACATCTTTCAGTGAAGATATATTCCTCAGACTGCCTCAGAAGGAAAGAAGGGGCAAAAAGAAAAGGCATCCAATGGCCTAGTCGATTCTGAAGCGGACCTAGGATGGGACAGCTTCCTGGGATAAACCTGCTGGGCACAGAGTACACCTCCAGACACTCGGGTTCCTGTTATCCCTTCCCTGCCTCAAAACCCAAGACCCACAGCATTCTGGGTGAGTCTCCCATCACCTTCCAGAGCCAGATTGCAAAAGGAATGAAGCGGCAGCATTCTCTCCTGGGAAACTAATGGAATTTGCTAGAGAGTTCTGGAGATTTCTACCCCTGGATTTAAGACCCTTAATCCTGAGGAGGTTGACTGGCTGCAAGGCTCATTTATTTCAATACGATGCCTATTTTGTTAAATGGGCTCAAGGAGGGCAGAGAGGGATGAGGACTGCAGCCCCTGGAGACAACAGAGGTTAATAAAAGTGGCTGAATAAATTAAATATGGAGGGAAGGACAAGCTGGGAGCTTGGAGTCAGCTGATAGAGGGAGAGTAAGTGGGATAGAAAGAAAAAACAAAAGTGTCATACTTCAGTGATGTCTGCGAGCTACAGCAGCTTTTATCCTGGATGCTCCAAGAACTTAATTAGGTTCGCATTGTCTGACAATCAGACGTAGGAAGGTATAAGAGCTGGAGCTACAGAATGGAGAGGGACCAGTGTTACAGAATGAGGAACCCCAAGCTTCTTTCTCAACTTTCATAACTTCACAGTTTGTGCATCTATCAGAGAGGATGCAGGGCATGCAAGGCAAGGCAAAAAGTAGTGCCTTTAAAGACACAGGAGGGCTGCTATGGCTGGAAGAAAAATGACTCACAAAAATGTACTACTGTTGCACACTAGTGCTCTGGTGACTGAAAAGGCTTGGGTAAAGATGAGAGATATCTGTCCAGATGTGTATGGGGATGGGGATAAGAAGTGGGTGCATGTATAGCTGCACTATGAAGGCATGTGTGAATACATATGCATATGCATATGCATGCAGTGAGATTGCATCCACACGCTTGCATGCAGCAGTAATGCAGAACAGGTAGGTGTGCAGTCTTCCTTCTAGGAATTATCCTCAGCCCCCACCCCATCTTTCCTGCTTGGGTTCTAGTTCTGGCTCTGTCACTTACTAGCTGGATCATCTTGGACAATCTGCTTAACTTCTTTGGATCCCTGTTTGTCCATCTGTAAAATGGGGATAACACCTAACTTCAACAATTATGTCAGTATTGAATTAGTTACTAATGCATGTAAAATACAAAATTGCCCTTCACAAAAGTGAACGGATTTCTCCCCCACTCTGAGAGAGCCCATTATTTTTCCTGATTTCTGAAATTGCCTCTTCCTCCTCCCTGGTTTCACATTTGAGGATCAAGGACATGACAGCCTCTTTCTCCTCTACTGCTGACAACCCACCCCCACACCCCCATCCTTTTCCAGGTCAAAGAACCCTCCAGGAGATTGCCAAGTAAACTGGTCCAGAGGCCCTGGGAAGAAACCAGACAGGAACTGGTAGGTCGGGAAGGGGCATAACTTTCTCATCTCTGGACATATGAAGAGAAATGTCTCTAGCCTCAGATGGAAACATCTCCCAGAAATTGGGGAGATTAAGGAATTTGTCCCCATCCCTTCCCTCCATACCAACTGCCACCCCTTTGCAATTTATTTAACTTCTCTAGGTCTCTGTTTTCTCATCTATTAAATGGAGAAACAACTCTCCTGCCTACACCATAGGATGAGTGTATCTCTCTATCAAATGGTACATGTGAAAAGTTGCTAAAATTGCCAAGCACCATACAGGTACAAAGATAAAAGACTCTAAACGTGGGAGGAAAAGGATTGAGGCTTTCCAAACCTCCTTCTGACAAGGGGCATTATTTACTGGTCCCAGCCCCACTGATTAAAACATGTATCCTGACATCTAAGTTTTGCTTCACAAATGATCATCAAAGCAAGGCAGGGAGATAGATGTGTCCTTGGAATTTCTGGGCTGAGAACTAGGGAAGGGGGCTGAGCTGAGTGAGGCACCAGGAGAGGAAAAAAGGCCTAGGCTTCCCTCCTGTCCTTCCACAGCTGCCTTAACTCTAAGAAAGGCAGGGTGTGGCTCTTCTAGGCAGGCTGAAGGGCACTCATGGCGCTTAGGAGGGAGACAAAAGAGGGGTTGAATCTGGGGTCTAACACCTCAGGTATGCCCTTCAGCAAGTTACTTAAACTCTCAACTGTGGTTTCTTCATCTATAAAATGGGAGTAACATTAACCTGAAAAGCACACTGTAGGAATTCAATAAAAGGTAATTTTGATGCTTTGGTATGGAGTTCACCTCCTACAATCACTTTTCACCACCCAAGGCCAGGCAGTTCCCCAGGGCACAGGCTAAGAAGGAGGGTTGAAAGCCTCCCCAGGCGGGTTAGAACAAGCCATCTAAGACCCTAGCCTCCAATCCTACCAGACTACCAGGGACCAGACAAATTTGGAAGCTGACACTTGGGGAGATCCTGGTCTCAGGATTATCCCCTAGACCCCTTCTCAGTGCTTCTTTTGCCTCTGTATGGCTCTGGGCCTCTCCAGGAGTCAGCCTTGCATGGAACAAGAATAATTCCCAAATTTGTAGTTCATGGACCTGTAACAAGGCTGTGTTTAATATTAGAAACAAACCTTTTTATTTGCCAAGTCCTTGAAAAAAGTCATTTACTAGATTTATCATATCATCAAAGAAAAACAATTTAACACCAAAAAATGTAGGACAGAATCTCAGAATAAAGGATTGTTTTTTAAATTTGAATGAGTTTACCTTTATGAAATACTCACTCCCTTTTCTTCCTAGTTCTCATTCTGCTATGGACCAGGAAAATCCCTGTCCCAGTCCAGCATCAGTCTCTGCTGGCATGTAGGATCTGGCAAAGGAGAAGGGTGCAGGCTGTGGGATCCACTGGTTCCTACAACTACCAATAAGATACTTAATGTATCTAAACCTCAGTTTCTTGGCCAGGTACAGTGGCTCACACCTATAATCCCGGCACTTTGGGAAGCCGAGATGTAAGAAGCGGTTGAGCCTTGGAGTTTGAGACTAGCTTGTGCAACCTAGCAAGACCCATCTCTCCAAAAGAAAAAAAAGAAAATTAGCCAGGTGTGTGTGGTCCTAGCTACTTAGGAGGCTGAGGTAGGAGAATGGCTTGAGCCTAGGAGGAGGTTGCAGTGAGCCATAATCACACCACTGCACCCTAGCCTGGGCAGCAGAGCAAGACCCTATCTAAAAAAATAAATAAATAAATCTCAGTTTCTCATCCATGAAATGGGGATAATTTACACAGCCAATCTCAGGGGGCTGTAGCATAGATTAAATTAGATAATGCATATGAAGTAGTTACACAGGGCTCAATAAATGATCCATATTATTTCCAGACTCTGAAATGCTGCCACCTCGGGGCTAGTGTCCCTCCTCATTTCACACAAGAGCTCTGGTTCCTTCTCACTCAAGTGCCAACCTCTTCCACTTTTGCTCTCTCTCCTCAAATCCCTTCCCCAGATCTTTTCTGAGGTCTCCAAGGAGGGGGTCAGTTTCCCCTTCTGGGTCTGCCACAACATAGTTCTTTCCATGAGAGATACAAAGAAGGCACTTACTGAAGCCCAGGACCAAGAATCTGGGGAGCTGGAGCTAGAAAACACACACACACACACACACACCCCACAAAGAATCATAGGGAGAAGAAAAGGAAGCGCAGACAACTTGACTGCCTGTCTATCTATGTCTCACCTCAAAGCCAAGATAGCAAGCATTTACTGAGCACTTCTCGCTGTGCCAGACACTGTTCCATGTACGTTACATGGATTAACATATTCAAGTGCCACCACAACCCTATGAGGTATTACTTCCATCCTCACTTCTGGAAGAGCATGCTGAGGCACAGGGAATGTACATGACTTGTTCAAGCTTACGACTACCAAATGGTGGAGGTGGGAGCTGGATGCGAGTCTGTGATTTAATCGCCATCGAATGCTGCCTCTTTCCAGCACTGCAGCGCGCTCATCAAATCAATCAATTGATCAGATATTTAAGGGGCACTTACCACCAGAAACTATAGGATAAAAGAAATTAAGACTTAGTCCTTGTAAGGGTGTAAAGAGGTCCTAGGGGGGCAGAGGTGGGGCTTCCTCCTCCCATCTCACTGGAGCGCCAAAGGCAGAGCCAGAACAACCAACCACTCAGCTGTGGGAAGGAGCAGAGGCGAGAAGGCCTGGATGCCTCCTCCTCCTCCTCCTGACCAGGTGCTCTGGGGCCCAGGGCTGAGGCACTGAGTACTTGGTTCACACCCTCCCTTTGGGTCTAAGTGAGTAGAAGGCAGAAAGTGGAGTTCAGTCAAGGTCAAAGAGAGGAACCCAGTGTCCTGGTTTCTGCCATGTCTCCCCTGACTCTTCCCCAACCTCAGCGCCCTGCTCTGGGCAGAAGTGGGACATCTAAAGTGTGTATATGTGTCTATGTGTAGCACCGAAAGGGGAGAGTCCAGTTACTCTCCAGACCTGCTGTTCTCTGCCAGGATTCAGCTGTACTCAGGGAGTTGAATCCTGGGAATTTAGGAGGCCCTCGGGCCTCCTCCCTTTACCCTTTACTCCCCTCAAAAGCTGTGGCAGGAATGCCAGGGGGAGCTCTGGGGGCTGGGTGGGCTTATTTTTCTCCTGCCCCCACATCCATCCCCCCCACGGAGGCAGCTCCCTCCCCGAGCCGGCCTGTCATCCCACATTGCTCTGATTAGCTATAATCTTTCTTTTTCAATTTCTCCTCCCCGAGACTAGGGAGCGAGAAAATCTCCCAGAAAATGAATAAATATTTCAATTTTCGGCGCAATCAGTCTGTGGAGCCGGCGCATGATGGAAACGGGGGGAAGGATAATGGTTTTCATTTAGATAAGATACAGAAAATTATTTAGTGAAAAATGAAGATTGATGAAGCCCATTGAAATTCTTTAAAATGCGATTTTTATTTCTCAGCCTAGGCTGAATCTCCCCTTCCCCTCTCCTCTCTGCTCCCCTCAATTCTATGGCTTCCTGCTGACACCTACTCCCCCATCCCTATTCCCCCACCATCATTCCTCCTCCCTTTTGTAGCGCCCCCCTCCGTTTCCTCTCTCACTGCCCCAGTCCCTGACCTAGAGCTCCTTTCTGAGGATGGAGGCTAAGGAAAGGGGGTCCTGCCAAGCTCTCCACCCCCATGTGTGTCCCAGTCTCCCCAGACCCCTACTCCTTCCCTCTCTGCCTCCTCCCCAGTCCCTTGCCAAGCTTCCCCCAACACTCACTAGTGATTTCCCCTCCCCTCCTGTCTAGTCTCTCCCTTTCTTTTCTCTGGTATCCTCTCCCCCAACCCCAGACACTTTCACCAGGTCCTGCTTTCACCCCTGTTGGAGCAGAGAAGTGGGAGCTCAGCATTCCCTAGCCACTCGCTCCTTTCCAAAGAGAGAAAGGCACACAACACACAATTCTTTCTGTCCCCAATTCAATCCACATGTCTCTCCTGTTTGCTAACTGCTGCTTTTGTTCCTTAACACTCATTTGTATCCATGATGCTGACATGTAAGGGCTGTAAGAAAGGGACAGACATAAGCTTGCCCCCAACATAGACCAATACTGACCCAGGGGCCTCCTCCACCACCAACATGACCCCCCTCCACCACCACCATGGCCCACCCCCTTCCTCCCCGACACCAACAGCCTGGCTGAACAAAGTCAGAACTTAAGTCATCTTCCCAACTTTCTGCCAAGTGGCTGGCCTGGCCTGCCAACCCCAGGGCCAGGCCTCCTCCTTTCCCCTAGCACCACCTCCCACTCCTGGCTCACACCACAGATGTGTGCCCTTCCCATATCATAGTGTGTGCTGGGGGGCTGGCATGGGTGCCCTGTGGGGAGAAATGAATCAAGACGTGCCCCCACCAACTCAGCCAGGCTTTGCCTTCGGAACTGGGAAGAGACCCGACAAGGAGAGGAAAGGTCCAGCATAACACACCACCTACAAACGCAGGAAGGGAACAGAAAGCAGGGCAATAATGCCTGAGGCTGTTCTACCCAGATCCATTCCCAGACACCCCCTAAAAGAGGACACCTCCTCCATCTGCAGTCTGTACATCTCCATAGGTGTCTGCCCATATGAATGTCTGTTCAAGTTTCTTTGTTTGCTAGAGGGTTGGTTTCTGTGAGAGCGTGTGTCCTGTCCTTGTAAACGCCTGCATACATGTACTGTGTATAGTTGTAACGTTCGGGTGGATGAATGCGTGAGTGTGTGCCGATCTGGGGGAGGAATCTGTCTTCCTCAGATGTCTCCGTGTCTTTGTGTATATGTGTCTGTCTCAGTGTGGGGGATGTTTGTGGGGATGTCTCTCTCTCAGTAGGTGAGTAGTCTGTCTCAGTGTCTGTGAGTGTTTTACGGTGTTTGTGTGTCAATTTCTGTGTGTCAGCTCCATTTTTGGGGAGGGAAGGAGTTCAGCAGGATTCAGTCTTCCTTAGAGTCAGACCTGGGAGGCAAGAACCAACTCCCACAGACCCCAGTCCCTGCTGCAGTCTGGACCCTTGGTTCCCTCAGCCCTCTTCCCTCCCCCAACCCCAGCCCTGCCCAGGATACACTGACATCCTCATCTCTCCCAACCACCTCCCTCACCTCCCAGCCTCTCCCCTGCCAGTGTCAAATAAGCCCCAGACAGCAACACTTTCCTGAGCCCAAGTAGAGTGTCAGCCCCCTCCCCCCACCGCCTCTGCCCCCGCCCCCGTGAGTTCCCCCCCTCTGTATCAAGCGGGCCTGAAGCTGTATGTGGAACTCCACTCTCCACCCAGAGCCTCCGTGGGCAGGGGTTCCAAATCCCCACTAGAGGCGCCGAGACACCCCTCCCTTCCTCTAGAGGGGGCAGCCCCAGGCAGGCTGGAGCCGTGATTCAGACTCAGACCCCCGAGGGGCTGGGCTGGAGTAGGGGGATCCCCTTGGCAACATCTTCGGGAGGTGGGACCCAGCTTTTCGCTCACCCCCTCGCCCGAAATCCGAAATCCCACCCTCTTCCCAGCCTTGCCCTTAGGCTGGACTCAGGCGTCCGGAACCCCGGCCTCAGAGGGCGAGGGTCGGTAGGGCTGCCAGAAGCTCAAGAGAAAGCGTTCGGTTCCCCGTTTTACTCGGACCTCCAGCCCTCGCGGCCCCATTGCTCGGTTCTCCCGCGCAGCCAGAGGAAACAACTTGGGCAAATCAACGGCAAACTCATTCTCCCCAGCCCCTCGTTACTCCGCGCCCCCTCCCCCAGGGCTCTGCGCCCGGACCGAGCCCCCGCCTCGTGGCGTCCGGACCCGGGGACTGGCCGCGGGCCGCGGGGCACTCCAGCACTCTCCCACCGGGGAAGCAGTGCCCCGGCCCCGGGGGGAAGCCGAGCGTCCGGGGGTGGGCTGGGGGCCCTTACCTTGGGAGAAAGTATCGGAGAGAGTGAGGATCCAGACGAGGAGGCTCAGCATGCTGTCCGCCCGCCGTGCGCCCGCCCGCGGCTGGGGCCCGGAGTTGGCGAGCGAGCCAGAGGAGCGGGCTGGGGAGGAGGGGAGCCCGGGAGCCCGGGAGCCCGCCCCCCGCCCGCCCGCGCCCGCCCCTGCACACACACACGCGCGCGCGCACACTCACGCGCACAAACTCATTTCCCTGCCCTCCGATTCTCTTTATCTCTCTTTCCTCCCAGACCTTTTTCTCCTCCTGGTCGCCCTCCCCCTTTAATTATTTCTCCTCTCAAGCTGTATCTCTCTGGGTCTCTTTCGGTCTTTGCTCCCCCTTTCTCTCCCCTTCTCTTCCTTCCCTCTCTCCCTCCCTGCCTCCCTGCCTGCCTGCCTCCCTCCCTCCGCCTGACGTCTACTCTCCCTCCGACGGCGCCTCCCTCCACGAGCCCTCCCCCTGCCCCCCCACAACGCGCGCACACACATACCCCCCTCGCTGGAACTGAGATGGAAGGAGAGCAAAGAGGGAAAGGAATTGAGGGCAAAGGCAAAAGGGGGTGAAAAATGTGACCGTCGTGGGTTCTGGGGCAGGCACGACGGGACCCCTGGCCACCCCACCCCCTCCTATTTATAGACGCAATCTTGGTCGCGGGCTATGGAACTAAGCAGTGGAGGAGGAACATGGGCTGAGGGACATCAGCCTCTAGCTCAGAGGATGTGATGGGGAGTGTGTGTGTGTGTGTGTGTGTGTGTGTGTTTCCGTGTGTGTGTCTAGGAGTGGGGTGGGGGGCAGGGAGTTAAATAAACATAAAGACCTTTCTTTTTAAATTCCACACCCAAAGTCTAGCCCCTAGATTCCCCAAATTAAGAATTCTCAATTGACTAATGAATGCTTGGATAAGGGAGGGGCATACATGCCTCTCCCCACCTATAAAACCCAGAACTGGAGAATGGGAGCTGCCTCTTGGACCTGCCTTGAGGCCCTGCCTTGGCTTCACCCAGTCAAGGTTGAGCACAGCTAGGCGTTGGAGGACTCAGCGGCCTGGAAGAGGCACAGTTGACCCTTCCTTTGTTCATCTTAGCCTTCCACCCATCCCGAAGGAGAAGGTAGCCAACTGGATGGCTTTGAAGGGCCAAGACCTGGCCTCACCTCCCTGAATGCAAGCCAGAGGAGAAGACAGCCACCAGTCAGATCTCTAAGCACGCTGGAGTTTGAGATCTTTTGGGGTAGGGACATGGAGGAACTAGGAAGGAAGGGAATTCCTGAGAATCATGAGAGCATTCAGGAGGGATCTCCACTTTCTTAAGGGCCCAGTTTGGCAACCAGCTCCTCTTCTCACCCCTGACCAGATACTTCTGCTCACAGGATTGCTCGGGTAGCCAGAGGTCTGGACCCTAGGGAATGGACAGAGAAGTTGCTGGAATTGCACAATTTTACAGTAATGTGTTGGTCCAAAGAGGTCTCCACTTCTTTCCTCCCAGATCCCAGATCTCCTGGGTCTCTAACACTCCCCGCCAAGTTTTCTCAATTTCTGCCCCTGAAAGTAGGTGCGTGGCTCTCTGGTGCCCTCTGTTGATGTGTAGCGGCCACAGCTCCTCTTTCCTCCGCAGATACTAACACCAGCCTGTGGTCCAGACGCATCCACACACAATTAGAAGACAGAGAAAGGCAGGAAAACACCCAAGCTCATATGCAGAAGCCCCATATGCACAGACCCAGAGAATTCTTCATATATTCCAAAACACAGGCAAGCACAGCTTAAGAATAGAGCCATACTTTGGCCAGAGAAATAGGACTGCAATCCCAAACGTACACAGAAAGACACCAACACACAGACACATAAGGCTTTTCATTTGTTCATTCATTAATCATACATTCCACAGATATTTTTTCAGCTCCAGACTGCTATTTTCCAGTCACCATTCTAGGCTTTGGGGAGACAATAATAATAAAAAAAAAAGGACAAAGTCTTTCCCTTTAATGTTCCATTCTGGAGGAAAGTCAGAGGCAGTAGAAAAAAATATGAAATATACTAGGTTATGGTAAATGCTATGGGGGACAAATAAAGCAGGATAAAAGATTAGGGAGAGGGAGAGAGGGAGGAATTACTGTTCTTACAGGTAATCAAAGAAAGCTGTTCTGCTACAGCCACATTTGGGCACAGACCTGAAGGAACTGAGGGTTTAGCTGCTCAGGCGTCTGAGGGAAGAATGCAGCAGGAAGATGGTAGCAGCAAAGGCAAAAACCCTGAGGTAGGGAGCTCCGGACATGTCAGCGAGACAGCCTTTTCTCCTTTCCACTCCACATGATGGTGTATGGAGGGGAAGGCGAGGGTGACCCTGACTTAGGAAAGTATTATTTTTGGTGTGTGTGTGTTTTCTTTTCTTTTCTTTTCTTTCTTTTTTTTTTTTGAAGGAGTTGCACTCTGTCACCCAGGCTGGAGTGTAGTGGCATGATCTTGGCTCACTGCAACCTCCATCTCCTGGGTTCAAGCGATTCTCCTGCCTCAGCCTCTTGAGTAGCTGGGATTACAGGCACCCGCCACCATGCCCAGCTAATTTCTGTATTTTTAGTAGAGATGGGGTTTCACCATGTTGGCCAGGCTGGTCTTGAACTGCTGACCTCAAGTGATTTGCCTGCCTCGGCCTCCCAAAGTACTGGGGTTACAGGTGTGAGCCACCACACTCGGCCTAGGAGAGCATTAATTTAAAAAAAAAGGTCTTTAATCGAAGGAAGGGAATATTCTTAGCTCAGTGTTTCCTGCCTAATCTCCATGTCTGATATCAGGCTTGATAGCTATTCTTTTTATGAGAAGGGACTGGGTTATCAGACCTTTTGGATTTTTGTGGGCCTTTTATTTTGCCTCAAAAGCCTAGAAACAGAGGAACCAAGTTTCTCTAGCTCACTAACAGCGAAAACAACAATCTGGCCTGTCTCCTCTGGTCCTTTAGCTTTTCTTTTCCCTCCCCCTTTCCTTTAATTCCAAATCTTCACCAGCTCAGTTCATAGCAAACTCATGTCTCTAGAATTTCTTCCACATAAGTCATCCAGCATCCCAGATCTCAGAGCTTAAGACACCATAGACCTCATCCCCAGCCAGTGGTCCTCAACACCAGTTGTGCATAGCACCTCCTGAGGGCCTTTAATTTTATTATTATTATTTTTTAATTTTTTGAGATGGAGTTTAGATCTGTCACCTGGGCTGGAGTGCCGTGGCATGATCTCAGCTCACTGTAACCTCCGCCTCCCGGGTTCAAGTGATTCTCCTGCCACAGCCTCCCAAGTAGCTGGGATTACAGGTGTGTGCCACCATGCCTGGGTAGTTTTTGTATTTTTAGTAGAGACAGCATTTCGCCATGTTGGCCAAGCTGGTCTCGAACTCCTGATCTCAGGTGATCCACCCGCCTCAGCCTCCCAAAGTGCTGTGGTTACAGGCATGAGCCACCATGCCCTGCCCTGAGGGCTGTTTAAAAACACCAGTGCCATGCCCTCATCCCTAAAGATTAATTGTTCTGGGGTGAAGTTCAAGCATCAGTATTTTTAGACATAGCTCCAGGTGATTCTAGTAGACAGCCAAGGTAGAGAGCTGCTAAACTAAGCAAACCCCTGCTTTCCAGACATTGTCTTCAGCAAGTCTGCACACCACACAAGTGTCCTGCCCTCTTATCTCCACTAGCATTTCTTCTGCTTATTGCCAATCTTGTATCACCCTCCCCTCCTGGGGCAACCCCAATTAAGCTGCCCTAACTTTGCTCCATCCTCGTCTCTTTAACACTAAGGCTCACAATTTTGTCTAGTCGAATTAACTGAGTCTCTTAGAATCTAATAACATAACTCATCAAACTGTAGACATCCTGGGGCTGAGTCCCTAGTATTAGTCAGATGATCCAAAGATAAAGCTTGTGTCTTTTCCATCAGACTGGACATATCTTCCTAGGACAGGATATCTGCCTCCCCTATCAAACTTGGGGATTCTTGAGGGGCAAGGAATATGCATGTCACACCATTCTGGAGCTCCCTGAGGGTAGAGCGAAAGCTGGGTAAGTCCCTCCCTATCAGAGAGGTACCTTGCAGAGTAGTTGACAGCAAAGCACATGGGCCCTGAAACCAGACAGGGATTCAAATCTAGGTTCTTTCCCTTCCTTTCTGTGTGACCTTGGACATTTTATGTAGCTAACCTCTCTAGTTCTTGTTTTTTTCATATGAAAACAGGGATAATAATAGTAGTTACATTATGGGGTAGTTGTGAGGATTGAGTTCATATCCATACAGCCCTTAGAACAATACTAGGCATGCAGCATATGCTCAGTAAATGTTAGCTGTGATTATTTTTCAGTTTTAGAGCTTCCCCAAACAGAGATCTTTTGAATCTTCCTCCTGTAGATTTGTCTTCATCCTCATGCACAGAGCCCTGCCCCAACAGAAGCAGGCAGGCGCGAAGGCGGAGGAAGTAATCCCTAAGGATGCTACTTCACCTAGAATAAAGGAGAGAAACAGCCAAAGGTTATATATGGAGTTAAGAGAAATATTAATAATTTTTTTTAGCACAAAAGCAAAAAGATCAAGAGGTCAGGGAGTGAGCAGGAAGGCAATTTATGACCATAAGCAGGAGAAGCCACCTTGAGAGACAGAAATGAATTCTTTGTCTCAATGAGGGCTAAGAACAGCAGAACAATTCTATAAATTGTCCTTTTCCCCCCTAGAGAGGTGGAGTATTGTGTCCCTGCTGCTTACCAGAGACAGAGGAGAGAAAGGGTGAGATCCTTATTCTCAGCTTGGAAAATAATCCTGACCTTAAAGGAAACCTTGAGTCCCCAAGGGCAAGGGATCACCAGAGGTCACCTTGTCTCTTCCCCTGCTGCAGACTATAGCCCAGAGCAGTGAGAGTGAGAGATGTACCCCTTCTTCCAAAGTCCTCCCAGCAAAGGGGGCTCTTCATCCCTTCTCCACTTTTGTATCTCACAGCCCAGGTACTGCATAAGTCCTTCCAGATATTCAGCCTTGAGATTTCCTGCTATTATACCAGTTTATTTCTCTTCTGCTCCTTTTCCTTAAGTTGCCCAGCTTTTGAGATGTACAAGAAAAAGGGCAGGGGCAGGGGACCGCCATATGGCAGTGGAAAAAGTCTTTAATCTGCAATCTGAGGGGAGAGTGGGGCAAGAGGAAAGACAGCATCAGTCTAAGTACCCCAGACCTCTCCTTAGTGGCCAGGGGGCCTTGAGCCTGGGTCCAGCTAGGCTGGCCTCTCTGTAAAGAGTATCTGGCCCTGTAAAAAAAGTGAAGAAGAATTCTGGGCCTGGGGACTGGCGTTTCCTCATCTCAGTTTTGCCACCTATGCTTGATATCTTGCCAAGGAACAGGGGTCTCAGCAGTTGAAATGATAGTTGTTCACCCTCTCTGACATCTGTGCAGAGCAAAGAAGATATTCCAAGGAAGCCCAGATCCCTGATACATTAAGACATGAGGATGCCAGTAAGACACGCAACAGAAACTAGGTACCCTGGACAGCAGTGGGGTTAAGTGGCCATCTTAGGCCTCCTACAGAAGGGGAAGATGGTAGACGAAGGAGGTCAGGCTCCATGGATGGGGCATGGGTGTCAGAGGACACTTAGGAAGCAGTGCTGCTATTGAAGGAGAAAGACCAGAGGCTAGCCACCATAAAGGACTGTCTACTGAGAAGTATCCAAAATATTTAGGGAGAAATGTTTTGGGTGGGTTGAAGTTGCTCAGAGGCAGGGGCTTAGAAAGAATGACCTTGGCAAAGACGGGTTCCCGGTGTATATATCCACCGTGTGCCAGCATTGCCTGCGAATGACTGGGATCCATTCCACACCACCCATTTTCAGCCCTTCCCCTTCCATTGCTTCATATTCCAGCTCCAATAGGGCAGGGGAAGTGTCGGGGGGAGGGCAATTTGTACTAAATGAACCAGTTATCTCTTATTAGGCTTAATGGATGTCTCATTGCCTGAGTCACGGGGATTGGAAGATCCCTGCTTCCAATGAGTAGCCTGGTTCAGGAGACCTGTTCAGAAAAAAGAAGAGTGTTAGCATTCAGCAACTCTGCGCAGAGGCGTTGAGATGGGGAGTGGGTACGTGTGTGGGGGGGAGGGCAGTGGGAAATAGACTTTTTGGAAAAAATGGAGACAGTAATAATGAATTAATAACTCAAATGGGAAGCTGCACAACTGGAGACAGCATGAAGTTCATTTCCCTTAGAGTGGCAAAATGGTCTGTCAAAGGTCGCAAGGGAAGGCACAGTAGACCTGGGACTAGAACCCAGGCCTCTCAGGCCAGGATTCACCTATGTATCTCACTAACTCCATCTTTCCCACCCTTGCACCCCAGTCTCATTCCAAATGCTTTTATCAGCAAAGACACTCCTGATACCTAAACGGCTCTGACCATTATGTGGCTGTAGTCTTCTGTAAGGGGTCTGGAAATCAGAGAATAAAGTGAGCAGGAAGCAAGGGATACTGAGGAAAAGGGAGAAGTCTCTCATCTTCCTTTGGCTCTTGGTTTTAGTTTTCTTGGATTCTGTCCCCAAGCCCAGAGTTTCTTGGCCTTTAACATTCCCCAGTGCTTCCTTGAACACCTAAAACCACCCATTCATTAGATTCATTTAGTATCAGAACTGGTTTAGAGGGTTATGGTTTATGTTTTCATCCAAGCTAGAGATGAGATTGAGTTTGCAGCTAGGATTATGGCCTGAAGTTCTATTAAGGACACTGAACATCATGGCAGTTGAAGAGTGAAATTAAATAAGGTTCATATGAGCGGAAATATAAGGGCTAAGTTTACTTAACCTTAACTATAAGAGAGCCCGTTAACTTAAAGCACAACTCTTAACAATGTCACTCCAACCGTTATAACCCCCAGTAGAGATTTGCTAAGGGTTTTGGTTGAGATTAATTAAGTAATTAGACCATTCACCCAATTCATTCGTCTATTCATCCCACAAACATGTATTAAAAGCTCACTCTCTGCCAGGCACTGGGTGAAGCACGTGGGATATAAAGAAGAATGAAGCACACCCCCTTGTTTTCCAAAAGCTCATTGTCTAGTGGTAAATACAGACAGATAATTACAACAGAGGTGGGAAGTGCATATAGAAAAATGCTTTTTTTTTTAGTGCAAAACAGAAGTTACTCAACTCAGCTTGCAGGCATCAAGAAAAGTTTCCTAGAAATGGAGATTCAGGATCTTTAGAGTCTGAGTGTGGCTTTAGATTAGATAGCTCCCCTCTCTGGCCTCAATTTCCTGCTAACTCTGATGCCCCCATGGTACTGTAATATTCTTTGTCTCTAATATTGAGTTATGAGATATTCCCTGGGGATGCCTTTTAGTGGGTTCCATCAGGGCCCATAGGGTATTCTGTAAATTCTCTGTGTTTGAGAACTACTTCTGGAAACTTTGGCTCATTTCCTCTCAAGGAACCAGAGCCAAGATTCTTCCCCAGGTCCAGAGTTGGGGACCAATTTTCTGACTCCCACTCCTTTCACCTGACTTGGTGCCTTCCTACCTGTGACAGCCAAGCTCCAGGACAATGGAACTCCTCTCTACTTCCACTGGCTTTCTGGCTTCTGTGCCAGGGAACAGGCCTCGTGGTACCTGCCAGGCAGGGTCTGGCTGCTGGCTCAGGTGGCATTTCCTAAATGGACAGATGGAGAATGTTGGTTTACTATCTCTCCAGTGCTTCTGTTCCAGCTTCCAAGATACAGCCAGCAAACAGGTCCTGGTACCAAGTCACCTCTTGCAGGCATTGGCAGTTTCCCCTTTTCTACTAGCCCTTAGCCATGAGCCTCAATGCTTCCCCCATCCATAGGTCCTCCTCATGCAAAGCCCTAGTCTAGGCTTTGGGAATAGATCCAGAGGAAAGCAAATTCAGAGGAAAATGTTGTCCCCCAAGTAAAAAACAAAATGAAGCAACAACCAACCCTGGCTACTCCTTCAGCAGTCCTCTTTCAAGAATGGCACCAACCTCCATCCTATTGTTCAGACCAGACATCTGCGAGTACATACTTTCTCCATCCCCATTCACATTCAAACAGTCTCCAAATCCTGTGGATTGGCTTTCTCAGGTAGTGGCCTAATTTGCATCCATCTTCATTGTCACCAGCCTGCTCCATGTGTATTATCTCCTGCCTCAACACCAGCAAGGCCTTTCTGCATGAGCCCAAGCCTAATAATTTTTCTCCAGCTCAAATTTGACCACATTACTCTCCTGCTTAAAACTGATTGGGGCTCTCATTGCCCTTAGGATCAGATACAGCACCTTCCCGTTGGTTCCTAGAGCCTGCCTGGGGTACGTTGGCCTTCCCTCCCAACCCCACTGCTCTCCACTCCCCTTCTTATCCTTTACACTCCAACTCCACCTGGCTTCTCTAAGTTCTAGGGACTGGCCATATTTCTCTCATTGTTTGGGGTCTCGGCACATGGGGTTCTCTTGCCTGCAATGTTCTTTCCGCCCAGGGTCTATCCCAACCTCGCCCCTTAAGCTAAGTCCTACTCATCCCTCAGACCTCACACTAAATGTCACTTCTCCATGGAAGCCTCTCTAATTCCTCCAGACAAGCTAGATCACCTTGTTATTGCCTTCAAGCACCTTCTATTTCCACTAGTAACATTCATCTCCCTTCTAATTAAGTATTCAATGTCTGTTTTCCATGCTTGATCATAAGCCCTGTGCAGGTAGAGCCTGTACTGGTGTTGTTCACTGTTGTTACCAGAGTGCCTGGCAAAAAGGGAGATATTTCTGATTCTGAGTTCCACAAAGGATTTACTGGAGTAGAGAGGAGGCTGAGCTCCATTTCAGAGTACAAAGCCAGGGGGCTAGCAATTGAACTGCAAGAGGATATTCCCAACTAAGCAGGCACTTGGTAAGTCCAGGAAATCATCCTTCCAAGGAGCTGGGAGAAGATGAGCAGAAGTGGCATAAAAGTTTATCTTCTGTTGTTCAGGATGAGTGTGTGGGGGCGAGACACATATTACCTCGAATGTGCCAAGAAAAAAAATCCCAGGGAACAGTGAACAAAGCTATAAATACAGCCGAGCGTCGGGTGACATCACCTGAGCACAGTGCAGCGATTTATGGCCAACTCACACAGCCCTAAAGTGTATTTATAACGGTGTAACTCACTAGTACTTCTCCCTGCCTGCCCTCCCTCATTTCCCTGTTCAGTGGTGGCCACATTCCTTGTTCTTCTGATGAAACAGGATGGCTGGGCCAGGCACCTGCTCTGGGGATACTTGGCTACTCTGAAAAGCGGAGCCATTCCTCCAAAATATGTATTCAACAACGTGCAATGGTTCTTTGCTTTTTGGAGAATTCTGAACGTTTAAGCTGCGCATTCAAGACACGCAAACCCTCTGGCCTTAACTTACCTTCTAGCTTCATGGACAGCTTTGTTACCTTCCAGCTTTATTCACGTATGTCACATGGATCCTAATCTCCAACGTATTAGTTCTTCTCTGAAGTCTTCAGGTTTTTACTCCCTTACTTCTTTGTTCATGCTTTCCCCTTTACGTGATGTATTTTTCTACCATAATCTCTGGTCAAAACTCCTCCTTCAAGTCCCAACCCAGACACGACATTCTCCCTGAGCTGCCTGATGTGAGGGCATGACTTTTAGTTCTCTCTTTCCAAAGCCACTGACTCTCCACTCCTGGAGGCCACCTGTTTACTATTACAGTCATGTATTTACATAGCTTGTTTCCTCCTTAAACTTTGAAAGCCTTCCCCACACATCTTAGTTCCTCCCTAAGGGTTTGCTCAGGACCTGTCACAGGGAGGAAGCTCAGGGCACATTTTTTCAACCAAATATCTGTCCCTCCTGCCAACCCAGTCCTCCTTGAGCATCTCCAACATGTCTGACACTATGCTGAACATGCTATGGGCATTAGTTTCAATCTTCACAATGACAAGATAGGCATTATCATTCCCACTTCTGTATAGGGGAATTGTGGCAGAGAGAGGTTAAGCAGCTTGCCCAAAGGCACACAGTATGTGAATGTGACCACAGGATGCTCACCCAGTGTGTCAAACTCCATCATGTTTCTTCTATTCCTGGAGACCTTGGGCTGTGTGTTCCACAGCCTAATTTCTATCCAATATCCCAGGGTTTGTATTCTCTTCTCAAAGACACTGCACACAGCCAGCTGAGAGCCTGCCTCTTCACAGAGAGTTCCAATGCGGCTCGCTCAGGCACTGGGGTTATCAAAGTGGAGTTTTTGAAGAAACTTTTCAGAGAATGACTGCTATGAAAAAGGCAGCCCAGGCCCTGTCTGTATTCTGGGGGCCTTCACCTCCCTTGCTTCATTTACATAGGGAAAAGAAAGCTCAGAGTCAGCTCAGAGAGAGATAAACACTCACCTGCCAGCCGCTCGCTGCTCACAACAAGGGCTCTCCTCTTCAGTCTCCACTCCTCTGACCCTGGATTTTCTTAGATGATTTTACCCCTACCTCTGTTTAGAGTCTAAATGGAGAGAGAAGCAAGGTGGACTGAGATTCTCCTTCTCACAAACACATCACCAAGTGCTCAGCTCATGGAAAGTGTGGCCTGGAAATCACCCAAGGTGGATGGGGTAGGTGTAGGGAGAGTTCAGCTAGGCTGGTCCCTGAGTCAGGATCTCTTAAGCTGAGGTTGGGCAGTGTGGACAGAGGGCAGCGGGGGAAGCAAGCCAAAGGAAGTTAGAAAAATTATGTCTCTCCAATTCAGCCTGAACTAAGTCACCAACACGCAGCTTAAAGCACTCAATAAAATCCAAAATACTTACCAAGCAAAGTGATTTTGTTGAGAAATTGCTATTAATACTATTAATAATTATTTTCTATTATTGCTCATAATTGAAAAGTGACTAAAAATAATGCTGTATGCTAGATGGGTTCTCTTTCACTCTATCTCCTCACATAGGCCACTTGTAATCCCATATTTGGCTGTAGGACGCAGCACATCCACTTTACACACAAAATGTGAAGTAAAGAAAGTTTGCCTTTGGTGATACGGTCTCTCTTTCTTGATACTTTATTCTACAACCGTGAGAATTCTCCTACAGTTCTAAACATCTCCTGGTGAATGCATTCATACTAAAATGTGAGGAACTCCCTATCCTGCCTCCCCTCATACCCCCTACCAAAGCGTATTTTATAAGAGAGCTAGCATTGGCACAATGCTGTAACCAAGGGAATACATTTCTGACAGTGTAATTATAGACACCCTTATACTTGATAAGGAGGCATTTTGGAGGTGTACTAGAGAGACCTCTACAGCCCTTGAAATTATGGAGTCTACAACCGGAGGCAGACTTATCATAAAGTTAATGAAGCTCACTCATTCAGGGCCCTCCTAAGGCCCTGGGAGGCACCCTGCTAGTATGTTCACGTGGTTCTGCATAAAAGATGCAAGAGTAAGATATTGTAACTACAGTTCATTAAGTCTGATGTCTCTTTCCATTATAATTTTCTCTCTGCCCCCCCTCCCCTCATATTAGGTGGGGAAGGAACCATGGGTGTTTTGGGGGTCTGCCTAAGTGGAAATTGAGTTGAAAATACATTTAGGTTTTTTTTCTTCCTTCCTTCCTTCCTTCCTTCCTTCCTTCCTTCCTTCCTTCCTTCCTTCCTTCCTTCCTTCCTTCCTCCCTCTCTCTCTCTCTCTTTCTTTCTTTCTTTCTTTCTTTGACAGAGTTTTGCTCTTGTTGCCCAGGCTGGAGTGCAATGGTGCGATCTCGGCTCACTGCAACCTCCACTTGCCAGGTTCAAGCAATTCTCCTGTAGCTGGGATTCTCCAAGCAATTCTCCAAGTAGCTGGGATTACAGGAGTGTGCCACCATACCTGGCTAATTTTTGTATTTTTAGTAGAGACGGGGTTTCACCATGTTGGCCAAGCTGGTCTTGAATTCCTGACCTCAAGTGATCCACCCATCTCGGTCTCCCAAAATGCTGGCTTGAGCCACTTCGCCCAGCCTACATTTAGGTTTGATTAAAGGGGTATGTGATGTGGCCCATGATCACCTGCATGTATAGTTGTTGCTAACTTCTGGTATAGGAATGGCTTCCAGGAATATTCCTACAGCCATTGAGCTGACTGATTCAGGTATCATCATGACATAAAGATTCAGAACCTGAGGGTCATGGTAGCAAGAACATGTCCTCTAGTGCCTGGACCTGGAAGTAGTATTTGAACTGTATGAAGCCAGAAGCCAGTCCATGGAAAATTCTCCTAATCACTAGTCATGTAACATTGCAAGCAGTGGATTGGGTTCTCACTGGTGCTTTATCAAAATGGAAGTTTTTCCCCTCAGGAATATGTTTAATAAGGTGGGATATACAATTATAAACATACCATACAAAAATGTTCCCCATTGATTTTTATATAAAATTGTTAGATAGAAATTATTCTGACATTAAGAAGTGAATTGTAACATAAAACTCAGATTATCCTCAAAGAGATACTGCAGTAAGAGGAAGAGATAGATTTCTAATAAGATCTTGGATTGTTTAATAATTCAATTAATGAAGAAGAGTAATTCATAGGAATACACTGCAAAAAGTTCTAAATTTCTTGGTGGGTTGATAAAAATAACATTCATAAACTTCATAATAGACCACTACATCTAGGACAAACTGACTGACTATTATCCTTTATAACAAGTATTTAAGATTAGTTACTACAAAAGAAAGACTGAACTGTCCTGAAATCTTACAGCTCTATTATGAAAAAAAATTTGCATAGCTTTCTTTTTCAAATCTGACAATCCTAATTTCTTTTTTTCTTAATAGAAACAGAGTCTTGCTATTGTCCAGGATAGAGCGCAGCGGCACAATCACAGTTCACTGCAGCCTTAAACTACTGGGCTCAAGTGATCCTCCCGCCTCAGCCTCCCAAAATTCTGGGATTGCAGGTGTGAGCCACCATTCCTGGCCTACCCTAAAATTATATGTGGTATTACCAAGAGCAATTTTTATTTATTTGTTTATTTATTTTTCTCTAAATGGAGTCTTGCTCTGTCGCCCAGGCTGGAGTGCAGTGGCATGATCTTGGCTCATGGCAACCTCTGCTTCCTGGGTTCAAGTGATACTCCTGCCTCAGACTCCCCAGTAGCTGGGATTACAGGTGTGTGTCATCACACCTGGCTAATTTTTTTTGTATTTTTAGTAGAGATGGGGTTCACCATGTTCGCCAAGTTGGACTTGAACTCCTGACGTCATGATCTGCCCGCCTTGGCCTCCCAAAGTGCTGGGATTACAGGTGTGAGCCACCGCGCCCGGCCTCACAAAATTTTAACGTTGAAACACATTTTTACATACTATCAATAATAATAATAATAAAAATTTTCATCAAACATGCTAGAGGAAAACTAAATTATCTTTCTGCTCTCTCTATAAAAAAATGACAAAATCATTATGAAGAATCCATCAAAGAGCATGCTGCCAGAAAAAGTAAAAAAATACTATGTAAATGTGCTAGGCAGTTAATTAATATAAATTACTATGTTATTTTTCTGGATTCTAAATGATTTTTGATTTGCCAACTCTTTAATTTGCAACTTGTTATGATTCCTCTTCGCATTTTAAAAATAAATTTTCAAGTATGTATCTAATTTTGCATTTATACTTTTATCTTTTTTTCCTTTATGGGAGACCCTCCCTCCAACCAGTGTAAGTTTCAGGCCCCATAAAATTGGATTCAACTTTGTCCACAGCATTGGGTTTTTTTGTTTGTTTTTTTCTTTTTTTTTTTTTGATGGAGTCTCACTCTGTCGCCCAGGCTGGAGTGCAATCTCGGCTCACTGCAACCTCTGCCTCCCAAGTTCAAGCGATTCTCCTGCCTCAGCCTCTCGAGTAGCTGGGATTACAGGTGCGTGCCACCACGCCCAGCTAATTTTTTGTGTTTTTAGTAGAGATGGGATTTCATCGTGTTAGCCAGGATGGTCTCAATCTCCTGACCTCGTGATCTGCCCGCCTCGGCCTCCCAGAGTGCTGGGATTACAGGCTTGAGCCACCGCGCCCGGCCAGCATTGGTATTTTATTAAGGTAGTGTTGAATAATAATAATAATAATAACTACAATAACAACAATGGTTTCACCTTTCCTGACAGTTTGCTATGCATCAGCACTGTCCCAAGGCTTTACATGAGTTCTCTCATTTACTCCTCTATGACTATGTTGTCTCCATTTTACATGTGAAGGAACTGAAGTCCCAGAAATGCTAGGTAACTTGCCCACGGTTATTCAGCTGGGAGGCTGCAAAGCTTGTTTCCTCTATCTGTCTCCCTCATCTTCCCTGACTCCAGAAGGAAGAGCAATGTCCCACTTACTAGGCATGTCTTACAGAGGGTGCAGCAAAGGCTCAGAGGTGTTGAGTGACTTGCTGGGCGATGCACAGCGGGCAAATGGCAGAGTTAGACCTCCAGGCCGCAGGGCTTTCCCTCCCACACCAGCAAACACCGGCCTCGGCCCAGGCCCTATCGCAGTCGCTCCCTGCCGGCGGACTGAGGCCCTGTGTGGAGCGGATGCTCGGCAGGTGTGACCCAACGGCAGCCTGGGGCGGCGGAAGGGGACAGGGAAGCAGGCTGGAGTCTCGCGGAGGAGATGCCTTCAGAACTCCGGCGTCTCCAGGGGCAGCGGCAGGGACTCAGTCTCCCATTTCATTAACTGGAAAATAAACTAGAGCCACAAAGGGCCGAGGGAAGCAGAGCGCCCGGGCCCAGCTGCCGCGGGGTCGAGGGGCGAGGCGCCGGGTGGCGAAAGCAGGGGAGGAGGCCCCGCCAGCTGAGGCCGCTGCAAATCCCTGGCCTGCAGCCCCCAGACTGTTGCCCCTCTCCAGCCTCAGAGCCGCCCACCCCTTGCCCCCAGTTAGCACCGAGGAGCCGGGGGACCCAGTGGACTTCCCGGAGCAGGAGGGAATTTTTCCCCTCGGAATCACTCCACCCAACTCTGTGGACACAATGGGCTGTCAGATGGCGGGGAGGGGCGGGGGCAGTTCTACACTCTCCTTGGAGCCAAACCTTCTGCTCCCTGAACAGAACAGAGGCACATTGAGAGTGTGGCCCTGGGGAAAATGGGCTGGCCCAGGGGAAAATGAGATTTTAAGGGAGAGAAATGAAACTTTCTGTCTTCTGCAACCCCCCTTCATACACAAAGTTCCTAGCTCCTCTTTTTTTTTTTTTTTCTTGAGACGAAGTCTCCCTCTGTCGCCAGGCTGGAGTGCAGTGGCGCCATCTCAGCTCACTGCAACCTCCACCTCCAGGGTTCAAGTAATTGTCCTGCCTCAGCCTCCCAAGTAGCAGGGATTACACGCACCCACCACCATGCCCAGCTAATTTTTTGTATGTTTAGTAGAGACAGGGGTTTCACCACGTTGGCCAGGCTGGTCTTGAACTCCTGACCTCAGGTGATCCACCTGCCTTGGCCTCCCAAATTGCTGGGATTACAGGCATGAGCCACCACGCCCAGCCACTACTGTTGTTTAAGCTACCCAGTTTGTGCTACTTTGTTCTCATAGCCCTAGAAAATTATTATAATGCAGAAGGGAACTGGAAGGCAGTGGAAATTGCTCTGCTAGGAAAGGGGTGAGCTTGGAGGACAGAGGTGGGTGGTATTGGGATGGCACTGGGGAAGCACAGCTCAGGGGATCCTGTGACAAAATGAAAAGGGTGGGTGCTTTGAAAAGAGGAGCTCGGGGCCAGGCGCGGCTCACGCATGTCATTGCACACCAGCCTGGGTGACAGAGCAAGACTCTGTCTCAAAAAAACAAAAACAAACAAACAAACAAAAAAGTTGATTTTCCCCTAGCTCTGGAGGCTGGAAGTTCCAGGTCAAGGTGTTGGCAGGGCTAGTTCCTTCTGAGGCCTCCTTGACTTATAGACAGCCTCTTCTCGCTGTGTCCTCACACGTTCTTCCCTCTATGCATACCTGTGTCCTAATTTCCTCTTCTTATAAGAACATCAGTTAGATTAGGACCCACTTTAATGACCTCATTTTAACTTAAAGACTCTATCCCCAAATATAGTCAATTCTGAGATACTGGGGTTAGGACTTCAACATATGAATTCTGGGAGACCCAATTCAGCCCATAACGCCTTATATGTCTAGACATTCTGCCACCAAATCCTGCAGGTCATAGGATTTCCTTAGACTGGATGCTGTGACATGCACCAACACACCCTAACACCTTTTCCACTTTTCCCTCCACATTCAGGCCCTCTCAGAACTACCTGGCCACACAGGCCCAAGTAAGCTGGCAAGTATAACCTAGCACATAGGGTTACCAACTTCCTGCTCCTAAGAGCAAAGCTGGCCTCTGGCTTCTTACTCTGTGATGTGGGGGCTGCCTATTGTAGAATCATAGCTCTTCAGTTTCTTTGGTCCTTTAGAAATCTCTTCCCGTCCCCCTCCCGCCCCCAGTGTTTCAGTGCCTTTAAATAATATATTTTGACTAGTTCAAAGTTTCCAAAAAATGACACAAAACTGAAAACATAGAGGAGTCTTCTTCTTACCACCTCCACCTGCCCCGTTTCTTCTCCAACCCCACCCCTTACAGGGAGTAGGTTTAATTAGCTTCTGCTGTGTCTTCCCAGTGTTTCTTTATGCAAATAGAAGCCCATGCAAATGCATATATGTATATTCCTCCTTTCTTATACAAATGCTAGTATTCACTGATTTACCCTTTGCATTTTTCACTTAACCATATATCCAGGAGGTTTCCCCATATCTATACAGATGGCTTCACTTTTTTTCTGTAATAACTGCATAGTATTTCAATATGTGGATGTAAAATGATTTATTTAAACAATCCCCGATAGACAGACACTTGGGTTGTTTCCTATGCCTGTCCTCTTAAGAGGAGTATCTTGAAAACTTTAATCCACCAAGGCTTCCTAACACCTGGGAAATATCAGGGCCTGAGGGGAAGGCAGAAGGGACAGCAGAAAGGATCCAAAAGTACAGGAGATGTGGTCTCTGGCATTGGGTGTTTCAAATTGATGGGAAAGATATGGCTGCTCTGCTCTGAGGAGTCTTCTATATGAAAAAGATCCTACGGAAACTCAGACCAGGCACATTTCTTGGATACTGCTTTACTGGTTCAAGATCTCTGGGACTGGTGATATCACTGAGTTAAAGGGCTAAGATTAGAAGTAAACCTTAAAGGCCAATTTTTTTTTCCTGTTTGTAGTAGTTATCACTGCTGTGTAACAAAATGTCACAAATATAACAGCTTAAAACAATATACATTTACTTGCTCACAGTTTTGTAGGTCAAAAATTTGGGCAGAAAGAAAGATGTGGAAGCTGGAATATGGTAATGGGGAGAGGGGAGGTAGGCAATAAGTAGCCCGGTGGTCTAGAACTCATTATGTAGGGAGAAAGGGGAAGTGGTGATATGATCTCAGCTCACTGCAACCTCCACCTCCCAGGTTCTCCTGTCTCAGCCTCCCAAGTAGCTGGGACTACAGGTGGGCACTACCACACCCGGATAATTTTTGTATTTTTAGTAGAGATGGAGTTTCACTCTCTTGGCTAGGCTGGTCTCGAACCCCTGACCTTAAGTGATCCTCCCGCCTTGGCCTCCCAATGTGCTGGGATTACAGGCATGAGCTACTATGCCCAGCCTCTAAAATGTATCTTTTTCAGTGCTAATGAATGAAATGATGAAACATTCATTCTGCTTCGTACTCTTTCCCTGTACCTAGCACAGTGCAAGGCAAAAAAGCAGACATTTAATAAATGTTCGTGGAATTTAAATCACTGATGAGGGGCAAAAGAGAAGGCAGAACTGTGGGTATACATTCAGGAAGGGAGGAGGAGCTGGGAGCCAGGCCAGGGCTGGGCCTATGGGGATGGGCTAGGGGACAAAGAGCCACCTACCATCAGTACCCCAGCTTGAGCAGTCTTGGCAGCCAAGCCCAGTCTAAGTAGCACTTTCTTGCTAAGTGTTCTGTGGGGAGGTGTAATGTGTCTCTATTTAAAATTAATTTTTCAGAATTGGAAGCCCCACTCTGAAAGGCAGTGCTCCCTTGGTGGCTTCTGGCAGGATTGGAAAGCTATAACTTTGGAGAGAAACACAATAAACCAAAAATTTCCTCCCAGGTGAGCAAGAAACTGCCTCTCTCCTTCTGAACAGAGCATTTTCCAGAACTTTGCTCATCAAGTAGCTGGTTTTCCAGTCATTTCTTCTATTTGTAAGTGAACCACATTCCAGTCAACTGTCTGTTCTTCTCTCTGATGGATGGGACAGAGGCCTAGGCAATCAACATATAAGAGAGAACACAGAAGCAATTTCTCTCTGGCTAGGGGCTATGTTTCTGTATTTACATGTGAATGGAGTAGCGTCTGATGCTTGGAAAATTTGCAGTGCTTGCTGCCAATAAAGAAACACCACTCTGTGGTGGACTTTGGAGAATTTGTTCAGTTCAACAAATGTTTACAAAGGAGGTACGTGTAAAGCCACAAAGATTCATTCATTCATTCACTTATTGAGTGCCTACTACGTGCTCAGTATTGTGCTAGGCACGGAAGAAACAGCAGTGATAAAAGCAGAATCCCCCAAATCTCTGACTTTATGAAAGGGAAATAAACAGTTAATATTATAAATAAGTAAAATGCATACTATGTTAGGTAATATTAAGTACTAAGGGGACTAAGAAGAAAGTGGGGAAAGAACATATTGGGAGGTGGGAAGGGTTTACCAGGAAAAGCCTCACTGAAAAGGTGACATTTAATAACAACTTAAAGGACGTGAGGGAGTTAGACATCCAGAAATCTGGAGAAAGTATTCTAGAGAGGCCACAGCAAATGTGAAGTCTGTGAAGTAGGAGCACATTTAATGTGTTTGAGTAACAGCAAAGACCAGGAGATGTCTCAAGCCCAGAGGGTGAGGAGAATAGTAAATGATCAGAAAGGCAGTGGTTAGAACGGCAATTAGCAGCCATAGAGGTCACTGTAGAGATCTGGGCTTTTCTTTTTCTTTCTTTCTTTTTTTCTTTTTTTTTTTTTTTTAAGATGAAATCTCGCTCTGTTGCCCAGGCTGGAGTGCAGTGGCACCATCTCCACTCATGCAACCTCCGCCCCCTGGGTTCAAGCGATTCTCATGCCTCAACCTCCTGAATAGCTGGGATTACAGGCACATGTCACTACACCTGGCTAATTTTTGTATTTGTAGTAGAGACGGGGTTTCACCATGTTGGCCAGGCTAGTCTTTAACTCCTGACCTCAGGTCATCCACCTGCCTCGGCCTCCCAAAGTGCTGGGATTATAGGAGTGAGCCACTGCTCCCAGCCGACTCTGGGCTTTTAATATCAATAAGATGTGCTACCAATGGAAGGTTTGAGCAGAGGGATGATCACGATATGGCCTGACTTATGCTTTTACAGGAACACTTTGGCTGCCATGTCAAGGATAGAGGGCAAAGGGAAAGGGGCAAAGGCAGAGAGCCATGGGGGGGACTGCTCAACCATCCGTGAAGAGTGGCTTGGGTTAGGATGAGAGCTGGGGTCTGGATTTCTCTTGAAGACAGTATGGACATGATTTATTGATGATTAGACATGAGGTATGGGAAGAGCAAAGTCGAGGATGATGCCTGGGATCTCAGCCTGCACAACTGGAAGGATGAAGGCAGTGTCATCTGTTGCGACAGAAAAGAAAGCAGTAGGAGCAGGTGAGGGGCATGAGGAAAGAACAGGAACTTGTTTTTTGACATGTTAAGTTTCAGGTATCTCTTAGACACCCTAGTGGAGAGTGCTACTATATAGTTGGATAACAGAATGTAGAATTCAGGAAAGAATATTCTGAGCAGAAGTTATAAATTTGGGAGTCATTAGCATATAGATGGTATTTAAAGCCATGAGACTGAATGAGATCACCTAAGATGTGAGTGAGTGTGGATAAGAAAAGAGAAGAGGTCCAGAGATTGAAATTGGGGGCGCTCCAATCTTTAGAGGTCAGGGAAACAAGAAGGAACCAGCAAAGGAGACATTGAAGGAGAGTGGAGACAAACTCAGGGGAGGGTGGTGTCCTGGAAACCAAGGAGATAAAGAATTTCAAGGGGGAAAGAGTGGTCAGCTGTGTCAAAGACTGCAACCTTCCTGGTGGGGTAGTGGGGGCTAAGGCCTGCCTGAAGTGGGTTCAAAAAAGAATGTGAGGAAACACATGAGGAACAATGAGTATGGACAATGGTGTGAGACATTATGCTGTATAAAGAAGGAAATAAATGGGTGGTAACTACAGAGGGAAGTGGGGTCAAGATTTTTTCTTTAAGATTGGAGAAATAAGGATGAATATGGTATGGTCTGTTCTCAAGTTGCCATTAAGTCTAGCGGGAGACAGACCCATGGGCAGAAGAGATGACATAGAGCTGTTTACAGGGGTCTGTACCAATGCACCCCAGAGAGAATTGAAACTCTAGCCTAATTTGGATGTTTTGCTCCATCGGAATCTTATGTTGAAATGTTAGAGGCCGGGTGTGGTGGCTCATGCCTGTAACCCCAGCACTTTGGGAGGCTGAGTCAGGCAGATCACAAGGTTGAGGGATCTAGACCAGCCTAGGCAACATGGTGAAATCCCATCTCTACTAAAAATACAAAAAAATTAGCTGGGCATGGTGGCGTGTGCCTGTAGTCCCAACTACTCAGGAGGCTGAGGGAGGAGAATCACTTGAACCCAAGAGGTGGAAGTTGCAGTGAGCCAAGATCATGCCACTGTACTCCAGCCTGGGTGACAGGGCAAGACTCTGTCTCAAAAAAAAAAAAAAAAAGAAAGAAAGAAATGTTGGAGGTGGGCCTAGTGGGAGGTGTTTGAGTCTTGGGAATGGATCCCTCATGAATGTCTTGGTGCTGTCCTTGCAGTAATGAGTGAGCTCTCATTCTATTAGTTTACCTGACATCTGGTTGTTTCAAAGAACCCGGCACCTCCTCCCTTCTATCTTGCTCCCTTTCTTGCCATGTGATACACTGGCTCCCACTTTGCCTTCCACCATGATTGGAAGATTCTCGAGGCCTTACCAGGAGCAGTTGCTGCCACCATGTTTCTTATACAGCCTACAGAACTGTGAGCCAAAAGACACCTCTTTTCTTTATGAATTACCCAGCCTCAGGTATTTCTTCATAGCAATGGAAAATGGACTAACAAAAAAATTGGTACCAAAAAGTAGGACATTGCTATAAAGATACCTGAAAATGTGGAAGCAGTTTTGGAACTGGGTAACAGGCAGAGGTTGGAAGAGCTTGAGGGCTAAGAAGAAGACAGGAAGATGAGAGGGATTTGGAACTTCTTAGAGATTTGTTAAGTGGTTTTGACCAAAATGCTGATAGAAATATGGCCAGTGAAGGCCAGGCTGATGAGGTCTCATGGGGATAAGGAATTTATTGAGAATTAGAACAAAGGTCATCCTTGTTATGCCTTAAAGAACTTGGCTGCATTGTGTCTGGGCCCAGGAGCTAGGGAAGGTTGAACTTAAGACTGATGACCTAGGGTATCTGGCAGAATTTCTAAGCAGCAAAGCATTCAAGATGCACATGGCTGCTTCTAACAGCCTATTATCAGATGTGAGAACAAAATAATGACTTAAAATTAGAAGTTATAATTAAAAGGGAAGCAGAGCATAAAACTTCTGCAAACTTACAACCCTGGATGGTAGAGAAGGAAAGAGCATTTTCAGAAGAGGAACACAAGCTGGCTGTGGAGCAAGCACTTGCTAGAGGGATTAGCATGACTAAAAGGGAATCAAGTGCTAATATCCAAGACAATGGGAAAAAGGTCTCAAAGGCATTTCTGAAATCTTTAAGGCAGGCCCTCCCATCACAGGCCAAGAGGCCTAGGAGGAAAGAATGGTTTTGGACACCAGGTGCAGGGCCCTGCTACTCTGTGTAGCCTGAGGATACAGCTCCCCACATCCTAGTCACTCAAGCTGCAGCCTTGGCTCAAAGGGGCCAAGATGCAGCTCAGGCTGCTGCTTTGGAGGGTGTCACTATAAGACTTGGTAGCTTCCACATGGTGTTAAGCCTGCAGGTGTGCAAAATGCAAGAATGAAGGAGTTTTGCCAGCTCCCGCCTAGATTCCAGAGGATGTATTAGAAAGCCTGTGTGCCCAGGCAGAAGCCTGTCACAGGGACAGAACCCCCACAGAGAGACTTTACTAGGACAGTGCCAAGGGGAAATGTGGGATTGGAGCCCCCACACAGAGTTTGCATTAGGGCACTGGCTAGTGGAGCTGTGGGAAGGAGGCCGCTGTCCTCTAGACCCATGAATGGGAGAGCCACTGGCAGCATGCACCCTGAATCTGAAAAAGCCACAGACACTTAACTCCAACCTGTGAGAGCAGCCACAGGGGCTGCACCCTGTAAAACCACAGGGGTGGAGCTGTCCAAGGCCTTGAGAGCCCACTTCTTGCATCAATGTGCACAGGATGCAGGACATGGAGTCAAAGATTGTTTTGGAGCTTTAAGAGGTAAGGATTGCCCTGCTGGGTTTCAGACTCCATGGTGCCTGTTGTCCCTTTCTTTTGGCTGGTATCTCCCTTTCAGAGTGGAATGTTTACCCAATACTGGTATCACCATTGTATCTTGGAAGTAAATAGGTTGTTTTTGGTTTTACAGACTCATAAATAGAAGGAACCTGCCTTGAGTCTCAGATGAGACTTTGGACTTTTGATTGAGTGGATGCTAGAATGAGCTAAGACTTTTGGGGACTATTGGGAAAAGATGGTTGTATTTTGCAATGTGAGAAAACCATGAAATTTAGGGAGCCAGGGTCTGAAAGATATGATTTGGATGTTCTGTCCCCTCCAAATCTCATGGTGAAATGTGACCTATAATGTTGAAGGTGGGCCTGGTGGGAGGTGTTTCAGTCATGAAGGCAGATCCTTCATCAATGGCATGATACTGTCCTTGTGGCAATGAGTGAGTTCTCACTCTGTGAGTTCACATGAGACCTGGTTGTTTAAAAAAGCCTGGCACTATCTCCCCTCTCTCTCTTGCTCCTTCTCTTGCCATGTGATACACTGACTTCCCCTTTACTTTCCACCATGATTGGAAGGTTCCTGGGGTCTTACCAGGAGCAGATGCCAGTAACATGCTTCTTATACAGCCTGCAGAACCATGAATCAAAATATGCCTCTTTTCTTTATATATTACCCAGCCTCAGGCATTCCTTTACAGCCATGTGAAATGGACTAACAGAAATACTTTGAAAAGATAAGTCCTAAACCAAGTCTTGAAAGATAAGTGATTTTTATCCAGGGGAAGAAAGAAGGGAATGGTATTTCAAGTAGAAGGGAGAATATAAATCAAATCATGGAAGCTTGAAACAGCTTGTTGTGTGTGGAAATCACAAAGAGAGCAGCATTTCTTTTCAAGAGCTGAACTGCCTGGGTGTGACTCCCAGACTCTCTGCAAGATATGTGACCTTGGGCACATTACTAAACCACTAGGTGAATCAGTTTCCCCAGTCATAAAGTGGGGAATATCATAGTGTCTGCCTCATAGGGTTGTCATGAGAAGGAAACAAATCAATTCACGTGAAGTGCTTGGGACAGTGTCTGGCACATCGTAGATGCTCAATAAATGATAGCATTTCTTATCATTGGGTGCAGACAGTGAGGCAGGGATTAGATGGAATATGAGATTGAAAATGTAATTAGCTGGATGTAGAAGGTCTTGTATGCCATACCCAGGGTTTTGACTTTGTCCTGGCAACACCAGGAGCCACTGCAGGATTGTAGGCTAAGGAACAATATGATGGGATTTGGTGTTTCAAGTGGCTCACTATGGCCACCTAGTGGAGGATGGTCAAGGGGAGGAAATTTGGAGGCAGGTTTTAGAAGACCTGGCTGTATATTCTGGCTCAACACTTAACCAGTGTATGAATCATTTCCTTCTTTGAGCCTCAATTTAATAATCTGGGAAGTAGGAATTGTAAAACATATCCAAAGGGCTGCGGTGAGGAGAAAATTAAATAACAGAATGAAAGTCCCTAACCCAGTGCATGACACATATAAATAGGTTTGCAATGAATATTTGTTTTGATTTTAATATCAGAAATCTTACAAGAGAGGAGCAAAAAGCCTCACAGTTTCCCCATCTTTATGCTCTGTCCCACCAGGCCAGCTCTCCTTGCTTCTATAAATGTGCTAGAAACAGTCGAACTGGCTCACAGACCTACACGGTGAGTATCATCCTTACTCTCTCCTACTGCACTCTTCTCACCTCCATAGCTGTCCAGTTCACCCTGATTCAGTGGTCAGAACCCTGACCTCTTTCTAAAGCATCTGCCATATCCAAGGCTAAGACCACATCCACCAGGCTGGAAAGTGGGTAAGGAAAGCTTCTGATGTAACAAGTCTTTTCTTTGTCTGCTGATTGTCATCAGAGAGCTGTTGTTTTTCAATTGACCCTCACCACATTCAATACCTGTTGTTTTACACAATCTTTTTGCAGCACCTCTGTCTTATCTCCCCTAATAGTCTGTACGATTCTAGAAGGCACAGACTGCACAGTAAACATGTCTTAGGACCTGCCTCTTGCTCATGGCAGAGGCTTGCCAGGGAATGAATCGAATGAAGAGTTGACTGATGCTCACACAGTGCTGAAAGCCTGCCAAGCTGTGAATAAGTATGAGTTGGTTTGATTATGAAAGATGGGAAATCATGTCTTCTTTTCTAGAGTGGAACATAAAGCTTCCCAGCCTCCTCAGGCTTGCTCAGGCAGAGCAGGCAGAGCTGTGACCTGTGGGCCCAGAATTGTACCCTTGATAATCTAAATGACAATCAGCTTATTAAGCCTCACAGTCCCCTGTGCAAGCTGATGAAGGAGGGTGGGCGCCTCAGTGGTCAACAACCGTTCAGGGATCTCCTCCCAACAATGGCTCTGTGCCTCTACAAGGCAGTTTGAAACACACACAGAAAACCAGCCGATTTACACACTCTTCTTCCTGCTGTTCCCTTGGCACACATTTTGTGCTGACGTGACAGCCACAGGAACAGATGTCTGTTTGGCCTCTGGGGAGGCAGAGGAAACTCAGGCCACATCTGAAGCTCCTCCCCTTCTTTCCAGGCCACCTGGAACCCAGGCCATGAGTCATGTAGGACCAGTTCAGGGATATGGTCCAGGAAGGCTACAAGGAGTGGGGGTGATGACAGTTGGAGAAAAGAATCAAAGGCGTTGGCACGGAAGGGGAAGTTGAAGGACTCTCTGGCCCAGCTCTCGGGTCATTAAATAGTATTATTGCTCCGGTTTTGTAGTGAAGTAACTGAGGCCTGAGGTGGGTGAGTGACCTGAGCGAGGCAAACGCTCCATGTGTGTAGAGAAGAGAGAAGATGGTGGCAGCTCAGGCCTGCTGCAATGTCCATCACTGCCACCTGCTTCTGACTAAAGATGTCGGTGGTGGTGATGGAGAGGGGATATTGGAGAGGATGTTGTTACCTCAGACCAGGTTAACCAGTAAAGGTGAGTGTGCATACGTGTTTGTGGGTGTGACCTGCTCTTCAATACTCAACTTCAGAGGTCCACTTCTACAGGATACTACTGCTGCTGTCACACCTAATGATAATAATAATGGTAATAACAAAGGCCAACAGAGCGATTGAGCACTTACTATGTGCCAGACATGGTGCTCAGTGCATTACACAGATTACCACATTTAATCCTCTAAGAGGTTGTTCTTATTATTCTTACCCCGTTCCATAGCTGAAGAAAACGAAAGATAAGTTTAGGAACCTGCCCACAGATATACACTAGATTCTTGGTTAGATTGGGTTGCTATGACAAATACCATAGACAGGATGGCTTAAAAATCAGAAATGTATCTCTCACAGTTTTGGATACTGAAAGTCCAAAATCAGGGTGCCAGCAGATGGGGTCCTGAGCCGCTCTTCTGAGCTTCAGAAGATGGGGTCCTGAGCCGCTCTCTGAGCTTCAGCAGATGGGGTCCTGAGCCGCTCTCTGAGCTTCAGAAGATGGTGTCCTGAGCCGCTCTTCTGAGCTTCAGAAGATGGGGTCCTGAGCCGCTCTTCTGAGCTTCAGAAGATGGGATCCTGAGCCCCTCTCTGAGCTTCAGCAGATGGGGTCCTGAGCCCCTCTCTGAGCTTCAGAAGATGGGGTCCTGAGCCGCTCTCTAAGCTTCAGCAGATGGGGTCCTGAGCCACTCTCTGAGCTTCAACAGATGGGTCCTGAACCCCTCTTCTGTGCTTCAGCAGATGGGTTCTGAGCTTCTTGCTGGATCTCTTGCTGTGTCCTCACATGGTGGAGAGAGAGAGAGAGAGAGAATCTCTTTTGTGTATTTTAGGGCACTAATCCCATTCATGAGGGATGCACCCTTATGACCTAATCACCTCCCAAAGGCACCACCTCTAAATACCATTACATTGGGGATTAGGGCTTCAGCAAATAAAGTTTTGGGGAATGCATGCATTCAGTCCACAGCAGTTCCTAGATTCACAGGACCAGAATTTGCATGTGGAGTAGTCATTAAGATTGTTCACAAATCCTTTTTTTTTTCTCTCTTTCCCCAGGTTAGAATTTTCTGTCTCAGTTGAGTTAAAGCATGACTATGGGACTTTGTCTGGCCAATAAAATGTGAGTGGAAGTGTCACTTCTGGCCAGAAGTTTTAGGAACCAAGTTATGCTCTGCCATGTTCTCTTTTCCCTTGGTCACAGCGACTGGCAATAACCTAGGTGATGTTGTGCTATCAGCCCAGGTCCTAGGGGGAGGATGATGATGGGGTTGAACAGAGCCCTCAACTGACCCTCCAGATTGCATAATGAGAAATAAACCTTTGTGGTTGTAAGCCACTGAAATTGTAGGGCTGTTCACTATCATAGCAACAGGGCTCAGCCCATCTTGACTGAATTGGAGTGAGGCTTTTTTAGCACAAAGTGAAACTCAAACCCCATATTTTGCCATCTCCTCAATTTCTCCAGCTGTCCTGGATATTCCCCCAGTGGGCTCAAGTAGCACTCTGCTATGGCATCAGTTACACTGTATGTCCAGTCTTCTTTCATTCCCGTGACCAAGCCCATTGGAGCACACTTCTGTGTCTTTGGGGTCTAAGCATCTAACACAGAGCCTAGGACACAGGACATGCTAAGTACATGCTCACTGAATGGATGCCTGTAGGAGAAGGATTCTGACACTGCAGTGTTGCCCTGCAGGACAAACTCCAAGTGGCCCAGAAGGTCAGCCCACCTTGGACCCCACATTTTTGTCAGATGACGCGGGAGACTTTTTGTTTCTGGTATCCTCATCCCTGGGGGCTCAGCCAGGTGGGTTGGCACCTGGGGTGTCTGCCCAGCTGGCTAGCAGAATTTGTATCACCGTGTGCAGACCTCAGCAGTAAATCAGCAGGTGTGAGGAATTTACCCCAGAGAGTGATCCAGCAGTGGCATGAATGAGTAATTTACAAAGCCCATTAAGGCGGCACAGAATTACTTATTTATGGGAACTTTTTGACAGATCTGCGGCTTAATCATTTATCCCTGTGAACATTTAGCCAGGGTCATTGGTAAATAATTCACTTATTACACACTCTGGAGTGGTTTATGGTACTGTGACTTATGATCTCACATGAGTTCGCAGCCGGGGAATTGGAATGTGAAGGCCGGGGAGGGGAGGGGAAGTGGAGGCCTCTGGATGCAGGCCCCAGTAGAAAGGCCGTCTGCTCTAAGTCAGCTTGATGTTACAGCACAGGAGGATTTTAGTCCCCAGTCTAACCTTTGGGGAGACAGTGAGGGAAGGAAATAGGTATTAAGAGAATGGTCTGAAAATGCTAGGTCTTAGCTCCAGGCAGAGCGAGGACAGACTCCAGCTTCACTAGCTCTCCGGGGCCTAGTGGGGAAATCTGAATGCCCCAGCCTGACATTCAAGATCCTCCAGGAACTGTCCCCATTCCTTCCCAGTCTTATCACTCATTACTTATCTCAGCAGCGCCACGGGGGCTGATATCTCACATATCTCCCCCGCTCCCCAAGAATTTGCTCGTGGCACTCCTCCTGCCTGCCTGCCCTTCTCTTCTTTTGTCTAACTGCTACTTAATATTCAGCTTTCAGCTCAAAGCCCATCTCTGCATGAAGCCTTCTTACACTACTTCAGCTACGTTCACGACCTCCATGAAGTTCTTGAAAACTTGCAAAGTACCATGCACACATGAAGCACATTACACATGCCATTGATTAGCCGGCTCCCCTGGCTAGACTAGGTGCTCCTTCAGCACCAGGACTCAGACCCCAGTGAACATGGTCCCATGAAAGTTAGCCCAGAGCCTTTCCCACAGTGAGTTAAATGAACATGGGCTGTTGTTGATGATGGTGATAATAGGAGGATGCTCATGAAGATGGCTGTCAGGCTGACTTCCTCAGCATCACACCATGGCCTCTCTTCTCTGTCCCACATGTTCCCCAGGCCCCAAAGACAGTGGAAGCAGGTGATCACATCTCTAAGGTTCCTCAAGAGTCTAACTGATACCATAAGTGGAGAGAGGCACTTATGTTGGGATGGAGGAGGAGTGCATTTGGGCCTGCTCACCAGAGAGGAGTCAAGTTAAGGGGGAAAGGAAATCCAGGTGCAAGCACCAAGCCCCACCCTCTTATTGAAGATCCATCCCAAGCCACACCTGACTTGCCCATAACCTTCCAGGAAGACCCTACAGATTCCAAATGTGTTTCCCAGACCTCTAGTTTAAGGAGATTAGCTTGACTTCTTGAGGTTTAGTCCAGTTAAATAAGGTCTTCTACCTTTGTATCAATACCAATTGTTGCCCAGATGGTAGAAAGATTTAGCAAGATGGCTTCCTCTTCCCATTGGAGTTTTTAGATCTCCAATGGGAAGACACAGGAGATAATTTACTGTCTTGCCCACCAGGAAATCCTTCCTAAAGTCTAGTCTCAAGCAGTTTTGCTATAATGGTCAAGAAGAAGCATAGGATACTGAGCAACTTGTATTCCAGGAAGGGAAAGCCTGGGCTTGCCTGAGGTGAGTTGGGAGATGAGAAAAGATAGAAACAAGGTTGTTCCTAAGCACAGTGCTCTGTTCTTCCCTAGGTCTCAGGGAATTTGAAACAGGTTTCTAATCACTGCGTAGAGTGGTCAGAGCCATATGGTTTGTTACCTTATTCACACGTTTTTATGTGCTCCCATAACAACCTTGTCAAGTAGGTATTCTTGTGAGTTTCTATTACTGACTGAATTGTGTCCTCCCTAAATCTATATGTTGAAGCCCTAACCCCAGTGTGACTATTTGGACACAGAGCCTTTAAAGAGTTAATTAAGGTGAACTGAGCTCATAGGGGTAGAGCCTTAATCCTTACAGGACTGGTGTCCTTATAAGAAGAGAATAGACATCAGATCTCTCTCTCTCTCTCTCACTCTCTCTCTCCTTCTTTTGCCTTTCACGCGCACAAAGGAAAGGCCATGTGAGGACATAACAGGAAGGCAGCTGCCTGCAACCCAGGAAGAGAGGAACCAGAACCTAACATGCTGGTACCCTAATCTTGGACTTCCAGCCTTCAGAACCATAAGGCAATAAGTTTCTGTTGTTTAAGCCACCTGGCCTGTGGCGTTCTGTTACTGCAGCCTGAGCTGATGAGACAGCTTCCTTTTACAGGTGAGAAAATTAAGGCTCACGGCAGAGAAATGGCTTGTCCAAAGTCATCCAAATAGCAGGTGAAATAAGGACTGGATGCTAGCATGGATGGACCAGATCCTGCAGACTCCATCCCAGGATGGAACTCTGGAGTCTAGACCCTGCATCTGGCAGTCTCCCTGCTGGCTCTTCTGCTGTGCATTCCTGTTACAGCTTCTCTGTCAACTCTGCACTCCCACTCCAAACATCCTACACTTTGGGTTGCTTCTCCCCTTCTCTCCGCTCAGTGCTCATCAGGTTTTGTGGTTCTGTGGTGTGGTGCTGCCATCTGCTGGCAGGAGGCACCCGCTGCCCTAACTGCCAGGGCGGGATTTTCTTTCTATTTTATTTTATTTATTTATTTTTTGAGACAGAGCCTCCCTCTGTCGCCCAGGCTGGAGTGCAGTGGCACGATCTCGGCTCACTGCAACCTCCGCCTCCGGGTTCAAGCGATTCTCCAACCTCAGCCTCCTCAGTAGCTGGGAGTGCAGGTGCACGCCACCACACCCGGCTAATTTTTGTAATTTTAGTAGAGACGGGGTTTCACCATGTTGGCCAGGATGATCTTGAACTCCTGAGCTCAAAAGATAGCCCGACTCGGCCTCCCAAAGCGCTGGGGTTACAGGCGTGAGCCACAGCCTGGCCTGGGATTTTCTTTACCATGTCTCTCTCTTACTTCCACATACCGTCCACCTCTCCCTCCTAAATCCAATCCCTTTCACTCTCTCCTGTAGGCAGGTGGCTAATATGATAGGTTCCTGGAGGAAAAATAAAATAAAATAAAAGGAAGCAGGTACAGATAACTATCTTTGAGAAGAAAATGGATTACAAAAGGGAAAAGACGGTTGATTCCCAAGGGGTGAAGTCCCCACAGAGTGTCAAACCAGACCCTCCCAGGGTAGGTCAGAGAGCTGGGGGAGGTCTGAGGCAGTGGGCATGGTGCCCTTTGGCTTTGATCACAAACAGAAGCACTGAAGACCTCCCTGCCTGTCCTATGGAGGTGGCAGGAGCTCCTGGAAAGCCTGTAGGAAGAGGCTACTAGGAATAAAATTCTATCTATCTATCTATCTATCTATCTATCTATCTATCTATCTATCTATGAGAGAGCACTCTGTCATCCAGGTGGGAGTGTAGTGGCACAATCACAGCTCACTGCAGGCTTGACCTCCGAGCTCAGTCCCATGACACCTGGGACTACAGGTGTCATGCCTGGCTAATATAAAAAATATTTTTGTACAGACGGGGTTTTGCTATGTAACCCAGGCTGGTCTCGAATTCCTAGGCTAAGGTGATTCTCCTGCCTCAGCCTCCCAAAGTGCTGGGACTGTAGGCATGAGCTGTCATGCCCAGCCTACTATCCCTTTATTCCAGAGAATGAGGGTGATCTTGCTGACTGGTTTCTGTTACGTACTCTCCCATAGTGACATGTGCAGTAAATAATCCCACCTCATTTGACAGATGCGGAAACCGAGTATCAGTGTGGTTTATCAATCCACAGATTAGTGTGGATGAATGATATCATACTTTGGGGGTGTGGCTATTGAGCCGGGAATGTACTGCAAGGGCATCTGAAAGCTCTGACTCATCTCATGCCAGAGTGTGAAATATTAAAGTCAGTGCTTAGGAGAGATCTCACTTTCTTCTCTCCACGCAAACCCTAGCTTCAGTGTCTCTCTGTGAGGTCACCCAGAGTCTGGTTCATATGGCTAAGAGTCACATATTACAGGCACAGCCACAGCCAGCAGTTGGCATCTGCTCTCCTGTGTCAGCAAGGCTCAAGGCAGGAGAAGCAGATTGGTGAATGGGAGCCAGGAGAAGAGTGCAGAGAGGGGGAATGGCCAAGGGGACTGAGCATAAAGGAAGGGAAGGTCATACAGAAGGGAAAAATACACACATAAAATAGAAAGAACAGAGGACTTTGACTTTGGAGTTACCAAGCTGTGTGTCTTCAGGGAATTCTTCTTCATCTGTAAAGTGGGCATAATACAGTCGTGTCTGCCTCACACATCTATTTTGAAAATTAAGTGAGATAACATGAGTGAAACCACCAGCCCCAGTGTTCAACTCACAGTCAGCCTGAGTAAGCGTTTGTTGAATCTGAAACCATGAAAGGGAGCGGGCTGATTCATTGTCCCCTCATGTCCTGGGACTACTGACCTATATTAACATGAATATACTGGCAGCCAATCATCACATGCGCTACAACACCTCCTGAATGAAGGCTCTGACACAGTCCCAGCGTTCCAGAAGCCAGGAGGTGGTCTTGCTCCCTCCAGCTTTGCTCTTCACAGGCACGGCTTTGCCACATTCCTCTAAATGCATCAGCGTCACAGAAGCCATGTCCTGTATGCCAGAATGGAGCAGATTCCAATTAGGAGCCGCAGGGAGTCACATGCCTTCAAATGGAACGGGGTAATTTTGATAATTTTTTTTTTTTTAGATGGAGTTTAGCTATTGTCATCCAGGCTGGAGTGCAAAGACATGATCTTGGCTCACTGTAATCTTTGCCTCCCGGGTTCAAGAGATTCTCCTGTCTCAGCCTCCCTAGTAATTGGGATTACAGGTGCTCACCACCATACCCAGCTAATTTTTGTATTTTTAGTAGAGACAGGGTTTTGCCATGTTGGCCAGGCTGGTCTTGAACTCCTGACTTCAGGTGATCCACCTGCCTCGGCCTCCCAATATGCTGGGATTACAGGCGTGAGCCACCGTGCCTGGCCAATTTTGGTAATTTTGTTTCCTGGGAAGGACAATACATTTACATGGCTTTGCAACATGACTACAAAGCCTTGGATTTAGAGTCAGGAATCTGGCTTATGGTCCAATGTCTTGATCACTACCTGTATCACTACCTGGGCAAAATAGGACAAGTTGGTTTCCCTGGCTCTAAGCCTCTTTTTCTCTAATACTCCATGTTTCAATCACTAGCCTACCCAATTTTATCCCTTGGAAATGCTTTTGGTTGCAAGAAATAGAATACTCAGCTAACATTAGCTTTTGACAAAAGAGCATTTATTGTTTATGCACAACCATTTCAGACACAGGCAGTCTATGTCATCTCAACAGCATAAACAAGGACCCAGGCTCCAACATCATCTTCATCATCTTTAGCATCTTGATCCTCACGACCGCCACCTGAGGCCACAAGATAGCTACTGCAACTCCAGGTGTCACACAACTATTAAAGGCAGAAAGAAGGAAGGAGTTGGCATCAAATGCTCCTGTTACTTATGTCAAGAAAGCAAAAGATTTTCCAGAAAATCCCTAGCAGACATCTCCTTTGCTTTCATGGTCTAGAACTCTGTCATGTGAGAACTTCCAGCTCCCAGGGAAGCTTTCTAACCTCTAGGTGGGAGGCAGCAAGGGAGATCCCACAGTTCTTTGATGTGCCACCCTGATGAGAGTATATTCCCTAGTGTTGCTTTCCTGAGAGCGAGGATGAGGAGCCAATGAGTAGCTTTTGATAAAGAGGGAGGAAAAAGCCCTGAAAAAATTTAGGCCTTCTCCTCGGAGGTTAGACAGGGGTGGATATAATATGAAGACCCTAGACACCATGAGTCTCAGGGCTCTGAGGTTTGGAGTACTGAACAGAGGACTGTGAAGGTCTGGAAGCTTGCATTGTGTTTTGTCTAGCTTTGTTATTCTCAAAACTTAAGGGTGTATCTAGGGCAGACTCCCCACCTGTTCAGCTAGCTGGAGCATCAGGGGTTCTAATGTGTGTTTAACTCGGTGGAGCCCCAGAAAGCCTGACAGTGATATCCTCTTCTTTCCTCCTTCTCCCAAGGGGCTCTGGAACCTCTAGGTGCCCAGACCTGTGCAATGTATAGGTGTTGCTGAGTCCTGTAAATGACACTATTTTACCTCCTCCCAGGAGCTTCACTACTTTCTGACCCCATTGAAGTGGCCATATAGGTTCTTCCCATTCCTGAACAACTGTGCCTGTGGAATCTTGATAAAATAGGACATTATTTTTTCATAATAAGCATAGCTATCATTTACTGACTTATAGCAAAACAGTTCAGAGATGACCAGCCCAGAGTTACACAGCGACAGAGTCAAGATTCCACCCAGGTCAGCCTGATTCCACTGGCCTTACCTTTCTCTTTTCTTTTTTCTTTTCTTTTCTGTTCTTTTCTTTTCTTTTCTCTTTTCTTCTTTTCTCTTCCTTTCCCTTCCCTTCCCTTCTCTTTTCTTTTTTCTTTCCTTTTCTTTTTTTTTTTTTTTTTAACAAGGTCTCACTCAGCACCTAGGCTGGAATGCAGTGACGTGATCTCTGCTCGTTGTAGTCTCAACTTCCCGGGCTCAAGTGATCCTTCCACCTCAGCCTCCCAAGCAGCTAGGACTACAGGCGCACACCACCACACCAGGCTAATTTTGTTTGTTTTTGGAGAGACAAGGTCTCACTATGTTGCCCAAACTGGTATTGAACCACTGGGCTCAAGCAATTCTGACTTGACTTCCCAAAGTGCTGAGATTATAGCTGTGAGCCACCGCACCCTGTCAACCTTATCTTTCTTGTTGCAGCAGTCTGACTTCTGAGTGGTTTTCCTAGACTTTGTGCAATATCCAGCACACAATATATGTGTGGGATTGCTAATTTCCTCCACTGGTTTATTTCTATCTCCTGGTTCCTGAAGAACTCAACTTTTTGTATAAAAAGACTTATATCCTCAATACCTTTGAGAATAGTGGCTAGAACCTAGTAATGCACATGTGTGGAAGGGCTGTTACATAAAGAAGTTTCTCATTTCCCAGGCTTTCTAGATATTTGGACTAACAGAAAAAAATGGGCCTGTCTACATGTGGGTCTGTCATTCTTAGAGATTATTAACTTAATTACCTATTTTTATAGTGAAAGGCTGAGACTAGGGGAGATGAAATGTTATGTCCAAAGCTCATACAGCCAATTCAGGAAGGACCTCTACTCTAGCCCCTCAAGCAGGTGCAGCCAGAACAAACACCTCCTTCCTATATGAAGCTACGGAGGTGACAAGTAAACCTAAATGTTTTCAGGTCGGATCGTAACATCCACAGGTGGATCCCAGTTTACTGTTGGGGGACTTTGCCTCACTTAGTGAAACTGTAAAGAAATCTAGCTTTCTTTTGGAGTAAAACATCAGGTTGAATCACAGTTTTACCGGAAACTAGCTTGATGCTCTTGGGTAAGTTGTTTAATCTGATTAGGTCGCTGTGTTTTTTGCTGTAAAGTGGAAAAATGAAAGTGTTTACCTTGTGCGATGGCTATGAGGAGTAAATGAAGAACTTGACGTAAAGTGTTTTAGCACAAACACATACCCAGAGTGAGCATTCAATACATTGTAGTTATAGTCATTACAGTCATAATTAGATTTTTTTCTAATTATTGGTGTGCTGAAGAATATTTGACTTTGTCACTTTCCCACGTTGTTTTACTTCTTGCTGTGGAAGGGGCTCTGCAGCTGCAGAAGGTCACTGACGTCTGAGGTTTGGTTTTGCCCTTCTCCTCTGTCTCTTCTGACACATTCTTCTGCCTGTTTCTGTCCTTCCAACCCTCCCGGAACCTTCCACTTGGCCCAGATGAGCAGCTTGCTGGGTCACAGGGCTGGCCTGCCGGAATGCCCTGACATTCTGCTGTTGAAACAGGTGACCCTTCATTACTCCTGGGCAGAGGCTGGCCTGTCAGTCAGCTGGTAATTAACAGAGTCTGGATATGAGTTGCCAGAGAAAGGGCTCTGGCCACTGCCTCCCACACAATGCTTTTCTGGTGTGCTACAGCTGGTAAAGCCAATGGTTAAATATCCAGGAATTTGGCAAGCCAGCTGTTAAGCTGCTGAATATCCAGGAATTTTGTGAGCCACTTGTCAAACTGTTGGTAGCTTGAAATCAATCGTGGTGGGAGTCTTTATGCCATGGAAATATCAGCAGACACTACAAATCACCATACTGTCTCACCCTGCAGCGCATTTACCAGCACATCATTGAGCAAACTGTCTTCTCCTAAAACTCACTAACTGAGGGAAACACTACAGGATTCTGGGCTTGACATGTGGTTAACACCCACATTTTAAGAAAATTAATTCTTTTAGTTATAAAAGTAATACAAGCTTGTTATGAAACATTGAAATAATACAGGACAAAAAACCTGAAAAGTAAAGGTCTCTGTCCATTTATCCCTCCTCGTTGCAGAGATATCCACTCATTTCTGTTTGTTTCTCTCTTGAACTCTTTTGTAGAGATAGAAAAATCGTTATTTTATATGTCTACTGGTTTACTGGATGGGGCTGAACTTGAAAGAAGAAACCACTTTATTTTTCTCTTACCTCTGCTCCTGCTATCCATCATGTTACATAGAATCCCTCTGACTTGCCCCTGAGGACTGGCTTGAGCAGACACAATAGCTTTCTGGCCATTTCTAGGCATTGGAAAAATAGTGCAGTCCAGTTCAATTTAAAACTTGAATCTCACATCCATTTCAAAGCTCCTCTCATCCCCCAATCTTAGGCCTGAACTGTGGCTCAGAAACCTGTAGTGGGAAAGCTGTGGGGTCGCTCATTCTCCTTCTATCTCCTCCCACTTAGGGCAGAGAAAGATACATAAAGCTCTTTTTATTTAGGGGCTGCCCTCTGTAGCTCTCTCTTTGCTTGGTGGTTGACCTACACACCCTCTAGGATGGCAGCAAGTTCTTGGGAGGTCTATCACCTGGAGTCTTCTAATTGCTGTTTCCTCCTGGCTGACCTCTTGTAACCCTTCCTCAAGTCCAGCCCCTACAGGTACAATCTACAGCCACTTACTGGTGGTGTCCCATCTCCAAGCAGGCAGCCTTCTTGGGTTGAATCTCATCAAAACAGCTTTAGTGTTGCTACTTCCCACAACATCCACTTGGCTCTCGGGAAATTCAGGCATCTTTGACCTACCAAATGGTAGGAGTACAGCTTACCCATCGGCCGACCCCTCTCTTCCCACCTTCTATCATGTGTGGCTCCAGCCAAAGGTAAGTAGGCAGCTGTCATTTGCCCAGAACTCTCCCCTAGTTGTGCAGTGGTGCACCCAGGTGAGCTGTAGGTTGCTGCAGTTGAGGAGAAAGTAACCAGCCTCTATTCCTGTAGGCACCTCCAGTCTCAGGCAGTGATTCTTTTGGGACTTCCCTCTGTGTGGTTTAAGATGCAGAGAAGCCCCCTACTTCCCCTTCCCTTCACACGACTCTACTCACATGAGTAACCTAAACGTCCCTTTAAATTTATAGCCTCCCCTATAAGGTGGGGGTTGGAACTGGGTAAGGGCTGCAGGACAGGTTTTGTCCTCTTTTCATAAATTCAACAAGGGGTGTTTTGTACTTTTCTTTAGAATGTAGGGGGATTTACTACCTACTCTTTTCAGCTTTGGCATTCAAACTGAAATGTAAAGACAGTCTCCATATATAATTGTATTAAGCAAATAAGATTATTATATGCATATTGTTCTACCATTTGCTTTTCTTTCTAAGCAAACTACTGTATCTCAGGCATATTTTTTTGTCACTGTATGGAGATCTACCTCTACCTCATTTAAAAAAATGTATCTCATTTTTCCTCACTTATTACTTCTTTTTGTTCTCTTGTGTTCATGACCTTTTCCTCCTCCTCCTCCTCTTCTTCTTCTCCTCCTCCTCCTCCTCCTCCTTCTTCTTCTTCTTCTTCCTTTTTTTGTTTTTTTTTTGTTTGTTTTTTAGACAGAGTCTTACTCTGTCTCCCAGGCTGGAGTGCAATGGCATGATCTTGGCTCACTGCAACCTCTGCCTCCTGGGTTCCATTGATTCTCCTGCCTCAGCCTCCCGAGTAGCTGGGATTACAGGCGTGTGCCATGGCGCCCGGCTAATTTTTGTATTTTTAGTAGAGATGGGGTTTCACTATGTTGGCCAGCCTGGTCTCGAACTCCTGACCTCAGGTGATTGGCCCGCCTTGGCCTCCCAGAGTGCTGGGATTACAGGCATGAGCCGCTGCCCCCGGCCCATGATCATTTCTTAAACTAGAGATTTTAGTACTGCCTAGAACAGCAAGCAATGCTTCCTCTTTATGATTTTGTATTTCCTTATTTTCACTGGGTGTCTTAAGAAAGGTTGGGGAACTTGAGTATGCCTGTGTTCCGTGGCAGTGGGGTAGATCTTTTTACTCAAGCAGCACAAACTTTTCGAAATGGTTCAGTATTTCCACTATATATATCACCATGTGCATGTATGATGATCTACTGAATTAGCCCCCTATTAATGAACATTTAACTGTTTCCAATTCATCCCAATTATAGATAACACTATACTGAACATCTATCTTATATTCTTGTGCACTAACTCATTGGTTTTTAAGTAAGCAAAACATTATAAGATGTGATCCTTTCCCCTAGGACACTTTTCCAGAAACCCCTTTTGTCAACAGAATGCAGAGAGAAAGGCTAGGATTAGGACAAATAGGTTCCCAGAAGGGACCTTTGAGGGATGGCGAATTTGTTAACCTTCCTTTTTACCAGGAATACCTCTAGAGTTGGCACCTCATGGGCTCTGAGTGTGTTCATGGCCTATTGATCAGAGGCCTGAACAAGACCCAGTGTGGGGCATTCAGCAGGTTCTCAATAAATGTTTGTTTAACCTGAAGCACATTAGCCACCCTTATATAATGGCAGGCAGCCCAGGAACAGTTGTGCACATAATTACAACTCAGTCAGATTGACTGGGTTGTAACTTGCAAATTGGGCTTGCTTTCCACATCTTCCTGTTCACTGAGTTAGGCCTTCACAGATCACTATGCCTGACAGTCATATGACCTCATGAAGGACTGGTTTTTTGGGGGTTTTTCTTGAGACAGAGGCTCACTCTGTCATCCAGGCTGGAGTGCAGTGGTGTGATCATGGCTCACTGCAGCCTCAAACTCCTGGGCTCAAGCAATCCTCCCACCTCAGCCTCCAGAGTAGCTGAGATTACAGGCATGTGCTACCATGGCTGACTAATTTTTTTTAATTTTTTTGTAGAGTCAGGGTCTTGCTATGTTGCCCAGACTGGTCTCAAACTCCTGGACTCCAGCGATCCTCCCATCTTGGCCTCTCAAAGTACTGGGATTACAGGTGTGAACCACTGTATGCAATCCCATGAAGTACTCTTGGCCCAGACTATAAATCCTTAGGGTAAAAGGGAGGAGGCAGCCATACAAAATATGACCAGAATATTACTTTTTAAGGCTATACCTGCGTCAAGTCACATTTAAAGAAATGGTAGGCTAGTAGAAAAATCTAACTGAAAGCATTTCAAATGTTTACTCAGGAGATACTTATTATGGTGCAGTCCACCTTAGACACTCCTCTTAGTTTCAATCTCTCTTCTTTGCCAGGCAGAAGGTCCAGAACAAATCCTTCCCTCTCCTCTAATTTTCACAAACTCTCCTTTCCCCCATCCGCTGAGCTCTCCTATGTATGTCTCTCCCTGTTAGACATCTTCCTAGAGTGGGGCTCTCCCTTGCTGATCACACACACACACACACACACACACACACACACGCCCCTCCAGACCTGTGGCTTTTTTTTTTTGGCTATATTCTGTTCCCTGGGAGATATAGGTCACCCTTCCTGCCCACACAAACTATTGCCATTTCTCTCACAACCTTCAGCACCTTTGGCAATTACAGTAATGGGAATAAAACTTCATATCACTTTACACATGGAGTCTAATTAGTAAAGTCTCCATTCCCTGGGCTGCAACATGTTGCATTGCAGATCTTTCTCACCGTCTCTGGCAGACAGTCTCACTGGACTCTTTCTCCAAATCCTGCTGTCAAAGAATCAGAAACACACCCAAGGCAATGATTTTGAGCATTCCAAAGTCTGGTATTGGTGCCATCATTTCTAAATTCTTGGGAATATTCTTGGGACTATTCTTGGGACTATCTCCCTCCCAGGAGAGGGAGGATCAACGGTACTCAAGTCTCTGGTTTTAGGTCTTGTGTTGTTGCACTGAATTTCTACTTCTGGTCAGTGTTGTCTCTGCATCTCTGCCTAGATAACTCAACTCATACTCAGTTCAGGTGCCATCTACCCAGGAAGTTAATCTTGAATATCTACTTAGAACAATGACTGATCTCTGGGATCTTGAAAGTGCTGTGTTTACCTCCACCATAACACTTTTTTTTTTTTTTTGAGACACAGTCTCACTCTGTCACCCAGGCAGGAGTGCAGTGGTGCAATCTTGGCTCACTGCAACCTCCGCCTTCCAGGTTCAAGTGATTCTCCTGCCTCAGTCTCCTGAGTAGCAGAGACTACAGGCATGCACCACCATGCCTGGCTAATTTCTGTTTTTTTTCAATAGAGATGGGGTTTCGCCATGTTGGTCAGGCTGGTCTCAAACTCCTGACCTCAGGTGATCTGCCTGCCTTGGCCTCCCAAAGTGCTGATTACAGGTGTGAGTCACTGCGCCCAGTCCTAAAATAAAATTTTTCCCCTACTAGAAAAATAATAAATGCTAATTACAGAAATATTGGGAATACTGAATAGTAGGGAAAACAGAGCACTCTTGTCTCAGCAGCTGAAAATAAGCAAAATTAATATTTCAGTATATTTCCTACCAGTCTATTTACAGTACAAATTTTAATTTAATTTAATTGTGCTCATGTGGTAAACATAAAATTGTACATGTTGATATATATGAATACACTAGCTAGTCAAGCATATTAGAGAAAACACCTATAAATACAGAACAAAATACAAAGAAGGAAAAAGTAGCATTTTAGAATTCCACACCAAGAAACAACCTAGTTACATTTTAGTATATTTTCATAAAACCTCAAAAATTACCTGTTTGCATAATCTCACACTATGTGTCTTGAATTTTAATCATAGTTAACAAAGGAACACTCGTAAAATTTAGTTGGCAGATTTTACGTAAATGTTTTAGTGACATGCATTTTCCACCTGGTGGTTTATTAGTCTTGTTTAATTAAAAAATGATTCAGGCTATACTGATTGGCTTTGAAGATGTAGAAAGTCATTAATAATATTCTTTAGTAATGAAAATAGTCATTATGCTCTTTTGTGCACTTCTGCTTTGAGAAATGGAAGAAAGGGGGTGAAAACAAAGATTTTTAGTTTAATAACTATCTTGGCTCGGCATCCCAACCATACAAATTGTTTGGCCATGCTAATCAAAGTTGGAACAGACCCAGTTAGTGTTTTATGTAGTCTTTTATCAAATTGGCAAGAGATTATCTGTAAACTGTTTTTTTTTTTTTTTTTCGTTGGGAGGGGGAAGCACAATCAAAATAGAATCTACAGGAAAGCAGAAGACAATCTTGGGAACTATACAGGGCCGGACTTTGACCTCAGGCTGGCAAAGCTACTTGATAGCACATTGTTCCATTGTTTCTCTTGGTTTTGAGTCTAATTTTAGTAAGGGAAGATCCATCAGTCTTTCATTCCATGACATCTCCATTCTCTACTTTTAAACTTTGCTTTCTCTCTTATTGACTGGAGAATATGTTCAAGTGATTTGTTTCAAGATTAGCCGATGCATGACAGGTGTATGTTCTGAACCCTTTCATTTCTGATGTTTGCTTTTTTCCTTCTTTCCCACATAAAGGGAGCAATTTGGTTGGGCACACATTCTTGGGGGATAACTCTTTTTCCACAGTACTCTAGATCCTTTCCATTGAAAACTAAGTGTAGAGAAATCTGAAGTCAGCCTTCAAGAGAGTTCTTTTGGTGAAAAGATTGATGATGGTGGTGGGTGGGCCTCACTGTCACTTCTCAGAAGGCAGCTCCCACACAGTAGAAGTGGATGTCCAGGTCTCTGGTATAGATTCAGCATTTTGTAACTGGGTGAGGGGAGTGTGATATGGAGATGGGAAAGTGACCTTTTCTATTTACTTTCAGATAAGCCACCTGCTCTGTTTTTTCCAACATACCCAAGGTGTCCCTCTCTTCTGTTCTTTTTTTCTTTTTTCAGTTCAATTCTAATGACCTTAAAGTTCATGGAAATTCCTTTTGCCTCTGACAATAGTTGATTTTTAAAAGTCCTCATTTTTAGTGTCATTATTATGTTTGTCTTTTCCTGGAACTTTATAGATATTTCATGTGAAGCTTTAAGAGACAAGGCTAGGAGTGTCTAGCCAGATTTTATTTTAATTCATAAGTTTAGCTATGACATTCAATAGGTTTAATCAACCTTCCATAAAGCTATCATTTGGTTTCAGAAGGAAGGCTCTCAGAGCTACAAAGAGAAATGAGTTTTGAGCCATGTAAGGGTGGGGGCAAGCACATGTGGTGGTTCCTAGATCCAGAGTTGCTAGACTGTTCTATCTCACTTTTTTTTCTATTGTATTCCATCTCACTGGATGGTCTGTTAGGAAGAAACATAAATAGCACCTCAGCTGACAGGGTGATTTCTCTCTGTCATTATCCTTAAGCAGAAGATGGTTCTATGTGGCTCACAGGTTCAGCACACAAACCATGTCAGTAATGGTGTGAGTGCAACAGCATTAAAGCCACAATGGAAAGAGGGCTTGTATCAGTTCAGGTCCTCTGGGAAGCAGTTACTAAAGACGGTCAAGAGATTGTAAGGTCAAGAGATTTTGAAAGATGGGAGAGAGGGAACAAAAGGAGTCAGGGAAAGTCTTCAGATAGTGATATGGGTCTGATGCCTGTAAAATGAGACGGGGAGGCAAGAGGGTTGGGAAAGAAGAGACTTTGACCCTGATGCAGCTCTGAGGAAGTCTCATCCAGCCCAGTGGGAAGCTCCAGGGAGTTTGCCAGTAGAGGAGTCTATGTTAGGAGAATGGCCATGTGGAGCAGAAAGTACCCCTGCTGTCCCGCCGTGCTCAGTGGCCGAGGCTGCCTGGGGAGACTTTAGCTTTGGTTCAAACATTGCAGCAGATCCTGAAGGTGATGTAGCTGGAGGCTGATAGCTAAGTACACTCCTGAAGCAGGGTCTTCCTTGAAGGGAGATCTGACTGGTGCACCATTATGGCTGCCACAAGGCCCCTTCCACACTCTCCAGGAGGGACCAGGAGTGTTACCCGTCCTAAGCAGATGATGCACAAGGCAACTTAGCTCCTGTGGCTGGATGAAAACTGAGCAGGTCCATTCACAGGAGAGCCCGGCAACTGCTCTTTGGCAAAGCTGAATGGGCAACCCTGAGCAGATTGTCTCCAGGGGATGTGACCTTCAGCTTCAAGTGATTTTGAATGTGTGCTTGAATGGGCCCCCAGAACAGCACAGAGCCCAGCCTAAGGGTCAACTTATTTTTGAGCAAACATTTCAAATCTCCATCCACAATTATTGAATAGCTACAATGAGGCAGATCTTGTCCTAGTTACAGGTGATATAGGAGAGGACAAGAGGAAGCTTCTGTCCTTGGTTTGCCTATAGTCTAGTGATGGAGAAATAATATTAAAAACTAAGAATGGTGATAAGCACAACTAGCATTTGTGAACAATATTAGGGATCAGATAGGAAAGGGAAGTTGAGAGAACTTCATCTGTTCCCTCTTTGGAAATAAAGTATGAAAAGAATGAGTCTTGGATCTTGAAAGGTCCCAGAGCAGAGTGGTCCAGGATGTAGCCTCTGGTCGGTCCCACTGACTTCCATTAGAGTGGAAGTTCGGCATGGGGCGTCATGATGGGCATAGGGAGCAGAACAGACAGGCATCTGGGTCTCTCTCTACTCCACCCTGGTTGGGGATGGAGAAGAATGGGGTGAAATCAGTAGAGAGATTTAGAAAACACATCAGGTCTCCTTCCACTGACCTCTTTCTTGGCTTCTGCCTCATGGAGCTCTTCCCTTTTCCTTCCCTCAGTCCTCTAACATGGATGATCGGGGCTGGACCTGTCTAGGTATGGAAACATGGTCTCCTGTCTACAAGTCATTGACTAGTCCTGCTGTATCTGGACCACGGTTGCTGGGGAGACCCTTCCTTCCTTCCTTCCTTCCCTCCTTCCCTCCCTCCCTACCTCCCTCCCTCTGTTTCCCCTCCTCTCCCCTCCCCTTCTCTTTCTTTTTTTGATGGATTTTTGCTCTTGTTGCCCAGGCTGGAGTGCAATGGTGCGATCTTGGCTTACTGCAACCTCCGCCTCCTAGATTCAAGTGATTCTCCTGCCTCAGCCTCCCAAGTAGCTGGGATTACACTGGGATTACAGGCATGCACCACCACACCCAGCTAATTTTTTGTATTTAGTAGAGAAGGGGTGTCACCATGTCGGTCAGTCTGGTCTTGAATGCCTGACCTCAGGTAATCTACCTGCCTTGGCCTCCCAAAGTGCTGGGATTACAGGCGTAAGCCACTGCACCCAGCTGCTATATTTTCCAATTCTTCTCTCCTTTCACCATTAATTCCTTTTTTATAGCATTTTAAAAATTATTAGGACAGGTGCAGTGGCTCATGCCTGTAATCCCACCACTTTGGGAGGCCGAGGCAGGTGGATCAAGAGGTCAAGAGTTCAAGATCAGCCTGGCCAAGATGGTGAAACACCGTCTCTACTTAAAATAAAATTAAAAAAAAATTAGCCTGGTGTGGTGGCAGCTGCCTGTAATCACAGCTGCTGGGGAGGCTAAGGCAGAGAATTGCTTAAACCCAGGAGGTGGAGGATGCAGTGAGCCAAGATCATGCCACTGCACTCCAGCCTGGGTGACAGAGCGAAACTCCGTCTCAAAAAAAAAAAAAAAAATTCAACAGAACTCTGATGAGTGACATCAATATCACGTGTCCTTATTCTTGTCCTAAGAATCTCAGCAGGGCCAGAGTTATTAGGAGACCCCTTCAGTCCTCACTCACTTGGTGCCTTCCTCACATCTTCCTTCCTCCTTGGGTCCAGTTCTGGAAGTTTAGCCCTAAAGGAACCATTATCATTACTGCACACTGGCTGCAGCTCCACTGGGGTGGATGAGAGCTGGGAGCCATCTCAGGCTGAGTGGATGCCTTGACAGCAGGAAAAACAAAAGATGTTCACTGAGACAGTAAGTGAGACTGGAATAGAAGCTGGGAAGAAAAGGGGGTGGGAAAGAGAATCTCAGAAACTCAGTTGTCAGGAAAACAAAGGCCCTGCATGGATAATGAGATGACACAATTTATATGGGAACTTTGAACATGGATCTTAGAGTGGGGAGGAACAGGAAGAGGGCAGAGGGGTAATCTCAGCTTGGAGAGTAGACAGGCAACTGGACACAGGGCTAAAGGGTGCTCATCACTCAGTGACCACAAATCTCCATCTGGTTTGACCTTAAAATTAATCTGGATGCAGCAATAGAAGGTGAAGCCCTCCCAGCCAGAGGGCTCAGGCTGGGACTGGCTGAATTCTCACAGCTCACACTGCAACATTGATGGTCTCTTTCCATTTACACCAGGGATCGAGACAGCAGGAATGTGTCTGTGTCAGCAGAGGGCACTCCTTACTAACAGGCTGGGCTTGCTCTGAAAGACTGGGCTTATGAAGGAAGACTTAGCCTCAATCAGGAAGAACCAAATTAGCCCTTCTTCACAGCCAGAGGGGTCCTGGCTGCCTTACTCAGAGCTGGAACAACAGCCACCTGTATGGTGCTTCTGGCAGGACTGCCTGATGCTGGAAGAGCAGCTGACGTGGGTTCTTGTCTGCCGGCGTGTCATTTCATCCTCCGAATATTTATTGAGTGCTGAGTATGTTAGCACTCTTCTAGGGCTGGGGACACAGAAGAGATGAATGAGGAGGCAGTATTTTGTGGTGATTAAGAGAGTGTGACCTGGAATATTCTGCCCGGGCTAGAGTCACAGGTTTGCTGCTTCCTGTGTAAACCTGGGCAATGGACTGAAGTTCCCTGATCTGCACTGTCTTCATATATAAGATGGCAAAGATGATAAAAACACTGTCTCAGGATTATTCTGAGGGTTAAATAAATTAATACAAATAAAGTGCCTTCAACACTTCCTGTCATATGTTAAGTTCTCATTAATGCTGGCTACTATTCTTTTCCCATGAAGGGCATATGAGAGTTGGTCAACAAACATCTGCTGGGATTCTGCTATATTCCAGGACCTCTGTCAGGTGCTGGGGATGGTGTGGTGAAGGCAGATGTGACAGTACCTATATGGAGCTTACAATCCAGATGATTGATTAGAAAGTATCCTAAATGCTGGAAAGCACTTTGGGATGTTACAGGACTAGTGTTGGCTCTGCTCCCACAAAACAATGTGAGCTTGGGACAGTCAATTCATCTCTCTGGCCTTCACTTTCTTCATCTAGAGAGGGAAGGGTCCTTGATGGTGCTATTGCAAGCTGGTAGCCATGGTGATAATAGTACCCTCAGATCCATCTAGCAATTCAAAGGGTCAATCATGGGGAGGTTCCACTGACTCACAAGCCCGATACATCTTTCTTGTCCCCTCCCCACACGTATCAGTAGGACTTATGGTCTATCATGATGCTTTTGGGGTTAGTATTGTCTTTCTACCCACAAAGGTGATGATCCTTGACCAAGTTAGTCTCTAAGATTCCTTCCAGCTTCAATATTCAGAGCCCATGAAAACTTCTTCCCTTTGGACCTGCTAGCTGGTCTAGAATCCCCCTTGTTCCTTCTCTGTCAAAACACAATTGTTACTTGCATGGTGACTTCAGTTGAGAAGCTCTGAGTTACTAGATCTTATGGTCATATGGGCCGTCCACCATGGCAAGTGCTGGAGGAGGACAGTTTCACAATAGAGGACCCTCGGGTCCTGGCTGTCAGAGCCCAGCTAAGGGTGAGACTGGCAGTCTGTTTCTGAATAACAAGTGAACAATCAGTTGCACATGGAAAACCTTGAATGGGCAAAGACAGCATGGCTGCTGTTTTCAGAATTTCTGGTTGATTTGATCCTTGTCTGACTTGAAAACCATACTTCTCTCTGAATCATCCTCCTGAAGCAGAACAAAGCTCTGCAATGACATTTGTGCAAAAAAAAAAGTGAGGTAGGAAAATGGTCTTGTTGAGTCTTGTTATGGAAAAGACATCTGGTATCTCCCCTTCACTCTTGAAGGATGTATATAAGAGGTCAATTCTTGGCCGGGCGCGGTGGCTCACGCCTGTAATCCCAGCACTTTGGGAGGCCGAGGCGGGCGGATCACGAGGTCAGGAGATCGAGACCATCCTGGCTAACAAGGTGAAACCCCGTCTCTACTAAAAATACAAAAAATTAGCCGGGCGTGGTAGCGGGCGCCTGTAGTCCCAGCTACTCGGGAGGCTGAGGCAGGAGAATGGCGTGAACCCGGGAGGCGGAGCTTGCAGTGAGCCGAGATCGCGCCACTGCACTCCAGCCTGGGCGACAGAGCGAGACTCCGTCTCAAAAAAAAAAAAAAAAAAAAAAACAGGTCAATTCTTTCAAAGATTTGTCACACACCTGATAGGTCAATTGCTTTGATTAAATACAGGAAGTAAAAATTAATTCTCTGGGATTTCTGAGTCTTCTTGGTTATGGAAAGGGGACTGTGGTGCCCACTGTTTGCTGCCCTGTCCCAAAAGCTGCCCTATCCCAAAACTGTGCTGATGTTTGAGTCCGATGCCTGACTGCCCAGCAAGTCAGGGAATCTTCCAAGTGTGTGTTGTGCTGGTGCCTTCCTCCCATAGATGAAACATGGGTTAACGTGGGTTAGTGTATGAAGACTGTAATGGGGTCTCGTGGACTCTGCAGTGCCAGCCTAGGCATGGAAAAAGTATGGAGTGTGGGAAGTCTCTCTTCCATGTTCCCAACCTCCTCATCAGTTTGTTTACCCTTCAGATGCTCCTTCATACACCCACCAACAGGAATGTCAGAAAATAAGATTAAGCAACCTCAGAGGCTTCCTGGCACTAACAAAATAACTCCTTGCTGAAGCATTCAGTGCCCTTTACAGTCAAGGTGCAATGTTCCAGTGTCTCTTTCAAGCCATTCTAGTGTTTCTATATCAATTTACTCACTAATCTCTAAACACATTGTGATGTCTCATATGCCTGTGGCTTTTCTCCTGCCCATCCAAAGTGGTAATATCCTATTCCTGTCTGCCATACACTGAACTTTTCTTAAGCTGCCCAATTAAAAATGTACCTTTTGGGGAGGCTAGAGAGAGCAGTGGTTATCAGTGTGGGGAACAGGCCTGAGTGTGAACCCCAGCCCCATCATCTTGGGTTAGGAGAGTTTGAACAGGTTCCTGACTTTATAAAAGGGAGAGAACATTATCATCCTTAGAGGGTAGTTCTGAGGATTAAATATTAATATGATAATGCTTGTAAAGTTGCACAGTTCACTGTGGGCACATAGCAAGCCCTAAGAGAGCTATTCTTAGTAATTTTGTAGAACCTTGTCTTAGTCTGTTCAGGCTGCTATAACAAACTCCCATTAAGTGGGTAGCTTATATACAACAAACATTTATATCTTACCGTTCCAGAGACTGAGAAGGCCAAGATCAAGGTGCTAGCAGATTCCGTGTCTGGTGAGGGCCTGCTTTCTGGTTCATAGACAACCATTTTCTTGCTGTGTCCTTACCTAGTGAACAGGAGAAGAGAACTCTGTGGGATCTCTTTTATAAAGTTACTAATACCATTCATGATGGCTCCACCTTCATGATCTAAACACCTTCCGAAGACCCCATTCCCTGATACTGTCACTTCAGGGGTTAGTATTTCAACATATAAATTCAGGGGAAACACAAACATTCAATCTATAGCGAACTTCAATAAAACTTACCATCTATAATGATAGACTGTACCTCCATCATAGTAGTAAATGTATTGTTCAAAGAGGACTCTACATATGTGTCTCATACAAATTTCTGCAGTTTCCTCAGAGTAAAGGACTATGTCTGATTAATCTTTCTCCCACTATGCCTTATGTCAAGCATATTATATAATAGAGGTTTAATAACAACTGCCGCAAGGGATTTATGGTTGATAGGTCAGTTCTGAACATCCCGCAGAAGTTTAGCAGTGTTCCACCAGTGCTGAAAATATTGCTTTCCCTTTGGGTGTCCATTCAGGTGCAGTTTGCTTGCAGAATTATGAGGAGCAAAGTTCTGTTTAAGAAAGCGTTTCTTTCTCTGTTTGCACAGGAAGAGGGCAGGTCTATTCAAGGGAGCTCTGAGGTGTCCGAGACCACAGTCAGACTCTACTCTCTGATCTCCTGAGAGAGAGCTTCAGCCTCTATGCTGGTGAGAACACTTTTCCAGGAGTGACAATGGTAAAGGAAAGTGGGGAGAAATGTGACGAAGGAAAATTATGAGAGCCTACAATAAGGAGGTAATGATAGATGCTGTTCTTGCTGACTGGCAGTAAAGAAAGGGAAGTGAGAGAATGTTGAAATCTATGACAGAAATAGAACATGAGGAAAGGAACTAGTTCTGTGGAAGAAGAAGTTTTTGATTTTAGATGGATTGAGTTGAAGTAACCATGGAACAGAAATCTCTAGTAGTGGAAAAGTTTTTAAACCTGAAGCTCAGGATGGAGATCTGATAAGCAGCATGCATTGTGACTATGGATAACAATTGTATTGCATACTTGAAATTTGATAAAGGGTAGCTCTTAAGTATTCTAACCACAAAAAAAAGAAGAAAAAAATGTGACATAATATGTTAACTATTTTCATTTGATTACTGTTTGATGGTGATTATTTCACAATGTACATGTATATTAAAACATCAAGTTGCCCACCTTAAATATACATAATTTTTATTTGTCAATATACTTCGATAAAGCTGTTTTTAAAAAACCAACCTGGAGCCCAGAGAGGAGATACAGATTTTTGAATTATTTTCTTGGAAGCCGTAGTTAAAGCTTTGATGGTGATGTGATTCTTGGGAGTAGAAAAGTTAGAGGGAAGAATAAAGTCCTGAGAAGCACTTAATGCAAAGGGAGAAAGAAGTCCAAGGAGGACAGAGCTCCGAGGATGGGGAGCAAATGTGAGGTCAGAGTGAGATTGAGCCCTGACTGTGGGAGCTAGGGAGAAAAGTCACTAGGAAAATTGAGGATGCAAACTAAGTCAATTACTGCAGAGAAGGAAAGCATGGGGCCTGTATCAGACTCCTGTAGTCAGATGTTAGGTGCTCATGAGAAAGCTTTAAATTGGTCAAAGAAGATATAATAGAAGAGGCCTGTTATGGGCTGAGTTTTATGCTCCCAAAATTCATGTGTTGAAGTCCTAACCCCCACTTTCTTAGAATGCAACTGTATTTGGGGATAAGGTCTTTAAAGAGGTGATTAAGTTAAAATGAGGTCATTAAGGTGGGCCCTAATCCAATATGATTGGTATCTTGATAAAAAGAGGAGATTAAGACACAGACACCCACAGAGGGAAGACCATGTAAAGACACTGGGAGAAGGTGACCATCAACAAGCCAAAAAGAGAGGCCTCTGAAGAAACTGTCAACCTAAATAACAAATATAGAGAGACCTCTAAAAGTACTAAGTTTAGTTGGGGGAAGCATTGCAATGTGGAACACGTGTGCCATAGTAAACTATGGGCGTATTTGAGGTGGTTGAGGCAAGGGGAGGCTTTTAAAGGCAAAAGGAGGAGTACATGTACATCACAGGAGCTGACACCAGTTCATTAGTGGAGGCAGTGTGTCAGGCAAGTGTTCCTGTGCATCTCACTGGCTGTCCTTGTGACTCTTGTAGCAAGCTGCAGTTTAGAAAGTCCTTACCAAAAGCTCTGTGACAGGTATGTGTGCATAAGAGCCCTCCAGACAGTCTTTGTGCTAGTTCTTATCATAAATGTGTGTGTGAAGGCCTTCCGTTCCTAAAATCTTGACTTTTTGTTAGGGTGACCTAAGTGACTTCATCTTGATATTGACAACTTTCACAAAACCAACCCTGCCAACATCTTGACCTTGAACTTTCAGTCTCCAGAATTGTAAGAAAAAAAATTTGTATTGTTTAAGCCAGCCTATCCATGGTGCTTTGTTATGGCAGCTCTAGCAATTAGAAAAAATACCAAACATAATTTACCCATCATTTTTATTCTGGAATCCAAAGAAAATAGGAATATCAGTAGCAGAGAGGAAGACCATAATGAACATGGCCACATTTCTTCACAGGGGCAGCAATCAATGCAGGGGGCCTGTAAGACTAAGGCTGTAGTTTTCAGTTTGTCTGAATACTGTAATAACCTGAGGGTTAATTTGAAGGAAAATATCTTGATGTCCCGGCATCACCCCAGACTCCTAGAGAATTTGGAAGTAGAACTCCAATATCAGGACTTCAGAAAACTCCTCAGGTGATTCCAATGTGCAGCAAAATGGAGAACCAACAATCTAAAGAAAAATCCATCCACCAAAGGCCAGAGGAAACAGACAGAGTTTCTGAAAGTCCATCGGGCAGCAAAGGCCCAGCCACATTGGGAAGTCCACAAGGAACAGAGGCCTATGAGATGCAGACTTCTAAGGGCTCTTTGGGTGGGCTTGAGGACTGCACACAGAAGACCATGGCTTGGTCTTGAGTGATACAGGATGTGCTCCTTTTGTTGTTCCCCAGAATGTGGTGAAGTCCTGAGAAGTTGTCAGAAGGAAAGGACATGAGGTATGGATCGAGCAATAAAGATATTATTCAATCCTTGCTACCCTCCGAGAGAGCCAAAAATTTGTGGAAAAGAAAGGGAACAAATACTTAGTAAGGGAATGTGTTTACATTTAAGTCCATCTCCCATTCAACAAAATAGGAATTAATATGCCCATGTCATCAAAGAGGAAGCTGAGGGGCTCTGCAAGATTTGTAAATTTTCCTAAAGACATATATCTGGCAGAGTTGTATTTTGAACCTAAGTCTATCTGACTACCATATTTCATGATATTGCCATCACATAGTGCTTTCTCCCAATGAAAGTATGAGTAGCGGTAGTGTAGGATAGGAAGCGTGCTGGACTTTTATTGTGTCATTTTAGCTAAACTGGAACTACATTTCCTAGAATTCCCTGCCCTGCATGGTTCCAAATTACTATGGGCCACAAGAGACATTTTTATGCAAGATTTGGAAGGTAGAAGTGATGTAGCAGCCATGTACTTGTTTTTCCTGGAGAGTCCTCGACACCCAAGGCCCTGTTGCAGCTGACTCTCAGAGCTTACTGTGCTCACTGTGCTGGCATAGGGTAGCAGCCTGCAGCGACTCAAGCTTCTGCAGGGTCTTCTTCAGCTTCTCTGACTCCTGGCCTCATTCATGTTTCGCTTAGTAGTGAAAGGTGCCACCTTCATCCTCATCATTGATGAGGACATCCTCATTGTCCTCATTGATAAGCAGGACATCCTCATCATTGAGGCTGTCACCTGGAGATGCTGAGAGACTAATGCAGGTTCCAGCTCATGCTCATGGGTTCCATTCATTCTTGCAGGTTCCAGGTTATCCTTGCTTTTCCCAAATGCCTGCCCTGTGGACTTCAGGCTGCCACACCAGACACAGAAGAAACAGCCTTCTGTAGACTGTTTAACTATATCTCACAGTTGTGTAATGCCAAATCCCTACAATAAATCCCTTATTATTTATATTGCCTAGTAGGTCTGTTTCTTTTATTGAAATCTGACTGACATAGGGAAGCATGACTAGGGAAACTTTTTTTTTGAGACCGTCTTGCTTGGTCATCCAGGCTGGAGTGCAGTGGCACAGTTAGCCCACTGCAGCCTCAGCCTCCCAGGCTTAAAGGATCCTTTTGGAAACTTTGTTAGGACACAAGGTAGAACTACCATGCTGAGAAATTCTGTTCCTGGATATCCCACAGGCAGGTAGCTCATCAGAAACACTGTTATATATTCTGGAATCAGAAAGCAGTTTTGAACCATGGGGTTGGAAAGTATGTTTCAGCTCAGTGGCTTATGGCCCATGACAGGTGAGCAGCCAATCAGTGACAAAGAGTGCCACCACCTCACTGTGCTGGGTCCTGGGGCCATCATCAGCCTCACAGGAAACGTTTTCAGAATGCTGTGTACTCAGAAAGAGGTTGAAGGATGCTCCTCTTCCAGAGGGAGCTGAGCCCAAGGGGACATCCCTGTGATAAGTGTGGTTCAGGGGCCAGGCACTTGGCTCACGCCTGCAATCCTAGCACTTTGGAAGGTTGTGGCAAGTAAACTGCCTGAGCTCAGGAGTTCAAGACCACCTTGGGCAACGTGGCAAAACCCAGCTCTACTAAAATACAAAACGTTAGCCTGGCATGGTGACGGGAGCCTGTAATCCCAGCTATTTGGGAGGCTGAGGCACAAGAATCGCTTGAGCCCAGGAGGTGGAGGTTGCAGTGAGCCAAGACCTCACCACTGCACTCCAGCCTGGGCAACAGGGCAAGGCTCTGTCTCCAAAAGTAAAAATAAAATTTAAAAAAGTGGCTCAGGATTGGGAGATCCTTTTCAGGCCTCACAGTGAAGCTCCACCATTTCCCCCATGTCAGCCTGGACCCCAGGAGCTCTGAGAGTGTGGAGACAGTTAGACACTGGAAATGACAGAGAAAATGGGACTGTCAGAGAAGGCCCCTGCTGCTTCCACAGTCTTCCCATCAATCCATCTACTCAAGGAGGCTAGAACAGGTAAACAGCCCATTCTCATATCTAACATCCCCATATTCCTGATCTTACGTTCAGAAGAATCACCCCCAGAGCTGTTCTGAAGAATTTTAAGCAACATTCCATACACCTGTCCTGAATCCTCAGTTCCCATAAATCCCTCATGGCTATCCTTCTAGGACTCTGTAGTACCGTCATCATCACCACCACCAAAAGCAATAGCAACACCATGGAGCTGGCAAATTATCTCCCAGGCTCTGCCACATAAAGTGGCTAATTGTTCTCCATAGGGTTGGCTTCTGGGTCCTCCTTGAAACATTCTCATGATGCCTCTGGGGATATTGACCATACTTTGAGATTTGCTGGTTGAGATGAATGAAGGTAAATATCCTTCTCATATTGATATTTACCTGCCCACTAAACATACAGCCTTGGCTGTTCGCAGCTGAACAGCATCACCCCCACTCACAACAGAGGTCATCTGTTTACTCTCTGGGAATGTCTAGTGCTCTTTTCCAAACCTTCCCTGTGCCTTCTCTGTATCAGGAGAATGTGGTGTCCCCTCGGACCTTAGACACCAAGGAGCCAAAGAAGAGCATTATTCAATCACTCACCCTACTCTAGGGAGGGAAATGAGCTGGGACTCATGGTCAATGTAAGTACGGGGACCCCTGAGTGAACACAAGATATCACAGGCTGGGTTTCCAGGAAGGCGGATGCTGAGATAGAAATGAACATGTAGGAAATCTGTTATGGAGTGATCTCTGTATCAAAAACTCTCGAAAGGAAGGAAACAACTTTGTACAGAAGGAGAAGCTGGGCTTTGATGCCATCTCCACAAAAGTCTCAGCCAACCCTATAGACACCCTGAGTCTAGGATGATCTTTCAAAGTGGTCCTGGGTTGAGATTTAGGGGCCCTGCCTTTATACCCTAGTGTGGACAGCCACTGGATACAATGCTCTGGAAAGGGAGGATGACCCTGGATGGAGTGGCCAAAGCCTTTCCCAAGAGGGCTTATAATAGGATTATCTGCTGGCAGCAATTCTAGCAGCTGGGACAATAAGTCCATTCCTGACAGGGGATCTGGGTGGCGCATCACAGAATCCATTACGTAAAATAGGAGTCAATTTTGAACATATTTCTGTGGAGGAGGGCAAAATCCCTGCCTCTTCATGCAGGAACATGTGGCCTCCAGATGCAGATCACTTTGGGAACTCAGAAAGGTTAGGGTGGGCAAATCCTGACACACCATAGGGCATGTGTCTGGGGGCTCACTGGGTAGCTCTGAGGGAGGATACTGGAGGATATTAACCCTGACTTGAAGATCACTACCGAAGATCATAAATCCCCCTTTCTTCTCATGTGTACAGACTTATCTCGAGCATAATGATTTCCCTGACACTGTCTTCTCTCTGCTTCAGCCCATACTAATCTCTCTCTTTTGCACTGTTCCAGGTTTGTAGACCATGTTTCCCAGTTGTTTATCAGCTTTGTGTCAGAAGAGATCAGTTCACTTACCCTACTGACTTCCCCTACAACCTCTATGGTTAGCTGATGGGCACCCCATAATTACCTAGTGTAAATATTTGGTGGTTTTACCGACTGGAAGAAGAAGGATATAGAGATGTAGAGGCCTTATAAAGCTTGGGATTTATGGAATATCATGATAACCATCCCAGTTCTTTGCATCATTGGGAAATGGAGGACACCAGGATGACTAATGGACCTAGCTGCTTTCAAGAGGAACCCTGTTTCTAGGAACAAAATAGAAAAGAAGAAACAAATATCTGTCCCCTTCCCTTCCCTTCTGCTTAGCCCTCAAACTGGCAGACAGGTCCCTCTGACACTCATTATTTACTTGAATCTGGGGTTGTTGACTTTCTTCCTATACCCTGTGTCCTTCGTGTTCTCCCTCTGACATCAGTACACAAAGAACCTTTAATTTTTTTCTGTCTCCAGACTGTGAAGCTCTTGGACTTGCATCAGCTTTGCTCTAAGAGCTCTGCCATTTCTAAATAAGCCAAAATGAAGCTGAGTCTCTCATATCTGGAAGAATTTGGTCCCTGAGCTCTCCTCCATGGGATACTAGTATCTGGCTTTTGGGACAGAAGGTTGAATAAGTTCTAGAGAAGATTCAAACACATTTCCCAGGGCAATGAGCTCAAATTTCTGGTAAGAATTGCATTGTGTCCTCAGCACTAGAACATGGGCCATACAGCCCGTGGGACACAACGACCCATGGCTCACATATCTCTTTAGGAGACTAATCTGGGAGAGTGCTAATCAAAGAGATTTCTCTTGTCAGCACCTCTTTCTCTATAAACCAGTCCACTCCCTCTTCCAGCCCAGGCCCATGAAGAGAGTTAGCCTTGCCCTAAGCTTTGAGCCTCATTGTTTAGAAGTTTTTGAGATTTTGAGATGTCCTGCAGTGGTACTTGAGTTTGTCACTAGGGTCTGTGATTGACTTGTCAAAGCCTGAGGTTTTTTTTTTTTTTTTTTTTTTTTACTAAAATAAAAACTCTTTCTTTCATCTTAAGGAAGTCAGAGTAGTTCATAACTTTTCCTCCTTACCCGAGCCTCCAGGTATCACAGAGCTGCGGTGTCTCCATCAGAGATAGACTGTGTGGCCTTGAGATCAATCTGTTCACTTTTTTCAAGTTCCTCTAATTTGAGTCTATAGGAGAAGAAGGCACAGCCCTCAATGTGCCTGAAGATGTTCTGCTTCCACATTAGCCACAGGAACCATTTGCCTGACCACTTCTCTGTCTGGAGACCCATCTGCCTGACCACTTTTCATGGGATGCCACAACTCCCATGGAAACTTATGCTTTTCCCTCTCCAAGCTCATTCTTCATTCAGAAGTGGGGTTTTTCTTAACTTGAGTTTCCTCTTTTACTTGGAGAAAAAGGCAAATATGCAGGGTTCTTCAGGTATTAATCTGCATTCTCTAGTAAAACTCACTTGAATTCTATTTGAAACAGATTCTTTATTCCATCACCCCTCTCATTCCTCACTGTCCCAACATATTCTCTTTTATTTAGGGGAGAGAAATTCTTTGCTTGTTGCATTGACCCTGGGCTTCTTTGCCCTCAGATCCATTTTCCACCTTGCCCTTGCTCTGCTCTTTGCCACAGGGGACAATAATGGAGTGCTTCTGTGCATGCCAACATGTTGGTTTACTAAGTCAAATAACACCACTTCATGATAGGCAGCTAAGGTCACATGCAACTTTGTGGCCCATGGTCAAGGGTTCAGTCTCTATTAGGACTTAGTAGCAAGTCAGAAGTTAAGTTTTCAAAAGGAGACTAGATATCTACAAAGGTGGACATGGCTTTGCTACAAAACGTGTCCTTCACCCTGGGAAATATGTTTTGACATGTCTAAGAACCCTGGACCACTAGAAATTTCACCAAAATGGGATTTATTTACCACCTTCTGGCATGTATATTTCCTACCCAGATGTCTAGAGTTGCTGCTTTGTGCTCAATTGGTCTAATCAGTATGATGCCATTGATCTAATGGATGAGTGTGTGATGTCCTATGAAGAAGAGAAACTGATCAAGGTCTTTGTGATTCTATGACAGAGGGCTGAAAAGCTGATATAGCTCAAAGTTAGGACAATAAAGTGTATTGTAAATGCTTCTGGTGGTCTCAATTAACAGGAATTGAGGTTAAAAAAAAGGCATTTTCCAGGTCAAAAGCTGCATGGTGAGTGCTAGTAGCAAGATGATTTGCTCTGTCAAACAAAACCACATCTGGAGCAGCCACTGCAATTGCTGTTCTTCAAAATACACCTGTCATTTGCACAAACCAAATAAGTGAGTTGAATGGAGGATGTGATAGGAATTTCTCCCTGTGTTCTTTCAAATTAATCTATAAATGTAATAAAATCCCAATAAAAAGTTCACCTGGATTTTTTTTAGCCATTTAATATACTTACTCTAAAATTTTATAGAATAATAAAAATCTATGAAAGTCCAGGTTAACTTTGATAAAAAAGAACAAAGAGTGGTTTTATATTATCAGATATTAAGGTAGATCAGAAGTCCAGGGCAATTAAGTCAGTACAATGTATGTGCAAGATCAAATAAATAAATCAGTGGAACAGAGTAGAGAGATCATAGACCTTGGGTGCACACACACACACACACACACACTTAAGGTTGACATCACAAAATAATGGGGAGTGCATGACCTGGCCTATTTAGTACATGGTGCTAGATTACTCTAAGGGAAAACAATTTGGACTTATACCTAATATCAAATGTAAAGTTGGACTCCAAAAGATCCAATGCATAAAAAGTAAAACTATAAAATTAAGGGAAGTTTTGCGATTTTGGAGTCAAGAGGGACTAAACAAAACTCTAAAAACATATGTTAAAAGCAAAAATTGGATGAGTTCTATAGTTTAATTTTTTTTTTTTTTTTGAGACGGAGTCTCATTCTGTCACCAGGCTGGAGTGCAGTGGCACGATCTCAGCTCACTGCAATCTCGACCTCCCGGGTTCAAGTGATTCTCCTGCCTCAGCCTCCTGAGTAGCTGGGACTACAGGTGTGAGCCACCACGCCCGGCTAATTTTTGTATTTTTAGTAGAGACGGGGTTTCATCAGATTGGCCAGGATGGTCTTGAACTCCTGACTTCGTGATCCACCCACCTCGGCCTCCCAAAGTGCTGGGATTACAGGTGTGAGCCACCGCACCCGGCCTATAGCTTAATTTTTTTTTTTTTAAATCTGCTCAATAAAAGACACTATGGACAAAGTTGACTGATGGTAGAGTAGGAGGTAATGTTTGCAAAGCCTAAAACAAGCAAGAAACTTATATAGAAAAAGCAGTAGCTCCTATATACCAAATAGGAAAAACCAGAAATTATATTAACAAAATGGGCAAAGGGCACAAAATGGTTATTTCATAGAAGAGGAAACTCAAAAGGCTAACAAGCACATGCAAAGATGCTTATGCCTATTGATAATTAGAAAAATGGAAATAAAACACCAATTAGATCTCTGAGATCTCTCTTTATCCTCATCTGATTGGTAAAGTTAGAACACTAAAGGGTTGAGTGGGATGTGGGGTTAGGGAATGTTCTTGCCCTGTTGGGGGCACTAGTAACTTTGGGGACCACTTGGCATTACTTCTTCCATCAATCACTCTCTCAGGTATATATCCAGAGATATTCTCACACAGGTCTATGGTGTGACATGAAAAAGCAGGTGTCAGTGTTTGTAGTAGTAACAAGTTGGGGACAATCTAGATATCCTTCACTGGGATTAGATAAGGGAAGCATGGTGGAACAACTTGCAGAAGTTAGGAGCAATGGGCTAGATGTACACATAACAAAATAGATGGGTCAAAACATAGTGCCAAGAGAAAAATGCCCAATAACATATGTAAATTAAAAAGTCTCAAGGAAAATGATACATGTATGTGTATCATCATGAAGTTATTGGGAGGCTGGGAAATGGAAATAGTAAGTAAAGACACAAGGAAATAAATAAACTAGAGCGAAAATTCATATGGACCAATAAAGTGAGTGAGCCATGAACTGAGGGATTAACTCTATGTCTGAGGTTACAAAATGAAGAGTAAGTAAAACAAAACAAAACAAACAAAAAACAAACGAAGCATTAAGAAGAGAACAGATAACACAGCATAAAAAGGCAAGCACGCTTAATAAAATAAAATAATTTTATATTCAGTACAAAACCAAAACTCAACTCTACATTACGTGTAAGGGGCATATCTTAAAGAAAGTGACTCAGGAAAGTTAAAAGTAAAAGAATGGAAGGCTGAGTGTGGTGGCTCATGCCTGTAATTCTAGCACTTTGGAAGGCTGGGGCAGGCTGATCACCTGAGAACAGGAGTTTGAGACCAGCCTGGCCAGCATGGTGAAACCCCATCTCTAAAAAAAAAAAAAAAAAAAAAATTAGCCAGGTGTGGTGGTGCATACCTGTAATCCTAGGCTGACTTGGGAGGATTTCTTGAACCCAGGAGGCAGAGGTTTCAGTGAGCCGAGTTCACACCACTGCACTCTCCAGCCTGGGTGACAGAGCGAGACTCTGTCTCTAAAAAAAAAAAAAAAAAAAAGGACAAAGTCATATCAAGGCAAAAAGCACCAAATGAAAGTGGAGGAGGTTAAAATATATGAGAAGTCTCTAGGCCTCAAAAATCTTTGAAATTGAATATCTTGGCATCAAAATAACCGACACATAGACTGGAGGAAACAGAAATAAAAACAGAAACAAACTTGAGCACAATGATAATAACAAATGACACCCGTAGACCTAGAAGATCCAGTGGATAAAAAATAAGGAAGCATATGATTTGAGTGATATGATTAATAAGTTCCTAATAGATACATATTGAACAATAGATCCTAGCAACAGAGAATTCACTTTTCTTTTTTTTTTTTTTGAGACGGAGTCTCCCTCTGTCGCCCAGGCTGGAGTGCAGTGGCGCCATCTCAGCTCACTGCAGGCTCCGCCTCCCAGGTTCAGCCTCCTGCCTCAGCCTCCTAAGTAGCTGGGACTATAGGTGCCCGCCACCACACCCGGCTAATTTTTTGTATTTTTAGTAGAGACGGGTTTTCACTGCATTAGCCAGGATGGTCTCGATCTCCTGATCTCGTGATCCACCCGCCTTGGCCTCCCCAAGTGCTGGGATTACAGGCATGAGCCACTGCGCCCAGCCGAGAATTCACTTTCTTTTAACTACTCATGGAACACCTACAAAAACTAACCATATTTTAGGTCACAAAGAAAATGTTTAAAAATCACAAATGCAATGAATTTTTTAAATCACAAAATTAGGGGAAAAGATTATCACCAGGTAATTAAAAAAAAATCCCTCTATAAGGATCAGGAAAAATAATATTTAATACCTGGGTAATAATACTTAATACCTGGCTAACAAAATAATCTGTACAATAAACACCCATGACACAAGTTTACCTATATAACAAACCTGCACATATACCCCTGAACTTAAAATAAAAGTTAAGAAAAAAAACCAAATAAAATAAAAAATAAAAAATACCCTTTAAATCAACTTTGAGATCAAAGAAGAAAATAAAATTGATGTTGCAGACTGAAAATAGTAATAACCAAAACACTACATATCCAAACCTGAAGGATATGACTAAAATATGTTCTCAGGAAAATTAATGAAACAGTTGGAATGAGTACCAAGAAAAAATGGAAATAAATGAACCCAGTATTAATCTTAAGAACTTACAAAAATATGAACAAAATAATTCAGATGAAGGCAGACATTATGAGTAAAATAAAAAAAACCCTCACAATAAGGAATATGAATAAACTCAAAAGCTTTTCCATGAAAAGCATATTGATATGCCACTGAATAGCCTAATCAAGAAAGGAGTGGCAATGAATAAATATACATCTGAACACCTACATTGAATGGATACTTTTCTAGAAAAATATAAATTACTAAATTTTATGTAAGAAGAGACAGTTAAATAAAAAGAATAATAGTCATGAAAAAAATTGAAGCACTGTTAGGGAGCCACACCTCTAAACATATCAGGGCAGATGATTCCATACTAACTTTTTTTTTTTTTTTGAGACAGAGTCTCACTCTGTCACCCAGGCTGGAGTGCAGTGGAGCAATCTTGGCTCACTGCAACCTCCGCCTCCTGGGTTCAAGCAATTCTCCTGCCTCAGCTTCCCAAGTAGCTGGGATTATAGGCACCCACCACCACACTCAGCTAATTTTTGTATTTTTAGTAGAGACAGGGTTTCACCATGTTGGCCAGGCTGGTCTCAAATGCCTGATCTGAAGTGATCTGCCTACCTCGGCCTCCCAATATGCTGGGATTACAGACGTGAGCCACCGCTGCCAGCCTCATGGTAACTTTTTAAAAATCTTCAAGGGAATTGATAAAATTTAGTAGCATTCAAATTGTTTTTAAGCATAAAGAACTCTTTTAACATAATAAGAAATCAATATAGCATTGATATCAAAGTTTTTCAAAGAAAGAATGAAAGGCTACAGACAAATCCTCATTATAAATATCTGTGTAACCTAATGTAAATGATGAGTTAATGGGTGCAGCACACCAACATGGCACATGTATACATACGTAACAAACCTGCATGTTGTGCACATGTACCCTAGAACTTAAAGTATAATAAATAAATAAATATCTGTGTAAAAGTCTTATATAAGATACTACCAAAGAGAATTCAGCAGGATGTTAATATACATCACAGCCAGGTAGGGTTGAAACAATTATTTATTATTAGGAGATGTTAATGTAATCCACCATATTGTTAAAAGGAAACAAAAATAACACTGGGAAGATGTTTTAAAAATTCAACATGTACCTCTGATTAAACAGTAAATGAGTTTTGATGACTCATAGAGTGTGTTGCATCATGAAGCATGTGGCTTCTACCTTCCCTTAAGTCTGCACTCCCAAAGCTAGTAAAGGGCCTTTTTGAATCAATATTTATCTTCTTGAGAGGGAAGTTTTGTAAATACACATACATACATATATACATATATGTGCATGTGGTATGTATTTTCTATATCTATGGAATGTCTGCTAATGTTGCATTGTTAAATTGAATAAACACTAAAATAATATATAGATTATGGTACAATAAATTCAAATATATGTGTTAATATATGCTTATATATTATTTTACTGAAGAATATATAAGTGTTATTTTTATTCCTTATATGACCTTCAGGAAGTTTCAGAACATTAACAGCAGTTACTTCTGAGTGTTAGAATTTTGGCTGACTTTTATTTTCTTTCTTCTATACCACTTTTTTTCCAATGTGTTTTACCATTGTAATTTTTAAAAAATTGAAAAAATAACTTTTTTAAAACCTAGTTTATTTCCAAGCCATTAAGAAAGGAGATTAAGGCCGGGCATGGCGGCTCACTCCTGTAATCCCAGCACTTTGGGAGGCCGAGGCAGGTGGATCACAAGGTCAGGAGATCGAGACCATCCTGGCTAACATGGTGAAACCCTGTCTCTACTAAAAATACAAAAAAGTTAGCCAGGCGTGGTGGTGGGCGCCTGTAGTCCCAGCTACTCAGGAGGCTGAGGCAGGAGAATGGTGTGAACCCAGGAGGCGGAGCTTGCAGTGAGCCAAGATTGCGACACTGCACTCCAGCCTGGGCAACATAGCGAGACTCCGTCTCAAAAAAAAAAAAAAAAAAAAAAAGAAAGGAGATTAAATACCCATATTTTCTTTAATTTTGTCTGTTTTATATGTCCACATTTCTACCAGATGTAGGGCCCATTTCAGGTTATTTCTTGCTTGTTCCATCTCAGGCTGCCAAGGAGACAGTAACTGAGATTCCCAGCCAGGCACTTCTGGAAAAGACTAGAAAAGCCTGCTTGGCCAAGATGCCAATGTGGGGGACAATTTCACTAAGCTCAGCTTCTTTGGGAGTTGGGTTTTTCCCTTAATGCAGGTGGGGCTGAGACTGGCTCAGGAGAGTGGTGTTTACAGTCCTGCAGAGGGGATGGGGGAGCCACAAGTAAAGTCTTAAAGTCCATCTGGGGTTGTGGTGCTCTCCAGGCCTGTGAGGCCAGTGAGGATATGGGCCTGCTGATCCCCAGTCTCCAGATCTTCAAAGAGTATTAAGCAAGAATGCTATAGAGAAAAGGGGGAGAGGTGGTAAGGTGGGGAGACCCAGTAAAGTACTGTTCAGGCAAGCTTATAAGATCTCCCAGGAGAAGAGAGGCCCAGATTAAGGATGGATCCTGGCCCCAAGCCTCAGACTGGATCCCCTCATCCGGACCATCCCAAAGCAGCCCAGGGACTTCTTCCCAGACTTTGCTCCACAAGAGGTCTTTATGAGTGTGTTTTGCTTGATCTTGTCCTACTCTGTGAGGAAATTTGGCTAGATGGTATCCCACTTTTCTGACAAAGATAATAAGCTTTGGAAAAGTTTGCTACCTACATGGCTGGCTAGTCAGGGAGGTAAACCTCTAGCTCTGAACAGTTGACTCCAAATCTTGGATCCTTGCTAGTGCCCAGTACTGAGTCAATTTCCTTGAACAAGTCACAGGTTCTTACTAGGTCCTAAAGCTCAGCATTGGCCTAGTGTTTTAAAGACTTTTCTTCTCACCAAGGACCTCTGAAAGGCCACTCATTAGCTCTGGCCCATGGGACTGGAGGGCTCCATGGGAGCCTGGGGCTGGGGCTGCAGCTAGAGAGAGCAGTCAATCTTACTGGCTTCCACTCCAGTCAAGGCTCTATGGAGGCTTTGGAACCTGCAGTGGTCCCAGAATTTCTTCATTTTACCTCTACCCTTAGGTAGCTCTGTCTTTTACAGCTTGTGGCCTGGCTTTCTTGACAGACTCTGTGTTCTTCCAACTCCTCCTAGTCCCTATTAGAATCCAGAGATTCATTTTGATGAGCAGAGTTGTTTAGGGGAGAGAGCTGAGAAAAGCTGAAGAGATTATAGAACAATATAAGCAGTGTGATCTTGATGAAAATCACTCAAATTGTATAATTCTATGATTTTATAATTATTTTCCTAGCATTATGCCTCAACCCACAGTCACAAAAAATACCAGTGTTTTGTCTTTTGAGATGACAGATAAAGTCTAATAATATTAGCATAGATTATAGGAGAGCCCTTTAACTCTGGACCAGCTTAAGTGAAGTAATGGTGTTGCATTGAGCACATTTTTGCGTAGAGTGGTTGAGTGGTTCTGAAGAAGGAGGGGGCAATGGTGAGTAGTAAGGAGAATTGGAAGTGGCAGCACAAGGAAGGATCTTGGAGATGGGCTAGCCCACAAATACCACTCCCCAAGCCCTGCCATTACCCAACACCACACACTGCTCCTGCATCCTCCTCATGCCCACAGTCAAAGGTCTCAATTTGCTCACATTCAGCCAGTGCCTCTTCTGTCCTATGGCACAGGGCAACCTGAATGAACACAGGTTGGGCCTCTTCTGCCACTCTTGAATACAACATGCCAGCAGGTGTGTGCTTGGCTGCTCAACAGCCCAGCTCCTGGCACACCACGGCCACATCCTTCATGTCCCAGCTGTCATCACACACGGTACCTCAGTGACCTTCCTGTTCCACTTCCACTCTTCCTTTGCAGTGGTGAGGACCATTAATCAAACGGACTTTGGTCGGGGGCTCTGCAAACAGAAGAGGTAAGAGCACACTCAGGAACTTACTCTTAAAGCAGCTCCCAGTGTTAAGAGAGGTTGTTTGATGTTGGTGTTGGTGATGTTGTGTGATGTGGGCTTAGGGTACTTGCAAAAATAAGGAAGTACAGAGCTTCAGATCTGCCCTATCCCAATCACCATTTTACGAGCATCTCGCCCCACCAATGCCCCCCACTCAATGATACCTAAAAAGGAGCCCTTGCTTCCACTCTGACGATAAAGGGACGTGGGGACATAGAGACTTATGGTTTGGTTCTCACAAGCTCAAAAAAGCTTAGAAACAGAGAAGGCTAGAATTAGATCTTTCCTAGAGATAGAGACTGAGGCCTAGAGTAGGAAAGGCCTAAGGTCAACTGAGTTATGCATTTTCCTTTTAAAAACTGCTCTGTATGACACTGATGACTTCACCAATGGCAGGCCCATTTTCTCTGGGGAAGGGGGTGGTAGGAGTTGGATGGACACATTTACACGGACTGGTTAATCTCTAACATCTGCCTGTCTTGTTTTTATGGTTTTAAGCTACAGTCATTGGAAAGAAACTCTTTTCTCTAGGATCTCTAGCAGAAAGGAGAGATGTAAGCCTAGAGTTATCAGTGGCCAGCTCTGCCTGTCTAAGAATGAAGCTAATGGCAGAAAGCAGAGGAAAGAAGGTGGACAACAAAGACAGAGACCTTGCATCCACTTGCACACAAAGCCTTGTCCATTCTTGACCCCTCTCACCAACTTTGCTTTTTTTTTTCCCTCAAGCCAGTTTGTATGGGACTTCTGTCATTTGCAACCAAAATGCCCCATCTCACACAATTACTATGATCACAGCAAAGCCCCTGGGAAAAGGTAGACTTAACAGAATTATAGACAATAATGGGAATATTATTCTCAAAAATTAATAGATTAAACAGGACATATGTAAGACTCTACAGAGAATGAATAAATCAAGCAACTGGCTTAATTTTATAGAAAAATATATACTGTGTACCTCTAACAGAAAATTCATATTCTTTTCACTTTCTGTATAGAATATTTATATAAATTGACTATATGTTAGACCATAAAGAAATTCTTACTAAGTTCCCAAAAAGTAAAACTTATACAGGCCACTTTGAAAAAATGTTAAATACAAGGATAACAAAGAACTTTATGAGAAACTAAGAAAATAAAGGATGAAAAAAATCTATTCATAAGAAATTATTTTATAATAGTTATAATAATTTGCCAGGTTGAAAAACAAATGAAAACATATATTATACACACACTTTAGATATTAAACAAATGAAAATATTCATTAAAACTTTTAGGATAATGTGAAAGTGTACTTAGAGGAAAACATACAGTTTTAAATGTATTCATTAGAAAACAAAGATAAAAAATGAATAAGCATTTCAGGTAAGAAATTAAAGAAAAGGCAACATAAAATAAACTTAAAATAAAAAGAAGGAAGAATATACTGAAAGTAAAGGAGAAATAAATGAATTAGAAAACCAAAACCAAATATATTTGAATGATAAAACAATTTTCTATTTGTACAATAAAAATAAATCTAGGTATTTGAAAAGAGCAATGTAACAGCTGAACCTCTGGCAAATCTGGTAAGAGAAAAGAGACCACACAAACAAGTTAGAAATGAGAAGGACACAATCACAAACTAGAGGGCTTTAAAAAATTAGATGAAAATACTGTGGTTGACTGGGTGTGGTGGCTCACGCCTGTAATCTTAGCACTTTTGGAGGCCGAGGCGGGTGGATCACTTGAGTTCAGGAGTTCCAGACCAGCCTGACCAACATGGTGAAACCCCATCTCTACTAAAAATACAAAAATTAGCTGGGTGTGGTGGTGCATGCCTGTAGTCCCAGCTACTTGGGAGGCTGAGGTAGGAGAACTGCTTGAACCCAGGAGGTGGAGGTTGTAGTGAGCCGAGATTGTGCCACTGCACTCCAGCCTGGGTTACAGAGCGACTCCGTCAAAAGAAGGAGGAGGAGGAGGAGGAAAAGAAGAAGAAAATAATACTATGGTCAACATTATGTGACAAATTTGAAAATCTAGAGAAAATGCCCAACTTTTTGAGTGAAAGAATTCAAATTGTGTTTTAAAAGGGTGAAAAATTTGAAAAAAGTGAATAAAAAAAGATCTGACAATGGAGAGAAAAATACACCAGGCTCAGAAAGTTTTTGGGCTAGTTCCAAAGACTAAGTAGCAGATAATTCCAATATTGTTTTCAATTGTTGCAGAGCACAGAAACTATGGAAACTTCTGAAATTATTCTTATGAGGCTAACCTATCCCTGAAACCTAAACCAGATGAGTAGAATTTAGAAAAGAAAACTCACTTATAAACAAAATGCTAAAATTTAAAATAAAATATTAGCAAGTGTTATGTAGTTACTACCTGCAATGACTAAGAAGGGTTTATAGGGGAAATTCAAGGATTGTTCCGTATTAGGACATCTATTAATGCAGTTCTCCACAATAATGGATTGAAGAAAAAAATGTACAGAACGGTCATAATATATTAACTTTGTGGCTAAGAGCACAGTTTCTTGATTCAGGCAGCCCTGGCCTAAAGTTCCATCTTTGTACCTATTTGCTATGTAAACTTGGGCAAGTTACTTAATCTAAATTTTATTTCCTCATTTGTCAAATGAGAGTTGTTATGGAGATTAAGTGAGATAATTCTAGTAAAATTTTAAATCCCAGAATCTAGTCTGTTCACGGTTTTTCTACTTGTATTTACAAGGGTTAGTTGTACCTCCTCCCTCCCTGGAGCTCTGCATGTGCAAGATACTTCCTTATTTTTCTCAGGGAAGTCTTCCTCCTTTCTTCTTGCCTTACCGACCTGACTCCCAACGCTGACTTGACCCTAGCACAGTGCCCAATACCCAGTATCTATTTCACACGTTTTACTAGTTCAGTGAAAGGGAACAGGAGAGACCAGGGGTTCGCCAGCAATGCTGCTGTTAAGATCAATTACACAAGGCCTGGCGCGGTGGCTCACGCCTGTAATCCCAGCACTTTTGGGAGGCCAAGGCTAGTGGATCACCTGAGATCAGGAGTTTGAGACCAGCCTGGCCAACATGACGAAACCCAGTCTCTACTAAAAATACAAAAATTAGCTGGGAATAATGGTGGGTGCCTGTAATCCCAGCCACTCCAGAGGCTGAGGCAGGAGAATAGCTTGAACCCGGGAGGCAGAGGCTGCAGTGAGCCGAGATTGCCCCATTGCACTCCAGCCTGGGCGACAGAGCGAGACTCCGCCTCAAAACAAACAAACAAAAGCCGAAACAAAAAACAAAACAAACAAACAAAAAACCCAATTACAGGGAGAGCCCTGGAGCATTAAGGCGCTTTCTAGAGGAACTCTGATTCCTCGAGGAGCAGAAATTTCCGAAGGAAAGGAAGCACCAGCCATTGCTTGGTATAATTGCAACAAGCTCTCTGGAAGGAGCTGTTTGCCATGTCCCACCTGTGACCGTGAGTGCCACCACCTCACTGCGCTGGGATCCCCAGCCATTGTCGGCCTCACAGGAGTAGTTCCCAGAATGCTCTGCGGCGACGGAGAGGTTGAAGGACGCTCCTCCTCCAGAAGGTGCTGAGGCTTTCCCCAGAGTCACATTTTCATGGTAACACCAAAACAGAATGGGTGCAGACGCTCTCCTGTCTTCGCAGTGAAGCTCCACCACATGGCCAATGAAGGCCAGGGCGCCAGGAGCAATGAAGCTGAGGAGAAGACGCGACACTGGAACTGAAAGAGGTAGTAGGGTCCGTCAGCGAGGCTGGTCGCAACTCACAACCCACCCGGTCCTCGGCTCAGGAAGTCCTCGCCTCATAGCACCCCGCCGGCCCTGGACTCTTTCCCACGTCGCACCTCGCACCTGCTGGTCTAACCCTGCAGGGGTGCTTCCGGCAGAGCTGTGCTGGGCTCTGGTGAAGAGCTCGGGATACATGGCCCCGCGTCCACCTTCTCACCCTCCTCTAGCTCTCTGCCACCGCTGCCGCTGCCACCACCTCCCCCATCACAAGACTACAGTGCCCATAGGGCCTCTTACCCTCCTCACGCCCTGTTTCTTGTCGTCACCTTGGAGCATCCTCGCTGCTACAGAAGGAAACTGACCCCAGCAGGGAGCCGCCGGCTAGCAGATTCAGACCATGCCGCTCACCTCTCACAGTGACATTCAGCAGCGTGCTCTGAACGGGGCCGTAGCTGTTGTCTGCTGTACAGTAGTATCCTCCTGCATGGCTCTACCTGATGGCAGGGGGCTCCGACTCTGCTCTTGGGGAAGGCTGAGTTTTCCTCCCCAGACTCTCCTGCGTGTCCTTTCGGTGCCAGGAGAACGTGGTTTCCCCTGTGCCTTCAGCCACGGAGCAGACAAGGACCAGCGTCTCCCCTTCAACCGCCTGGCCCCCTGAGGGCTGGGTCTCCAGGAGCACCCCAGACACAGGGATCCCTATGTAAAAATGAGACCACAGGGAGGGGCCAGCTGTGAAGGAGGGCAGGGCTGGATGGAAGCCAGTATCACCTGCTGGGCATTAAGGCAAGTGGGGTTGGTGGAACTAAATGTTTGGGTAGAGGGTCCACCTCACTTGCCTGAGTGTTTTTAATAGCGAGAGAGCACGCTGAGGAACATTACACAGGACCACCTTGCTGTTTGATGCTCCATAACAATCCTACCCTGCACTTCCTCCACATTCTTTTGCCCTCTGGAATGACCGCAGCCCACAGAAATCTCATCATCTCCTGATCTCCAGATGTACATGGGCAGCAGGAGTGGTAGGAAGAGCATGGGTTAGGGGGATGGACTCAGTTACTATCTCTGGATCTCAATCTTGCTAAATCAATTGCTATTTCTGGTTCTCAGTTTTCTCAAGTATAAAATGTGAATAATCATGTCTACCTTACAGAGTTCTCATGGAGATGAAATGCGATACAAGTACCCCTCACTTTGGAGAGGTTCAGTAAATGGTAGCTATTATTGGTACCACTCTTCACTGGCACAGTTGAGATTGGAAGTGTAGCAAGGTGGTTAAAAGCACATACCCTGGAGCCTGAGTGACCAGGTTCATATTCCAGCTCTATGTGTTGAGTTACCTTGGGCAAGCCACTTAACAGCTCGATGCTTTCTCTTTCCTCATCTGTAAAATGGAGATAATAATACTACCTACTTTACAGGTGCTATTTGTAGTACTGTATCATAGGGTTGCTACTAGGACTAAATGTTAAACTGCTCTGAACAGTGTCATGTACAGCTGTAAACATTCCTTAAATCTTCTCCTCTCCAGATATTTATGAGTATCAAAGGGGTTATTCCAGAACTGAGAATAACAGCTTGGGTTCAGACCTGGCATTTAAGCCTTTGGAAAAATGTTTGTCATTCTGCTAAAAAGCCTAACCCCAAGGCCTGAACCTTCAATCATTAACTTCAGTGTAATGAAAGACAGTGTCATACATGGGGGAAGAATGGAATACAGAAAAAGGGCATGAAAGTTGTTTAGATTGTCTTCCCAGCCTATCCCTCTAGCCATGAGACCATGGAGGAGGGGTAGCTCCCAGGGTCCTGTCTCAGAAGAGAGGCCATCCTCTCACCAGATCTACATCCACAGTCCTCAAAATGGGATCCATAAGGAAGTGGGGAGAAGGCATTGAGAACTTCCAGATTATATTAAACACTTTTTAACCTTAAAAGTTTTCTGTTTTGTGTATATTTTAGCACATTCACAACATTTCAATGTAGGATTTGTATCAGTGTCTGTATAATACATTGGAGGTACATGCTCAAAATTTTTGTTCTCAATAGCACAAGTGATCAGATAAGTTTAAAGACAACTGTTCTACACCTTTTAACCACTTTGAAAGTTCTACCATTAGAATAGAAAGTAGGTGTGGACAGTGGGAGCCATAAGTATTGATAACGAGAAAGCAGTGCTAAGCCCTCTTGGAGGCCAAATGTTCTCTTCCTTTATATTGAGACTGGGCAAGATTTTCAGTGAAGATGAGGAAGATGCAATCAGTTTGATTTAGGAAATATTTGAGGAATAAGATTTTTGTAATCAAATTGATAATAACGACAGGGCTAGAGATAGATAAGAAATGCTGGCACCAGTTATTACTGAGTCTGGAACAAGGATTTGACTATAATTGCCTGGATAGGTGGCCTTTAACTTTTGACATTTACTTATAGGCTCATTCCCTAGTGGAAGGCACAATTGTGCATATATACACATTTTGTCATAATTTCAGGGAGTTTGCTGGATCTCATGACACTGCTCCAGAGACCACCCTCCCCCAGCCACTTTAAAAACACTCTTGCTTAAAATTACAAGCTAGGTACACAAGCATCACCTCCCTTATAGGTGATTATAGAATGATTATAGACATGATTAAAGAAGAAAATATAACTTTCCAGTCTAATATGAAACCAAGCTTTCTGTATTATATTAGAATTCCAGTAAAAAGAAGAAAAACAAGTTAGGTATTTGATAGTTTACAATCCAAGTAAAAGATACAGGGGCATTCTTATTTAATGCAGAGCATCTCCTTAGCTCTCTAGTTGCCACTCTAGTATAAATATGTTTCCCATCGTTGCCTCCAGTGCTTCCAGTGGGGGCCTTTGAGCACCTGTGGCCAGAACCAGGAGAATGATATACTTTCCATTCACAGTTATCTTCTCCTTTTCTGTCCCAAGGCTCAATAGTAAAGGGATAATTCATTGCCTTGAGAGAGTCAGGGCATGGTCTTCTTGCCCATCAAGCAGGGAGGTGGCAAAGCGGAGAAGAATGTGATACTGGAGTGTCCCTGCCATGGCCAGGACTAGAGGGAGGTGAGTAAAGCACTGGACCCCAGCTCATTTCACCCTAGTTCTGGCCCAAATCCCTGCAGCCCACAGCCAAGAGGCTAGAACTGGAAGTACCTCTCATACCTAGCAGAGTGAGTGTGATTCCTAGAGATCTAAAAGAACAAAGAGAAGAGCCACTCACCTGACTGGAAGGTGACAGGAGCTATGAGGGAACAGAGTCAGAGAGGTTACCACAGGACCAGGATTCTTACTCTCTTTAAAAAGTTGTAGCCCTTTGAGAACTTTCCAACAATTATCTTTCCCCAACTTTCTTTCTGTTTCTTCCCCCCACCTCCACTTTTTCTGCCCTTATATCCTACCTCCCTCATTTCTTCTATTCTTTTCCCCTCCTTCTCTTCCTCCTTCTTCCTTCTTTCCTTTCTTCCTTCCATCAATAACAAACAACGCTCCTACGGAGCCCACTGCAACCTCTGCCTCCTGGGTTCAAGCGATTCTCCTGCCTCAGCCTCTAGTGTAGCTGGGACTACAGGTACGCGCCACCATGCCAGGTTAATTTTTCTATTTTTAGTAGAGATAAGGCTTCACCATGTTGGCCAGGATGGTCTCAATCTCTTGACCTTATGATCCGCCCGCCTTGGCCTCCCAAAGTGCTGGGATTACAATCGTGAGCCACTGCGCCTGGCCTTATCTTCTCTTTTTAAAGTATCCTATTTTGTCTGAGATACATTGCCTGCCTGGGGGGCAACATGAAGCCCAGAAGGCCCATGTAGGAAATGGAAGTGTCCTCTCATATTTCACTGATACCATTTATCCTTCCATTCCTATTCTAGGCCTAACATTGTGTTTGAGTCCATATAAGAGAGACATATTTATCAGCAGAAGCCATGATCTCCTCTACGGTTAGCAAGATTTGAAGCCTCTCTGAAATCTAAGTCTAGGGAAGTAAGAGTTCAGCCAGATATGTAGTAGCTTAGAGTGGAAGTGGGGGTTAGGGCAGAGTAGGATTTATGTGGGCTGGAACTAGAATTCACCCTGACAGAAAATTTCTTTGATGTCCTTTTAATAAATTTTCCAGTTTTCCTAGAGATCAAAGCAGAAATGGATGTTAAATAAATGAGAAGTAATGAATATTTAGTAAAGAGATTCATAGTTTTTTGTTTTTCCTAGGAACCCTGCTCTGCTCAATACCCATTTGCATAGTATCTGTTGTTACGGAGTTAGGAGCTGAAGCCCACCGTACTCATCCCAGCAGAAAGAATGTGCTCAAGAATAGCTTCCGGGATGCCCAGGGACAGGTGATTCTGCCCACCTCAGTCCTGCTCTAGCATTCTACCCACCAATGACCAGAAGTAGTGTCCAGAGCAGCATAAGGGCTAAGGCAAGAAGTTCTACCAGCAACTGTCAGGTGCAGCTTAGGTCCTTAGGGCAGCTGTTTGTCTGCATGGACCGTGAAGCCAGGATTTGGCCCTGTGGTTCAGTAGGGATTATATAAAATAGAAAAAAGGAAGTAGAAAAGCTCTCTGTCAATCAGCATTTTCCCCACTCCCATGGATAAGGAGAAAGTAAATTGTTTCTCCTTTACAGACTTGCTCAGATGTTTGTGTATTGATCAGAAATGCTCCATAAAATGTCAAGTGTCTTTATCCTATATCTAAGCTTTCCAACTCATTTTGACTTTGTGGAGAACGCCGAGTTCTGGGCCTTCTGAGATTCAAGTCACTTGCTTGGTCTGTTTCAAAGGGAAAACCCCTTTACCATTCAAGATGCATGATTTGTTACACAATTTCTAATATTGTGACACCATGTCAATACCACATCAATGCTGCTCTGCAGAGGTCTACTCAGACTACATCAAGAGACAAGCAGGCATTTGTCAGAAATGATGATGGGATTGGTATGATATTAGAGGTGTTGTGTGTGGTCCAGGGACTCAGGAAGACACAAATCCTGCCCAACTCAAGTCACCTCTGCCCATGAGATGTTCCAGCCAGATACATGCAGAAAGGATGAGGTAATATGCACACCCTATGGCTACCTGAAGCTTTAGCTCCAAACTACAGTGCAGTGATGTAAAGGGCCTTAACATGCTCAGGAGAGATCAGGTCCAAAGTTCAAGATTAAATTTTAGAAGAGATCCCTTGTATCAGGCTGGAAATAGAATCCACCCTAATGAATAAAAAATGACTTTAATGAAAGGACTACCTAGAATGATATGGACAGGACTTAAATAATAGACTATAGACAGTGAGCCATCCAGAGACCAGCCGTGGTGGAAAGCTGCCACCACCTTCAGAGCTGAAGGAGCAAGGAGAGGAAGGACTGCTACAAAAGCCCAGTGAGAATTGGAGGGGCCACCAGGTGGAATTGCGATTGTGGAAGACATTGCTCCTGCCAGAGATAAGGCACCAAGCTAAGCCAACAGGTGGTGGGAGAGTGGGAAGGGGGGAAATACCTTGACCTCTCTCCTTCCTGCTGTCTGGTCCCTCGTTGGTGCCTCCTATTGATGGAGCCAAATTGTAAGCCAGAGAGGCTGGTTGATGCAGTCCATAGGGCATAGCTCCTAGGGCACAGAGCAGCAGAGGATGAAGGAGAATGGATGTGGTGGGGGAGTGGGATGGGGTGGCTCTAATGCAGAATATCCAGTGTAGTCCTCAATGTGGAAAAAGAGATTACACCAGTGCTAGGAGCTCCTTCCCAGCAAAAGCCTTTATTTTCCCATGTTGGAATCTTCCCATTCCCACCCAATGCTGTCAGTGTGTGGGGTGTTTAGGTGAGAATAAGATATTAAGGTCAGGCAAACATAATACCTTGATTATCTTCAGTCAGCCACTCTAGAAAGGAATACTGACCAAATAATAAACACTGCAAATTAACACTTTTTTACTAGCAATTTCAGACCAGAATTCTACAGGTAGCTATTTTTAGTCTAATCTGTAGACCTTCATGACTTGACAAACTTCTTCTCCCTCAGTCATTCTACCCCGGGAGTAAAGATGTGAGCATAAGAGGTGAAGCAAACCAGAACTTGCCTAGGCTACCAGGTAAAGTCTTTCTCTGCTGATGGGTTTATATTTGGGGTCTGTGGGGAAGCAGAAGCAGGAGGGTTGACATATGAAGGTACACACTCCAGGCTTGCCTTGCTGCATGAGTGCGAGAAGAGAGGGTACTGAAGAAATCACATCCATATGCATTTTATCTTGTAATACCTTTGTTGTTTCACCCTCTAGAACAGTGGACAAGTAAATGTTCCCAGAAAGCTTTCAATCAGAAGTAGAAATTTAAATGGTTTAAGTCAAAGGCATGTTTGAGAAAGAACAAGATTCTGTGACCAAGAAGGGAATAAATTGCAGGACTAGAAGCAGAGAAGAAATGATTTTACTGGGATATTTCAAACAAGAACCAAGGCTTAAACTATAAGACATGGGTCTGTCCAGCAGCAGATGGACTCCAAATTTGGTACTATCTGGAATCATGGCTCATCATTCTGAACATGCTCCTTTGAGATTGTGTTATAATATACAGACACTTTATCCTTTCAAATACTACAAACATACAAAGGTAAAAAGGTTTTTTTCAGGCAATTTTGGAGGTTCAAACACTTTCAGATGTGGTCCAGGGAAATCAGATAAGAGCCACTAGCCTATTTCTGTACAGCAGCAAAGACAAGGCAGGATAGAGATGATCAATTATATTTTCAAAGGACAGGTTCCAGAAAAATATGACTTTTGCAGTGGATGGTAAAAGCTGACTCTTTTCTTTGTTAATTATGTTAGAATTTTAAGCCATGAGGGGAAACATGGTGAGCTTTTGCCAGTTTATTAACCAAGCTGAGAATATAGGATTTCTCAGATTTCAGATCTGCTATGGCTTCTGTTCTCTAGAGCATCCTGCATCCTCTGGAGAGGACACCCCACTGGCGAAATCAGAAATCTTGGAGTATCTTTCAGTTTGCCGTAAAGGGATTCTTCCAACATCTTTCAACTCCACAGATACCCTTTCCTCCATAGGTGTGTTGTCTTCCTCCCAGCTTTGGGCTTTCCCAGGTTGAGTGAGGATTTGTTCACCCAGGAGAATGGGCAAGTGTCAGGGCAGGGATTGATATATCCTCAGAACAGGAAGATCTCACACCGGGAAAAGCAGGAGAGCTCATCCCTGAAGCCTTTGGCAAAAGGGGAAGGGCAGGCAGTGGTCACTGAAATGGGCATCTAATAGTTTTCTGTCCTCTGATACCATAGACCCAGAGGTTTGAAAGAATAAAAAGAAGAGGAACCCACATAACTAACTACATACACACTAGTGGGTGAAGATTCTGAGATTAGCCGAGGCAGGACTTCTTATACTTTAAATCTTGCAATCCTTTGAGAAATTTTATGCATGCCCTGCTGTCTTTCCTTCATGTCTCCAGTCTGGAGGAAATTGCCTGCAGAATGGGAAGAGTCCTGAGGTAACATCCCTTGGTGGTGAGCCATGTTCAAGAGATCTGTCACTCCTACTGGAGCGGGGAGACTGTGGAGCTTCAGGCAACAAATCCAATCAAATGTGAAACAACACTTAGTTAGTGCAGAGATACATTAGAAAATTGATGATTTAGGATATTATTAAATTGCAGTCATGAATATGACCCAGTTATAGTCACTAACTGCACCCTGGCTCTCTCCATATGCATGGTAGGCTGATGGCCAGACCTAGCATACAGCTGGGAGATACCCAGCACGACCATCACCAACCTGCCAAATGTACCACAGATTCTAGGCTGATTTTTCACAGGCTGTGTTAGACCTAGAGACACCACCCCACTTCGCTCTTTGAAAATCATTCTATGTCAGTATTAACAACATTTCTATGTCAGTATCAGTGATCAGTCATGTGGGGTTCAGGATACCAGTGAGATGCGCCATTGGAGGCCAGAAAGTCTGCCACCCGCAGTACTGCTGGAGGTCCTAGGAAAGATTACTTTTCCAATCAAAGGTCCCCAAGGGACCTCCAGCAGTACTGCGGGTGGCAGACTTTCTGGCCTCCAATGGCGCATCTCACTGGTATCCTGAACCCCATATGACTGATCACTGATACTGACATAGAAAGGTTGTTAATACTGACATAGAATGATTTTCAAACAGTGAAGTGGGGTGGTGTCTCTAAGTCTAGCATAGCCTGTGAAGGATCAGCCTAGAATCTGTGGTACATTTGGCAGGTGGGTGATGGTCGTGCTGGGCATCTCCCAGCTGTATGCTAGGTCTGGCCATCAGCCTACCATGCATATGGAGAGAGCCAGGGTGCAGTTAGTCACTATAACTGGGTCATATTCATGACTGCTATTTAGTAATATCCTAAATCATCAATTTTCTAATGTTCCTCTGCACTAACAGGAACTCCTGTCTTGCCCCAGAACTGAGAATGATCAGGAAAATGTACAAGTGTAAGCACAAAGACTCTGATTCAGGCTGCAGAAGCAGGTGCATGTATTGATTGCCCAGGAAGTTGAGGTCATTTTGGAACAGGGAATACCCAAGCACTGCTCCCAAGAGTAGAGATACCCAACACAAAGTTAAAGGATTTAAACTGGTGTTCATGGCCATCTTTCTGCTGCCAGGGAGGGTAAATGGGAACATGTCAGCATGTTCCAGCTGTCTGGGAAACCACCCCAGAACATGTCAGCAAGTTGCAGTTGTCTGGGAAATGACCCCATAGTTCTAAAAAAACCCCTAACATCTATATGGGGAATGCCTCATTCTAGCATTTCATTATGCTGATTTAGTCCCCCATCAAATAAAAAAGTCAACTCAGGCAAGACAAAAGTCTCCTTCTCCCAGGACTGGTAGAACCATAAGGAAATATGGAAGTCAAGATTTCAGGAAGCTATGTAATGTGGTACTAGACACTGGGCTACTGTAATTTTCAGTGTTCTTTATTATTAAAATCTGGTCTGATTCCATCACAAGGTCTGAGGTTATGGCCTCTGGGGATTAAATACTGAGTTTTGCACAGACCCAGGCTCAATTTTGGTGAGTTTTAAATGTTGTGAGGATATTTTGAAAGCAAAGGAAGACTTTGGCTCAAGGGAATGAGTCAATGACAAGCCCCAGGTGATTGGGTGGAGTAAGCAGGGCCTCCCCCAGGTGGATCTAAATTTTGCTTTGGCAGTGGCAAAAACTTGAACTGCTTAACTGATATGCTGCTAAAAGATACAGGGCTCAGTTTAAACAATGAATGATTCTGTTCCAAGTGCAACATTTCCCAGCTCGGAGAGAATTACCTGGATATTAGGGGGAGGAGGGAACCCTAAAACTTAAAAGTCCCATATTTAACAGTCCAAGATTTTTATAAGACATCAATAATCTAAACGTGACATGGACTTCTGCTTCTGGGAAGACAGAGTAGATATACTTCTTTCTATTCTTACAAAATGCAACTAAAAACCCTGGATACGATAATCACAAGCAGACTGAAATATAGAGAAAAGAAGGAAGACCAGATAGGAATCCCCATATCCAAAAAACAACATGGTGCTGAGTTCCCTGGGTTGTTTTGTTGTTGTTCTCGTATATTCTACACTTGGAATTGAAAACTCCATGCCACCTGTAACACCCATGGGTGCAGATAAAAAGGTGCCAGTAATAGCCTGTGCTCTAGCCAAAGGGTGAGAAAAAGGACAGCCAAGCAAGACAGAACACTTTAAAACAATAACAACTCTACTCCAGCCAAACGCTACAGAAAAAACTGTGGCCCCATTCCCACCCATGCTAACAAGAGAGGAGTGGAGAGCCTATACTTCCACCCTTGTGAGTCGGTATTGTTGAAGTGACTCTACCCCTCACAGGAGTGGTGTCAGAGAAGCCTGAGTAGGGCACAGCAACTTTCATCACTGGTGGTTAGTGGTTGTCAGTGGAGACCTTATGATGAGCCTGGACTTCCACCCCTGTCTGGCAGTAAGGAGGTGCCTCCCTTTCTTTTTTGCATGTGTTCATTTACTATATAGTGACTTAATTTAGTCACCCTTTATAAAATCTCTCTTTTCATTGTGGCAAAAATAAACATAACAAAACTTATTATTTTACCATTTTTAACTGTACAGTTCAGTGACATTTAGTACCTTGACCTTGTTGTGCAACCATCACCATCCATCTCCCAAACTTTTTCATCTTCCCCAACTGAACCTCTGAGCCCATTAAACAGCTTCTCATTTTCCCCTCTCCCAGCCCCTGGCAACCGCCATTCTACCTTCTGTCTCTATGAATTTGACTACTTTACGTACCTCATATAAGTAGATCATGCAAAATTTGTCTTTTTGTGCCTGGCTTATTTCACTTAGCATAATGTCTTCAAGATTCATCCATCTTGTGGAATTTCCTTCCCTCCCTATCTCAAGACGTTGCATTCCCAGCACATTCTACAGTTATTCTGAGAGCTATGAACAAGAAGAGGGAAAAAGCTTGGTTGGCCAAGGCTATCTGAGGACCATCTTGTAATACCCAGAATGGAACTGCTGGATCATAAGGTAATTCTATATTCAGTTTTTGGAGAACTTTCCATGTTATTTTCAATAGCTGCTGTGACATTTTACATTCCCATCAACAATGCAAAAGGGTTCCAGTTTCTTCTCATTCTTGCCAATGCTTGTTAATTTCTGTTTTTTTTTTATAATAGCCATTCTCATTAATGAAGTGGTCTTATTGAGGTTTTAATTTGCATTTCCCTAATTATGAGTGATATTGATATTGAGCATCTTTTCATATGCTAACTGGTCATGTGTATATCTTATTGGGAGAAATGCCTATTTAAATTCTTTGCTCATTTTAAAATTACATTGTTCATTTTATGTTAAATTGTAAAAGTTATATACATATATTCTGGATATTAATCCCTTATCAGATATACAATTTGCAAATATCTTCTCTCATTCCATGAGTTGTCTTTTCACTGTTGATTGTGACCTTTGATGCATAGAAATTGTAAACTTTGATATACTATAATTTATCTTTATTCTTTTGTTGCCTGTGGTTTTGGTGTCATATCCAAGAATTATTGACAAATCCAATGCAATTAAGCTTTTTTCCTATATATTAGGATTTTTTGTAATTTTAGTTCTTATGTTTAAGTCTTTGATCAATTTTGAATTATTTTTATATATGCTGTAATGATCTAACTTCATTATTTATGTGTGGATATCTAGTTTTTCAATGTCATTTGTTAAACAGACTATCTTTTCCCCATTGAATGTTCTTGGCACCCTGTTGAAAGTCATTTGACTGTATACATAAGGGTTTATTTCTGGGATATCTATTCTATTCCACTTGTCAGTATGTCTGTGTTTATGCTCATACCATACTGTTTGGATTGCTTGTAGCTTTGTAGTAAGTTTTAAAACCAGGATATCTAAGAGCTGCAACTTTGTTCTTTTCAATGTTGTTTTGCTTATTTGGGATCTCTTGAGATTCCATACAAATTTTAGGATGGATTTTTCTGTATCTTCAAAAAAGTGTATATGAAATTTTATTGTATTTTATTTATTTTAAGACAGAGTCTTGCTCTGTCATGCAGGCTGGAGTGCAGTGGCACAATCATGGCTCATTGCAGCCTCAACTCCATGGGCTCAAGCAGTTCTCCCATCTCAGCCTCCCGAGTAGCTGGGACACCAGGTGCATGCCACCAAACTCAGCTGTTTGTTTGTTTGTAGAAACACATTATCTCTATATTGCCTAGGCTAGTCTTGAACTCCTGGGCTCAAGTGATCCTCCCATCTCAGCCTCCCAAAATGCTGAGAACACAGGTATGAGCCACTGCATCCAGCCTCACTGGGATTTTGATAGGGATTGTACTGAATCTGTAGATTGCTTTGGGTTGTATTGACATCTTAACAATACTAAGTCTTCCAATGATAAAAATGGAATGTCTCTCCATTTATTTGTGTTTTCTTTAATTTCTTTCAGCAATGTTTTCTAGTTTTAGTGTACAATTCTTTTGCCTCCTTGGTTGTTTATTCCTAAGTGTTTTATTCTTTTTGATGTTGTTGGAGTTGTGTTTTAATTTCCTTTTTGGATTGTTTATTGTTAGTATATGAAAATGCAGCTGAGGTAAGGCACAGTGGTTCATGCCTGTAATCTCAGCACTTTGAGAGGCTGAGGCAGGAGGATTGCTTGAAGGCAGGAGTTTTAGACCAGCCTGGGCAACAGTATGAAACCCTGTCTCTACAAAAAATTTTAAAAATTGGCTAGGCATGGTTGTGTGTGCCTGTTGTTCCAGCTACCGAGGAGGCTGATGTGGGCGGATTGCTTGAGCCCAGGAGTTCAAGGCTGCAGTCAACTGTGATCGCACCACTGCACTCCAGTCTGATTGACAGAGCAAAAGCCTATCTCCTCCAACAAAAAAAGAAAAAAAAAGCAACGATATTTGCATGTTGATTTTGTATCCTGTAACTTTGCTGAATTCATTTATTATTTCTAACTTTTTTTGGGTAAAATCCTTAGGATTTTCTATGCATATAACATAACGTTGTCAAAGAACAGAGATAATTTTACTTCTTCCTTTCTGATTTAGATGCCCTTTACGTCTTTCTAGTGCTCGATTACTCTGGCTATGATTTTCAATACTATGTTGAATAGAAGTGGTAAAAATGGACTCTTTGCCTTGTTCCTGATCTTAGAGGAAAAGCTGTCGGTTATTTACCATTGAGTGTGATGTTAGTTGTGGGTTTTTAACATATGGCCTTTATTATATTGTGGTAGGTTTTTTCTATTTCTAGTTTGTTGTTTCTTTTTAATCATAAAAGTATGTTAAATTTCATCAAATGCTTTTTCTGCATCAATTGAGATGATCCCGAGCTGTTTTTCCCTGCTTTATTCTGTTAATGTTGCATATTACATGGATGGTTTTCATTTGTTGAACTATCTTTCCAGGAATAAATCCCACTTGGAAGTGGTGTATAATTCTTGTAGCGTGCTGTTGAATTCGATTTGCTAGTGTTTTGTTGAAAATTTTTGCATCAATATTGATAAGAGATATTGGTCTGTAGTTTTCTTTTCTTGCAGTGTCTTTGTCTGACTTTGACATTGAGTAAAGCTGGCCTCAGAATGAGTTAAGAAGTTTTCCCTCCTCTTCAATTATTTGAAATATTTTGAGAAGTCTTTCTTCTTTTTCAATGTAGATATTTACAGCTATAAATTTCTCTCTGAGCTCTGTGTTCACTGCATCCCATACATTTTAGTATGTTATGCTGTTCTTTTTATTCATCTCAAAGTATTTTCTAATCCCTTTGTGATTTCTTCTTTGATCCTTTAGTTGTTTAATAGTGTGTTGTTTAACTTGCTCATATGTTTTCCAGTTTTCTTCTGTTATTGATTCCTAATTTCATCCTGAGGTAGTTGGAGGAGATACTTTATATGATATATATATTTTAAAATCTACAGAGACTTAGCATATGGTTTATTCTAGAGAATGTTCCATGGGCATTTGAGAAACATGTGTATTCTGCTTTTGTTGGTTGTTCTGCATATGTCTGTATAAGTCTGTTAGCTGTAGTTGGTTTATTGTGTTGTTCAAGCCCTCTATTTCCTTATCTATCTCTTGTCTGTTTTATCCATTATAAAAAATATATTATTGCAGTTTCCAACTATTAAGTAGAACAATTTATATCTCCTTTCATTTCTGTCAATTTTGGCTTTATATGTTTTGACAGTCTATTATTAGGTGCACAAAGTGTTTAACATGGTTATATCTTCTTGCTATATCATACAATGTCCTTATTTTTCTCTTGTAAACCTTAAAAATTTGACGTCTATTTTTTATGATATTAGTGTAGCTGCCCTAGCTCTCTTTTGATAACAATTTTCATGGAGTATCTTTTTATCATCCTTTCACTTTCAAACTATTTACATCTTTGGTTTTAAAGTGAATCTTTTGTAGACAGCATATAGTTGGATTACTTTTCATTCAATTCTGCCAATTTTTATCTTTTGATTGGAGATTGTCTTAGTCTATTTAGTGTTGCTACAACAGAATACCTGAAGTTGAATGATTTATAAAGAAAAGAGATTTATTTGGCTTATAACTGTGGTGGCTGAAAAGTCCAAATACCTGGTGCCAGAATTTGTTTGACTTCTGGTGAGGGCCTTGTGCAGCATAATAACATGGTAGAGAAGCAGAATGATAGACAGGCATGTGCAAAGAAGGTAAACATGAGAGGGAGCCTCACCTTATAGCAATCCCCTCTCGTGGTAACTAATTCAGTTGTGCAAGAGTGAGAACTCACTCCTGCAAAACAGCATTCACCCATTAATGAGTGATCTGCCCCCCTGACCCAAACACTACCTGCTATTCTTCACCTCCCAGCACTGCTGCATTGATATGAATATGGAACAGACCATATTTAAACCAATGCGTTTGCCCCCTCCCCCCGAAAAACTCACATTCTTCTTACAATGCAAAACACATTCATCCCATCCCAATAGTCCCCAAAGTTTTAACTCATTCAAGCACCAACCCAAAAGTCCAAAGTCCAAAGTCTCATCTGAGACTCAAGACTAGTTCCTTCCAGCTGTGAGCCCATAAAATAAAAAATCAAGTTATTTACTTTCAAGATACAATGGTAGCATACATATTGGGTTAACATTCCCACTTCAAAAAGGGGTAGAAGGCCCAAAGAAGTGAATAACTGGCCCAAAGCAAATTTGAAACCCAGCAGGGCAGACAAATCTTAAAGCTCCAAAATAAGTTTCCACTCCATGTGCCACCTGCTGGACATACTGAGATGGGAGTTGGGCCCCCAGTGCCTCAGGCAGCCCCACCCCTATGGCTTTGGTAGGTGCACCTTATGTGGCTGCTTGTACACCTTGGAGTCCAGTGCCTGTAGCTTTTCCTGGTAGGCACTGAATGCTGCTGGTGGCATTCTGGGGTCTTGAGGGCAGTGGCCCCACTCCCACATTTCCACTAGGCATTGCCCTGGTAGGGACTCTCTGTGGCAGCTTTATCCCTTGGGGGAAGCTTCTGCCTGGGCACGCAGGCTTTCTGCAGCATCCTTTGAAATATTGGTGGAGGCAGCCATGCCTCTGCTGCTCTTGCATTATGCACACCTTCGGAATTAGCACCACATGGATGTAGATGTTTCCAAGGCTTACCATCTGCACTCTTTAGAGTGGTGGCCCAAGCCATACCTGGGGCTGCTTGTGACATTGCTGGAGCAGCCAGAATGGTCAAGATATGGGGAGCAGCATCCCAAGGCAACCCTGGGCAGCAAACCTATGGAAGGTGCCCTAGGCCCATCTCCCAAAGCCATTCTTTCCTCCTATGCCTCTGGGCCTGTGATGGGAGGGGCAACCTCTTAAGATTTCTGAAATACTTTTTGGGTCTTTTCCTCATTGTCTTCACAATTAGCTATTGGCTTTTTTGTCTATCAGTACTAATCCCTTTAACAACCAGTTTCTCAGATGCACTGTTGGATTCTTCTCCTAAATATGCTCTTTCATTCTCTACCACATGGCCAGGCTGAGAATTTTCCAAATTTTTATGTTATTTCCCTTTTAAGTGTACATTTTGCCTATAGATTATCCTTTGCTCCTGTAATTCATTGTAAGCAGTTAAAAATAACCATGCTGCTTCCTGCATGCTTTGCTGCTTGGATATTCCTTCCTCTAGATATACTAGTTCATCACTCTTAAATTCTGCCTTCCATAAAGCCCTAGGGGATGGAGACAATGCACCCAAGTTTTTTTTGTTTCTTTGTTTATGAATGTGTAACAAGAATGCCTTTTATGGCAGTTTCCAATAAGATATTTCCTATTTCCATCTGAGATCTCAAAAGAACAGACTTTACTTTCCATATTTCTGTCAGCATTTTGGTCACAACCACTTAATGAATCTCTAAGGAGTTCCAGACTTTCTCTAGTCTTCTTGTCTTCTAAGCCTTCATTAGAATCTAGGCTTTTTCTAGACTGTTCCTCTTTCAGCCTCTACTAGTTACCCAATTCTAAAGCTACTGCACATTTTTAGATATCTGTATAGCAACACCTCATTCCTCAGTACCAATTTTCTGTCTTTGTTTAGTGTTGCTATAACTGAATACCTGCGGCTATGTAGCTTATAAAGGAAAGAGATTTATTTGGCTCACAATTCTGGTGGCTGGAAAGTCCAAAACTATGGTACTGGCTGGCATCTGCTGGGCTTCTGGTGAGGGCCACAAGTTGTGTCACAATATTATGGTGAAGCAGAAAGTAGGCAGACGTGCAAAAAGTGCAAATATGAGATGCAGCCCTGCTTTACAACAACCCACTCTCATGGTAACCGATCCAGTCCCATGAGACTGAGAGCTCATTACCAAGACATGGCATGCTATTTATGAGGGATCCACTCCCATGACCCAAACATTTCCTACTAGGCTTCACCTCCCAACAATATTGCATTGAAGATCAAGCCTCAACATGAGTTTTAGTGGGGGAGCAAATTATATTCAAACCATAGCAGAGAGTTTAATCTACTTACAGTAAAAGTTATTATAAGGAGAGACCTCTGCTCTTTTGCTATTTGTTTCCTATGTGCCTATAGCTTTTTTTGTCTCTCAGTTTCTCCATTACTGCCTTCTTCTTCATTTAGTTATTATTTTTTGAATGGTGAAAAGTAACTTAATTGAATTAATTAGGCTAAGTAATGATGTTAATCTGTTGTAATTTGAGCATGATTTTAAATATCAGTTTTTAAATTTATACATTTCTCTCTATAAATTGTTAAAATTTAGCTTTCATTTGTCTTTAAAAAACCTCCTGCCAAATAGATGTTTATGTTAAATATATTTTAGTTTGATTTTGTTAAAACTCCTATCTCCCTGAAATTACTTCAGCTTTTCACTTAGGAATTAAATTCTACCTTATGATTCTGACAACTATCAGAAAAGTTCAGTTTATTATTAAGATACATCTTTTAAGTTCATCTGATGTTGACTTTTTTTTAAATAGGTTTAGCTGTTTCTTAGTGGGTAATTAGCATTTGTTCCAGAGGCTAAATCCAGGTCTTTTCATGACTTAAGGTCCTATATAGTAGGCTACTTTATTTTTATTTTTATTTATTTATTTATTTTTATTATACTTTAAGTTCTAGGGTACATGTGCACAATGTGCAGGTTTGTTACATGTGTATTCGTGTGCCATGTTGGTTTGCTGCACCCATTAATTCGTCATTTACATTAGGTATTTCTCCTAATGCTAACCTTCCCCCATCCCCCCACCCCATAACAGGCCCCACTGTGTGATGTTCTCTGCCCTGTGTCCAGGTGTTTTTATTGTTCAATTCCCACCTATGAGTCAGAACTTGCAGTGCTTGGTTTTCTGTCCTTGCAATAGTTTGCTGAGAATGATAGTTTCCAGCTTCATCCATGTCCCTACAAAGGACATGAACTCATCCTTTTTTATGGCTGCATAATATTCCAAGGTGTATATGTGCCACATTTTCTTAATCCAGTCTAGAACTGGTGGACATTTGGGTTGGTTTCAAATCTTTGCTATTGTGAATAGTGCTGCAATAAACATACATGTGCATGTGTCTTTATAGTAGCATGATTTAAAATCCTTTGGGTATATACCCAGTAATGGGATCGCTGGGTCAAATGGTATTTCTAGTTCCAGATCCTTGAGGAATCACCACACTGTCTTCCACAATGGTTGAACTAGTTTACACTCCCGCCAACAGTGTAAAAGTGTTCCTATTTCTCCACATCCTCTCCAGCCCCTGCTGTTTCCTGACTTTTTTTTTCTTTTTAATTATATTTAAGTTCTAGGTACATGTGCACAACGTGCAGGTTTGTTACATATGTATACACATGCCGTGTTGGTTTGCTGCACCCATTAAGTTGTCATTTATATTAGGTATTTCTACTAATGCTATCCATCTCCCAGCCCCCCACCCCCAACAGGCCTCAGTGTGTGATGTCCCCGCCCAGTGTCCAAGTGTTTTCATTGTTCAATTCCCACCTATGAGTGAGAACACGTGGTGTTTGGTTTTCTGTCTTTGTGATAGTTTGCTAAGAATGATGGTTTCCAGCTTCATCCATGTCCCTACAAGGGACATGAACTCATCATTTTTTATGGCTGCACAGTATTCCATTGTGTATATGTGCCACATTTTCTTAATCCAGTCTATCATTAATGGAAACTTGGGTTGGTTTCAAATCTTTGCTATTGTGAATAGTGCTGCAATAAACATACGTGTGCATGTGTCTTTATAGGTGCATGATTTAGAATCCTTTGGGTATATACCCAGTAATGGGATCGCTGGGTCAAATGGTATTTCTAGTTCTAGGTCCTTGAGGAATTGCCACACTGTCTTCCACAATGGTTGAACTAGTTTACACTCCCACCAACAGTGTAAAAGTGTTCCTATTTCTCCACATCCTCTCCAGCACCTGTTGTTTCCTGACTTTTTAATGATGGCCATTCTAACTGGTGTGAGATGGTATCTCATTGTGGTTTTGATTTGCATTTATCTGATCACCAGTGATGATGAGCATTTCTTCATGTGTCTGTTGGCTGCATAAATGTCGTCTTTAGAAAAGTATCTGTTCATGTCCTTTGCTCACTTTTTGATGGGGTTGTTTGATTTTTTTCTTGTAAATTTGTTTAAGTTCTTTGTAGATTCTGGATATTAGCCCTTTGTCAGATGGGTAGTTTGCAAAAATTTTCTCCCATTCTGTAGGTTGCCTGTTCACTCTGATGGCAGTTTCTTTTGCTGTGCAGAAGCTCTTTAGTTTAATTAGATCCCAATTGTCAATTTCGGCTTTTGTTGCCATTGCTTTTGGTGTTTTAGTCATGAAGTTCTTGCCCATGCCTATGTCCTGAATGGTATTGCCTAGGTTTTCTTCTGGGGTTTTTATGGTTTTAGGTCTAACATTTAAGTCTTTAATCCATCTTGAATTAATCATTGTATAAGATGTAAGGAAGGGATCCAGTTTCAGCTTTCTACATATGGCTAGCCAGTTTTCCCAGCACCATTTATTAAATAGGGAATCCTTTCCCCATTTCTTGTTTTTGTCAGGTTTGTCAAAGATTAGATGGTTGTAGATGTGTTATTTCTGAGGCCTCTGTTCTGTTCCATTGTTCTATATCTCTGTTTTGGTACCAGTACCCCACTGTTTTGGTTACTGTAGCCTTGTAGTATAGTTTGAATTCAGGTAGTGTGATGCCTCCAGTTTTGTTCTTTTTGCTTAGGATTGTCTTGGCAATGCGGGCTGTTTTTGGTTCCATATGAATTTTAAAGTAGTTTTCTCCAATTATGTGAAGAAAGTCATTGGTAGCTTGATGGAGATGGCATTGAATCTATAAATTACCTTGGGCAGTATAGCCATTTTCACGATATTGATTTTTCCCAACCATGAGCATGGAATGTTCTTCCATTTGTTTGTGTCCTCTTTTATTTCATTGAGCAGTGGTTTGCAGTTCTCCTTGAAGAGGTCCTTCACATCTCTTGTAAGTTGGATTCCTAGGTATTTTATTCTCTTTGTAGCAATTGTGAATGGGAGTTCACTCATGATTTGGCTCTCTGTTTGTCTGTTATTGGTGTATAGGAATGCTTGTGATTTTTGCATATTGATTTTTGTATCCTGAGACTTTGCTGAAGTTGCTTATCAGCTTAAGGAGATTTTGGGCTGACACAGTGGGGTTTTCTAAATGTACAATCATGTCATCTGCAAACAGGGACAATTTGACTTCCTCTTTTCCTAAATGAATACCCTTCATTTCTTTCTCTTGCTTGATTGCCCTGGCCAGAACTCCCAACACTATGTTGAACAGGAGTGGTGAGAGAGGGCATCCTTGTCTTGTGCCAGTTTTCAAAGGGAATGCTTCCAGTTTTTGCCCATTCAGTATGATATTGGCTGGGGGTTTGTCATAAATAGCTCTTATTATTTTGAGATATGTCCCATCAATACCTAGTTTATTGAGAGTTTTTAGCATGAAGCGCTGTTGAATTTTGTCAAAGGCCTTTTCTGCATCTATTGAGATAATCATGTGATTTTTGTCTTTGGTTCTGTTTATGTGATGGATTACATTTATTGATTTGCATATGTTGAACCAGCCTTGCATCCCAGGGATGAAGGCAACTTGATTGTGGGGGATAAGCTTTTTGATGTGCTGCTGGATTCGGTTTGCCAGTATTTTATTGAGGATATTTGCATCGATTTTCATCAGGGATATTGGTCTAAAATTCTCTTTTTTTTGTTGTGTCTCTGCCAGGCTTTGGTATCAGGATGACACTGGCCTCATAAAATGAGTTAGGGAGAATTCCCTCTTTTCCTATTGATTAGAATAGTTTCAGAAGGAATGGTATCAGCTCCTTTTTGTACCTCTGGTAGAATTTGGCTGTGAAACCATCTGGTCCTGGACTTTTTTTGGTTGGTAAGCTATTAATTATTGCCTCAATTTCAGAGCCTATTATTGGTCTAGTCAGGGATTCAACTTCTTCCTGGTTTAGTCTTGAGAGGGTGTATGTGTCCAGGAGTTTATCCATTTCTTCTAGATTTTCTAGTTTATTTGCATAGAGCTGTTTATAGTATTCTCTGATGGTAGTTTGTATTTCTGTGGGATTTGTGGTGATATTCCTTTTATCATTTCTTATTGAGTCTATTTGATTCATCTCTCTTTTCTTCTTTATTAGTCTTGCTAGCAGCCTATCAATTTTGTTGATCATTTCAAAAAACCAGCTCCCGGATTCATTGATTTTTTGAAGGGCTTTTTGTGTCTCCATCTCCTTCAGTTCTGCTCTGATCTTAGTTATTTTTTGCCTTCTGCTAGCTTTTGAATGTGGTTGTTCTTGCTTCTCTAGTTCTTTTATTTGTGATGTTAGGGTGTCGATTTTAGATCTTTCCTGCTTTCTGTTGTGGGCATTTAGTGCTACAAATTTCCCTCTACATGCTGCTTTAAATGTGTCCCAGAGCTTCTGGTACGTTGTGTCTTTGTTCTCATTGGTTTCAAAGAACATCTTTATTTCTGCCTTCATTTTGTTATTTACCCAGTAGTCATTCAGGAGCAGGTTGTTCAGTTTCCATGTAGTTGTGCGGTTTTGAGTGAGTTTCCTAATCCTGAGTTCTAATTTGATTGCACTGTGTTCTGAGAGAAAGTTTGTTGTGTGATTTCTGTTCTTTTACATTTGCTGAGGAGTGCTTTGCTTCCAACTATGTTGTCAATTTTGGAATAAGTGCGATGTGGTGCTGAAAAGAATGTATATTCTGTTAATTTGGGGTGGAGAGTTCTGTAGATGTCTATTAGGTCTGCTTGGTGCAGAGTTGAGTTCAAGTCCTGGATATCCTTGTTAACCTTCTGTCTTGTTGATCTGTCTAATATTGACAGTGGGGTGTTAAAATCTCCCATTATTATTGTGTGGGGGTCTAAGTCTCTTTGTAGGTCTCTAAGGGCTTGCTTTATGAATTTGGCTGCTCCTGTATTGGGTGCATATCTATTTAGGATAGTTAGCTCTTCTTGTTGAATTGATCCCTTTACCATTATGTAATGGCCTTCTTTGTCTCTTTTGATTTTTGTTGGTTTAAGGTCTGTTTTATCAGAGACTAGGATTGCAACCCCTTGTGTTTTTTTTTGTTTTCTATTTGCTTGGTAGATCTTCCTCCATCCCTTTATTTTGAGCCTGTGTGTGCCTCTGCACGTGAGATGGGTCTCCTGAATACAGCACACTGATGGGTCTTGACTCTTTATCCAATTTGCCAGTCTGTGTCTTTTAATTGAGGCATTTAGCCCATTTACATTTAAGGTTAATATTGTTATGTGTGAATTTGATCCTGTCATTATGATGTTAGCTGGTTATTTTGCTAATTAGTTCATGCAGTTTCTTCCTAGCATTGATGATCTTTACAATTTGGCATGTTTTTGCAGTGGCTGGTACTGGTTTTTCCTTTCCATGTTTAGTGCTTCCTTCAGGAGCTCTTTTAAGGTAGGCCTGGTGGTGACAAAATCTCTCAGTATTTGCTTGTTTGTAAAGGATTTTATTTCTCCTTCACTTATGAAGCTTAGTTTGGCTGGATATGAAATTCTGAGTTGAAAGTTCTTTCCTTTAAGAATGTTGAATATTAGCTCCCACTCTCTTCTGGCTTATAGAGTTTCTGCTGAGAGATCCGCTGTTAGTCTGATGGGCTTCCCTTTGTGGGTAACCCAATCTTTCTCTCTGGCTGCCCTTAACCTTTTTCCCTTCATTTCAACCTTGGTGAATCTGACAATTATGTGTCTTGGGCTTGCTCTTCTCGAGAAGTATCTTTGTGGTGTTCTGTGTATTTCCTGAATTTGAATATTGGCCTGCCTTGCTAGGTTGGGGAAGTTCTCCTGGATAATATCCTGAAGACTGTTTTCCAGCTTGATTCCATTCTCCCTGTCACTTTCAGGTACACCAATCAACGTAGATTTCGTCTTTTCACATAGTCCCATATTTCTTGGAGGCTTTGTTCATTTCTTTTTACTCTTTTTTTCTCTAAGCTTCTCTTCTCACTTCATTTCATTAATTTGATCTTCAATCACTGATACCCTTTCTTCCACTTGATCAAATCAACTACTGAAGCTTGTGCATGTGTCACGTAGTTCTCATGCCATGGTTTTCAGCTCCATCAGGTCATTTAAGGTCTTCTCTACACTGTTTATTCCAGTTAGCCATTTGTCTAATCTTTTTTCAAGGTATTTAGCTTCCTTGTGATGGGTTTGAACATCTTCCTTTAGCTCGGAGAAGTTTTTTATTACTGACCTTCTGAAGCCTACTTCTATCAACTCATCAAAGTCATTCTCTGTCCAGCTTTGTTCCATTTCTGGCGAGGAGCTGAGATCCTTTGGAGGAGAAGAGGCACTTTCATTTTTAGAATTTTCAGCTTTTCTGCACTGGTCTCTCCCCATCTTTGTGGTTTTAGATGATGGTGACCTACAGATAGGGGTTTTGGTGTGGATGTCCTTTTTGTTGATGTTGATGCTATTTCTTCCTGTTTGTTAGTTTTCCTTCTAACAGTCAGGTCCCTCAGCTGCAGATCTGTTGGAGTTTGCTGGAGGTCCACTTCAGACCCTGTTTTCCTGGGTATCACCAGTGGAGGCTGCAGAACAGCAAATATTGCAGAACAGTAAATATTGCTGCCTAACCCTTCATATGGAAGCTTCATCTCAGAGGGGCACCCAGCTGTATGAGGTGTCAGTCAGCCCCTACTGGGAGTTGTCTCCCAGTTAGGCTACACTGGGGTCAGGGACCCACTTGAGGAGGCAGTCTGTCTGTTCTCAGAGCTCAAACATCATACTGGGAGAACCACTGCTCTCTTCAGAGGGGTCAGACGGGGACTTTTAAGTCTGCAGAAGTTTCTGCTGCCTTTGGAGTCTACAGAGGCAGGCAGGCCTCGTTGAGCTGTGGTGGGGTCCACCCAGTTTGAGCTTCCCAGCCACTTCATTTACCTACCCAAGCCTCAGCAATGGTGGACATCCCTCCCCTAGCCAGTCTGTCACCTTGCAGTTTGATCTCATACTGCTGGGCTCCGTGGGTGTGGGACCCACTGAGCCAGGCACAGGGTATAATCTCCTGGTGTGCTGTTTGCTAAGACCATTGGAAAAGCACAGTATTAAGGCAGGAGTGTCCCGATTTTCCTGGTACAGTCTGTCACGGCTTCCTTTGACTAGGAAAGGGAAATCCCTCAACTCCTTGCACTTCCTGGGTAAGGCGATGCCCCAGCCTGCTTCGGCCCACCCTCCATGGGCTGCACCCACTGCCCAACCAGTCCCAATGAAATGAACCAGGTACCGCAGTTGGAAATGCAGAAATCACCCATCTTCTGCGTTGATCACACTGGGAGCTGCAGACTAGAGCTGTTCCTATTCGGCCATCTTGGAATCCAGAAGCCTAGTTTTTTTTTTGTATTAAACATTTGATTCCTTCCTATTTTCTTTTCTTCATGTTCTATAGCTTTTTTTGTGGTTGTGTTTTATGTGGTCATGTTTAACATGCAAAGTTATAAGACTAACTTGAATTTATATCAATTTAATGTCAATAGCACACAACAATTCTGCTTCAATACAAGTCTGCTCCCCTTTTCTGTTATTGATACCACAGATTACATCTTTATATATTTTACACCCAGAAACATAGATTAGTGATTTTATATGCATCTGTATTTTAAATTATGTAGAAGATGAAAAGTACAGTTACAAACCAAAATTACAAGAATACTAACTTTTATAAATGCCCATGTGTTTACAATTATGAAAGACCTTTTTTTCTTCAAACTGTCAAGTTACTGTGTAGTTTCCTTTCATATCAACCTGAAGGACTCCCTTTAGCATTTCTTACAGGGGAGGTATTTTAGTAACAAATTCCCCCAGCTTTTGTTCATCTGGGAATGTCTTAATTTCTCCTTCATTTTTGAAGGACAATTTTGCTGGAAATAGAATTCTTACTTGACTTTTTTTTTTTTCAAGCACTTTGAATATATCTGTCTACTTTCTTCTGCTCTCTAAGATTTTTGATAAAAAATTGGCTGATAATCTTATTTAAGATTCTTTTATATTACAAGTTGCTTCCACCTTGGTGCATTCAAGATTCTGTACATGTGAACAAAGAAACTGAATAGACATTTTTCCGAAGAAGACATACAAAGGGCCAACAGGTATATGAAAAAAATTTCAGTATAACCAAACATCAGGGAAATGCAAATTAAAATAACAATGAGATATCACCTCATACCTATTAGGATAGCTATTCCCCAAAAGACAAAAAATAACAAGTGTTGGTGAGGATGGAGGAAAGGGAACCCTTGTACTGTTTGTGAAAATGTAAATTGGTTATAGCTATTATTGAAAACAGTATAGAAATTGCTCAAAAAATTAAAAGTAGAGCTACCATGTGATCCAACAATTCCATTTCTGGGTACATAGCCAAAGGAAATGAAATGATAACTATATAAAGTGAAAGATATGTTAATTAGTTTGATTGTAGTAATCATTTTACAATGTATATATGTATAAAACATCAAATTATATTTCAGTGAAGCTGTTACTTAAAAATTAAAAAATAAAATTATTCTCTTACTGTCTTTGGTTTTTGATAGTTTGATTATAGTATTTCTTATTGTGGGTCTTTTTAAGTTTATCCTTCTTGGAGTTTGTTGAGCTTCTTGGACTTACAGATTCATATATTTCATCAGATTTGGGGATTTCACCGTCATTACTTTAAAATCTATTATTTTGGACTCACTTTCTCTCTCTTCTCTTTTTGGAACTCACACAGTAGACATATTGGTTTATTTCGTGATGTCTCACATGTTCCTTAGGCTCTATTTATATTTCTTTTTTCTTTCCATTTCTGAGACTCAATGATTTTAATCGTCCCATCTTAAAGTTTGCTCATTCTTTCTTCTGCCTATTCAAATCTGCTTTTTAACTCCTCTAGTAAATTTTTCATTTCAGTTATCTTACCTTTCAGCTCTGGGATTTATTTTTCATTTTGGTTATTATATCTTTCAGCTTCCAAATTTCATTTTTGCTATTTAAAAGAATAATTTCTATTATTATTAACATTCTCATTTCATTCATACATTGTTTTCCTGTCTTTTTAAATGTTTTTTCTTTTTTAGATCTTTGAGCATCTTTAAAACAGTTGTTTTAAAGTTATTGTCTAGTAAGTCCAACTTCCATTGATTTGTTTTGTTCTTTTGAATGAGCCATACTTTTCTGATTGTTTTGTTTGCCTTGTGATTTTTTGTTGAAAGCTGAACATTTAAATTACGTAATGTGGTAACTCTGGAAAGCAGATTGTCCCCTTTCCACAGGGTTTGCTGTTTTATTAAAAAAAATATTGCAGGTCGTCTCTGTGCCAGGCCTCAGTTTGAGGTGAAGACTTAAGGTATTCTCAGGTATTTTCTGAGCTTATATCTTTCTCTGGGCATGTGTGATGGCTTTCTAAATTCTTTCGTATATGTGATTGCACTTGAATATCCCAACTTGCACCTCAACAATCAAAAGCCATAATCTGCAATCAGAACACACAACTCCAGTATTTGTAGGGAAAGGTCTTTATTGCCCACTCAGGCTCCAGAAAGCTATACTAAGAATATGGGCTTTCATCCTCACAGCTACCTGGTACAGAATTGGAGACTGGGAGGTGGTAGACACTACTGAGGGAAAGCTAAGACTGATAGAAATTAACTGCAATTTAGCAGCTGACCTTTCTTTTGGAAGCTGCAAGCATTCAAATTCACTTAAGCATCAGAAATAGTTACTTCAGACAATTTCTGCTAGTAGAATTGTTGCCTAGGTGGACAGACAGATTCCTGATGCTTCCTACTTCATCATTTCCTTGACATCCCCTGCTGTTTTTGACAAAGGTGCAAAAGCAATTTGTTTGAGAAAGGAAACCTTTTAAACCAATGGTAGCGGGACAATTGGACACCCATAGGAAAAAAAATAAATCTCAACCTAAGTTTGACACCTTATACAAAAATTAACTTATAATGGATCATGGCTGTTAATGTAAAATGTAAAACTATAAAAACTAGAAAAAACCTAGGAGAAAATTTTCAGAATCTGGGGCTAGACAGAGAGTTCTTAGACTTGTTACCAAAAACATAATCCATATGAAAAAAAATGATAAATTGAACATCAGAATTTAAAAATTTAGCTGTGCAAAATACTTTACTTAAATGATGCAAAGGTGAACTATAGACTGAGAGAAAATATTTGAAAACCAAATATCTAACAAAAACCAGTATCTAGACTACATAAATGACTCTCAAATTCAAGAGTTTAAAAAAATGCCAAAACAATCCAACTTAAAATTGGCAAAAGATATGAAGAGATATTTCAGCAAAGAGGATATAAGATGGCAAATAAGCAATGAAAAGATATTCAACATTATTACCCATTAGTGAAATTCACATTAAAATCATCATGACATATAATTACCTACCTATTGAAATGGCTAAAATAAAAACAGTGACAGTATCAAATGCTGGCATGAATAAAAAGAAAGTAGAACATTCACAAACTGGTGGTAGAAATGTAAAATGATACAGCCACTCTGGAAACCAGCTTGGCAGTTTCTTAAAATCTAAATATGTTACTTATATATGACCCAGAAATTGCACTATTGGTCAATTATCCAAGACAAATAAAGGCTTATGTTTGCATAAAAAACTTTATAGGAATGTTTATAGCAACGTTATTTGTAACAGCCTTAAATTAGAAACAACCTAGATGTCCTTCAACAAGTGAATGGTTAGTGATACATAGTAAAGTACTTAGATGATATGGTTTGGCTGTGTCCCCACCCAAATCTCAACTTGAACTGTTATCTTCCAGAATTCCCACATGTTGTGGGAGGGACCCAGCCAGAGATAATTGAATCATGGGAGCTGGTCTTCACTGTGCTATTCTCGTGATAGTGAATGAGTGTCATGAGATCTGATGGGTTTATCAAGGGCTTTCACTTTTGATTCTTCCTCATTTTTCTCTTGCTGCCACCACGTAAGGAGTGTCTTCTGCTTCCTGCCATGGTTCTGAGGCCTCCCCAGCCATGTGGAACTGTAAGTCCAATTAAACCTCTTTTTGTTCCCAGTTTTGGGTATGTCTTTATCAGCGCATGAAAATGAACTAATACAGTAAATTGGTACCAGTAGAGAAGGGTGTCACTGAAAAGATACCCGAAAATGTGGAAGCAACTTTGGAAGTGGGTAACAGGCAGAGGTTGCAACAGTTTGGAGGGCTCAAGAAGACAGGAAAATGTGGGAAAGTTTGGAACCTCCTAGAGACTTACTGAAAGGCTTTAACAAAAATGTTGATAGTGATATGAACGATAAGGTCCAGGCTGAGGTGGTCTCAGATGAACATGAGGAACTTGTTGTGAATTGGAGCAAAGGTGATTTTTGTTATGTTTTAGCAAAGAGACTGGCAGCATTTTGCCCTTGCCCTAGAGATTTGTGGAACTTTAAACTTGAGAAAGAGGATTTAGGGTGTCTGGTGAAGAAATTTCTAAGCAGCAAAGCACTCAAAAGGTGACTTGGGTGCTGTTAAAAGCATTCCATTTTAAAAGGGAAACAGAGCATAAAAGTTCAGAAAATTTGCAGCCTGATGATGCAGTAGAAAAGAAAAACCCATTTTTTGAGGAGAAATTCAAGCCAGCTGCAGAAATTTGCATAAGTAGCAAGGATCCTGATGTTAATCCCCAAGACCATGGGAAGAAGGTCTCCAGGTGATGTTAGAGACCTTCACAGCAGCCCCTCCTATCACAGGCCTGGAGGACCAGGAGGAAAAAGTGGTTTCGTGGGCTGGAACCAGGGCCCCTGTACTGTGTGCAGCCTAGGGACTTAGTGCCCTCTGTCCCAGCCACTCCAGCTATGGCTGAAAGAGGCAAACATAGAGCTTGGGCTGTGACTTCAGAGGGTGGAAGCCCAAAGCCTTGGCAGTTTCCACGTGATGTTAAGTCTGCGGGTGCACAGAAGTAAAGAATTGAGGTTTGGGAACTTCCACCTAGATTTTAGAAGATGTATGGAAATGCCTGGATGCCCAGGCAAAAGTTTGCTGCAGGGGCAGGGCCCTCATGGAGAACTTAGGCTAGGGCAATGTGGAAAGGAAATGTGGGGTTGGAGCCCCCACAGAGTCCCTACTGGGGCACTGCCTAGTGGAGCTATGAGAGGAGGGCCACAGTCCTCCAGACCCCAGAATGGTAGATCCACCAACAGTTTGCACCATGAACCTGGAAAAGCCACAGACACTCAATGCCAGCCTATGAAAGCAGCCAAGAGGGAGGCTGTACCCTGCAAAGCCACAGGGGTGGAGCTGCCCAAGACCATGGGAACCCACTTCTCACACCAATGTCACCTGGCTGTGAGACCTGGGGTCAAAGGAGATCATTTTGGAGCTTTAAAATTTGACTGCCCCGCTGGATTTTGGACTTGCATGGGCCCTGTAATGCCTTTGTTTTGGCCAATTTCTCCCATTTGAAATGGCTGTATTTACCCAATACCTGTACCTCCATTGTATCTAGGAAGTAGCCAGATTGCTTTTGATTTTACAGGCTCATAGGCAGAAGGGACTTGCCTTGTCTCAGATGAGACTTTGGACTGGACTTTTGTGTTAATGCTGAAATGAGTTAAGACTTTGGGGGACTCTTGGGAAGGCATGATTGGTTTTGAAATGTGAAGACATGAGATTTGGAGGGTCCAGGAGTGGAATGATATGGTTTGGCTGTGTCCCCAACCAAATCGCAACTTGAACTGTATCTCCTAGAGTTCCCATGTGTTGAAGGAGGGACCCAGGGGGAGGTAATTAAATAATGCTGGCTGGTCTTTCCCAGGCTATTCTCGTGATAGTGAATAAGTCTCACGAGATCTGATGGGTTTATCAGGGGTTTCTGTTTTTGCTTCTTCCTTCTTTTTCTCTTGTGGCTGCCATGTAAGATGTGCCTTTTGCCTCCTGCCATGATTCTGAGGCTTCCCCAGCCATGTGAAACTGTAAGTCCAATTAAACCTCTTTTTGTTCTGGTTTTGGGTATGTCTTTATCAGCAGCATGAAAACGAACTCATACATTAGTAATAAAAAAACCTATTGATGCATGTAACAACATGGATGAACTACCAATTATGTTGAATAAAGAGAAAACATCTAAATAATTATGAAATACATTATTCTATTTATGTAACATTTTCGAAATGACAGAACTATAGAAATGGAGAATACATTTGTATTATCAAGCGTTAAAAAGGAGGTTTACAAGAGGGAAGTGGGTGTGGCTATAAAAGAACAACTTGAGGGATCCTTGTGCTGAAGGATATATTGTGTTTTTTGACTGTATCTATGTCAATATCCTGGCTGTATATTGTACTATAGTTTAGCAAGATGTTACAATTGAGGAAAACTGGGTAAAAAGGAGATGGGATTGATGCAGGGCAGGCAAGCCCCAAAATTGGAGCTTAGCCCAGGAGAGTTCTTGGCTTTGCCCAGGAAAGAATTCAAGGGTGGGCTGGAGGTGTTAAACAGCAACTTTCACTGAAGCGGCAGTGTACAGCAGCACCACAGGTACTGCTCCTTATGGAGCAGGGCTACCCTATAGGCAGTGTACCTGGAGTAGCAGCTCAGTCAGTTTTGCAGTCATATTTATACTGACTTTTAATCACATGCAAATTAAGGGGCGGTTTATGCTGAAATTTCTAGGAAAAAGGCAATAACTTCCAGGTCATCTGGTCATTGCCATGGAAAGGAGTGGTACCTTCTGGGTGTTGCCATGGCAATGGTAAATTGACATGGCACAGTGGTGGGCATGTCCTATGGAAAGCTGCTTCCCCTGCAGTGTCTATTTTAGCTAGTCCTCAATTTGGTCCCATGCCTAAGCCCTGCCTCTGGAGTCAAGTCTCTGCTCCTACCTCAGGATCTCTCTATATTATTATTTTATGACTGCATGAGAATCTACAGCTATCTCAAAATAAAGTTTAATTAAAAAATACAGATGTGAGAATTTTGCCTATTTCTAACAAGGCAGCCTACATGGAAACACTTCCTAGAGTTGGTGGGTATAATGTTCTCTTGGAAACTAAATAGCAGAATCATTAAGAGCATATTTGTGTTGGCTAATCAATTTACTTGTGAATTCCAAGTTTATCCTTATAGGGAACAAAGGCATCTAAAGTTACAGGAAAAAAATCCCATACTTTCGATTCTAAAAGTTTCCTATTTGAATTAACTCAAATATAGGGAGGTATTTTTAGAGTTGGCCAGAATACGCAGTTTTACAATAGCTGAGGCATGGAAGCCTCTATGATCCCTAGGGAGACATACGGCCTCAGGAATTTATACAGCATACTGGGGAAATTGAAGCTTGAAAAATAGATCAGAGGAGCCAGCAGCTAGCATTTAGTGGCTAAGAGCACTGATTTTGAAGCTGAAGTGTGAATCTTGCCTTCACTGCTTAACAGCTGTGTGACTTTAGGCAAATTGCTTAACCTCTCTGGGCCCAGAGGTTAAGCTCTAGGAAGTGCTTCCACGTAGGCTGCTTGAACTAGGAACAGGGACTTTTAGTTATATGCAAATTAAGGGGGGGTTTATGCAGAAATTCCTAGGAAAAAGGCAGTAACTTCCAGGTCATCCGGTCATTGCCATAGAAAGCAAAACTCAGGCAAAGGCGCCACTGGCTGCAGAGTTTCTGGCTGGAGAAGCCACACTCCAAGGATCCCATAACATTATCTCCCTCTGATATCTGGTCAGGAGTCATGAAGCTCTGGTGCCAACCTGGGCTGTCTGGTTTCTTTAAGCAGCTGAGCCTATAAATAAGGGACTAACGAGAAACAGTAAGAAAAATAATTTTTCCAGCTATTTCGTCAGGGCTGTTCTGGTAACCCTTTAACACCAAAAAATGCTTAAAATAGTGTTTGACATATCATAAGCCACTATATGAATATTTATTAACTTACTAAATAATAGAATAACATACCATCAGAAATAATGTTTTTGGCTTTACCCTCAATTTTGAGGTGTTGGGAAAGACCTTGACTGTCCACTAATATCTGTTTTTAGGGAGTTGTTGGAATGGGAATTTGAGGGACTGCACCAAGTATGCTGCTACTCTGATAAAAACCATAACTTTCGAACACCTTTGAATAATAGGGGGAGACAAAAGGAACTGAAAGAATGGGACTGCAGTCAAGAGTGTTGACTGATTGCCAAAATTAATCTCCCCTTCCCTTCTGTAGCATAGACTCAATTTTTTTGGCACATTTGTGCCCCTCCACAATGCCAGGCACACAGAAAAGTAACCCACTCAATCCCTCACCAGGAAGATAGGTTTTATTTAACATTAGCCAGCCAGTCAAAGCAGTTCCATTTCTCTTGCCAGTGGCTGGACTAGGAAGAGGCAGGTGACTCAGTCCTGGGCAATGAGACATGTAGGGAAGTCTCTTTGGAAACATCTAGAAAAAGTTTGCTGATAAAAAAGGCACTAAGGAGAAAATGGTTTCTCTCCTTTTGATTAAGAAAATGTAGAGGAGAAAGTGAGGAAGACAAGTAGATATGGGAAAAATCACAACCTAACTCATATTCCAGATAATTAAATTCAGATATTGGAGAGAATTATAAAAGAAAACTTTCTTAAACTAAATAAAAACCCAAGCCCCCCTTACTAACATAACTGAATTTTTATTTATTTTTATGTATGTATTTATTTAGAGACAGTTTCACTCTTGTTGCTCAGGCTGGAGTGTAATGGCGCCATATGGGCTCACCACAACCTCCGCCTCCCAGGTTCAAGTGATTCTCCTGCCTCAGCCTCCCAGGTAGCTGGGATTACAGGCATGCGCCACCATGCACAGCTAATTTTGTATTTTTAGTAGAGACGGGGTTTTACCAGGTTGGCCAGGCTGGTCTTGAACTCCTGACCTCAGATCATCCGCCCACTTCGGCCTCCCAAAGTGCTGGTATTACAGGCGTGAGCCACCATGCCCGGCCCTAAATATTTTTATTTAACAAATATTTATTATCTGTTATTTGCCAGACATTATTCTATGAAATGGGTAAAGTCCTCCTTTAATGGAGCTTTCATTCTACATAGAGAAGAAAGATTAAAAAACAAACAAACAAACAATAAGGTAACTTTAGACAATGCTAAAGTGTTAAAGTGCCTAAGTGGAAATAAAATACTGTGAGGCCATAGAGATTGAAGGGATTGATATTTGAATAATATAATAATATATGAATTATATTGATATTGACATGATATGATATTTAATGATATGATGTCAATAACATAAAGGCCTTGTGAAGGAGCCAGTCTAGGGACAAGCATTCCAGATTGGGGAAAGAGCTAATACAAAGACATCAAGTAAGTAGTAAGAAGGCCGACGTGGCTTAGATAGGGTTTTCATGGTGACTGGCATTCCTGTGTCATATGCACATTCTCTTCAGAGGTCTGGATCTCAGTCCTGTGAGCCTCTTCTCTAAATTTCTAGCTTTTTCCTGGTTCATCTGTTCCCTCAACCCTGAGGATAACAGCTTGTTTTAGCAATTGCTATTTCTATTACACCTTAGAGTTCTCCTTAACTCTTTTAATAGTTAAATCACTGGTTGGGTTCTATCTTCTGACTGGACCCTGACTATTACATTTCTGTGGCTGACCTGGCTTATTTTGGTTGTCAGAGTGAGAGGAATAGTATCTTGTGATATTCTACATCCAAACCAGAAGTGGAACTGCAGTCAAATTTTGAGGTATGCAAGTTTAACAGATGAAAAGGGATACCTCCTTATTGTTTGTGTCTCTTTAGTTATTAGTAGGTGCATGTATCCTTCAGGTGTATATAAATAATCAGTTTTCTTATTTTTTTTCAGTGAACTACCTATTCATTTATTTTGCCTCATTTTGTATTGGGTTGTCTTTTGCTTATTTACTTTTAAGAGTTTTTTTATATATTGGGGAAATTAGCCTTTGTCATATTCTTGCAAATATTTTTAATTTACATGTTGCTATCCAAGTGCATTAGTTATCTATTGCTGTGTAACAAATTGCCCCCAAATTTAGCAGCTTATAGCAACAAACTTTTATGTCAGACTGTCTCTGGGGGTCAGGAATCCAGTAGTAATTTAGCTGGGTGGCTCTGGCTCAGAGTCTCTCATGAGGGCTGCCATCACCTCAAGGCTTAACTGGGGCTGAAGAATGTTCTTTTAAGCTCACGCATGGTGGTTGTTGGCAGGCCTTAGGTCTTCACTGGCCATTGTCTGTAGGCTTCAATTCCTCAACACACGGACCTCCTGCCAACAGGCCAGCTCTTTCACAGAGTGAGTGAAATAAGAGAGCACACAAAACAGGAGGCATAGTCTATTATAACCCAGTCTTGGAAGTAACACACCGTAACTTCTGCTCAATGCTATTGATCACACAGACCAATCCTGCTGCAGTATGTGGGAGATGACTACAAAAGGTTGTGAATACCAAGTGTCAATGGTTATTGAGAATCATGTTGGAGGCTGACTACTCCACCAGCATTTTTAAAAAACTGTTCTTGTCATCAAATGTAAGGCTCTGCATTCATAGCTTAAAATTTTTGAATTTTATTTAGAAAGACAGATTCCATCTTAGATTATTAAAAAAATCCATCATACGTTTTTCTAGTACTTGTACAGTTTCTGTTCGTATATTAATTTTTCATCCACTTGGAGCTCATTTCTGTTAACTATTGAGTAGGGATCTAGATTTATTTTTTTAAATGAACAGTCATTTGTCCCAAGACCTTTAGAGAGCAGTCAATTTTCTGTCCACTAAGTTGAGATGCTGCTTTTTAAATTGTTAACATATATTACTTCATCATTTATATGTTAAAGTGTGTTTCTGGAATTTCTATTTGGTTTCATTGGTGTGTCTACTCATGTTCTAGCACCGAAGTTAATTGCCATCATTTTATATTTTGTTGTTGTTTTTACTTTTTATTTAGAAATAATTATAGATTCCTACAAAATTGCAAAGAAATGCACAGGAAGTTCCCACGCATCCTTTGTCCAACTTTCACCAATGTTAACATAATTATAGTACCTATTAATACCAGAAAATTGGCACTGGTATAATCCACAAAATGTATTCAGATTTCACCAGTTAAACATGCAACTATTTGATTTGTGTGTGTGTGTGTATGTGTGTGTGTGTAGGTGTGTGTGTAGCTCTATGCAATTGTATCTCATGTACAGCTTTTTGTAATTACCACCAAGTTTTACTTCATTCTCTTACTGCTACAAAGAAATACATGAAATTGGGCAATTTATAAAGGAAAGATGTTTAATTGGCTCATGGTTCTATAGGCTGTATAGGTAGCATAATGCTGGCATCTGCTCAGGGAGGCCTCAGGAACTTACAATCATGGCAGAAGGGAAAGGGGAAGCAGGCATGTCTTACATGGCTGGAACAAGAGGAAGAGAGAGTGGGGGAGGTGCCACACATTTTTAACCAGATATTGTGAGAACTCTATCATAAGACAGCACTAGAGGGATGGTGCTAAACCATTAGAAACCACCTCCACAAGCCAATCACCTCCCACCAGGCCCCACTTCCAACATTGGGGATTATAATTTAACATGAGATTTGGGTGGGGACACAGATCCAAACCATATCATACCAAGATACTTCCAGTACTGTCATCACGGGATCCCTGGTGCAATTCATTTCTAGCCACCAACACCACATCCATTCCCTTGCCACTAGCAAAAACTAACTTGTTTTCTATCTGTAGAATTCTGTCATTTCACAAATACTGTATAAATGAAATTGTGTACTGTGTATCCTTTTGAGATTGGATTTTTTAATTCAGTGTAATTCCCTTGAAGTTCATCAAAGTTTTTGTCTGTATCAGTTGTTTATTCCTTTTTAATCACAGAATGAAGCACTGTTTAACCATCCATCCATTAAAGGACATTTGCATAGTTTATAGGTTTTGGCTGTTATGAATAAAGCTGCTTTAAACATTTATGTGTAAATTTCTGCTTGAAAATAAGTTTTCTCCTCTGCCCAAGAGTCCAAGTGCTGTATTATATGGTAAGCCTATTTTTAATATACATACTTTTAAAAAACTACCAAACTGTTTCCCACGGTGAATGTACCATTTTACATTCCCATTTGCAACAATACTGTAAGTAATACTATTTCTCCACCTTTTTACCTGCATATTATTACCACTATTTTTGTGTTGTGAGTATTTTTTTTAATATAGCCATTTTGATTGGTGTGTAGGATAACTCACTATGGTTTTGATTGGTATTTCTCTAGTAGCTAATGATGTTGCATGCATTTTCATGTGCTTAATTTCCATTTGTATAGCCTCTTCAAAGAAATGTCTTTTCATGTTTTTTGCCCATTTAAAAATTGTGAGTGTATTTATTTTAATTAACAAATAAAAATTGTATGTATTTATTGCATACAACTTGTTTTGAAATATGTGTACATTGAAGAATGACTAAATCAAGTGAATTAACATATGCATTATCTCACCTCCTTTTTGTGGTGAGAACACTTAAAATCTATTTTCTCAGCAATTTTCAAAAACTAGTATGTTATTAACTATAGTCATCCTGTTGTGCAATAGAACTCTTGAACTTATTCCTTCTGTCTAACTGAAGTTTTGTATACCTTGACCAGCATCTCCCCAACTTTCTCCTCCTCCACACCCAGACCCTGATAATCATCATTCTGCTCTCCAATTCTACAAGTTTAACTCTTTTAGATTTCATATATAAGTAGATCATGCAGTATTTGTATTTCTGTGCCTGGCTTACTTCACTTAATAAATGTCTTCCAGGTTCATCTTGTTGCAAATTATAGTAATTCCATCTTTCTAAAGGCTGAATAGTATTCCATTGTATATTTATACCACATTTTAAAATCTATTCATCCACTGATGGACACTTAGGTTAATTTCATATTCAGATATTATCAATAAAGCTGCAAAGAACATGGGAGTGCAGATAACTCCTCAATGTGCCGATTTTATTTTCTTTGGATATATATCCAGTAGTGGAATTGCTGGATTATATGGTAGTTCCATTTTTAATTTTCTGAGGAACCTCCATAGTTTTCCATAATGGCTGTACTAATTTATATTCCCACCAACAGTGTAGAGGGCTTCTTTTGTCTCCACATGCTCACCAATACTTGTTATCTTTCATCTTTTTGATAAAAGCCATTCTAACACGTGTGGAATGATATCTCATTATGGTTTTAATTTGCATTTTTGTGACGATTAATGATTTTGAGCACTTGTCATATACTTCTTGGCCATTTGTATATCTTCTTTTGGGAAATGTCTATTCAGATTATTTGTTCATTTTTTAATTGAGTTATTTGTTTTCTTACTATTTAGTTGTTTGAGTTCCTTATATATGTTGAATATTAATCCCTAAACAGATGAATGATTCACAGACATTTTTCTCATTCCATATGTTGTTTTTCACTCTGTTGTTTCCTTGGGTGTAAGTTTTAGTTTGATGTAATCTCATTCATCTACTTTTGGTTTTGTTGCCTGTGCTTTGTTGTTTATATCATGTCTTTTGCCCATTTTTAAATTGGATTTTTCGTTTTTCTCATATTGAGTTTTGGGGTTTTAAAAATATATTCTAGATGCTTGTATTTTGTTGAATATGTGATTCACAAATATTCTTTCCCAGTCTGGAGCTTGCATTTTTATTATTTTAACAGTATCCTTTGCAAAGCAAAAGTTTTAAATTTTTATGAGGTCTAAGTTGTCAATTTTTTCTTTTGTGAATTGTGTTTTTAGTATCACTTTAAGATTTCTTTTCTAGCTGTAGGTCCTTAACATATTATTCTACCTTTTCTTCTAGAAGTTTTATGGTTTTACTTTTATATTTAACTCCATAATTGATTTTGAGTTAATTTTTGTATAAGTTGTATGACTTAGGTTGAGGGTCATTTTTTTGCCTGTGAATGTCATTTTAAAGACTATTCCTTCTCATTCAGTTTTCTGTTCATTTATCAAATATTAATTGGACATATTGCTGTGGGTCTATTTCTGGGTTCTCTATTCCGTTCCACCAGTCTATGTGTCTATTCCTCTGCAATTTCATGCTGTCTTATTTATTATAGCTATATAGCAACCCTTAACACTGGGAAGAGTGATTCCTTCCACTTGATTCTTCAAAACTGTGTTTGGCTCTTCTAAAGCCTTTCCCTTTTCACACAAATTTTAGAAAAATCTTGTCTATGTCTACCAAAAACCCTTTCATAGATATTGATAGCAATTTTGTTAAACCTATAGATCAATGTTGGAAGAATTGAAATTTTTCTTATGCTGAGTCTTCTATTCCATAAACACGATAGATCTTGCCAAGTATGTAGGTTTTCTTGGATTTATTTCAGCAGCATTTTATAACTTTTAGTATATAGATTATGTATATATTTTGTTAGATTAATACCCATTTTCTTTGAAGCAATTATTAATAGTGTTGTGTTTTAAAATTTGATTTCCACTTGTTTTTTGCCAACATACATAAATGCAACTAATTTTTTTGTGGCAAATCTTGTATTCTTTGACCTTACTGAATTCATTTACTAGCACTAAGAGGTTTTTTTTTGGTAGATTCTTAGAATTTTCTATGTAGTCAATCATGTCATTTGCACATGACACCGTTTTATTTTTTCCTTTCTAACCTCCAAGTCTTTTTGGTTTTTGCCTTATTGCAGTAGTTAAAATTTCCAGTATTATTGAATAAGAATGATTAGGGTGGATACCCTTGTTTTGTTCCCAATCTTAAGGGAGAAACAGTTTTTCACCATTAAGTATGATGTTAGCTGAAATTTTTTGTAAACGTTCTTTGTGACATTGAGGCTAGTTTGTTGTTTAAGTTTCACTTCTTTGAAGATGTTACTCTTCTGTTATTTATTCTAGTTTTTTTTCTGTTATGATCAGAGAATATATTCTGCATGATTTCAATTATTTCAAATTTGTTAAGGTTTGTTTTATAACTCAGAAAATAGTCTATCTTGGTGTATGTCTCATAACTACTTGAAAAGAATGCATATTCTGCAGTCGTTTAGTGTTGTGTTCCACAAATGTCAGTTAGATCCTGTTGATTGACAGTGTTTATCAGTTCTTCTGTTTCTTTACTTATTTTCTGTCTAGCAGTTCTGTCAACTGATGACAAGGGGTTTTTGAAGTCTTCAACTTTAATTGTGGGTTAATTCCCATGATTTTAAATACACTGTTATATATCGCAGGGCTTGTACTTCTAAGTGCTCTTTCAGACTTTCTCTCATCACCATTATAAGTTTGTTTCTTCATATGAAGTTTAGAATGAGGCTTGTCAAGTACAAAAGACCAAAATTATGGTTACATTTTTGTTGGAATCAGAATGAATCTGTAAATGTAAATAATTAATACATAATAAATAAAAAATAAATTACTATATAATATGCATGTAAATAAATGCACAAATATTTAACATACATAGAATATTTAGACTAAGAATAGAGTTTACATTACTATTTAAATCTTATTTTATTCATGAGAGTATAAAATTTTTTTATGTTTATTCTTCAATGGTTTGCTAGCCTTATTGCTAGATACATTAACTTTTTTTTCTATTTTATTTGTAGGATCTTTTTTCTATTGCAATTTCTTATTAGTGTTTGGTCTTGGACATTTTAAGGCTCTTAATCTATTTTGTCAAATTGGTTAATTAAACAATTTTACAATTACACATTATCTTACTTTAAGACTCTACTCAGGTAGTTGAACATGGATTGAAAAAGATTTTGTTAGCTTTGTCTTCAACACCTGTATTAGTCAGGGTTCTCTAGAGGGACAGAACTAATAGGATATACACATCAAGGGAAGTTTATTTAGTAGTATTAACTCACACGATCACAAGGTCCCGCAATAAGCCATCTGGAAGCTGAGGAGCAGGGAAGCCAGTCTGAGTCCCAAAGCTGAAGAACTTGGAGTCTGATTTTGAGGGCAGGAAGCATCCAGCATGGGAGAAAGCTGCTGGCTGGGATGCTAAGCCAGTCTAGCCTTTTCACATTTATTTTTCTGCCTGCTTCATATCCTGGATGCACTGGCAGCTGACTATATGGTGCCTACCCAGATTAAGGGTGGGTCTGGCTTTCCCAGCCCACTGACTGAAATTTTATCTACTTTGGCAACACTCTCACAGACACACCCAGGATCAATAATTTGCATCCTTCAATCCAATCAAGCTGAAGCTCAGTATTAACCACTCCTTGACAATTGGAACCCATACACATCTCCTCAGATCATACATAATCTTCAAATAAAGACAATAATAAGGTCATAATTACACGTAATATAATACAACTATCCTTCGTACAATTGGAAATGCACCAATCCCCAAATACTATTACATAAAGTTAACAATACTTAAATGCTGATATGAAGTCAATAAATATCTCACATGATAAAGGAAAAAGGAAATAAAATCAAGATATTTTCTTAGTGCAAGTGTATACGTGCACAAACATGTTTTTAACAAAAGAGGGAGGAAATACTCATGACAATTACAGTCCTCATTTCTGCAGCCGGTCATGTGGTCATAGCTGGTATTGATGACTACTAGTTCTTCTACCACCCTTTCTGTATTTCCTTTGCCTTCAGCATGCACCTCAGCAGGTTGTGTTTTTGTTTTTTTTTTTTTTTTTCCTGGTGGAGTGACCCAAACCTTCATTCCTGAAGGGTCTGGGCCATTTGTAGTCCTGCCTGGATTGGGCTGTTGTAGTTTCCTGTTGGCCTTAATCACAGGGCATGGGAATACTAAGAGGTGTCCTGATGGATCTCCTGTATTCCATGCATACTCTTTCTTATCTTCCTTGTGGAGTAGTAAACTGATTTCATTTTGATGATCTGGGTCAATAACCCCAGCCAACACTGTAACTCCTTTCTTAGCCTGTTGACTTAAAGGTAGGAGAAGCCCCAAATGTCCAGGTGGCAATCTCAGCTTCCAGTTTAATAGAATCATTGTTGTGTCTCCTGGTGGCAGTGTACCTCCCTCTGGAACTAAGACCTCTAGACCAGCAGAATGTAATGTTGCAGGAACAGGAAGCAAAAATTTTGCTAGTGGATCACTAGTGGAGGTGGTGAGTGGTGCCACTTTCACTTTCACCCCTTGATTTCTGGACCCACGAATCCTGGCTATGAAAAAAACAGTACCACATACTGGATGCTGATTCAGAGCATACAGGGCTTCTGGAGAACTTTTCCCCAGCTCTGCAGAGCATTGTCACCTAGTTGGCATCGTAATTGTGATTTCAAAAGGTCATTTCACCATTCTATCAATCCAGCTGCTTCAGGATGATGGGGAACATGGTAAGACCAGTGAATTCCATGAACATGAGCCCACTGCCACACTTCTTTAGCCATAAAGTGAGTGGCTTGGTCAGAGGCAATGCTGTGTGGAATACCATGATGGTGCATAAGGAATTCTGTGAGTTCTTGGATGGTTGCCTTGGCAGATCCATTGCGTGCAGGATAGGCAAACCCATATCCAGAGTGTCTATTCCAGTGAGGACAAACCTCTGCTTTTTCCATGATGGAAGAGGTCCAATATAATTGATCTGACACCAAGTAGCTGGCTGATCACCCCAAGGAATGATGCCATATTGAAGGGTCAGTGTTGGTCTCTGTTGCTGGTGAATTGAGCACTCAGCAGTGGCTATAGCCAGGTCAGCTTTGGTGAGTGGAAGTCCATGTTGCTGAGCCCGTGTGTAACATCCATCCTTTCCACCATGGCCACTTTGTTAATGGGCCCCTTGGGCAATGACAGGGGAGTCTGTGGAAAGAGGCTGAGTGGTGTCCACAGAATGGGTCATCCTATCCACTTGATTACTAAAATCCGCCTTTGCTGAGGTCACCCACTGGTGAGTACTCACATGGGATACAAATGTCTTTACGGTTTTTGACCACTCAGAGAGGTTCATCCACATACCTCTTCTCCAAAATTTTGTCACCAATTTTCCAATAATGCTTCTTCCAAGTCCCTGACCATCCAGCCAAACCATTGGCTACAGCACATGAATCAGCATATAATTGCACATCTGGTCATTTCTCCTTCCATGCCAAGTGCACAATCAGGTGCACTACTCAAAGTTCTGCCCACTGGGGAGATTTCCTTTCACTGCTGTCCTTCAGGGTTGTCCTAGAAAGGGGCTGTAGTGCTGCATTGTCCACTTTTGGGTGGTGCCTGTGTATCATGCAGAACCATCTATGAACCAGGCCCTAGTCTTCTCTTTCTCTGTCTACTGATCATAGAGAATGGCCCATGAGGCCATTGGTGCAGGCTGGGGGAGAGAAGGCAGGGTGGCAGGAGTGTAGACCATGGGCATTTGAGCCACTTCCTCATGTAACTTACTTGTACTTTCAGGACCCACTCAAGCCCGATCATATACATACCACTTCCAGGCCTCCGCTGTGTTTCACCTATGGGGTGAAACACTCCTGACTGAAATGTTAATCTACTTTGGTAACACCCTTGCAGACACACCCAGGATTGATACTTTGCATCCTTCATTCCAATCAAGTTGACACTCAGTATTAACCATCACAACACCCCATCTCAATCATTTTCCATCTCATATTAGAGTAAAAGTCTAAATTGTTTCACAGTAGTCTTCCAGATCAGGTCCTACTTACATTATCTGGCTACCCAGGCTACCTTTTGGACCCCATTCCTTACTGCTTTTTTTTTTTTCTTTCAGCTATAGCCACAGTAGCCTTCCTGGTATTCCTTGAAAATGCTTAGTGCACTTTTGCGTCAGGGCCTTTGCATTGGCTACTCCCTTTGTCTGCAATAAGTTCCCTCTGGAGAACGATATAGCTCATCCCTTCATTTCTTCACATTTCTACTCAACTCTTATCTTGTTAGTGAGATCTTGCCTGATTAACTCATATAGGAAGTAACCCTCTCCTCCACCTACTTTATTTTTTAAAACAGCATTTATCAATACATGAAATACTATATATTTTATTTATCTTTTCTTTCCCCTTTAGAATTTAAGCTACACAAGTGCAAAGACTTGCTCTTTTTCTTGCTGTTATGTCACCCATGCCTCATGTTGCCTGGTATATGTAAGCAGTAACTATAAGTGCAAATAATGAATACTATCAGGGCATGAGAGTGCCATCTTACTGTACTCTTACTTCACTCACTTGCAAAGAGATCACACTTCAGCTTATATCAGGCTCCATATTACTTTAGATCCAACGAGAAAGGGCAGTGTGTCTAGAAAGGAGAGAAGACAGTACAAATGAATTACTGGCAAAGAATAGCATGTGCAGAGGAGACCAGACTAGATTTGCAGATATCAGTGGGCTCTGTTGAAATCATTTCCTTTTCTCTACCCCTAGGAAATAAATGTGTGGATACAGAACCAGTGAACAACTTATGTGTTTCTGAATAAAGCTGCTGTGGCTTCCCAGAAGAAGGAAGGAGATTTCTGAGTTGTGAGAGGCCATCTATGAAGGCGGAAGCCCAGGGGCTCTACAGTTCCTTTACTTCTTCCCTTTTCACTGGTATAGAAACTACTCATGACGATCTTAGAGCCAGGGCCATTATTGGTTAAGATTGATAAATGTACTTTTAGACTGCCATCCTGGGATGGTAAGCATGCCTTAGGAGAGGCATTAGTAATCAGGTAGATGGTATTTCCAGGATGAGGGATCATTTCTTAAAGAGATACTTCTCAGGCAATTATTACAGCTTTCTCTTCATAGAAAAATACTGATTAAATGCTTGATGCTATATATAATGTCTCTGTGTTTATAAATCCCTAACTTAAAAGTCTAAGCTACCTGAGTGTCCTACATTCAACCCCAAATCAAAGTGCCCAAAATTTCCCATCAAAGATGGTTGCAAAAGAATGTTCATTGTTGGGGTATTAATTATACTGAAAAACTGAAAACAATAACACTGTCAATGTTAGGGAGTTGATTGGATTAATTATTGTATGTTTACAAAATGGAGTAGTATGTAGTTATATATGAAGTAAATAAATATTTTTTGATGTAGTGAGATATACGTGATAGATAGCTAAGTAAACAAAATGAGGTTATACTGTAGCATTACAGTATGATCCGCTTACATGTCTATGAAGAAATTACTGTTTAAAAACCAATATCAGAAACAAAATTTATTGTAGGAAAAGAACTGCTGTTTTATTAGAGAAAAATACTTCAGTTTGTCCTATGTTAAAGAAGGCATCACCTTCCCTACCCCATGCTACCACTATATCCAGGTAGCTGGTAAGATGAAGAATGGCTAAAGTTCTTCTTAGTAATAAAATAAATGAAGTCATAAACAACATGGAAAAATAATTTTCAAAAATATTACAAGTCACTTTTTTATTGCTGTGTCTGTCAGGCTTGAACTTCCTTATATTTTGTCTGCCTATTGGAATCATTCTCATGACATCACAGCATCCACCCAGTACTTCACAGGTAGAAATAGAATTCACACCATTTGAAGTGTTGATTCTCAAAACTGCCAATAAGATGGGCGGAGGAAAACACTACTATTATTACCATTTGGTAAATGAAAATATCAAATCAGAGAGTTTCAATGACATACTCCAAATCTCAGAGCTAATAGCTTCTGAAGATTATTTGTGTATGTCTTAGATTTAATAACTTAAGTGTATTGGTGCCATGACTGATCTCACATGATTGAATTAGTTTTCATTATCCAGACTCACAGAAGACTCATTTATAAGTTTTATATATTGGGTATATCTTTCAAGGTTCAGAACACTTGGTTGACCTATACACAATACCACTTTCTTGGTACCAAGATAATTGACAAATAGAATTAGTTCATTTATTTACTCATTCAAAAATGTGAGTATTTATCCATTGTCTACTTTATGCTGAATTCTATTATAGAGGCTGACTCTTGAGTGAAGCACGAAAATATATAATCTTTATTTCCATGGAGCTTATGATTTAACACAGGAAGACAGATATTAAAAATTGTGTTAAGTGCCTCAAAGGAAATTTATAGGGTGTATAAGCAAATAAAATAGGGTAAACACTTATATTGGACTTGTAGTGGTTAGAATTCTTTATTGCAAGTGACAGAAACTCAAATTAGCTTAGGTTAAAAAAAAGAGAAAAAGTGAAAGAGAATGCAATGACTGTTTTGGTCTGAGTTTTCTAGAAATCAGAGCCTGAGACGGATTAAATTGTTAACACTTTATTTGGAATGCAAATACTCAAGTCAATACAGGCAAAAGAGAGGGGAAGTGAGAAAAGTGGAGATGTGGAGCGTTATCATGCTGGTCTTGATCATATCAAGTCATGAAGAAATACAGCAAGGGCACAAAAACAGGCATACCACTTATCTGGAAAGTCTTCTCTGTAGAGGTTGCAATGAAGTCATGCCACAGAGCATTCCATGAGAATGAGGAAGAACAGAGAATCGATCTGCCCCTCCCACAGCCTGTGTTGTGGTGTTTAATCCAAACACTAGAATGTTTAATGAACATAGAATCAGAGTAAAGGGCTTATAATAAGTCACTGGGGCTGTGGTAGGTCTTTGTCCCCTCTCCCCTATACAGACATTCTTAACTCTCGTTACACTGTGGCACACTGAACCACGTTGAGATATTGACTCCCTGGGCCTTTAGTTCATTGAGATGTTGCCCGAGGCTGCTGAAATCCCTGGACCATTAATCTTATACTATAGTATCCTCCCCTGGGCCTTTGAATATCCCCCACTTTGTACCAGATTGCCCAAAAACTATTATTATGATATGAAAAACTTTGGGAAGCACTGACTGGAAATATACACTTTTTGTACTTTGTCCTTTGTCAGCTAAGAAGGGTGTTTCTCCTCCACAGATTGTGTTGGAGACACATGGACACATGTTTAACTTCTGATTCTAGTGCAGGCAGATTCTCTAAGGCTGAAGCAGGGTGGGGTTAAGTGACCTGAAGGTATGTATCAATGCTGGTCATCAGAATCTGGAGGCAGCAGATTTTTTAAAATGTGTTGGAATGTGTTGGTCTTCTTGGAAGCTCAGGGAGACTAATTTGCTCTCTTCTTCTTTTTTTCACCTTCCACCTGCTATATACCTTTGCCCATCCCTGCCACATCCAATTAATTGAGAAAGACTTCTCTAGTTACAGCGCGCGTTGGTGCCTGATTGGAGCAGTTGATATCCATCAAAAGTTTTAGAGAGAAAAACTGGCTAAGAACAATTAATAGTTAATCTTACTTTTAAAGTTCTTTTATATCATAGTTTCCAAGGTGATAGCTCACTGATTGCCAGCTTATTACTTTCTATTCCTTGTTGGGAATTGGGAGCTACCAAGACTTATCAAAACAAATCTATAAATAATTCTTTTGGATGGGTTACTCCTGTTGGGAAGAACTAGGCCATGGCATATTCCCTCTATCATTTGTTGAATCAGGTTTGCCTCAGTTTTGCAGTACTTTATTTTTCTTTAAATCCTGTGGCTGCATCCTATGTGTACAGCTTCTATAATGATTTTGGCTATAAATCAGATGTAATGTTTATGATAGCCTCTGTTACCTTATGTCACAGTGCACTGCTTCAAACATCTTGGTAGATTTTGACATTTATTTTCCTCTTAGGGGTATATTTCTAAAATGGGATTACTGAGTCAGAAAGAATTTGAATAGATCTTATCATATATTGTGAAATTATTTTGCTAAAAAACTACCATTTTTCAATGCCATGAGCAATATACTTATTTCCAAATGACCTACTACAATTGCATTTTATCCTTTATGCTTACTTTTGTTAATTTAACCACACTGTGCCCAGAAAAATATATAAATATAAATATACAGCCTTTTCTCCTGTTTCTCTTTATAAATAGAAATCTTTGCTTGCTCCGTTCAGTGTCTGGACATGATTGAGATAATAAGAAGAAAACTAGAAGCTGAGAATGAAGTGATTAATTTCCATGAGAAAGGGCACAGAAGTAGCTGCAAAAGAAAAATATTTTAAGCAAAAGAGAGGAGGTTAGAAATAGGAGAGGAGGTAATGGAAGAAGAGAGGTAGGAAAACTAGAATATTGAAAGAGATTTTTAAAGTGTGTTGGAAGTAATAGGTGCTGTGGTGAATGCATTTTTGAGAGAAAAGGTGTAAAAAAAAGATACTGAGGAAATTCAGTTTTGTGTCGTACAATAAGATTTCTTCTTTTCTAATATAGTTAGGAAGGAGGTAACTTTCACTAGGACTACCACACTCTGGCTTATGGCATAAATAAGTAGGAATATATCCTCATCATATTATGTTCCTCAAAATACTCCCCCGATCCCGCACAAAATTAGAGATATTGTGAAGAAAACTGTGACATCTTAATAATGCCCATTGAGGAAATAATGCAGTTTCAACCTGGGTATTTCGGATGGAGAACCAGACTTAGAGCATTAGGTGAGTTCATTGATATGGAAAAAAAAAATAACTCCCTACAGGTCAGACTTTCTTTTTCTTTCTTTTCTTTCTTTTTTCTTTTTCTTTCTTTCTTTCTTTTCTTTCTCTCCCTCTCTCTCTCTTTTTTTTTTAAAAAAAACAAACCACAACTTCCATGAATATCCAATTTCCCAATAAATTAGAGTCTTTCCTAGAAGGAGAAAATCTCTAGGTAGGCTCCTGCCCTATACTAGCACCTAAGACAGGGCCTTGTAGGGACTGAATGACTGTTGTGAGGCATGCCATTAAACAAATTTTGGAACCACAATTAGAGGTCATATGCTACCATAAATGAGAAAAACTCATGGGGGTTCTAGTAGTGGTGGTAGAGAAAGACACAAAGTTATGAGCACACTCCGGAAGATTGCAGGTTGATCAATCTGGGAGGTACATTATTGGAGATTAAATGAGATCCTGAAAGGTCCAGGTGATGCCGACACTGTTCCCCATGGATGGCACAGACTTGATCACAAATCCAGGACTTCACAGGATTTGAGAAGGCAAGGATACCCTAGGCACTGATCTTAGTTATGGAGAAGAGTGACATCTGGTGGCACTCGTTAAGAAAGAAGCTCTGTGAACATGCCATCCTCACTTATCAAGAGGCATGATATAGGCAGATGTTCCTACGATAGCAGCCAGATAGATCTGTTGATGTATTTGCCATCAGGACTGTTAGAAATTTCCAAAATCTAAAGTTCTAAAAAGAATTCTGGCAAACATTTGTAGGCTGAGCCAGGTAAAATCACTCCAAAGGGCGGCAGGGAGGAGCCAGGCAAACCAGTAAGAACAAAATATTATCAAGATATCAAGGATGAGCATAAACTTTGAAGTTGCAAGGGTCCAAAGTGACCCAATTAAATTTCAAAAACCTCTTTGAAAAGATTACAATAATTTCCCTGGATAAAAAGTTGGCAGGGACAAAAGCAAAAGTATTTTATATTCTGTATTTCCTCTATCCTTGTCTTTTGTGGAAAATTCCTTGTTTGTACTGCTCAGTTGGGCTGATTCGTATAACCAAAGGAGAGTATCAATGTGAGGTTTGGAGTGTATTTGAGGGTGGCTTGGAGGCACACACAAGACTTTTCAGATGCTTACAGTTTAAAACAATACTTCCAAATATAAGTTTACAAGAATGAAAATTTAACAAATATTTTGAAAAGGGAATTTTTAAATAGCTTAGTTAATTAAATTTCCTAGACATTTTCAACTGCATTTTTATTTTTATTATTTTTTATTTTTATTTTTATTTTTATTTTATTTTTATTATTATACTTTAAGTTCTAGGGTACATGTGCACCATGTGCAGGTTTGTAACATTGGTATACATGTGCCATGTTGGTTTGCTGCACCCATCAACTCATCATTTACATTAGGTATTTCTCCTAATGCTATCCTTCTCCCAGCCCCCCACCCCCCAACAGGCCCCAGTGTGTGATGTTCCCCTCCCTGTGTCCATGTGTTCTCATTGTTCAACTCCCACTTATGAGTGAGAATATGCAGTGTTTGGTTTTCTGTCCTTGTAATAGTTTGCTGAAAATGATGGTTTCCAGCTTCATCCATGTCCCTGCAAAGGACATGAACTCATCCTTTTTTATGGCTGCATAGTATTCCATGGTGTATATGTGCTGCATTTTCTTTATCCAGTCTATCACTGATGGACATTTGGGTTGGTTCCAAGTCTTTGCTATTATGAATATTGCCGCAATAAACCGCATTTTTAAATTTAATGCACTGTATTTGATTTCCTTTTCCAGCAAATTGTCTAACAAATCTTCTCATGTACTTAAGTAATCACAAATCAAATAACTTGCACTTATAAATAGGGTGACTATTAAATTCTCAATTATGTTTACAAACTGAGTACATTTCTCTTATAAATTTTAACTTCAAACCACAATTCTATTGAACAATTTTTTTTCTCAACCATCCAGTGGTATGGTTTATTTAATTGGTCACTTATGAGGCCATGTCATGAAAATAGACAGATGTGCTGTGATTTCTCTAAATCAGTGGTTAGGAGATAGATAGAGCATCATCAGGGTGGGCTGGTATAATTACATGCTGCTACTAATAATGCTTGCCGTGTTTTTAACCAAAGAAGTTTCCTGTCAGAGGCTTGGAGTTCTGACACTCTTAGTTATGATACTTGTTTCTCTTAACGGTCCTTTGCTCTTCAATGTTTAATGCATTTGGCAAGTTGTTTGCTGTGCATACCACTGCGCATTTTTCTAAACACTGAGATAAGGTTTTTGCGCTTACTGAATTTGGTTATTCTATTCTTTGTTATACTAAACAGAAAAATGAGAGCTTGTATAAATTATTAAATGAAGAGGAAAAGGAGAACCAAAAGGAAGAGAAACATAAAAAATAAGAGTCATCGATTTAAGATTATCATATTGAAGCCATGGAGTATTATGAAAACATACTCTCTTCAAGAAAATATGCTGATAATTTAGAGTATTTAGAACTGTTTCTCTAGGATACAATGAAAATTCCTTCTTAATTAGAAAACTTTTACAGAAACATGTGCAAAACATATTAGAGCTCAAGTAAATGTTGATTGTTTTTCCTCTCAACTCCCCCCACAATTCTAAATAACTTATTTGTTACACATTTTAAAAATTGGAATCTCAAGGCTAATTTATTAGATACTATAATATTCCACATTATCTTAAATATTATAAATATTCAAAACACTAAATATCCAAAGGTCACTTTTCAATAAGTAGAAAAATATTAATATGTGTTTACTTCATCATCTCAATTCTTATTTTCATCTTCATTGAACTAAGCCCCCTTAATCATTAAAAAAAAATTTTAGCATCTCGATGTAATTTTGAGTTAGTAAATATTAGGAATTTGCTTAATTGCTAGTTACAAAAACCTGAATGATGATGGCTTAAATACGTTAGGAGCTTGTTTTTCTTTCACCTAAAAGATAGCTATTCCTGCAAAGACTGAATTGTTTCAAAGAGGTTCACAAAAGCTTTCCCAGAAGTACCACCCAACAACTTCAACCTACATATCATTGCGCATAATGCAGTCATGTGGCTACCCCTATCCACAAAGAGGTGGATGGGAAATCTGGATGTTCATCTGGTCGCATGGCCATCCTCTGCATTTACCAGATAAGAAGGGGGGGGCGTTGAATAATTGATGTGCAACTAGAAGTCTCTGTCATAACCAGCTGGGCACCTTGACTTTACAGTGTCAGTGCACTGATGCTTCATAGAGACCTGAACTTTGGGTTGAGGCATGAGACCTAGAGCAAGACTTCTGGGATTGTTTTTCACAAAACTGTAAAAAAATAAGTTGTGTTTTGTCTTATGGTTTCTGTGCCAGTAGAGACTTCAAATCCATGTCCTATAAATGGAATGGACTTGCAACTCAGTGTCCTTGGATTTGAAGGGCATCTTAACATTTCAAGTCTGATTTGAGGCTATGAGCACCCCTCACCCATCTCCCACCAGGCCTCTTTGCCACTAGACTGGGTTCTAATAATTAATTGCTTTTCAAATTCTCTTTATATTTTAGCTGGCAGGAGCACAACTCTAATAGATATTTACTTAGCATATTATTGAATGCAGCATATTTTATTTTATTGAATGTCAGCTCCTGGATTTGAAGTCACAGCTTTTAGGTTCTTTCTAATGAAGAGAGGGAACTTGAAGGAACCCAAAGACAAAATATAAAAGAAGGCTCTGGGTGGTGAGAGGAGGGGCAAGAGAGTAAGGAAATTGGGATAGGAGGTCTAGAGTGAGAAAAGGAAGCTGAAAATTTGGGAAAAATAAGAGATTTAGGGTGAGCTGATGCAATGATGACTACATTTGACAAGAGATATTTCTAAAGGATAATTTTAAAAAGTTTTTTATTGTGCCATGTATTATAATATCCATCATATCACTCCCCAAACTTTCTGTATCCTCAAGAGATAGTCTATAAAAGTCTGTGTTACTGTCCAAAACTTTTGGAGGTTGAATTTTGGTATTTTTGAAAGTGCTACCTTGTCAAAACAGATGTTGATGAGAAAGCAGAACCTAATTTATTGTTATCCAGTAGTGTCATGACATGTGATACCCAACCTCTGTTTTAAGAAATTCAATGAGCTGTGGGTGTCACATTCCACTCAACCTTCATATAAGTTGTGGAAATTCCAAATTCATACCTGCTTTACATACAGAGCTCTGCAAACAAGAAATCCTGTATTCTGCCAGGACTTAGAAACAGGTTAGAGATTGCTATGTGGGGGAACCAAGGAACAAAGAGTCTATCAATCAGCAAACATTTACTGTGTATGTATTATATTCTAGGTATTATGCTACACTGGGAGAACAATGGTGTACAACTTAGGTAGCATCTCTGTCCCTAAGGAATTTATATTTAGTGAGCCTGAAGGAGCCCCATAAAATCTCTGGGGGCCATATTTGGGACAAGGAAGCAAATTGCATGGAATGACCTGCAAGGATATGGACACCTTAACAGATATCAACCTGGAGAAATGATCTAGCCTGAAGGCCAAAAGACATGCTCCAGTTGCCTACATGGATAGAAAGTGATTCCTAAGGACCTGATCTCCAACATGTGCCTTTCTGCACTGCATGCATGCCCCTTATTCTAGAGTCATTTTCAGAGAAAAGTGGGAGAGGGAAATATCGGGCTGAGTGAGAAAACCCTGACATAATTGAAATTAACCTGAGTCGACAAGATTAATATCTATTTACTTATTTGGCAGTAGGCAGAATGGAGATTAGAGATAGAAACTAAATTTAATTATACACATCATAGAAAAGTTATAATTATTATACACTTTAGTTTATGTTTTTTTTGTATATTTTTATCCAGCACACCTGATTATAAATCTAATTGAACAGAAATTATCTAGAAATAACTTTGAATTATTATTCAAATATTATTCAAATATATTCAAAGTCAATATGTTGCATGGTAACTAAGATTAGCATTTGGGTTGGCATTAAAATATATTCTAGGAGATATCAAGTACCTGCGTGATTAGAAAGTTTTTCCATGTGATTTTGGATTAAATAGATATAGTATTAAAATGAATTCACTTTTGTGTTTCTGACAACATTTATGGGAGTTTTGGCATTAGAGTCATAACTGGCTGTAGGTCTACAATACCTTTGGTTTAGGATTGATATCTTGAGATTTGAGTGTTTATGAAACATTTGGCTTCAATTTAAGGCTACGGATGAAGAGTAAGTGCAGGTTTTGATTCCATCAGGGTTTGCACTGACAGTAACAAAGTACAGATGGAGACGTTCCCTTTATTGCTTTCTTGAGGATGTGCTGAGGTAAAGAGGGTTAAAAGACAGGTTGTTCCATAATCAAATACCTGACAAGTTAGGCTGTGGTTGAGAGACCATCTCAAGTTGTTTACCATGGATCAGGATTAGAGAAGATCAGGAAATGGTCAGATAAAAAAATGGAAATAGAAACAAGTTAGGGGATAGGGGACCTCAAGGAGAAAGGGCTGGAAAAAAGAAAGTGTTAAAAAGCTCAAGAAATGAGAAGCTATGTTCAGAGGTTTGGCTGGTGGCATTTCATATTTCGGAGGAGAAGCATTTTTGGGCAATGATGAGTTCTAAGACAGAGGACAGGAAGAGAGGGAAGGTGGAAGTTTCAGAAGCCACGGGGTTCAGGGAATTAAGATGAGGTTAGTAACAGGAGGCTCTGCCAGCTGAGACAAATGGTGCGGGATTTTAGGGAAAGAGCCCAAATCTGTCTGGAAGTAGACAGTTTTCTGAAGAACATTGATATAAGACACACACTAAAGGCTAGAAGACGCCCTGCAGTGTACTCTAATGAAAAATGAGCCCCATTTTTCCTGTTTGGCATCATTGTGAAGCCCCTGCCCCCGAGTCTCTTTGAGTAGTTTCCAAAGTTTCAGTCCTCAGGAGCTCCCCTGGCCCAAACTTGGGATGAGCTAATGTTATCTCCCAATGAACTTTTCTTTTGTTGTTGTAGCTATGTTATTGCCTAATTACAGTAACCTAAAGGTGGTGGGGGACTTCCAGAGTCCTGTAAGCACAGTTTCTTTCACCTGAATGTCTATGGATTGCATATGTCAAATACTAGGCTGTGGACTCTGAAAGCAGGAAACCATCCGAGTTGTTCCCCCTTATAATCCCAGTGCTTGGCATGCAATAAATGGTTACTGAATCAATGAATGCTTGAATGAAGGTATTAGCTGTGAAAGAACATCACTGAGCCTTTAGACTCACCAGAAATGCCAACTTTGGTTCTACTTCTTATCCATTATGTTCACATTGTCTTGTGTGGGCTGGGAGTTAGAGGCACTAGTGTCTTCAGGAGGAACAAGGCAGGAAATAAGTACTCTGTCAAGATGGAGTTTGCATCGTCAAAGACATGAGAGCTAATAGGTTTCAGGTGGTTCAGGAGGCCCACCACCATAGTATTAGTCCAGGAAGATTCATTTCATTCCTTCTTGACCAAGATGAGGCTCTTAATATGCACTTGTCTTGCTTAGGATTGATTGGCCTTGGAGCTGGGTGGGGCCTACCGGTGAGAGTCACTGGGGGTATGCTTTCTAGGCTAGAGAAGGCAAAACCTGATGTTCTGAGGTAGTTATCAGAATGACCAGGCCTCTCCTAGGCTGCTATATGCTTTCTATGAGCTATAGATCTAGATTCTTGTGGGTTTGGTTGCTCTTTCCAGTGCACATCTGCAAACACTTGTAGATAGTAGCTTTGATTCTCTTCTGTTGTTCTCATTTTTTCACCTACCTCCATGCCTCACAGTGACCAGGATGGAGAAGCAGCTCCATATTATGTCACACAAGGAACAGATTCAGGACTTAGGGTTCAGGGAGCATGAGCACAGTCTTTAGACACTTACATTAAATTTGCTCTGTGCAATTCCTGAAGAGAAATCTCTACCTATATATGGAAATTACAGGAAAACATTTGTCTGTCAACTCATCAGAAGAAAAACTGAGGATAGAATAAGTTGACCCAGATGCCATGAGCTCTCTATGACTGTAAATGTTTAGTTACATTGCCTATTTATAGATATTCTATTACTGATGGCTGATTATTATTAATACTTTTTTAAAATCATAAAATCTCAGGGTTGATTAGTGCAGAAAATTTCCAATCACTCACAGGAAGGAGGTTCTAAGGACTTAGGAGTTAAAACTCCAGCACTGACCCTGTCAGTCTGGACCCTTGTGGATGCTGCAAGGCAGACAGGACACCTGCACTGTGGCCTCCCTTGGGGTCATGACAGAATCACAATGGTTTTCTTTCCTTTAGGTATCTGCAATGAGGGATCCAAGAGGACAGAGAACAGGTTATGGCAGCCCAAAGACTGAAGTCCACAGGGAGCAAACTCAGCAAGCCTGCCTATCCAGGGTGCCCTGGCTGAACCCGGACTGGCTGCCCACATCCTGCTGGCAGCAAAACCGTCCCTAGTTGTCCTTGTGTCCCTGGTGTGCTCTGCCGTAGAACTTCTACCCATGCTTTTCTGAACTTTCCTGGAACCATATTTAAAAAGCAGCATTGGCCTTGCGTGATGGCTCACACCTGTAATCCCAGCACTTTGGGAGGCCGAGGCGGGCAGATCACCTGAGGTCAGGAGTTCAAGACCAGCCTGATTAACATGGTGAAACCCTGTCTCTACTAAAAATACAAAATTAGCTGGGCATAGTGGTGGGTGCCTGTAATCCCAGCTACTCAGGAGGCTGAGGCAGGAGAATCACTTGAACCTGGGAGGTGAAGGTTGTAGTGAGCCAAGATTGCACTCCAGCCTGGGTGACAGAGTGAGACTCCGTCTCAAAAAAAAAAAAAAAAAAAAAAAAGGCAGCATTATAGTGCAGAGGCTAAGAGCATGAGTTTTGGGTTTTGGGGTCAGGTAGACCTAGTTCTAATTCCCACTCTGTCACTTACTAGCTGTGTGGCCTTGAACAACATATTTTGGCTCTTTTTTGGTAGTTCTGTTGATTAGATTTATGCTTTTTTTATTTTGCTAGGGTGATTAGTTTTCATTTCCACCTTTTATTAAATATTTAAGTAGCCTTGCTTAATCCACATTCATGTTCCTCTTTTAAATGGGAAATCAAAAGTGACAGTAAAGCAAGTAGCTTACAGAGTCACACCTCAGAGGAGCAGAAAGTAGGGAGGCCAGCTTGCTTCCTGCTGCTTATTAGCCTTAATTAGCCCTTCTGTGATTCAAAGTTTATTCCCTGGACATCTCTAATTCTAAACCAAGGCCCTGTGAAAGATATAAATTTCCATGTTAAAAGCCCTTATTCTGTTAATGTCAAAATAAATGAGTCAGTATGGGGCTCACAAGAAGAGAGTAAAGCAGAGCTACCTGAAGAGGTGATGTTATGTTAATGGTGAAATAAGTGCTCTGTAAGGAGACACATACACAGTTTACTCATGAGCGCTCTCTACTTAGCCTTGGGAATATTGTACTGTGCAACTTCAAACCTTCCTCATCAAGGAGATGATTTTTTAATCTACGTGATTGAGAGAACCATCTGTTCTATTCAGCCCATTTCTCTTCTTCAGGTTCTGCCAATCCTCTCTGTGTATCCACATGTGTTTCCTCCACCTTGTCTGTGCAGAGGAATATGTTTTCTTTTTTCAAGGTCCTAGTTTCTCTTTTATCAATTGAAGAATGCTGCCTCTTGAAAAGAGGCTGGAAATGGTATAAAGAGATAATAATTATCTAATCTATCACCTGTATTGTAATTTTGTTAATTGACCCAATAATGGTTTTTATAGCATTTTTTTCCTCCTGGATCCAGTGGAGGATACAGTCTACAGTAATTTAACTGTTATGTCTCCTTAGTCTCCTTTAATCTGGAGTATTTCCACAGGTGTATATATGCATATATATATATATAAAATTGGTATATTGTTCCTTTGAATCTTTTTTTTTTTTAAGAAAAGGGTGTTTCTCATTTTGAATCTGTCTGATGCTTCTCATGAATTCCCAGCAAGAAAATGACATACGTGATGCTGTTGCCTTAGTGTATCACAAGTCAAGGCTCAAGATGTCCATCTGCCCCTCACTGACAATGTCAGTTTCCATTATGTAGTCAAGGTGCTGTCTTTTATCTCCTCACTGTAGTTACACTTTCCCCCACTTGCACCTAGTAAGAAATTTGTGAGGAGACACTTTAAGACCAAACAAGTATCCTGCTTCTCATCAAACTTTCATCCCACAGGTATTCCACTGATTTCCTGAGCCAATCTTTAAAGCAATAGTGAAAAAGGATGATTTTCCCCCTCCAGCACTCCCTAAACACTCTCCACTGCCATTTACCATTCCAGCACAAGTCCTCTCTTCTCTCTCATAAGAACTTTAGTGTGAATTTGTCTAGCTTGATGATGCCTAACCAAAAATAAGAATGTCTTCCCACTTGCTCAAGTGTACTTTTGTGATTTTAGGTTTTGAGCATCTCTTGTGTAAATCAAAAATAAAATTCAAATCCCTCCCCCACCCCTACCAACTAAATGGAGCCCTCCTCTTGGCCGAAGGCATTCCAAATTTAACCCTAAACATGAGTACAAACCATGATGGAAATGGGTGGTCAGATGTGTCTCATTATACCCTCCTGCCTTTGGAACTCAGGCACAACTAACCAGCATTAACATTAAAACAGAGACCTTAGGACTGACAAAGCAGACTCTGTAGCAATAAGACAGCAACATGACAGATGATAGTCCCTAAAAGAAATCAAAGTATTTTACCCCAAAATATATTTTTTTGACATATTTAAAATGGACCTGCCAAGCTGTCTCTTTTGGGGAAAATCTATATTCTGTAGAGAATCCCCTTCCTGATCCAGGAGAGAATTCACTAAGAATCTGGCACCTTTTCAAGTCTGAGAGGAAACATTTACAATTGATTCTCTCTGAAGCCTGTTACTTGGAGGCTTCATCTGCATAAAAAAAAGCCTTTGGTCTCCACAACTGCTATCTTAACCCAGACACTCCCTTCTATTGATTCTAGGTCTTTAAATAAACTCTTTCAACCAATTGCCAATAAGAATTGAATCCACCTATGTTCTGGAAGCCCTCCCCAAAACTTTGAGTTGTCCTGCCTTTCCGGACTGAACCAATGTATATCTCATATGTATTGATTCAGGGGTCCCCAACCAGTGTTGTTCCATGGCCTGTTAGGAACTGGGCTGCACAGCAGGAGTTGAATGGCAGGCAGGCACATGAAGCTTCATCTGTATTTATAGCTGCTCCCCATCACTTGCATTACCACCTGAACTCTGCCTCCTGTCAGGTCGGCAGTGACCATAGATTCTCACAGGAGCTTGAACTCTACTGTGAACTGCACATGAGCGGGATCTGGGTTGCATACACCTTATGAGAATCTAATGCCTGATGATCTGTCACTGTCTCCTATCACCCCCATATGGGACCATCTAGTTGCAGGAAAACAAGCTCAGGGGTCCCACTGATTCTATATTATGGTGAGCTGTATAATGATTTCACTATATATTACAATGCAATAATAAGAGAAATAAAGTGCACAACAAATATAATGCACTTAAATCATCCCCAAACTATCCCCACAACCCCTCTGGTCCATGGAAAAATTGTCTTTCATGAATCTAGTCTCTGGCACCAAAAAGGTTGGGGACTGCTGTACTGATTGATGTCTTATGTCTCCCTAAAATATATAAAACCAAACTATAGTCTGACTGCCTTGGGCACATGTTCTCAGGACTTCCTGAGGCTGTGTTGTATGTCCTTAACCTTGGCAAAATAAACTTCTAAATTGATTGAGACCTGTCTCAGATACTTTTGGTGTACACATGTTAAGTTTATTTCTAAGTGTTATGTGTTTTTATTGCTGTTTAAATTTTTTTCGTTTTATGTTTTTAATAACATAATTCCAACAATACGTGCCATTATTTGGGTATATAAATTTTATTAATTTTGCAGGTTAATTTTATATCTTGTTACTTTCTTAAATTATTTTATTGTGTTATCTTTACCATTTATTCTTAATGTTTTCCAGATGTACTATAATGTTATCTGTAGATATCAATAGCCTTTTTTTCTTGTTTATGTCTTATATATCTGTTTTCTCTATTTAAACTACTTTAAATAATGCCTCCAGAACAATGGTAAATAGTGAGAATTCTTGCTTTTTTTATGACTTTAGTGGAACTACTTTTAATATTTCCTCATTAAATAAGATTCTGGTTTTAGATTTTAGATAAATATACTTGTAACATGTTAAGGAAGCATCTATAAATTCCTGTTTTCTTAAGAGACTTTTATGAGGAATGGCTGTTGGGTTTCATCAGACTTTTTCAGCATTTATGAAGGCAATTATATTTATCTTCTTGAACCTATTAATACAGTAAATTATATTAACATATTTTCCAATGTCAAACCCCCCTCAAATTCCTGAATACACCCACTGTGTCATGGTGTATTCAGGTTATTTATTAATCTTGATTGCCTAAGCCCCTGTGGTACCCCAAGTGGGTTCTTTGACTGGCCTTAATCTCAATGTAGACCTTATTTAAGATAGTCATTCTCGTGTTAAAAAGCTCCTGTTCTGGTTACTCCAGAATAAACTGTTTAGTACAGGGGCTCATGAGAGGAAAGAAAAAAGCAAATAGGGCTCTTTTGCAGGATTGAGATGTGTCAGAGGTGTTGTCGGGACTTATGTCAATGTTATGCCCCTCCAATGAAAGAATTGATTACAAGTGGTTAAATCTATGCTCTGTAATGAAATGTATATAGAGTAATTCAAATATGTCTTTTATGTAGCAACTAAGGATATGATACAGCAGTTTCTGATGCTTAATTCCAGTCTTTCTTTGCTAAGAAAATGGTGATTTTCCTTACTCACATTAACAAAGAGAATACTTTCTGTTCTAGTCCTATCTGAAGTCCACTTCTTCCAGATTCTTCAGGTCATTTTCTGTGTACCTACACTATTATTATTCCATATAGTTTGGGCTGGAGTTGTCACTTTCCTGTATCAGGACTTTCTCCACCTTTTTCAGGGCATGCCACCACTTTTTGAAATGAGGAATAAAGATATGAAATAATATGAATTGTAGGCTGAAAATATGTGGAGGAGATCCTAGTGTTTTTTATATACATGAACAAATAAATGTAGAAAGAAAATTTAAGCTTTAAGATGAAAAAGACAAAGAATATGCTCTATCTCTTTTCATTCTTAATTTTCTCAATACTTAGAATAAGTCTCTTTTTATTTTTATTCAAACACCATTAATTTAGTCAACATATATTTGTTGATTATCAACTGTATATCAATCACTGTGCTAGGCTGTATGGAAAGAGAGCGACAGGATACTCATGAATGAACCATGATTCTTCTGTCAGGATAAAGAATCTGTAAAGAGAGGCAGAACTTAGTAATGCTATAGTGTAGGTATAATGAGAGGAAAATAATTTGTTTATAGCCCCCTTGTACCCTTGTAATTTTTAGTGTAAATAAATAATTCATCTTTCCTCAACATACTTGAAAACAGAGCGTATTTTAAGGGTATGTAAAACTGGCATATCGGTTATCTATTGTTATGTGGCCAACTACTTTAAAATTTAGCAACTAACAGCAACTGCTGTTTGTTTAGCTCATAACTCTATAGGTCAGCAATCCGAACTGGGCTCAGTTGGACAGTTCTGTTCTCAGCTGGACTCACTCATGGGTCTGTGGTCAGCTGTAGGACAGTTAGGTACCTCTGCTGGGGGTGACAGGGACAGGTGGTGGGCAACATGTCTCTCATCATTCAGTAGCTAGCTTGGGCTTGTTCACCTCACAGCAGAGCTTCCCAGAGCAGCAAGAAGGCAAGCCCTAAATGGGAAAATGCTTTTCACAGCTCTGTTTGCAACATGTCCGCTACCATCCTATTGGCCAAAGCAAGTTATTAAGGCAGCCCAGATTCTAGGAGTGAAGAAAAATTCCATCTTTTGAAGGGAGAAGCTGCAAAGATGTTGCACATCATGAAGGAATAGATTTGTTTTTATTTCTGCAATCTATCATGAGTGGCAATTAAAGCTGATGAAAAATTATCTACCACAGTATCTATCTTCTATCTATCTATCTATCTATGTATCATCTACCTACCTACCTACCTATCTATCATCTGTTTGTCAAGCTTAGGGTCAATGCTAGTTTTATATCACATTGTGGAGGAGAACATTAGGGAGAACCAAAATGTTCAATGAGTATTTATTTTGGCATTTGTTGTGGGTGGAGGTGGTGTAATACTCTCCTATATTTTCCTTATAATTAATAAAATATATACTGCTCTCATAAAATTTTAGTTGTGATTTTTATTCTGTGCAGTATTGAGGTTTTGGCACACCTAGAAAAATAAGTACCAGACCAAATGTGCAAGAAAATACATCATAGACCATTTGTGTCGGAAATGCTAAGAGATTGGAAAACTGCCTTTTGCCATATAAGCCTCTAGATTTTTAAGAGGACAAGAATTTTCTAAGAATAGATTGGTAGTAAGGAATTACTTTTAAGAGAGTTTTGTATATGTTATGTCATCTTCCACCCTCTTCTCTCAAACAAAATGATGGAGGTTACAGAAAATCTCTTACAAAGCTGACCGCATTCTTTTTGGAGTTGGGAAGGCCCTGGTACTGGTATCTGACTTACATTTGAAAGGGTCTAAATGTGAGTAACTGGATGAACCCCCCTGTAATAACAGAATGCAAAGATGAAACTGCATCAGGAATAACCTGCTCACTCAGAGTTTGGCAGGAAAGGCGCGTGTTTCCTATGGTTCACTGTGAACCAGACTGGATCATCTTGAAAGTGACCTTGTCCACAAGGATGCAGGATGAGGTGACTTCAGCAGAGGGCATGTTGAGGGGAAGTCCGCTGGCAGTCAAGGGATAAGGGGAATGTTCTAAGTAAGCTGGCTATAGCAGGCTTCATCAATGTCAGGGAATCGCAAGTGAAAGATCCCGGTGGGGAAATCTCTGAAGAAGCCACAAAAATGCTGCCCAAAAGAAAGAAGCAGCAGGTGGACACTGGCCACACAGAGTGTGGCTGTGGACAATGAAGACCTTTCCTATTTCATCTAGGTTATGGAATTTGTTGACATAAAGTTGTTCACAATGATTCCTTATTATCCTTTTTACATCCATAGCTCTGGGCATTCTTACATTAGTATGATAGTGCATTAGTAATTTGTGAATATTTTCTTTTTTGATTTTGCTGGAGATTTATTAATTTTAGTTATCTTTACAAACAATTTTAGATTTACTATTATTTTCTATTGTTGTTTTGCTCTATTTAATTGATACCAACTCTTATCTTTATTGTTACCGTTCTTCTATTATTTTGGGTTTACTTGAATTTTTACTACATTAAGGTAGAATTTTAGATAATAAATTCTAGCAATCTTTTCTGTTTATACATATTTAAAACTGTGAAATTTCCTTTTAGTACCATTTTAGTGGCTTTCCACAAGTTTTTGACACGTGTTTTTAATTTCTAATTCACCTTGGGTTTTTTTCTTTGATCCATGCATTATTAAGAACTGTGGGCCTGGTGAGGTGGCTTACGCCAGTATTCCCAGCACTTTGGGAGGCTGAGGTGGGCGGATCACCTGAGGTCAGGAGTTGAAGACCAGCCTGGCCAACATGGTGAAACCCCATCTCTACTAAAAATACAAAAAATTGGCCGGGTGCAGTGGCTCACACCTGTAATCCCAGCACATTGGGAGGCCGAGGCTGGTGGATCACGAGGTCAGGAGATGGAGACCATCCTGGCTAACATGGTGAAACCCTGTCTCTACTAAAAATACAAAAAAATTAGCCGGGTGTGGTGGTGGGCCCCTGTACTCCCAGCTACTCGGGAGGCTGAGGCAGGAGAATGGCGTGAACCCGGGAGGCGGAGCTTGCAGTGAGCAGAGATCATGCCACTGCACTCCAGACTGGGAGAGAGAGCAAGACTCCGTCTCAAAAACAAACAAACAAACAAACAAACAAAAAACAAAAAATTAGCCGGGCGTGGTTGTGGGCGCCTGTAGTCCCAGCTACTTGGGAGGCTGAGGCAGGAGAATGGCGTGAACCCGGAAGGCGGAGCTTGTAGTGAGCCGAGATCGCGCCACTGCACTCCAGCCTGGGCGACAGAGCGAGACTCTGTCTAAATAAATACATAAATACAAAATTAGCCAGGTGTTGTGGCAGGCACCTGTAATCCCAGCTACTTGGTAGCCTGAGAGGCAGGGAGAATTGCTTGAACCTGGGAGGCGGAGGTTTCCTACAAATCTCCTTTGCAGGAAATTTGGTTAAAATCCTTTGATACTTAATTAACGGACCATAAAATGAATGTGTCTTGAATATATTCTGTATCCACTTGAAATATACATTCTACATTTGCTGAATGTAGTGTTATATAAATATTAAGTAAAGTTAATTGATAGTACTGTTCATTTTCTACATCCTTAGTGATTTTTTGTCTTCCTTTTTTACATGGACTAATTAGTTCTGTGAAGGTAAAATGAAGAAGAATGAAACAACAGAGAGAACAACATGTATTTAGATCATAAAGAGGAATAAAGTGTGTAAATAGACTTCTGTCTCATCACTCCGCTGGAAATGCCAGTTAGCTGAATCCCAGCAGTGGGCACAGGTTAACTTCTTAGCCAAGAAACTCTTAAAACTCTATACAAAATCAGCATCTGAAGGGATGTCCCACCAGCTCTTCAGTTTCAGTGTACCTAAGCAAAGCTTGGCATAAATTTCTACCCTTTATCTGGTCTATCTACTCTATTAAAGTCCCTGTCTGATTACAGTGGGAACTTTCTCCAGTGCCGTATCTCATCACATTCTCCATATAATTGCTACATCTTAGCATAGTCGAAGGCACCTAACAGGTGCTGAATTAATGCTGAATGAATTCATGAAACACTGCCCCCTTACCTGAGTCATTGGCCATGACCCATTCAGACTACTCCCCAGAAGAAACATTCCTGAAATCCTATCTATAGCAAGACCCCGGATAGTTTGACAGTCCTGTGGAAGCAGGCTGATCCCAAGAAGACTGTAATACTGGAAAACAATCATGTCCAGGTGGTAGAGCTAGGACTCCAGGCCTTGCAAAAGATTGGGACTCAAGCAGGAGGAAGTGCACACGGAAGACTTAGGTAGTGACTAGGCATGACTCACGTTCTTCTTTGTCCTCATTCACAATAGGGGTAGCCTCAGAACACCATATTCTGCTGTGCAGTTTGTGCCATGTACACCTCCTAGGGAAGTTGGGGTAGGTACCATTCACATTGTGCTCAATGGGACTGACTGACTCTGCTGGAATTGTGCAGCGTACAACCAGGATGACCCTATATGGATCACCTAGGAACAGGGGCAAAGTAATAACCAGCAGAAGCCCTCACCTGGGTGGGTCAGCAGCTGAGCTTTATCTTTCAAAGAAAAAAATAAGTTTTATCTGTAACAGCAGAGGGCATTCTACTATAATGGATCCTTGAACTTATTATGAGAGGCAGAGCCAACTTTTCAGAAATGAATTTACACCATCCTATCAGCTATGGAGGATTTTTTTTTTTTTTTACTTTCAACAAATTTTTCATTGTAGTAAAACAAAATTTACCATCTTAACCATTTAAGTATACAGTTCAGTGGCATTAAGCACATTCACCTTTTTGTGCAACCATGATCACCATCCATCATCCATCTCCTGTTTTTGTTTTTGTTTTTGATGGAGTCTCACTCTGTCACCTGAGCTAGAGTGCAGTGGCGTGGCCTTGGCTCACTGCAACCTCTGCCTCCCGGGTTCAAGTGATTCTCCTGCTTCAGCCTCCGAAGTGGCTGGGACTACAGGCGCCTGCCACCATGCCTGGCTAATTTTTTTTTTTTTTTGTATTTTTAGTAGAGACGAGGTTTCACCATGTTGGCCAGGCTGGTCTCTCGAACTCCTGGCCTCAAGTGGTCCGCCCGCCTTAGTCTCCCAAAGTGCTGAGATTACAGGCATGAGCCACCATGCCCAGCCATCATCTTCTGAACTTTTTCATCTTCCCAAACTGAAACTCTGTGCCCATTAAACAATAACTCCTCATTGCCCCCTCCTCCAGCCCCAGCAAACACCATTCTACTCCTAGACTACTTTCAGACTCAGTTTCTTCTTTCACTTAATAAGAGAGGGTCCACTGCTGACTAATGGGATTGTTTCTATATGTGGAGTCCTTCTTGCAAACATGTGATTGAGTTTATTGTAGAGAACGGTAATAGGAAATGGGATTGTAGAAAGAAAAGAGATGGAGACAAATTTGGATGAGGGTTTCATACTGGGTGTCCCATCCACAGGCCTCAGCAGCCCTGCCACGGATCTACCCAGTTCTTTTGCATCAAGAAGTTGATCTTGCGAGCCATTTCCATGTTATAGATCTGCCAGCACCTTTTATAGCTTTTCCTCTGTCGCTGGCGGCATGGCTTTTCATTATACCATGGACATTTAATGTCCTCAAGGAGCCCATCCACAGTGAGGATTCTGTTTAGGGTCCTGTATGCACCTTCCACGTTTCCTTCCTGTACCATCTCAGTCCTGGCGGTGAATTTCAGATGTTTTGCCATGACCTTGGATTTAAGTCTCCACTCTGCAGAGCCTGGCACGCTCAGTACCTAGTCAACCCCGGCTATGGAGGATTTAAAGTTGCTTTAGAAATATGTGTGTTTGCCAGTTGGCGGGACTGTAAACCAGTTCAACCATTGTGAAAGACAGTGTGGCGATTCTCAAGAATCTACAACTAGAAATACCATCTGACCCAGCCATCCCATTACTGGGTATATACCCAAAGGATTATAAATCATGCTGCTATAAAGACACATGCACACGTGTGTTTATTGCAGCACTATTCACAATAGCAAAGACTTGAAACCAACCCAAATGTCCATCAGTGTTAGACTGGATTAAGAAAATGTGGCACATACACACCATGGAATACTATGCAGCCATAAAAAGATGAGTTCATGTCCTTTGTAGGGACATGGATGAAGCTAGAAAACATCATTCTGAGCAAACTATCGCAAGGACAGAAAACCAAACACCGCATGTTCTCACTCACAGGTGGGAAGTGAACAATGAGAACCCTTGGACACAGGGTGGGGAACATCACACACCGGGGCCTGTCATGGGGTGGGGGAGGGGGGAGGGATAGCATTAGGAGATATACCTAATGTAAATGATGAGTTAATGAGTGCAGCATACCAACGTGACACATGTATACATATGTAATAAACCTGCACGTTGTGCACATGTACCCTAGAACTTAAAGTTTAATAAAAAAAGAAATACGTGTTTGCTTTCTCCAATTGTAAAATATTTTAAACAATTTTTGTTTTATTTATTTGCTTATAGGTTATATATTTACATGGCTCCAAACTTAAAATGTATAAAAGATCATGCACTCCTATCCTGTAGTTTTTATCTTTTGGAAGCAACCTATCTTATCAATTGCTTAAGTAATACTTCAGAGAAATTTTATACATAAACAGATAGCTAAGTACATATATGTTTGCTTCTCATTTTTGTACAAATGGCTGCACACTATACACATTTTACTGTATCTTGCTATCTTCAGTAAACAAGAAGTCTTAAAGATTATTCTCACCAGTATATAAAAAATTTATTCACTTTTATAGCTGAATAATATCCCATCACAAGGATGTAACATAAGTTATTTAAACTTTCCTCTTGATGGACATAAAGATTGTTTCCAATTGTTACCTATTTCAAATAATAATGCAGCTAATTAATTTAATTACATGCTGACTGGAATGTGAACCCCATTGAGAAAGAAGAGTTTTTGTCTGTGTTAATCACTAATGGATCCCCAGTGTCCACAGCAGTACCTTGTACATAGTAGCTGATCAATAATTATTTGTGGAATCAATCCACTATTTCATATATACATCCACATCTATCTATGCCTATATCTATATTTTGACCAACCGTATCTACCCATTTATCTATCTACCCTCCAATATAGAACATACATCACACCAAGAAATTCTCTTATCCCTCCTTCTGTTCAGTACACATTTCTCACCCTGGAGCAACTTTTTTCTGATTTTTACTACTATCAGTTAGTTTTGCTTGATGTTAGACATCATATAAATGGAATCATACAGTGTATTCTTTTTTGTTCTGCTTTGTTTCATTTGATATAATGTTTGTGAAAATCATTCATGTTGTTGTATGTAACAGTAGTTTACCTTTTAAAATTGTTAAATATTTCACCACTATATGAATATATTGAAATTTATTTATCCTCCTGTTAACGAACGTTTAGGTCATTTCTAGTTTTTGGCTATGATGAGTAAGATCATTATATGCATTTTTGTACAAGTCTTTTTAGGACATAAATTTTTATTTATCTGGAATAAACTTTAGGAAGGGAATTGCTGGGTCACAGGGTAGGTGTATGTTTAATTTTGGAAATATTGAACAGTCCTTCAAAGTTACTGTTCCATTTGATACCATCACTAGCAATGTATGAAAGTTCCAGTTGCTGTATGTCTTCATCAACATTTAGTGTTGTCAATCTTTTCAATTAGAGACATTCTGATGGATATGATATATACTGCATTGTAACTTTAGTGTACGTTTCCCTGTTGACGAACGAGGTTAAGTAACTTTTCACGTGCTTATTGAACATTCACACATCTTCTTTTGTGAAGTGTCTGTTCAAAGGTTTTGCCACTTTTAACTGAATTGCTCATAATCTTTTACCTTTGTTTTGTAGGAATTTTTTGTAATAGTCAAGGGACAAGTATCTTTTTTCTATTCTGGCTACTCTTTTAAAAATTGTGTCCTTTAAAAGAAAAAAATTAATTTTGATGAAGACCAATTTATCAAATTGCTTTAAATGAGTAAAGCTTTTTGTTTCCTTTTTAAGAAATCTCTGTTTATCCTTAGGCCAGCAAGACATTTTCCTATGTTTTCCTCTAGAAGCTTTATGGAACTGTGTTTTGTGCTTAAGTCTGTGATCTATCTCAATTGTTATTATTATTATTATTATATTCAGAAAAAATTCCAAGGTTCATTTGTTCCATACAGATATGCAGTTGACGTGGCACTATTTGCTGATAAGTCTTTCTTCTCCTCAGTGCATTGACTTGGCAGCTTGGTTTAAAAAAAAAATCAACTGGGGTGCGGTGGCTCATGCCTGTAATCTCAGCATTTTGGGAGGCTGCAGCAGGCAGATTGCTTGAGCTCAGAAGTTTGAGACTAGCCTGGGCAACATGGTGAAACCCCGTCTTTACCAAAAATACAAAAAATTCACCAGGTGTGGTGGCCTGTGCCTGTGGTCCTAGCTACACAGGAGGCTGAGGTAGGAGGATTGCTTGAGCCCAGGAGGTGGAGGTTGCAGTGAGCTGAGATCAGTGCCACTGCACTCCAGCTTGAGTGACAGAGTGAGACCCCATCTCAAAAATAAATTAATAAATAAATACATAAATATTTTAAAAAAGAAAAAAATCAACTGATTGTTTATATGTGGTTTTATTTCCAAATTCTCTGTTGTGTTCCATTGATCTATTTGTACATCATTATGTCAATACCATACTGTCTTCATTACGGTAATAAGTCTTGAAATCAGAGTGTTGAAGACGTTTTACACATTTCTTATTTTCTTAAAATTATTTTGGATATTCTAAACCTTTGCATTTAAATAAATTTTAGAATTAGCTATTCAATATGTTCAAAAAAGCATACTGGAATTTCAGTATGGATTGCACTAAATCTATAGATCAATTTAGGGAGAATAGATTCCTAACATTTTTGAATATGCCTATCTACAAATAAGGTATAACTCCCCATTTATTTAGGTTTTAAATTTCTCTCAGTGATGCTTTGACATTGTCAGTGCAGCAGTTTTGTACATATTTCATTAGATCATTTCCTAGGTACTTAATATATGTTGATGCTATTGTAAATGGTGTTGTTTTGAAATGTTATTTCCCATTTCTTTGCTCCTAACCTATTAAAAGGAAATTGACTTTGTATTTTGCCCTCAAATCCTCCAATTTTGATAAATTATTATTTCTGATAGGTTTTTTTGATAAATGTCATATATTTTCTATCAACATAACTAAGTTGTCTTCAAATAATGGCAGTTTTACCTCTTTATTTTTCCAATTTTTATGACTTTTATAATTTTTGTCTTTTCACGTTGCACTGGCAAGGGCAGATAACACAATGTAGAATACAGGCAGTGAGAATAGAATTTATTGATTCTTTCCTAATCTTAGTGTGATAACTATAGGTTCTTCATCATTATCCTTTCTCAACTTAAAAAATTTCTTTCATTTTTAGTTTATTGAGAGTTTTTTTGTTTTATTTTGTTTTAAATCATGAATAAAGGCTGAATAAAGCTATTAAGATGATTCAACCCTCTAGGCCTTGCTCTCCTAGAGTTTATTGGAATAAAGAATGCTTAATTTGTGTTCCATGAACACATATAGGTTACCCATGTGAGAGAGCCAACTTTTGGAAAGAAGTGAACATACCTTAGCAGAGAGAAGTTGCACGAGTTTTGCTTGTTTAATATACCAGTTACATTACTTGTCAATGTTCAAGAAAGAAAACTGGGGTCCAAAGAGATTATCTAATTTGTTCAAGGTCACACAGTAAAGCAATATGTCAATATAATAGCTATTAACACTTGATATAATGTCCTTATAGAAAGCAGTGCAAAAAGAAGGCTGTAATACACACAGGGAAGATAGTCAAAGTGGATATTGGTGGTCGTGATTCCAGAAATCTACATTAATGCTCCCTGATCCAGTGCCCATAGCCACTATATCAAAATCTTCTCATTACATTGGGAAGTTAATGAAAAGCTGGGAAGACTCACTTACAGATTTGTGTTATGTCACAAGGTGTGGGTGAAAGATACCACAATGAGCTAGAAAGAATCAGGATCCAGGGTTCCAGAGGCAACTCTGACACTACCCCGCTGTGTGACACCTGCCAAGTCATTGCATCTTTCTTGCCTTCAGTTTCCATTTGAAGAGAAAGAAACTGAATTAGATTGAGTCCTTACTGAATGATTCACAGACTAGAAGCTGCCATCAGGCCCCCTTCAAAGCAGGGAAGGATAGTCATGAATGAACCATGAGGAAGGCTCTTTGCCTCAAAAATCTCTACTAATTTTTCTCTCTCTCCTCTTCTACCACACATCGTCCCCAGTATCAACAACATTTTCCTTCATTCAGGTCTGAAACTGGTCATTCTTCTTACAGAAGGAAAACTCCTGGGCTAGTTGATTTCTAAGTTTCCCTCCTACTCCAACACTCTGAATATGTGGAAGGATCTTTCATTTATACCTTGACCTTCTGTCATCTAGTTAAGGTCTATTAGTCATTTCAGTAAGTTTCACTTATTTTAGAGTAATAAAATTGCCTTCGTCATGGGGATATTGTACAAATGGGGCAAAAGGACTGCCCTGTTGCTACCAGCTGATACAAAAACATACACACTATCTCCCCCTTGCATCTGAAATTCAAGTCGTCATGCCCTAATGGGATGAAGCTTCTTAGTTTCCTTGGGCAGAAATTTCCCCAAGATTTCCCTAGTAGTCAGTTGCTTTGTTTAATTGCAGGAGGATGTAAATCTCATTGCTATTCTCAGCTACCTAACTGAGAAGACAATGTTCACCATTTGCTTGCCCTCTGACATTCAGATCAGACGTGCAGGTATGGCAAAGAGAGAGAATCTTCTGAGAGTGAATCAGTCTTACCCCTTTTCTTGCAGAGTCCCCACTACTAGATTCAACCTGGAAAAACAGTGTGCAGCCAGGTTTGTCTCCAGAGCTCCACTGTTATGACTCTTCAAAAAGATATGTTAAAGTTCTGACCCACAATACCTGTGAATGTGACTTAATTTGGAAATAGAGTCTTTGCAAAGGAAATCAAGTTAAGGTCAGTTTATTAGAGTAGACTCTAATTCGATATGACTGATATCCTTATGAAAACAGAAAACTTGACACAAATGATAGAGGTAATGCTGTATGAAGGTGGAGGCAGAGATTAGAATCATGCATCTACAAACCAAGAAACTTCTGTGGCTGCGAGATGCTAGAGGAGGCAAGAAAGGATCCTCCTTTAGAGGCTTCAGAGAGAGCATGGCCTTACCAAGACCTTGATCTCATTTTTGTTTTTTTCTTCCAAATTATATTTTAGGTTCAAGGGGTACATGTGCAGGTTTCCTATATAGGTAAGTTGTGTGTCACCAGAGGTTTGGTGTACAGATTATTTCATTGCCCAGGTAATAAGCATAGTACTCAAAAAATATTTTTTCAATCCCCACCCTCCTTCCACTTTACATCCTTGAATAGGCCCTAGTGTCTATTGTTCCCTTCTTTGTGTCCATGTGTACTCAGTGCTTAGCTCCCACTTATAAGTGAGAACATGTGGCATTGGGGTGGTTTTCTGTTCCTGTGTTCATTCACTTAGGATAATAGCCTCCAGTTCCACCCATGTTGCTGCAAAGGACATGATCTCGTTCTTTTTTTATGGCTGCATAGTATTCCATGGTATATATGTGCCACATTTTCTTTCTCCAGTCTACCATTTATGGGCATTTAGGTTAATTCTATGTCTTTGCTATTGTGAATAGTGCTGGGACAAACATTTGCCCTTATTTGTCTTTATGGTAGAACAATTTCTATTCCTTTGAGTATATACCCAGTAATGGGAGTGCTGAGTTGAATGACAGCTCTGTTTTATGTTTTTTGAGAAATCTCCAAACCACAGTTTGGAAATGTAAACTGGCTGAACTATTATAGTTTATATTCCCACCAGCAGTGTATAAGCATTGTCTTTTCTCTACAGCCTTACCAGCATCTGTTGTTTTTTGATTTTTTTTTAAATATCCATTCTGACTGATGTGAAATGGTATCTCACTGTGGTTTTGATTTGCATTTCTCTAATGATTAGTAATATTGAATTTTTTTATATGCTTGTTGGCTGCATGTATGTCTTCTTTTGAAAAGTGTTTGTTTATATATTTTGCTCATTTTTAATGGGGTTGTCTTTTGCTTGTTGATTTGTTTAAGGTCCTTATAGATTGTGGATATTAGACATTGTCAGAGGCATAGTTTGCAAATATTTCCTCCCATTCTGTAGGTTGTCTGTTTACTTTGTTGATAGTTTCTTTTGCTGCGCAGCAGTCCTTTAGTTTAATTAGGTTCCATTTGCCGATTTTTGTTTTTGTTGCAATTGCTTTTGGCATCTTTGTTGTGAAATCTTTGCCAGGGCCTATGTCTAGAATGGTATTTCCTCTGATATCTTCTAGAGATTTTATAGTTTTAGGTTTTACATTTAAGTCTTTAACCCATCTTGAGTTGATTTTTGCTGTGCAGAAGCCCTTTAGTTTAATTAGGTCACACTTGTCAATTTTTGTTTTTGTTGCAATTGCTTTTAGGGACTTAGCCACAAATTCTTTGCCAAGGAGGACGGTATTTCCTAGGTTTTCCTCTATGATTTTTATAGTTTGGAGTCCTAAATTTAAATCTTTAATCCATCTTGAGTTAACCTTTGTAGATGATGAAAAGAAGGTGTCTAGCTTCAGTCTTTTGCATATGGCTAGCCAGTTATCCCAGCAATATTTATTGAATAGAATAGTCCTTTCGCCATTTCTTGTTATTGTTTACTTTGTCGAAGATCAGATGGCTATAGGTGTGTGGCTTTATTTCTGGGTTCTGTAATGTGTTCCATTGGTCTTTGTGTCTGTTTTTGTATCATTACCATCTGTTTAGGTTACTGTAGCCTTGTAGTATATTTTGCATTTGGGTAGCATGATGCTTCTGGCTGGTTCTTTTTGCTTAGGATTGCTTTGGCTATTTTGGTTCTCTTTTGATTCCACATGAATTTTAGAATAGTTTTTAGGAGATATACCTAATGCTAAATGACGAGTTAATGGGTGCAGCACACCAGCATGGCACATGTATACATATGTAACAAACCTGCACGTTGTGCACACGTACCCTAAGACTTAAAGTATAATAATAATAAATTTTTTTAAAAAAAGAATAGTTTTTTCTAAGCCTGTGAAAAACATTGCCAAAACAATGTACAGATTCAATGCTATTCCTATCAAACACCTTGAGTTTGGACTTCTAGCTTCCAGAACTGTGAGACAATAAATTTGTGGATTTTGTTTTCTGTGTGTGTGTGTGTTTGTGTGTCTTTTTAAGAGATGGCATCTTGCTCTGTCAGTTAGGCTGTAGTGCAGTGGTAGGATTACAGTGCACCGCAGCCTTGAATTCCTAGGCTCAAGAAATCCTCCAGCCTCAGACTCCTGAGTAGGTGGGATTATAGGCACCCGCAACCCAACCCAGCTCAAATTTCTGCTGTTTGAAGCCACCAGTTTGTGGTAATTTGTTATAGCAGCCCTCAGAAACTAATACACCTATCTCCTCATCTGCACCTCTTCTCTTACTCAGACATCCTTTCCTCTCTAATCCCTTTTTCAAGAAGATCTTTTCTGACCTCAAAGCCTCAGAAAAGAATGGGAACTAAAACTCATTTACACTGAGTACATTAAGGTACATATAACCTAAAAAGAGCATGAAATGTTGGCCCTCACTGGCCCTTGACCTCAGGGGTGGTAAGCTACGCTTTTACACTAAAGGAACTGCTGGAGCAGTGGATGCAGTACTAGCTTGGGGTCAGTAGACCTCTCTTGGCTTCCCAGTTTTTCCACCTGCCAAAACAACATAATCTCACGGACCCCTTCTGGATTTGACATTTGTCGGTTCTTTGAGTCTATAAATGTAGCCCCAACAGTGGAGTCTCTGATTTTCCTTTGGGGGAAGGAATGATACTGCCATATATAGTGGCTTCTGGTTCTACTAAAATCATTTCAGTGATTCTCTGTTTTTCTTTGTTGCTCCCCACTCAAGCCCTCACTTGTTCTCTCCAGACTGTTATTAATATTTGCTAAGGATATTATTCCTCTTGGCCCACCACTCACAGCCAGCCAGAGTTATCTTCTGGTTTTATTTATACCATTTCCCTGTTTAAGCCAGTCTATCATTCCCAAATGATGACACATCAGTGACCACACTTCTTACCCAACGACTCAATGGTACTTATAACCAAGGTTCTTTGTCTCTCCAGACTCCTTTCCCACCACATCCTTTTATATACCCCACACTTGAGTCACGGGGCTCACCTCCTCATTTTATAAGCATATTTAGGCTTCTGCCCTTGTTTGATACTGATAAGGCTCTCCCTTTAATATGAAATACCCTGCCATCATGTTCCTCTATCGCTATTCTACTTATCTTTCAAGGACAACCTCCTAATTGGATGTAATTTCACTTTACTCTTGTTGAACACATTTCATCTGTATTCCAACTTTTCTTTTATTACAATCTACTATTTATGAATCAGTCTCACCAACTAGCTGCAACCTCCTTGAGAGCAGATACTGTGTTGTACTCATCTTTATTCCCTCATAGCACCTACTATAGTGTCTGGTACATGACATAGTTTATGCACCGAATATGCTAAAGGCAATCATCTTTTTTATGTAGCCAGATAAAATGTTCTCATTGACCCTGAAAACTTCTATTTTATTTCATGCTTAGCTACAGTTTGCCAACAAAAAAAAAAACAGAATAAAGCTAAGCAAGTCACAGAGAAGTTATGAAGCTTACACATTTACAGATCTCACCATCCTTCACACCTATCCTATACTTCTTGACTTCTTGCTGAATTAGAAAATGGCAGTCCTACTCCATCTTCTCTTTATCATGAGTCTGTGCTCATGAAGTTCCCTTGTGACTATGCAGTTAGACAGCATCAAAGATAATAGTAGAAAAACTGTGAAAAGAAATATTGTCTATGTGCTTATTTTTGAGAGAACCTAGAAAGATGGGATTTGTGGGAACTGTATCTGATGCAGAGCTAGTTTGGTGCAGAAGAGAGAACTCAAAGAAATTTGGAGCTGTGGGACACAAAGAAGAAATGATACTCGGAGGAATTCTGGATTTGGGAAGGAGCCTAGGCCTTCTAGTAGATGAGCTCATATTAACACCCTTAATGCATACTCTCCTTACTCTGCAGCCTCAGGAAGGCCTAGGCCAGACCAGGTGGTCCTGCAGGATTATTGTTGAAGTGTTGCAATCTAGTCACTAAAGATACAATAGTACGGTCTTATCCAACAAGAACCTAGAGAGGCAACCCCATTCCTTTTTCTGGCCAAGCTGATCTCAGTTTCTAGAGTGCGAAGAGCAGGACAAGTCAGGACCGTATGCTGGCCTGAGCTGAAAGATAGGCATGGACTGAAAAGCAGTGATTTTGAAAACTGTTTGCATGTGTTGCATGCTGTGAGAAGCTCTTCAATCTCCACACATTTCTTTTTGGTCCCTGCTCTACTTTCCCCACTTTCATGACATAAAAGCAAATGGTCCCATTATCTTGTAAACACAAAATAGCTAATTTTTCTCAGAAGTTTCAGTGTCTATGCCTTGCCACTTGAGAACTCTTACTTATCTCTAAGACATACTGTAAGAGCAGAGTAGGGAGGAGGTGTGGTGAGGAAGATGCTCACCTTTCCTCCCCTCACCTTCTCTTACATCCACCTCAACCTAAGGCCTGGATTGGGCTTCAAGTCTAGAGAATGTACATCTTCCTTAGTAGATTTCCAACTGTGTGGCAGTCTGGGGCAGATCCTGACTCTCACAGTCCTACCTAGGGAAGTAGTGGTCTGGCTGGGCTCCATGGCCTTGCCACATCCATCGTGGCAGCTGTAAAGTAGCAGGTGCAAGGGAGGCTTCTAGATAAATGGGCCTGAGGGAGGGCACATCAAAAATGCAGGACTTCCAGGGCTGCGGCAGGTGCCCAGAAATGATGAGAAGACCGTGGCAGAGGCCTGGGGCTTGGATGAAAAGGCTGCAGATTATGAAAAAGAGATAGTAATAGTTCAAAAGATATAGTGGATATCACAAAAATGGGCAGTAGGTGCCAGCAAAATACCTCAGAAAGGCTGGACAGAATTAGCCACACCTCAGCAGACAGCAGTCCAGGGTGTCCCAAAATGAGGCCGGGCCACCCAAGCACCAAAGAGACCAACGAGGAAACTCATTGCTCACAGGCCTGGCTCTGTTACCTTCAGGAGAATAAGTGCCTTCTATGCCTCCTCCCCTACTCCCAGTCTGTGCCTCCCTCCTCTACTTCTACCTGCCATCTTCAGAAGGAAAACAAAGGAGTCGTCTTGTGAAAGAAACAAAACAACTATTTGGGGAGTTTAAATTTGGAATTCACTGACTATGTATCCAAAAGAGGTTGAATTAGGAAAGAAGAAACCACTTAAAATTAGCCAAGTCTGAGATATATTTAATTAGCATAAATTTTTATATATATGAATTTAATTGGCTTACATTTTCTTATGACATCAGCAGGAGTGAGAACTCAAAAATAATATGTAGTTGGCTATAGATAAAAATGAAAGTTTAATTTTTTTGCACATCTGCACTGCAGTATGTAAGTTTTTACTCTCTCTTTTACATATGTCTGACATTAAGACTATCTTTGTATTATATCCCATATCAGATGATAGACGTTTACAAAACAAATGTTTATTAGCCTAGAGTTTTTACCTTGAACGGGAGTCACATTATCACCACCATGTCCTTTGCTCCTCTGTAACCTGGATGGTGGCTGTTGCCATGCAGCCCAGCTTGATGGAGCACTCATCTCTTTTTCTCATTCCTGAAAGAAGCTTCCTCCCCACAGAGCATTACTGACTAAACAGACAAAGTTTAGTCTATTACATTATTTGGTAGGGTGCAAACACAAAGTAATTCTATTATCAGCCAATAACTTACCTGTTAACTTACTTTGTTGAGTCTTTTTAAATTTTCCACTACCAGAGGAAATCTCAAGCAAACTTTGTAAGATTTCCAATCACTTTCAGGTATTAATTAAGTAGTCTTCTCTTCAGATAGGAATGAAAGGAAGAAAGAGAGAGAGACAGAAAGAGAGAGAGAGAGAGAGAGAAGGAGGGAGGGAGGAACAGAAAGAGAAAGCAAGCAAGCAAAAAGCAAATCTGGTTCTTTTTATAGGGTGACTTCCTCATATGACAGCCTCCTTCTTGCCTCTCTCTCAGCACAGGGCTGACTTCTGCTTGGAAGCCTGCAGCAGAGAAAGAGGAGATCTTGTTAGTTTTCTCTCTCTTTTTGCTTCACTTCCTTCCCAACCCATTAGCTGCTATTTTGGGTCCCTAAAGAAGGAGCAGGGGCAGGACAAGAGGGTTAACAATGAAGGATAAAGTCTTTCTTAAGAAGGCAGCTACAGTGGGGCTGGTGTCCCTTGAGTGAGTGCCCTGTCGCCTGCTGCCTCTCTAGCAACCCTTCTGTAGCTTCTTCAGAGACTCATCCACCTGCTGTTCCCTGATGCTATGATGCCTCTGGCCAACTACTTATAATGCCCCTACTGCTCCTGGACCTTCCTCACAGAGTTCCTCTTGAGGGGTCACCTCACTCTCCCAGCCATGCTCTGTGTAGCGTCACCTTCAAGAAGATCCAGTCTGGTCCACATAAGATCCTAGAAAACATGCATCTTTCCTGTGTGAAATTTGACCAGCCTGGGCAGCATAGCGAAACCCCATCTCTACAAAAAAAAAAAAAATACAGAAAAATTAGCCAGTTGTGGTGGCATTCACCTGTGGTCCCAGTTACTCAGGAGGCTAAGGTAGGGGACTCACTTGAGCCTGGGAGATCAAGCCTGCAGTGAACTGTGATCGCACCATTGCACTCCAACCTGGGTGACAGAGACAGACACTGTCCCAAATTAATAAATAAATAAATAAATTTGAGTGCACAGGAGATTCCTGACACAGCTCCAGCCAGCTGCTCACCTTCACATGCTTACAGATATGAGCCAGCTACCAGACCAGGTCCCTCTAAACTTCAGTGGACCTGAGCAGAAATTTCTTATGGATTTTCCAAGTCCCTCTCTTAGTTCATTTAGGGGAAGGTAGAAGAAAGTACACAGTACACTAAAAACTTTACTTAAGAAAATTAAATATGTATTTAATTAATACATATTTCTTATTAATGAATGAGTTCTTGGCATTGTCTAACAAAGCCCAGATGGGCAAGATGGACTAATGATGGCAGTGACCAGTTTTATAAAATTTGAACATGTCCTGAACAAATGCTCCAGCACTTATTTTTCCAGGCCTTGGGGCTTCTGCCAGAATTGATACCATTATTTATAATGGTTAATTTTTAATATTATAATTAATTATTATTATTTTTTAATTATACTTTAAATTCTAGAGTACATGTGCACAACGTGCAGGTTTGTTTTATATGTATACATGTGCCATGTTGGTGTGCTGCACCCATTAACTCATCATTTACATTAGGTATATCTCCTAATGCTATCCCTCCCCACTCCCCCCACCCGACGACAGGCCCCGGTGTGTGGTGTTCCCCTTCCTGTGTCCATGTGTTCTCATTGTTCAATTCCCATCTATGAGTGAGAACATGCGGTGTTTGGTTTTTTGTCCTTGCGATAGTTTGCTGAGAATGATGGTTTCCAGCTTCATCCATGTCCCTACAAAGGACATGAACTCATCCTTTTTTATGGCTGCATAGTATTCCATGGTGTATATGTGCCACATTTTCTTAATCCAGTCTATCATTCATGGACATTTGGGTTGGTTCCAAGTCTTTGCTATTGTGAATAGTGCCACAATAAACATATGTGTGCATGTGTCCTTATAGCAGCATGATTTATAATCCTTTGGGTATATACCCAGTAATGGGATGGCTGGGTCAAATGGCATTTCTAGTTCTAGATCCCTGAGGAATCGCCACACTGTCTTCCACAATGGTTGAACTAGTTTACAATCCCACCAACACTGTAAAAGTGTTCCTATTTCTCCACATCCTCTCTAGCACCTGTTGTTTCCTGACTTTTTAGTGATCGCCATTCTAACTGGTGTGAGATGGTATCTCTTTGTGGTTTTGATTTGCATTTCTCTGATGGCCAGTGACGATGAGCATATTTTCATGTGTCTGTTGGCTGCATAAATGTCTTCTTTTGAGAAGTGTCTATAATTAATTATTAAGTATGGATTGATTAGAATGTTTATTAAACAAATATTAAGAATAGATACTGTACTAATAGTTGCAAGAATACAATAGGGACTATGAGTAAATAATTATCCCAAGTTTCTTTTTTCTTTTATTTATTTATTTTTTTTTTTGAGATGGAGTCTCGCTCTGTTGCCCAGGCTGGAGTGCAGTGGCACCATCTCCGTTCACTGCAGCCTCTGCCTCCCAGGCTCAATCAATTCTCCTGCCTCAGCCTCCTGAGTAGCTGGGACTGCAGGTGCATGCCGCCACACCCAGCTAATTTTTGTATTTTTAGTTGTGACATGGTTTCACCATGTTGGCCAGAATGGTCTTGATCTCCTGACTTTGTGATCTGCCTACCTTGGCCTCCCAAAGTGTTGGGATTACTGGCGTGAGCCACCGCGCCCATCCCATCCCAAGTTTCTTACATTTATATTGTAGCATTCAAAAGTACTGCCTTTTAATATGGTGCTTGTGTGTTAAAGACTATGTTTAAACCAACTCTAATTCTTGTCCTCCTCTTTTCTGAGCCTAGGACAGTGCTTGGTTCACAAGAGATAATCACTAAATATTTGTGGTTAAATTAGTAATATTCAATAAAAATTGTATTACCAACTTTGAGAGCACTGAAATAAGGGGTGAAGGAGGATAGCCCCAGTCTGCTCTTCTTTTCCCCCCTCCTCCTAAATGCATTTAGCCATCTCCTGTATCATTATTATCTCTTTATTCCATTTCCAACCTGTTTTCAAGAATAGGTGATGAACACCAGTTAATAAAAGAGGAGTGAGGAGCTGAAAATAGGAAACTACACCCTACCCCTGCCCCCGAGACCACGTGTGACAGAAATGATGTGGACACAGAGAAGATTGGCAGACCCTCAAGAAGAGAAATCGGTGTGGGGGGTCTGGGTAGAACAGATGGTTTGCTCAATCACACGGATTAAGGAAAATCATCATCTCCTTGGTAAGGAAGGATTGGAATTTCACAGTACAATATTCTCAAGGCTAAGTAGGGAGTGCTCATGAGAAAACTGTTCATGTGACTCCTTACAAAACTCAAATTTTGCGCTGGTGTAATGTTTTCCATTCAGGGGCAGCAAAGTGCAGTGATGTCTAGTAACCCTCATGATACTTCCCATGCCAGGCCAGCTCATGGGACAGCTCCTCTTTCCTCTTCATTCACGGGTTCTGTACTGAACCATTTATTCTGACATTATGAGAATGTGGGCTTTCAACATGAATATGTATCCAATGACCCTACTTTGGGGCACAATGATGCCTGGGCAAAGCTAATTAGCCTTTGGAAGTGAGCTGGCCTCTTTGCGGGGTGCTTCCAGAGTGCTTCTGAGGCATGACCCTGTAAGCTATTTGCTTTCCTGTCATTTATGATTTCCCATTTAAAAGAGCAACATGAATGTGGATTAAGCAAGATTAAATTAATTAAACATTCAGTTTTTAAAAGGAAGAAATGAAAACTGATCATCCTAGCAAAAAAAAAAAAAAAAAAAAAAAAAAAAAAAAAAAGTATAGATCTAGTCAACAAAGCTACCAAGAAAGGACCCATCTATCTTGTACAGGGTCCCACAGCTAGTAAGTTACTGAGTGGGAATTTGAAGCCAAGTCTGCCTGCGTTCAAAACCTATGCTCATAGCCTCTGCACTGTAATGCTGCTTTTTAAAGATGGTTCCAGGAAAGTCCAGAAAAGCACAGGTAGAAGTTCCAGGGCAGAGCACACCAGGGACACAAGGACAGCTAGGGCTGATTTTGCTGCTAGCAGGATGTGGTCAGCAAGTCTGGGTTCAGCCCGGGCTCCCTAGACAGGGAGGCTTGCTGAGTTTCCTCCCTGTGGACTCCCGTCTTTGGGCTGCCATCATCTGTTCTCTGTCCTCTCTTGGATCCCTCATTGCAGATACCTGAAGAATGAAAAACCATTGCTATTTTGTCATGACCCTGAGGGAGGCCACAGCCCAGGTGTCCTGTCCGCTCTGCAGCATCCACAAGGGCCCAGGCTGACAGGGTTGGTGCTGGAGTTTTAAGTCCTAAGCCCTTAGAACCTCTTTTCCGTGAGTGATTGGATTTTTCTTTGCCATAAACAATCCTAAGATTGGTGATATAAAAAAAGTATTAATAATAACCAACCATAAGTTATGGATCTATTAACAGGTGATGTGACTCAGCGTCTACAGTTATAGAGAGCTTATGGTCTCTGGGGCAACCTATTCTATCTTTTTTTTTTCTCATGATGGGTTTAAATTTTTTTTTTATATATAGTTGTTCCTTATTGTACATGGATACTCAGTTCTTGCATATGTGAAAATTTTGCCCTCTGTATTTGGTTGAAAAAAATCTGCATATTAGTAGATGGACCTGCCAAGTTCAAACCTGTGTCAACTGTAGTTTCCATACGTACGTGGTGTTTTCTCCTCAGAAATCCCACAAAACAATTTTATTTTAAATGCCTGAAGACAGTGCTTATGTTCCCTGAACCCCAAGTCCTGGATCTATTTCTCATATGACATAATGTTGAGCTTCTCTTCTATCTTGGTCACCATTGGGGAGGGAGAAGGGACACAGCGAGAGCAACAGAAGGGAATCAAAGCGATTATTTAGAGGTGTTTGCAGATGTACACAAGAAAGAGCAACCAAACCCATCAGAACCCTGCTTATAAAACATCAGCCCTGGAGAGGCCCAGTCATTCTGTAACTGTCTCAGAATGTCAGTCCCAGCCACCAGAAAACACAATGTGGACAAGGACTAGAGCCAAGAGATGGCATTTATGGTGAGTCTAAAGCCTCGGTGATGTTCTATCTCACAATACAATCATTCATGCATTCATTTGTTGAGTCAGCAATCATTTATTACATTCTAAGCACTTGATGTATAAAGGGGAGCAATTTGGATGGTTTTCTACTCTCACAGAGCCATAATTGACATACTCAACTATTTACCCAAGGGGTTTCACCTTGATGCCAAACCAGCAGGACATGAAGCTTGCCCTTCCTGAGAGGGCCCCTCAGAGTGTCTTCTAGCTTTTGTTGTGTGTCATGTATTGACGTCCTCCAGACAGGTATCTACTTCCGCACAGCTTTGGGCTTCCCCAACCTGTGCCTCCCATTCCACCTCCCTCTTCTTGCCGGTCCTCTTCTTGATAACCTCTTCTCAATTCCCTAAATCCCTCAGCTTCTGAAACTTCTTCCTTCACTCTCTTCTCATACCCTGGTTTGTGCCTGGTCATTGCCCAGAACAGCTTCTCTGAAACCTCAAGCACTTCTCTCCAAATCTCTGAACAACTTCCTATACCTTGAACTTTCTAACACTCTCCTTTTCCCCAGCACTTCCTCACTGAGGTTCCCTTTCCCAGAACTTATTTCTGTTTTCACTTTACATCAGCCCATGTCCTGATCTTCTCTAAGCCTCATACACCAGTTGGGCGGGCCCCTCAGCTTGATCTCTGGCTTTATGGGCCTCTCACACCAGCCTTCTGTCTGCAGCCTGAGAAGATTCCACAGCTGGGCACATGGATGCTGCTTACAAATGCAAGTTTTTCTACCCAGTGCTGAAAACAGATAGTTTACTTATCTTTTTCAGACTCGCTTTCCTTTTAGTGATTATTTCAGACCTTTACCACTTTTTAGAAGCTGCCAGCCAATACAGCCTACTTGCTCACATTAAGTAACTTTTATCCTCCAAACACAGTAAGTTTTAGGTACGTTCTTCTACCTCCTATTGAAGTCCTCCTCTGCTCTCTCTGGTGCAGTGGTCTCTTAATGGGTCTTAATGACCCATTACTGGTCTTCATCCCAATTCCTGCTCAGTGCTGCAGCCAAAATACACACCTTAAATGTGTAACACCCTTCGGTGGCTTCTTGTGTCCTGTGGGATAGTGTCCTTCCTGGCTAAAAAGCTTCCTTTTCCTTTCTTCATGTTCTCACGCCTGTTCATAAAATACTATATTGGGAGGAAAAGTTTTCTTTTTCTTTTCTCTTCTTCTTTCACTCAATTTTCCACATGGAATGGGGAAAATATATTTCTGAATCATGAAGCCTGTGTTTGCTAATGGGTTTGTCTGCCCTCAAGCCACACAAAGTCTTTTCTTTTCCAAGGGTAAACTCTGTTGTGCACATCTAGCTCCTGAAGAATGGAGGTAAATGCATAAAGCCTTAGATCCCAGTGGCAGTCTAATGTAGTTCATCAACAGTAAAGATGATATTTTGAACCTTTTCTGAATTCTGTACCTATTACTGTGTCACTTCAGAATCTAGAGAGGGAAGGATGTGAATAGTTAGCATTTACAAACTCATTCATGATATACCCTCCATTATCTGGCTCTTGTTGCTACTTGCATATCATCTAGTGTCTTTACCTTTCAACATCAAGAAGCCCTGGCCCCTGATCACTAAGCAGGCTGTAATCCAGTCATTCCAAACTACCTGTGGTTCCTTGAATAAGTAATGCTGTTTCACTTGTCTGCATATGCATAGCAAAATCTTTTCCTATTCTGATTCTCCACTTAACTCATCCTAAACCCCTGCTCAAGTATCATCATTGCTGTGAAGTCTTCTCTGATTAGCTCCAAACATAGTAACCATTTCCTCCAAGGTTTCATTTCTTTTTCTTATTTTAGAGATGTGATCTCACTCTGTCACTCAGGCTGAGGTTCAGTGGCCTGATCATAGTTCACTGCAGCCTCAAACTCCTGGGCTCAAGCTATCCTCCCAGTTCGGCCTCCCAAAGTGCTGGGATTACAGATATGAGCCACCTCGCCTGGCCTCCAAAGTTTGTTATACTTTTCTCTCTTAACAGTGGTTTCCACATGTTATTGCAATTACTAGACCATATATTTTTACAGTGCAAAACTATCCCTTGTTCCTTCATGTACTGCCTCCACCCATCACATTGCCTGGCATTCATGAGTGCTAAAAACTTTTCATTGAATACAATACTAAGTAAATGAAGAAATGTGGGATTAAAAATGAATGCCTACAATGAACCAAGCTTTCTGCTGAGTTACCTGAATATTACAAAGAAGCAAAAATTATTACTGTAGAGGAACAATTACCCTGCTTGGAATGCAGAGATTATGTCAGCATACAAAATTGATTGCTTGATCAATCTGGAGTAGAATAGCTCATGAAGCATAGCTATACTTAATAATATAGCAAAGCAGAGGGGCCTGAGAGGGTCTTACTGCTTAATCTCTGTCCATCATGTCTTAGACCTACAGACAACTTGAGTTCAATGATTATGATGCCCCTCACCTCAGGGATCTGTTTCCATCCAGCTTCCAAAGATGGGCATACACCAGCACAAGCATAGAAAAATAACAAATCTGTATATTGGACCCTCTGCTTAGCAGTGAGAAAGCAGGTTTGAAGACAATAAAGCCAGGCCTGTATGTGGAGATTGGCACCATGACCCTGGATTATGTTTTATGGGATATGCCTCCAAGGGCAACTCTGCATTTATCCCATGGCCTCTGGCTTCCAAATTTTCTAGGCACTTCCCTCTGGGGTAAAGGAATCAAAATTGGCTTATTTCCCTTGCAAACCATCCTTGGCGACTAAGTACTGCCTTGTCTTCTACTGAGAGATGGCCATATTTTTGGCACCTGCCTTTCCTTGTGGGAGGTGTTTCCTCTGTTTACATAGCAAAGGGGCTGTAGGAGAGACAGACGGAGCTGGACTTACAGCAGAACCAAGTCATGATAGCCTGTTTCTATTTTGTTTTCAGCATTTTTCCGCCAGTTCTGGCCACCTCCTTTCCTCTGGAACATGCTGATTTCAGCAAGTCCAGCTCTGTCAGCTCTGCCCCCCGAGTCTATTGGTTTCTGATCATCTGATAATGCTTTGCCTGCACTCAGGACCTGTCTTTGTCCCTCCTCTTAACATACTTGCAGCTAAAACTAAATATTGCTGCTTGGGGACCTCCTTCTAGCCTTAAATTTCAGCTCATCACCTTCACCTGCCTTGGTCATGGCTCTGCTATTCTCCTTGATCCTTGGTGAGTATCTCTGCACCTGTTGGTTTAGGCTTCAGAGTTTTCTGGCACTTTGATTAGGAGAACTTTCTCCCCGCCAACCTGGAACAGATTTAGATGTTTTTCAAGGATGAGCTTCTTCCTCCTTTTTACATTTGGTAACTATTCTAATCCTTAAAAAGCCGCTTAATCCATACACATTTGTAATTCACTTTAACAGATTTTTTTCTATTTTCTTATATTTGTAATGACAGAGTCATGATAGTTTATCCCATTTCTCTTTTTACATAAGTGTTCCTAAATGTACTATTAGTAAGAAGACAAATGAATGGGCACCGGGCAGCAGCAAGTAGAGCCAGGAAAGGAAGTAGAACTGCAAGACAATCACCTTTCATTGATCATATTGTCTGGTTTCCTCTGAAAAGTGTTTCATATAATGTTTTTCTAGTTTTCTTCAGTTTCTCATTGCTTAGAGTAATCTAGAGATTAACCTAGTTAATCTGGTGATTGTGGAGCCAAGGAGACCTGGATTTCAATCCTGCCGTTTTGATTTCTTAGCGGTGTGAATTCGTAGGTTACCATACCTCTCTGAAATTTTGCTCTCTCATCTATGAAGTGAGGATAATATTATGTTCCTCAGAGGTTTTTAGGAGTATTTTTTTTTATAAGATAACTAATATAAAGCATCTAACAATGCCTGGTAAATCCCTATGCTAATCAATCACATCCACTTTTATGTCTTGATGATCTAGTACATCACCAAAGCCCACACAATCCTCTCAACTGGACACTTTTGTGTTCAATGTAAGGTACTGACCACATCTTAAACATCCATGCATCCCCCACATCACTCAACGGCTAGTCCTGCCCCTCATGGATATACTACTGGGTCTTCCAGGCTCATGTGCACTTCCACCTGCTTCATGAAGCCTTTCTGGCCTGTGCCTTCTGCAGTTACCCACCCTACTGCAGAGCTTCCAAGTCACTTACTGGCTATATCACGTTTGCACCTGCATATCAGGCTTGCCATGCTCACTTTCCTTCACATGTACACATGTTGGGTTGGGGTTATGCAATGATTCCCATATGTATAATATAACCTTGAGTTTTGGATAGTTGCAGAAAAGGCCTCATTGAGCCTGAGAGTGGCCACATTCTGAAGATTAAGGGAATGAGGGTAATGAGAGGTTATTTGGAAACCAAGAAAAGAAAATATTCCAGGATAAACCACTGAACTACTTGAATCTGCCTGAAAAACTGTAGGCTGGAGGTCCAAAGATATTTGCACCTTCTGAAAAATCCTATAAGATGGGGGTGGTGGGTGTTTTGCAGTTGAAAATGCATAGGCCTCAGGGACTCCTGGAGGTTACAGGGCCCAGGACTCTCTACAGCATTAGGAGGGACCTTATGGAGAAAGGAGTCCAAATATACAGAGATCCTGCAGGAAGAAACCCCCATGTTTTAAAGACAGGCTGGTGCTGGAATCTGGAGGTTTGGAACTACATATAGAGCTACTTCCTGAGCTATTCATCTAAATCAGCTAAAACAGCCTGCAAGCTGATAATGAGGTTTGTATTTTTAAATGGTAGGAAAAAAGCAAAAGAGAAATACTATTTTATGACACATGAAAATGACAAAAAATTTAAATTTCAGTGTCTAATAAAGGTTTAATGGAACATAGCCGTCCTCACTTGCATACATATATGTGGCTGTTCTCAGGCTACAATGGCAGAGCTGAGTGGTTGCAACAGACACTGTATGGCCCACAAAACTGAAAATATTACTGTCTGGCCTCTTACAGTAAGAGTTTGCTTACCTGGTCTAAATGCTGTGCCGATGAACACAGGCATATCCTGCCCCTTTGCCCTAATTTCTGCTCTGCCCACCATGGCATCTTTACCTCCACCGGCCAGTGCATCTTCCCAGTGGCCTCCAGCACTCTTTCCTGTTGAGCCAAGAGGCTGTATCACCACACTTTTCTTCAGGCAGTAACAACCAATCAATCTAATTGACTAGAATAGAAAACCAATCTATCCACCATCACGTGTGAAGAAAGCAGGCTGAACCAGTTAGCTGTGGTGGAATTGGTCTCTGTGATTCCTAGCCAGTGTCCCTGTGTCCTTGGAGGATGGTCATCCCAGAAGAAGAAGGTCCCAACAGGACTGACATTGGAGGCTCTGCATCTACCACTCTTGTCTCACACAGTTCTGTGAAGGCCTTCTAGAGTTGTGTTCTTTGAATAAAGCCTTGGAAATTGACCTCACTCATTTCCTTCTTTCTTCCCCAGCCATTTGCACCAGACCTGGATTCCTAGGTAAGATTTTTGGGGGTTTCTGAGAGGGAGGCCTCAAGCTTAGGAGAGGGAAAATTTTGAAGCTTCTTGAGCCACAGAGAAAGACTTGTTCAAAACAGGCCCAGCAGACTTCCTTTCTGGCTTCCTACCTCACCCACTCAGTCTTGTGTGGGCAGATTTCCACCTCCAGAATTTAGAAGGGTTTGGGTGGTTTATCCTGGCAGGGGGTACCTCTCCCCACTTGGTTTCTGTGGCCACTTGGCCAGCATCCAAGTAAGAGCTGGGTTCATTTCAGGTCTAGAATGCACTTCACTGCCTTATGGGCATACCTGAAAAATGAACTTCCTTTTGGTTTCTTCCTGTTGGTTTCCAGCATATCCAGGTCCCCCTGCCAGGCTTAATGGTGTCTTTGTTTGAATTAGAAATGCATTGTTGCTTGCAGCACATAGCTTGACCAGCAGAGCATAGGCTGGATTTCCTGCTCGGGGAGTCTTTGGGTAATGCACAAATGATAAACCCAAGGAAAGGGTGCACAGAGAGAATGAGTTTATAGAAGAGGGAGGCTATGGGTTGTGGATTATCAGTTTCTTGTATATTATCCTTCCAGTCTCCCCTTCTGCTTGATCATAGAGACTTTACCAGAGAGGGGCAGCCAGAAACATTGCTATTGGTGTGGAGAATCCTATACCCTGATAGATGCAACCTTCCTGGGTTCTCATCTTGACATTCAGATTAGCCCTTCTGTTTCCTCAAGCTGAATTTCTTGTTTTTAAAAAAGTAATTTTTTTTTATTTATTTCTTCTTTCCCTGAATTTCTTGTTTACTTATTTTTTGTTTTTTATTTTTTATTTATTTCTTCTTTCCCATGGCTATTTTAGTCTTCTACCCCATAGAAAATGAAAATTGATTAAAAATTGAGAATTTTGCAATCAGCAAGGAAAGAAAATATCCTGTTAATCCTGATAGCTAGTATTTCTTGGAGTATGCAATAATGCCAATCCAAACTCTAATGTCAGATACAATGACCCCCAAATTATTTACGGTTCATGCTACTCATGAAGATAAAAACGTTTCTGGATAACTGCTCTTACATTATATTTTTACCCAGATCTATAAGCCTTAAACTCAGTTGTGTGAAAATGAAAACTTTTCTTAGTTTTTTACGGTTTATATAAAAGCCCTATTTTTTATGGTTAACTTTTAATTGCTATCTCTAGCCTCCATTTTTATATTTTTTCCCAAAAAAATTTAAGCAAAGGAAAGAAACTAAAAAACAAATGCATGAAATAAACATAAGCTTCCTGATGCAGTTTAAAATTAGCCAGATTAGGCCAGGCGTGGTGGCTCACACCTGTAATCCCAGCACTTTGGGAGGCGAAGGCGGGCAGGTCACGAGGTCAGGAGATTGAGACCATCCTGGCTAACACAGTGAAATCCCGTCTCTACTAAAAATACAAAAAAATTAGCCAGGTGTGGTGGCTGGCGCCTGTAATCCCAGCTACTTGGGAGGCTGAGGCAGGAGAATGGTGTGAACCCAGGAGGCGAAGCTTGCAGTGAGCCGAAATCGTGCCACTGCACTCCAGCCTGGGCGACAGAGTGAGACTCTGTCTCAAAAAAAAAAAAAAAAAAAAAATAGCTAGATTAGAGTTTTCTCACTGAACTACTTCTCTTGGACTGATTCTAAACTCTGGGGACTTTGTGTGCAGTTGTGACAAGTTAGTCTGTGGGAAATCTGGTCCTCAGCAGTCACGTTCTATCCATGCATGCAACCTGGGTCATCCCATGTGGCCCATGTTGGCCCCTATTAAGCTGTTCATCTTCCAATAGGCCATAGACTTCCAGTCCAAACGTGGCCTCTCCTGGTGCACAAGAACTCTCTCAGCTAACCGTCTCTCTCCATGTAAGCATGGCAAATTCAGCCTCTGCTATATTGCTCTGAGGCTGCAGGAGGCTTGGTGGGATTGCCAAGCTTAATATAAGCTTCTTGAGGGCAGAACTCATCACTGTTCTCTGAGTTCACTAACTAACAAACAAACAAAACAGAAATGTAGTACGCACCTAACAAATGTTTGCTGTCTAATAGGCTCTTCCCTGGTCTCCCTACACAGCCATCTCCACTCTCCTTGCATGTCTTGGTGGAAGGAAGAAAATTTCTGTTAGTCTTTTCTTTTTTTCTCTTTTTTTGAGATGGAGTCTTGCTCTGTTGCCCAGGCTGGAGTGCAGTGGCATGATCTCGGCTCACTACAACCTCCAAATCCTGAGTTTGAGCGATTTCTGGCTAATATTTGTATTCATTTATTTATTTTCTTTAGTAGAGACAGGTTTTCACCATGTGGTCCAGGCTGGTCTTAAACTCTTGACCTCAAGAAATTCACTTGCCTCAGCCTCCCAAAGTGCTAAGATTACAGGCATGAGCCATCACACCCCACCTCTGTTAGCTTTTGTACTTCCAGAGTTCTAGTCATGAAACTGAATCAAGTCCTAGATTTCTCACAACTTATCTGGAGACTCCATGAATCCTCTCTTATGCTTCTAGTCCCTGGAATTAGACCAAACTCTTGGGGCTCTGAGACTCTGACTCTTCCCTTTCCCTATGCTCTGTATTTCTCCTGAGATGGGCGCTTGAACAAGGAACAATTTCATAGGAAGCAGCAAGTATGGGCATGGATTGGCCACTGAGAGTGAGAGATAGTTAGGCTGTTCAGCCCGAATTGTACACACTCTGCCTCAATCTGACTTCCATGGAGAGAGACAGAGTCATGAAGAGGAAAAACGCAACAGATATTCTCTTTACACCTCTGTTCTGGCCTGGAGCTTCCACTTTTGGACAATGTAGCCATAGGACCATAACTTTCATGAGGATGATTTTCCTCATCTGTGAAATAATGGGGTGGACTTTATGATCTCTTTAGGGCCTTCTGATTCTGACCGCCAGAGAATCTAAAACTCTGCTGGATCTTCAACCAACCTCTTTTCCTTAATCTTCAATCTGAAAATGCCAGCAGTCATGTCCAGGTATCTTGAAGTAGAGTTTCTTGACAGGGTACCATTAAGGCTGTAGCAGAACCAGAACTCAGACACGGAGTTCTGAAGCTCCTCTTCCTTCCCTTTTCTTCTGATCCCTTATTTCTAGTTCCCCAACACTCTGCACCATTTGAATGGTGGAAGAGTCCCAGATTGACTGAGTACATGCCTAAGGACCCTCTGAGCTCCTCTCAGGCCTCTAGCTAACAACCCGTCTCTTTGCAGCGTCTCCATCTGGAGTGCGGCTGGTGGGGGGCCTCCACCGCTGTGAAGGGCGGGTGGAGGTGGAACAGAAAGGCCAGTGGGGCACCGTGTGTGATGACGGCTGGGACATTAAGGACGTGGCTGTGTTGTGCCGGGAGCTGGGCTGTGGAGCTGCCAGCGGAACCCCTAGTGGTATTTTGTATGAGCCACCAGCAGAAAAAGAGCAAAAGGTCCTCATCCAATCAGTCAGTTGCACAGGAACAGAAGATACATTGGCTCAGTGTGAGCAAGAAGAAGTTTATGATTGTTCACATGATGAAGATGCTGGGGCATCGTGTGAGAGTGAGTATGGCAGGGGTCCCGGACCACTTGCCAGCTGCCATACCCCTCACGGCCACTCTTGTTGGTCTTCATTCCCTACCATAGACGTTCACACAATGGCTAATTGGCCCCTCACCCCCCACATCTCATACTTTCCCAACTGTCAGTGCTGGAGATAAACAATATCCTCACCTAGAACTGCAATTCCTACTTGGTTGAGCAAATGCTTTCATCTTAGTTTCAATCTATATGAGAACTTGTTTCTCTTATTTACACACATGCCAACATGCACACCACTAAACATTTGTTGAATAGAGTATACTGTATCTGGAGCTGGGCATGGAGTTATGGGGGAAGAAATGAGCTCACAAAGTATAATGTATGCTTTTTAAAAAATAGTTTCAGTTTTCCAGGAGTTTATCTTCTAATCAGGTAGAAAGGAGATACTCATAGGAAACTAACACAATCTAATAGACAGGTGGATAGATGATAGAAAGATACATAGACAAACGGATCTGTGCTCCTTTACTTCCCCCCACATACTTGCTTTATATGTATGAGTAGTCTCTTCTCTTTTGTTCATTAGACAGCGATGTGATTGAGGAGCTAGTCCATGGCTCCTCTTTGTCTGCCCACAGAATTTGTTTCTAGGGAAACAGTCACTTTTTGCCTTGACATTGAAGACTCAGTCCTATTTTTTAGAAAGATTGAGGGTTGGGAGCACTAATCTGAGATATTTAGTTCATAACGCCAACAATGAACCAAAAAGCATTTGGTGTTGGATATATCTTGTATGTTATTGTATTTATTTTTAAAAGTCTATACAAGATCTCTTGTGAGGATCAAATGACAAGTTGAACATGAAAACAATTTGAAAAATTAAAATGCTACAGAAATGATAATGATTCAGCTTTGAATTTGGAAGTTACATTTTCTTCATTGATTCCCTCATTCATTCTTTCAGCAGGCATCTATGAGGCAGTGTTAAGCACTTTAGCATGCCTTGTACTGAACACCAAGAACTGTGAGATGTGTCCATTGGGCCGCCTTTACTGAGAAGACCATGTTCTGGCAGAGAACAGACACGCTCTCTTTCTTTCCCCTCAGACCCAGAGAGCTCTTTCTCCCCAGTCCCAGAGGGTGTCAGGCTGGCTGACGGCCCTGGGCATTGCAAGGGACGCGTGGAAGTGAAGCACCAGAACCAGTGGTATACCGTGTGCCAGACAGGCTGGAGCCTCCGGGCCGCAAAGGTGGTGTGCCGGCAGCTGGGATGTGGGAGGGCTGTACTGACTCAAAAACGCTGCAACAAGCATGCCTATGGCCGAAAACCCATCTGGCTGAGCCAGATGTCATGCTCAGGACGAGAAGCAACCCTTCAGGATTGCCCTTCTGGGCCTTGGGGGAAGAACACCTGCAACCATGATGAAGACACGTGGGTCGAATGTGAAGGTAATGCCTGTGCGTCCAAAGACTAGGTTTATTCATGGATTTAATTATGTGGAATCTCATTCAAACAGTATTTACAAAGAGCTACTAACGCACCAAAGGACCATTGCAAACTTATTTAACTGGGCAGATAATTAATTCCTTTGTTTTTCAAATGGAGATAATAATACCCAACTTTGTATCTGAAAATGCTTTTAATATTAAGCACTATATTAACATGAACTCTCATTAGTTTGAATTCTATATTGTAGGAACAAGGTACATCTTTTTATGTATCTGTTAAGTTCTTCAATTTTTAAAACTTCTTAGAATGTCATTTATAAATATTAGATTTATAAAATAGACGGGGAAGTGAAAATATCTTTGTGAGAGAAGTCGACCTGGACAACAGAGGTTAGAACATGATGGAGAGCTACAGAAGGAGCTCTAATCACAGAAATACATGTGGAGAGTTTCAAATGTGCTGATGGGGCTTGGTAAGCATGTAGATGATCTTCTTGGCCAGATGCAGTGGCTCATGCCTATAATACCAGCACTATGGGAAGCCGAGGTGGGAGGAGCACTTGAGCCCAAGAGTTTGAGACTAGCCTGAGCAACATATGGAAAACCCTGTCTCTTAAAAAAAAAAAAAAAAAAAAAAGCTGAGCTTTGTGGCATGCACCTGTAGTCCCAGCTACTCGGGAGGCTGAGGTGGGAGGATCACTAGGGCCCTCGAGGTTGAGGCTGCAATGAGTGGTGATCACACCACTACACTCCAGCCTGGGCAACAGAGTGAGACGATGTCTCAAAACAAACATACAAAAAATACAAAATGAAAAAATTTTAAAAATAAATGATCTTATTTTTTCTCCTTTCCCTTCCTGTCTCCAACCCCTGACTTCCTCCCCCATCCTGCAGATCCCTTTGACTTGAGACTAGTAGGAGGAGACAACCTCTGCTCTGGGCGACTGGAGGTGCTGCACAAGGGCGTATGGGGCTCTGTCTGTGATGACAACTGGGGAGAAAAGGAGGACCAGGTGGTATGCAAGCAACTGGGCTGTGGGAAGTCCCTCTCTCCCTCCTTCAGAGACCGGAAATGCTATGGCCCTGGGGTTGGCCGCATCTGGCTGGATAATGTTCGTTGCTCAGGGGAGGAGCAGTCCCTGGAGCAGTGCCAGCACAGATTTTGGGGGTTTCACGACTGCACCCACCAGGAAGATGTGGCTGTCATCTGCTCAGGTGAGTCCTACAGATGGAGTTCATAAGGGCTGGCAAGGAGGATGATAAAGGAAGAGGAAATGATGGGGGTGTACTCTGGGGAAAAGGGTATTTTCACAAGCGCCATGAAGCTGCTCATAGTCATCACCTGCTCTGTACTTCCAGGGATATGGCTGGAAGTCCAGGCCCTGTGGTAGGTTTTATTCCTGGGGCTGGTGGGTAGAGGTAGGGCTGACACTATATACGTATTGATCGTGAGAACATACAGGTATTGAATGTAAAAACAAGAGGCGTTCTGAAAATTATTTCACCAACATTTTTATATTAAACATAGTAAACATAAAGTGAGAGTCGGAGAAAATAAGCAACCTTCAAAAGCATTAAAATTGCTTTCAAATCATATAGCAGAACCATAATAAACCATCTTTACTCTCAACCCAAGGTTATTCTCTTGGATGACCCTAACCTTGAAACTCTAAGTTAAACTATCAAAGAGGGTTCTACCTCATTCCATTTGTCATCACTCCTAGATTTTAAACTAGTCTGGGAGAGTGGGACTACAGTAGGGAGCTTTTTGAGAATGCCCATAAGAGAGTTATCAGAGAGACCACAATACCAGCCCTGAACTGTAGAACTCTTCAGAGGATTGAAGGAAGAAGCCCTTTCCCAATTTGGGTTAGAAAATGCAAGTGCAGCCGCTGCGTGGCTGACTCAAAAAAGCCACCCGTCTGAAGCCCCATTGTGTAATCAATGTGGGGCTACTTGGTTAAACCACTAACTCTGGAACTAGATAAGAACTGATAGTTGACCAAGGTATGTGGGAAGCAGTTAGTGCCCAGAGAAGAATAAATACAGCTGCAGGAGGCTAGGGTTTGAGCCAGGCTGCTGCTACTTTGAAGCTGTGTAATGTTAGTCACTTAACTCCTCAGAACCTAAGTGTTTCCATGGGTAGAAATAGAAAGACACTTGTCCGGTTTACCTCAAAGACTTTGTGATTGTGTGAGGATAAGATATGTTGATAGATGTCAGTACTGTTTGTGACTCACATGGAGCTAGTTGAGTAAGTCCCTGGGATACTGCACAAGGTTCTGGCCTGGCTCACATCAGTGTGGGATCTGTACATGGCTTAGCTCTTTTTCCTATGTTGAGCCCCAGTCTTCTCCCTTAGCTAATGTGAGTTTCAACTGAATAATTCCTTCCTGGACTATACCCATCCTTACTGCATTTTCCTCTTCTCTTTATAGGATAGTATCCTGGTGTTGCTTGACCTGGCCCCCCTGGCCCCGCCTGCCCTCTGCTTGTTCTCCTGAGCCCTGATTATCCTCATACTCATTCTGGGGCTCAGGCTTGAGCCACTACTCCCTCATCCCCTCAGGAGTCTGAACACTGGGCTTATGCCTTACTCTCAGGGACAAGCAGCCCCCATTGCTGCCTGTAGATGTGAGCTGTTGAGTTCCCTCTTGCTGGGGAAGATGAGCTTCCATGTATCCTGTGCTCAACCCTGACCCTTTGACACTGGTTCTGGCCTTTCCTGCCTTTTCTCAAGCTGCCTGGAATCCTCAAACCTGTCACTTTGGTCAGATGTGCAGACCATTACTAAGGTCTATGTCTGCAAACATTACTAATCTAGGTCCTATTACTAATCTATGTCTGCAAACATTAAAGGAATGAAACAATGAAAGGAACATTTGAAAGAAAATGTGGGTAGACAATTTCTTGCAACTTGGGGGAAAGTTTAGAATTCTTTTGATTGGACTACTTTTTTTTTTTTTCCTCAAGCTTCAGGTGACCACAATAGCAACACCTCCCTATTCTGTTATTTCTTAGTGTAGGTAGACAATTCTTTCAGGAGCAGAGCAGCGTCCTATAATCCTAGACCTTTTCATGACGTGTAAAAAATGATGTTTCATCCTCTGATTGCCCCAATAAAAATCTTTGTTGTCCATCCCTATACAACCTGCCAACATGGTTGACATTTAATGAGAGGAATGTCAAAAATACATTTTACTTTATTCAAAGAAAAATATATTGGTTACTGGGAAAAGGTCAAGAAAGAGGCAGAAAGAGATCAGGGAGGGCTAAAGTTGTGTCTTATGCCAAGCGAAAGTGAAAAATATCATTTTCACTTTATCAACTGAGACTTTGGGGCCTGTAAGCTTGAGGCAAGACAGAAATAAGAGAATCAAGACTTGATTGTAAAAATTGACAACTTTAGATTCTGAGGCTAGGCTGAGTACTTATTATACGGCTACATTTACACATTTACACTTATCTAATAAATCAGATTTCACAGTCTCAACAATTGCCTCTCTGTGTGATATGCTCTTTCTGCCCACAGAGAAGCAGCTGTGTCAGATTCTCTATGGCAGTTTCTTAAACAGGGTTAGGTAGAAGAGAACCTTCCAGTTACAACCATATGTGTAAAAAGCTGTCCTCTGGGTGTGCAACTGTCTCCCAGTCTATTTCTGCTCCAACCTGTGTACCCAAAGACAGTTCTGCTGCTCCTGGACTTCAGGCTAACACACTTCTGATAGGCCAACTCTAATGCCATGCCTTTCTAATCTGACATTTTTTTGCTTTCCTTCTAACCAGTGTGTTTATGTTTCTAACCCAGAACCACACTGGTCTCTGGCTCCTTACTCAATTAATTCTGTCAAAACAGTTCAATCATCAGGGAAAGACAGAGAGTGGGAGGAGGGGTGCAGTGGGACAGGAGGAGAGTGGGAGGGAGAGAGCCCACCACTCGGCTGGGAGTCCGGAGGCAAAACTGTGATTCCTTAAGTCACTGCCTGTCCTAGAGGATTCATTCTTAAAGCACTAGGTTTTAATGAAGGATGAAAAAACACTGAAGAGAGAATGAATTTCTGACATTGCAAAGCTCAAATGATGGAATAACGGGGTCCTCTGAAAAGAGTCCCTAAGGAAATGCATGGAACTGATACTATTTGCTGACAAACTTGTCCATTCATTAGGTTTAGGGCATCCTTGTCATGTTTACCCTGCATTATTCAGATATGAAATGTGAGACAAATTGCCTACAGAAAGAGCTAGACTCTTGAATACTGGCTATGGGATCCCATGACTGCTAATGACACTGGAGTGTGTTTCTGCATCCTAACCCGCAGTTCCATTGTAGCTCAATTTTTTAATAAATATTTAAAAGGTAGCAGGGGAAGATAGGTAGAGAAACCTAGCTTCAGAGAAGGAAAGAAAATGCTTTACCACATGGATCAGAGAACCGGAGGAAGCCCTTCCACAGAGATATATGAGTAAGAATGAAACAGATGCTCAGAGGGGAACATAGATGAGACACACAGAAACCCCAGAAAGTATTTTTGGTTTCTCATCCTTGCCTCTTCCTGGGGTCAAATGGCATTCCTGGCCTTGGGTTCTGTGACAAACTGCTGTATGGTACATAATAATTTTTTTGAAGTTTTTGATTGACTTATGTTGGTTTTCGTACTTCCAACCAAAAGAACCCCAGATAATATATTTATTTTAAATTCATAAAATGATAATTCACTAATTTTTTATAAGGCTGAGTAGCTAAACCCAGTTATTACTAATGAATAGACTCTCATTGCATTTATAACATCATGTTTATGGATCTGAAAAGATAAGGACCAGAGCCTATAAACAGAGGCCTATTTCTATTTCTATTACTCCAAGATATTACTTTTGAGTGGCCCTGGTTGTATAAATGCCCAATAATTCTTTTACAAGGGTGACATTTAAAGCTCATGGCCTCCACATTAAAACACAGAACAATTAAAGGTCTAGTGAAGGTGGGTTATAGAAGATAGGCAAATCAGAACTGACAGCTATTCATGCTTCCTCTTTCCTCTGTTGGAAAAGCTCTCTTCAACTTTGTTACCTGATGAACTTTCAATTATTCTCAATGTCTCATTTCTCTCTTAAAATGTAATTTAAATCAGGTTATAACCCTGCCAAAGGGTCTTTGAGAGCTTCTCATTGCACATGAGTTAAATGTAAACTTCTTACTTAGACTTAAATGCCTGTGCATGATCTGGTCCCTGCCTACTCCTCCAACCTCATCTCATGCTACTCTTGTCCTCTAACAACCCATTGCCGTCACATGGGCTTTCTCTCCTTTCCTCAAACACATCAAATTTACTAAACTGTGGTAAGTCTTCCAGAGGAGAAGGTTTTTGGGAGAGGAGCTATCAGAAGCTCTGTTTAGACATGTTAATTCTGATGCCTATTAGATCTCCATGTGGAGATAATAAGTAAAAGTTTAGAGGAGTGGCCTGGGCTTGGATACATGATCTGGGAAACCATTACACATATATGGTATTCAAAGCCATTAGACTACAGGACTTCAGTCCCAAGAAAATGAGTGAGACAGAAAAGGAGAGGAGATCCAAGAACAGAGCCTCAGAGAACCAACATTTAATCCAACATTTAGCTTACATTCCCTTGAAACAAGGACTTAGGTGCAGATTTTTTATTAGGTGATAATTTCAGGAAACACTTGTGAGAGACTGAGGAAGGTTAGTAGGAGAGAAAGAAAACCCAACAAAGTGAGCATTAATGAGTTGGTTACTGCTGGGGGCAACTGAGTCTCCATCTCTCTGGGGGTCTTCTGAGGCACTGTGTAAAAATTATTTCAAAATATTCTCACCAAGGAATGAGTAAGCTGAAGTATTTATCTACCGAATCTCATATGCCATTGATTGAGAGTTGCTCCTGTTGGTGTTAAACCTTGTGTATGGGCTGAGTGAACTCCTGAGTACCAGTGAAAATTACAGGTAGAAAAGCTAAGACATGCGGGCACTTGAGGGGACATAGGACCTGTCCATCACAGGTGTAGAAGACAGTGAAGTAGAAGTAAGCATGAGACTGATATCTTTAAAACCAAATGAAGAAAGTGTTTCAAGAAGGAGGTATGTATTGACTGTGTTGATGGACCAAGTAAGATGAATTGACTACTGGGTTTGACACCATGGCTTCTACATTTTCTAGATGCACCCTAGAGGTTCTCCCTTCTGAGGTCCCACTGTCCTCCTAGGGCATTGCAAGGATATGAGACTCAAGTTGTTGCTCCACATAGAACCCAGAACCACTCAATTCCCTGGTCTTGTGGAATTTATCACTCCTTCTCCTCCACTTACTCCTCATTTCTTTCCTTCCTCCATCAAAGGTTAATTTGAGTTATACTGTGAAATGGTTGAGGCAGAACCCAAATATAAACCTTCTTCTGGGTTCTGGAAGAAAATGGAACATGAGGAAGAGCTAATAAAATTGCAATGATAATAAACTAGAAGTGATAATGGCACTTTTAACTACTCTACTATGGGAATTTGCAACTAAGTTATGATTGCCTCTGGACCCCACCTTATGTTGCCTATCCAGATTCCTCTGGTTGAGCTCTGTCTTAGTTATTTTTCTCCTCCTTAACACTTTCCCTGAAACTACCTGTGATGGTTAATTCTATATGTTAATTTCACTGAGTCATGGGGCATCCATATATTTGGTTAAACCTTATTTCTATGTGTGTCTGTGAAGATGTTTCCAGATGAGTTAGCATTTGTATCAGTAGATTGAGTAAAGCATGTTGCATTTCCCAGTGTAGGTGGGCATCATCTAATCTGTTGAGTGCCTGAATAGAAGAAAAACACAGAAGAAGGGAGCATTTACTGTCTACATGACTGCATGGGATGAACACTGATCTTCTTCTGCCCTTGGACTGGGACTTATACTTGGTGCCCCTGATTCTCAGGCCTTCAGAGTTGGATCAGAACTTACAACATCAGGTCTAGTTCTCAGGCCATCAGACATAGTTTGGAACTACATCACCACCTTTCCTATGTCTCCACATTGCACACAGCAGATTCCCAGCCTCCATAATTGTGTGTATCAACTACTTAAATACATTATAACACACACACACACACACACACACACACACACACACACACACACATACACCATTTGTCCTGTTTCTCTGAAGAACTCTGACAAAATACAGATTTTGGTACTGAAAGAGATTCTAGAGGAACGGAATTTTAAGGATAAATTTTCTGAATTGGTTATGGGGTTTCTGAAATTGGCTCTATAATCTAATTAGATATAAAATTCTGGTAACTTTATTTACAATAATAAAGATAGCACTATGTGTTCATGGCTTGAACTGGTAATAAAGATACAAAAATATCCACATTAGATATTCCTAATCAACCACTCATAAGAAGCAAGAAGCTGAGTGACTATGTTTATGATACTTTCAAACATTTTTGGAAAACTAGCAAATACAATGAGGTTGGCTGGTTACTCTTAATACTACTGGACAAAGTGGTGAAAGAAAAAGATGAGCTCAGGGATTTGAAATCACAGCTCAATTACCACATGAATCACCTGAAAACTTTTATATGTGCTCTGAAGGGAGACCCTTATCTCCTGTAGCTACAGAGTTGAGATTGCTGAAAATCAAATGCTGGATCTCAATTGTGCAACTGGCTAAACTACAAAGCAATTTAACCCCCCAGAACTTCAGCGTATCTACCATTAAAGGGCAGGCATTGATTGGGAAATGATGAGATCCTGTAAGTTAGGATGGGGATGTGTGAGAAAACTCTCAGGCAGCCTAACGACACCTGGCAGACTGGCATCCACACCCCAGAGGTATTGGCCTCTCTATTCCATCTGAGGGACTAAAGTTGCATGGCCTGAGGAAACTGTAAGGTCTCCCCAGAGTCATGAAAGACAACGCCAATTCTCCTCAGGACCCACTCCTACCACTTTTCTTTGATTCTAGATCTATAACTATACTCACATTGCAACAAGCCTCTAAAGGTGAGATATAAATTGTGACCCATGAGGAGGTCACACTACACTCCAAAAGAACTGCTTGAGTTTTTCTAATTCAAACAGACAGAAATCTAGGGAACACATGTGGGAATGAATACTAAAGGTATAAGTTAATGATGAAAAGAACTTAAGTTTGATTAGGCAGAATTTATTGATATGGGCTTGCAAAGTATATATTCTTTCTTTAATATTGCAGCTCATGAAGGTGAAAAGGGCTCTTGCCATTTGTTTGGTTAGTAGGACAAAACATGGAACAAAAGGTGGCCCACAAAGAGTGAGGTGGCACACACTGCCTTGGTTTAATGTAGAAGAAGAGATTGAACAACTTAGGGAAAGTGGACTGTTAAAGAGGTTTTATCGTTTAAGACCTACTCACACACACACTGGAATAGTTCAGAAGACACACATTTTATCATTAGCTGTGAGAAATAAATTTCTGAGGGGAGCCCTGGCATCTGAAAAACTCTTTCATCGCTCTTCTCTGTAGGCTGGCCTTACAGTGGAAATTGCAGTCACTGAATTGGGAAATTAAAATGCAATAGGAGTAACTGGATCCCAGGATGGCAGGGCCAAGTGATAGCATTCAACTGCCAAAGGCTATGTAGGTGTGGTTACCAAAGTGGACAACAAAGTCAGAGCAATCATCAGAATAATCTGACTTACAGAGACCTATGACACTGACTAGATCATCATGGTCTCTGGAATTGAAGTAGATAGGAAGCCTACTAATTTCTTACTTGATCTATATAAACAGAAACATTTTAGGTCAAGCAAATAACAGTCTAACCTAAATCATAGAAACAGAGAGTCACAGTCCTCAATCAATTTCTAGATTTGAGCCAATTTACAAAGCTAGAACCTCCTGAATGAAGGAAAGGGTAGGTGCCTTTGAGGAAGAAAACTAGTACAATACCAAAAATTTGTTACTAATCTTTCTCCAAAGCCTCTCTAAAGGGATCTATACCTTTTTCCAGGATAATTGTGCACTGGGGAAAATAAAATAATCAGACTTCTTGGGGACGGTTGGATTCCAGCCCTAATTCATTCTGAGTAAAGAAGACCCAAAACATCACTGTGCTCCAGAAGTCAGGGTAGGAGCTTATGAAGTTCAGGTGATCAATGGAATTTTAGCTGAGGTCTGTCTCACATTGGGCCCAATGGGTCCCTGAACCCATCCTGTGGTTATAACCCCAGCTCCGGAATGCATAATTGAAATAGATATACTCAGCAGCTGACAAAGACCCTACATTGTTTCTCTGACCTGTGGAATGAGGGCTACTATGATGGTAAAGTCCAGGTAGAATCCAATAGTACTGCCTCCGCCTAGAAAAATAGTAAGTTAAAAGCAAGACTGCATTCTTGGAAGAATTGCGGAGATTAGTGACACAATTAAGGATGCAGGGGTAGTGATTCCTACAACAATTCTATTTAGCTCACCTATTTGGCCTGTGCAGAAGACAGATGGGTCCTGGAGAATTCCAGTGGATTATCATAAGCTTAACCATGAGGAGACATGAATTGCAGCTGCTGTACCAGATGTGGTTTCATTGCTTAAGCAAATTAACACATCCCCTCATACCTGGTATATAGCTACTGATCTGGAAAATGCCCTTTTCTCCATCTCTGTCAATAAAGCTCACCAGAAACATTTTGCTTTCAGCTGGAAGGCTAGCACTACACTTTCACTGTCCTACCTTAGGAGCATTTCAGTTTTCCAGCCCTATATCATGACGTACTTCACAGAGATTTTGAGTGTCTGTCTCTTCCACAAGATATAACACTGGTCCATTACATTGATGACATTATGCTGATTGAATCTAGTGTGCGAGAAGTAGCAGCTGCTCTAGACTTATTGGTAAGGCATTTTTGTTTCAGAGGATGGGAAATAAATCGGAAAATAATTTAGGGGCCCTGTACCTCAGTGATACTACATGAAGAGGTGGTTAAAATATCCACAATCTCCATTCCTGCTACACTGCCGTCTCTCTCCCAGCCTGCACCTGTGGCTTCATGGGGAGTTCCCTCCAATCAGTTGACAGAGGAGGAGAAGACTCTCTGGCCTGATTTATAGACGGTTCTATGTAATATGCAGTCACCACATGAAAGTGGACGGCTGCAGCACCTTCCTGAGACATTCCTAGAAGACAGTGGTGAAAAAAAATCTTCAGTCAGCAGACCTTAAAGCAGTGCACCTGGTTGTGCACTTTTGCTTGGAAGGAGAGATGACCTGAAGTGCAATTCTATACAGATTCATGGACTGTGGGCAATAGTTTGGCTGGATGGTCAGAGACTTGAAAGAAAGATGACTGGAAAATTGGTGAATAAGGAAATTTGGGGAAGGGGTATGTAGATAGACCTCTTTGAATGAGCAAAATGAATGTGAAGATATTTGGGTTCCATGTAAATGCTCAACAAAGGGTGACCTCAGCAGAGGAGGACTTTAATAATCAAGTGGATAAAATGACCCATTCTGTGGAAGTGGGTCAGCCCACTTCCCCAGCCACCCGTGTTGTGGCCCAGTGGGCTCATGAACAAAGTGGCCATGGTGGAAAGATGGAGTTAATGCAGGGGCTCAGCATCATGAACTTGCACTCTCCAAGGGCAACCTGGCTACAGCTGCCTTGGAGTGCCTAATATGCCAGCAGTGGAGACCACGCTGAGTCCCTAATATGACACTACTTCCCAGAGTAATCAGCCAGCTACCAGGTGGCAGGTTGATTAAAAGGGGCCACTTCCATCATGGAAGCGGTAGTGTTTTGTCCTTACTGGAATAGACACTTACTCTGGATATAGATTTGTCTTTACTACACACAATGTTGTCTCTATTAAAGATAATAATTAAAAAATTAGCCAGGTATGATAGTGCGCTCCTGTAGTCCCAGCCACTCAGAAGGCTAAGGCAGGAGGATTGCTTGAGCTTGGGAGGTTGAGGCTGTAGAAAGACATGATCATACCACTGCACTCCAGCCTGGGTCACAAAGTGAGACCTTATCTCAAAAAAAAAAAAAAAAAAAAAAAGCATTAACCATGCAAGAAAAAAAAGATAAATTGGGCTTCACCAAAATTAGATAATTCTGATCTCTTTTTTGTTTTTGTTTTTTGACAAAAATTGGACAAGCAGCCTTATGAATAAATAGGAAAATAACAGGAAGAGACATTTCAAGGAAGAAAATATACAAAGGGCTAATAAACACATGAGAAATGTTTAGCTTCATTGGCCGCCAAGAAATGCAAATTAAACTCATAAGATATCTCTACACATGCATTGAATTGGCTTTAAAAAAGGAGTTGGAGAGGATATGGAGAAACTGGAATTCAGACTGCTGGTGGGAATGTAAAATAGTAAAAATCAAGTAGGGAAGTAATTTAAGTTTCCTGAAAACATAAGCATATTCTCATTCAATAATTCCACCCTGGAATAGTCACCCAAAATTTTGTACATGAATGTTTATAGCAGCTTTATTCATACTACATGGATGAATCTCAAAAATATTATGCAAAAGGAAAGAACTTAGAAACAAAAGAGTAAATATTATATGTTTCAATTTGTAGGAAATTCTAGAAAAGGCAAATCAAATCTATAGAAAGCAGATGGAGAGTTACCTGGTTCTGGGAGGTTTGGGGTGACTGGGAAGGCACACAAGGAAACCCATTGAGATGATGGAAATGTTCTAGATCATGACAGTGATTGCTTTTACATCAGTGTGTATGTTTGTCAAAAATCATTGAATCATATACTTATGATGGGTTCATTTCAATGTATATTAATTATAACTCGATAAGCTGATTTTTAAGAAAGAGAACTATAAACAAAATATTCAGAGTGGTAATTACTTCTGGAGAGTACACGAGGAGTGGGTTAGAAAAGGCACACTCAAGTAGATGTAATAGTATCATGTTATGTTCAAGTTCTTTTTTTTTTTTTTTTTTTTTTTTTTTTTTTTTGAGACGGAGTCTCGCTCTGTCACCCAGGCTGGAGTGCAGTGGCGCGATCTCGGCTCACTGCAAGCTCCGCCTCCCGGGTTCACGCCATTCTCCTGCCTCAGCCTCCCGCGCAGCTGGGACTACAGGCGCCCGCCACCACGCCCGGCTAATTTTTTGTGTTTTTTAGTAGAGACGGGGTTTCACTGTGTTAGCCAGGATGGTCTCGATCTCCTGACCTCGTGATCCGCCCGCCTTATGTTCAAGTTCTTAAAACAGTCTGGGGATAGGCTCATGGCTTTTCATTTCATCGTAGTATTTCATAATTTATATTCATGTTACTTTTTTGTATGCATGCATGAACTATCACATTATAAAAATAAAAGTGTGAGAGAGCTTAACAAATAAAATGTTATAGCCTTTATATCTGTGGAGGAGGAAACACATTTTAATCTGAACATCTTGTGAAGGCACTGGAGCAGGACACACAGGAAGAGATGTGATGAGAATCAACCTAAGACCCCAACAACAGATGAATCCATAAAGAAAATGTGGTGTATATATACAACGGAATACCATTCAGCCATACAAAATGAAATCCTGTCATTTGTGACAACATGATGAAGCTGGAGGACATCATGTTAAGTGAACCAAGCCAGACACAGAAAGACAAATACCACATGAACTTACTTATATGTGGAATCTGAAAAAAATAAGAAGTTGATATTATGGAAGTATAGCATAGAATAGCATCTATCAGAGACTGAGGAGGGAATGAGGAGGGAAGAGAGGGAAAGATTGGTCAACAGGTACAAGGTGCCAATTCGATAGGAGGAATAAGGTTTGGTGTTTTATTGCACAGTAGGGTAACTATGGTTACTAGTAAGGTATTATATATTACAAAATAGCTAGGAAAGAGGCTTTTGAATGTTCTCACCACATAGAAATGAAAACTGCACGAGACAATGGATATGCCAACCACCCTGATTTGATCATCACTGTACAACATATATATGTATTATATTGCAATGTCAAACTGTGCCCCATAAATATGTACAATTACAATGTGTCAATTAAAACATTAAAAAAACCAACAGATTAAAAGAAAAAGAGAGAGATGAAACAGCAGAGTGTATGCAAAAACAGCTTTACACCCTGGATTTAAAGGGCTCTACATTCTCATTCAGGAGATTTTTTTGCATTGGTCCTGAAACTTTACACTAAACAAGCTTATCCCCACACAGGCTTTCCTAAGCCAATAAATAAAGCTATGGAATACCTATTCGTTTTCAGCACTTTCGCTGTTAGCCTGGTTACCAACATTGCTCCCTTTTCCCTCTGGTTTTGCGTATCACTGAATAGTTTCTTTTCTCAGTCATACTCATTGAGCTGGATACCTGGACTTAGACATCATTGCCTGACAGCATCTTTCCCCTAATAGGTTACTTTCCACACATTCTAGTTATTCTTAATCCTAGACACTCACGGATTTAAGAAATGTTGAAAATTAAGATAGCTTATTCTCCTCCAATCCCTAATCTAGGCTTCACTTGCCTAGAACTGGTATCCCTAATGTGCTAAAGGTAGCAATGGGAGAGATTATAGGTGCCCTGATTTTGAGGGAAAAGAGGGGCAATTTTACAAATGCCAGAGTTAGTACTAATGGTGAACCCTTCTCAAGTGCCCTGAAGCTAATTTGCATATACTTCTTTTCTGTATTTCATTTTCAAATATCCCCCAGATTGTAATTTGCCGTGATTTTATTTTTCAGTGATTTCATGCTCATTTACTGGTACACTGAAAGTTTGAATATCAAAGCGTATATCTGTATGAATAGGTTGACCCTGTACATAAGTCATCATATGCAGCAAGGGTCAGACACTACACATAACCGGGGTGACAGCCCCATCAGTCCCTGATTTAATGACATGTTTGCATAATATGACTATACTAGAGAAAGTTTGCATAGTGGGACTATATTGCTGAGCAAGAAGAATGTGCCAATTAGAAACAATCCAGGAGACATCCCTATCAAAGGTGAAAAGTATTGTAGATGTATCAAAGATGAATTTCAGCAGGACCATAACCTGATGAGACTCATCAAAGTAGGAAACTGCCTTTAGAAAACTTCCTTTGAAATACCTGAATTCTTGAAAAAGTCCCTCAAATATTGATGTGTACTATCTGCAGCTTGTGGAACTGAATCAAACTATATTTAAAAAGGAGCATCTTTAATTTTCTCAGACTTCATAGAAAAGGAAATGGAGACTGGTCACTAGAGGGTTCTTCTTCCTTCTACTTCTGCTGAAGGGTAACTTCCGATATCAACTTCCTCAAACCTCTGATGAGCTGCTGCTGCTCGACTCTGAGGTGCATTCTTTTTTTGATGAGAGGCATCTCTAGGTACCATCCCTGACCTGGTCCTCATGCTGCCGAGGCTGTTGCTGTTGATCTGTGGTGAGTTGGGCAACTCAGAGCAGGGCATGGGATGCAATCATGCTTGGGCTCTGCTTCCTGAAGGGCTGTAAGGACTTCTTAGGACTAAGGTTCTGTCAGGTAATGCTCAGGGGTGCTCAGATCTCCACTTCCACGGAGGGCTCAGAGTCAGGCAAAAAGTTGTAGATATTTCAAAAAGCCAGAGTTTTCAAGAAAACTATCATTTCAGTTTTTATCTCATAGGAAGTGTTCACTGTCTGTCTTCCTTTCCATCAATAATTGTCTTTGTTCTCAGTGTTTTCAACAGCTGCCAAAAGAAAAATCTGTATAATAAATAGGCCTCTGAATTCCTTGCCCTTCTTACTACCAACGTTATTTCCTTTTATCCCTCTCTGACTCCCCATTCCCACAGTCAAACCTTAGAACTTATCATCACTCCTTTGTTTTCAGCATACATCCCCCACCCCCACTAAGTTGTGTTTCTAGCTCACTTTCTCCTGCACTCTATTTCCAACATGACTTCAATTACCCCAGGGCTACTTTTCCATTATCAGTAACTACACTTCATGTGCTCACTTCTCATGGTGCTCAGCTCAGATTCTGCAGCTCACCACCACAACACTCCCTCGAGCACACCTTCATCTCTCTTCCCCCATAGCACTCTCCTGGTTTACACGCCCTTCTGCATGCTTCACTCCTGGACATAAACAGCTGAATGGGATTTTTTTTTAAATGCACAACCCTGATGACTTATCCCCTTTTAAGTGTAGGACCCCCAAATCTCAGGTAGCCAACAGCAATGCCAGGCAATTATCCTACATGTTCACAGTCCATGTTGCTCCATTATCACTATTGCATACCTTATCCTGTCACCTCATACTTCTCTGTTCACTCTCATTGTGTAATCTTGCTTCATATTTCATTGAGAAAATAAAAGCAGTCAGAAGAAAACTCTCTCATCTTTCTGTTGCTGTTGACCTACTCACCTCTGCATTCACATACACTGCCTTCTCTTCCCCTACCACGAATATATTGCCCCTCATCTTGTTGATGACAAGACTCTCCACTTGTGCATTAGGCCCATGACCCTCTTACTTTCTCAAAAAGTTTGCTCCATCATCAATATGTTTCTTCATTCTAAATTATTCCCATAAGTATACAAACATGCTACAGTATCTTTTATTAAAAACAGCTTTATTGAAATATTATTCACATATAATACAATTCACCATTTAAGTTATGCAATCCAATGGTTTTTTATGACAATCACTGAGTGGTGCAACTATCACCACAATCAATTTCAGAATGTTTTCATCACCCAAGAAAGAACGCCATACCCACTAGCAGGCATCCCCAATTTTTTTTCCAACGCCTCACCTATCCTCACCCCTCTATTTTCTGGCCACATGCAATCATTATCTACTTTCTGTCTCTCTATATTTGTCTATTCTGGACACACACCCCATATCTAACTGTAATTATATATCCCTTGAGCAACATTTCCCTCATTCCTCCTTCCCCACTATTACCCAAGCTTCTTGTAACCATGATTCTGCACCGTCCTTCTATGAGATCAACGTTTTCAGATTCCACATGAGTGAGATAATGCAGTACTTGTCATCCTGTGCCTACCTCATTTCATTTAACATAATATCCTTCAGGCTCACCCATGTTGTTGTAAATGATAGGATTTCATTATTTTTTATGTCTGAATAGTATTCCATCATGTATGTATATTGCATTTTCTTTATCCATTAATTTTTTGATGAACATCTACATTGATGCTGTCTTGGCTATCGTGAATAGTGCTGCAATAAATGTGGGAGTGCAGATATCTCTTTAACACACTGCTTTAATTTCCTCTGGATACATGTCCAGTAGTGGGATGGCTGAACCATATGGTAGTTCCATTTTTTATATTTTAAGAGCCTCCATACTGTCTTCCATAATGGCTGTTCTAATTTACAGTCCCACCTACAGCATGTGAGGATTCTCTTTTCTCGACATCTTTGACAATACTAGTTATCTTTGGTCTTTTTGATTATAGTCATTTTCATAGGTATGGGGTAATATTTCATTGTGGTTTTGATTTGCATTTTTCTGTTGATTAGTGATATTGGGCATTTTTTCATATACCTGTTGGCCATTTGCATTTCTTCTTTTGAGAATTAGACCATTGTTAATAGGGTTGTTTTCTCACTATTGAGTTGTTTGAGTTTCTTATATATTCTGGATATTAACTTTTTCTCAGATGTATTGACTGCAAGTACTTTTTCCTATTTCATAGGTTGTCTCTTCACTCTGTTGATTGTTTCTTTTACTATGCTGAAGCCTTTTGGTTGTGTGTAATCCCGTTTGTCTATTTTTGCTTTTATTGCTTTTGCTTTTGAGGTCCTAGCCAAAAAAATCACTGCCCAAATCAGTGACATAGAGCTTTCCCCAATGTTTTCTCCTAGTAGTTTCAGTTCAGGGTCATACATTTAAGTCTTTCATCCATTTTGAGTTGATTTTTGTCTATGGTGAGAGATAAGAATCTAATTTCATTCTTCTATAAGTGGATATCCAGTTTTCTTAATACTATTTAGTGAAGACACTGTCCTTTCCACATCGTGTATTCTTAACACCTTTGTTGAAAATCAGTGGGCTATAAATGTGTGGATTTATTTCCGGGCTCTCTATTCTGTTTCATTGGTCTATGTGTCTGTTTTTGTGCCTGTACAATGCTGTTTTGATTATTATAGGTTTGTAGATTATTAGAGTTTTTGAAGTCAGGTAGTATAATACCTGAAGCTTTTCTTTTCTTCAAGGTTGTTTGGGCTATTCAGGGTTTTCTGTTTGTTTATTTGTTTTTAGTTCCATACAAATTTTAGGATTGCTTTTTCTATTTCTGAAGACAATGTCATTGGTATTTTGATAGAGATTGCATTGAATCTGTAGATGATTCTGGGTAGTATTGACATTTTAACAGTATTTATTCTTCCAATCCATGAACATGTGATATCTTTCAATTTATTTGCATCTTCTTCAATTTCTTCATTTATGTTTTATAGTTTTCACTGTAGAGATATTTCAACTTCTTGGTTAAATTTATTCCTAAGTATTTTATTATTTTATAACTATTGTGAATGGGATTGTTTTCTTAATTTCTTTTGCAGGTAGTTCACTATTAGTATATAGAAACACTACTGATTTACATATTTTGTCTATCTATCTATCTATCTATCTATCTATCTATCTATCTATTATCCAGCAACTTCATCAGTGAAGTTGCTGCCCAAATCAGTGACATAGAGCTTTATCATTTATTAGATAAAATTTTGTTGGTGGGGTCTTTAGAGTTTTCTATATATAAGATTTTGTCATCTGCCAACAGGGACAATTTAACTTCTTCCTTCTCAATTTGGATGCCCTTTCTTTCTTTCTCTTGCCTAATACTTTGGCTAGGACTTCAATTATTATGTTAAATAGAGGTGGCCAAAGTGGGCATCTTTGTCTTGTTCTAGATTTTAGAGAAATGCTTTCAACTTTTCCCCATTCAGTATGATATTAGCTACAGACTTGTCATATATGACCTTTATTATGTTGAGGTACATCTCTTCTACACCTAATTTTCTGAGAGTTTTTAACGTAAATGGATGTTGAATTTTGTCAAATGCTTTTTGTGCATGTATTGATCATGTGGTTTTTATTCTTGATTTTGTTAATGTGATGTATCATTTCTATTGATCTGCATGTTGAACCATCCTTTCATCCCTGAAATGAATCCCATTGATCATGGTAAATGAATTTTTAAAATGTTCTGTTGAATTTGGTTTGCTAGTTATTTTGTTGAGAATTTGCACATCTATGTCTATCGGAGATATCAGCCTGTAGTTTTCTTTTTGTTGTGTTTTTGTCTGGTTTTGGCATCAAAGTAATATTAGCCTCTTAGAATGAGTTTGAAAGTGTTTTCTTCTTTTAATTTCTTGGAAATCATTTGAGAGGAATTGGTATTAGTTCTTTAAATGTTTGGTAGAATTCAGCAATGAAGCCATCAGATCCTAGGTTCCTTTTTGATGGAAGACTTTTTATTACTGATTGAATTCCCTTAGTTGTTATTGGTCTGTTCAGATTTTCTATTTCTTCACAATTAAATCTTGAGAAGTTATATGTGTGCAAGAATTTGTATATTTCTTCTAAGTTACCAACTTGTTTGCATATAATTGTTCACAATAGTCTCTTATAATCCTTTATCCTTTATAATCTGTGATGTCAGTTGTGATGCTCCCTTTTTATCTCTGATTTTATTATTTGAATTTTCTCTCCTTTTTCTTATTTAGTCTAGCTAGTTTGTCAATTTTGTTTATCTTTTTAAAAGACTGACTCATTTCATTGATCTTTTGTATTGTTTTTCTAGTCTCTATTTCATTTATTTCTGCCACAGTCTTTATTGTTTCCTTCCTTCTACTAACTTTGGGTGGAGTTTGTTCTTGTTTTTCTAGTTCCTTGAGGTGAAACGTTAGGTTACCTATTTTAGATCTTTCTTCTATTTTTGATGTAGGCATTCACTGCTATAAACTTCCCTTTCAGAATTGCTTTTGCTATATTTCACAGATTTTTGTATGTTGTGGTTCCATTTTTATTTGCCTCAATAAATTTTAAAATTTCTCTTTGAATTATTTTTCATTGACTCATTGGTTCTTTGGGAGCATGATGTTCAATTTTCATGTATTTGTGAAGTTTCTGAAGTACCTTGTGTTATTGATTTCAAGTTTTATACCATTGTGGTCAGAAGAGACTTCATATAATTTCAATCTTTTTAAATTTGTTAAGACATTTTGCTTCCTCAAATATGATCTATCCTTGAGAATGTTCCATGTGCAGTTGAGAAAAATGTGAATTCTGCAGATATTGGGTGAAATGTTCTATAAATGTCCATTAGGATTATTTTGTCTAGCGTGTAGTTTAAATCTGATATTTCTTTGTTGATTTTCCATCTGGATGATTTTCCATTGCTGAAAGTGGAGTATTAAAGTCCCCTACTATTATTATATTGCAGTCTATATCTCCTTTTAGATCTAATAATATTTGCTTTATATATTTGGGTGCTCTAGTGTTGGATGTATATATGTTTAAAATTGTTATATCTTCTTGATGAATTCACCCCCTTATCATTATACAATGGCCTTCTTTGTGTCTTTTTATAGTTTTTGACTTAAATTCTATTATATCAGATATAAGCATAACTATTCCTGTTCTCCATTTTCATGGTATTTCTTTTTCATCCTTTTACTTTCTGTTTATGTATGTCCTTACAGGTAGAGTTTCTTGTAGGCAGAATATAGTTGGGTCCTGTTTTTTAAAATCCATTCAGCCACTCTATATTTTTTAATTGAATAATTTAATCTATTTACATTCAAGGTTACTATGGATAGGTACGGACTTAACTCCTGCCATTTTGTTGAGTGTTTTCTAATTGTTTTGTAGATCTTTCATTCCTTTGTTTCTCTCCTGTTGTTTATCTTTGTGTTTTGGTGGATTTTTTGTAGTGCTAGGCTTTGATTCCTTTCTCTCTCCCATTTACGTATCTGCTGTCAGTTTTTTCTTTGTGGTTACCATGAGGCTTATATAAAAAATCTTATAGTTATAATAGAGTACTTTAAGCTGATAACAGCTTAACTTTGGTCTAGACATTTACCATTGCCGCCATTATTTATATTTTTGTTGCCTTATGTTACATATTTTGTATTGTGTATTTCTTAACAACTTATCACAGCTATAGTTATTATTGACCATTTTGACTTTTAACCATCATAGTAGATATTTGAAAGATTTACAAATCACCGTTACAGTAATGAGATTTTCTGAATTTAATGATCAATTTACCTCTATTAGTTAATTGTACACTTTCACATGTTTTCGTGGAGTAATTATTGTCCTTTCACTTCTGGCTGGAACACTCTCTTATGCAGTTACTTTAAGGCTTGTCTAGTGGTCTTGAATTCCATCAGCTTTTGCTTGTGTGGGTGAGAGTTTATCTCTCCTTCATTTCTGAAAGACAGCTTTTCTGTGTATAGTATTCTTGCTGAAAGTTTTCTTCTTTCAGCACTTTGAATATATCATCTTATTCTTTCCTGGCCTGCATGATTTCTGGTGATAGATCTGATGATACTCTTATAGAAATTCTCTTATGTATGACTTGATGTTTTTGCTGTGTTTAGAATTCTCTTTGTATTTGACCTTTAACAATTTGATTATAATGACCTTGGAGAGGACCTCTTCAGGTTAAATCTATTTGGGGATTTTTGAGCTTCATGGATTTGGTTGTTCATATCCATCCCAAGACTTGAGTCGTTTTCAGCTACTATTTTATCAAATATGCTTTCCAAAACCTTCTCTATATCTTTTTCTGCTAGTACTCTAATAATACAAATATTTGCCCACTTAATGGTGTCCCATAAGTCCTGTAGGCTTTCTTCACTTTCGAAAAAAAATTTTCCTCAGCTAACTGGGTTATTTCAAAAGATCTATATTCAAGTTTAGAAATTCTTCTTCTTTATCTGGTTTGCTGTTGAAACTCTCAATTGTAATTTTTATTTCATGCATTTAATTCTTTAGCTCTATGAATTCTGTTTGGATTATTTTCATGATATCTATATGTTTTCAAATTTCCTGTTTAGGTCATAAATTGTTTTCCAGATTTTATTGAACTTTTCATCTGTATTCTCTTATAAGTGAGTTTCCTTAAGATTATAATTTTGAATTTTTTAGGCAATTAATAAATCTCCAGTTAGTTATTGGAAAATTATTTTGTTCTTGTATTGGTGTCATGTTTTCTCGCTTTTTCATGTTTGTTGTGTTCCTGCTTTACCATTTGTGCATCTGGTGGAAGAGTCACCTTTTTCAATTTTATAGAGTGGCTTTTGTAAGAAAAGACTTTCACCTGCAGATTGATCCTAGGGTGCCGATGGATCCTTAGTTTAGGAAGTTTCATTGGTTTGGTTCCAGGTGAGCATAGTAGTGTGGTCTCTGTGTAACTTCTTCAGCAGCAATCAATGTCAGCAATGCTTGTGTGTGCCTCAGTGGCCTAGGCTGTAGGAGTTTGTGAGGGTGGTGGTGGCAAGATAGATTGCTACAGTTCTCAGTGGCAAGAGCTTTAGGGATCTTCCTGTTCTTTTCCTCATAGACCATCATACCTGAGAGGGTGTCTTTTGGTGTTTGGCCCTGGCATGGGTCACAGGCAGGCATGGTAGTACTATGTTCCAGGGCACAGATGCTTGAGGTGGTTGTGGTCCTGCACTCAGTGTCCTGCACACAGTGCCACTACTATGGCATCTGTGCCTGGATGCAGGTTCATTGTCTTAGGTATAGATGGACACAGCTCTTCCACCAAGACAAAGAATGTGACTCTGAAGCACTCCCCAGTATCTCAGGCCCAACAGGCAAGGTTGTACCTGTGACTTTGATCCTGGGGGTCAAGATACAGCACTATCATGGCTCTAAGGATAAAGGGCTTTCCAAAGGCTCAGATACTGGGAAGCAGATCACAACTACAAATCAAATCCCAGAGTCAATGAGACACAGGGGCAACTTAGGCACCAGGAGAGAGTGTATTACATACTGGTGACTCTGGACCCTGGAGTGGTGGGACACAGTAGTGGCCCCTGCTCTGTGATGCCAGGTGTAGTGACCGGAAAGACCCTGGAATGGTGATAGGATGCAGTTGTGGCTTTGGCTCTGGAGAGCAGGGAACAGTGCAATATTGGGTTCACTCCCCAATATCACACCATCACACCAAGGAAATGGTGTGCCTCAGCAGCTCAGGCTTCAGAGGGCTAGTCCAGATTCAGGCAGGACACTTAGGCTGTTTGGCTGAGAAGGGCAGAGTAATACAGATTGGCAGGTGCTGTGTTTCCCCAGGGGTGAGGTGCCAGGCTGGTTTTCACACCAAGGGAGCATGCAGTTGGTCTGCTGGCTCAGCTGTGGCTTCCCTAGGGGCAGGATGCCTGACTGGGTCATATGCCAAGGAGGCAGGCACATGGCTGGTCTTCTGGATAAGGCTTGACTTCTCCACTGGGCAGGACAGCCTGTTCCTTGGCAGGGCAGAGTGTCATGTGGACTCAAGTGACAGGATCACAGCTGTCCCCCTGAGCCTAGGTTTTGAGTCCCTGGGGTTGGGGCACTGAAGCCACTAGGATGGAGAAAATGGAGTGATTCCTAGACAGCTTGTTCCCATGGATTAGGAAGCAGGGAAGCTTGGCTAGCAAATGGTGTACTACTGTGTGTAAGCATGATGCAAGGATGGTGAAGCCTCAAGGATGAAAAGATGCAGTGACTACTGCCCCCAGGAACAGAACACACTCTAGTAGTTGCTCTAGTTTCAAGATGGTGCTGTGCAGTAGTAGCTTGGGTCATGGGATGGGAGGAGCCACAGTATGGGCTCTTACTCTAGAATAATGCAGCCATATGAACTCCAGGCAGCTTCCAAAACTGGACTTAGGTCCTGTGAGAACTGCAGGATTCTCCAGCAACAAAGACTGCTGGTGTCCACAGATATAATGGGGGCTTCTGGGGACTTCTTTACCTTTTGTTTTCAGGGAAAAGCCCCTCCTAGGCTTGAATCCCAGCCTGCATTCCAAGCTGATCCTGACTGAGGAGACAGAGTTGCAGAGGCAGGTTGCAGGGTTCCATTCCCTTCTTTATGTAGCCATCCTGAGTTTCTGTGATCCACAAGATTTCTGCCATTCCCCTGCTGTACTTCAGTGCTCTCCTTTAGACACTCCAGTCAAAATGTAGTTGTTTCCTTATTGTTTCAGTCTTTTTTTAGGCGGGGAGGAGGATGAGTAATAGACACCTCTAGTCAGCCATCTTGCCGACATCACCGACAATGTCTTTTCTCTTAAAATAATAGAAATATGGCTTCCATTTACTACACAAGTTTTCTGTTTCCCTTTATAAAGTTTTCAGTGCACCAGGTGTGGTGGCTCATGCTATAATCTCAGCACTTTGGGAGGTTGAGGCGGGAGGATCGCTTGACATCAGGTGTTTCAGACCAGCCTGGGCAACATAGCAAAATCTTGTCTCTACAAAAAATAAAAAATAAATAATTATCCTGGCATTGTGGCACATGCCTGTAGTCCCAGCTACTTGGGAGGCTGAGGTAAGAGGATCACTTGAGCCCAGGAGGTTAAGGCTGCAGTGATCTGACCTCCAGCCTGGGTGACAGAGCAAGATCCTGTCTCAAAAAAGTAAAATAAAACAAAAAGTTTTCAGTGAATTGCTGTCTTTGCTTCACTTCCTTTCATTCTTTATTTAATATTTATTTTTAATTTACATTACATTAAGATTTACTTTTTTGAAAGACTGTCTATAATTTTTGACAAAGATTTAGATCCATATAACCACCAGCAGAATCAAAATACAGGACATTTTCATCCCTTCAAAAATTTCCCGGCTGGGTGCAGTGGCTCACGACTGTAATCCCAGCACTTGGGGAGGCCGAGGTGGGTGGATCACCTGAGGTCAGGAGTATAAGACCAGCCTGGCCAACATGGTGAAACCCCATCTCTACTAAAAATACAAAAATTAGCCAGGCGAGGTGGTGCAAGCCTGTAGTCCTAGCTACTCAGGAGGCTGAGGCAGGAGAATTGCATGAACTTGTGAGGTAGAGGTTGCAATGAGCCAAGATCATGCCACTGCATTCCAGCCTGGGTGGCAGAAAGAGACTCTGTCTTAAAAAAAAAAAAAAGAAAAAAGAAAAAGAAATTTACTTATGCCCTCACTCCCTTTTATGGTCAAATCTTCTCCCATTCCTAACCCCTGGTAAACTCATTTAAGTCCTTACACTTCTTCCTCATTCTTCCTTGAACCCACTTAAATCAATCTTTCATCCTTACCACTCCATTGAAACTGTTCTTGCACATAGCATCAACCATCTTCATGTTGCTGCATCAAGGGGTCAATTTTAATTTTTTATTTTACTCAATTTCTCAGGGGCATTTGATCACTCTTTATTTTTTGAAACACTTTTAATTTGGCTTCTGGAATATCATATTCTGCTGGCTTTCTTTCTAATTCAGTATCTGCTACTTTTCAGTTTCTTTGCTAAATTATTTAATTTTTTTAGAGTCAGGGTCTTACTCTGTTGCCCCAGCTGAAGTGCAGTGGTATGGTCATGGCTCATTGCAACCTTGAATTCCTGGTCTCAAGTGATGCACCTGCCTCAGCTCCCTGAGTAGCTGGAACCAGAGACACATGCAACCACACTCAGCTAATTAAAACAATTTTTTGACCAGGTATGGTGGCTCATGTCTGTAATCCCAGGACTTTGGGAGGCCAAGGTGGGTGGATCACCTGAGGTCAGGAGTTCAGACCAAGCTGACCAACATGATGAAACCCAGTCTCTACTAAAGAAAAAAAAAATACAAAATTAGCTGGGTGTGGTGGCTGGCACATGCCTGTAATCCCAGCTACTTAGGAGGCTGAGGCAGGAGAATCGCTTGAACCCGAGAGGTGGAGGATGCAGTGAGCCAAGATTGTGCCATTGCACTCTAGTTTGGGCAAGAAGAGTGAAACTCCATCTCCCCCAAATCATTTGTGGTTTTTTTTGTTTGTTTTTGTTTTTGTTTTTGTTTTTTACAAACAGGGTTTTTTTTTAAATTAATTAATTTATTTTTTGCCACCCAGGCTTATCTCAAACTTCTGGCCCCCATCAATCCTCCCACCTCAGCCTTCCAAAGTGTTGGGATTACAGTCATAAGCCACTGCATCTGGCTTGGATCTTTTGCTGACCTCAAAATGTTGGACATCCTCAAAGTTGATACCTAGACTTCATCCATACTCACTTCCCCAAATTATATAATTATGTCACTTCATGTGCCACTTTAAGCTTAAATGCAAGCTTATTTCTCCAGCTTTCACCTCTCTTTTAAATACCTCTTATGTACTTAACTGCATTCGGGTATCTAATAGACATCTTAATAAACATCTTAAACTTAACATCAGGTGTTTAACAGGCATCTTAAACTCAAACAGATCTCTTGATCTTCCACCTGTACTACCACCACCACAAAACTTAACCTATTTTCCCCCACAACTTCTCCAATTCAGGAAATGTCACTACCATTCTTCCAGTTGCTGTGGCCAAAAATCTAAGAGTCATACTTAATTCCCCTCTCTCTCCTTTTGCACTTTCTATTTAATCCATAAGCAATTCCTATTAATTCTACTTTCAGAATTTATACTAAAGTCTGACCACTTCATATCACCAGCACTGTCTAATCTTAGCCACTATCTTTACTCTCCTACACTAAATTCCCACTAACGTTCTCCCTGCTTTTCTTTCACTTCTATACTGCTTTCCTCACAGTGTCTGAGTGATATTGTAAATTAAGTAAGAATTGTCCATAGCTCCCCATCACACCTAGAATGAAATCCAAAACTATTGCCAAGTCCATAAAGTGCCCATGACTGGATCCTTCCTATTTCTCAGACACCGATAACTAACCCCTGCCCCCTTACTTGGTCAGCTCCAGGTGCCCTTGCCTTCTCATTCCTCCTTGTACAAGCGTATTTCCTCCTCAGGATACTTGCATTCGATGTTTTCTCTGCCAGGGATGCTCTTTCCCAAATATTCAGAAGGCTTGTTTCCTGATTTCATTTAGGTTTTTACTGAATCTATCTAAATCTATCTAAACAGTTAAGACCATCTTAAGATGCTCTGTATCTTATTTCTCTGCTTTATTTTTCTTAGAGAACCAATCACCCTCTGAAAGAATATTATATACTTATTTTTAAATTGGCTCTCTACCACTATAATATGAATTTCTTGACATCAAAGATTGTCATTCATGTTTACTCCCATCACTCCAGGGCCATGCACAACGTCTGGCATACAGTGAGCACTTCAAATTATTTGCTGTATGGACAAGTGTATGGAATATGATTTTATGCTCTCTCCTATTGACACTTTTCTCCTACCTAAGGAACTAATTATTCAAGTAAACATTTAACCTAAGAAAAAGTAAGTATCTCAAACCAAGCTTGGCTAAAATAAATAATAGTAATGACACAATATTTACTGAATAAGTAAATTCCAGGCACTAGTCTAAGCTCCTTAATCTTCACAAAAACTCTGTGAGGTAGGTACCACAATTATCTACACTTTACCGACAAGGAAACTAAAGCACAGAGAGGTGAAACATTTCTCCCACAGTCACACAGCTTGTAAGAGGAAGAGCCAGTACTCAAATCTGTGTCATCCAGCTACAAAGCCTCCATTTTCCCCAGAATTATTTTTTCTTGATCATTGAGCCATAATATTATGGTCAAGTCCTTGGGATAGAAGAGAATTTTTGGAGAAATTTGAATTCCTTTTCTGGACCTAAGCCTCCTCTGATCTGAAATTGGTAAACAAAGGGTCTCTATGCCTTGAGTATGAGGCTGTGCACTCTCCTTGCCTGACTCTGTTGTTCCCTTGAGAGAGTCAATCCAAAGCTGGATCCTCAAGACTTTTGAAAGGAGGCGGTGGGAATGGGAATGAGGAGCTTGAAGAAGGAGCTGCTAAGTAGTTAGCAAAGATGCCACCTCCTAGTCACAGACAACACAAGTCATTGGCAATTACTTTGTGATCATAAAAAAGAACGATGTGTTGTTCTGTGGGCAGGTGCTCTGTGGGTGATGCAGAATATGGGAAAAGGAGCAGAGAGAAAGAAGAAAAGAAGCAGGGGTAAGATAAGGAGGGAGGAAGAGAAGATGAAAGAAGGAAGGGGAGAAGAGAGAAAGAGGGAAAGAGGGAGGAAGAGAGAGATGCAGGGAGGGTCCAGGGGATGGAGGGTGTGGTGTTGGGGAAGCTCTCAAAGGATTTAAACTTTGGAGATTTGTGGGATTTGCTGCTCTGTACTGATCTCTGCTGAATTCTCTCCCAGCTCCACTCTGTGAACCTGCCGGTGAGTTGCACTTCCTTTTCTTCTTCAAGGTCTGTGGGTATTTTGTTACTTAGGTCAGCACAGGAGGCCTGCAGATTGCTGTCTTAGCAGCCCCTTCCTGCCCAAAACATATCAGGGTGACAGCTGCTGAGGTGTACAAACATCAGTGGCTCCCTTGGGCCTGGGCTGCTCTGTCTTCACATCAGTCTCTGCACCTGACACGTGTCTGCTCAGTGGGGTGAACAGGTCTTGCTCTGACCTTCTCAAGAACACAGTCTTACTTCCGGGAAGTCCCAGCACAGGGAGGGAGACACTGTTTGCACAAGGAAGGCAAAGGGTGCTGAAGATTCATGCTAGAAGCATCTCTGTCCTCCCAGCCTCAGGAGCTCCAATTCCCAGTTGTGCTTCTCAGCTGGGTGTGTCACCATGGGTGATGAAGGAAATGCCAAAATCACACATCCACGGAGAACATTAGAGAGAATCCTCCAGACATGTGTGGAATGAAGTAGTACTGCTGCCTCCTTCCTATTTTTAGCTCTCCTCTGCAGCCACACCTGTTACCCCAGCTCATTTTCTCTTTCGGACTCTGGTTTATGCAAACTTACTTCATTGCACTGGTCCTGATTCAAAGTCTTACCTTTACCAAAGAAGGAGAGTAAGCAATCCCTTTCCCCACGAAGGACTCTTCACTAGATCAAGCTCAATGATAAAATGTAAAAATTGCTATCTTGTGCAGAAAATACTAGCCACAGAGTTAAAAGAGATTGTCCTGCCACCTCAAGAACATCGGCTGCAAGTGCAAGTAGGGAACACAAGTTCCCAAGTTCCCTAGGAATTCCTGTGACCAGAAAGATTCAGAGAGATTCAGGGTCAATCTAGCCTTCTAGGTTCCTTATCTAATGTTTGTCCAAGTATAACTGATGACTTGTGTTAACACCATGCATGCCTTGTGTCTGGTCTCATCTTTACCCCTAAACCCAAGTGCCCAATCTCAGCCTAAGCAGAAATCCAAAGCCATATCAAAGATGAAGAAACCAAGTTTCTGTCACCAGGTATTTTCCAGATAGTCTCTGCTATCTAAGAATTATCTGAAACAAGCTCTGAGCTGTAAGACTGAGCTCCAGACCCTTGCAATCCACCCTGTCCAGTTTCCCACTTCATTACCACCCTAGCCCCATTGAGAATAGTGGGTTACAGATGCCCAAATGCTAAATGCCTTTCTTTTTTGAGACAGAGTCTCACTCTGTTGCCCAGGCTGGAGTGCAGTGGTGTGATCTCAGCTCACTGCTACCTCTGCCTCCTGGGTTCAAGTTATTCTCCTGCCTCAGCCTCTGGAGTAGCTGGGGACTACAAACTCATGCCACCACGCCTGGCTAATTTTTGTGTTTTTAGTAGAGAGAAGTTTTGCCGTGTTGGCCAGGCTGGTTTTGAACTCCTGACCTCAGGTGATCCACCAGGCTCGGCCTCCCAAAGTATTGGGATCACAGCCGTGAGCCACCACACCTGGCCTAAATGCCTTTTTATTTATTGCCCTGCCTAGCTCCAAGAGCTGTGCTACTGGTCAGTCTTCTGGGGACCACAGTTTTCCAAGGAAAGACAGTGACTCTAAGATATTCCATGCCTCAGGACAAAGCAAATATTCTGGTACTATGGATGGAACTGATGTTTAAAAGTTTCCAAAAACAAAAAAACACATTTCAGCCGAAAAGCTGAATTCCTAGTAATTCACCCTTTAGTAATCCAAAGCAATTGTCATTTTCATCTGGTAAGGAAAGAATAAAGTTTTGTCTTAGGGAAAGTATAATATTTTTCAAGGGGCAGAGGCTCTGAGGGTTGGATAAACAAATGCCCACACAGCCCATAGCTATTAGGGGTTGTGACATTTTTATGGGCTGCTGCAAGTTGGGGAGACGAGGAGAGAGCAGAGCACAATTTTATCATCTTATCACCAGAAAAGAGCCCCAGGCCGGGAGTGGTGGCTCACACCTGTACTCAGTACCTTGGGATGCCAAGGCAGTAGGATCACTTCAGCCCAGGAGTTCAAGACTAGCCTGAGCAACATCATAAAATCTTATCTCTACAAAAAATAAATAAAATTAGCTGGGCTTGGTGGCATGTGCCTGTAGTCCCAGCTACTTGAGAGGCTGAGGTGGGATGACTGCTTGAGCCCAGGAGGTTGAGGTTGCAGTGAGCTGAGATCGCATCACTGAACTCAAGCCTGAGAGTCAGAACATGACCCTGTCTCAAAAAGGAAAAAAAAAAAAAGAAAAAGAAAAGAGCCCCTAACACCCCAAAGGGACACATCCCTGAGAATTAAGATATGAATTAAATTAGCTCTTTAGATCATGGTTTCTACAGAGGTTTGTAAAGAAGCTGTGTGGATGGTGGGTACTGGGCATTTCCAAGCAAATACACCCCATTTCTTCTAATAGAAATAGCAATAATAGGGGGAGGACAGAGTCAGCAATGAGGGGATTGGGTTCTTCTACGTCTTTCCTGGACAGATCGACCCTGCAGGTCCCATATTCTGTCTTTGAAAAAGATAGTGTGGTTGTGGTTCTGAGATGCCAGGGGAAAGGGAACAGAAGAAGATAATGAACATAGCTTAGAAGGATAAAAGAAGCATATTCACTTTGAATAAAACTTCAAGCTTCATCATCTCCAATGCCGACTCCAGTAACAGTCTTCAGTATTATTGTACTGGCTTCAAGAAAGGTGTTTTTAGTTTATGGATAGAAACTTCAAAAAATAATAAGATCCAAGTCAAAGGTAAGAGTTACTTTCTGAAAGATAATACTGCACAGGGGCAGGATGTACCAGGGGTGAGCAGGGTGAGTTCATGGCAAAGGAAAGCCCATGGGCCACTGGGGGGGGGGTGGAGACATGTAGGGTGGCCTGTGTGTCCAACTGGCTGTTTCTTTGAGTCTTGTTGGCAAGTGCTGAGACACAAACTGCCTCTTACCAGAAATTCCGAACCGCATTAATCATTTGTGTTTAATTCCTCTCTCTAGAGCTGTTTTTGATAGCCAGCCCCTCCCATCCCACAGAGGGGAGCCCAGTGACCCTGACGTGTAAGATGCCCTTTCTACAGAGTTCAGATGCCCAGTTCCAGTTCTGCTTTTTCAGAGACACCCGGGCCTTGGGCCCAGGCTGGAGCAGCTCCCCCAAGCTCCAGATCGCTGCCATGTGGAAAGAAGACACAGGGTCATACTGGTGCGAGGCACAGACAATGGCGTCCAAAGTCTTGAGGAGCAGGAGATCCCAGATAAATGTGCACAGTGAGTGTCAGTGGGGTCAGTCTGCCAGGATAGGCTGAGAAGGGCAGTGGCAAGAGGCTAATCCTCACTGTTATGGGTTCTATCTCTGCAAGAGTAGGAGCTGTTTGAAAGATATTCCTGAGTTTCTCTCATTATTAGGATCCTTAAGGGATCTTCCCTTATTCACTCTGTTTCCATTCAGGCAAACAGAGAGTACTTAGGAAACCCTTACTGTGTGTCTTCACTGTGCTGGAGGGTGTGGGGGGAAGAGCTGCATAATATTTGGTCCCTGACTACACGAAGTTGATGCTTAGCCAGCACTCTGAATAACTAGGGTTAAATATGTGGTGCTGCATTGTGTAGGACTGGCTGTTGACTACAGAGAAGGGGGATAAAGGACTGAGATGTTCAGAGAAGGCTTTGCTGAAGGAGTGTGTAGAATAGGTTACTGGAGCAGGGCTTATGGAAGGGCAGTTGGAGCTTGATTTCCAAAAAATAGAAAGAAAAGAGTGCTTCATAATTCATCTTGTTATTCCATGTCAGTGTTGACACTTCCAACATCCTCTCCCATTCTGTCGTGCCATGAAGCAAATGTCTAATACTTCCAAAAGGCTGTGCTCTCCCACGCTTGCTAAAAACTCAATACTGGTGAAACTGGACCACCACCACCACAATAATCACTGAGCAATTTATACATGGCAGTCCCTATCCTAATGCTTCACAGATATTGTGTAATTGAACCCTCCAACTGCAGGAGATAACTATCATTACCAGCTCTCTTTTACATATGGAAAATTGTACTTCAGAGAAGTTGAGTAATTTGATCAAGCACACACAACGAGTAAAAGAGTTGGAACCACTCTTCAAATAAGGCAGTTCGATTTACAATTTAGACTTGTAATCACTTCACTATACTATTGTTTCTTGAAAAAATGAAAGTTTGAGAGATTAAGGTAGTGGAAGTCATGTTGTTCTAGGGAGAGAGGTGATGCTATGCCTTGTATGGTAATACTATGGTGTCTTTCTTATCCTACCACCATCACCCAACCAATCAGCAGACCCCTCCCCACCTCACCCAAATTAAGCTATATACATCATTGACTTCACTCATGCTCTTTGCTTTCAGGACCGTCATATCTACTTACTGTCTTTGAAACTCTCCCTGCACAGGGTCTTCCTATGTCATCTTGTGTCCACACAGGGGTCCCTGTCGCTGATGTGAGCTTGGAGACTCAGCCCCCAGGAGGACAGGTGATGGAGGGAGACAGGCTGGTCCTCATCTGCTCAGTTGCTATGGGCACAGGAGACATCACCTTCCTTTGGTACAAAGGGGCTGTAGGTTTAAACCTTCAGTCAAAGACCCAGCGTTCACTGACAGCAGAGTATGAGATTCCTTCAGTGAGGGAGAGTGATGCTGAGCAATATTACTGTGTAGCTGAAAATGGCTATGGTCCCAGCCCCAGTGGGCTGGTGAGCATCACTGTCAGAAGTAAGTTCCACTACCCTTCGTTCAGCCAGCCAGTCACAAACTGGGCTCCACATTTCCCTGGGGCACACAAAGTTTCCCTGGGGCATGCTGAGGAAGTTCAATGGGGCTGAGCATCGGTGGGCAGGGATTATGAGTTTGCTGCATTGTCAGAGACTGTCTCTTACAGTCTACTGTCTCCCTCAGTCCCGGTGTCTCGCCCAATCCTCATGCTCAGGGCTCCCAGGGCCCAGGCTGCAGTGGAGGATGTGCTGGAGCTTCACTGTGAGGCCCTGAGAGGCTCTCCTCCGATCCTGTACTGGTTTTATCACGAGGATATCACCCTGGGGAGCAGGTCGGCCCCCTCTGGAGGAGGAGCCTCCTTCAACCTTTCCCTGACTGAAGAACATTCTGGAAACTACTCCTGTGAGGCCAACAATGGCCTGGGGGCCCAGCGCAGTGAGGCGGTGACACTCAACTTCACAGGTATAGCTCAGGCTATGGAACTGTCTTGGTCAATGTCTCCTTCCCAGCGTCCTGGGAGAGTTTTGCTGGTGCCACTGTGCTTCCGGGGGTTTGCTACCCATGGTGGGGCCTCTGTGTGAGGTGCTGTCATGAGTGATGTATTGGAGGGGCATGGAGAACTCAAGGTTGGGTGCAGCTCTTCTCTTGTCATAAAGATGATAAGCCACAAGTCCCTAGACAAATAAATAAATCCCCACTTGGAAGAGCAGACCTTGGGCACAACCCACACCCAAGATGTCTGCTCTCTAAGCCCCAAGCCCTTCCTCTGAGCAGATCATGCACAGGTCTCTCCCTCTAGTGCCTACTGGGGCCAGAAGCAATCATCTTACCTCAGGAGTCATTGAGGGGCTGCTCAGCACCCTTGGTCCAGCCACCGTGGCCTTATTATTTTGCTACGGCCTCAAAAGAAAAATAGGTTAGTATTTAAAGAGAGTGGCATTTTGTTACTGTGATCTTTGTTTTCACTGAAATAGGCTGAAATTGTGACATGTATACTGCAAAAGATGTATATGCTGTTAACACCTTGCCTATGTTTCTGCCCACAAAGCCAGCGGGTAGGAACAGTGCCTATTAATACAGTGTAACATTTTTGGTAAAGTTCTCCATCCCTCATGTGCTATCAGTTGAGGTTCGAGTGATATTTTGTGCTTCTGTGATTTAATTTTTATACAAAAATGTAATGATTTGGCCGGGGGCGGTGGCTCACGCCTGTAATCCCAGCACTTTTGGAGGCTGAGGTGGGCAGATCACAAGGTCAGGAGATCGAGACCATCCTGGCCAACATGGTGAAACCCCATCTTTACTAAAAATACAAAAATTAGCTGGGCGTGGTGATGCATGCCTGTAATCCCAGCTACTTGGGAGGCTGAAGCAGGAGAATCACTTGAACCAGGGAGTTGGAGGTTGCAGTGAGCTGAGATCACGGCACTGCACTCTAGCCTGGTGACAGAGTGAGACTCTGTCTCAAACAAACAAACAAACGAATGTAACTATTTAACATAATCTGCCACAGAAGAGAAATACTGTTAGCAGTTCCAGCTATCCTGACTATATCGCAGTACTAAAGTCAGTGCATCAATTCTTATTCACCTTCAAGTATTGTGACATGCTTTTTCTTCTCTCTGAACCGCACATTCACACATCCACATGTTCACTTACTGCTGGAACTTTCTCACTTGTCCTCTGAAATGACATTTTCTCCAAGAGGCTTCACCTGGCGTGCACAGCCTGCAATTGTTCTCTCCTATTATGAGTTCCAAGTTATTTAGATTCACACGTTATCACAACTGGTAATTACATATTTATTTGTATATTTAACCTTGGTCTTCTCTTCACTGAGGAAGTTGGAGACAAGGCAAGAGAGGACACTGTGAAATTCTCATTTAAATTCCAAGCTTTTCTGACATATTTGGGTACCTCACACCGTCTATATCATGCTTGTGGCAGCATCTGCCTCCAAGGACTTTTGTCACAATAAGATTGGGTGGTGTGGTTGTAAAACAAAACCAAAACATACAATAAATGTGCAAGTTTAGAGACTTGGGTCCCAAGTCCTAGATCTGGTACTAATTGGCTTTGGGAATCTCACTTAATTATTCAGGACCTGAGTTTCCATCTGTGAAATGAAGGCTCTGTAAATGATTGCCAGGATGTCTGCTGGGCACACAGTGGCACCCACAATGGGCATCTGAGCATGAGGCATATCCCTGTGCAGGGGGTATGAAAACACTGACAGTGCTGACAGTGAGGGTTCTTCCATTTATGTGTATGCTCATTTGTTTTTCTTTCAGGAAGACGTTCAGCCAGGGATCCACTCAGGTGAGGCCTGTTTTCACTATAGGTGTCAATAATGCAGAAAAATCTATTTTAAAAATAGATTTAGATTTGTTCTCTCCTGAGCATTTTTTTTCCGGCTTTATTATACCCAGAACTCACTCCTGAGTTCTCCCACTGGCAACTTTGAACAATTCATTGTCACTTCCCTTCTTTTAGATTTCGTACATTAATGATTTTAAATCTTTTCATTATTTTTCCTGTTGATCCCCTTCAATACCACTGCAGAATTTTTTTTTAATTTTATTATTATTATACTTTAAGTTTTAGGGTACATGTGCACAACGTGCAGGTTTGTTACATATGTATACATGTGCCATGTTCGTGTGCTGCACCCATTAACTCGTCATTTAGCATTAGGTATATCTCCTAATGCTATCCCTCCCTCCTCCCCCGCACCCCACAACAGTCCCCGGTGTGTGATGTTCCCCTTCCAGCAAAGTCTCAGGATACAAAATCAATGTACAAAAATCACAAGCATTCTTATACACCAATAACAGACAAACAGAGAGACAAATCATGAGTGAACTCCCATTCACAATTGCTTCAAAGAGAATAAAATACCTAGGAATCCAACTTACAAGGGATATGAAGGACCTCTTCAAGGAGAACTACAAACCACTGCTCAATGAAATAAAAGAGGATACAAACAAATGGAAGAACATTCCATGCTCATGGGTAGGAAGAATCAATATTGTGAAAATGGCCATACTGACCACTGCAGAATATTAAAATCACATTGCGGCTGGGCACAGTGGCTCGCACCTGTAATCCCAGCACTTTGGGAGGCTGAGGCGGGCAGATCACCTGAGCTCAGGAGTCCAGACCACCTTGGGCAACATGGTGAAACCCTGTCTGTACCAAAATACAAAAAATTAGCTGGACGTGGTGATGCACGCCTGTAGTCCCAGCTACTCAGGAGGCTGAGGCAAGAGAATCCCTTGAGTTCGAGAGGTGGAGGTTGCAGTGAGCCGAGATGGCACCACTGCACTTAAGCCTGGGTGACAGAGCAAGACTCTGTCTCATAAATAAATAAATAAGTAAATAATCACATAGCTTTCACCAGGATCATGCATTCACTCAATCAGTCAACCAATATTTGAGGATCTGTAAGTCATTCTGTTGAGTGCTGACAAATGTGAAAATATAAAAAACTCTTGAGAGTTTTAAAGTATTTTAGGGTAGGTAAGATACATGTACATTTCTGGAATGTAAGACAGACAGGAATGAACATACTGAACAGTTATTGGTGAAGTTCTTTAGATGTTTAGAGGAAGAAAATATTTTTTAAACTACTTCCATCTAGAGATCCCAATGTTTAGTTGTCTTTTTAATATAATGTATTATCATTTATGCCAACAATAAACAGGTATTCTTTTTTTTTTCAAATGAGAGTAGCACTTTTCACTGGTACCCGCACATGAAGGAGCATTTTCTTCTGCCCCTTCCTCAAGTTGCTTGTTCTGCCCAGCAAAGTGTTTTCCATCTGGAGTGAATCAATATTTATTCATTTAATATTTAGGGAGCACTCATGATGTGAATGACACTATTCTGGGAATGGGAAATACCACACCTTACGCTCATGGAGTTACCCGCTGGTGCATGCTCTGCGGTGCCCCACTCAGCATGTGCACAGAGCCGTGACTCATACCACACTGCTGTGCCTTCTAGCTGCTCATTTCCCCGTAACTTAGTATTCTGCTCAGGACAATTTGTCACAGGCTTCTCTCCTTCAGTGTGATATCTGCATGATCTGGGATGCAATTTCAGATAAATAACATGTGTCTCTGTGTTTGCAGGAGCCTTCCCAGCCCTCTACCCCAAGAGTTCACCTACCTCAACTCACCTACCCCAGGGCAGCTACAGCCTATATATGAAAATGGTGAGCCTTCCCAAATGGCCCAGGCCAACGATGGTACAGCAAGCTAGGGAAGGGACAATGGGATAACATCTGCTAGCCAAACCTGACTTTGCTGTGCCCTAGCCTCTGCTACAAACAAATGACTCATCTGTCTTCATGGCTGTGACAGGTGGAAGGTATGGAGTAATTTGAAAGACAGGAATCAGGGGCTGTGTCATGAAGTCTCCCTCCTTCTCTTGCAGTGAATGTTGTAAGTGGGGATGAGGTTTATTCACTGGCGTACTATAACCAGCCGGAGCAGGAATCAGTAGCAGGTGAGACATGGGGGAGTAAATTTGTCTCTGACTTTTGTCTTTCCCAGAACCAAGAGAACAATCAGTGGCTGTGCATGGCAGACAACAGCATTCCTCAGAGCAGAAGGCTGTGAGCATCACTGTGTGTACTTAATGGCTGTCCTTGGGTCTGGAGCTACCTTGAGTAGAGCCCAGAGCTAATGCTAAGGTTCTTTCTTTCCCCTGGGGATGGGCTGTCAAATTTCTTAAATTATAGTCACTTAGAAAGAGCAAAAATCCCATGGCTTACCTCTTCCTGACCTCCCAACACGATGGAGGTAAAACATGTAGTTACAATAAGGTGTCATTGTATGGCCTACATTTTATGCCTCGCTCCCCAGTCATGTGGCAGCATCAGAGGTGATGGCTTCTGCCTGCCCTCTTTAAGTAGCCTGACATACTCCTCATAACCCCATCACAGCTGCCTAGCTGGTGCTCTTGTCCCATCCTACACATGGTGAGCCCAGAATAGCTGAGAGGTATAAAGGCCCCTCCTGGCATAGAGGGTCTACTTACCCTCCCACCCCCAGGCTACCAATTTTCCTCTGGCTACTAAGGGAATCACATTTGTGATAAACAGAAAAGCAAGACAGAAAATATTAATGGAAATCAATTCATGGGAAATAGATGGGAGAGGAAGAAGCTTTTCTTAACACAAGTTTAGTGAAGGACTTTAAATATAAGTGGAATGTCACAGCACTTGTCTTTTCTCCACAGCAGAAACCCTGGGGACACATATGGAGGACAAGGTAAGAGTCTCTATTGTTCTTTCTTCCATGTTCTTTCTTTCCTCTGGGGACTGGTTCTCAAACTTCTTAAATTATAGCCACTTAGAAAGAGCAAAAATCCCATGGTCTACCTCTTCCCTACATCCCAAAGCAATGGAGGTAAAAACACATAGTTACAACAATAAGGGGTCATTGTACAAGGAAAGTTTGAAGGCTTACAAATACATTTACTTTAGCAATGGACACATGAATGATTTTTAGCTAAACTGCAGTGCATACCTAGTCTAAAAATTCTATTTATTGGAAAATCTTTATCCTAAAATATTGTTGAGCCATACATCCATCACTTTGTACTATAAGGTTAACCAAACAATCTACAGCAACTAAATTAATATTGAACAAACCTAAGCTAATAGTAATTTGTGTCACTAAAAATTAGCATTTGGTAAACTTTGAATAATTCAAGGTATCACCACTGATACAAAAATACTTTCTTAAAACTGCAGAAATTCCAGCTCTGTGCATGTGTGCAAAAACAGTAGGTGCTTTGCAGTTTTGTCTAGTGTGGTGTGGCAGCCAGATATCTCAGAACAAAATTCAAATCCTTGGTGAAGTCCAGTGACATGCTACATTTAATTTATGAATATAAAATTCTGACAACCTTTTAAAAAATGACAGCCCATGGGCCTGCCTAACAAAGGCCCATAAGAATGAGCGAAGGCACTGTATGTTTGCATCAGTTTGCAGCTTATCAGGAGCATCTTTGTAGTCCACCAGTGGGATACAGGCACTCTAAAAATGCTGGCCTTGGACCACAGTTTTCCAAGAGGCCCTTATTTTTGCATTGCGTGATGTGCCATGATAAGATGCATCCAAGCTAACTGGGGAAGGGGACCAGTGGAGGCATGTTCTGCTTGTCTTCCCTGCTCTAGTCCTAATCTTTGCTTCCAGGTTTCCTTAGACATCTATTCCAGGCTGAGGAAAGCAAACATTACAGATGTGGACTATGAAGATGCTATGTAAGGTTATGGAAGATTCTGCTCTTTGAAAACCATCCATGACCCCAAGCCTCAGGCCTGATATGTTCTTCAGAGATCCTGGGGCATTAGCTTTCCAGTATACCTCTTCTGGATGCCATTCTCCATGGCACTATTCCTTCATCTACTGTGAAGTGAAGTTGGCGCAGCCCTGAAGAAACTACCTAGGAGAACTAATAGACACAGGAGTGACAGGGACTTTGTTATCAGAACCAGATTCCTGCCGGCTCCTTTGAAAACAGGTCATATTGTGCTCTTCTGTTTACAAGAGGAAACAAGATGGAATAAAAGAAATTGGGATCTTGGGTTGGAGGGACAGTGAAGCTTAGAGCACATGAACTCAAGGTTAGTGACTCTGCAGGACTTCACAGAGAGAGCTGTGCCCATCATTCAGTCCAAGTGCTTTCTCTGCCCAGACAGCACAGAACTCCAGCCCCGCTACTTACATGGATCATCGAGTTTCCACCTAAAATATGATTCTATTTATTTTGAGTCACTGTTACCAAATTAGAACTAAAACAAAGTTACATAAAAAGTTATTGTGACTCCACTTAATTTTAGTGACGTATTTTTGTATATATAGGCCAACCTATACCACATCCAAAATTATGTATCTATTACAGCCCCTAGAAGCTTTATAAATACAGTGTGTCTTCTTTTATTCACAAAATTTTTGAAATCGTGGTAATATGGTTTGAAACCTGTATCTTAATTATTTTTTTTTTAAATTGAGACAGGGTCTCACTCTGTCACTCAATCTGGAATGCAGTGGCACAATCTTGCCTCACTGCAACGCCTGCCTCTCAGGCTCAAGCAAACCTCTCACCTCAGCCTGCTGAGTAGCTGGGACTACAGGCACATGCCACCAAACTTGGCCATTTTTTGTCTTACGTAGAGACAAGATTTCACCGTTTTGCCCAGGCTGGTCTCAAACTCCTGGGCTCAAGCAATGTATTGAATTTTAAAATAACCAGGCACTCACTCTTATGAATTAATAAACATTTGGAGGTATATAAAGTAAAAAGTTAAAGTCTTTCCTGTAAGTTAACACAAATGTTAACTATTGTTAAAAACTTTACAGGTAGCTCTCTAGATATTTTTCTATTTTTGTATGTATACTTATGCATACATGTAAGTATATAAACATTTAGAAGTGTACCTATCTAACAAACTATTATGAAATACTTTCAAATCTGTAAATAGATCTATTATACTATTTTAAAAGTCTCTATAGTAGTGTGTTATATAGATAAATCATAACTTTTTTCTTTTTTTATTGTAGTAAATATGCACAACATAAAATTGATCATTTTAACCATTTTTAAGTGTACAATTCAGTGGCATTAAGTACTATCATAATATATTTTAATCCTTCTCATCACTGGTGGACATTAAGGAGACTCTCAAAAAATTCATATTATAAAAACAAAGTTCAAACAAATGTCTTTGTACTAGCATATTATGGCACTCCTGCTGGATTATCTGAAGGATAAATTTGTAAATCTAGTATTGCTAGATTATGCATATTAAATATTCTTGTTAAATAGTCTTCAATGTCTCTCAGGTAAGGCTGTATCAATTTATATCTTCACCAACAACGTCTGGGAAATCAGTTTGTGGGGTGTATTACTTAGTTTTCACATTGCTAATAAAGACATATCCAAGACTGGGTAATTTATAAAGGAAAGAGGTTTAATTGACTCACAGTTCCAAATGGCTAGAGAGGCCTCCGGACACTTACAATCATGGCAGAAGGGGAAGCAAACATGTCCTTCTTCACATGGCAGCAGGAGAGAGAAACTGTCCTCTGTTCAGCCTTTGCCCATCTTCTATGTCATTTGTGTTTTTCTTACAGTTTTTATAGGAATGATTTATTAAGGCTTAATTTATAACAGTGAAATGCATAGATTTTATGTGCATAGTTCCATCAATTTGACAAATGCATGCATTTGAGTAATCCAAACCCTTATCATGAGATAAACTATTTTCATCACTCCAGAAAGTTCCCTCATACTCATGTCCAGTCTATTTATGCCACTCTAGAAACAACTACTGAACATTATGCTTTTGACCATTTCTCCATTGTATGCGATGACAATGTTTTTGTGCAATCTTTCACTTCACTTTTTGTTTACAGTGAATTCTAAAATACTGAAGGTTAGTTTTTGCACAGCTAAACTCAAGTTTTTCAAATCTTGGTTTCTAACTTTCCTATATTTCTGTCATCTTCTATCAGACCATGTTGCCATGTTATAAAATATTCTTATATTTTCTTATAATGCCTCCATAGTTTTATTATATATTCACTCAATACATCATTTTTCTATGTGGTATGAGGTAAGAATCTAACTTTTACTGATTTTATCTTTATGCATTTTTTTTAATTTAAAATGTGGGGTAGGGATCTAACTTTTTTCAAACACATATAAATTGTGCACTACTATTTATTTAAATAGTCTGTTCTTTTCCCTTTTATTATTATGCTATCTTATCTCACTTGAATTCAACCTAAGCCTGTTTTAGACTCCAACTAATACTACAGATCTTCCTACCACTCTTCCCCTTGCATAATTAACTTCAAGCACATTAGCCTCCGGGTTCCTCAAGCACACCAAATTTAGTCCCAGCTCAGGAACTCTGTACTTTCTATTTCCATGCTTTAATGTTCTTTCTCTTGATATCCTTGTTTTCTTATTTCCTTCATTTGCATTTCTGCTTTGATTTTCTGTTTCTGGTCCATGGACATTTTTATTTTCTTTTTATAGAACAAACACAGCTTTTTTACATTTTGTATTTTTCCTGCCATTGCTATGTGCTTGGAGCTCAGGGAGGGCCTCAAAGGATGAAATTGGAGTATGGTGTGATCAGAAGTTTGAACTTCTTTGTATTGTATGATCATCCCTTTACCTTAATACTCACATGAAATGCTATCTATGGCTTCTTACATTCCACTTCTTCTTAATCAATTTCTTTCTTCATGAACTTAAACGTTCCCATCATTTTTGATAGGGTCTGTGAGTTTATTTGTCCAAAAAGCCCAAAAGCAGAATTTAAGATTGATAGCATAGCTTTGTGCTCAACAGTTGTAATATTTTTTTCCATGGTCGTCTAGCTTCTTCTGTTTTCTTTGAGAAATCTATGTAATTGTTGTTTCTTTATAATTAATCTATCTTTTCTCTCCAGTTGCCTTTAAGACTTTTTATATTTGATATTATGCAATTTCACTATGATTTGTCTAAATGTGCATTTATTTTGCTAGAGATTAATAACTCAAGTCTAAGGTATCATGTCTTTTTTCAAGTTTAGAAAATATTTGGCTATTATCTCTTTATTATCATGCTGCTACAGCATTATTTGAATTCTTTCCCTCAGAAATTTATATTAGAAGTTTGCTAGACTTCATTCTAGTCTCATGACTCTTAATTAGTCTTGCAAAATTTTCATTTCATTATCACTTATTGCATTTTAGGTAATTTCTTAATCTCTGTCTTCCAGTTTACTGGTTCTTTCTTCAGCTGTATCTATTTTATTGTTTAACCTATTTATTTTCTATTTCAATGATTACATTTTTTGAGATTTTATTAGCAAAATGGTTAAAAGCATGGTTTCAGAGGATTGTCTGGATTTACATTTTGCCTCCATTATTTACTAGCTCTCCAGTTTTGGTTAAATTAATTAACCTTTTGTGCTTCTTGGTGTGTAAAATTGAAGTAACAATTGTATATAAATATAGTGTTTTTTGGTAATTAATTAAAATTATTTGCATAAAATGCTTAAGACAGGGCCTGAAATGACATTGAGTCCTCAAAAAATAAATTATTATTATCATTCCTTCACAGAGTGTTTTTATTATTTGTTGTGTTTTGCTGTTATTGGTTTAACACTTGATTTTATGATTTTTAACAAGCTTAAAATAGTTTAAATAAACTGTAATTCCCAGATAAATCTACCAATTGAAGTTTTAGGCATTTAATCCTCAGTTTATCACATATTTTATTTATGTTTATTAAATATTTTTAGAGACAGAATCTCACTCTATCACCCAGGCTGTAGTGCAGTGGCATGATCATAGCTTGCTGCAACCTCGAACTCCTGGACTCAAGCAATCCTCCCACCTCAACCCCCCAAGTAGCTGGAACTAGAGGTGCACCACCATGCCCAGCTAAGTTTTAATTTTCTTTTTCTAGAGATGGGGTCTCACTATGTTGCCCAGACTGGTCTTTCTCACTATGTTGCCTAGACTGGTCTTGAACTCCTGGCCTCTAGCGATCTTTCTTCCTCTCACATATTTTAAATCTTGTTTATGGTGGTTTCATAGATTTTGTGATTTTACATTGTGCAGCATCCTGCGCAATGTGGGGATTCCATGTGGCCTAGGTTCCTCTTTTTTTCTTTTTTTTTAAGTGAAGGCAATTAAGGTATTATTGACAGACAAACATTGTATATATTTATGGTGTATAATGTGATGTTTTGATATATGTATACATTGTGAAATGATTAGATCTGGCTAATGAACATATACATCACCTTGCATACTTGCCATTTTTTATAGTGAGAACATTTTTAATGTAATCTTTTAGCAGTCTTCAAATATAGAATAAATTACTATTAACTGTAACACCATGCTGTATAATAGATCTCCAAAACTTTCTAACTGAAATGTTACATCATTTGTTCAATATTTCCCCATTCCCCCTCAATCCCTGACAACCACCATTGTACTCTTTGCTTCTATGAATTGGAGTTATTTAGATTCCACAAGTAAGTGAGATTACGCAGTATTTGTCTTTCTGTGGCTGACTTACTTCACTCAACATAGTGCTCTTTAGGTTCATCTACATTGTCACAAATGACATAAATTCCTTCTTTTTAAAGTCTGAATAGTATTACATTTTGTATATATACCACATTTTTAAAATCCATTATTTTGTTGATGGGCATGTAGGTTGATTCCATATCTCGATTATTGTAATGCTGCAGTGAACATGGGAGTGCAGATATCTTTTTGACACACTGATTTCATTTCCTTTGGATATAAATCCAGTAGTGAGATTGCTGGGTCATATAGTCGCTCTATTATTATATTTTGAGGAACTGCTATACTGTTTTCTATAATGAATGTTTTAATTTACACTCCCACCAACAGTTCCCTTTTCTCTACAACCTTGGCAACACTTGTAACCTTTTGTCTATTTGATAATAGCCATTCTAACAGGTATGAGGTGCTATTCCACTGTGGTTTTAATTTGCATTTCCCTGATGATTAGTAATGTTTAACATATACCTGTTTTATATATCTGCTGGACATTTGTATGTCTTCTTTTGAGTAATATCTATTCAGGTTCTTTGCCTATATTTTAACTGAATTATTTGTTTCCTTGTTGTTGACCTGAGGTTCTTATATATTTGGCATACTAACTCTTGTCAGATATATGGTTTGCAAATATTGTCTTTTTTTCTTTGCCCATAATTTTGGGATCAGATCCAAAAAATCTTTGTCAAGATTGAAGTCAAGAAGTTTTTCCTTATGTTTCCTCCAGTATTTTACAGTTTCAAGTCTTAACATTTAAGTTTTTAAGTTGATTTTTGTGTATGGTGTAGGATAAGGATCCAATTTTATTCTTCAGCATGTAGATATCCAGTTTTCCCAACACCATTTATTGGAAAGACTGCCCTTTCCCCATTGTGTGTTCTTGTTCCTGTTCTTGTGTGTACTTTGTCAAAAATCACTTGAGCATAAATTTGTGAAATTATTTCCGGGCTTTCTACTCTGTTCTATTGGTCTATATTTCTGTTTTTATGCCATTGTCATACTCATTTGATTACTAAGCTTTGAGTACATTTTGAAATTAGGTAATGTGATGCCTCTAGCTTTGTTATTTCTTCTCAAGAACAAATTTCACTATGCCAAATTAAATGGCATTAAATTTTAGCAGAATTGGTTTGCGAAGTTGCTTTTTGTATTGGGGCCTTTTGTGGTTCCACACAAATTTTAGAATTTTTTTCTATGTTTGTTAAAAATATTATTCAAAATTTAATAGGGATTACATTAAATCTGTAGATCTCTTTGGGTATTATGGACATTTTAACAATACTAATTATTTCAATCCATTTATTTGTATCTTCTTCAATGTCTTTCACCAATATTTTATAGTTTTTGGTACAGAGACCTTTCATTTACCTGGTTAAATTTATTCCTAAGTATTTTATTCCATTTTATTTTATTTTTTATAGTATGGGATTGTCTTCTTGAACTCTTTTTCAGATAGTTTGTTGTTAGTGTATAGAAATGCTACTGATTTTGCATGTTAAAGTTATATCCTGTATATTACTGTATAACAGTTTTTGGTGGAGTCTTTATGGTTCTCCACGTGTAAGATCATGTCATCTGCAAGCAGAGACAATTGTACTTCTTCCTTTTCCATTTTGATGCCTTTGGCTTCTTTTTCTTGCTTAATTGCTCTGGTGTGGACTTCCAGTACTAGAAAAAGAGCTTTAAGTTTTCACCATTGAGTATGATGTTAGCTGTGGGCTGTGATATATGGCCTACATCACGTTGAGGTACATTCCTTCTATCCTAATGTGTTGAGAGTTTTTATTATAAAAGGTGCTAAAGATGCTAAATGTTTTAAAGTGCTTTTTTGCATTTATTGAGATGATTATGTAGTTTTTGTACTTCATTTTGTTAATGTGATATATCAATTTATTGATTTGCTTATGTTGAATCATCCTTGCATCCCAGGGATAAATCCCACTTGATATTATGGTGAATGACTCTTTTAATGTGCTGTTGAATTTGGTTTGCTAGAATTTTGTTGAGGATTTATGCATCTATGTTCATCAGGGATTTTGGCCTGTAGTTTCCTTTTCTTGTAGTGTCCTTGTCTTGTTGGGTTATTAGAGTAATGCTGGCCTTGTAAAATGAGTTTAGAAGTATTCTGTCTTCAAAGTTTTTGCAATAGTTTGAGAAGGATTGGTGTTAGTTCTTAAATTGTTGGTAGAATTCAGGCCTGAAGGTAACAGGTCCTGTGCTTTTCTTTGATGGGAGATTCTTTAAATTACTGATTCAATTTTCTTACTCATTTTTGGCCCATTCAGGTTTGCTATTATTTCATGTTCAGTCTCAGTAGATTGTGTGTTCCCAAGAATTAATCTCTTTCTTTAAGGTTATCCAATTTGTTGGAATATAATTGTTTTATAGTAGTCTCTTACAATCTTTTATATTTCTGTGATATCAGTTATGTCTCCTCCTTCATTTATAATTTTTATTTATTTGAGTTTTCTCTATTTTTATGTTTGTCTAGCTAAAAGTTTGTCAATTTTGTTTATCTTTTCAAAACCCAACCATTAGTTTCATTGATCTTTTCAATTATTTTTTTCTAGTCTCTATTTCATTTATTTGTACTCTAATCTTTGTTATTTTCCTCCTTCTACTAGTTTTCAGGCTTAATAGGTTCTTCTTTGTCGAGTTTCTTGAGGTATCATGTTAGGTTGTTTATTTGAGGTATTTCTTATTTTTTTAATGTAGGCATTTATTTCTACAAATTTTCTGTGTAGAACTGCTTTTGCTGCATATCATAAGTTTTAGAATGTATTTTCATTTTTGTTTGTCTTGAGATTTTGTTAATTTTCTATTTGATTTATTCTTCAAACCATTGATTGTTCATGTGGTGTTTAATTTTCATATATTTGTAAATTTTCCAATTTTCCTCCTGTTCTTGATTTCTAGTTTCATAACGTTGTGGTTGGAATGTTGTGGTTGAAATCACCGATATGATTTCAATATTCTTAAATTTATTAACAATTGTTTTGTAGCCTAACATATGATCTATCTTGAAGAATGTTTCATGTGTACATGAGAAGAACACCTATTCTGCTACTGTTCAATGGAATGTTCTGTAGATGTTCGTTAGGTCAATTTGGTCTAAAGTGTAGTTCAAGTGTGATGTTTCTCTACTGATTTTGTGTCTAAAGCATATAGAGGCGTCGACAGTAGAATTGAGAATCTGAAGAAAGAATGTGTGAATTCAAAGACAGGTTATTTGAAATATCCAGTCAGAGGAGAAAAAATAATGAAAAGGAATAAAGAAAGCCTATAGGATTTATTGATTTTGACAATCTATTCATTGTCAAAAGTGGAGTATTCAATAATTTTACTATTATTATATTGCAGTTGATCTCTCCCTTAATATAATTCAACTTGCTTTATATATTTAGGTGCTCTGATATTGAGTGGTTATAAATTTATAATTGCTATATTCTTTTGATGAATTGACCCATTTTTATTATTAATAATCTTCTTTGTCTGTTTTTATAGTTTTTGAATGAAAGTCTATTTTGTGTGATATAAGTATAGCTACTCTTCCTCTCTTTTGGTTTCTATTTGCATAGGCTACCTTTCTTCATCTTTTCACTTTCTCTCTATGTGTGCCCTTAAGGGTGAAGTGAGTCTCTTGTAGGCAGCACATAGTTTGGTCTTTTAAAAAATCTATTCAGCCATTTAATATCTTTTGATTGTAGAATTCAATACATTCACGTTCAAGGTTATTGATAGGTAAAGACTTACTACTGCCTTTTGTTAAATTGTTTTCTGATTGTTTTATAGATCCTTTGTTCTTTTCTTCCTCTCCTGCTGTCTTCCCTTGTAATCTGATGATTTTCTGTAGTGGTATGCTTTGATTTCTCTCTTTATCTTTCATACACCTATTATAGGTTTTTATTTGTGGTTACCATGGCACTTATGCAAAACATCTTGTAGTTATAGCAATTAAAGCTGATAACTTTATTTTGATTGCATACAAAAACTTTATACTTTTTACCTCCCCAAACATTTTATGTTTTTGATGTCACAATTTACATCCTTTTATATTGTGTATCTATTAACAAATTATTGTAGCTATAATTATTTTTAATACTTCTCCATTTTAACCTTTATACTACACACCACAATTACAGTACTAGAATATTCTGAAATTGACTATGTACTAATATTTACCAGTGAGATTTCTACTTTACATGTTTTCATGTTATCAGTTAGTGTCCCTTCTTTCAGGTTGAAGAACTCCACTGAGCATTTTTTATAAGGTAGATGTAGTGATGATAAACTCTCTCAGCTTTTGCACATCTGGGAAAGTATTTCTTTCATTTCTGATGGACAGCTTTGCTCTATGAAGTATTTTTAGTTGAAATTTTCTTTTTTCTTTTTTTTTTTTTTTTGAGTTGGAGTTTTGTTCTTGTTGCCCAGTCTAAAGTGCCATGGTACAATCTTAGCTCACTGCAACCTCCACCTCCCAGGTTCAAGTGATTCTCCTGTCTCAGCCTCCTGAGTAGCTGTGATTACAGGCACCCACAACCACACTCGACTAATTTTTGTGTTTTAATAAAGGCAAGGTTTCACCATGTTGGCCAAGCTGGTCTTGAACTCCGGACCTCAGGCAATCCTCCAGCCTCAGCTTCCCAAAGTGCTAGGATTACAGTCATGAGCCACTGCACCTAGCCAGTTGGACATTTTCTTTCTTTCAGCACTTTGAGTATATCATCCCATTGTTTTCTGGCCTGCAGAATTGCTGCTGAGAAATCCCCTGATAGACTTTTAGGGATCCCCTTATAATAGGATCTTCTTTTCTCCTACTGCTTTCAAGATTCTTTTCGTCTTTGACTATTAACAGTTTGATTATAAAATGTCTTGGTGTAGCCTTCTTTGGATTGAATATGATTGGAGATATTTGAGCTTTCTGCACCTGTATGTCTATATCTTTTCCTAGATTTGGAAAGTTTCCAGACATTATTTCATCAAATAAACTTTTGGTCCTTTTCTCGGTCTCTTCTCTTTATTAAATTCCTACAATGCAAATGTTAGCTCCCTTGATGCTTTTCCATAAATTCCATAGGAATTTTTCCTCATTTTCTTTCATTCTTCCTTATCTTCTGCCTGGATATTTTTAAATACTCTGTCTTTAAATTCACAAATTCTGCTTCTCAATTCTGCTACTGATGTTTCTATTGCCTTTTTTCACTTCAATCATCATATTCTTCAGCTTTAGAATTTATCTTTTTAAAAAATGATTTAATCTCTGCTAAATTTTCCATTTTGTTCATATATTATTTCCCTAATTTTATTAAATTGTTTGGGTGCTTTCTTGTAGTTTACTGAGCTTCTCCAAACAATTATTTTGAGTTATTTGTCAGGTAAATTTAGAATTCAATTTCTTTGGTGTCAGTTACTGGAAAATCATTGTTTTTTGTTTGTTTGTTTGTTTGTTTTTGTTTTGTTTTGTTTGAGACAGAGTCTCATTAAATTGCTCAGGCTGGAGTGCAGTGGTGGAATCTCAGCTCACTCCAACCTCTGCCTTCTGGTTTCAAGTGATTCTCCAGCCTCAGCCTCCTGAGTAGCTGGGATTACAGGCATACAATTTTTGGTGGTATTTTGTTTCCCTGTTTTTTTCTTGCTGCCTTTCTTTGATGTCTGCACATTGATGGATTGATCTCTTCTAGACTTTATAGACTGATTTTAGCAGAGAAAAATCGTCCCCTTGAGATAGGACTAAAGGTACCAGCTGAGAGTGAAGGAATGCAGAAGTTCTAGCTCCAGTGAGGATGCAGAAGTTTAGTCTGCATGCAGCTCTGTCAGCTGAGATTGGTGTTGACAAAGATTGCAGATGTTCTCAGTGGCCAAGGCTGTGGGTGTCCTCAGCAATAGTGAGAGCTGTTAGGATCTTCAGTGGTGAAGGCTATTGTGGTCCTTCCAATCTCTTTTTGTTCCACTTGGGAAGTCATGGCCAAGAGGCTCTCCTTTTATGCCAGGTTCAGCTTGAGGGCATGCTTGCAGTGGTAGTGGCACCAGTGTCTGATTATAGTGTCCATGGAAAAAAGGCAGAGAGTTGGGGTCTGAAACATGGTCACATGTGGAGGAACCATGGCTTGAGTCTGGCGTGGTGTGCTCAGGGCACAGGCATCCTCATTGCTGCATTGATAATGGTGTGCAAGGTGGCATGCAGCAGCATCTCCTTCTTGGGAGTCTGCAGCAGGGATGGCTCTTGATTGCCTTAGTGGTGAAAGATGCCCATGTTTTCTGCAGAGCAGGCCACTGGGGACTGTGAATAACACCTGCTGCCTGGCTGATCTGAATAGCCCCTGCCCTTCTTTGTTTCTAGCCATCTCCAGATGTCTTAGGTACGCCATTCTCCCCAGAAATTATTTCTGTGTAGTCGTTCTTCTTCTTCTTCTTTTTTTTAATCTAATGTGTGGCTGTAAATTCTTAAATGGACCCTAGAACTCTCTTAAGGCTATTATCATTCATAGATAACTATTTTTTTTGTGTGAGGGGGAGGATGAAGGCTAACATCTTTTAGATTGCCATCTTGCTGATGTCACTGTGGCCTGGGCTTCTGCTGCATCCTTCAAAATCCATTTTGCATTTGTTTCTGCTAAGCCCTGGAAATTTCATTGGCCTAGGAACAATTTTTATGATAATTCCTTATTTGGGCTTTCCCAGAGCACACACATTAATGTGGCATGGTCCTGGGCTTTAGTTATTTCAGGGGAAATTTTATGTTTTTCCCAGAACTCATACAAAGACAAACTTGCTTATCATCTGTCTGTGCTAATGGGTGGATTTTTTCCCCCACCCACCATTCATTTATTAAAAGGTAGTTTTTGAGGGTCTACACTGTATGCAGGTGTTTTAGTTTCAAGTTTCTTCCTTTTGAAGCCTTAAGGTTTTGTTTCCTAGTTCCACATGGACTTTAAACACTAAGCCCATAAAAAGTATCTAGTATTGGCCGGGCATGGTGATTCACACCTGTAATCCCAGCACTTTGGGAGGCCGAGGCTGGTGGATCATTTGGGGTCAGGGGTTCAAGACAAGCCTGGCCAACATGATGAAACCCCGTCTGTACTAAAATACAAAAATTAGCCAGGCGTGGAGGCGGGCGCCTGTAATCCCAGCTACTTGTGAGGCTGAGGCAAGAGAATATCTTGAACCTGGGAGGCAGAGGTTGCAGTGAGCTGAGATCGCCCCACTGCACTCCAGCCTGGGGGACAGAGCAAGCCTCCATCTAAAAAAAAAAAAATACATAGCTACTGTTTAATTTCCTCCGTTACACCTCCCAGGGGATCAGTAATGCCAATTTACATGTTTAACACTCTGCTTTCACTTCATCATTTATCTACAATGGGGGGATTTCTCTCCTTTCTTACATATATAGTTATGTATTTAAAAATTATGTAATATTTATTCATCACTTATAAGCATTTAAGTGGGAGAATTTAAAGTGGGAGAATTTTCAGGTGTTTTAGTCTAACCAAACCTGCCAGAACTAGTATTCCCCACTTCTTGTTTTCCAAGTGGTGGTGGATTTTATTTTGATTTTTAAATTTTTTCATCATCTAAGGGGATTTTGAAAGTAAGAAAATTTAAATACCAGTGCTTAGTTTGCTATCTTGGATCATGTCTTCCATTATAAGTAATTGATCCAATTGGCTGGAGTCACAGGCTTTCTGATAATATTGATGACCCTTAATTTTCTCTGTATTTGTGGAGTTCTGTTATTCTATAATCATCTTTCCCTTGCAACCAAAACCTTTTTCATTCTCCCAATAGTGTGTCCACCAATACCACAATTATATCTTTAAACTTTTTTTCTTTATAGTTTCCTATGTATCTGATGCCAGATAAAAGTGAAAAATTTAATTAATTGAGAAACACTGGAAGAAAATTCTATTTTTAGTTATGCACAAACACTGAAATTGTTAGAAGTTAGCTCTAGAACTGATCCCACCCTTTGCCTTATCCTTGTCTCAGCTCTGGGTTCCTTCACCAGTGGGCCATTGATAGCTTTGCCATATACTTTCTTATGACTAGTTTTCCTGGACAGGTCAATAATGGTGGTTTCTTGTCACAAGGCATGTAAGCTTCCTGTAAGACACAGACAAATCTGCCACTATGGCATTGAGGAAATGACAATGCTAAATTTGAGTGAGATGGTTAAAGAGAGAAGAAAGAAGAAAGGAGGCTAAAGCTGAGACAAAATATGAGGAAGCGGCTCATCTGGGAGAACCCTGAAAAATTTATATAATGAGATTGCAATGAGCTTGGTTACAGGAAGTATGGGATACCTTCTAAGAAGAATCTTGGGGATAAAGGATTATGAGGGAAAAAAATAAGACTTCAATCCAGAGAAGCAGAGCAGGCTGCCGTAAATAAAATTAAAGCAGATTTGTAACTTAGTAAAAACAAAGTCCAGGAACCTAGGTATCTTTCTGGATTCTGGCTCCACTCTTACACCCCACACCTAATCAGTCATGAAGCTCTGCAGATTTTGACTCTGGCAAAATTTATCTCCTCCTCTTCATCAGAACCACCTTAGTTCAAGCCTTCATCTTTTCTATCCTGGACTGTATCAGTGGCCATACAGCTCTTCTATTTATCTCTAGCTTTATTCCTTCTAGTCCACATACACCCTGCTGTCCAAATTCAAAATGATCATGTTCTGATCATGGTTGAAATGCCACCATTAGTCTTGAAATATTTAGGGTTTATGGGTGCTACTCACCTTATGTCTCTTCTCCAGGTTTGGAACTAAGTTGACAAAGTCAGATTGGAGACAAAATATCAGCTTTAATAATGACCATACTAGACTAGATCATGTGACTTATATTTCAGCCAAATGGAGATTTTCTCTACTTTTCTATCAATAGGCTTTGGGACTTACTGTTAGGAGAGTTGTGTTTAGCCAGCAGAGGACCCTGGCTTCTGTGATAACTCATTGAGATAATTACACATAAGAAAATAAGCAGGAAGAGATTACTTTCTGTTTGAGGACAAGTGAAGAGAGAGAACAAGGTCATGAGCTGACATCTTCAACCCAACTCACCAATCAGATGAGCCTCTTCTCCCATGCAGAGGAACAAATAGTAGGAATAAAAGGACAATGGTAAAAGGACCAAAAGAGTTTTATCTAGTGGTGTTCTTTCCTGGGAATGGAGTGGGTGTCTCCTCCACCCTATGAAAATATAAAGATTTTCCCACCTTCCCACTTTTGGGCCTTACCTCTTGTGATGCTCTTCCTCATACCTTTGGATCTGCCATTCTAAAGTGCCTGTGGATACCTGAGCAGCCCGAATGGGTCCCTGACCTCTTACCATGCTCCTGATGCTTTCTAGGCCTGGAACTTCTCCATCTTCCTAAGTCTTATTTGCTTGATTGAAACCTACCTATCTCTCAATATTCATTTCTTCTGGAAGCCTTTACTCCTTAATCTCCACTGTGTCCATTCACATGCTGTACAGAGCTCCACCACAGCAGTGGGACACAAGTATGTTTACTCTTTTCTATTAGTCTTCTGATGCTAGAATGCAATTTCCATCAGGGCAGGGACCATATCTTTTTATCTGGGTATGTCTAGTGCCAAGTGTATTGCCCATCAAGCAGGGGCATTGAATAAAACTCCACTGAGTAACTGAATGCATGGCTTCATGCATGCATGAATTAATGACTGAATGAATAATGATTCTGCTTGGGAATCATATCTTTATGAACTGTGAAAAAGTTATTAGCAGAGTGTGTTAGAAGAGTGAGCAAAAAAAAAAAAAAAAAAGCATGGTAAAACAAGACAGAAAGCCATCAGTGTAATCTCGATCTTGGTTCTTGCTTTTTTCTTCTACTACAACTGATACTCACCAGCCTGCCAGAAAGACACCCACAGAAAGCTGCTGTGGGTGATTCTACTAACGGTTGGTGTAGTTGATGACCCATGGTTCACAGCTCCCCTTGGCCTGAAAAGTCATAACCCATCCACCTTCTGGAAAACCCACACATATACAATTAAAACAGGAAGCAGAAAGCTTTGAACTGAATTTGACCTCTAGACATCCCTCCCCACCTGTTGTTCTCATGGAACCCAGGCAACTTGCCAGGAAGTATTTTCATACACGGAGAGAAGACTGCTCACCACCACAGGTGCTGCTCTGATGTCTTCTATGAGCCTCCCTAAGTCTTTCTGCCTCTCTGCCTCCCCTCAGACACCAAGGCTGGGTTCCCCTCCACCTCCACTGTAGGAATAGTAATACCTTCTTTAGTAAGGATTTACCATAGTTTCCATTGCTACTAAAGGAACTGATAATCTTCATGACGAAGGAAAAAATCGAACTTTGTTAAACTCCAGTCCCCTAGAGATACACTATCTAAAACTTCAACTTACTCTTGGCCTTCTCTGATTCTCTGGGCTTTCACTATCTTCATTATCTTCCATGGAGGTAATGACCACTAGCTTCCAAGCATTTATACCCATTCTGAATTCTCTTTCATGCTATTTGCTCCATGCAGAGCCCTACTGGACTTCTAGATATAATAAATTTAATTGTAAAAAATCTTCTGGGCAGAAGGGCCTGGCTCTGTCTAAATTACATTGGAGAGTGTCTGCATAGACAACATTTGGTCTAGCCAGTTCTGTCCCAGAAGTTCTTCAACAAACAACATCACCTCCATAGAACTCGGAAAGTATCTAGTTACTATCTTGGACAGGAAGTTATTAGGGAAAGCCCCACTCAACAAAGACATATCATGCTGCTCAAGGTAATTATTGTAATTATTAAAACTGCTACTACCACTACTGCCATAACAATGATGATGACCATGACTATGACTACTTCTACTGCCATTTATGTAGCAATTATTATGACAAGTAATTTATATATATTATGACATTTAATTCTCTCATAGTGACCTTGGAACCCCAAGCTCAAAAGATTATATCTAGGGATCTTGGAAGTTAGCCTGTTTCATTTTCTTATTTTCCCACTCTAACTGTCCTAGTAATCAAATTCATCAAGCAGGAAGTGTGATTTGTTTTATTCTGACATATTTTATGAAGACTCTATTTGTCTCTGTCTCAGTTCTGGCATGCCCCAACTTGGCACTGTATTTTGTATTCCATTCAAGACATTGAACACGGTTCACAGAGATGACTCTTGCTCTGCATCTGGCAAAATAGGCTTCAGTATGTTACCACCTGTGGAATCTCCATGTTAAGGGTTTACCTGGTTGATCCAAGAGGCATTTATATGTATGTCTAATGCTGGTTCTTTCTGATACCTGTGACTCCATCCTGTTGGTGGCAAAATATCCTTGCACAAAAAGTATTATCTCTCACTTTGATCAAACCTACAAACATAATTTTATTTCTGCCACTATTGCCTTAATTTTTAAGTTACTTTCCCCACCCCCCACCAAGTGTCTATTAAGCCTCTTAATCTCTGGTCACAGTGCCTACTGTGCATTCAAGTTTAGCTACGCTTCCAGGATATGCCTATTCACTTGTAAATTACTGCCGTCTGTCAAATACAGAGTAGCACCCACATGAAACATGTTAGCCATCTTAGAGGATTTGTTGCCACCTCTGTGGCCCACACACCTCATTACTGCTGCTTTCCACCTGCACCTTTTATACCAACTGTGAATTTTACCTCATATCATTTGGTAACACCTTAAGAAATATTGATTCTTAACTGAAGAGGCCACATTTCCATAGAGGGTATATAGAAATCAGTGAAGGGATATGGATTATTTTGAAAAATCTCCTTGATGTCTATGAAAAACTTGTACCTACCATCAATTTACCATCAACTTTTTCATGATCCTATTTGTACTCCTTTCCTTAATTCCCTCCCATCCACAAAATTTCTATAGCTTCCAGGTTGGTCAGAATGGGAAGGAATTATAGGCCACCTAGAAACCCATTCAGTAGGCAAGATTTGATGATCAGTGACTAGCTTTGGTCCTGGGAAAGAGTAACTTACACTTTCAAACACATACAAACCGTTTGCCTATGCAGAAAGTTAAAGTAGTATTGTTTTCAACACTTTAAGATGAGAGAGGCCATAAAACCTAGTTTCTTATAATGAATCTTTAAAAAGTACGTAAATAGCATATGTTTATTGTAAGAATACTAGAATACACAGATAAGCAAAATAAGGAAAATAAAAATCAGCTTTAATTAGATTTTTTGGATATAATTACAGTAACTCTGTGGTGCGAATTGTCTCAGACACTTTTTATTGGAGAGCAGGGGATAATGTGCAGCAGATAAAGTGCACTCTGCAGCCACTTTTTTCTTTTCTTTTCTTTTCTTTTTTTTTTTTGAGACGGAGTCTTGCTCTGTCACCCAAGCTGGAGTGCAGTGGCACGATCTCGGCTCACTGCAAGCTCTGCCTCCCGGGTTTGTACCATTCTCCTGCCTCAGCCTCCCAAACAGCTGGGACTACAGGCACCTGCCACCACGCCCGGCTAATTTTTTGTATTTTTAGTTGAGATGGGGTTTCACCGTGTTAGCCAGGATGGTCTTGATCTCCTGACCTCGTGATCCGCCCGCCTCAGCCTCCCAAAGTGCTGAGATTACAGGCGTGAGCCACCGCACCCAGCCCACTTTTTTCTTAATCATATATCCTAGACATCTTATCTTGCTATTAAATATTATTCCACAGAATTATTTTAATGGCTGTTTGGTTTTCCACAGCATTTGACACATAACTTATTTTTAACACACATCTCTCCTTGTGATATATTTTTAGTATTTTCTTTTTACATTATTATAAGCAAGGCTTTAATGACCATCACATATAAATATTAGCCTTTCTCAAAGTAAAACTATGATAATAGTGAGAATAAAATGTTAAGTATCCAATTGTTAAAAATTCAATGTTAAGTATTCAGGTAAATGTTAAGTACCTGAACAGGTAACATTGAGTCTATGAATATTTTCAGTCAGTCCCTCATTTATAAGCACCTGTGATTTTTTGGTTTAGAGTTTCATCCTGCATAAGGTTCACTGATGAGACAACATCTACTGGGACTACATCTAATCAAAGTGAGCATGATAATAGGTGTTCACATAACACGCGCTTTGCTTTGTGTGAGATAACTGTATTAGGATCAGCCTGGGGTACAAAAAGCAATGCAGATTAGAAATAGGCAATGTTGTGATTACAGATTAGAAAGATGGCAATGTTTTCAGCAATATAGTGCAAGTGTTTTGAAGTTTAGTAAAATCTCATTCTAGAAAGTCATCGAATGACTACGAAAAATTTTACTTAAGAAATATGAGCTATTGAAACAATGGCCTTATTATTTTATGAACCTTGAGAAGCAATATATCAAGATAATAGGGCACAATGTTTAAGAGCCAGACTGTGACACTGGGCTGCCTGGGTTTGAATCCCAGATCTGTTACTACTAGAAATTGATTAAGCTGATCTTGGTCATTTTACTGGCTGCTATCATCTGAATGTTTGTGTCCTGGCAAAATTCTTATGTTGATACTTAATCCTCAATGCAATAGTAATAAAAGGTACCCACCTTTTATTACATGACCTTTTAGGGGTCATGAGTGTGGAACTCTTATGAAAAGGATTAGTCTCCTTGTAAAAGAGGCTTGAGGGAGCTTGTTTGCTCCTTCCATCATGTGAAGACACATAGAGGACACCATCTATGAGAAACAGGCCCTCATCAGACACTGAATCTACTGGTGCCTTGATCTTAAACTTCCCAGCCTCTTGAACTATGAGTGATAAATTTATGTTGTTTATAAATTTCTCAGTCTAAGGTATTCTTTATAGCAGCCCCAATGGACTAAGACACTTACCTTTACTAGTGCCTCAATTTCCTTATTCATGTGAAAGGGGATAGTGCCAATTCAGAAACTTGCTGAAGGTAATAAATAACTCTGTAAGCATGAGGCACTTAGAACTGTGTCTGACTCATTGCAACCCATATGTAAATGCTAGGTATCATAATGAGGGTCAAGTTACAAAATTTCTCTGGCATTGAGAGGATCAGCTATAATTGTTTTAGCCCTTCCAGGACAAAGATAATGGTTAAACATAGTGGCACTATTCTACTTCCTTTTTTGCTAATTATACAAAACCTATTCTGAAAACCACATTTCATCGCCTGCTCAGAGTCTCCAGTTGGTGACCAAGAGTACATCTCTTTTCAAATAGCTGGATTAGGTCCTCATGCTGCTGTGGTCATTGCTGGTCATCTTTGGTGAGTTCAATAATTTGACTGAGAAGTGAGGTGGCAGCTGAATGAGGTCTACTGCTCCCAAAAGGTTGGAGGTTTTATTGGAGCCCAGGGACTGGTGGGGATGCTCAGGTCCTGCCTGCAGCTTGGGCTTCAAAGGCAGATGCAAAGAAGTAGGCTGAGGACAGTGAATTTGCAGCACATCCATTAAGCATTAAGCACAATGCTTAATGTTCAAGGTGGACCACTTTTCCATTTGCTGGTCATGAATTGCTATTTTGATATCTTAGATCTCATTGAGTAATATAATGTTCTCATAGTAAAATGTTCATAATATTAGCATTTAGCAATGCCCTTCTCCTCCATGAACACCGATTATTCAATTGTTATCTATAAGATTTGGGTTCAGCAGATGCATTGAGACCCTTTGCTAATATTCCTCTGTTTAATCGTGGACAATGAGGGAGATGACAGCTGCTGCTAGAAAATAAGATTCCTGGGTGAGTGCAGTGGCTCATACCTGTAATCCTAGCACTTTGGGAGTCCAAGGCTGGTGGATCACTTGAGGTCAGAGTTCGAGACCACCCCGGCCAACATGGTGAAACCTCATCTCTACTAAAAATACAAAAATTAGCCAGGCGTGGTGGTGGGCACCTGTAATTCCAGCTACTCGGGAAGCTGAGGCAGGAGAATTGCTTGAACCCGGGAGGTGGAGGTTGTGGTGAGCCAAGATCGCACCATTGTACTCCAGCCTGGGTGAGAGAGTAAATAAGATCCCTTTCTCTATGCTGTGTAGGCACTAAATAAATATTTGTTATTGGAATACAAAGGGCTCTAACGTGAAATATGGCCATAGGAAAGAGACTGATTTGTTGATTTCTTGGAACTCTCACAATGTATGTTTCCTGATGAGCCCTTTGTGATCGTGTTGTCATGTCTATCTACCACTTGAAAAGTCAGAGTGTGAGATAGAGTGGTGGGGATGGTGGAAGGAAAATGAAATCAAGGAGAGTCACTAAATATCCAACATGGGTATTCTCGACAATCCCTTTAGTCAAGCATTGGGTTTGCAACTTGCCTTTTGACTACAATGAATGACAGTTAGATGTGTGCTCGAGGGAGATTGAATTGTTAGTAATAAGAGATTAGGGAAATAGAAAAGAAAGGGAAAATGGAAAGAAGTTTTTGAGCAATTTACCAGAGTAATATAAATTTATAAATTATGAGGGCAAATGCTGTGTGCTAATCTCTGGCTTTTGATCTCCTCACAGATGCAGTCACTGAACAGGCAGGTGAGTCCTCCTTGTCTTTGTTGTTCTTGGTCTCTGGCATATCAGTCACCCCACTACCCCAGGATTCTATAGAGGTGGCTCTGGAAAGCCTGTGAAGATGTCCTAATATTACTGCCCTCTAGGCTGACATGTTCTGAGGTCACGCAGCCTGTTTCCAACACCACTTGCATGTCTGGGTGACCAGGTACCACCTAGCCTTCTCAAGACCCCACATGCTTGCCTCTTCCTTAAAAGCCTGGCTTTAAGAAGGGCAATAACATGCAGATTGAAGAAAAGAACAATTTGGAGAGAATTGTTTTCCTGCCCATAGGACTGTAATGCCTCTTTATTGTCTGGCTGAATGCTGAATGTTTTTACAGCTCTGAAAACAGCTATTTATAGAGGAATGTGTCAGAACTACAAACTTCTGCAGGGTCAGAATAAACATGTGTCCTCATTGCTTCTCTAGCTCTAGCTCAGGAATCAGCAAGCTTTTCCTGTAAAAGGCAAGAGAGTAAATAGGCTAAGCTTTTCAGGTGTGTGCCGTAACTACTCAATGCCATTGCTGTGGTAGCAGGAAAACAACCATAGACCATATGTAAACGAATGAGGATGGCTGTGTTCCAATAACATTTTATTTACCAAAACAGTGTTGGCCAGCTCACAGGCCATAATTTGCCAACCCGTGCTCTAGATTTAGTATTTAGTTTTGATTTTTTAAAAATGCATGTATTACTGTTCTAATCATAAAGAGTGAAATAAAGCTAATTTTATTTCACTCTTTCTGAGTTAAATCTGTGCTCAGTGAAGGAAGTCAATGGGAAAAATATTTTATTCTATATACAGAATCTTCACATGAGCCAAGACAAAATCTAAAGAAAGGGAGACTTGTTCCCTTGCCCATTGAATGCTGGCTACCAAGTGGAAGGGGCTCTTTGGGCTCTAAGGAACAGTGTGGGAAAAGCAGATCCTGCTGTCACCTTGAATGGAACAAGAGTGTCCAGGGAGACATTCAGGGGTCCTACCTGGAACTTGCTCAGGAGCAAGTCTGGTCTCTTGCATTCATTCTGTCCCACATAAGGTCCAGGAGTCCCACCCTGTGATACCCATCACTCCACTGTCTGTCTGGATGGAAATTAGAGGAAACCTCGATCAATATTCAGGAGGTTTCTGACCATTAGTGGAATCATGCCAAGACAGCAGGCTCCCTGAAGTGAATCACCTACGACCATTCAGAGAACAGGGCAACAGCCACTTCATTCTCTTTCTTTTCCTTTAGCAAGAGTTTCTCAGAAAACTGAGATGTTCTTCAGAAGTTTGAGATCTTTTCTTTTTAAAAAGAGTAAGAGAGAACTTAGTTCAGCATGATGTACTGGAAAGAGCAGGACTTATATAGCCAGAAAGACCAAATTGAAATCATGGCTTTGCTATATACCTGCTATGTAGGCTGGGCAGTCACTTGGCCTCTGAACCCCAGTCTTGGCTCTGGGGAAAAGTTTCTGGCCTGTTGAGAATTACAATCCCCTGCAAGGTTTGAAAATGCTATTCAGCAGAGCAGCTGAAAAGGTCTTTCTGTCCCCATCCATTGCCTCAATGCAGTCTTCCACCCCATTTCCTCTTTTCAGCCCCACCCATACACTGCACTCACCACCTGGGACTTTGCCCTTGCAAAGCTTTGAATACCATTTGCTTTTAGTTTTTGCTGTTGCTCTGGTAAAGATATTTTTCACTGAAATTCTTGTGAAAAAACATTATTCAGTCCTGTACATCTTGCTCTGAGTTAAATCTTTGTGCTCCTATTTATTTGCTCTGCCTAAGAACTTCTCGTTCACAACCTACCCTTCTCCCTGCCCCCTACCACTGTCCCTCCACTGCAGTTCTCCTCTATACCCTCTGGGGGTCAGCATGATTCTATTGGGCACCTCTGCAGGTAGAGCCACTCTCAGCCAGTTTCTGGAGGATGTGGAACTCCCTGAGGATGAACAAGTCAGCTTTGGGACTTGTTGCCCTCCCCTTCTAGGGCCTCTGACTCCTTGTACCCTGCTAATGGTGCATACAGATTAGAACTCTTGAGGTTGCACCACAATGACAGCCAGTGTAGAGCCAGCACACTTCTGCTGAGGCCTTCAAACTGCCAGGTGGTTGGCATTGGAGCCATCACAGCCATGCTAGAAGCAAGTGGATACAAACTGTCACACAAACCCATTATGACTCTTTGGGGTTCCCTGATATGAAACTATGAACCAACTTATGTCTACCCTATAGGTAGGACATCACTCTCAGAGGGTTTGACTTCAAGTCACCTTCATTTATTCAGTATTCCCGAGTCCACCCCATCTCACAGACCTGAAACCCATTATTTTGGTTGCTCTTGAAGTGCAGTTATGATGACCTCTTATTCCTCCTCAGCCATCATTAGCTTCTGCTACAAAGACATCCCCCATCAAGACTGTGAGATTTGTGGCTCACTGAGTGGTCCATAAATGCCAGCACCATTGTGTGCTTCTCTCACAGAATCCTTAAGACTGCCTGATGAGAGGCAAATGCTCTTTGTTGTTCCATTTCTCAGTTGAGAAACTGTAACTGAACACAGGTCCAGCTGCTCACTGCTTGCAAAGTCCAATTAACAAGAGAGAGATCTGGTAGAAAGAAAGTGACTTTTTAATTCCAAAACATAGCTGAGGGGAAGTAGTACAGGCTTCTGCCTTGAGGGTACCACTTCTACTTCTCGGGCAGAAGGCAAGGGCTTTTAAAGGGGGACTTGGTGTGAACAGCATGCAGGGGAGGGAGCGAGGTGGTGCAAGTCTACATGACTTGCTTTGGATGTCATCTGAAGTGATTTGGCTTGGCACCAGTGTGGGCAGAACTAGGTTGTAAATTGAGGCACTCTTCTGGTGAGAGAGAGTTCTAGAGGCACCTGGTTTGCTTTGAGTTTCTGTCTCTGGAACCTCTTAAGTAAACACATAGCTAGATATGCTTTCAGTGCAAGGAGTGGATGATGGAGAGAAGGTAAAAATTATAAGTGCATGAAAAAGGTAAAAATACTTCCTCTTTTTTTCTTAGAAAAATGGGATACTTGGTTACAAAACCAAAGTCCAAAGAGTAAAGTGCTTTGTCCAGTATCACACAGCTAATAATAGTAGACTTGGATTCAAAACAGTGTGATCTGGCTCTTCACAACTAGGTTAAACGTTGTGAGAACTGAAATCAATCAGTATCTCCTGGTGGTGACGATGACTCTCTCTGGCCGCAAGTTCACTTCCAGGCCTCCGAGCTTTAGCATCTCTCCCCAGTGGATTCCTCTCAGAGCTGCAAGCCGGCTCACCCTGCTGCTCCCACTTGCTGGTCTGCTGTTATGGACTCAAGATCATCCACTCCTCACTGCTCTCCATCCTTTGGCTTGCTCTTGGGGCAGTCTGCCTCTTACCATGCAGTGTGAGGATATGAATAATTCCTAACGACCAACTCAAAGTCTCACTTTGTCAGTGGCAGCCAGAGCCAGTGAGGCTGCCTGTCATGCCCTTTGCAACAGTGTCTCTAATCATGACTCGTCTTCCTATCCCCAGTGGTGTTCTCTACAGGAATCTTTCCTGTTTGTGGAGGAAGACTGTATCAGTGGTTTAAAAGTTGGCTTGATTCCGAGTCCCACGGTGGCGTTTCCATGAGATCTAGTATCCATTTGCAAAGGAGGCCACAAATCTTGAATTAAGTTAATTGTTTCTCCAACCAACCTTTTCTGCCCTGCTAAATATATATATATATATATAATCAGATTGTTCCCCAATGTCTAACAAGTAATTCTGGTTCTGCTGAAATAGCCAGTAGCGAACCATACATTTTGCCAAAAATTATACCTCCAAATGCCACAGATTTCCTGTGGCTTTTTGGCTGTAGCTCTGCAGTAGTATTTTATGAGTCACCACATCTCTTATTTTATTGACTTCTGCTTCCTTCTACTACACATCTGACAGTCATGATACAATTGAATAGTGACAGGAAAGATTTTTATTTGAGATATAACTTAATTCCTTACTTTGTGGTCAGAATCCTCTACTATAATCATAAAATATGAAGATGTCATAGACACAAAACATAGTCTGGTACCGTAAATAAATGAAGTGACGGGGTCAAAATTAGAGAACCTGTGACCAATCTAAGGAAAACAACCTCTGGGGAGGACATTTGTCTTTGGCAATAGCTTTTTTCTTTATATGATCAGTCTCTAGGAACTAAGCCTTGGATTAAAAATAATCTCTACTTCACTGAATGGATGAGAAAAATTTTCTGAAGGCATTCAAGTGGAGAATTCAAGTAGATAATTAAAGATACTGGATCTTATTCCAGTAACAGGCATATTCCCAATAATCTACGCCACTTGATGGTTTTATCTGGTGAGGTAAGAAGAGGGGATGGGACCTGAATTTATAACACAGTATAGAGCTCTGAGGGCTGGATGACAGCATGGAGGATGAAAAAATAAAGTGCCCGCTAAGGACAATGGTTTCCCTGTGTGGTGTCACCGATGGAGAAGGCTGAAGATGAGGTGTTTATCAGAACACTCCTTCATGAACATTAAAAAACCATGTTTACCTTGACACCCCTGCAATAGACTGAATGTTTGTATCTCCCTCAAATTCATATGTTGAAACCCTAATCCCAGTGTGATGGTATTTGTAGGTGGGGCCTTTGGGAGGTAATAAGGTCATGACGGTGGAACCCTCATGAATAGGACTAATGCTTTTATAAGAAGAGGCCAGAGAGTTAGCTGATTAGTTTTCCATCATGTGACGGTAGAGCGAAAAGTTGGCAGTCTGCAGCCCAGAAGATGGCCGTCATCACAACCTGACAATGCTGGCACCCTGACCTCAGACTTTCAACGTCCAGAATTGTGAGAAATAAATCTCTGTTATTGATAAGCCACTCAGTTTATGGAATTTTGTGATAGCAGCACAAGCTAAGATATCCCCTCAGGAAACATGGGATGAAACTCTCAGTAATTAAGGCATGGATTGGAACTTCCATCTTGTTTAAAGAAGTAGAGGCTATGCCTGAGACCACCTCACTGCCAATGGAGTCTGTCTGGGTTCTCTGCAGAAATGGCAAATCCGGTTTCCCTCCTTCTCTTCCAGATTCGCTGACCCTTGTGGCGCCCTCTTCTGTCTTCGAAGGAGACAGCATCGTTCTGAAATGCCAGGGAGAACAGAACTGGAAAATTCAGAAGATGGCTTACCATAAGGATAACAAAGAGTTATCTGTTTTCAAAAAATTCTCAGATTTCCTTATCCAAAGTGCAGTTTTAAGTGACAGTGGTAACTATTTCTGTAGTACCAAAGGACAACTCTTTCTCTGGGATAAAACTTCAAATATAGTAAAGATAAAAGTCCAAGGTAAAACCCTGACTTCTGTGGGATGGGCTGGGTGAGAGACCACGGCAGCAAGGCAGGGTGGGTACTGGGTAGGGGAAAGCTGCTCATGGGCTAAATATAGACGGGAGTGCTTGTGGTTTGATCATCAAAGGAGCCATGATGGGTGAGAGGTGTCTAGCTCTGAATGTCCTGTTTGCTGGGGTTGCTTCTTGCCAGAGGCTTTTCAGCAGGAATCTTAGCTGTCACTGCTTTGGGGACTATTGTGATCCTTCTCTCTAGAGCTCTTTCAACGTCCTGTGCTGACTGCCAGCTCCTTCCAGCCCATCGAAGGGGGTCCAGTGAGCCTGAAATGTGAGACCCGGCTCTCTCCACAGAGGTTGGATGTTCAACTCCAGTTCTGCTTCTTCAGAGAAAACCAGGTCCTGGGGTCAGGCTGGAGCAGCTCTCCGGAGCTCCAGATTTCTGCCGTGTGGAGTGAAGACACAGGGTCTTACTGGTGCAAGGCAGAAACGGTGACTCACAGGATCAGAAAACAGAGCCTCCAATCCCAGATTCACGTGCAGAGCAAGTATCAGTGAGGCTGAGCCTGGAGAAAAAAAGATAGGAGTGTTATAGCTTCAGCTTGGACTACTAGTCTGTTTCTTTGTTCAACTCCTGTCCTTGAGGAAAGTGAAAATTAAGCTAGAAAAACCCTCCAGGTTGCGGCCGGGCGCGGTGGCTCACGCCTGTAATCCCAGCACTTTGGGAGGCTGAGACGGGCAGATCATGAGGTCAGGAGATAGAGACCATCCTGGCTAACACGGTGAAACCCCGTCTCTACTAAAAATACAAAAAATTAGCTGGGCTTGGTGGGGGGCGCCTGTAGTCCCAGCTACTAGGGAGGCTGAGGCAGGAGAAAGGCGTGAACCTGGGAGGTGGAGCTTGCAGTGAGCCGAGATCACGCCACTGCACTCCAGCCTGGGCGACAGGGCGAGACTCCGTCTCAAAAAAACAACAAAACATAACAAAAACCCCTCCAGATTGCTCCTGGCTTCCTACTTCATAAGAATCAGAAATGCACTAAGCCCCTTATAATCTTTCTTTTTTTGTTGTTAGTTAAGTAATATTCATTGATCAAGACTCCATTGATCACTGACTGTATGCCTTGGCATTTAGTAGTGGGTGGGACACTTCAAAAGGCAAACCACCTGCTGTCTAATGGCTCTCCAAATGTCTCCACATGATGAGATTGCAACACAAATTGACTTATTAGAAGGCAATGTAGCATCAGGAAAAGTAGATGTGAATGAACAGAGTGGTCAGAGGAGAAGTTGTATTTGGTTGAACCTTGAAATTAAAAATGATAGAGGAATTATTATTGGGACCGTTGTTAGGAATAATGACTTTTCCACTGCAAGACTGAAGATATCAGTGCCCCTCTATATTCTGTGCAAAAGGTGTCTTTGACTCATCCAAAAAATTGAACAGTTTCCTGTCTCATGGAGATCTATCACAAAGTCTTTAAATATTACTACCCATGAAATTGGCCAGGGTTAGGACATTCAAATGTCTTTATCCACATTCCTGAAGGATAATTGTTATAGATTCCCTACCTCCATAGGAATGCTTATAATGGATTATCTATACAATCTCCACATTCCCACATTTTGCATTAGAGAATGGAATCAGTCAAACCCTGTTCCCAGAGTTTCCCTTAGAGTTCTCACCTGTTGTCTTATATCCATCTAGGAATCCCCATCTCTAATGTAAGCTTGGAGATCCGGGCCCCCGGGGGACAGGTGACTGAAGGACAAAAACTGATCCTGCTCTGCTCAGTGGCTGGGGGTACAGGAAATGTCACATTCTCCTGGTACAGAGAGGCCACAGGAACCAGTATGGGAAAGAAAACCCAGCGTTCCCTGTCAGCAGAGCTGGAGATCCCAGCTGTGAAAGAGAGTGATGCCGGCAAATATTACTGTAGAGCTGACAACGGCCATGTGCCTATCCAGAGCAAGGTGGTGAATATCCCTGTGAGAAGTGAGTGACACTCTCATTCATATCTTCCAGAAATTCCCAGACCAAGGTCATGATACACATGTGTCCTGAGGAAATTTCAGGAGGCCCCAGGGATTAGTGCTGTGGAGAACCAAAAGCAATTTGAAAATGGGTTACGCTTGCAGGTTAGACTGCTGACCTGTTTCTTTTTGTGGAAGGAAATATAAAGAGGGCTGTAATCGATTATGAAGCATAAGCATTCTTGCAATCCTACGATAGGATGATAAAACATCTATTACATGAAACCTTTGGGCTCTGGGCCAGGGAGTGTCATGGATCTAAAAGGTTCATAGTGGTAACAGCCTGCTTCATTTTATGTCATCTCCTTCAAAGTGATTAGAGTGTTTCTAGCTTGCCGAAACTGCACCCAAAGGGAGACATTTGGAGCCATGTTATTGGTGATTTACTGGTGTGGAAAATTACCTGGTGTTGTAGCCAAGTAGCCATTTCCATTCTAACCCAGTCCTATAGTCCTGAACTGGGCTGAATAAACATACCTAAATATATGTTTAGAAATGCTCCTATGTATCAGTTTTCCCAGGAACAACTATAATATTATAGAAATCTTAAAATTATTTCCTAATAAAAAATTATAGGATACAAAAGAAAAAAAAGAAATATGAAGAGGGCTGGATGGGCACAGGAAAACAATCAGATGAGAACAACAGATGACCGTGTCTGCAGGCAGCACCCAGAACTGATATTCCCCTCAAACGTCTAAATATATTGTTGAGAAAATTATCTCTAACTGTTCTAGTGGGAATGTGGGAATGGAAAATATGCAACAGCCATGGGGCCAGGCCCTTTGCTGAGCCTGCAGGTTGGGAGTTTGTGAATCTATTGAGGCATCACAAATCTTTTCTGATAGCCCCTCTGTGTCTGTCAGTTCCAGTGTCTCGCCCTGTCCTCACCCTCAGGTCTCCTGGGGCCCAGGCTGCAGTGGGGGACCTGCTGGAGCTTCACTGTGAGGCCCTGAGAGGCTCTCCCCCAATCTTGTACCAATTTTATCATGAGGATGTCACCCTTGGGAACAGCTCGGCCCCCTCTGGAGGAGGGGCCTCCTTCAACCTCTCTTTGACTGCAGAACATTCTGGAAACTACTCCTGTGAGGCCAACAACGGCCTGGGGGCCCAGTGCAGTGAGGCAGTGCCAGTCTCCATCTCAGGTGGGTGGGTGTTACCTGGATACAGAGTTTGATGTCAATGGCTGTGTCTCACCAGCCTGGAGATGTCTGCTGTGTGTGAAGAGGGGGAAGGTGATCTCAGTGTCCAGTGGCTTCTCTTCTCCCCACACTAACCTGAAGAGTACAGACTACACTTCAATGATCTCTTACTTGAATTTGTATTTAACATCCCTATATAGCATTTATAAGAAGGGCCCAAGTCTTAAACCTCTGGGGCTGAAGCACTGCTTTCTTTCCTCAGGACCTGATGGCTATAGAAGAGACCTCATGACAGCTGGAGTTCTCTGGGGACTGTTTGGTGTCCTTGGTTTCACTGGTGTTGCTTTGCTGTTGTATGCCTTGTTCCACAAGATATCAGGTTGTATCTACCATTTGGATTCTCCATATTTTGCTATGACCTTTCCACTACTGATATAGATTGAAATTACAAAAAAAGAAGAGAGAAAAGAAAACTCTCCAAAAGCCAATAATTTCTTTTTATGCTTCATAATTCTGCAAGGCTCTGTGCAATGCTCAATGTGGTCATACTGCTAATTATACAATATGTCACTGTTCCCTGTGCATAGTCACTGGAGATTAAATTATTTACACATTCTTTCCATGCTTGACTTTTAAAATGAAAAGTCTAATTCTTAATTGCCATTTAGTAATTTTCAATAGATATAATTAGCTTATGTACAACGGAGCAAAATGTAGTAAGGAGCTAGATTTAAAGGAACACAAAAAAAATTTTTTTTTTTTTGAGACAGAGTCTCACTCTGTTGCCCAGGCTGGAGTGCAGTGGCGTGATCTCAGCTCACTGCAAGCTCCGCCTCCTGGGTTCACACCATTCTCCTGCCTCAACCTCCCGAGTAGCTGGGACTACAGGCGCCCGCCACCACACCCGGCTAATTTTTTGTATTTTTAGTAGAGACAGGGTTTCACCATGTTAGCCAGGATGGTCTCAATCTCCTGACCTCTTGATCCGCCCATCTTGGCCTCCCAAAGTGCTGGGATTATAGGCGTGAGCCACAGCGCCTGGCCAGGAACACAAACAATTTAATGTGCTCTTTTTTCTTTTTATTTATCCATTTCTTTTTAGCCACCTTTTTTATAAAAAGAGCGATGACTCCTTGAATTCCTGGATCCATGATATAGATCATAAGAAGCCATCTTCACCCACATGTCTGGCCATTGATGCTGGCCATAGTTTGCAGTTTCAGCTGAGAGTCAACTAGAGCACATATACGCAGCCTCTCAACATGGCCTGGATTTCCTCACAGCATGATGACCTTAAAGTAGTCAGACTTTTAACATGTTGATTCAGGCTCCAAAAAGCAAGTGTGATAATGAAGCTGCAATACATTTAATCAATGAATTTCAAAAAGTATGATGTTTTGTCACTTCTACAACAATTTTATTATGTCCTGGTGCTTCAAACTTGCCTAGGTATCAGTGAAGAGGGCACAGACTTCACCTCTAAATGGGAGAACTGTCAAAGAATTTTAAGCCATATTTTTTAAATTTCCACATATAACACCAAGAGTTTGAATCTGCTATGTCTCCAAACCCCACAACACTGTCAAAAGCACAAGCTTCTTGGCTGTCCTCTCCGGAATCAGCAAATGCTCCATGGAACAAGTGATTTCAGAAGTTAGGTTTTTCTCCCTGAGCCCCTTCTCGTCTTTTGTTGAAGATCTTTGTGTCTGTGTTCATCAGGGATATTGGCCAGTAGTTTTCTTTTTTGGTTGTATTCATGTCTGATTTTGGTATCAGGGTAATTCTATCCTTGTAGAATGGGTTAGAGAGAATTGCCTTCTCTTCAATTTTTTTGGAATGGTTTGAGGAGGATTGGTATTAATTCTTTATACATTTGGTAGAATTTGACAGTAAATCCATCCAGTCCTCGGCTTTTCTTTGTTAGAAAGCTGATTATTAATGGTTCAATCTTGCCACTCATTATTGGTTTATTCAGGTTTTCTATTTCTGCCTGATTCAATCTTGGTAAATTGTATGTTTCCAGGAATTTATCCATCTCCTGTAGACTTTCCTGTTCATTTGTAATAATCTCTGATGATCTTTTTTATTTGATATCAGTTGCAATGTCTGCTTTTTCGTTTCTGATTATGTTTATTTGAGTCTTCTTTTCTTGGCTAGTCTAGCTAGCAGTTTATCAATTTTGTTGATCTTTTCAAAGGACCAGCTTTTGTTTTATTGATCCTTTGTATTTTTTTTAGTCTCTATTTAATTTAGTTGTGCTCTGACTGTTATCATTTCTTTCCTTTTGCTAATTTTTAATTTAGTTTGTTCTTGGTTTTCTAGTTCCTTGAGGTGCTTCATTAGATTGCTAATTTGAATTCTTTCCACGTTTTTGTTGTAGGTGTTTATTGCTATAAACTTTCCTCTTAGCACTACTTTGCTGTATCCCACAGGTTTTAGTATGTTACGTTTCAATTTTCATTTGTTTCAAATATGTTTGATTTCCATCTTAATTTCTTCATTGACCCAATGGTTGTTTAGCAGCATGTTGTTTAATTTCCACTTATTTGTACGGTTTTCAAAATTTATCTTGGTATTGATTTCTAGCTTCATTTCCTTGTGGTCTGAGAAGATACTTGATATGATTTTGATTTTAATAATTTGTTGAGACTTGTTTTGTGGCCTAACATGTGGTCTATTCTGGAGAATGTTCCATGTACAAGTGAGAAAAATGCGTATTCTGTAGTTGTTGAACAAAATGTTCTGTAAATGCCTGTTAAGGCTATTTGGTTTAAAGTACAGTTTAATTTCAATGTTTCTTTGTTGATTTACTATTCAGATGATCTGTCTAATGCTAAGAGTGAAGTGTTGAATTACCCCACTATTATTGTATCAAAGTCTAGCTCTATTTTTTCTTTAAGCAATATTTACTTTATGATTTTGGGTGCTCAAGTGTTGAGTACATATATATCCTCTATATTCTCTTGCTGGATTGATCCCTTTATTTTTGTGTTTTTTTTTCACCATTATTTATTTATTTATTTATTATTTTGAGGCAGAGTCTTGCTCTGTCGCCAGGCTGGAGTGCGGTGGCGCAATCTCTGCTCACTGCAACCTCCACCTCCTGGGTTCAAGTGATTCTCCTGCCTCAGCCTCCCAAGTAGCTGGGACTACAGGCGTGTGCCACCACACCCGGCTATTTTTTGCTTTTTTTTTTTTTTTTTTGAGATGAAGTCTCGCACTATCACCCAGGCTGGAGTGCAGTGGCACGATATCGGCTCACTGCGAGTTCAGCCTCCCGAGTTCACTCCATCCTCCTGCCTCAGCCTCCCGAGTAGCTGGGATTATAGGTGCCTGCTACCCTGCCTGGCTAATTTTTTGTATTTTCAGTAGAGACGGGGTTTCACCATGTTGGCCAGGATGTTCTCTGTCTCTTGACTTCCTGATCTGCCCGCCTTGGCCTCCCAAAGTGCTGGGATTACAGGCATGAGCCACCGTGCCCAGCCTGCTGTTTTTGACTCAGTCTGTTTTATCTGATATGAGTATAGCTACTGCTCATTTTTGGTTTCTGTTTGTGTGAACTATTTTTTTCCATCCTTTTACTTTCAGTCTATATATGTCTTTACAGGTAAAGTACGTTTCTTACAGGTAACACAGAGTTGGGCAACATTTTTAATACCCATTCAGCGAGTCTATAAATATATCTTTTCTTTGTTTGTTTGTTTTTTGAGATGGAGTTTTCACTCTTGTCACCCAGGCTGGAGCACAATGGTGTGTTCTTGGCTCCCTGCAAATTCCACCTCTCGGGTTCAAGAGATTCTCTTGCCTCAGCCTCCTGAGTAGCTGGGATTACAGGCACCCGCCACCATGCCTGGCTAATTTATTTGTATTTTTAGTAGAGATGGGGTTTCACCATGTTGGCCAGGCTAGTCTCAAACTCGTGACCTCAAATGACCCTCCTGCCCCGGCCTCCCAAAGTGCTGGGATTACAGGCATGAGCCACGGCACCCCATCTATATATTTTAAGTAAAGAATTTAATCAATTTACATTCAAGGTTATTACTGATATGTGAAGTTTTCTTCCTGTCATATTGTTAATTGTTGTCTAGTTGTTTTGTGTATTCCTTGTTGTTTTTTCTCTTAGTGTGTATTTTCTACGTCTAACAATCTTGGGGAATTTAAGTGGTTTGCAATGCTTACTCGGCCAGTACCTGACGACCAAGCCTCAAACCTAACTTTATTGCACCTCCTGGCTTTACCTATGCATTTTCATGATGGTAAGTATTGTCCTTTCGCTTTCAGGCTTAGGACTCCCTTGAGCATTTCTTACAGGGCTGGGCTAGTGGTGATGAACTGTATCAGCTTTTGCTTATCTGGAAAAGATTTTATTTCTCCTTATTTATGAAGGATATTTTGCTGGATTTAGTTTCCTTCACTGGCACTTTATTTATTTTAGCACTTTGAATATTTTATACCATTCTCTCTTGGCCTGGAAGGTTGGAGTGTATCTTTTGTTTTGTTTTGTTTTGTTTTTCTTTATAGGTGACTAGAGGCTTTTCCCTTGCCATTTAAAAAATTCTGTCTTTGTATTTGACTTTAGACTGTTTTATTATAATGTGCCATGGAAAAGACCTTTTTGCATTGTATGTGCTTGGGGATCTCAGAGGTTTTGTATCTGGATGTCCAAATCTCTTGCTAGACTTTGGAAGTTTTCATCTATTATTTTATTAAATAGGTTTTCTAACCTTTTCATTCTGTCTTTGCCATCTGGGACCCCAATAATTCGAATACTTTTCCAAAAGTATTCAAAAATGTGCCAATTCTTGGTCCTCCAAGTGACTTAATCACATACCCGAAGTGGCTATGCTGGGCCAGGCAGGTGAAAGGATTCTCAGGCCCCTGGGCAGCCAGCATGGTTTGGGCAATGGCAGTGGCAGTGGCAGGTCCACCCTCTGAGTCCCAAACAATGGATACTGGTGTTGGTAGTGGCTGTGATAGGCTGGGCAGGTCAGACTCCAGACCTGCAGATGGTGCATGCGGGTAGGTATCAGTTGTGGTGATAGTGGCAGAATTGGTAAGCCCAACCTCAGGTCCCCTGGAGGAGTGTTAGGTGCCGTCGTGGTGGACTGGGCTGGGCAATTCCCTGGTCTCCAGGCTGTGTGCTCTGGCATGGTCAGGGGAAGGGCAAAACCATGCTGGGTGGGCTTATCCTCATGCTCCCTGATCCTCTCTGCTCTCTTTTCTCAGCAATTCTTCACTATCTTCTTACCACTTCAATGTTTATAAACAGACTTTAAAACTCTTTTGCCCAGCCTTTCTAGTTGTCCTTAGTAGAAGATTGGTTCAAATGCATTCATTAACCATTACTGGAAGTTTGAAGACATCTACCTTTTACAACCAACATATTCCTTAAGCTGCCGTGTCTTTTGGCATTTTCAGCATGACTATATGTTTTTGTAATGTATTATTTCTAATTTGTCAAGAATTTAGACAAATCAGAGTGATTTGTCATACTGAGCCCTATTAATATTTCACAAGTCAAAAAAAATTACCAGTGACCCAATTATTGTGTCATCCACATATGGCAGGTTTACATATATTATCTGTAATTATCAAAAGTTATTTTTAAAAGTGTGCCTTTTGGGGGAGACAAGGTCTTGCTCTGTTGCCGAGGCTGGAGTGCAGTGACACGATCTTGGCTCACTGCAGTCTTGATCTGCCAGGCTCAAACCACCCTCTCACCTCAGTCTCCTGAGTAGCTGAAACTACAGGCCCATGTCACCATACCCAGCTAATTTTTTTGTAAAGATGGGGTTTTACAATGTTACCCAGGCTGGTCTCGAACTCCTGAGCTCAAGCGATCTGCCTGACTCAGCCTCCCAAAGTGATGAGATTACAGGCGTGAGCCACCACTCCCAGCCTAAGTGTCTGTTTTCTATGTCTAACAACCTTGGGGAATTTAAGTGGGTTTTTTTGTGCTCACTCAGCCAGTAAAGGGCAGACCAGAACCTGTATCTGCCTGACTACTATGCCTCAAACCTAACTTTGTTGCACCACCTGGCTTTACCTATTCTCCTCCCATAAGTTTCACCTATGTCAGTAAGGTGTTATTTATTTTAACCTATCAGATACAGGACAAACATGGGGCACATCAGAATCTCAATGATAGCTTTGAAGCTTTTGTAAAACGCTTTCTTACACTTATCTACTGCAACAGGTGAAATAAATTTTGGAACTCATTAATTTTCTTCCACATAGTAAACATTTAAGCTAGTATTTTATTTTATTTTTTACTTCCAACGTTTATTTTAGGTTCAAGAGGTACATGTGCAGGTTTGTTACATAGGTAAATTGGTTGTCTTGCAGGTTTGGTGTACAGATAATTTTGTCACCCAGGTAATCAGCATGATACCAAATAGGCAGCCCTTCCTTCCTTCCTTCCCTCCTTCCTTCCTTCCTTCCCTCCTTCCTTCCTTCCTTTCTTTTTTCATTCTTTCTTCTTTCTTTCTTTCTTTCTTTCTTTCTTTCTTTCTTTCTTTCTTTCTTTCTTTCTTTCCTTCTTTCTTTCTTTCTTTCCTTCCTTCCTTCCTTCCTTCCTTCTTTCTTTCTTTCTTTTCTTTCTTTCTTTTTGACAAAGTCTCACTCTGTCTCCCAGGTTGGAGTGCAATGAACAATCTTGGCTCACTGCAACTTCCACCTCCCGGGTTCAAGCGATTTTCTCGCCTCAGCCTCCTGGGTAGCTGAGATTACAGGTGCCTGCCATGACGCCCAGCTAATTTTTGTATTTTTTTTTTAGAAGAGATAGCATTTCACCATGTTGACCAGGCTAGTCTTGAACTCCTAGCCTCAAGTAATCCACCCGCCTCGGCCTCGCAAAGTGCTGGCATTACAGGAGTGAGTGAGCCACCACGCCTGGCCCCAATAGGTAGCTTTTCAATCCTCACTCTCTTCCCTCCCTCCACCCTCAAATAGGTCCCAGCATCTGTTGTACTCTTCTTTGTGTTCATATGCACTCAACGTTTAGCTCTCACATATCAGTGAGAACATGTGATATTTGGTTTTCTGTTCCTGTGTTAATTCACTTAGGATAATGGTCTCCAGCTCCATCCATGTTGCTGCAAAGAACATAATCTCATTTTTTATAGCTGCATAGTATTCCATAGTGTATATGTAACACATTTTCTTTATCTGGTATACTGTTGATGGGCATCTAGGTTGATTCCATGTCTTTGCTATTGTGAATAGTGCTACAATGAACATATACATGCATGTGTCTTTACAGTAGAACGATTTATATTCCTTTGGGAATATACCCAGTAATGGAATTGCTTGGCCAAATGGTAGTTCTATTTTAAGTTCTTTGAGAAATCTCCAGACTGTTTTTCACAGTGGCTGAACTAATTTACATTGCCACCAACAATGTGTTAATTGTTCCCTTTTCTCTGCAACCTCACCAGCATCTCATTTTTTGACTTTTTAATAGCCATTCGGACTGGTGTGAGATGGTATCTCATTGGGGTTTTGATTTACATTTCCCTAATGGTTAGTGATATTGAACACTTTTTCATATGATTTTTGGCTGCATATATGTCTTTTCTGGAGAAGTGTCTGTTCATGTCCTTTGCCCATTTTTAAATAGTGTTGTTTGGTTTTCACTTATTGATTTGCTTGAGTTCCTAGTAGATTCTAGGTATTAAAGCTTTGTTGGATGCTCAGTTTGCAAATATCTTCTTCCATTCTATAGATTGTTTATTTACTTTGTTAGTTTCTTTTGTTGTGAAGAAGCTCTTTAGTTTAATTAGGTCCCATTTGTCAATTTTTTGTTTTTATTGCAATTGTTTTTGGAGTCTTCATCATGAAGGCTTTTCTTGGCCAATGTCCAGAACGGTATTTCCTAGGTTTTCTTCTAGAGTTTTGTATTAGTCTGTTCTCACAGTGCTGTAAAGAAATACTCAAGACTGGGTAATTTACAAAGGAAAGAGGTTTAATCGACTCACAGTTCCACATGACTGAGAAGGCCTCAGGAAACTTACAATCATGACAGAAGAGGAAGCAAACATGTCCTTCTTCACAGGGTAGCAGGAGAAAGAAGTGCCAAGCAAAGTGGGAAAAAAACCATCAGATCTTATGAGAACTAACTCACTATCACGAGAACAGCATGGGGGTAACCAGCCCCATGATTCAATTACCTCCCACCGGGTCCCTCCCACAACACATTGAGATTATGGGAACTACAATTCAAGATGAGATTTGGGTGAGGACACAGCCCAACCATATCAAATCTTTATAGTTTTAGGTTTTACATTTAAGAATTTGATCCATCTTGAGTTGATTTTTGTATATGGTGAAAGGTAGTTGTCCAGTTTCAATATTCTGCATATGGTTAGCCAGTTATCCCATCAGCATTTATTAGAGAGTCCTTTCCCCATTGCTTGTGTTTATCAGCTTTGTAGAAGATCAGATGGTTGTAGATGTATGGCTTTATTTCTTATTTGGTTATTGTAGCCTTGTCATATAGTTCGAAGTTGTATAGTGTTAGCCCTCCAGCTTTGTTTTTTTTTTTTTTTTTTTTTTGCTTGGGACTGCTTTGGCTATTTGGGCTCTTTTTTGGTTCCAAATGAATTTTAGATTTTTTTTTCTAATTTTGCAAACAATGTCATTGGTAGTTTGCTAAGAATAGCCTTGAATCTGTAAATAGCTTTGAAGAGTGTGGCCACTTTAACAACCCTGATTCTTCCTATCCATGAGCATGGAATATTTTTTCATTTGTTTGTGTCATCTCTGATTTCTTTCAGCAGTGTTTTGTAATTCTTGCTGTGGAGTTCTTTCACCTTGTTGGTTAGTTGTATTCCTAGGTATTTTTTCCCTTTTGTGCAAGCCAGTATTCTCAAGTTCAATGGAAGTTTTATTTTTTAAACAGATGATCTAAGTAAGTCTGATATTACGCTTCTTTACCCCTCTCTGCTACTTTATTCCCAAAATATCTTTCCCAGTTCCTCATTCTTTTACAGAGCCTCCTGCCTCATCACTGCTCTTTCAAGGGTGAAATGGCCACCCTCTATTTGGGTAACCAACTCTGTTCTGTTTCCTCACTTACAAAACGAGAAAGTTACCTCAGATGTACGCCATGATACACCAAGCCCATCTTCAACTCTTTTATACTTACAAAAGACAATAGTTGTTCTTTCCCGTGAAGACAGTGTAGGGTGTCTGTGTTGGTCTTCTTGGGATAGCATAACAAAATGCCACAGATTGGGTGGCTTAAAGAACAAAAACTAATTTTCTTTTTTTTCGAGACGCAGTCTCACTCTGTCACCCAGGCTAGAGCGCAGTGGCACCATCTAGGCTCACTGCAAGCTCTGCCTCCTGGGTTCACGCCATTCTCCTGCCTCATCCTCCCCAGTAGCTGGGACTGCAGGCGTCCGCCACCACGCCTGGCTAATTTTTTGTATTTTTAGTAGAGACGGGGTTTCACTGTGTTAGCCAGGATGGTCTCGATCTCCTGACCTCGTGATTCACCTGCATCGGCCTCCCGAAGTGCTGGGATTACAGGTGTAAGCCTCCGTGCCCAGCCCCCAAAATTAATTTTCTTACAATTCTAAAGGCTGGGAAGTTTAAGGTTAAGATGCCAGCAAGATAAATTTCATTCTGAGGCCTCTTCTCTTAGCTTGCAGGCAGCTACCATCTTGCTATGTGCTCACACGAATTCTTCTTGTGTACATGCAGAGAGAAAGAGCAAATTCTCTGTTGTTCTTTCTTTTTTTTTTAATTATACTTTAAGTTCTGGGGTATATGTGCAGAACGTGCAGGTTTGTTACATACCTATACACGTGCCATGGTTGTTTGCTGTACCCTTCAACCCGTCCCTTCTTATAAGAACACTAATCCTATTGTATCAGGGCTCCACCCTTATGATCTCACTTAAAATTAATTACTTCTGTAAAGGTTCCATTTCCAACTGTAATCACATTTGGCATTAGTACTTCAATATATGGAGTTTGGGCAGGACACAAACATTCAGCTTATAAATGTGCCCAAGCAAGGACAAGTGCTAATATAAGCCTCCTAATCTGTCACTTTTGTTATTGATCAAAAAGTCCCATTGATCAAAAAGTAAGTCATATGGTCATAACCAAATGCAAGTGGTAGAGAAAAAGTGTCTACCTCTTTGCTGACAAATGACAGAGTCACACTGCAAAACAATGCATACAAGAAGATAGGAACAAATTGGGAACCTTTACTGCATGGATGTACCACATGGTTTTTGACCTGCACTTCCACTCTTGTAACTTTAAAAAAATTTAATTGATTTTTAATTGACAGATAAAAATTGCATGTATTTATGTACAGCATGATGTTTTCAAATAAGTATACGTTGTGGAATTGCTAGATTGAACTAATTAATATATGTATTGCCTCACATACTATCTTCCTATTACATTTTAGTTTACAAGCACACAACCACACAAAATTATTTTTTACTAAATTTGCTTCCAAAATTAGGCTGCTTCAGAAGTTTTCAGTCTCAGGTCATGGCTTTGACCTTCAGATATCCAACCTTTTTTTTTTTTTTTTCCAGACAAAGTGTCACTGTGCTACTCAGGCCAGAGTGCAGTGGTATGAACATGGCTCACTGCGGGCTTGATGTCCCAAGTTCAGGTGATCCTCTTGCCTCAATTTCCCAAGTAGATGGGACCACAGGCATGCTCGCCATGCCTTGCTAATTTTTTAATTACTTCTGGAGATGACTCTATATGTTGCCAAGGCTAGTCTTGAACTCCTGGGCTCAAGCGATCTTCTTACCTTGGCCTCCCAAAGCACTGGGATTATAGGCATGAGTCACCATGCCTGGCCAGATATCCCAAACTGGCAATTTATTTCATGGTGAGTTTCACTTAAGACAATTCTTTCTTTCAAGTAGATGACTTAATTGGGACCACCTCAATTTATCAAAAGATGATCTAATAACTAAAGAAAGTCAGCATCTTGATCCCTTTCCTTCCATGAAGGTCCTCGGACCCCTACATAAATTAGCCATACCCTAAATCATTAACTTTTGTGCTTTGCACAGCATAGAAATATAAGGACAAGGCAGTGGCTGTTGCCTAATGAAAGCAATGCTTTCTTTCATTGGCTAATCTCTTATCATGAGGACCATGATACCTCTATGTCAACCTAAAATAAACTAAAATAAACTATTAACATAGTCCCTTTCAGAGTGGCCCAATACCTTTTATTTTTTCTTTAAAATAAATAACTGAATAAATATGTTACAAATACATCTGGTAAAACATTCATACAATATCAAAGAATATGACAGTAAAAAGTAATCCTTTCTCTCACAACTGTTCCTGGACCTCTTGGTTCCCTTCCTCAGAGGCTCCCACTCTTAGCAATATCTCATTTATTTTTCCAGAGATATTTTAGACTTATGTGATGTCATTGTATACATACATGTTCTTTATTTTCACACAAATAATAACATACTATGTGCTACACTTCACTTTTCTATGAATATTATTTGAGAACTGTTTGATATAAATATGTATAGAACTGTAACATCTTTTTAATGGTTGCAAAGAATTCTATTCATGGATTTGCAATAGTTATCTTAATGTTAATGATTACCTATTGATGGAGATTTAGATGATCTCAAGTTGTTTTCCATGACACACAATGCTACGATAATTTTTCTTTTAGATGTCATTTCTTACATGTACAGTATGCCTGTGGAATTAATTCTTATAAATAAAATTTCTATATTCAAATTAGATACCTTTATAATTTGATAGATATTGTCAAGGGTTACTCATAGTTGTACAAAATTATACTCCCGTAAGGACATGTCATAAACATGCTTGTTTATAACACACCAGCCACACAAAGTATTGTAAGTTTTGATTTTTTTGCCTGTTTCTCAATTGAGAAACATTACTGCCCTGTAGTTTTGATTTATGTTTCTGTTTATGGTGAGCTCTTTGTTCACATAGTTTCATCGTTTTACGTTGGGTTTTTTATCTCATTCTTAGTGATTTGTAGATGATCTGTTTATACTAAATGTATTAGCTCTTTGTCTGAGGTATGAAGAGTGAAAAGTGTCCCCAGTCTGCAGTTTGCATTGCCTTTCATATTGAAATTCTTACTATAAAAATAATTATTGTTATGTGGTCTAACTTATCAGTATCTTCTTTTATGGGTTCTAGGTTTGGTAACGTATTTTGGAAGGTCTTCCCCATTCTTAGATGATAGAAAAAGTTCTCCTTTTTTTCTTTTCTTTTCTTTTTTTTTTGAGACAGAGTCTCTCTCTGTCACCTAGGCTGGAGTGCAGTGGTGCAATCTCGGATCACTGCAACCTTAACCTGCTGGACTCAAGTGATACTCCTACCTCGGCCTCCTGAGTAGCTAGGACCACAGGCATGCACCGCCGTGACTGGCTAATTTTTGTATTTTTTATAGAGATGGGATTTCTCCATGTTGCCCGGGCTGGTCTCGAACTCTTGAGCTCAAGTGATCTACCAGTCTTGGCCTCTCTAAGTACTGGGATTACAGGTGTGAGCTACTGTGCCAGGCCCATATTTTCTTCTAGAATTGTATCACTTTATATTTATGCTTAAATTTTTGATCCATCTGTTACTGGAAAGGGGTCTGGATCCAGACCCCAAGAGAGGGTTCTTGAATCTCAAGTAAGAAGGAATTCAGGACGAGTCCATACCGTACAGTGAAAGCAAGTTTATTAAGAAAGTAAAGGAATAAAAGAATGGCTATTCCATAGGCAGAGTAGCCCCAAGGGTTCCTTGTTGCCCATTTTTATGGTTATTTCTTGATGATATGCTAAACAAGGGGTGGATTATTCATGCCTCCCCTTTTTAGACCATATTGGATAACTTCCTGATATTGCCATGGCATTTGTAAACCATCATGCCACTGGTGGGAGTGTAGCAGTGAGGGCAACTAGAGGTCATTCTTGTTTCTATCTTGGTTTTGGTGGGTTTCTGCTGGCTTCTTTACTGCAACCAATTTGATCATCAAGGTCTTTATGACCTGTATCTTGTGCCGACCTCCTATTTCATCCTGTGACTTAGAATGCCTAACTGTCTGGGAATGGGGCCCAGTAGGTTTCAGCCTCATTTTACCCAACTCCTGTTCAAGATGGAGTTGCTCTGGTTCAAATACCTGTGACACATCCAGAAATATTCTTCAATAGGTACTGAACTAGAATCTAATCTTTTTTTTCAGATAGCTATTTCATTATTTCTATGTGATTTATTTAATTATCTTTTTTAAGTAAAGTGATGCCTTTATAATACCCTATGGTATTGTGATATAAGAAGAAATTATTTAATATATTTGGTCTTTGTCCCTAGTTCCTGACCCCTGAGCTCCTAAAACTCTGAGAATTCCTTGAGTGTTGAGTGTCTTTGGTATGCTAATGAGATGACTCTCAACAGAGGGGCTCCTGGATAGCTTCAATATGAGAGCTGGTTTTCAGAAACACCAACCTTGTGATTAGAGGGTTGGAACTTTAAGCCTCACCCCTGGACCTCTGAGGACAGGAGAGGGACTGAAGATTCATCTAACCACCAATTGCCAATGATTTAATCAATCATACCTATGTAATGGGACCGCTATAAAAATCCTAAACAATGGGATTTGGCGAGCTTGCCAGTTGGTGAATACATCAATGTACTGGGAGGGTAGAGCACCCCATTCCCTTGGGAACAGAAACTCCAGTGTTCAGTACACTTCCAGACATTGTCTTACCTAAACTTTTTCATTTGGTTGTATATTTGTATCTTTTATAACATCCTTTGTAATAAACCAGTAAAAGTAACTGAAGTGTTTCTTCGAGTTCTATAGAGCAAATTATTGAAACTGAGGAAAGAGTCCTGGGAATCCCCAGTTTATAGCCATTTGGTCAGAAAGATATGAGGCCCATGACATATTATTGGCATCTGGGGTTGGGGGCAGTTTTGTGGGACACACCCCTTTACCTATGGGGTCTGCACTAACTCTGAGTAGTATCAGGACTGAGTTTAATTGTAATTAGTGTCCTAAGAGTTGGAAAATTGACTGGTATGGGGAAGAAAAACCCCACACACACGGCAACAGAAGGGTCATGGATAAAAGCAGTTCAGCTATACTAAATATCTGATACTATTCAGATCTAACTTTGATGCCCTATTCTGTTTGTGTGTATGTCAGTGTGTGCATACGTGTGTTTGTGTGTGTGACTTGTATGCCTTCGCTTTATAACAATACATTTTTTATTCCATCAAGGTTGTTCCCATCATGACTATGCTATTCTTACAGAACTTTTCTGGATATTATTGCTTACTTATTTTCCCTACAAACAATATAATCAGTGTCTCTCAACAAAGTAGTTTTGTTAGGATTCTCTTAAATTTTGAGATTAATTAAGGAAGAATTGACAGCTTTATAATGAGAAATGTTTCTATCCAAGAGTGTGTCTACTTTTGGTAAATTTTGAGTCATAGTATTTTAGAGTTTTACTTATATAGGCTTTCACCATTTCTTGCTAAGTTTACTCCTGAGATATTGATTAATTTTTGCTATGATAACTGATTCATCTAACAAGGGTACTCTTAGAGTGCAACCATAAAATTTAATTTTTTATCTTCCTCTTCCTACTGCCCATTCACACTCAGTCTTAGAGGATTATATTTTCCCTGACTCTGGTTGAAATCGCAGGCAGGCCCATAGTCTATCCACTTACTCCTTGTATTAGTCGGTTTTCATGCTGCTAATAAAGACATACCTGAGACAGGGCAATTTACAAACGAAAGAGGTTTAATTGGACTTATAGTTCCACATGGCTGGGGAAACCTCACAGTCATGGCAGAAAACCAGGAGGAGCAAGTCACATCTTATGTGGATGGCGGCAGGCAAAGAGATAAGCTTGTGCAGGGAAACTCCTCTTTTTAAAACCATCAGATCTTGTGAGTCTTATTCACTATCATGAGAACAGCACGGGAAAGACTTGCTCCCATGATTCAGTTACCTCCCACTGGGTACCTCCCACAACATGTGGGAATTCCAGATGAGATTTGGGTGGGGACACAGCCACACCATATCACTCCTATATAATTTTAGGCAAACAACAACAAAAACATAGTTTCTCCAAAGAGCGCTTGTTCATTAAGCAGCTTTCTGAATCTCAAAGTTAAAGCACTCACCTCCCACCCACTCAGCTCAGACCCTCTTCAGGCCAGCCTTCTGCAATATGGAAAGGGTTCTGGCCAGATGTTTCTCTCTTTCCTCAACTTGCTTCTGTTTTTGAAACCCCCATGGCTGGCATTGATTTCCTCTGGCTCTGAAAAAGCTGACTCTCCAGGTTTGCTCGGTTGAGAAAATCAGCTCCTATTTTGGGGGTGTGTTTCTGGATTCTCCAGAGCCCCCCAACTATTAACATTACCTACCTGCATCTTGTGATGCAGGTGATTCATTCTTCTCCAGCTGAGCACTTAACATCTCTCTTCAGTTTCCAAGAATCTAAAGTCTTCTTCCTCTTCCCCTCCACCCTTATTTTGGAACCCTATACCTCTTCAGGAAGTCCTCTTGGCCAGATTTTGAAATGGCTTCAAGCTTTGCCTCTCTTCCACAGGGCTCAGATCCATCCACAAGAAACACTTGCACACCATTGCACCCACCTGTAAATATGCAGCTCCTGCCTCAGGCAGATGACCGTATCTCCCCTGAAATGAATGTTCCTTTATCTGCTTTTCAAGGCTCCTTAAGATTTTTCAGGCATGTGTCCACACGGGGCACTCCTCCCCACACCAAGCTGGCCTTAATATTGTCCTCCGATTGACTATAGGCTCCTCATCTCCCTTTTCTTAGAGCATTTACTTTAGAAAACTTGCAATTGTAAATTCTTTCTCTGCCTCCTTGAGATATAAATCTTCTCTTAGCCTCTTGCCAGTTTTACAACCCAGAAATGTCTATCTCTAAGACTTGGGAGCCAGCCCTTTGAAATGTAACCATCTAGAAAGATAGTGCCTCTATCTCCTGTATGGTAAAACTCTTAGAATTTATTATTTGATCTACCAATATTTCTTTCTAATTCTAGAATTCTGCTTTTATCTTTGTTAGTTATTGCCTTCTATTTTTGTTAGTTTGATTCTTTTGAACAAATTGGATATTGAGTCTTCCTTTTTTTCTTATATATTTGTATACGTATTCAGTTGCTTAAGACTTGCTTCCTTTAAATTGACAAATTATAGACATATGTCAATTTTTTCATAGTTTTGTTATGAATTACCAGTTCCATTATGATCAAGGAATATTATTTGTACCATGTCGATTTTTGGAATATTTTGGAGGTTTTCTTTGTGAACCAATGTATCATCACATTTTGTTATTATTCAAAAGTGCTTAGATAGTAGAACTATTTTTGAAGTCCATTTTAAAATAATTTCTTCAAGAAGGAATTGCTGGAAACATATACACTAATTTAATACATGTTTGAATATGACTGACTGCCCCTTACTTATGCTTTAATGACAGTTTGGCTTGGTAGACAATTCTGAGGTCATTCCTTTCCATGAAGACTAAACAAGCTAATTATAAAGAAGTTTTACCTTCTCCTTGGAAAACTAAATCAAAGTTAATTTTCTAGCACTGTTTTCTGTAAAGCCTAACAAAGTTGAAATATTGGCTGAGCTACTAGCAGTATTTTCCATGATAGGCAAACTGCCTCTACACTGGGAGGACTTTGACCACGATTATATAAGCCTGATGGGAAGCACAACTGGGGTATCCCCAAATGCAATGTAACTCTTGAAATTTAGCATGTCTCTTGTAGTAGTGACCTCTGGAAGCTACACACATACACTCATGGGTGTTACAAGCGATACTGATTTCTACGAAGCATGAAGCTTTTGAGCTGGGGTGGCCTCTATATACATCTATGTGGCATTGTTTCCTGAGGTATTAATGGAGGACTAGAAAATATCTCCTGGATCGCTATGAGGATTCTCTTTAAACACACAGCTGATACATCTATGCTAATATACTGCGTTTCTTGTTTTACATCTCTCCACAAAGCAAAATGGTACAAGAGATGGCCTAGTTCGCCTTACGAATGTCAACATCCAGCTTAGCCCCAAGATCATTCCTAAAGACTAAGTGTTGCAAATATCAAACATTTAAAAATTAAGAATGGCTGCATAAAATCTAATACAGAAGAGCAATAAAATAAAATTAGTCATCAATGGTTAAAATATGTTATACATTAGGATAGTTAAAACAACATTGTACAGGTACATGAATAGACAAAGAGACAATAGAACAGAATAGAAAATAAAGAAACAGTTACCAGTGCATGACGGGTTTGCCATTTGAAGTGGCATTTTAAATCAGTGGGAAAAAAAGAATGAATTATTTTACTAACAACTAGTTGTGTTGGAATAAATAAGTAGCCATTTAGATGAAATACAATTGGATTACTCTTCTATATCTTATGTCTTACCAGCTGATTATACGTAGTTAAATCATGTCAAAATTTTAAGAGATAAAGCTTCCTTCTCTGAAATGAATTTTGTTTTATTTGCATTTCAGGAGAAAGTTCTGCCACTAATGAACCCAGGTGAGAACTCTTCCTAGTAAAAATTTTAATTCTAGAGGTCTCCTTCATTCAGTTTTAAATACCTACTGTACTCTGCTTGTACGTTGAGACTGAAGCTATGTAATTAACATGGTATCTTTCTATAATACTTACTCTTGTCTCTACTGCATTACATTTCTGCCACCAGGGCACTGTCTTAAGGTGGTCCACATGATCCTTGGTGTTATCTTGTATAGGATTACATACATTTAAATTAATATATAAATTCATATATTCAAGATTATTGAATACCTATAATGTATAAGTAAGTTTTTGTTAGATATTTAGAGGAAAGAACATACACACAAAATGTGTATTTCCTCCAGGGACATACTGTGCTATAGGTATGTAGTATATGTCCAGAGTACAAGAAGGAGTGAGAGAGATAAAGTAATGAGAAAAAGGCAGGCAAAGTTTTATGACAGTTTATAAGAAAAAAAAAGATTCTGGAGCAATATCATTGTCTTATTTATAACTTTTGAAAAAGCCAAAGATAAGGAACAGAAGTTTTGGCCATATCAAAGTAGATAGTCTACACAAAGGGCCATAAAATCACCCAAGCAGAGAGCCATGGCTGCAGGGCTTCCACCTGCTCTCTCCTCAGCCAGTCTCCCCTCTGTTCTCACTCACTGCCCTGGGGATTATCATACAATTAATTCACTTTCTCACAGAGGGGCTTCCAGGCCAAATCCTCAAGAGTTCACCTATTCAAGCCCAACCCCAGACATGGAGGAGCTGCAGCCAGTGTATGTCAATGGTGAGTGTCTCCACTGGGAAGGGCTCTGAGGCTGAGTCAGAAAAGAAAGAGGAGACAGGAGCGGAGACCATTAGGTGGGTGGTGTAGACACCCCAACACCAGAGGCCCAGCCATTCCCAATAAATAACAGACTCTCTCAGAATCATGTTGGGGTTGAGAGGAAGGATATAATCATTAAGCCAGGGCCTGGGAAGCTGTGTATGAAGTGTGAACCCTGGGCCACCAACATCTGTGAACTCTTGTCTTCTCCCTGCAGTGGGCTCTGTAGATGTGGATGTGGTTTATTCTCAGGTCTGGAGCATGCAGCAGCCAGAAAGCTCAGGTGAGAAACTGCAAAGTAGTTCTTGTCAGATGCATATTCACAGGAAAGTGATGCATTGTTTGCAATAGAGGCTTTATTTATTTATTTATTTATTTATTTATTTATTTATTTGTCTATCTATCTATCTACTTTTGAGGAGCCTTGCTCTGTTGCCCAGGCTGGAGTGCAGTGGTGCAATGTCAGCTCACTGCAATCTCTGCCTGTGAGCTGATACAGGAAAATTGCTTGATTTTCCTCTCTCAGACTCCTGAGTAGCTGGGATGAGAGGCATGCGCCACCACGCCCAGCTAATTTTTGTATTTTTAGTAGAGACAGGGTTTCACCATGGCTGGATTCAAACTCTTGACCTCAAGTGATCCACCCGCCTCAGCCTCCCAAAGTGCTGGGATTACAGGTGTGAGCCACTGCACCCAGCCAGCAATAGAGGCTTTAATACATCACTTGCCCTTGATAGGAAATCTGTTGATCCAGGAGGGAGCAAGAGACACCTGGAGGTAGGCTCTTGTGAAGAGAGCAAACTTAAAAAAAAAAATAGGGTGATGGTCTAATGAGTCTTCATTTGAATCGGGTTAGATAGTCAGGGAGAATCTAAGATTCAAGGCAAAAGAAGGAAATCAGGCAAGAGTGAGCATGTCTAAAGTCCAAGAGGAATTCTCTCAGGTGAACAGGGTCATTAAAGTGTCTCTTTTGAAGGATCTGTAGTCTTCATATGGGATGGGAGGAATAACTGAATAAATCAACATGACCTAGAGAATTTTCACTTTGACACGTAGCTTTGCAGGAACTGCTGAGTTCTGCAGCAGTGCAGAGGAGTGTCCTTTAAGCTTCTGCTCCAGTGCCCTTAAAACTACAATGCTTATATCAACAACCCTAAAAGCTGTCCTTTGTTCTGTACTCCTGGTTGCCTCTGATGGAGCCAGTGGCTGTTGACAGCTTGGCTGATTTCCTGGTCAGTGGTCATCTAGCTACTCTCCTCTGAGCCTCTGAAGGTGGGTCCTCTGTCTGCCTTGCTTAGATTTGCCACTTCAACTTCCTATAGGGAGTTGATTACCCTATCATTCTCTTTCTCTATCTGACCAGCCTAGCAGAATCAAAAAGTGCAGTCACTTTCCAAGCCCTCTAGCTGTAAATCTTCAAGGGAAGGAAAGGGATGTCATCCCACTATGCCTACCTGGAAAAAGGGGAAAAGAAGCAGACATCACTAAGCAGCTCCTGCAACCAGACTCAAAATACTATGTGATTCAGAGTCTGTCTTCTGTTATCTATGCTTCTATTCCAATTTCCTTCTATGTAGTGAGGTGAACCACACATGATTGGTTATCTCAGGAACATAGAGAAAGAACAGGAAACAGCCCTGACAGAATGCTGCAACAGAGAAGTCAAGAGGAAAAAATTATAAAGACAATGACCTATGGGAAGTTGCATTAGAGAAAGGAAGCGCTTTGTTAGTAAGTGCTGGTGGAGGGCTTGGAAGATGGATAGAGTCTTAGAAGGACTTCAGTATTAACAACTTTAAGAAAGGATTTTACAGAACAGGAGAAAATGGGATTCCACATACTAAGCATAGTAGTTCTATGCCCTGGGGCATAAAGTCTGGGAGTGAGGCCTAATTAAGAATGCAAGAGCTCAGAACTATTACTTTTTCCTTAACAGCAAACATCAGGACACTTCTGGAGAACAAGGTGAGCTAGACACCTTGGAATTTCTTCATCTTTCCTTCCTTCTCCCTATTTATTTTCTTGATCACCTCAGTCTTTATTCCTGTGTGTCTCTCCCAGGACTCCCAAGTCATCTACTCTTCTGTGAAGAAATCATAACACTTGGAGGAATCAGAAGGGAAGATCAACAGCAAGGATGGGGCATCATTAAGACTTGCTATAAAACCTTATGAAAATGCTTGAGGCTTATCACCTGCCACAGCCAGAACGTGCCTCAGGAGGCACCTCCTGTCATTTTTGTCCTGATGATGTTTCTTCTCCAATATCTTCTTTTACCTATCAATATTCATTGAACTGCTGCTACATCCAGACACTGTGCAAATAAATTATTTCTGCTACCTTCTCTTAAGCAATCAGTGTGTAAAGATTTGAGGGAAGAATGAATAAGAGATACAAGGTCTCACCTTCATCTACTGTGAAGTGATGAGAACAGGACTTGATAGTGGTGTATTAACTTATTTATGTGCTGCTGGATACAGTTTGCTAATATTTTGTTGAGAATTTTTGCAAATATGTTCATTGGGAATATTGGCCTGAAATTTTCTTTTCCACTGTGTCTCTGCCAGAATGTTTGTATCAGGCTGATGCTGGCTTCATAGAATGAGTTAGGCAGGAGCCCTTCCTCCTTGATTTTTTGGCATAGTTTCAGCAGGATTGGTACCAGTTATTCTTTCTGCATCTTGTAGAATTCAGCTATGAATCCATCTGGTCTAGGGCTTTTGTGTTGGTTGGTAAGTTTTTTATTACTAATTCAACTTCAGCGCTTGATATTGGTCTAGGAGGGGTTTCTGTCTCTTCCTGGTTCAATCTTGGGAGATTGTGTGTTTCCAGGAATTTAGCCGTTTCCTCCAGATTTTCTTCTTTATGTGCATCGACTTGAGTGTAAACATAACTTATATGCACTGGGAAACCAAAAAATCTGTGTGACTTGCTTTATTGCAGCATTTGTTTTATTTTGGTAGTCTGGAACTGAACCTGCAATATCACCAAAGTATGCATATAGTTGCAAAAATGTGATTTTTGACATAGTAAATATGAGTATTTGCAATAAACTATGATATTACTTTTGTAAGTATATAGAATAAAATGTAAATAATCTATAGATTTGATACTATCATATTTTCTTTTTTCTGTGAATGCACATTTTCCTTTTTTTCTTTCTTCCAACTTGTATTTTAGGTTCAGGGGGTACATGTGTGGGTGTGTTATATGGGTAAATTGCATGTCACAGGGGTTTGGTGTACAGATTACAGATTGGTATAGATTGTTACCAAGGTAATCAGCATTGTACTCAATAGGTAATTTTTCTCTTTCTTTCTTTTTTTTTTTCTTTTTTTTTGACGGAGTCTTGCTCTGTCACCCAGGCTGGAGCGCAGTGGCATGATCTTGGCTCACTGCAAGCTCGCCTTCTGGGTTCACCCCATTCTCCTGCCTCAGCCTCCCAAGTGGCTGGGACTACAGGCATCCACCACCACCCCCGGCTAATTTTTTGTATCTTTAGTAGAGACGGGTTTTCACCGTGTTAGCCAGGATGGTCTCGATCTCCTGACCTCGTGATCTACCCACCTCGGCCTCCCAAAGTGCTGGGATTACAGGCATGAGCCAATGCGCCCTCAATAGGTAATTTTTCAATCCTCACTCTCTCCTCACCCTCCACCCTCAAGTAGACCCCAGCGTCTATTGTTGTCTTCTTTTTCAAAGAAAAATTTTAAATTTTTGTGGGTATGTAGTAAGTGTATATATTTATGGGGTACATGAGATACTTAGTAAGTATATACATTTATGGGGTACATGAGATGTTTTGATACAGGCATGCAATGTGTAATAATCATGCCATGAAGAATGGGGTATCCATCCTCCCAAGCATTTATCCTTTGCATTTAAAACAATCCAGTTACATTAAGTTATTGTAAAATATAAAATTAAGTTATTACCAATTATAATTGTGCTATTAATAAGTAGGTCTTATTCATTCTTTTTATTTTGTTGTACCTATTAACCATCCCCACCTTGCCCCCTATTGTTCCCTTCGCTGCGTGCATGTGATTTTTTTTTAAAAATTTTATGGCTGTGAATGCACATTTTCATTGGCATTTTTTCATTCAAAATTTTAGGTGCAATGTAATTCATCTTTATTTCTGAAAATGTTTTACTGATCACTTTAATTTAAAAAAATTTCTGTGATCATAAGGCTCTGTGTTAAAACATTTCTTCTGCTTTGAATTATCTTTAGAATTATTATAGGTACAAAACTGATCAAAACTATGGGAATAAATTACACATTTTTTCAAAAATTATTAAACATAAAAAGGTAAATTGTATTAAAATCCACCTCTTAATGACTCATTGGAGTACTTTTTAACATTTTCGAATTGAAACATGTATCCACAAATAAATTTAGTCAACTGATTCACCAGACATTTATTGAAAATCTACAAGAACCAAGTGTTAGGGATATAGAATGTAAGTCTGCAAAAATCTCAACCCTCGATTTTATTTTAATTTTCTTTTTTACAGATGTCAGCACTGAGAAACCTTCACGTGAATAGACAGATTGGAATAAAATGACTTTTTATTTTTAAAAAATAGAAGTTTTACACAATTTTTTTAAGACTTGTCTAAGGATCATTAATGTGTCTTTATCACTTAAAAACACCTTGTTGAACCCAAATACACATGAAACATTGAGAAAAATAAGAATACCCCAACCTGCTTGACTGTCCTCCTTAGAAGCACACTTAAACAGTGATCTCCTTTAACTGGCCATTGGTCCTGTCCAGTGATGGCTGTAGGTAGGCACCATGGCCATGCCTTCAGTATTCTGATAGCTGCTGGCTCCAGGGTTAATTGTAGGGATGAGGTTACCCCATTTTGTGATAACCCCATGGGACATCCCAACTTTCAGTCCCGGATGCTCAGAGATGAGAAATTAGGTGGTGGATGTTTAGGGTGCTTAATTCCTATGAAGTTCTTTCCCAGGGACACTCAAAGGTATTTCCATTTATTTGCTTCTATCTACATGAAATCTTATCAAAATTTCTGTTGTATATGTGTCATTGTGCTTACACACATTTCTCCTAATTTTTGTTTCTTTGGTCATTTTAATGGTAATATGAAAAGAAATTCAGCATGAAAATAAAAATAATAATGAGGATGATAATAATCTTGAAACAAATATCTCTCTTCTTTATGATACTTTCTTTACTGCTTTTTTATTTATTTATTTATTTTGAGGCAGGGTTTTGCTCTGTCACCCACACTGGAGTGCAGTGGCATGATCATAGCTTACTGTTTTGACGTCCTGGGCTCAAGTGGTCCTCCTGCCACAGCCTTACAAATAGCTGAAACTACAGGCACATGCCACCTTGCTCAGATAATTTTAAAGATATTTTTGTAGAGATGAGGGTCTCACAATGTTGCCCAGTCCAGTCTTGAACTCCTGGCCTCAAGTGATCCTCCAGCCTTGGCCTCCCAAAGTGCTGAGATTATAGACATGAGCCAGTGTTCATGGTCATAATTTGTTAAATTTATATAAATATCACTTTTTTCTCATCTTCACTGTCTATTCTGAACTGTAATTCTGTTCCCTTATTTTGGTCTGTCCATTCTTGGCAGCTATCATGCTAATTTTATTTTTAGAGTTTAAGATGTATGATTATATTATAGCTGATATTTCCTCGTTAGCCATTGTTAAAAATAATAGCTAGTAAAATGAGTTTTGAGAGAAATTACTAAAGTGGGAGAAATTATTCTTCCTGATGTTAAGGATTATTATATAGCTACAGTAATAATGACAGGATGTTACTGGTGGAAGGATAGACACATAGGTCAGTGGAACAGAACACAGAACTCCAAAACAGACCTACACAAATATGCTCAAATGATTTTTGACAGTCTATAAAGCAATCGAAAGGAGGAAGGGTAATCTTTTCAATAAATAGTACTCAAGAGATTGGACATCCATAAGCAAAGGAAATGAACCTTAACTTAAGTCTCACATCCTATATAAAAATTAATTCAAAATGGATCACATGCTTAAGTGTAACATGTAAAAATTTAGTAAATTTAGAGAAAAACATGTGAAAAAAATCTTTGGGATGGCATAAGGTTAGGTAAAGAGGTCTTAGAGTTGACACTAAAATAAAGAATAGAAAACATTTATAAAAGAAAAAGTCACTGAATTGGATCTCTTCAAAATTAAAAATCTTACTCTGTAAGAGATCCTGTTAATAGAATGAAAAAGCAATTTAAAGGTTTAGATAAAACATTTGTATCCAATATCCAACAAATGACTTGTATCTAGACATTATCAAGAGCTATCAAATGCAACAGTAAAAATAAACAATCCAATTTAAAAATGGACAAAACGTGAACACTCTCCAAAGAGGATTTAAATACAGAAAATAGATAATAAGCACATGAAAAGTTATTCAACATTAGCCATTAGAAAAATATAAATTAAAATAACAATGAGATATCATTACACATCTATCAGAATGGCTAAAATGAAAAATGGTAATCATGTCGCCTTACAAGGAGATATGACATTCTCTAAGCATCCAGGACTGAAAGTTGGGATGTCCCATGGGATTATCAAAAAAATGGGGTAACCTCATCCCTACAATTAACCCTAGAGCCAGCAGCTATCAGAACACCGAAGGCATGGCCATGGTGCCTACCTACAGCCATCACTGGACAGGACCAACGGCCAGTTAAAGGAGATCACTGTTTAAATGAGCTTTTAAGGAGGACAGTCAAGCAGGTTGGGGTATTCTTATTTTTCTCAATGTTTCCTGTATACTTGGATTAAACAAGGTGTCTTTAAGTGATAAAGACACATTAATGATCCTTAGAAAAATTGTGTGAAATTTTTATTTTTTTTAAGTAAAAAGTCATTTTATTCCAATCTACCTATTCTCGTGAATAAGGTTTCTCAGCGCTGGCATACAAGGGATACTGGCAAGGAAACAAAGATTCTAGATCATTCATTCAATTCTGGTGAGAATGTAAAATGGTAACCACTCTGGAAAACAATTGGCATTTCCTTTTTAAACATGTGTATACCATAAGAACCAGCAATCACACTTGTGAGCATTTATCCCAGAGAAAATGAAAACTTAGGTTCATAAAAAATCTGTATATGTGTGTATATAGAAGCTTTATTCATAATAACTAAAACCTAGAAACAACCTCAAAGTCCTTCACTGAATGAATAAACAAGTTTTGGTACATTGATACCATGGAATGTTAGCAATAAAAAGGAACAAATTATTGATATACACAAAGATGGTTCTCAAGGAATGTACTGAGTGAAAAAAATCTATTTAAAAAGATTGATTTCCACTTATTTCCATACTTCCATTAATATAACATTTTTAAATAACACAATTATATGGATGGGGAAGAGATCAGTGGTTGAAACCAGAGATTAAGAGTGGAGGAAGGCCAGCGTGACTGTGAACATGTAGCAAAAGAGAGTAGTCCTCTGGTGATGACAGTTATTTCTCCTGATCATTATGGTGGTCATTACATAAAGCTACACATGGGATAAAATTGCATAAAACTACACATACACACACATGCAAACTTACACACACACACACAAGTTTTAAAAACGTGAAAAATTTGAAGAAAATTTGTGGATGGTAACAATACCAATTTTTTGGTTTTGATATAGCTGTACTGTTATTCAAGATGTTCTCATAGAAAGATGCTGAGTTAAGCTTACACAGGGCCTCTCTGTACATTATTTTGCAATTTCCTATGTGTATAGAATCATTTCAATATAAAAATTTTAATATTTACAATAATTATATCCATTCTAGATTATTTATTTTTTTCTGATGAACTTTATTCTATGTAGTTTGTACAGCATACTAAATTATTTCTGGGCAAATTAAATATCAAACCCAAGCCCACAGTCAGCTATGTCATTACCATTGGTGAACTACCTTTGTCAGGAGAGGGAATTATACAATGGTTAAGCAAAGAGGCATTGTGGTTAAAATTCTGATTGCTGTCTCTGAAAGTTATTTGATTAGAGATCCTCATTTCTCAGCTTTTTGAAACTTCTTATACTGAATTTGAAGTATGAGTAATAATTGTGCATAGTTTATGTAATAACCACTTATATTGTGCTACTTATATGTCAGGGGCTAGGCAACTTACAAATATTTATTAAATCTCTATAATTATTTTATGGGTTATTCCCCCATTTATAGTTGAGGAAACTGAGGGATAGGGAGATTAAGTAGTTTGCTCAAAATATGCAATTGGGTTTTTGGACAAGATTCTCTAATAGACTCAGCCAAGAAGCACCACTGCCACTGAGAGAGGACAAATTATTGAGTAAATCAGCATAATTTGGTCAGATCTATGGAGAGAAAATGTCAAGAGTGGGTAAAGAGGTGACACTGAAGCAGATGCTGAAGGAGGAAGCTGGGAACCCTGTGTGAGGTGTCTGAACACCAGAGCTAGCTCCTGGCCCCAGTGACTCCTGGGAAATGGATGAGCAGGAGAACTGAGAGATGGCTCACTCTCACCGTGGACCTCTGGACCCCTAGTTACAGGGGGCCTTGTGTCCCCCATTTACATGTGAACTGGCAGGGGGATCTCCCCAGGGAGCAGAGACAGACTTCAGATGATACAAAGCCTGGGAGCAGCTTTTGTGCATTGGGCAGCTCCAGCAGAGCATAGCCATAGGCTCCAATCCCTCTGGGCTCCCCATCACCCTCCAGCAGGCAATGGCCTCAGCTGATGGCTGAGCCAGGGAGAGAGTAAGACCAGTGACCCTGTGGGACCAGGGTATGTTTGTTCTGCAAGCCCTTCTGACCAATGGCTCCTTCCAGGGGCCATGCCCCGCTGGCCACCTCACAGTACTGGGTGTATGCTGCAGCTTCTATAGCCCAGCCTGAGTGTGCTGCTCCACCTGAGTAATTTTCCAGTGACCTGGGAGCACATTGGATTCTCCAGTGCAGTTGAAGCCTGACCCCTAGCTGCAGGATGTCCTGGCATCCCCAGGGCTGTGGTGCACAGCTCAGGAGTACCAAGCCAAGATCTCTGACTGGAACTGAAGTAGGGGAGGAGTCCCCACTCTCAGAATACTGACAGGGGCAAGATGCATGAGTCCCTGGGCTGAGTCAGGAATGAGGCATGCCTCCCTTCACAGGGCTGGTTCAGAAAAGGTATAGCCTGTCTTCCTGTCAGGGCCTCTGCCCAAGAGAGCTCACACAGCCTGGAACACTTAACAAAAGAAATGTCACGTGGTGCCGGTGACCAGAGGGGGCTCCCCCAAAGCCCAGGAATGTACTTAGTGAGCGAGCAATCTCCCCCCACCTCCCACTGTGGAGCATGTCTGCGAATATGAGAAAGTACCAAAGAGCCCTGTGGCTGGGTATTATCCTAGCTACCAGCCATTACTCTCTCTGCCATCTACTGATGGCAAAAATTACCCTACTTATATATACACTTGTGAAACCAAGTGCAAGACTTTACCACGCATAAAGATCCTATACAGAGCCCTGCCCCCATGAAAGCACCCAGAAATGAAGCCAACTGACTATATCCAACTTACACCACAGTTAAAGGAACACCAACCTTCCCAGATTAGAAAGAAATAGCACAAGAACTCTGTCAATTCTAAAAGCCAGAATATACCCTGATATGGTTTGGCTGTGTCCCCACCCAAATTTCATCTCTAGTTGTAGCTCCCATAATTCCCATGTGTTGTGGGAGGGACCTGATGGTAGGTAATTGAATCATGGAGGCAGGTCTTTCCTGTGCTGTTCTTGTCATAGTGAATAAGTCTCACGAGACCTGATGGTTTTATAAAAAGGAGTTCTCTGCACATGTTCTTTTTGCTTCCTGCCACGTAAGACATGACTTTGCTCCTCATTCACCTTCTGCCATGATAGTGGGGCCTCTCCAGCCACGTGGAACGGTGAGTTAATTAAACCTCTTTCCTTTATAAATTGCCTAGTCTCAGGTATGTCTTTATTAGCCATGTGAGAACAGACTAATACATCTCCTTACCTCCAAATGAGTCCACTCATTTGGAGCTTCCCAACAATGGTTCTTAACCATTCTGAAATAACTGAAATGACAGACATAGAATTCAGAATCTGAATGGCAAAAAAGCTCATCAAGATTCAGGAATGAGTTGAAATCCAATCCAAGAAATCCAAGGAATCCAGTAAAATGATCCAAGGGCTGAAAGAAGAAGTAGTAACTTTAAGAAAGAGCCAAACTGAACTTCTAGAGCTGAAAATTCACTACTAGAATTTCATAATACAATTGGAAGTATTTACAGCAGAATAGAACATGCTGAGGAAAGAATCTCAGAGCTTAAAGATCAGTTCATCGACCCAACTCAGTCAGACAAAAATAAAGAAAAAAGAATTTATAAAAATGAACAAAACCTCTGAGAAATATGAAATTATGTAAAGATACCAAAATCTATGACTCATTGCCATACCTGATAGAGAAGGAGAGAGAATAAGCAACTTGAAAAATATATTTAAGGATATAGTTCATGAAAATTTCGCTAATCTTGCTAAAGAGATTGACGTGCAAATCCAAGAAATACAGAGAACCTTGACTAGACACTATACAAGATGACCATCCCCAAGGCACATAGTCATCAGATTCACCGAGGTCAATGCAAAAGAAAAAAATCTTTTTTTAAAATTATACTTTAAGTTCCAGGGTACATGCGGAGAACGTGCAGGTTTGTTACATAGGTATACATGTGCCATGGTGGTTTGCTGCACCCACCAACCCTTCATCTACTTTAGGTATTTCTCCTAATGCTGTCCCTCCCCTAGACCCCCACCCGCTGACAGGCCCCAGTATGTGATGTTCCCCTCCCTGTGCCCATGTGCTCTCATTGTTCAACTCCCACTTATGAGTGAGAACACGTGGTGTTTGGTTTTCTGTTCTTGTGTTAGTTTTCTGAGAATGATGGTTTTCAGCTTCATCCATGTCCCTGCAAAGGACATGAACTCATCATTTTTAAGGCTGCATAGTATTCCATGGTGTATATGTGCCACATTTTCTTTATCCAGTCTGTCATTGATGGGCATTTGGGTTGGTTCCAAGTCTTTGCTATTGTGAACAGTACTGCAATAAACATACATGTGCATGTGTCTTTATAGTAGAATGATTTATAATCCTTTGGGTATATACCCAGTAATGGGATTTCTGGGTCAAATGGTATTTCTGGTTCTAGATCCTTGAGGAATCACCACACTGTCTTCCACAATGTTGAACTAATTTACACTCCCACCAACAGTGTAAAAGCGTTCCTATTTCTCCATATCTTCTCCAGCATTCTAATTGTCCCTGTTTTCAGATGACATGATTCCATATCTAGAAAATCCCATAGTCTCAGCCCAAAAGCTCCTTAAGCTATAAACAAGTTTAGCAATGTCTCAGGATACAAAATAAGGTACAAAAATTACCAGCATCCCTAAATACCAATAACAATCAAGCTGAGGGCCAAATAAGGAACACAATCCCATTTACAATAGCCACAAAAAGAATAAAATACCTAGGAATACAGCTAACCAGGGAGATGAAAGGTCTCTACAAGGAGAACTACAAAACACTGCTGTTCCAAGAAATTAGAGATGACACAAACAAATGGAAAAGCATTCAATGCTCATAGATAGGAAGGATCAATATCATTAAAATGACCATACTGCCCAAAGCAATCTATAGACTCAATGCTATTCCTATTAAACTACCATTGACATTCTTCACAGAACTAGAAAAAAATATATTTGAAAATTCACATGGAACCAAAAAAAAAAGAAAAGAGCCCAAATAGTCAAGGCAATTCTAAGCAAAAAGAACAAACCTGGAGGCATCACACGACCCAATTTCAAGCTATGCTACAGGGCTACAGTAACCAAAACAGCATGGTACTCGTACAGACACATGGAGCAATGGAACAGAATAGAGAACCCAGAAATAAGATCACACAGCTACAACTATCTGATCTTCAACAAAATTGACAAAACAAGGGGGAAGCATTCTCTATTTAATAAATGGTGCTAGGATAACTGGCTAGCCATATGCAGAAAATTAAAACTCCTTCCTTACACCATATACAAAAATTAACTCGAGATGGATTAAAGACTTAAATGTAAAACCCAAAACTATAAAAACCTCGGAAGACAACCTAGGCAATACCATTCTGGACAAAGGAATGAGGAAAGATTTCATGACAGAGACACCAAAAGCAATTGCAACAAAAGCAAAAATTGATGAATGAGATGTAATTAAACTAAAAACTTCTGCACAGCAAAAGAAACTATCAACAGAGTAAAGAGACAAATACATAATGGGAGAAAATTTTTGCAAACTGAATATGACAAAGATCTAATATCCAGCATCTATAAGGAGCTTAAACAAATTTACAAGAAAAGAACAAACAAACAACTCTATTAAAAAGTGGGCAAAGGACATGAACAGACAGTTCTCAAAAGAAAACATACATGCAGCCAACAATCATATGATAAAAAGCTCAACATCACTGATCATTAAAGAAATGCAAAACAAAACCACAGTGAGATACCATCTCACACCAGTCAGAATGGCTAATATTAGAAAGTTAAAAAAAATAACAGATGTGGCCAGGCACGGGGACTCACGCCTGTGATCTTAGCACTTTGGGAGGCTGAGGTGGGCGGATCATGAGGTCAGGAGTTTGAGATCAGCCTGGCCAACATGGTGAGACCCAGGCTCTACTAAAGATACAAAAAATTAGCTGGGCAGGAGTGGTGGCGAGCACCTGTAATCCCATCTACTTGGGAGACAGAGGCAGGAGAATCACTTGAACCCGGGAGATGGAGGTTGCGGTGAGCTGAAGTCAAGCCATTGCACTCCAGCCTGGGTGACGTGGCGAGACTCCGTCTCAAAAAAATAAAAATAAAAATAAATAAATAAATAACAGATGCTGGTGAAGTTACGAAGAAAAAGGAATGCTTATACACTGTTGGCGGAAGTGTAAATTAGTTCAACCATTGTAGAAGATGATGTGGCAATTCCTCAAAGACCTAAAAACAGAAATACCACTATCTAGCCAAGGGTATATAAATTGTTCTATTATAAAGACACATACATGCATATGTTCATTGCAGCACTATTCACAATAGCAAAGACATGGAATCAACCTAAATGCCCATCAATAGTAGACCGGATAAAGAAAATGTGGTGCATATGTACCATGGAATACTATGTGGCCATATAAAAGGAGATCATGTCCTTTGCAGGAACATGAATGGAGCTGGAGGCCATTATTCTTCACAAACTAACACAGGAACAGAAAACCAAAAACTGCATGTTCTTACTTATAAGTGGGAGCTAAATAATGAGAACACATGGACACATAGAGAGGAACAACACACATTGGGGCCTATCAGAGGGTGGAAAGTGAGAAGAGGGAGAGGATCAGAAAAAAACGATGGGTACTAGGCTTAATGCCTGAGTGATGAAATAACCTATACAACAAACCCCCACGACACAAGTTTACCTACATAACAAACCTGTACAGTTACCCCTGAACTTAAAAGTCAAATAACAAAAAAGAAAATGTGGTACATATAACCATAGAATACTACATGGCCATAAAAGAGAATGAAATCATGTCCTCCACAGCAACATGAATGGAGCTGGAGGTCATAACTTTAAGCAAATTAGTGCAGGAACAGAAAACCAAATATCACATGTTCTTAGTTATAAGTGGGAGCTAAACATTGAGTATATATGGACAAAAACATAGCAACAACAGACACTATGCGCTACTAGAGCAGGGAGAGAGGGAGGGGAGCGTGGGTCAAAAAACTACCTATTGGGTATTATGCTCATTACCAGGGTACAATATACCCATGTAACAAACCTGCGTATGTACTCCCTGTATCTAAAATAAAATTTGAAATTTAAAAAAAGAAAAGAGTTAAAGATACATTGAATTATCTGAAGATTTCTTCAAATACCAATTAAATCTGCAAGGACAATTAGTGTGATGTATATTATTTCCTGAAAAGTGTTCTTAATTAAAGCTTTGAGAACATTAAAAAAAGTTATGTTTATACAATACTGTAGTCTATTAAGTGTGCAATAGAATTAAGTCTATAAAAGCAATGTACTTATCTTAACTAAAAAATACTTAATTGCCTAAGGAATGCTAATGATTATATAAGCCTGAAGTGAGTTGTAATCTGTTTTCTGATGGGGAGGTCTTGCCTCAGTGTTGATGGCTGCTGACTGGTCAGAGTAGTGGTTGCTGAAGGCTAAAGTGGCTTTGGTAATTTCTTAAAATAGCAATGACATTTGCTGCATTGACTGACTCTTCCTGTTACAAAAGACTTCTCTGTAGCATGTGATGCTGTTTGAAAGCATTTTTCCCACAACAGAACTTCTTTCAAAATTGAAGTCAATCCTCTCAAACCTTGCCGCTGCTTTATCAACTATGTTTATGGGATATTCAAAATGCTTCATTTTCATTTCAACATTGTTTACATCTTCACTAGGAGAAGATTCCAGCTCAAGAAACCATGTTCTTTGCTCATCCATAAGAAGCAACTCCTCATTCATTCACATTTTATCATGAGATTGCAGCGATTCTGTCATATCTCAGGCTTCACTTCCAATTCTAGTTCTCTTGCTGTTTCTACCACATCTTCAGTTACTTCCTTCACTGGAGTTTTGAACCCCTCTAAGTCATCCATGAGAGTTGGAATCATCTTCTTCCAAACTTTTGTTTAATGTTGATATTCAGACTTCCTCCCACAAGTCATGAATGTTCTTAATAACATCAAGAATGGTGAATCCTTTCCAGAACATTTTCAATTTATTTTGCCTAGATCCATAGGAGAAATCATTAAGAGAGTAATAGTCTTGCAACATGTATTTCTTAACTTGAAAATCTAACTTACCCCTTGATCCATGGGCTGCAGAATGAATGTTATATTAGCAGGCATGAAAACAACATTAATCTCCTTGTGTATCTCCATCAGAGCCTTGGGTGACCACGTACATTGCCAAGGAGCAGTAATATTTTGAAAGAAATCTTTTATTCTGAGCAGTAAGTCTCAACAGTGGGCTTAAAATATTCAGTAGCTATGTTGTAAACAGATGTGCTATTATGCAGACTTTCTGGCTCCATTTGTAGAACACGAGAAGATTAGACTTAGTGTAACTCTTAAGGGCCTTAGGATTTTCAGAATAGTAAATGAGCATTGGCTTCAACTTAAAGTCACCAGTTGCATTTGTACCTAACAAGAGAGTCAACCTGTCCTTTGATTCTTTGAAGCCAGACATTGACTTCTCTTCTCTAACTGTGAAAATTCTAAATGGCATCTTTTTCCAGGATCAGGCTGTTTCACTACATTGAAAATCTGTTGTTTAGTGTAACCACCTTTATTTTAGCTACTTCTGGATAACTTGCTGCAGCTTCGACACAGCACTTGCTGCTTCACCTTGTATTTTTTATGTTATTGAGACGACTTCTTTCCCTAAACTTTATGAACCAACATTTCTTAGCTTTAAATTTTTCTTCCACAGCTTCCTCACCTCTCTCAGCCTTTATAGAATTGAAAAGAGTTAAAGGCCTCACTCTGTATTAAGCTTTGGCTTTTAAGGGAATGTTGTGGCTGATTTGATCTTCTATCCAGACCACTAAAACTGTCTTCATATCAGCAATGAGGCTGTATTGCTTTCTTATTATGCGTGTGTTCACTGCAGTAGAATATTTAATTTCCTTCAATAACTTTTCCTTTGCATTCACAACTTGGCTAACTGGCACCAGAGGCCTAGCTTTTGGCCCATCTCAGCTGTTGACATGCCTTCTTTGCTAAGCTTAGTCAGTTCCAGATTTTGACTTAAAGTGAAAGACATGTGACTCCTCCTTTCACTTGAACACTTAAAGGGCATTGTAACGATATTAATTAGACTAGTTTCAATATTTTTTGTCTCAGGGAATAGAGAGGCCCAAGGAGAAAGAGAGAAACAGGGGAAAGGCCAGTCTGTGGAGCAGCCAGAAAACACACAACGTTTGTCAGTTATGTTCACCATCTTATGTGGGTATGGTTTTGTGGAGCCCCAAAACAATTACAATAGATCATTAATTACAGATAATCATAACATATATAATAATAATGAAAAAGTCTGAAATATTATGAGAATTACCAAAATGTGACACAGAGATACAAAGTGAGCACATGCTGTGGGAAAAATCGCACAAGCGGACTTTCTGAATGCAGGGTTGCCACAAACCTTCAATGTTTAAGAAACACAGTATTTGCAAAGCACAATAAAACAAGATACACTGGTATATAAATTTAGGTTGAAACATTCTAAATGCTAACTTAAAAATAAAAGTCCATGAACCAAGAGGCTTGAAAGGAGTTCACCTAGACAACCTCCTAGTGTATTCCTCCTAGCCAATCATGCATGAGCCATTGGTTCAAGAGATCCAAAATGAACTTCATAGCAGCATCTGGTACCACCCTAGAAATGGGGAACTACTCTTTTATTTATTTATTTATTTATTTATTTATTTATTTATTTATTTATTTATTTATTTATTGAGATAGAGTCTTACTCCATTATCCAGGCTGCAGTACAGTAGCACAATCACAGCTTACTGCCGCCTTGACCTCCTGGACCCAAGTGATCCTCCCACTTCAGCCTCCCAAGTAGTTGGGACCACAGGTTTGTGCCACTACACCCAGCTAATTTTTTAAAAAAAATCTTCGGTAGATATGAGGTCTCACTATGTTGCACAAGCTGGTCTCAAACTCCTTCATCAGATACTTCAAGTGATCCTCCAGCCTTGGCCTCCCAAAGTGCTGGGAGTACAGTGGTGAGCCACTGCATCCAGCTGTGAAAAATTACTCTTAGCTATTACTTACACCCAACCATCCTTGGGAGATAGTACATACTCCCTTTATTAATAGTAACTCTGGAGTAAATTGCTCCAGAGGAATATATTAAAGTATACATGGCAACACAGGCACTTAATATATCTCCGATCAGTGACTCCCCACACAAACAACCACCTCAAACTCACGTTTATCTGTTAAGAATTACTTTACATATTTCTGGCTTGGCTAAATCTGGTGGGAACTGCAGGCTTTCAGAAATTCAAGGTCTGGACTGATGGTTAAGTTGCCAGTGACCTCTCTGGTCTCAGATGGAAACTATCTGATGATGAGATGTCACTTAACCATTTAACTTTCCTCCACATGCTTAACATCCATACATATGACTTGCCTGTGCTGAAATCTGAGAATCTGGACCCTGAACCTGAACCCCTTAGAACTGAGAAGGGCCACAAGAACCTATGGTGCGTGTTTGTGTGTGTGTTTGGGTATCCATTATAGAAAAATTAGAAACATGAGAAATAAAAAAAGATAATTAAAAATCACTTTTATTCCATTAACTCTGAGATAATTGCTAATATCTCAATATCCATCAGCCAGAATATTTTCTATGCATGTGCTCACGTATACATAAATATACAATTTAAAAATAATGATAACAGTAATCTCATTTTTTCTTTTAATAATTTTGTTTTGTTTCCATGCCATTAAGTATTATTCTAAGATATTTGTGTATTGCCTGGTATGTTTGAAAACGTACAAACTTATTTTGTAAATGATTTATTTGAGGGCCTTTATAGTATTGACAATTACTCATTATGATAAACAGTGTTACAATGAACATCTTTGTGTTTAAGTCAACATTTTGAGTAGCATTACTAGTTTAGAGAAATGAAAGGCTGTTACTCTATGCAGTCAGACAATAACTTGGCAATATTTCCCCTGAGATATCCCAGTGGTTGTGTGGAGGGTCTATCAGCTTATGATACATTACTGTTGAGATATATAATCAAAACAATCTTATAGAAAAGAGCTCTGTATACTATATGAGGAAGTAGAGATCAAACATTGGAGGAGTCTTACTTCCTTGCTTTCTATCTAGGTAAAATATTCTGAAGGCCTGTTTGTGATCCTTGCTTTTGGTTACTGTTTGATAGACCCCTTCAAGTCAGTCACTAAGACAATCTCCTTTCAAATAGCTGAATGAGGAGGCCTCATGGTACTGTGGTCATTGCTGCTGGCATTTTATGAGCTGGACCACTTGGAATGAGATGTGGAACAGGAAGAGAATGGAGGTCCTGGGATCTGGATATCTTTGAGGTTTTCTCAGAGCCCAAGTCTGTGGCCATTGTCTAGCAGAAACGCTGGGTCTCACTTCCAATGCAGTCTCCAGAGATATTTGAGAATAAAGAAAATGAGATGATTTAGATTTCCAAGAAAATGTAGAAGCAATGCATTTCAAATTCTGCTAGGAAAAACAGAAATCTTTCTTTTTAATAAATTTCTGTTCTGATCTTATAGGAAACTTTATACGTGATGTAATTGGCTTTTTTTTAATACCACACTCCAGTAATCCATTCCTTCCAAAATGAAACAACACACTTTAGATAACAGATTAAAATTTGTATTAAACAATAGACCATTTGGCATCACTGTTTATTTGTACACAAGGGAAGATAAAAACTTTGCTAAGAAACACAATTCCTTTCTCTGTACTTAGTAGACACATTCTGTACATAATTTTAGAGTGAAAAATGGACTCCTAAGCAAAAAGTTGACCTAAAATCAAGAAAGGAGGACCTATACAACCTACAGAACACGGGAGAGACCACTCTTCTTCTGTATGTTCTCTCCCTAGCTCTGTGTCTTTTTTTAAAATATCTTAATATTTTATTATTTCAATAGTTTAGAGGTATAAGTGGTTTTTGGTTACATAGATGAATTATACAGTGGTGTATTCTGAGATTTCAGTGCACCCATCACCCAACTAGTGTACATTGTACCCAATATGTAGGGGTTTGTTCCTTATACCCCTCCTACCCTCCTTCTTCTGAGTCTCCAATGCCCGATACCACTCTGTAAGCCTTTGTGTACTCATAGATTAGCTCCCACTGTTAAGTGAGAACATACAGTATTTGATTTTCCATTCCTGAGTTACTTCACTTAGAATAGTGGCTCCAGCTTCACCCAAGTGCTGCAAAAGACATTATTTCATTCATTTTTATGGCTGAGTACTATTCCATGGTATACATGTATACCACATTTTCTTTACCCACTCATTAGTTGATGGGCACTTAGATTGGTCCATCTCTTTGCAATTGTGACTTGTGCTGCTATAAACATACATGTGTATATGTCTTTTTCACACAATGACTTATTTTCCTTTGGGTAGATACCCAGTAGTGGGAATGCTGAAATTAAAGGTAGATCTACTTTTAGTTCTTTTTTTTTATTATTATACTTTAAGTTTTAGGGTACATGTGCACAATGTGCAGGTTTGTTACATATGTGTACATGTACCATGTTGGTGTGCTGCACCCATTAACTCGTCATTTAGCATTAGGTATATCTCCTAATGCTATCCCTCCCCCGCCCACCACCCCACAATAGTCCCCAGAGTGTGATGTTCCCCTTGCCTGTGTCCATGTGTTCTCATTGTTCAATTCCCACCTAGAGTGAGAACATGCGGCGTTTGGTTTTTTGTCCTTGGGATAGTTTTCTGAGAATGATGGTTTCCAGCTTCATCCATGTCCCTACAAAGGACATGAACTCATCATTTTTTATGGCTGCATAGTATTCCATGGTGTATATGTGCCACATTTTCTTAATCCAGTCTATCATTGTTGGACATTTGGGTTGGTTCCAAGTCTTTGCTATAGTGAATAATGCCGCAATAAATATACTTGTGCATGTGTCTTTATAGCAGCATGATTTATAATCCTTTGGGTGTATACCCAGTAATGGGATTTCTGGGTCAAATGGTATTTCTAGTTCTAGATCCCTGAGGAGTCGCCACACCGACTTCCACAATGGTTGAACTAGTTTACAGTCCCACCAACAGTGTAAAATTGTTCCTATTTCTCCACATCTCTCCAGCACCTGTTGTTTCCTGACATAGGACTTTTAGTTCTTTAAGAAATCTCCATACTGTTTTCCATAGAGGTTGTACTAATTTACATTCTCACCAGCAGTGTGTAAGTGTTCCCGTTTCACCACATCCATGCCAACATCTATTATTTTTTGACTTTTTAATAATGGCCATTCTTGCAAAAGTAAAGTGGCATCTCATTGTGGTTTTAATTTGCATTTTCCTGATGATTAGTGATGTTGATCATTGTTTCATATATTTGTTGGCCTTTTGCATATCTTCTTTTGAGAAATGTCTATACATGTCATTTGCTCACTTTTTCATGAGTTTTTTTTCTTGCTGATTTGTCTGAGTTCCTTGTAGTTCTAAATATTAGTCCTTTGTCAGACGGATAGTTTGCAAATATTTTCTCCCAGTCTGTGGGTTGTCTGTTTGCTCTGATGATTATTGCTTTTGCTGTGCAGAAGCTTTTTTAGTTTAATTAGGTCCCATTTATTTATCCTTGTTTTTGTTGCATTTGCTTTTGAGGTCTTAGTTATAAATTCTTTGCCTAGGTCAATGTCCAGAAGAGTTTTTCCAAGGTCATCTTCTAGAATTTTTATGGTTTCAGGTCTTAGATTAAGTCTTTGACTCATCCTAAGTTGATTTTTGTATGAGATGAGAGATAGGGATCCAGTTTTATTCTTCTACACGTGGCTAGCCAGTTTTCCCAGCACCATTTATTAAATAGGGTGTCCTCTCTCCAATTTATGTTTTTGTATGTTTTGTTGAACATCAGTTCGTTGTAAGCATTTGGCTTTATTTCTGGATTTTCTGTTCTGTTCCATTGGTTACGATATGCCTACTTTTATACCAGTGCCCATGCTGTTTTAGTAACTATAGCCTTGTAGTATAAATTCAAGTCTTGTAATACCTCCAGGTTTGTTCTTTTTGCTTAGGATTGCTTCGGCTATTTGGGCTTTTTTTGTTGTTGTTCCATATGAATTTTAAGATTTTTTTTAAGTCTGTGAAAAATGGTGATGGTATTTTGATATAATTTGCATGAAATCTGTAGGTGACTTTGGGCAATCACAAAATTGTGAAAATAACCATTCTTCCAATCCATGAGCATGGGATGTGTTTCCATCTATATGTGCCATCTATGATTTCTTTCAGTAGTATTTTGTAGTTCTCCTTGCAGAAATCTTCCACCTCCTTGGTTAAGTATATTACTAGGGTTTGTTGTTATTGTTGTTGTTTGTTTGTTTTTACAGCTATTATAAAAGGGATTCCATTTTTTATTTGATTCTCAGCTTGGTTGTTGTTGGTGTACAGCAGTGCTACGAATTTATGCCATTGACTTTGTAACCTGAGACTCTATGTCTTAAATTATACTAGTGCCCTGAAGATGTGGAAGCTGCAGTGAAAGTAATAAATACTGGAGATGCTGAACATGTGAAAAATGAAGAGCTCTTGGTAATGGGCAAGGCATATGTTGGAAAGTTCCTTGTGAGCATAAAATAAAGCATGGGTTATAGTGTTGTTGGGAAAGGTGTGGCTTTTGGGGATATATTAAATATGGGAGAAGGAATTTGAAAAAAAGCAGGGAAGTAGGGTATGGACGGGTGCCAAAAAACCCTCAGAATTACAGAGTGAAAAAAGATGATGTACTGCTCTGTGCTCACTTTTCATTCTTCTCTCGCTTGCAGCTTCATTCAGTGGACAATTTGCTATGTTTCCCTGCTGGTCCTTTCTCATAGATTTTCAGTAACACTGTCCTTCTGACCAGCTCAGGAGGCATATAGATGCTGTCTCAGACATGTGAGGTTGAGAACCCTCAGATATGCAAATGCTCGGTGGTTTCCTCAGGCCCTGATTGTTCTGCTTTCACATACACCTGCTCTGAAAATACACAGTTTTTCTGGTTGGGCAGACACTGTCTGGTCTTTTAAAGCCCTCTAATCGGCCGGGCGCGGTGGCTCAAGCCTGTAATCCCAGCACTTTGGGAGGCCGCGGCAGGCAGATCACGAGGTCAGGAGATCAAGACCATCTTGGCTAACACGGTGAAACCCCGTCTCTACTAAAAATACAAAAAAATTAGCCAGGTGTGGTGGGGGGTGCCTGTAGTCCCAGCTACTCTGGAGGCTGAGGCAGGAGAATGGCATAAACCCGGGGAGGCAGAGCTTGCAGCGACAGAGCGAGACTCCATCTCAAAAAATGAAATAAAATAAAATAAAATAAAAATGAAAGTAAAAAAGCCATCTAATCCTGTTTCAGCCCACAGATTTATTTTGTTTTACTTGCACTTTTTTTGCATTAACAAACTTACATTTGTTGACAAGATGGCTTCAGGCTCTTACTATTAAACTGTACCTTGGAAATACCAAATAAACAAGAGACAAACTTTTGCCTATCAAAAAACCTGTAAAATTGTCATAAATACATGAGGAAACAAACACAGGGAAGCAGAAGCTGCTTAGAGAGGAAGAGGCAAATTAGAGGTAAGAGAATGCTTTCTGAATGAGATCTTTTCTCTCCCCCAGATCTTTCCAAGCTGCTCATTTCCTATTCCAGCAGGGCAATTATTCTACCAACCAGTGGTAGTGGAGTAATTACTAGGATGGTATTAGAACCCAGCCACTGTGGGAAGCAGATAGCAATAGGCACAAATGTACTGCTCCCAAGAATTCCTGTCTCACCACCATACACAGTGGGGTGGGCAACTAGGGAATGACTGTGTCCAGCTAGAGCTCTAGAGGTTTTCTGCCCGAGACTAATCCTCAACACTCTCTCAACACACCAATTCATGACAAGTTAAATAACAGCCAACAAGAGATAATAAATATGAAAATTATAATTGTCAAAATAAGTACCTGACAGATGAATTGATTAGCATACAGAATAATACTAAAGAAAAAAACATAGTGAGCTGGAAGGCCAGGAAAAACTCTCCTAAAAATACCAAGAAGAGGTACAGAGAAGGAGAGTATACAAGTTAAGAAATATGAATGATGGCATAGGAAGTGTCAGTATCTGTATGATTCATGTACTGCATACAGGTACAAATAAGAGAAGAAAACTTATGGAAAAAATAATAACCCCAAATTTTACAAAATCAGAGAAAGACTAAAGATTTCACAATGAAAAGTATCATAATTTGCTAACTGAATTGATTTTAAAAACCTAAATATTAAAGTAAAATTTGGGAATATCAATGAACAAGGAAAAATTTTGAAATACTAAAGAACATAAAGCATTATCTATAAGTCACAGGAATGAGAATAGCCTAAGACTTCTTAACAATAACATTAAATGTAAGAAGTCAATGGAAAATGTTTTCAAAGTGTTCAAAGAAAAAAGGCAAACTTGTTATTTTATATCCATCTAGACTTTTATTTAATTGCGAGGGTGAATGAAGATTTTTTCTTTGGTATTACAGCCCTCAAAATCTTAAGACACACACGAACATGCACACACACACACACACACACACATGCAAACCACTAAAAACACTTTTAGAGGAAGTGCTACAGCAAGATGAAAAATAAATGCAGAAATAGGCCACAAGATAGGGAAAATGAGTTTGAATAAATAAAATAATAAAATTTTGTTCTTTAAACCATGAGAAACACACATGGAAAGAAGAAGTAAAATAAAATTCTATTATTTAAACTCAAGAATGATAATGTGATAGAAGAGTGGGGAGGAAGTTGTTTTGAAGACATGTAAATGAATGTTGTTATTCATCTTAGTAAGTGAGTAATTACCACCAGAAACAAGAATAGAATGACCTTCAAAGCAGCATAGGAAAATCCACCCCCTTACCCTGTTGAGCCTCCTGTGGCTGCCACTGAGCAGAATATGGCTGTCCCTCCCATGTACACTGATCTTGACAAATGTACCAGGGATGTCTTCACCAAGCGGTATAGATTAGGATTAATAAAGCTTCATTTGAAAACAAAATATGGGAATAGACTGGATGTTACAAGCTCAGGCTCAGCCAATCCTGAGGCCATCAAAGTGACAGGTAGTCTGGAAACCAAGAACAGATGGATCAAATGTGGCCTGACATTTACAGAGAAGTGGAACACTGACAAGACATTAGGTGCAGAGTTACTGGAGAAGATGAGCTTTTTACATGGACTAAAGTTGACCTGTGATTCAGCCTCCTCACCTAACACTGGGGGCAAAATGCTAAAATCAAGACAGGGTACAAGTGAGAGTACATCAACCTGGGCTGCAACGTGGATTTTGACATCTCCAGGACTTTCATCCAAGGTGCTCTCATGCTGAGTTACAAGGACTGGCTGGCTGGATACCAAATACATTTTGAGATCAAAGAGTCCCAGGTGACCTAAAATGACTTTTTGTGGTTGGCTTCAAGACTGATGAATTCCAGCATCACACTAATATAAATGACAGTGTTTGGCACCTCCACTTACCAGAAGGTGAGCAAGACTTTGGAGATCACTGTCAATCATGCATGGACATTAGGAAACAATAACACTTGCTTTGGAACAGCAGCCAAGTAGCACATAGATCCTGACAGCTTCTTCTCAGCTAAAGTGAACAACTCCCATGAGAGGATTAGGATACATTCAGACTCCAAGGCAGTTATCGAACTAATTCTGTGAGTCCTGAGAGATGACAAAAACGTCAGTGCTGGTCTAAAACGAGCTTGGTCTAAGACTGGATTTTTTTTTTTTTTTTTTTGGAGATGGAGTCTCGTTTTGTTGCCCAGGCTGGAGTGCAGTGACACTATCTCGGTTCACTACAACCTCCACCTCCTGGGTTCAAGCGATTATTGTGCCTCAGCCTCTCAAGTAGTTGGGATTACAGGCATGCACCACCATGCCCAGCTAATTTTTGTATTTTCAGTAGAGATAGGGTTTCACCATGTTGGTCAGGCTGGTCTTGAACTCCTGACCTCAGGTGATCTGCCACCTAGGCTTCCAAAACTGCTGAGATTACAGGCATGAGCCACCACACCAGCCTAAGACTGGAATTTTAAGCATAAATCAATACTGTATAATTATTTAATTTTAAAGTATTGTGCAGCATAGCTACCTTCAAAATTTAATGTACCCTCTTATGTTGTATGTCTAAGATTCAAGTATTGCTAGGTATCATGATAAATCTCTAGGTTAAAGATATTTGATCTTTAAGATGTCACCTTTTCAGAGGTATAGAAGGAACCTGATTCCCAAAAGGTCCTTTCAGTTAGAAATTTGGGAGGAATTGGTGGTCCCTCTAGAGATATCTGGTTTTTTTTTTCTTTTTTTTTTTCATTTAGAAACAGCTGCACGTGGAAACTGATAACATGCAGGCACTTTGTAAAATCATATTGAGTAAATGAACTTGTGACTTCTTGAGAATTGAACTTTGGTTTCCTATCCTAATGAGAGGCTCATTTCTTGAAGTCATGTACAAATATATCTGAGGGACACTTTTTTAGATGCATGTTTATGATCTATTTCCACTCTACTCTATCACCTCTTTTATACCAAAAGTAGTTTTCAGGGTGTGGTAAGTTATTTCCTTTGTGACATTTGTGGGCAGCAAGGGTGATGAAGCCAATAACTCAAGACTGATATGATTTAGATCTGTGTCCCCACAAAATCTCATGTCGGATTGTAATCCCTAGTGTTGGAGGTGGGGCCTAGTGGGAGGTGATCGGATAATGGGACAAAATGCTTATGAATGGTTCAGTAATATCCCCTTGGTACTATATAGTGAGTAAGTTCTCATGAGATATGGTTGTTTAAAAGTGGTGGCACCTTCCCTGCCTCTTTTTCTTGTTCCTGCTCTGGCCAAGTACAATATGCCTGCTTTCCCTTCACCTTCCTCCATGACTGAAAGTTTCCCGAGACCTCCCCAGAAGCAGAAGCTGCTATGCTTCCTGTACAGCCTGCAGAACCATGAGCCAATTAAATCTCTTTTCTTTATAAATTACTCAGTATCAAGTATTTCTTTATAGCAATGCAAGAATGGACTAATACAGAAAATTGGTACCGAGAAGTGGGGCATTGCTATAAAGATACCTGGAAATTTGGAAGCAGCTAATGGTAACTGACAGAGGTTAGAAGAGTGTGGAGGGCTCAAAAGAAGACTGAAAGATGAGGGAAAGTTCAGAACTTCCTAGAGACTTGTTAAATTGTTGTGACCAAAATGCTAATAGTGATATGGACAATGAAGTCCAGGCTGAGGAGGTCTCAGATGGAGGTAAGAAACTTATTGGGAACTGGAGAAAAGGTCACTTTTGTTATGCATTAGCAAAGAACCTGGAGGCATTGTGCCCCTGCCCTAGGGATCTGTGGAACTTTGAACTTGAGAGTGATGATTTAGGGTATCCAGCAGAAGAAATTTCTAAGAAGGAAAGTATTAAAAATGTGATCTGGCTGCTTCTAACAGCCTAATGTAAAACTGGGACTTATATTTAAAAGGGAAGCAGAACATGAAAGTTTGGAAAATTTGCAGCCTGGCCGTGTGGTAGAAAAGAAAAGCCCATTTTCAGGGGAGGAATTCAAGCAGGCTGCAGACATTTGTGTAAGTATAAAGGAGTCCAGGGCTGATAGCCAAGACAATGGGCAAAAAGCCTCCAAGACATTTCAGAGACCTTCTTGACAACACCTCCCATCACAGGCCCAGAGGCCTAGAAGGACTAAATGGTTTTGTGGCCTAGGGTCCAGACCCTGCTGCGCTGTGCAGCCTTGGGACATTGCTCTCTGCATCCCAGCCACTCCATCTTCAGCCATGGCTCAAAGGGCCCCAGATACAGCTTGGGCCACTGCCTCAGAAGGTGCAAACCATGAGACTATGCAGCTTCCACATGGTGTTAAGCCTGTGGGTACATTCTTCCAGAGTGCAAGACTTGAGTCATGGGTGCCTCCACCTAGATTTCAGAGGATTTTTGGAAAATCCTGGTGTTCAGGCAGAAGCCTGCTGTAGGGGTGGAGCCCTCATGGAGAGATTTTACTAGGGAGGAGAAATGTGGGGTTGGAGCCTCCACACAGGGTCCCCACTGGGGCACTGCCTAGTGGAGCTGTGAGAAGAGAGCCACCATCCTCCAGACTCTAGAATGGTAGATCCACTGACAGCTTACACCATGCTCCAGGTAAATCTGCAGGCACTCAATGCCGGTCCATAGAGTAGCTGTGGGGTCTGAACACTGCAAAGCCACAGGGGTAGAGCTGTCCAAGGCTTTGGGAGCACATTCCTTGCACCAACATGCCCTGGAGGTGAGGCATGCAGTCAAAATAGACTGTTTTGGAGCTTTAATATTTAATGACTTCCCTGATGGCTATAGCCCCTTTCTTTTGGCTAATTTATCCCTCTTGGAATGGGAGTATTTACCCAATGCCTATACCTCCCATTGTATCTTGAAAGTAACTAACTTGTTTCTTCTCTTACAGTCTCATAGGTGGAAGGGACTAGGCTTGTCTGAGATGAGAATTTGGACTTTGTACTTTTGAGTTAATGTGGGAATGAGTTATGACTTTGGGGGTCTGTTGGGAAGGTATGATTGTATTTTACAATGTGAGAAGGACATGAGATTTGGGAGGGACCAGGGGTGGAATTATACAGTTTTGATCTGTGTCTCGACCAAATCTCATGTTGAAATGTAATCCTCAATGCTGGAGGTGGGACCTGGTGGGAGGCAGTTGGATCATGGCAATGGTTTCTAACGGCTTAGTGGTTTAGCATCATCCCCCTAGTGTTGTTCTCGTGATTGAGTTCTCAGCATATCTGGTTGTTTAAAAGTGTGTAGTACCTCCCCTGTCTCTCTCTTCCTTCTGCTCTAACCATCTGCAACATCTCGCTCCCCCTTCACTGTCCATTATAATTGAAAGCCTCTTGAGGCCTCCCTGAAGCAGAAGCCATTATGCTTCCTGCAGAACTGTGAGCCAATTAAAGCTCTTTTCTTTATTAATTAGCCAGTCTTGGGCATTTCTTTATAGCAATGTGCAAACAGACTATGACAAAGACTTAATTTCCTCTCAAGTTGTAGTTTTATTGTCCTTGCATCAGATAATGAAATAGATTCCAAAAATACTAAATGCAAGCCTGGAAGAGTCTCTGTGGCATAATCACACTTAAAATCTAAAGTGGACTTCTGCTACATTCTCACTAACTTATATTCTTAACAGTTTAATGAGTACGGTTTACAGTCTTCCATTTTGTGTGGAATTAGATTCTCCCTTTCAAATGCTATAATTAATGTCACTTAAATAAAATTTAAATAAAATATTAAAAATTCGAAGTCTATAATAAAAACTGGTAGGCATAAGTAGACATTTTTAAATAGGTAAACAGAAATGACCAAATAAAGCAGCAGAAATTAGGTCCCATTAGCCTAGTAATTACAATACTGTAAATGAGTTAAACTTAACAATAATAAAGCATAGACTCTTAGATTGTATTTTCAGAAATCCAACAGTACATTGAGAAACATATCTATAACAACACTAAACAAACAAATAATATCAATTTCGTTTGATATAATTCAATTGAAATAATACTATTTGGGGTACTACTTCTAATTGAAGCTATTTTTGCCTCTCATTTTACCATAAAAATGAATGTCGTGGTAATAAAATTCTCTTTCTCCCAGAAATTTAAGCAAGTTCCATGGTTTTTCTTAGGTAATAGGTAAGGTAAATATTTAACTCTCAATTGGCTAATTAGGACATTAAGTTCAAGCCATTAACCAAAATTTGAAACTTCCTCTTCTTTCAGCCTAAGTTTATTTTATGCCAAAAACCTACAGTAAAAACAGAGTATGAAATGTGCTTAATTTCAGCTCTTTTCTCCATTTTGCCCCTCTAGCTGGCATCAACAATTTTTGGCATAGGAAGGCAGGATTAGAAAAGCTCAGGTTTCTGATGACATGACGTAGGCATACAAGTATTTAAAACTGTTGTCTTTCCTTTTTTTGGAGGCTCTAATTGGTAGAAAGCTCTCTCCCAGGCCCATCATCAAAACACTTAATCTGCCCTTTCTTTGCCTTTAGATTTCTCAGAAAGGAGTCAGATGAGAGTCCACTGTGCTCCTCTGAATACAAGAAACACATTTCAACTCTAAAGAGTATCAGACCCAAGGCAAGGGAAGTATCACCCCAAACCAGTCCTCTTGTAGTGGGGATAAGGGAAAGAAATCCAGTACAAAAACTCTGCCCAAGGAAGTACATTTAACAATCTCTTTTTTCTCTCTCTGAACCCTTTTATATTCCTTAAGCAGATGAGGAGTTTAGGAGTCATGGAACATATCAGAATATAATTTAAAAGTCCCATATGGATATTTGCCATCTTATTGTGAAAATTAACAGCTATTGAATCATGATATCGAATCAAAACTTTTATTTTAACCACTTGTTATACAGTTAAAACACCCAGAAAAGTTGAATAAAAAATATAAGGAACCAATATTCAAAGTAAATATTGGTCCAAAAAATATCATATATCATGCGTATATACTCATGTAACAATATAGTCTCCAAACATACAGTAACAAGTCAGAACTACAGGAGAAGAAAATTTAAATCAACAATTGTCGTTGAAGATTTTAATGTAACCCTTCTGGAAACCAATAGATAAAATAAAGCTAAACAAAACTATAGATATGAGTAATAAATTCAAATATAGATAAATTTATATGGAACCAAAAATTCACTTTGTTTAGGAGTACACATGGAGCATTCAAATGAGTCAATTATAAATTCAATAAAAAGCTAACAATATATGTTTTTAAACCATAATGCAATAAATTTAAAATTGATTAAAGAAGATAGTAAAAATAGTCTCATAACTGCAAAAGGAAAAAAATTACTCAAAATTATACTTTAATTAAAGAGGAAATCATAAAGAATATTATAAAATATAAGAGAATGATAATAAAAGTGTGATGTGAAAAAATATAGAATACAGCTAGAGCAAGACTTAGAGGAAATTTTATTGAATTAATTCACAATTATTTATTGAATTAATAAAAAAAGAAAAATTAAAGTCAAGAGACCTACCATTGAACTCAAAAAGCTTGTAAATGGAACTACAGAATTCTTCCCTCCAAAAAGGGATGGAATAGTAAAGAAATAACAAAAAATAATAGAATACTAAAAAAGAGCTCAAAAGGAGAACCAGCAAAACCAGTAGCTGTTTCTATAAAAAGACTAATAAAATTAACAAACACCTAGCAAGACTGATTAAGAGAAAAGAAAAAGAAAAAATGCAGGTAAAAATTACCCTTTAATAAAATATTAGAAATTTAATATTTAAAAATTAAAATTTGTAAAATGTAAAATGTAATATTAATATTAAAATTACCCTTTAGTAATATTAAAGGTTAGCTAGCTACAACATATAAAGATTTAACAAAAGATATAATAAATAATTGCATGTCAATAAATTTGAAAGTTTTACTGTTGAATATATTAGGAGGTACCCCTGGAGAGGTCCTGAATTCCAGGCTTTCTTCCAAGGTTTCTAAGCAGAGCCCAAAGTCATAGGTATGGGAAGAAAATGTTGGCAGTGGGTCATAAAAAAGACATGTCATAAGTTGTGTCCTACTTCACTCCTTAGTTCTCAAATCTAAGTATTCTGACTATGGGAGAAACAATAACATATATTGGAATAGACAAAATAACGCTGGTCTGTGTCTTAAAACATAATAATAAGTTCCCATGTAAACCTAGAAGGGAGAAATCTGAGGAAAAGAAAAACAAATCCACAACACCACAGTGGCCCAGCACTCTTATCAACAGTGCCTGGAGGCCCTTTCATTGCAGAAAGACAGGAAAAATAAACCAAAAATAAAGATTAAGCAAGAAGTAAAAGAACAAGTATTATTCACAAATAATATGAATGCAAATGTAGCAAATCCAAAAGAATATATAGATAAATTGTTGGAATTAACACAAAAGTTTAGAAAAATTGCTGAATAAAAACAATTAGTATATAAAAATCAGTAAGTGTCTTTATCACATCAACAAAAATGAAATGCACTATATATATATTATTTTTGATAGCATGCCTAAGAATAAGGAAAAGAAGAGACATTTTAGGCTTCTACAAAGGTAATTATAAAAGCATTAGAAAAAATTAAAGGAGACCTAGAAAATAGAGAAATATGTCATATTTAGCAGTTAAAGGTTTTAATATGATAATAGCAGTTAAAGGTTTAATATGATAATAACCTCAATTTTTCCCAAATTGCTGTATTAATTTAATGAAATCTCAATCTTAATCCTAGAAAGATTTTATTTGTTTATATTTTATGGAATTTAACAGTTAATTTTAAAATTGGTATGCATATACAAATGCAAAGGGCAAAGAATAGCAAGACATTTTTGAAAAAAAAGAGAAAGACAAAAGATTTCAGAATAAAATATATTTTGAAGCTATAAAAAGGGTGATACAGCCACAATGATAAATGAAACAATGTAATCATAGATAATTCAGAAACTGATCCATATATATGCATAAACTTCAGTTATAATAAACATAGTACAGAAGGAGGCAGAGGAAGATGAGCAAATAGAAATCTTCACCAATCATCCCTCCTGCAAATTTCAACAACTACACATGAACAAAAAATCAGGTGAGCAATCACAGTACCTAATTTAGCTTTATATTACTGAAACAGGCACTGAAGAGAGTAGGAAAGACAGTTTTGAATTGCCGACACCACCCCTCCCCGATTCCTTGGCAGCAGCTGGATGATACATAGAGAGAATTCGTGCAGTTGGGAGAGGGAAAGCACAGTGACTAGGGAACTTGGCATTAAACTCAGTGTGGCCCTGTCATAACACTGAGAGAAAAGCCATGCTGGGTTCAGCCAGTGCCCACCCATGGAGGGAACAGAATAGTGCATCCCAGTGGTCAGAACCTGAGTTTCTCAGCAAACCTTGTCACTGTGGGCTAAAGTGTTCTGGGGTTCTAGATAAGCCTGAAACGCAGTCTAGGACACAAGGACTGCAATTCCTAGGCAAGTCCTAGTGCTGGGCTGGGTTTAGAGCCAGTGAACTAGGGTAGCATGTGACCCAGAGAGACACCAGCCCAGTGGGCTAAGGGAGTGCTTGTGCCACCCCTTTCAAAACCCCAGGCAGAGCTGCTTGTAGCAAAGAAATTGACTCCTTTCTTCTGCTTGAGAGGATAGCGAAGAGTAAAGAGGACTTTGTCTTGCAGCTCAGCCACAGTAGGGTAGGGCATTGGGCAGAGTTGTAAGTCCCCCATTCCAAGACCTAGGTCTCAGATGACATTTCTAGACACATCATGGCCCAGAAGGGAATCTGCTGCCTTGAAGAGAAGGACCCAGTCCAGGCAAGATTCATCACCTGCTGACTAAAGAGCCGTTGGGCCCTCAATAACCAGCAGCAATACCCAGGTAGTACTGGGCTTTTGGTGAGACTCTGAGACATCCTGGCTTCAAGTGAGACCCAGTACACTCCCAGTTGTGGAGGCCATGGTGAAAGACTCCTTCTGCTTGAGAAAAGCAAAGAGAAAAGTAAAGGGGACTTTGTCTTGTACCCTAGGTACCAGCTCGGCCACAGTTGGGTAGATCACCAAGTGGGCTCCTGGGGACCCTAAGTCCAGGCCTGGGCTCTTAAACAGCATTTCTGAACCTGCCCTGGGCCAGAGAGAAGCCCACTGCCATGAAGGGTGAGTCCCAGGCCTGGCAGCTTTCACCACCCAGGCCTGGCTAAGTGAAGATCCCTGGGGCCTTAAGTGAATATTGGCAGTGGACTGACAGAATTACCCATGGGCCAGTGGTGGTGGTGGCCACTGAGAAAGGATCCTCTGCCTATGGAAAGGGCAGGGAAGAGCGGAAAGGACTTTGTCTTGTGGACCAAGGAACAGCTTAGCTTCAACAGAATAAAATACCAGGTACATTTCTAAGATTTTTGACTCCAGTCCCTGGCTCTCAGACAGCATCTGTGGGCATGACCGGGGCAAGAAAGGCACAAACCTGGCTGGCTTCCCAACTTGCTAACCGTAGAGCCCTAGGGCCTTAAGCGAACATTAGCAGTAGCCAGGTAGTGGTTACAGTGGGCCCTGAGTGAGGCCCAATGCTGGGCTGGCTTCAGATCTGACCCAGCACAGTCAGTGGTGGTGGCCCCAGGGGTGCTTGCATCACGACACCCCCAGATCCAGGCGGCACAGCACAAAGAGAGACTCCGTTTATTTAGGAGAACATAAGGGACGAGAACAAGAGTCTCTGCCTGGTAATCCAGGGAAGTCTTCCGGAACTTATCCAAGACCACTAAGTCAGTACGTCTATGAGTCTGCAGGAACCACAGCACTACTGGGGTTGGGTCTCAAGTTCCTTTGAATACCTGGAAAACCTTCCCAAGAAGGACAGGCACAAACAAGGCCAGACTGCAAAGAACCATAGTAAATACTTAACTCTTCAATGCCTAGACACTAAGGAACATCTATGAATATCAAGACCATCTCTCAAAACATGATTTCACCAAATGAACTGAATAAGGCACCTGGGACCAATACTGGAGAAGCAGAGATATGTTACCTTTCAGACAGATAATGCAAAATAGCAATTTTGAAAAAACGCAAAGAAATTCAAGATAACAAAGAGGAAGAATTCAGAATTCTATCAGGTACAGTTAACCTAGGGATTGAAATAATAAAAGAAAATCAAGCAGAAATTCTGGTGTTGAAAAATGCAATCAACATATGGAAGAATGCATCAGCATCTTTTAATAACAGAATAGATCAAACAGAGGAAAGAATGAGTGAGCTTTATAGGCAACTAATGCCAAAATGGACAAATTGGATCACATCAAATTAAAAAGCTTCAGCACAGGAAAGGAAATAATTCACAAAGTGAAGAGACTACCCACGGAATGGGAGAAAATATTTGCAAACTCCCATTCTGACAAGGTATTAACAACCAGAATATATAAGATCAGACAGCTCTGTAGAAAATAATCTAATAATCTAATCAAAAATAGGCAAGAGATCTGAACAGATATTTCTCAAAAGAAGACATACAAATGGCAAACAGGCATATGATCATCAGAGACACACAAATCAAAACTACAATGAGTTATCATCTCACCCCAGTTAAAATAGCTTATGTCCAACAGACAGGCAATAACAAATGCTAGTGAAGATGTGGAGAAAAGGGAACCCTCACACACTGTTGGTAGAACGTAGATTAGTACAAGCACTATGGAGAACAGTTTGGAGGTTCATCAGAAAACTAAACATAGAGCTACCATATGATCCAGCAATCCCACTGCCGGGTATATACCACCCCTAAAAGGAAATCAGTTTATTAAAGAGCTATCTACATTCCTATGTCTGTTGCAGCACTGTCTACAATAGCCAAGATCTGAAAGCAACCTAAGTGTTCATCACAGAGGAATGGATGAAGAAAATGTGATACCCATACGTAATGGAGTAGTATTCAGCCATAAAAGTGAATGAGATCCTGTCATTTGCAACAACATGGATGGAACTGGAAATCATTATGTTAAGTGAAATAAGCCAGGCACAGAAAGACAAACACATATTTTCACTTATTTGTGGAAGCTAAAAATCAAAACAATTGAACTCATGAAGATAGAGTAGAAAGATGGTTAGCAGAGGCTGGGAAGGATAGTAGAGGTATGAGGGGGAACTAGGGATGGTTAATGGGTACAAAAAAACAGAAGAATAAATAAGACCTAGTATTTGATAGCACAACAAGGTGACTATAGTCAAAAATAATTTAAATGTATATTTTTAAATAACTAAAATAGTATTATTGGGTTGTTTGTAACAGAAAGGATAAATGCTCAAAGTGATGGATACCCTATTTACCATGATGTGGTTATTACACATTGCATGTCTATATCAAAGTATCTCAGGTATCTCATAAAAATATACACTTACTATATACCCACAACAAATAAAAATTAAAAATTAAAAAAATAAATGTAGTACAGAGAAGAGAAGAACTTTCTATGATTGATCCTAGGATAATTAGATATCAAGATAGAGTAAAATAAATTTTAATCTCTTCATTATTACATATGCAAGCAACACAAAATAATTTCTAGTGAACTATAAAACTAAATGAGAAAAGAGAAAAGGTTTTTAAAACACAACTTAGTACTGTATCTTTATAAGTTAGAGTAGAGAAAATTTCTTAAACAAAACAGCAAAGATAAATGAAAAGATTGGTAAGTTTGACTACATTGAAATTAAGAACTTCTGTTTATCCAAAGACACAAGGAAGAAAGTGCAAAGCAGGGCCTCAGGGTGAGAGAAAATATTTACATTACATAATCCAAAACTACAAGTCATAAAGAACTACAGATTTATAAAGAAAAGACAAATAACAGAAAAATCACCACAAGACTTGAGCACTTTACAATAAAAGAAAATCCAAAGACAAAAAATCTGTAAAAATATGGTCAACCTCATTAATAATAAGAGAAATACAAAATAAAATCATGAGCTACTACTACACACCGATAGCAATGGCTAAATTTAAGTGGAGCAATGAGAACTAGGCTGAATGTAAATTGGTTCAACCACTTTGGAAAACTTTTTGGCATCATCTACTAAAGCTGACATGCATATATACTACCCTGTGACCCAACATTCAATTTCTGTATAAGTGTGTGCTTATATATACCAAAATGTTCACAATATCCATAATATCATTGTAATAATGCAAAAACTTGATACTACTCAAATGGCCATAAACAGTACAATGGACAAATAAAAGTGATGCATTCATACAATAGAATGAATTTAATAAAAAGTTAGAACACAGCAATAAAAATAAACTAGAATAAATGCATGAATAAATCTCACAAACATCATGTTGAATGAAACAAGCAAGATACAAAAGAATATAAATAATTTGATTAAATGAATATATAGCTCAGAAACAGGAAAAACTAATCAATATTGATTAGGAATGGGTAGAGCAAAGTGAAGTGATTACCATAAAAGCTAACACCCAGGAAGCAGGGAGTTGTGATGAGGAAGAGGCAGGCAAGGACTTCTGGAATCTTTGTAATATCCTATTTTATGATCTGGTGGTGATTATATGGGTGATTGCTTTACAATAATTTATTAAGCTAAACGCTTTTGTTATATATACTATGCTGTACATATATATTACATATGGAAAAAAGACTTAAAAAAGAATAGACTGGTAGTGAGAGATTGGAATAGGGCCATGACAATAAAAAGAGAAACTAAAGGAGTCAAGAGTAATTTTAGCAAACAGCAATGGTACAGCTGGGAATGATAATAGAAAAGAATCAAACATGATTTTCAGGTTTCTGACTTAAGCATCTGAGTGAATGGTGATGGTGACACCTGAGGGAGTACATGTAGTTAAAAAAAAAAAAAAAAGAGGCCAGGCGTGTTGGCTCACGCCTGTAAACCCAGCATTTTGGGAGGCCAAGGTGGGTGGATCACAAGGTCAGGAGATCGAGACCATCCTGGCCAACATAGTGAAACCCCATCTCTACTAAGAATACAAAAATTAGCCGGGCCTGGTGGTGCATGCCTGTAATCCCAGCTACTTGGGAGGCTGAGGCCGGAGAATTGCTTGAACCCAGGAGGCAGAGGTTGCAGTGAGACAAGATCACGCTACTGCACTCCAGCCTGGGTGACAGCAAGCCTCCGTGTCGGAAAAAAAAAAAAAAAAAAAAAAGATTGCTTCAATTTTGGATATGTTAATCTGGAGGTACCATTAAACACATGAATGATAATGTTCAGTGAATGTTGGCTATTTTGGTCTAGGCTCTAAAGAAAGAAATCTATTTAATGAAGGGAAAATCAAATGCTCTGAAAAACATCTGATCTCAAAATAATCCTACCACTGCACAGAGGTGTCAAGTGCCTCCACATTGTGTGTAATAAAACTAAATCTAATTTCACTTATGTAGATGTTCAAGGTTTTGCTTTTTAACCATTCTGTGCCCACTTTATGTGGGCTTGAAGTCAGATGTATTTTCTCTACCATTTGGACTCCCAAGGGACATTTGACCCTAAGGCAGAACTTAGCTACTTTCAAGTCTTTTCCAGAGCTTTGCAGTGAGTAAAACACAAAGCTGCAGTGCCTTTGCACTTGGGCTCTACATGTACATCCTGCTTTTTTGTCCCATCTGTGTGTGTCCTTCATACTGTATTTTAGCTCATTAATAGAACATTATGGCCAGCTGTCTGAATCAAAAAGGGCAATATAAAGGGAGAGGAAAATAAGAGGGAGGTGAAGTAGGGGAGAGAGAATTTTATTCTATTTGCATTTTATTCTATTGAGTGTTAAGCTTTCAAATGTTGTTAGGATCATAAAGCCGGGATGTCTCATTCTAAAATGAAGTACAAGTGAGGTTAGATCTCTACCCTATCTGGCCATGCAATGTCTATGACTTTCTTTTTTTTTTTTTTATTTTATTATTCCAGAGAAGTTAGTATTTGGGCCTTAAGCTTTTGAAAATAAAGTTTAGAAACATAGCATATGAATACCACTGTAATACACATGAAATATCCTATCAGACCCTAAAAATTAACATAAACTTTAACTTTCTCATAGTCAACAGAATAGTGGCTGGTTGCCAATTTTATTAGATAAGTTGGTTACAGCATTTTAATTATCATTTTATGTCTATCTAGGTGTAGCTGAAATTCAAAATGCACATCAAAGTAAAACTATATCACAACTCGATGCCATACTAAATGTACTTGGCCTCAGCAATAGTAGAATTCTACTCAGACTTCATTTTTTACTCCCTTCTTATGACCCAAGTGGCTTTAACAGGAATGCAGGACTTAGTGCTGATCATCACACCTCATACCCTTTCTTTTTAGAACCTCTACAAAATTTTGAGGGGAGATGGTTGCTTTAGCCCTGTGGAACAGCTCTTGCTTGATCACCTCAATAACACTGGGCCAGTATCTGTCCAGCAGAACCCACTGTGAAATAGTACAAGGTGCACAGCCCTTCACTGATTACAGGCAAGTGTTACAGTAGGCTAGCCATAAGGAAGGGGAGTTACATCATAGTACAAAATACAGTATAAAAGCGTTATTTAACATTCCACACTGAAGATTACTCTAATGCCTTCAAACAATCGTTTGGATGTTAGCCACTTAAACAAATACATCACTAAGATAAACAATATAAACATACCAAAACCCTGTATGGTTAAATACAATTTCCATGGTACAAAAATCAAAGCCTGGAGATGTTTCTACAGATTGCTTTTTACACAATGTCTTAAATTGCCAAATATTTACAACATTAAAGAGGAAACACATTGTGAGGCAGAGTAAAATTATCTGAAATGATTATTATAAAACCTCAATCTATCTATGTGAGGCACTCCTGAAGCAGGTGGCATTAGCCATGAGGTCCTTTGGTACAAGGCCCATTGCTTGAAGAACCACAGTAGCTGCTGTGTCTTTAGCATGCTTCTTATTAAGGCTGGCAAAGTTGGGCTGGTAAGCACTTCCATTTATCAATCCCTATTCAAGAAAAACATACAACTGGGCTGGTAAGGGCTTCCATTTCTCAATACCCTAAAGAGAAAACGTTTGCAATGATCAGGGCCACTATCATGGACCAATAGAAATTCAGGTGGTTGCCACCTTCTCTTATTTCAGATTTCCATCAAAGCAGACACAGGATGTTTGCCTGGCAGATCTTTCATTGCAGCAGAGAAGTTCCCAGACCTCTTTTTTGCTCTTTCTCCTACTGCAACAAGACCTTTTCGGTCTGTCTTAAAATCAACTAGGATGGGTTCCTTATTGCCTTCTTTGTTTTTTCCTAATCCTTCTCCTTCTCTCCAGCCCATTTTCCTCATCAAAACGGCTCCCGTTCCTCCAGTTACCGGGGCTGCTCTTAAGAACTGATCCTTTTTAATCCAGGTTGGGCACCAGTATTGGCCAACTGTTCTTGTGTCAAAACCTGTACTCCTGTACTTCCTGTGAACTGGCCAGGAATAGAGTTCAGCTGAGCCCAGGCATCAATCCTTTCCTGAGCTCTATTTAACATGCTCATGTCTTCAAGGTCAAATGCATTCTCACTGAGTCTTTTCTGAGCGAGTGCCCGTTCACTCATTGCTGTAGAGATGTCCACAGGCTCTGAGGGCAAATCGCTGCTGAAAACATTATCATCATCTTTGTTTTCTTCACCATTTTTCTCTACAGGAACTCATTCTCCATAAACACTATCTGCTTCTTTTTTCCAATGTTGAGATCCAGATGATACAGGGAATTCTTTTGTTAAGGTTACCTGGCTTTTTGGTGAAGCTGGTTTTGCTGCAGCAATATTCAGATTGAAAAAAATGGGTTTGGGTTCACTGAGTTTAAAGAGATGACGATAAAAAGGAGGTTCTTCTTCCTCTTCATCCAAAACATGAGGTTTATTCACTACTACATCATCATCTTCTTTACTCTGTGTGATCTGTTTACATTTCTCAGTTAGTTCTTCTATAGTAGGTCCTCTTGACTTTTTAGCAACTTTCTCTTCTATAGTAGGTGGAGGTGCAGGCTTTAGGTTTGGCGGGAAAGGGACACCAGCCTTAGCACACATGGCAGCTGCATTAGCTTTAGCTATTTCAAGTAATTGAGCCTTATCCAAATCTGTTAGACGTTTGGATGGTCTGCCTTGTTCAGAAGACTTGGATCTTTTACGACGGATGGGAGATCTGCTAAACCTTCTTCTCAAGGGTGTTCTTGATCGCCTTAATCTGATTGGTGAGATACTGAAGCTTCGTCTTCTTACCACAGACTTTGATCTTCTCTGGCGGCTGGGGGTGTGGCTCCGGCGGCTTGGGGAAAGGCTAAAGCTCCTTCTTCTACCCACAGAACTAGACCTTCGTCGACGACTTGGAGTATGACTCCGACTCTGACGACTTGGGTTTCGTGCAATGTCTATGACTTTCTTTCGTCTCTCCACTCATGTGGAACCTTTTCTTTGACATTTATATCATGTTACTACCTTGTTTAATAAGGTACTTATTTCATATTTGGTTTTCACATGGAAATTTGTGTATACAACTTTATCATATCTATCACTCTTCATAAAATCTTGTATACTTTCTTTTTTTAGGGATCCTATCTCATTTCTCTTTATATTGCCAACAGTAGCTATCAGAATTTCCGAAAGTTGTCACCCATGTTCACAAAGCTTCTCCCCAGGACAAACCCTGCCCTTGTGGGTATCCTCATGGGACCACTGGTGGGCAGTGGTGTAGAATTTTTCAAGAAAATTCAGAAACATATGTTAGCTATATAACACAAATATCTATTGGAATCCAAGGCTAAAATTTTGCTCTATATTTTTCATGCCAAATTAAGTCTGATAAGCAGTTCAGAGGTTCTGCAATAAGATTAAACAATGAGATCCTCCAATAGCAAAATTATAACAATGTCGAGATGCCACAAATTTTTACTACAAGCCTTTTTTTCCCCTTGTTAATATCCCTAGGAAGAAATTGAAGTTCAAAGATTAAATCGTTTTGTAGGAAAAATTCCAGACACAGTAAAATCCAAATAAACTAAAGCCTTAAATCAAATTGTCTTTAAGAACTTAAAGTAACCTCTGACCCCCAATTTATTATATTCTGCTTAATCTCAACTAAGTGTAAGTTCTCAATGTCTGGATGAAGCTAAGTTTGTTTAAGCAATTGCTGTCTGTACTGTCTCACAGCTGAATGGAATCATTTCTTTCAGAACCTTGGAGATTGTGTTGGTTCAGTGCCAAGACTCTCATGAGCCACAGTTTTAACAAGTTCAAAGGATTAATAGGGGATAAAAGATTATCACAGCACAGGCCCCGTAGCCACTGAATTCTAGAAAGCCAACCCCCAATTCTAGAGCAATAATACTAAGCAGGCTTACACTCTTAGAACCCTTATTTAATGTCTCTACAGACCCTGATGGAGATTCATTCACATATGAAGAAAGAAAAGTAGATAAAGAAATTCATTGTTTAGCTTCGCAGAATGCCAGTCAGTTGGTGCCAGTTGATGCCAGTGGACTCAGAGCCTTTAAACTTAAACTTAGTTGTGAGGAAACTCACAGCACTCACAAGGTTAACGTTGACACTAAAAGCATTTACTATTTTAAGGATGGGTGGGAACCATTAATTTTGTGCCTTTTTTTTAAGAACAGAAAGCATTTTTAGTTTAAGAATAAGTTTCACTTCAAAGATAGTAGTACACCTGTAAATTCTTACTGAAATCAAAAATTACATAGCAACAAAAAAATACTTATAGCCTGTCACAGGCTGATCACAAGCCTTTATAATAAAGTACACTATTCTTAGCTTTAATGTCCTGTATAAGCAAGCATCGCACATGAGGTAGCAGCATTCCTTCTCCTGCTTTCTGAGGATGCCCTACTTTGTAATTGAGTGGTTTCTTTTCTTTTTTCCCCAACTTTTATTTGAATTCCAGGGGTACATGTGTAGGATGTGCAAGTTTGTTACATAGGTAAACATGCATCATGGGAATTCGTTGTACAGATGATATCACCCAGGTATTAAGCCTAGTATTCATTAGTTATTTTTCCTGATGCTCTCTCTCTTCCCACCCCCCACCCTCCAACAGGCCCCAGTGTGTTCTGTTTCCCTCTATGTGTCCATGTGTTCTCATCATTCAGCTCTCACCTATAAGCAAGAACATGCAGTGTTTCGTTTGCTGTTCTTGCATTAGTTTGTTGAGAATAATGGCTTCCAACTCTATCTATGTCCCTGGAAAGGACATAATCTTGTTCCTTTTTATGGCTGCATAGTATTCCATGGTGTATATGTACCACATTTTCTTTATCCAGTCTATCATTGATGGGCATTTAGATTGATTCTATGTCTTTGCTATTGTGAATAGTGCTGCAATGAACATATGCATGCAAGTATCTTTATAATCAAATGATTTATGTTCCCTTGGGTATATACCCAGTAATGGGATTGCTGGATCAAATGGTATTTCTGCCTCTAGGTCTTGGAGGAATCACAACACTGTCTTCCACAATGATTGAACTAATATATACTCTCACCAGCAGGGTATAAGCTTTCCTTTTTCTCCACAACCTTGCCAGTATCTGTTGTTTTTTGACTTTTTGATAGTAGCCATTCTGACTGGTGTGAGATGGTATCTCATTGTAGCTTTGATTTGCATTGCTCTAATGATCAGTAGTGTTGAGCTTTTTTTCATGTGTTTGTTGGTCACATATATATCTTCTTTTGACAAGTGTCTGTCCATGTCCTTTACCCACTTTTTAATGAGGTTGTTTTTTATTTTTTTCCCTTGTAAATTTGTTTAAGTACCTTGTAGATGTTGGATGTTAGACCTTTGTCAGATGGTTAAATTGCAAATATTTTCTCCCATTCTGTAGGTTGTCTGGTCATTCTGATGATAGCTTCTTTTGCTGAGCAGAAGCTCATTAGTTTCATTAGATCTCACTTGTCAATTTTTGCTTTTGCTGCAATTGCTTTTGGTGTCTTTGTCATGAAATCTTTGCCTGCGCCTATGTCCTGAAGGGTATTGCTTAGATTTTCTTCTAGGGTTTTTATAGATTTGGGTTTTACATTTAAGTTCTTAATCCATCTTGAATTAATTTTTGTATATGGTGAAAGGAGGGGTCCAGTTTCAATTTTCTGCATATGGCTAGCCAGTTCTCCCAGCATCATTTATTAAATAGCGAATCCTTTCCCCATTGCTTGTTTTGGTCAGGTTTGTCAAAGATCAGATGGTTTTAGGTGTGTGGTCTTATTTCTGGGCTCTGTACTCTGTTCCATTGGTCTATGTATCTGTTCTTATACCAATACCTTGCTTTTTTGTCACTGTTGTCTTGTAGTATAATTTGAAGTCAGGTAGTGTGATATCTCCAGGTCTGTTCTTTTTGTTTAGGATTGTCCTGTCTATTTGGACTCTTTTTTGTTCCACACACATTAAAAAAATTTTTTTTTCTAATTCTGTGAAGAATGTCAATGGTAATTTAATGGGCATAGCATTGAATCTATAAATTGTTTTTTCATGATATCAGTTCTTCCTATCCATGAGGATGGAATGTTTTTCCATTTCTTTGTGTCATCTCTGCTATCCTTGAGTAGTGGTTTGTAGCTCTCCTTGAAGAGGTCCTTCACTTCCCTTGTTAGCTGTATTCCTAGGTATTTTATTCTTTTTGTGGCAATTGTGAGTAGGAATTCATTTATGATTTGGCTCTCTGCTTGTCTACTGTTGGTGTATAGAAATTCTCATGATTTTTGCACTTTGATTATGTACCGTGAGACTTTGCTGAAGTTGCTTATCAGCTTAAGAAGCTTTTGAGCTGAGATGATGGGGTTATCTAGATATAGGACCACGTTATCTGCTAACAAACATAGTGTGACTTACTCTCTTCCTGTTTGAATACCTTTATTTCTTTCTCTTGCCTGATTGCCCTGGCCAGAACTTCCAATCCTATGTTGAATAGGAGTGGTAAGAGAGGGTATCCTTGTCTTGGGCCGGTTTTCAAGGGGAATGCTTCCAGCTTTTGCTCATTCAGTATGATATTGGCTGTGGGTTTCTTATGCCCTAGGATGCAAGGTTCAACATATGCAAATCAATAAATGTGATTCATCCCATAAACAGAACTAAAGACAAAAGCCACATGATTATCTCAAATGCAGAAAAGGCCTTCAATAAAATTCAACATCTCTTCATGTTAAAACCTCTCAATAAACTAGACATTGAAGGAACCTATGTTAAAATAACATTTTGTGTCTTTCTTTTCCATTGAATCTATTCAAAGCATCTTGATTTTCACTTCCTCTTTGAGTGAAGTGCTCCTGACACCTCAGCTCTGAATTCAGTGAGGGACCTCTTATGTGACACAGCATCTACTCTCTCAAGTGAGCAGACCAACCTCTGCTTGATATGGAATTGTACTGGCCTAAGAAGACTGTCTCCTAGGGAATATTTTCACCTTGTACTTACATTTAGTTCAGTTAGAAAATATAACTGACCAGGTGTGTTTCCTCACACCTGGAGCCCCAGCACTTTGGGAGGCAGAGGTGGGTGGATTGTTTGAGTCTAGGAGTTCAGGACCAGTCTGGGGAGCACAGCCCCATCTGTATATGAAAGAATTAAAAAATTAAGCCACCTACAATAACTATGTAATCATGTCAGTAATTGTTTAAATGTTTTCCACCCTTGAGCCAAGAGAATGCCACATGAATTCAAGAGTAATCCATCCAGTTTGCTGCTTGGACCTGAAAGCAGGGTGAGATTTGGGGTGACTGAGACATGGGAAGCTTTTCTAGGCTTCATTCTAGCAATTTAAAACTAGATTCTCATTGGTGTTTTGTAGCATACAAGGAATCTTGGAGCCAAAAATATTATTCCAGTCACCAGTGCCTAAAAATGCTTTAGAGATTTCTATTTTTGCCCCTCCCTCCCCCCAAAAAAAACAAAACAAAAGACTATCTGCTTCAGCTATGACTACCTAGAAAATGTGACTGTGCCTACTGTGGGCCTCTGTTGAACCATCTTGCAGCCCCCAAAGTTCTGTTGCCAGGCAGCACTTGTGTCCTTCCAAGCACTTACTGCCCATACGTAAGCCCTTGCCTTGTCTGTCCCTGCTTACAAGGGCTTCGCAGCAATCTTGAAGGCCCTCACAAGTTTCTTGTGCCTTTTGCTTATTGACATTCATGGGTACAGTCCTGCCTCTATAGAAACAACCACTGACCTATGAACAAAGCCACCACAAGTCGTGTCACAAAACCATATGCCCTAAGACTGCAAGCATCTTGCCCAGGCTCAGTAGTTAAGTATAAAAGGTGGCTCAGAATAGGCCTCTACAATCTGGAAAATGCCCGTCTCTCTTACTAAACAAATCCCAAGGCTGAGAATGACAGGATCTCTTCCCACCAAAAGCCTCTCCTTGTAAATATATAGCTCTCATACATTTGTTCTTTTGTTTTTAGTTCTTTTACATCTAAACCCATGCCCCAATTGTTTGTGTCTCTGAAAATTTGCTCTGGAACTTTAGACTCCCTCACTCCCTCCCCACTTAAATCTCCACACAGGGGAAGGCGTATACTTGTTCATAAACCCTTCTGCCAGTAGAGTTGCATCCAGGGGGAAGAGCATGGAGTTAAGTTTAGCATGGGGCCAGGTGCGGTGGCTCATGCCTGTAATCCCTGCACTTTGGGAGGCCGAGTGGGTGGATCATGAGGTCAGGAGATCGAGACCATCCTGGCCAGCATGGTGAAACCCAGTATCTACTAAGAATACAAAAATTAGCTGGGCGTGGTGGCACGTGCCTATAGTCCCAGCTACTCGGGAGGCTGAGGCACCAGAATCGCTTGAATCCAGGATGCAGAGTTTGCAGTGAGCCGAGATTGTGCCACTGCACTCCAGCCTGGGCAACAAAGTGAGACTCTTTCTCAAAAAATTATAGTAATAATAATAATAAGTTTATCATGACTCAATTATTCTTCCCAAATTTACTGATCACATAAGGCACGTCACTTCTTCCAGGATGGAGTGAGTTAAGGAGCAGAAGGAGGAACAGGAGTAGGAGTTGCATGCACATGGAAGAAAATAGATGTCCCCCCAACACAACCATTCATTAATATATTCAGGCAAATGAAAAGTTATTCTGTTCAATTAGATTTGGCGTATTTAGCAAATAAAAATATGGGACTCCTAGTTACATTTGTATTTCAGATAAACAGTGACTACTTTTTAAATGCAATTATATCCTGATATGGCTCCATGTCTCCACCCAAATCTCATCTTGAACTGTACTCCCATAACTCCCATGTGTTGTGGGAGGGACCCAGTGAGAAATAATTGAATCCTGGGGACAGTTTTCTCCATACTGTTCTTCTGGTAGTGAGTAAATCTCACGAGATCTGATGGTTTGATAAGGGGAAACCCATTTCGCTTGGCTCTCATTCTCTCTTTGCCTGCTGCCATTCATGTAAGATGTGACTTGCTCCTCCTTGCCTTCTGCCATGATTGTGAGGCCTCCCCAGCCATGTGGAACTGTAAGTCCAATAAACCTCTTTATTTTGTAAATTGCCCAGTCTTGTTACGTCTTTATCAGCAGCATGAAAACGAACTCATACATATCCCAAGTATTGTATGGAACATAATTATAGTAAAAATTATTTGTTTTTTATTTGAAATACAAATTTAAATGAGACCCTTGCATTTTATCTGGCAATCCTCTACTGAGTGTTAGGCACTGTGCTAGGTGCTAGAATAATGTGAATATGACATAGTTCCTGTCTTCAGAGAGAGACGTAGAAAAATGTAACATTTTTGGCTACAGATGAGCAATTAAATTCAAAATACTCTTTTCTGAGCATATCTTTCCAACCACAGGAAACAATACTTCAGAGTCATCAACAACATCGTCACCTTTGAGCATGAAGTATATTTGAGGTTTATTCATATTTTGAATTAGTCTGAAATGACACACTGAATCTCGAAGCTATCCATATCCCACTGAACCTTCCTTTTGTTGATGAGCATGCTGTCCTCAGAGAAATAAAAAATAAGCCCTAACCGCTCCCTTCCCTAAAGATACTTAGATCATTGAGGAATACCATCAAAGGGACAGGATGTTTCAGTTCACTGTGATCGGTTCTGGAGTGAAGGAAATCCAAGTGTTATTGATGCACATGAGAGGAACACCCAGCCCAAATGTGGGAGGTCAGAGAATACCTCTCAGTAGATGTGGCACCATACTCTACAATTACAAGTTTACAAAGACCCTGTAGTGTGGATTAACTGGGTATAGTTTAAATAAATAATTTAATTTAATTTAAATAAATTGATATAACCAATATATCTTCTCCAGAATATTGGAGAAATCTCTAACCAGGAATGACTAAGCACACATTGAAACACATCCAATCCTCTTCTATTGTCATCCTGTTCCTTACTGTTTGTTGGTCGTTCATTTGGCAAGTCCTTATTGACAAATTGGTATGTGACAAGTGCTCTGTTAGGCATTGAAACAAAATGAAGAACAAACCAGGCTTGTTCCCAAACCTTGTAATACTATCTAATGAGAAAAATAGGCATTATACAATCACATAAACATATAGAGAATGATAAAATTTGGTGACTTCCATGGGAGAAAGAACATAATAATATTTGTTAAAAAAGAGGACCCTCTTTCCATTACCTGCCAAGGTTGGGCACCCTGAGGATGGGACATTTGATCTGAGATCATCTCCCATTTCTAATGTAAAGGTATCTGAATGATGACAACTTTATCCTGGTAGGTAGATTCCCAAGAATGGCTTACCTCTAAGTCTAAAACACGCCTTCCTAACAGAAGTTATATCACCTTCAAAGGGGCAAGAATTGACTCTTGGGAAGATGAAAAAAACTAATTTTTTAATGTATCAAACACAGCTATACATGCAGCACATAAACACATACATAGTATATTTGTGGTATTAAATTTTCATGGAAAAAGGGGGTGGCTAAAAACAAAATTGTCTAAAAAAGATCCTTAGGGGAGCAATAACGAAAAAATGGTTGAGAAACACTGGTTCAGAGTTTTTATTCAATAGTCCCTCAAATAATACTTACTAAAGGAATGCTTTCAAGAAAGAACAGTTAGAGGTGCGGGGGATATAAGGGGTAAGAAAAGGGGCCCTTAAATGTTAGTGGGAAAGAAGACACGAAAGCAAACAAGGAAATAGAGAAAATAATTGCAAATTGTTATAAACACTGTGAAAAAAACACAAAGGACCTGAAACAAAATAATGGGGTGGAACCTCTTTGATTGCAAAGCCCTTTCTGAGAAGGGCTTTGGCTTTAAAAACGGTGGTACGCTTGCTGATTTATCTCCTAATTTGCAGATCTGGGTGAGATTACGGGAAGTCCTTGATCTGTACATTTGTATTATTTTCCTGTTCAGAAGCCTCATAACAACTTATGTGAAAGTCAAAAAGGCATATGCTTGACACCTTGACTGTGTGATTCACACCACGCTCATTAAGCTTGCCTACATTAGGAGCTGCATGCAGAACCAAAGGCTGTGTGAAGACAAGGTAGTGAAGGGGTTTCCCATATGAAAAATACAGAAAGAATTATTTGAATACTAGCAAATACACAACTTGATATTTCTAGAGAACCCAGGCACAGTCTTGGAGACATTACTCCTGAGAGACTGCAGCTGATGGAAGATGAGCCCCAACTTCTAAAAATGTATCACTACCGGGATTGAGATACAAACAGCATTTAGGAAGGTAGCCACATTCACATTTTCAGAGCCCAAAGCAAAATATGACACTAAGCTCTTCTTCCCTTTTCTGATTCTTGCAGGTCTCATCTGAGTAGCAGCTTCCTGCCCTCCTTCTTGGAGATAAGTCGGGCTTTTGGTGAGACAGACTTTCCCAACCCTCTGCCCGGCCGGTGCCCATGCTTCTGTGGCTGCTGCTGCTGATCCTGAGTGAGTAGATGGGCTATAATGGGGCCACGGCCTCAGTTCCTAAAGGTGACCAGGGAAAAACTCAAGGAGCTTCTATCTCTGCTTCTACTTGGGGTTCAGAGACAGATAGCAAGGGATGGGAAGTGAGCAGAGCTGGGTTCCCTGGACAACCAAGAGGCTCCAAATGCAACCATCAGAGCAAGCCAGATATCCTGACCTTGGTTTCTCACCCACTGCTTTTCTCACCTCATAGGAAACTTGGATTTTTCCTTCTGCCAAACCACAACTCTATATCCCACCCTCCCTCTTAAGCCTCAGACTAAATAATTTTTCAGATGAGCAGTTACTTCTAAAAACCTAGGCACGTGAAGGAAGGTTTACTGAGAAACATCACTGTTTTCTAGAAGTTTTAAGCCAAAATTTAATCAGAGATTGAAAAAGTGAGGGGAACAATAGGAGCCCAAGGAACGAAAGGAGGATAAACCATTTCTGTAAGTCCTTGTCTGCCTCTGCACTCAGAGAAGAGAAGGAGAGAATAAAGTGTGCCGTGGCCAAGTAAATAATAGCAGAGATGAGGTCAGGCCTTGGACATAAGCCATCACGTTTGTAAAATACATTATATGACATTTTCTTTGTTGTTTAGGGGCTCTGGATGATATAAAAAGGGAGCAAAGAAATGATAAGGAAAAACAAAAGAAGTGGTTGTGGTTAGGTTGTTAGAAAATGTTTCGGAGAGTGTCTGATTGTCATTTTCTGCTCCCTCACAGCTCCTGGAAGAGAACAATCAGGTAAGTTTCTCCTTCTCTCTGCCCCTCTGGTCTCTGGATATTGGTCCCCTCAGCCCACACAGCCTGCCCTAACCCTTGCAGGCACGCATCCCATCAGCAATGCTAATGCTCTGGGGTCACATCTGCTACTATATTGGGTGAACAGAGCCTCCTCCGACTTTTTCAGTCTCTAGGTTTTTTTTTTTTTTTCTCCCTACATTACCGGTATTCCTCAGACTACAGGAAGGAAACACTTGCAGAGCAAAGGACAGAGGCAAGAGGCTGATGATGAAGGAATCTCATATGTGATCTCCATATTCTCTAGTACATCTCCCTCTGAATGTCCAAGCTAGTGCTGCTATCAAAGGACATAGAAATAGATCCCATCCACGGAGGAAGATGCTACAGCAGAATCCTTATAAATCTCCAAAAAGAGCTCATGCCACTGCCACACCTCACTTCCATGCCTGTCAGTCAGTTGCAATTCCATACACAAGTCTGACTTCTCAGGCAACCCATCCTCCTCCATTTAAATTCTTTATATCCCTCCATTGTTTACTGTGTCCAACTTAAATGGAGAGTAAAGTTGCCTTCCCCATAGACTTTCAAAGCTAAGAGAGATATAAAAGTAATACAAGTGAGAAAATCTTATTCATTTTAAGTGTTAACAAGTAGGAAGTAATTTTCTGGAGTCTAGAAACTACTTCTGAGGTATATACATCCCAGGTTCACCTTTATCTGGACAGAAATGTATAGGACAAGAGAATTTCAGGATCAGCCACATTCTGAGGCCTTCGCAGTTTTTGCCCAATGGCAAATCACATCTCCTGAGCTTTTCTGAGGCTATGCCAGGAAACTGAGACCTCTCCCCTATAATACCCTTCTGCCCACCTCCAGGAAATGGATGAGGAAGAACAGATTCTTTCCCAGGCATTTCCCTAGGTTATTTCTGCTCAATTTTCCACCCTGGTCCTGACTGGAAATTAGTCCAGGAAAACTCCTGACTGTAGGTTGGGCTCCCCATGTGCTGTGCCCACCTCCCATTGACCTTCCCCTGCCTTCATCTTTCTATTTCCTGTTTAGGGGTGGCCCCAAAAGCTGTACTTCTCCTCAATCCTCCATGGTCCACAGCCTTCAAAGGAGAAAAAGTGGCTCTCATATGCAGCAGCATATCACATTCCCTAGCCCAGGGAGACACATATTGGTATCACGATGAGAAGTTGTTGAAAATAAAACATGACAAGATCCAAATTACAGAGCCTGGAAATTACCAATGTAAGACCCGAGGATCCTCCCTCAGTGATGCCGTGCATGTGGAATTTTCACCTGGTGAGGAATGGAAGGGGAGTGTCTAAAGTCAAGCCACCAGGCAGAATGCCTGAGGGCCGGGTTAATGCAGGGATCCTAGGCAGAGTTGTAAGCAGACATGGGGATTGATGCACTGACCCCAGTGGGGAAAATAAAGAGATAGGGCAGCAGCATGATGCTGGATTGTCTATCCATCTACCTCCAAAGAATTGTGGGTGACCCAGGGGCCATCAGGCAAAAAGGGGTTCAAGTCTGGGATTCCTCTTTTGTGAAAAGACATGTGAAGATTTCTCAAGAACATTTTCTGGGAATTGGTTCACCCTTGTAGGGCAAGGAAGAATCAGGTATTTGGGGCCACATGGCAATGTGGGTGGGGGCCATTTGCAGGTGTGTATAGAACTGTGGCTCTTGCCTCATGGGTGGAAATGAAAGTGAAGGCAGAAACAGCAGGGGATAACCTGAGTGTGCTCCTGTGCTCTTTGCAGACTGGCTGATCCTGCAGGCTTTACATCCTGTCTTTGAAGGAGACAATGTCATTCTGAGATGTCAGGGGAAAGACAACAAAAACACTCATCAAAAGGTTTACTACAAGGATGGAAAACAGCTTCCTAATAGTTATAATTTAGAGAAGATCACAGTGAATTCAGTCTCCAGGGATAATAGCAAATATCATTGTACTGCTTATAGGAAGTTTTACATACTTGACATTGAAGTAACTTCAAAACCCCTAAATATCCAAGTTCAAGGTAATGGCTAGATTCCTGTGGATTACTGGGTTTGTTAGGGAAACTGGGGATAAAGGGAAGATGTTTATCAGTGGGAATTTCATAAAGAGTCTCCTATGGCTCAGCCATGGGAGGGAGATGGTTCCTTCTGCATGCTTCTCTATCTCCTGATGGCTGGTGCTGAGATGACAAATGCATCTCTCTAGGAACTCTGAGCCTCACCACCCTGGAGACTATGTTGTTTCTTTTCATTAGAGCTGTTTCTACATCCTGTGCTGAGAGCCAGCTCTTCCACGCCCATAGAGGGGAGTCCCATGACCCTGACCTGTGAGACCCAGCTCTCTCCACAGAGGCCAGATGTCCAGCTGCAATTCTCCCTCTTCAGAGATAGCCAGACCCTCGGATTGGGCTGGAGCAGGTCCCCCAGACTCCAGATCCCTGCCATGTGGACTGAAGACTCAGGGTCTTACTGGTGTGAGGTGGAGACAGTGACTCACAGCATCAAAAAAAGGAGCCTGAGATCTCAGATACGTGTACAGAGTGAGTGTCTAAGGGGCTGCTCTTCCAGAGTCAGAGCTGGGGAGAGGAAGGCCAGTGATATCTCCTGCACCCCTAGGATGGTGGACATAACAGAGAGGAGTGTCCAGCTATTCTGGTAATCTTCTCTCTTTAAGCTCAACGTTGGTCTAACAGCCCTAGAACATTTTCTTCCACTTGAGTCAGGTAATAGTAATTATTGATCAGTTACTGATTGCCCAACCCTATGGGGTTACAGAGATGTACAAGATCGGTTCTCTCATGAATCAAGAGACAACTAGAAGCACAACTGAACACATGCAGTTTTAAGAGGCCCCTGTGGTGCTTCCATTTGGTAACCTGAACTCACAACAAAATAGTCCGAAAAGGGGAAGATGAATATGAACTGTAATAGTCAGAGAAAGACATGGAGACATGGATGTAAATCTGGAGAAGTCTTGAAGAATAGGAGAAGGGTTTGGATTCTATTTTGATCTTCAAAACAGAGGATCTCCAGTGTTCTCTTTTATTTTGTGGTTTATTGATGCATCAAAGATTCCTTAGAGATAAATGCATATAAAATGTGACCAGAAAACATTGGATTTATGGAGATTATGGACTTGGTGCCCACATTTCTCAAGGATGGGAATGTTGTGGGAGTGAGAGGGATGTTGCTTCCTTTATAATCGTATACACAATTAATTTCTTATTTCCTACTTTGGGCTTCTGCCTGCTGCACCTGCTGCTATTGGCCTATTCATGGTAGCTCCAGCCTTCCCCTTGACCTTGATGTCCCTGCCATCAGGACCTTCACATGCCATCTTGTGTTCCCCCAGGAGTCCCTGTGTCTAATGTGAATCTAGAGATCCGGCCCACCGGAGGGCAGCTGATTGAAGGAGAAAATATGGTCCTTATTTGCTCAGTAGCCCAGGGTTCAGGGACTGTCACATTCTCCTGGCACAAAGAAGGAAGAGTAAGAAGCCTGGGTAGAAAGACCCAGCGTTCCCTGTTGGCAGAGCTGCATGTTCTCACCGTGAAGGAGAGTGATGCAGGGAGATACTACTGTGCAGCTGATAACGTTCACAGCCCCATCCTCAGCACGTGGATTCGAGTCACCGTGAGAAGTAAGTTCCGATTCCTTTCACACAGCCTCGAGTTGCAAGCCAGGGTTTAGGTTCTCTGTCAGCCACTAAGGTCTCCTAAAAGAGGCACGGGGAGGGAGGGAGGGGAGGGGGGTGGGGACAGAGAGAGAGAGAGGGGGAGAGAGAGAGAGAGAGATATTTAAAAGCTATCCAAGAAATGGAAAGATGGCAAAATAAGTTGAAGCACCTTACTTCTTGCGGGGAAGACTGAGTGGTGATGAAAACAAAACTACCCAAGATTACCTCTCACTGTTTTGGGGAAATGCTTCTGATTGTTAGATAAGAAAAATGTGATCAGTGGGGAAACAGAAACAATCAAGGGACAAGGGACATATCCATTGCTAGGCTCCTTGAGAGAGGTTGTGCATCTGTCACAACGTCAGAATCCTCTGACAGCCCTTTTGTCTCCTTCAGTTCCGGTATCTCACCCTGTCCTCACCTTCAGGGCTCCCAGGGCCCACACTGTGGTGGGGGACCTGCTGGAGCTTCACTGTGAGTCCCTGAGAGGCTCTCCCCCGATCCTGTACCGATTTTATCATGAGGATGTCACCCTGGGGAACAGCTCAGCCCCCTCTGGAGGAGGAGCCTCCTTCAACCTCTCTCTGACTGCAGAACATTCTGGAAACTACTCCTGTGATGCAGACAATGGCCTGGGGGCCCAGCACAGTCATGGAGTGAGTCTCAGGGTCACAGGTAAGCAAGATATACCCACAGCAGTTAACAGCCAATACAACAGATCATGTCTTCTCAGAAATAGCTCCACTGGGCTATTTGCTGGTTGATATCCCAATAGACTTCCCACTCTTTCTGACTCCACCTGGGAGTTCTGGGATTCTTCCTAGTGATTACACATTTAGTAACTTAGACCATTCCTTTTTTTAATTCCTCTGTAATTATCATCAACAGCCATCCATATACCCCATTCATTTTTTTTTCTGGTAGAGGCACGAAGGCTTACCAGAATACCAAACACGTGATGGGTCAGCAATTACTGACAAAGGAAAATGGCACAGAAAGCCTTTATTTCTGAATTCCTTTGCCCAGGAAAAAAATGACTGGATCATCCCTTGCCACAGTTTTCTGCCCCTATCTCAATCTAAATTCCCACTTGGCTCCCTGGATCATTAAAGTGTCTCTCTTCATGGATACCCACTTCTGTGGGTTCTCTGTCAGCCACTAGGATCACAGCAGCAGGCCTCTTTCATGGCCTCCAGATTCTAGTGACCTATCTAACCTTCTCACTTTTTTCAAATGCCTTCTGATTGGGTCTCATTTAATCTGATGTTCTCAGTATCCCCTAACAAAATTTTCCTTCAGCAGAGGCACCAGGGCATCTCGTATTTCCCATGTCCAGCCCCTAAGAACAATTAGCAATGTGCCCAATCATTTAGAAGAGAACCTCCAGTCCAAGTCATGGTTATCCCAAAGGGCTCAGCATTTGGAGGATGGGAGAGGGCACTGGGACCTAGGAGAAGATGGCAAAATAAGAGAGATATGGTAATAATTCCCAGTCACACAAACCCATACATTCTCTGGATTTTGCCATGGACTCTTGTTCTCCAATGATTCCAGACTATTAGAACACTTATGACATTTTGGTTAATAATAATCCTTCCTATAGGCCAAACTTGGGTAATGATTTAAGGAGGTATTAAAATCTGGGAATGCCAGACAGTGTGCTGAAACAGAGACTCGAGTCTTGAACAAGAAAATATCATTTGTTTAACCTTGAATAAGTCTTCTTACTAGTCTTGTGCTTATTTTCCTCCCTTATAAAGTAATTGAGTCAGCAAATCATGGGGGTATAAGAATTCTGGATCTCGCACCACTCTCCATCAAAAGTATTTAACACATACCCCACATATATGTATATTAATAACATATATTTGTGTGTTAATTATATACATGTACTACTGTATTAACTTAATGGGCACATTACAAAACAAACAGAAAAAATAGAAATTAAATAAGGGGCCGGGTGCAGTGGCTCATGCCTGTAATCCTAGCATTTTGGGAGGCCGAGGTGGGCAAATCACTTGAGCTTAGGAGTTTGAGACCAGCGTGGGCAATATGGAGAAACCCCTGTCTCTACAAAAAAATACAAAATTCAGTTGGGCATGGTGGCATGCGCCTGTACTCTCAGATACTTGGGAGGCTGAGGTGGGAGGACCACTTGAACCCAAGAGGTTGAGACTGCAGTGAGCCAAGATTGCACAACTGCACTCCAGCCTGGGCAACAGAGTGATACCATGTCAACGAAAGGAAGAAAGAAAGAAAGAGAGAGAGAGAGAGAGAAAGGAAGGAAGGAAGGGAGGAAGGAAGGAAGGAAGGAAGGAGAGAAAGAAAATGAAATAAACAATATTTTAAAATCTTTGATTTAGAATATTTGACTAAAATTATTATAATTGAATATGCTTCATTTACTTTGAAAATCTTAGTTTACTTATGGTGGTACAATTATTTGAGGTTTGGTTCTGAGTTTGGCCTTATTCCTATTAGTTTTAGTGTCTGTTACTGCTTAAAGCTTTATCTTACCAATATATCTACATCCAAGTGGAAGCAGATCATCACTGCTGCTCTTTCAATTCCATGATACTCATTTTTCAATCCCATAGTCTAACTATGCAAGGGTTTTCATTGAAATTTGGTTAATAAGTTTATGTTTTTGTTGATGTTCATTAGTTGTTCTTGTAAAGTAAGTAGGAAGTGCTGCATGTTGAATTTCCTTTTTTTTTTTTTTTTTTTTTGAGATGGAGTCTTACTCTGTTGCCCTGGCTGGAGTGCAGTTGCACTATCTCAGCTCACTGCAACCTCCACCTCCCAGGTTCAAGCGATTCTTCTGCCTCAGCCTCTCCAGTAGCTAGGATTACAGAGGCAGGCTACCACGCCCTGCAAATTTTGTATTTTTAGTAGAGACGGGTTTTCGTCATGTTGCCCAGGCTGGTCTCGAACTTCTGAGCTCAGGGAATCTACCCGCGACAGCCTCCCAAAGTGCTAGAATTACAGGCATGAGCCACCACGCCCAGCCACTGCATGTTGAATTTCTATCGAACATGTTTAAACTTTGGTTGCCATGTTCTGTTTCCATGGATTTTTAAAGGTGCAGATATAAATTTTTAAAGTTGACATACTTACATTTTCTGGTAATAAGACGACATAGAAATGTAAATATTTTTAAACAACTATTTTCCAAAATATTATCTCCATAGCATAAGTTTAGAAAAGCATTAGCAATATGAAATACTGTTAAAAGTCACTTTTTAAAGTGTTTGCTAAGTATTAACATTGTCAGTAGCCACTGATCACCAAAAAGTCAACAAAAATTAAATACTAATCTTTCTTCATGGAAAAACACGTAACGTATCTTTACATTTAATTCCTCTTTTTAGAACTTTGCCACAAAATAAGTGAACTTTCATGTGATACAAAAAGGTTTGAGGTCACTCCCCAATCTCATTACAAAGCATTGTAAATCTTTTATGATTTGGCCAGGCACAGTGGCTCATGCCTGTAATCCCAGCACTTTGGGAGGCCAAGGAAGGATTGCTTGAGCCCAAGAGTTTAGACCAGCCTGGGCAACATGGGGAAACCCTGTCTTTACTAAAAATACAAAAGAATAGCAAGGCGTGGTGGCATGATCCGGTAATCCCAGCTACTCTGGAGGCTGAAGAAGCAGGATCACTTGAGCCCAGGAGGTCAAGGCTTCAGTGAGTCATGATTGCACCACTGTACTCCAGGCTGGGCAACAGAGTGAGACCCTGTCTCAAAAAAACAAAAAAAGAATACAGAAATTAAATTAAAAAATAAAAAATATATTTTATGATTTAAATTAAAATAATCTGTAAAAACACTTAAGTAGCCAATTAAAAGGGCATTATGTTCCATATGCTGAGAGTTAACTAACAAGCCAAGGCACTGCTGTCCCACCCTCCGTGCCTGGGTGGCCCTGCCTTCATAAAAAACGCTGTCCTATCCCAATACACAGTGTGACATCTACCTGAGCAAGAGCACCACCATGAATATTAGTAAAGCTGAATATCTTTTTAAATTTCAAGCTCAAAAAGAAATACTCTTAAATGTTCTCATATTTTCTTCTTACACTTCAATCTGGTGTCTTATAGCCCATCTTGGAGACCACTTAAGTTGACAATAACCATGGTCTTTTTCAGTCTTCAAGTTCTTTGATTTTAGGGGAATATGCATTCAGAACCAGAGGTCCCATGAGCCCTAGAGGAGGGGATGCAAGAGGTTGGAAATCTCTCTTTCCAGAATACGAACACCCAGAGACATGAGTGAAAGGCACAGTGAGATCACAAAGCACCATACAAAAGACTCACCCCTGAGGCCCTCTGCATCCCGCCCAGGTCACTTCATATTTAGAGGCTATACAGAAGGGACAAATTCAAACCATCTGTTTCAATTTAGCAGGAACTCTACACTTCCAATATCAGGACTTGGCACCTCTATCCTGATGAGGCAGCTGGTGCTATCTTTCTTGCAGCCAGCAGATGGCTCATTTTCAAGTTTAATCATTGCCATTCAGTGAATAGTTTCCACATTCACACTCATTCCCTTTAGCCCATCTGCGATGGAAAGCAGAGCTTAAGATCCTTATCAAGTTACCCTTGCCAATAAAGCACACGGCTTATATCTAAAGCACTACACACAGATTGGTTCATCCAGTTTTCCTCACAACTTTGCAGAACCAGCAATCTTACAGTTAACATTCGATATTAAGGGCTTTCTATTCTTCCCACTATGCCATTTCTTTAATTGTTCATTAAAATAGAAATCATTGTTGCTAGAGCTATATCTGGATTTTTTTTGACAGTTTGGTTCACTTCAGTTTTCCATTCAATCATCAATTATTGAGCATAAATTTTATATGCCAGGCAAAGTTCCAACAGCTATAAATACAGCAACGAACAAACAGATAATTCTCCATCCTATTGGGGAATCATATAAAACAATGATGATAGATAGATACATACATACATACATACATACATACATACATACATAGACAGATGTCAGGTAGTGCTAAATGCTATGTAGAAAAATAAAGCAAGGTGATTAGGTAGAGAGTAATGGGTCCTGCCTTTAGATAGGTATGGAAGTCTCAGTCTTAGAGCTAAGATTCAGGTGTAGGAATTTTAGAAACCTTGATTTTAGCTATATTTTTATCAATAATAATAACCAATTTTTATAGTACTTTACATGCAATATGATTTTTATTACAATAGCTTGAGATATAATGTATCATTAACTCAGTTTTACAGAGGAATAAACTAAGACTTAGAGAAATTAAAAAGTTCTTAAAAAATCAAGCTTATAGAGCTAATAAAGGATAGAGACAGGATTGAAGCCCAGGTTCTCCAGAATCCAGGTGCATGTTCCCGCAACTCAACTATGCTGCATATTCCTTTATTAAGTTCTCTTGTATACCTACTTAAGTAAAACTGCCAGTGAACTATTTTTCCTCCCTCAGTTCCGGTGTCTCGCCCCGTCCTCACCCTCAGGGCTCCCGGGGCCCAGGCTGTGGTGGGGGACCTGCTGGAGCTTCACTGTGAGTCCCTGAGAGGCTCCTTCCCGATCCTGTACTGGTTTTATCACGAGGATGACACCTTGGGGAACATCTCGGCCCACTCTGGAGGAGGGGCATCCTTCAACCTCTCTCTGACTACAGAACATTCTGGAAACTACTCATGTGAGGCTGACAATGGCCTGGGGGCCCAGCACAGTAAAGTGGTGACACTCAATGTTACAGGTGTGTTAATAGTACCTGGGCTAGAGGTCACAGTTATGGTAAATAAAATAGTTATCTGACAGATTGTACAAATTCTACTAGCACCAAGGAGGTTTTGAACATGCACACGAAGGCTTGGGACTTCTGGAGATTGGTACTGATTTTATATGGGAGAGGGAAAGGAAATACATTTTAATCTTAGATGCTGGAGAATACCTTTCATATGCCATAGTTTTGAAAATTACAAATGATGCTACAGGAGGAATCAGAAACTGGAACACACTCACCCTACTTGCATGATTTTGTCTGTATCCAAAACCTGTGCCACTGAAACTCAAGTACAGCTCCCTCCACTCAGGAACTTCCAGGAACAGAACAGGCCTTACCGCTGCGGGAATCACGGGGCTGGTGCTCAGCATCCTCGTCCTTGCTGCTGCTGCTGCTCTGCTGCATTACGCCAGGGCCCGAAGGAAACCAGGTGGGTGTCTAGGTCCTACCTTGTGATGTGATTTTGCCGTTGCTATAATAATTTGAAGTTGTCTGGTGCACCCTATAAAGGTCAAGTATTCCCTTCCAAGTACTAGGCCCTCAGTTCCACTACTCACTGTCACTCTGTAGGCAATTGTAGCAAAAACAATAGAATAAACTTCTCAATAAAATTTTTACCTCATGTGTTTAATTTGAGATTTATATTAGGTAGCAGAGTTTTGCTTCCAATTAAAAATTAGAAAATTAATTAACTCATGTTCTATCTCCCTAAGAAAGTCCTTCATTTGTAACAAAAAATAAATAAATCATCATAGAGGTGACCATAAACTCCGAGATATATTTGAATGCCAGCTAAATGTAGTGAAATTGGATAAAATAAATAAAGAATGCCAAAAATGAGATTAAAAATTCAATTTCCGATTGTTGCTAGTGTATAGAAACACAACTAATTTTAATATTAATTTTATATCCTGAAATCTTGCTAGACTGACTTATTAGTTCAGTATCTCTTTTGCAGATTTCATCAGATGTTCTATATAGATGATCATGTTGTCTGCAAAGAAAGATAGTTTAACTCTTTCCTTTCCAATATTAATTTCTTTTACTTCTTGTTCTTGCTTAATTGCACTGGTTAGAACCTCCTGTACAATGCTGAGTGCAAGTGGTGAGAGAAAATATTCTTATCACATTCCAGATCTTAGGGGGAAAGTATTCAATCTCTCCCCATTACAGATTACTTTAGCCATGGGTTTTTTTCAATGCTGTTTATCTGGTGGAGGAAGTCCCTCCTATTCCTAATTTGCTGAGAGATTTTACACAAATAAATTTTTGTAAAATGATTTTTCTACATTTATTGAGATAGTAATGAGATTTTTTTTAGTCTATTGATAAGGTGAATTTTGAATGTCGAAGTAGCCTTATATTTCTGGGGTCAACCCAACTTGGTCATGACTGTTGATTTGATTTGCTAAAATTTTGCAAAGGATGTTTACGTCCATGTTTATGAGGAAAATTTGTTGTTAGCTTTCATTTCTAGAAATGTCTTTTTATGATTTGGTCTCAAAGGAATACTTACTCAGTTACCACTTCCAGAATTTTTCATTCCTTTTTATATAGCCATATTTTCACCTGGTATCAATTTTGTTCTGCCTGAAGGACCTTTTTTTTTTTTTTAACATTTCTTACAGTATGACTGCCTGCCAGTGAATTTGATTGATAATGTTTCTCAATTCCTCTATATCCTTACTGATTTTTTGTCTACCTGATCTATCAATTACTGAGATAGGGGAATTAAAATCTTTAACTGTAATTGTGAATTTATCCATTTCTTCTGCAATTCTATCAAGTTTTGCTTCCAGAATTTGGAATTGCTCATTATTAGGTGGATAAGTGTTAAGAATTTTCATGTTTTTGATGAATTATCCACTTTATCCTTATGAAATGACCCTCTGTATCCCTGGTTGAATCACTTACTGTGAAACAGTCTTTGTCTAATATTAATATGTTAATATAATTAGTGTTAGCATGTGATTTTTTTCCATCCTTTTGCTTTTAGCCTATTTGTACCCCTATATTTAAAGTTAATTTTTAATAGATAGCATGCAGCTAATTCTTGCCGGTTTTGTTTAGTTTAATATTGTAGTCTGCCTTTAAAATGAGGTGTTTAGACCATTTGCACTAGTGTAATTATTGATATGATTAGGTTTCATGTCTATTTTGCTATTTGCTTTCTATTTGTCACATCTATTTTTTGCTTTACTTTGACTTATTTTTGGAATAATTGATTTTTTAATTCTATTTTACTTCCTTTGTTAGTATAATAGCCATAACTTTTTAAAAATTTTCAACTTTTATTTTAGATGTAAGGGGTAAATGTGTGGATTGGTTACATGGTTATATTGCATGATATTGAGATTTGGGGTACAGATCCTGTCACCCAGATAGTAAGCATAGTACCCAATAGGTAGTTTTTCAACTCACACATTCCTCCCCATCTCCCCCATCTAGTAGTCCACAGTGTCTGTTGTTCCCATGTTTATGTCCATGTTTGCTCAATGTTTAGGTCCCACTTATAAGTGAGAACATGTGGTATTTGGTTTTCTGTTCTTGTGTTAGTTGGTTTATGATTATGGCCTCCAGTTAAATCTATGTTGCTGCAAAAGACATGATTTCATTTTTTTATGTCTGCGTAGTATTCCATGGTGTATATGTACCACATTTTCTTTATCCAGTCTACCACTGGTGGGCACCTAGATTGATACCATATCTTTGCTATTGTGAATAGTATGGCAATGAACATATGAGTGCATGTGTCTTTTTGACAGAATGATTTATTTTTTTGTGAGCGTATACCAATAACAGAATTACTAGGTTGAATGGTAGCTCTATTATAAGTTCTTTGAGAAATCTCCAAACCCCTTTCCACAGTGGTTAAACTAACTTAAATTCCCACCAACAGTGTATAAGCATTCCCTTTTCTCCTCAGCCTCACCAGCACCTATTGTTTTCTGACTTTTAAGTAATAGCCATTCTGACTGGTGTGAGATAGTATCTGATGGTGGTTTTGATTTCCATTTCTCTGGAGATTAGTGATGTTGAGCATTTTTTTATGTTTGTTGGCTGCTTGCTTGACTTCTTTTGAGAAGTGGCTGTTCATGTCCTTCACTTATATTTTAATGGGGTTATTTGGTTTTTGCTTGTTGATTTGTTTAAGTTCCTTACAGGTCTCAACATTAGACTTCTGTCAGATGCATAGTTTCCTAATATTTTCTCCCATTCTATAGGTTGCCTGTTTACTCTGTTGATAATTTCTTTTGCCGTGCAGAAGCTCTTTAGTTTAATTAAGTCACACTTGTCAATTTTTGTTTTTGTTGCAATTGCTTTGGGAACTTAGCCAAAAATTCTTGGCCAAAGCTGATGTCAAGGATTGTATTTCCTAGGTTTTCCTCTAGGAATTTTATAGTTTGGAGTCCTACATTTAAATCTTTGATCCATCCTGAATTAAGTTTTGTATATGGTGAAAAGTAGGGGTCTAGTTTCAGTTTTCTGAATATGGCTAGCAAGTTATCCCAGCACCATTTATTGAATAGACAGTCATTTCCCCATTGCTTCTTTTTGTTAGCCTTGGCAAAGATCAGATGGTTGTAGGTGTGAATCTTTATTTCTGAGTTTTCTATTCCATTCCGTTGGTCTATGTGTCTGTTTTTGTATCAGTACTATACTATTTTGATTACTGTAGGCTTATAGTATAGTTTGAAGTTGTGAGGTGTGATGCCTTCAGCTTTGCTGTCTTTGCTTAGGAATGCTTTGGCTATTTGGGCTCTTTTTTGGTTCCATATGAATTTTAAAATAGATTTTTCTAATTCTGTGAAGAATGATATTGGTAATTTGATAGGAATAATATTGAATCTGTAAATTTCTTTGGGCAGTATGGCCATTTTAACAATATTAATTCTTCCAATCTATGAGCATGCAATATTTTTCCATTTATTTGTGTTGTCTTTATTTCAGCATTTTTTTTTTTAATTTCTCGCAGAGATCTTTCACCTCCTTTGTTAGCTGTATTCCTAGGTATTTCATTTTCTTTGTGGCTATTCAAAATGGAATTGTACCATTGATTTAACTCTTTGCCTGACTTTGTTGATGTATAGAAATGCTACTGGTTTTTGTACCTTAATTTTGTGTCCTGAAACCTTACTCTTGGCAGAGTCTTGAGGGCTTTCAAGTTAGAGAGTCATGCAGTCAGTGAAAAGAGAAAGTGTGACTTATTTAGCTATTTGGGTGCTTTTTATTTCTTTCTCTTGCCTGGTTGCTCTGGCTAGGAATTTCAGGACTATCTTGAATAGGCGTAGTGATAGTGGACATGCATAGTTGTGTCCCTTTTTCATTAATTAAAAAAAATTTTTTTATTTATGCATTAATTTTTATCTTTACCCAGGAGTTATTCAGGAGTAAGTTGTCTAATTTCCATGTATTTGTTAGTTTTGAGAGATCTTCTTGATATTTATTTCTATTTTTATTGCACTGTAGTCTAAGAGTGTACTTGGTATGATTTTTTAAAAAAATTTATTGATATCTGCTTTATGGCCCAGCATATGGCTGATCCTAGGATATGTTCCACATGCAGGTGAGAAGAATGTATATTCCATAGTTGCCGGATAGAATATTCTGTAGATGTGTGTTAGGTCTATTTGGTCAAGTGTCAAGTTTCTTTGTCAGTTTTCTGACAAAGTCCAGAGTTTCTTTGTCAGTTTTCTGCCTCGATGATCTGTCTAACTCTGTCAGTGGGATATTGAAATCTCCCACTATTATTGTGTGACTGTCCAGGTTTTTTTGTAGATCAAGAGGAACTTGTTTTATGATTCTGGGTGCTGCAATGTTGGGTGCATATATATTTAGAATAGTTAAGTTTTCTTGTTGGAAGCAATAATTATTTGTTTTGTTACTCTGGTGATTGCTTTAGGGCTTATAGTATACATCTTCAACTTATTGCTGTTTTCAAGTGAAATTATATTACTTATAGAAGGCTAGTCACACCTCCTACTTCCAAAATTACTTTTCTTTTTTTCCTCTCATTGTTTATCTGGGATGCCATTTTCTAATCTATAACATACTAAAAGAAGACATTTGAATCTCAGTGTTGAGGTTGTCAGTCAGCACAGCACCAGGAGAGAAAACTGACAATCATTTCACATGATCCATGTGAACAGAAGCCCAGGTGGTCTGTCCCCCAGACTTAGGGGAAGTGTTATTTTAAATAACAAACTCACTAAGGAATTAGGACAGTTCACCAAGCAGAGGGTCTGTGCTCTTCTTTTCTCAAAATCTTGCTTATTGTACCTCCTCATAGCAAAGTCTCCCTTCTCACCATTGACAAGACTTCTCAGGAAGAAGCTCAGACCTTCTACATTTTTCTAAAAGTTAAGGGCTCTGCTCCTTGCCTGAGTGAATCACTCCTAAAAGGAATGATAGGTTTTTTGACTCTATAGTAAATCTGGCTGTGTTGAAATTCCAGTAACAAAACTTGCCAACTTGATATTGGGCAAATAAGTTAAACTCACTAAACTCAGTTTCTTCATCTATGAAGTGGTTATAATAATAACAGTATCTACCTTTTAGGTACTATGACACAACCTAGGTAAACTGCTTAGCACCGTGCTGGCCCATATGTCTTCAAGGAATATTAGCTTGTATAATAAATAGCCACCTGTCTAGGTCTCAGTTTTCTCTTTTACAGATAAGGAGATAGACTGACTCCCAGATGCATTCTAGGTCGGAGCTAACCACCCACAGAAAAGATACTGGTTATTGACTGATGTGGATTGTGATTGCTCTGAGGAGATTCAGGACCAGATCCTGATCATACCCCTCTAGCTTAACTCAGGAGTCCCACTCCCTGAGGAACAGGGAGTTACTCAGTTATTTTTCATGAGAGTCAAGGCTGGTATGTTTATTTTGAGCAACGACTTGCATTCTCTAAGCCAATGAGACCGATTAGAGCCACAGATTTTAAAAAGGCAAAGGACAAGGATGGGAACCTGGATAAGGCTTGTATTGGGGCAAGCCTGAAAGATTCAATATTTCGGTGATGACGGAAACTTGCCATATTTTTAAGTCTGATAGATTTGGCTTCAAGGATAGACTTCTAACAGGCAATCTCCTTTTAGAAAATTGTCAATTTGTTATTTTTAAGTCCTCAAAGTAAATACTTTGTTCAGTTGTTTAACACATCTTTGTTGAATATTTTTAACTGCTAAGCATGATATTAGGAATACAAAAAAATTTAAGATGAGGTTTACAGCCTCAAGTAGCACACCCTTTCATGAAAGAGAGAAATAGAGGCAAATAGAAATAAATAATTACGAAACAATATAGTAATTTTAATATTACATGGTCTTATGTGCATGGAGACAGTTTACTTAATCCAGCCTGTTGGCATCAGGGACAGCTCTGGAAGAAAGATAAATCGGAGCTAGCCAAGTGAAAGAGAAGGAGAGAAGAGGTGTGGAAAAGCCATTACATACCCACATGATTTGCAGTTCAGTGTTGCTGGAATAGACTTGCAGGGGTGAGGGGTCACAGTTAGAGAAAGAGAAGGTAGAGCTTATCATGGTAGTCCCATTGATTCATATTAGTGAAGGAATTCTGTATCCATTTTGAGCATCCCTTGGCCCCTCTAGGCCTCAGTCTCCTTGTCTCCACTTTGTAGGGCTGCAGTCAGGATGAAGAAGTGGGTTTGAGGGGAGCACCTGACCCAGGTTGTGACCTACTCAGTCACAACTACTTAGAGTTGCTATTCACCTATTACTGATTGAAAAATGATTCAGAATGAGTGTGACTCTGGGCAAATGCCTTTCAAGACCCCACCTTCCTGACCTATAACATAACATAGGGGGAGTAAGGAGGGTGGAGCTGGATAATCCTTGAGTTTTTCCGTAGCTTAGATCTAGAATGAATCTGATTTCTAGGAAAAAATGTTCTAACAGAGAGTTCATTATTTACACAGCTCACTTACCACCAACCTTCCTTTGTTTGTTTTGCAGGAGGACTTTCTGCCACTGGAACATCTAGGTGAGGTCTCTGCTTCTTGTGCTGCCAACATTTTCATGATTTATTTATATGCACGAGACTTGTTTATGTTTTTTTTTAAATTTCAATGGATTTCCTAGTAGCATTTTTACGTTCTTACAAAATAAAAAAGTAGATATAAGTGAATGTCACTTTCACTTATATTTGTGAACGATATTCACTGTCTCTACTTAAACACAATACATGTTATTGGCTATCTATGTTAATTTATCTACTTCCTTAAATGTGTTCCAGCAGAGACTTGACCACTAATGTCTTAATGGCATTACCTTTCATAGGGCTACAGTGCATTCATTTCCTTCTTCCTCATTCTTCCACTCATTTGGGAAATTATTATTGAATGCTGGCAATGTTCAATTCACAATATTAACTGCAGAAGGAAATGAAATTGGAAAAAAATCCACTTTACTTGAAGAGCTCGCATGGCATCTTGCAGGAAAGGTAGATTATTGTAATATGAGGTGTAAAACTGAAAGGGACCTTTTAAAAAAGACAAGGTTTAAGTTCTGTAAGAATGCAGAGGTCTTTGTGTATCAGTGTTTAATCATTTACATCTTCAAAAATAACATTTAAAATTAGTCAAATATGAGTTTTTGCCTTTCAAAGAGGCCCTGAGGCTGCTGGCCCTCTGGCCTTGCCTTGGCTGTCCTGTTTTGTAATGCTTCCCTGGGCTTCACCTTGTGCCATAAGTCTTCTGATACTTTATTAATAAATGGTGCTGGGAAAACTGGCTAACCATATGTAGAAAGCTGAAACTGGATCCCTTCCTTACACCTTATACAAAAATTAATTCAAGATGGATTAAAGACTTAAATGTTAGACCTAAAACCATAAAAACCCTAGAAGAAAACCTAGGCAATACCATTCAGGACATAGGCATGGGCAAGGACTTCGTGTCTAAAACACCAAAAGCAATGGCAACAAAAGCCAAAATTGACAAATGGGATCTAATTAAACTAAAGAGCTTCTGCACAGCAAAAGAAATTACCATCAGAGTGAACAGGCAACCCACAAAATGGGAGAAAATTTTCGCAACCTACTCATCTGACAAACGGCTAATATCCGGAATCTACGATGAACTCAAACAAATTTACAAGAAAAAAACAAACAACCCCATCAAAAAGTGGGCAAAGGATATGAACAGACACTTCTCAAAAGAAGACATTTATGCAGCCAAAAAACACATGAAAAAATGCTCATCATCACTGGCCATCAGAGAAATGCAAATCAAAACCACAATGAGATACCATCTCACACCAGTTAGAATGGCGATCATTAAAAAGTCAGGAAACAACAGGTGCTGGAGAAGATGTGGAGAAATAGGAACACTTTTACACTGTTGGTGGGACTGTAAACTAGTTCAACCATTGTGGAAGTCAGTGTGGCGATTCCTCAGGGATCTAGAAGTAGAAATACCATTTGACCCAGCCATCCCATTACTGAGTATATACCCAAAGGATTATAAATCATCCTGCTATAAAGACACATGCATACATATGTTTATTGTGGCACTATTCACAATAGCAAAGACTTGGAACCAACCCAAATGTCCAACAACAATAGACTGGATTAAGAAAATGTGGCACATATACACCATGGAATACTATGCAGCTGTAAAAAATGATGAGTTCATGTCCTTTGTAGGAACATGGATGAAACTGGAAACCATCATTCTCAGCAAACTATCGCAAGAACAAAAAACCAAACACCGCATGTTCTCACTCATAGGTGGGAATTGAATAATGAGAACACATGGACACAGGAAGGGGAACATCACACTCTGGGGACTGTTTTGGGGTGGGGGGAGGGGAGAGGGATAGCATTAGGAGATATACCTAATTCTAAATGACGAGTTAATGGGTGCAGGACACCAGCATGGCACATATATACATATGTAACAAACCTGCACATTGTGCAGATGTACCCTAAAACTTAAAGTATAATAATAATAAAATTAAAAAAAAAGACCCAAGCAGAAGCAGACACAATATTTTTACTTGAATCATGCTGGACTGGAGGACTTCCAGAATATTGATTTCCCTGAAATTCTGTGTAACCCACAGATACTTTTTAATCCATTCTCTCCCCCTCTGTCACAGTCACAGTCCTAGTGAGTGTCAGGAGCCTTCCTCGTCCAGGCCTTCCAGGATAGACCCTCAAGAGCCCACTCACTCTAAACCACTAGCCCCAATGGAGCTGGAGCCAATGTACAGCAATGGTGAGGACTCCCTAGGGGGCAGAAGGCTCTAGGGAGGAGCCAGGGAGGGAAGAGGGATTGAGCGACAGCCCATGGCCCTGTCACAAATTTAAAAATGACATTCCTAGCATTACACTGGGAATAGAAGTTGGTTATGAATTTGGTGATTGGGAAGTAGAGTCTAGAATATGAGCTCTTGACTGCAACCAACTATGATATCTTCTCTCACAGTAAATCCTGGAGATAGCAACCCGATTTATTCCCAGATCTGGAGCATCCAGCATACAAAAGAAAACTCAGGTAAGATGCCTTTCAGGCAAATAGAGGTGAGGTGGCAGTGTTTTATTGAAACGGGCAAGGGGTCTTTGATCAGAGTTATTTCAAATACAAGCCCAACACGCAAGGCATTACTTGCCTCCCATAGTGTCAGCTGTAGAATCTATCCATTTCTTCTTACCTTTACATACTGCCACCATGATCCCATAAATTCTTTGAGGACAGACACTGTGACTTTTTCACTAATGTATTCACAGCATTTAGCTCAATGCTTGGAAAACTGTAGGCCCCCTAAAATATTGTTTGAATTAATGAGTGAATAATCAAATGTGGAGACAATTGTCATTCTTTTAACTGGTCTCTTTATTTCTACTACTGTTCTCCTCCAGCCTTCCCAAAATCTATTTCCAGCATGATCCCTTTGAGGTGCTCTATTGTTCACATCAGTGCCTAGATTAACTGCCCTCAATGACACCCATTCCAAAGCATGATCTTTGCCTTCTGCACGCTGGCTCCTCCTGCAAGCTTTGCCTAATGTTCTTCCTCTAGCCATACTGAACTCTTGGCACCTTTATGCTTGGTGCTCATGTTTCTTACTGGTCTTGAAATGTCCTTTCCTCTAGTCTACTTGGTGACCCCTACTCATATTTCAAGACATAGATCAGGTAACAGTGAAACTCACACTGATGCCAACTACCCTTTCCATATTCTAATCTGGGAGGAGACATTTATTCTTTATGGTAACAACATAGTTCAATATGTATTTCTGTCTTGGTGCCCATAATGCTTGTTGCATTTATTTCTATGTCCATTTCTCCCCTTCAAAATTATAGGATTCTTGATCACATGAACTGAGTTTCTGTCATTTTTTTTTTTTTTTTTTTTTTTTTTTTTTGTGAGATGGGGTCTCGTTCTGTCGCCCAGGCTGGAGTGCAGCAGTGCGATCTTGGCTCATTTCAACTTCTGCCTCCTGGGTTCAAGGGATTCTCCTGCCTTAGCTTCCTAAGTAGCCGGGATTACAGGCATGCATCACCATGCCCAGCTAAATTTTGTATTTTTAGTAGAGACAGGGTTTCACTATGTTGTCCAGGAGTTTCTGTCATTTCTATCTCCTTATACCTTACCTAATGCCTAATAGAAGGCATTGCTTATTGGCTGCACAAATAAATAAAAGAGATACAAACAGCCCCTTGGAAAGGTAGAAAACATACACACACACTAAATTTTCTCAATGCTCCAATGCAACTCTTTGGCTTCCTGGGAAATTGTCATGTGGCCTTAGAATGCCAATCTCCTCTCTGGTCTCTTCCAATTTCCCTGTGCAAGTGAAGTGACTCATATCTGCCTCCTTCTCCCAGAGGATCAATACAGCCATAGAAGTCTGCAGTGGATTGGGGGTGGGTGCCCCTCTGGGGTTATAATGAGCAGAGGAGCAAGAAGGAAATTGTCATGAAAATAGTTCTGGGCATTTGGTGGGCAGAGGAAAGTCTTTATTAGTGTTTGTGCTTGGGGCAGTACTTTTTCTATTTGGGTTTGGAAGAATCCAACAGAGGAAACAGTCAAGAGATCAAGCAAATCAAGAAGATTGGCTTGGAGTACTTTTTCTATGTGGGTTTGGAAGAATCCAGCAGAGGAAACAGCAAGAGATCAAGCAAATCAAGAAGATTGGTTTGGAATGCAGTGTGCGTACGTTGTAAGTTGGAATATATTGCCCACAGTTTAATACTTTTCTTTGCTACTCCTACCCAACAGCTAATTGTCCAATGATGCATCAAGAGCATGAGGTGAGTCACATTTCTTGGCTTTCTTTCCTCTCTGGCCTTCCTCTCCTGTATTTAGGTACTTACCTTTTGTGTTTTTTTCTACCAGGAACTTACAGTCCTCTATTCAGAACTGAAGAAGACACACCCAGACGACTCTGCAGGGGAGGCTAGCAGCAGAGGCAGGGCCCATGAAGAAGATGATGAAGAAAACTATGAGAATGTACCACGTGTATTACTGGCCTCAGACCACTAGCCCCTTACCCAGAGTGGCCCACAGGAAACAGCCTGCACCATTTTTTTTTCTGTTCTCTCCAACCACACATCATCCATCTCTCCAGACTCTGCCTCCTACGAGGCTGGGCTGCAGGGTATGTGAGGCTGAGCAAAAGGTCTGCAAATCTCCCCTGTGCCTGATCTGTGTGTTCCCCAGGAAGAGAGCAGGCAGCCTCTGAGCAAGCACTGTGTTATTTTCACAGTGGAGACACGTGGCAAGGCAGGAGGGCCCTCAGCTCCTAGGGCTGTCGAATAGAGGAGGAGAGAGAAATGGTCTAGCCAGGGTTACAAGGGCACAATCATGACCATTTGATCCAAGTGTGATCGAAAGCTGTTAATGTGCTCTCTGTATAAACAATTTGCTCCAAATATTTTGTTTCCCTTTTTTGTGTGGCTGGTAGTGGCATTGCTGATGTTTTGGTGTATATGCTGTATCCTTGCTACCATATTGGGAACAGCCAAAAGAAGTTATAGAACAAGAATTTAAGGTGACTCTATCTGAAGTGTATTTTTGTACTTACAGGGTGACATTCCCAACCAAATTACCCTAGTTATGATGAAAAATAACTTCAGCATTTCATTAAAGACTCTGCTAGTTTAATATGTGACTTGTATCCCCACTGCAAAGACCTTATGTGTGAAGAATCACATTAATTGTAATTTTTGCTTCATGACATAGTCTCATCATTTGCCATACATGATAGATTTCTAGTCAGTCAGTTTTATTCTTATAAGCACCCATTAACCCCGAGACAATAACCTACTATATCTATGTGGCTTCTCCCATTCTCTTCCTCTACCTCACTCCATCTGATAAAAAACCATTCTAAATCTCATGTTCATTATTCCCATGCTCTCCTATTTCTATCATATTAATGTATCTACATGTTTTCCTTAAATATGTTTTTATATTAGTTTTAACTATAAGTTAAAGACCATATTGTTGTAGATAATTTTTTTTAGTACTTTCTCTTCATGTTGTATTTCTAAGATTCATCCATATTGTTGCGTGTTGCTATAGTTCATTTGTTTTTATTGCTGTTTAGTATTTACTTGTGTAAAATATCTGGCTTAATGTTTTCCTAGCTATCACCATCAAAAACTCTTTCCACAGTGTGTTGAATTTTTAATATGACAAAAATGAAAATGTACCAACAATTTTCAGTGACTTCACCTCCATTCTGAAATCCTGATGTTTCCAAATATCTCTGAACACCTCAAGTCCTAGGGACAACTGAGATTATATTAACATTAATCTCTGAATGTTGCCAATTCTAGGCCTTCACTTGGTTCATGTAGGAACACCAAGTCCCTTTCAAAGCACCACATCTTCCTCTAATCAATATTTCTTGGAGTCCCTAGGGAATGTCTTACATGCATTCAAACAATCACCATTTCTGGAGATACACTACAGGGTCACCATAAACTCTGCTACCCTTAGGTTCCATCACTATGGAAGCTGAGTTTCACCAGAAGGCACTTTTGTCCTCCATTACGACCAGCAAAGCCAGCTAAGCCACAGCTGCTGGCCTCAAAAAATGTGATGATCAATCCACACTGCTCCCACTGGCCTCTGTTACCCTTATCCTGGCCTTTGAGTGCAGGGCATGATGTCCTGCCCGTACTGAGATGCTGATCTCTGCCAGTTCATGTTCATATTGGCATTAAAATTTTAAGGTCCCTTGAAGAGGGAGGAGGCAAATGTCTCTGTCTTCTATGTGATACATTCTGCTGTTTTTTTCTCTATGGTGAAAATATGTAAACCGGTTTTGGGTACCAACCACCAGGCTGTATATGGAGGCTCTCCTCCTTTCTAACCCTGCTGCTGATTTGGAATTACCTTGCCAAGCCCCTTTGTGCCTTATAGTGAACTTTCTCTAAGGGACCTGTCATCTCTTATCATTGTTTATCCATTTTCTAGATTCTGAACCCAAGAAAGAACAAAGTTCAAGATTTTCCATGTCTTTGTAACACTTAGCCCTGTGCAAATCAGAGTATGTGAGTGGAAGAAGGGGTGAGTCCTAACTGTACATCTCGGATATAACAAATGTGCAAATTCTGATTGATTGCCCTGTAAAATGAATTATTCTCATGCAGTGCTCTACTTGACTTTTATCTTTGAATTCACAACTAAAAACCCATAGCCCAGAAATCTAAAAAAAGTAATTTTAGTGGAGCCTTTGAAAATAAAAGACCATTGGAAAAAGTACCAGTTTCCACTGTCTTTCTCACACTTACCCTTTTAGTATATCTTTACATCAGAGCCTATTCTCACTCATGGTTTACCAAATAGAAAGCCACATGAGAAGCTTAGGTTTTGTCACTAACGTATATTAAAAAGATTATTTTAATTTTATCAAGATCAGATTTGGGTGGGGACACAGAGTGAAACCATATCATTCTGCCTCGACCTCTTCCAAATCCCATGTTTTCACATTTCAAAATACAATCATGACTTCCCAACAGTCCCTTAAAGTCTTAACTCATTCCAGCCTTAATACAAAAAGCCAAGTCCAAAGTCTCATCTGAGACAAGGCAAGTCCCTTCCAACTAGGAGCCTGTGAAATTAAAAGCAAGTCAGTTACTTCCAAGATACAATGGGGATACAGGCATTGGATAAATGCTTCCATTTTAAATGGGAGAAATTGGCCAAAACAAAGAGGCTACAGGCCCCATGCAGGTCCAAAATTCAGTGGGGCAGTCATTACATCTTAAAGCTCCAACATAATCTCCTTTGACTCCACGTCTCACATCCAGGGCACACTGATGCAAAGAGTGGGCTTGCATGGCCTTGGGCAGCTCTGCCTTTGTGGCTTTGCAGGGTACAGCCCCCATCCCAGCTGCTTTCATGACTGTCATTGAGTGTCTGCAGCTTTTCCAGGTGCACGATGCAAGCTGTGAGTGGACCTACCATTCTGGGGTCTAGAGGATGCTGGGCTTCTTCTCACAGCCCCACTAGGCAGTACCCCAGTAGGGATTCTGTGTGGGGGCTCCAACCCCACATTTCCCTTCTGCACTGCACTAGCAGAGCTTCTCCATGGGTACTTCATCCCTGCAGCAGACTTCTGCCTGGACATCCAGGAGTTTCCATACATCCTCTGACATCTAGGGAGAGGTTCCCAAACCTCAATTCTTAACTTCTGTGCACCTGCAGGCCCAAGACCACATGGAAGCCACTAAGGGTTGGGGCTTGCACCCTTTGAAGCAATGCTCTTAGCTGTATGTTGGCCCCTTTAGCCATAGCTGGGATGCAGGACACCAACTTCTGAGACTGCACAAATCAGCAAGGCCCCGGGCCTGTCCTGTGAAACCATCTTTTCCTCATAGGCCTACCAGACTGTGATGAGAGGGGCTTCTCTGAAGACCTCTGACAGCCCTGGAGACATTTTCCCCTTTGTCTTGGCAATTAACATTTGGATCCTCATTACTTGTGCAAATTTCTGCCTCTGACTTGAATTTCTCCCCAGAAAATAAGTTTGTCTTGTTTGTCACATGGTCAGAAGGCAAATTCTCCAAACTTTTATGCTCTATCACCTCTTGAACAGTTTTCTGCTTAGAAATTTCTTCCAGCACATACCCTAAATCATCTCTCTCAAGTTTAAAGTTCCCAAGATCTGTAGGGCAGGGGCAAAATGCCACTAGCCATTTTGCTAAAGCAGAGAAAGAGTGACTTTTACTCCAATACCCAATAAGTTCCTCATCTGCATCTAAGACCACCTCAGCCTGGACTTCATTGTCCACATCACTAACAGCATTTTTGTCAAAATCATTCAACAAGTCTCTAGAAAATTCCAAACTTTCCCACATCTTCTTGTCTCCTTCTGAGTCCTCCAAACTGTTCCAATCTCTGCCCATTACCCAATTCCAAAGTTGCTTCCACATTTTTGGGTATTTTTATAGCAGTGCCCCACTCCCAGTACCAACTTAATACATTAGTCCATTTTCACACTGCTATGAAGACATACCCAAGACTGGGTAATTTATTTAAAAAAGAGGTTTACTTGATTCACAGCTCCACATGGCTGGGAAGGCCTCAGGAAACTTACAGTCATGGAAGAAGATGTAAGAAAAGCAAAGACCTTCACACGGCAGCAGGAAACAGCGAGTTAGCAAGAGCTGGGAAGACTGCCTTACAAAACCATCAAATCTTGTGAGAACTCACTCACTATCACGAGAACAGCATGGGAGAAACTGCCCGCATAATCCAATCACCTCCCAACAGGTCCCTCCCTTGACACATGGGAATTATGGGGATTACAATTCAAGATGAGACTTGAGTTTGAGAGCAAAACTATATCAATGGCTTTGCATCACATAATTTATTACAGGTGTGTTCTGGAATAGTTTCTATAAATTGATCCATTCTTGTAAAAAAAATTAAAAGGGATTTGAATAAATATATAGATGTGGCTATAAATATAAATTTAGATACTCATCAAACTGTTGAAAGTGGTTATTTCTGGTTGATAATGAACAGTATTTATTATTATCTATTCAAACTTTGATTTCTTATAGTGCTATGTTGACAAAAGTTTTGGGAAACAGACAGTTACTCACTCTGCAGGTGGAAGAGTAATTACTAAGTCTTTTTTGGCAATCAGCAACAATATTCTTAAATGTGCATCCCTTTAGCCCTTTAATTCTACCCAAGATTGTTGATAATAAAGAAAAAGTTGGTTCTGTATAAATTATATCAGCGGAAAATTGGTTAAATAAATTATGGTACATCCATAATATGTAGACTGTTATCACTATATAATTATATAACTAGAAAGTCCAAAAAAGTCAAACAAAAAGGTTAAAGTGTTGAAAAGTGTTGATAAACTAATAAAAATTAATTATATCCATACATGCCAGTTGTAAGTTGTAGGAAATTCAATTGCTTTTAAAAAGGAGATAACATTTATGACAATAATAAAGATGATTACATTTCTAGAAGTTCATATACAGAAAATAAACAATAAATAATAACATCCAAAAATAAGAAATAAAGGAAACCCTGAACTAAGATAGAAAAATATCTCAGTTATTTTAAAAAGAAGACCTACACATGGCCAATGAACATATAAAAGTGTTAGACATCACTAATCATTAAAGAAATGCAAATCAAAACCACCATGAGATACCACCTCACCCTAGGCAGAATGGCTATTAATAAAAAATCAAAAAATAACAGATGCTGGTGAGGTTGTGGAAAAAAGAAAATGCTTATACACTGCTGGTGGAAATGTAAATTAGTTCAGCCATTGTGGAAAGCAGTTTGGTAATTTCTCAAATAACTTAGAACAGAATTACCATTTGAACAAGCAGTCCCATTACTGGGTATATACCCAAAGGAATATAAATCATTCCACCAGAAAGACACATGCACATGTATGTTCACTGCAGCACTATACACAATAACAAAGACATGGAATCAACCTAAATGCCCATCAACAGTAGACTGGATAAAAATAAAAATGTGGTACATATAATAATGGAATACTATGCACCCATAAAAAAGAATGAGATCATGTCGTTTGTAGCAACATGGATGGAGCTGGAGGTCATTATCCTGGGTAAACAAACACAGGAAGAGAAAACCAAATACCACCTGTTCTCACTTATAAGTGGGGGCTAAATTTTGAGTACATATGGACACAAAGAAGGGAAAAACAGACACCAGGGCCCACTTGAGGTTGGAGGTTGGGAGGAGGCTGAGGATTGAAAAAGAACCTGTTGGGTACTATGCTTATCACCTAAGTGACAAAATAATCTGTATTCCAAATCCCTAAGACATGCAATTTACCTATATAGCAGACCTGTGCATGTACCCCTGAACCTGAAATAAAAGTTAGAAAAAATATGAAGCTAAAAAAAATTTAAAGAACAAAATATATCCTGGTTCTTACCTGAGATAATTAATGATAACAAAATGTCTTCATCTCATATATTTAATATAGCTGAAATTGATATTAGAAATTAAAAAATAAGATTTCAAAGGGAAATAAACATATAAACAGAGCCATTCTGTTATTCAAGCAATATTCCCAAGACTTTCTATTTTTTCCAAGACGCTTGACTGAGAAGAGGGTGTCCAGAGTTGCCAACACAACTCCTCTGTTCATTGGGAAAAAATTCTCAATTATACTTGAAAAGGATAGTTCTTTTGGCTGGGCACAGTGGCTCACGTCTGTAATCCCCGAACTTTGGGAGGCAGAGTTGGGCAGATCACCTGAGGTCAGGAGTTCAAGACCAGCCTGGCCAATACAGTGAAACCCCGTCTCTATAATAATACAAAAATTAGCCGGGCGTGGTGGTGGGAGCCTGTAATCCCAGCTACTCTGGAGGCTGAGGCAGGAGAACTGCTTGAACCCAGGAGGCAGAGGTTGTAATGAGTCAAGATCTTGCCACTGCATTCCAGCCTGGGCAGCAAGAGCAAAACTCCATCAAAAAAAAAAGAAAAGAAAAGAAAAGAAAAAGAATAGTTCTTTCTATAAATTAGTCTATCATGAATTTTACTCCACACAATCTGGTCATTTTTCTCTGAATGGATAAAGCCAAGCCCCAAATCTACCAAAGTTGAGCACACACTATGAGTCATGTACTATATTGAGTTTTTATATACATAAGTGCTGTGAATATAGTCCATGACTCATAGACTCACAAAAGATTCCAAGAGTTCAGTATTATAATACCTATTTAAAGATGAGACTGAGGCTCAGGTAGTTTAAATAGTTCAACCAATAGTTTATCATATGCAAAGTAAAGCAAAATCCAAACCCATATTTGACCAACTCTGAAATCTGTGCTCTACGTTGTCACACTACATTGCCTTCTAGTTACAAGGATGATACTAGAATTCAAAAGGACCAAACGATTTTATGGAAGGAGAACGTTATGCAGTTTACTAAACAACTGGCTTAAGCATGTGTAAATGATATTCAAGATTGTTCTATTATGAACCTCTAACCCTTCCCAATAAACACAATGCAGGTTCTCTTCTTTCATTGTCTTGGTTTTGCATTGTTCATTGATCCTTTATTTCTTCCCTCAGTGATCATTTTGTATGCAATTTGCATCAAAATGACTTTTCCCTTCTGTCAGGATTTTAATGTTACTTGCAAAACAAATTCTTATTCACTGTGTTTAAAATTGCTCAAAGTACAGAAACTTTATCAAGTCTGTTTTTAGAGGTTTGCTTTCCTGAGATGTCAATGTTAGTAGAAATATTGGTGTCTCTGCAGTAATTTGTGTCTCTGTTTATCAACATATATACTATTTCTTCATTAAATATACATCACAACCAACAAGTTTTTAAAAAATAATTCTATTTAATGGAGAGTGAGCTTCTAAGTAGTCTGATTAAATAAACACATAGATATGTAGGTGATAGATGATTAATGATAAAGAAGATAGATGATGATGATGATGATGAAGATAGATAGATAGATAGATAGATAGATAGATAGATAGATAGATACATGCATACATACATACATACATACGTACATACAGGTAGATCTGCACAAAAGTTGTGGTCTCTGAAATATCTCCTCTGTCACAGGATCAATCATTTCCCCCCACCTGTAGCATCTCAGTTTTATTCCTTAACTTCAGCACTCACTATTTGAAAGCTACTGAAGCATCAGCACTAAGCTGGCAGGAGATGTATAGATGCAAAACATCAACCAATAGGCTCAAAAAAAGACATTCTTCCCATTGCTCAAAAGACTCCTCATCTATTCTTCAATTGACTGACGTACATTGAGTAACTAGCATTGAAAAGATAAATAAAACAAAATCCCCCTCTGTGCTTAAGTTTTGGGAAAATGGACAGAATTACTTTTATTTATAATTTCCTCTGAGGTAGAAAGGAATAACTGAAATTGTTAGCCTGTATCACTTGATATCACACTAAATTTTTTTTAGCTTTGAGAAAAATGAATCTTAAGAAGCTAATAAGTTCACTGATGACCAATAAACATCAACTGATACAATTTATCAACATCACTCATTTTACATCAGCCATTGTTCATGACTTTATGTAAACAACACTAGAATGCTTTGAAAACCTTAAAAATAATTCAAATATTGAAGTATGAAGTGTATTTCAAATTTTATGGCTTTTCTATTTGGTATCAATAGCTTAGACAACAGAAAGTATAATGCATATAAAAATGCAATCTACTTTGAAGTTTTTAATATTAGGCAAATGAATTCAACTAGCAAACTAATTCACTGAGGAAAAATTTACTTCTTCTTAAAAAGGAAAATATATATATATTTTAATTTTATAATAGGGCCCCATATGTCTTGTTTCCAGATTGAAAGGTGGAAAATACAATCCAGAAATGTGGGTGTGGCCTTTAGAAGGATTAAGGAATTCAAGTGGAATCTATATGTGCTTCAAATTTGCTCCAAACTTTTTCCTCCTGGAGGCCCCAGGAAAGATAAAGCTATTTTATAACAATAGCCCATCAGCGTGGACTCCCTGAAAGGTCCTTTGAAGGACAGGCACAAACAAAGCCAGACTGCAAAGACTAAAATGAATACCCAGTATATCAATGTGCAGATATCATCACACTTCCATAAAGATAAAAAACATTCTGGGAAGTATGACCTCACCAAATAGATAAAATAAGGTGCCAGAGACTGACCTAAAGTGATGGAGATGTGTGATCTCTCAAAGAAACAATTCAAAATAGCTAATTTAATAAAGCTCCAAAAACTTCCGGAAAACAGAGAATTGACTCAGTAACTCATCAGAGAAATTTAACAGAGTAATTGAAATAATTTTAAAAAATCAAACAGAAATTATAGAGCTGAAAACTACAACAAATTAAATAAAAAATGCTATAGGGAGCATCAACAGCAGAATTAGTCAAACAGAAGAAAGAATTAGTGAGCTTGAAAACAGACTATTTGAAAATAGAAGAGAAAAAAGAAAAAAACAATGACCAAAACTTAAAGGAGCTTTGAGACCAAATCAAAAAAGCAAATATTCAGGTTATTGGAGTGAAGGAGGGAACTGAGAAAACAAAGAGGCAGAAAGTTTATTGAAATAAATAATAACAGAAAACTTTCCAAACTTGGAGAAAGATATAAATATCAGGTACAGGATGTTCAAAGATCACAAACCAGATTCAACTCAAATAAGAATACCCCAAGACATATTATAATCAAATTCTCAAAGGTCAAAGACAAAGAGAGAATCCTGAAAGCAGTAAAAGAAAAGAAGCAAATAGCATATGAGGGAGAAGCAACATGTCTGGCAGGGAACTTCCTCAGCAAAAATCATACAGGACAGGATAAAGTGGGACCTTATAGTCAAAGTGCTGAGAGAAAAAAGTTGCCAACCAAGAATCCTGTACCCAGCAAAGTTATCAATAAGAAATGAAAGAGAAGGCCAAGCATGGTGGCTCACAGCTGTAATCCCAGCACTTTGGGAGGCCAAGGTGGGCGGATCACAAGGTCAGGAGTTCGAGACCAGCCTGGCCAATATGGGGAAACCCTGTCTCTAATAAAAATACAAAAATTAGCCAGGCACGGTGGCATGCGCCTGTAGTCCCAGCTACTCAGGAGGCTGAGTCAGGAGAATTGCTTGAACTAGGGAGGCAGAGGTTGCAGTGAGCCAAGATCGCACCACTGCACTCCAGCCTGGACAACAGAGTGAGACACTACCGCAAAAAAAAAAAAAGCAATATAAAAGAAAAGAAATGAAAGAGCAACACTTTCTCAAACAAACAAAAACTGAGGAAAGTTATCAGTATCAGAACTGTCTACAAAAAAAAATGCTTCAGAGAGTTCTTTAAACCAAAAGAAAAGGATGCTAATGTGATTGCTATGCTAATACAATTGTTGTATTTGAACAACGTGTATACTTAGTAAGAGACTAAAAGACAAAACCGTTAAGAATAATAACTTTAACAATCATATAAGAGATATGCAATATAAAAAATGTAAGATGTACATCAAAAAACCAAAATGTGGGGGCAAGAAGGGAGTTAATGTGTATAGATTTTTTTGTTTCTTTCTTTTATCTTTTTGGTGATCAAAGTTAAGTTGATATCAGTCTTAAATATTTGCTGTAACTGTGGGATGTTTTTTGCAAGCCCCATGGTAACCATAAAGCAAAAACCTGTAATAGATATATTAAAAATAAAAAGCAATGAATGAAAACATGCTGCCATGGAAAATCATTTAAGCACAAAGGAATACTGTATAAAAGAAAAGAAGGAAGGGAGGAGTTAGAAAACAAGTAACAACATGGCAGTAATAAGTCCTTACCTATCAATAATAACATTAAATATAAGCGAGATGTACATTAAATGTAATTGGAGAATTAAATGTAATTCTCCAATTATAAAACATAGAGTTGCTGAGTGGATTAAAAAGGAAGTGACTTTCACTTTTATATGTGACCTTCAAGAAACTCATTTCACCTATAGATTGAAAGTGAGAAGACGTAAAAAGATATTCCATGCAAATTAAAACAAAAAAAAGGCAGGAGTAGTTACACTTATATGAGATATAGTAGACTTTAACTTAAATACTGTAAAAAGAGAAAAGGGTGGTCACTATATAATGAAAAAATGGTCAATTCCACAAGAGGATATAAAAATTATAAACATCTAGGCACCCAACACTGGAGCTCCCGAGTACATAAAGCAGACAACAATAGATCTAAAGGGAGAAATAGACTTCAATATATTAGCAGTAGAGGACATTAACACTCCAATTTCAGTAGTGAACAGATTATCCAAACAGAAAATCAACAAAGAAACATCAGAGTAAAACTACACACTAGACATAATAATAGGCCCAACTGACATTTACAGAACATTTCACCACCTGCTACAGAATACAAATTCTTTTCATCAGTTCCTGGAACATCCTCCAGAATAGACCATTTCTTAGGCCAGAAAATAAGTTTTTTTGTTTTTTTTTTTTTTTTTGAGATGGAGTCTCGCTGTCGCCCAGGCTGGAGTGCAGTGGCGCGATCTCGGCTCACTGCAGGCTCCGCCCCCTGGGGTTCACGCCATTCTCCTGCCTCAGCCTCCCGAGTAGCTGGGACTACAGGCGCCCGCCACCTCGCCCGGCTAATTTTTTGTATTTTTAGTAGAGACGGGGTTTCACCGTGTTAGCTAGGATGGTCTCGATCTCCTGACCTCGTGATCCACCCGCCTTGGCCTCCCAAAGTGCTGGGATTACAGGCGTGAGCCACCGTGCCCGGCCCAGAAAATAAGTTTTAACAAATTCAAAAAAGCAGAAATTATATCAAACATATTTTATGACCACAATGGAATAAAACTAGAAATCAATAACAAGAGAAATCTTGAAAACTTCACAAACACATGGAAATTAAACAATAAGCTCTTCAATGACCAGTGAAGAAATTAAGAAGAAAATTTTAAAATTTCTTGAAATAAATTAAAGTGGAAATGCAACATACGAAAGTCCATGGAATACAGCAAAAGCTATATTAAGAAGGAAGTTTATATAAAGAAATACTTACATCAAAAAACTTGAGACTTCAAATAAAAAACTAACAATGCATGTAAAGATACGAGAAAAGCAAGAACAAACCAAACACAAAATTAGTGAAGAAAAGAAACAATAAAGATCAAAGGAGAAATAAATGAAATTGATACTAAAAAAATACAGAAGATTAACAAAATCAAAAGTTATCTTTTTGGGTTTTTTTTTTTTTTTTTTTTTTTTTTTTGCTTTTTGTTTTCTTTCTGAAACAAGGTCTTGCTTTGATGACCAGGCAACAAAGTGCAGTGGTCCAGTCACAGCTCACTGTCGCCTATATCTGCTGGGCTCGAGAGCCTCTCACCTTGGCCTCCCAAGTAGCTGGGACCAGAGGTATGAGCCACCACACTTGACTATTATTATTTTTCTTTTAGAGATGGGGTCTCAATATGTTGCCCAGGCTGGTCTCAAACTCCTGGGCTCTAGTGATCCTTCCACCTCAGCGTCTCAAAGTGTTGGGATTACAGGCATGAACCACCATGCCTGGACACCTTTCTGAAAAGATAAACAAAAAAAGATAAACCTTTACCTAGACTAAAAAAAAGAGAAAATACCCAAAAGAGTAAAATCAGAAATTAAAAAGGAGACATAACAATTGAGACCAAAAAATACCAAGTATTGTTAGAGACTATTATGTACAACCACATATCAACAAATTGGAAAACCTATAAAAAAACAGACGAATTTCTGGACACGTACAACCTACCAATACAGAACCATGAAAAAATAGAAAATCAAATAAGCCAATAATGAGTAATGAGATTGAAGTCATAATAGTCTCCCATCGAAGAAAAGCTCAGGACCCGATGGCTTCATTGCTGAATTCTACCAAATACTTAAAGAAAAACTAATATCAATTTTATTCAAACTCTTCAAAAAAATTAAAGAGGACAGAATACTTTCAAACTCATTCTACAAGGCCAGTATTACCCCAATGCCAAAACCAGACAAGAACACAGCAAAAAAGAAAACTACAGGCCAATATCTCTGATGAAAATAGATGTGAAAATTCTCCACAAAATAATAACAAACAGAATTCAGCAACACATTAGAAAGATAATTCACCATCATTAAATTGGATTTGTCCTAGAGATGCAAGGATGGTTCAACATACAAAAATCAATAAATGTGATATCAAATTAATAGAGTCAAGAACAAAAACCATAAGATTATCTCAATAGATGCAGAAAAAGGATTTGAAAAAATTCAACATTACTTTTTTATAAAAGCTCTTATAAAACAAAATATAGAAGAATATATCTCAAACTAATAAAGGCCACATGTGACAAACCAGCAACTAACACTGTACTGAACTGGGAAAAATTAAAAGCCTTTTGTCTAAGATCTAGAACAAGACAAGAATGCCCACTTTTACCACTTTTATTTAACATGTACCAGAAGTCCTGTCGGAGTAATTAGTCAAGAGAAAAAAAGGAAAAAAAAAGAAAGGAAGAAAGGAAGGAAGGAAGGAAGGGGAAAAGAAAAGGAAGGAAAGAAAGAAAGAAGGAAAGAAAGAAAGAAAGAAAGAAAGAAAGAAAGAAAGAAAGAAAGAAAGAAAGAAAGAAAGAAAGAGAAAGAAAGAAAAGAAAGAAAGAAAACTGTTATAGCCGATAAATGAATTCAGTAAAGTTACAGGATATAAAACCAACACAGAAATATTAGAAAAGTAGCATTGCTATATGCCAACAGCAAACAATCTAAAAAAGAAATCAAGAAAGAAATCAAATTTACAATAGGTACAAAGAATATAAAACATATAAAAATCAATTTAGCCAAATAAGTAAAAGATCTATACAAAGAAAACTAAAAAATATTTTATTGAGGTTTTTTGCGTCGATGTTCATCAGGAATATTGGCCTGAAATTTTCTTTTTTGTCGTGTCTCTGCCAGGTTTTTGTATCAGGTTGATGCTGGCCTCATAAAATGAGTTAGGGAGGAGTCCCTCTTTTTCTATTGTTTGGAATAATTTCAGAAGGAAACCAGCTCCCCTTTGACTTCTGGTAGAATTCGGCTGTGAATCCGTCTTGTCCTGAGCTTTTTTTGGTTGGTAGGCTATTAATTACTGCCTCAATTTCAGAACTTGTTGTTGGTCTATTCAGGGATTTGGCTTCTTCCTGGTTTAGTCTTGGGAGGGTGTATGTGTCCAGGAGTTTATCCATTTCTTCTAGATTTTCTAGTTTATTTGCATAGAGGTGTTTATAGTTTTCTCTGACGGTAGTTTGCATATCTGTGGGATCAGTGGTGATATCCCCTTTATCATTTTTTATTGTGTCTATTTGATTGTTCTCTCTTTTCTTCTTTATTAGTCTGGCTAGCAGTCTATCTATTTTGTTAATCTTTTAAAAAAGCCAGATCCTGGATTCATTGATTTTTTTAAGGGTTTTTCATGTTTCTAGCTCCTTCAGTTCTGCTCTGATCTGAGTTACTTCTTGTCTTCTGCTAGCTTTTGAATCTGTTTGCTCTTGCTTCTCTAGTTCTTTTAATTATGATGTTAGGGTGTTGATTTTAGATCTTTCCCACTTTCTCCTGTGGACTTTTAGTGCCAGAGATTCTGGTATGTTGTGTCATTGTTCTCATTGTTTTCAAAGAACTTATTTATTTCTGCATTAATTTCATTATTTACCCAACTGTCATTAAGGAGCAGGTGGTTCGGTTTCCATATAGTTGTGTGGTTTTGAGTGAGTTTCTTAATCCTGAGTTCTAATTTGATTGCACTGTGGTCTGAGAGACTGTTTGCTATGATTTCCATTCTTTTGCATTTGGTGAGGAGTGTTTTACTTCCAATTATGTGGTCAATTTTGGAATAAGTGTGATGTGGTGCTGAGAAGAATGTATATTCTGTCAGTTTGGAGTGGAGTGTTCTGTAGATGTCTATTAGGTCCCCTTGGTCCAGAGCTGAGTTCAAGTCCTGAATATCTTTGTTAACTTTCTGTCTCGTTGGTCTGTCTAATATTGACAGTGGGGTGTTAAAGTCTCCCACCATTATTGTGTAGGAATCTAAGTCTCTTTATAGTTCTCTAAGAACTTGTTTTATGAATCTGTGTGCTCCTGTATTGGGTGCATATATATTTAGGATAGTTAGCTCTTCTTGTTGCATTGACCCCTTTACCACTATGTAATGCCCTTCTCTGTCTTTTTTGATCTTTGTTGATTTAAAGTCTGTTTTGTCAGAGACTAGGATTGCAACCCTTGTTTTTTTTTGTTGTTGTTGTTGTTGTTTTTTGTTGTTTTCCATTTGCTTGGTAAATTTTCCTCCATCCCTTTATTTTGAGCCTATGTGTGGTCTTTGCATGTGAGATGGGTCTCTTGAATACAGCACACCAATGGGCCTTGACTATCCAATTTGCCAGTCTGTGTCTTTTAACTGGGGCATTTGACCTATTTACATTTAAGGTTAATATTGTTATGTGTGAATTTGATCCTGTCATTATGATGCTAGCTGGTTATTTTGCCCATTATTTTGCACTTTCTTCATAGTGTCAATGGTCTTTACAATTTGATATGTTTTTGCTGTGGCTGGTACCGGTTTTTCCTTTCTGTACTTAGTGCTTCCTTCAGGAGCTCTTATAAGGCAGGCCTGGGGGTGACAAAATCTCTCAGCATTTGCTTGTCTGTAAAGGATTTTATTTCTCCTTCATTTATGAAGCTTAGTTTGACTGGATATGAAATTCTGGGTTGAAAATTCTTTTCTTTAAGAATGTTGAATATTGGCCCCCACTCTCTTCTATCTTGTAGGGTTTCTGCAGACAGATCTACTGTTAGTCTGATGGGCTTCCCTTTGTGGGTAACCCAATCTTTCTCTCTGGCTGCGCTTAACATTTTTTCCTTCATTTCAACCTTGGTGAATCTGACAATTATGTGTCTTGGGGTTGCTCTTCTCGAGGAGTATCTTACTGGTGTTCTCTGTATTTCCTGAATTTGAATGTTGGCCTGTCTTGCTAGATTGGGGAAGTTCCCCTGGATAAGAGTGTTTTCAAACTTGGTTCCATTCTCCCTGTCACTTTCAGTTACACCAATCAAATGTAGGTTTGGTGTTTTCATATAGTCCCATATTACTTGGAGGCTTCATTTGTTCCTTTTCATTCTTTTTTCTCTAATCTTGTCTTCATGCTTTATTTCATTAAGTTGATCTTCAATCTCTGATTGAATTTCTTTCTTCGGCTGGATCGATTCAGCTATTGATACTTGTGTATGCATCATGAAGTTCTCGTGCTGTGTTTTTCAGCTCCATCAGGTCATTTATGTTCTTCTCTAAACTGGTTATTTGAGTTAGCAATTCCCCTAACCTTTTTTCCAGGGTTCTTAGCTTCCTTTCATTGGGTTAGAACATGCTCCTTTAGCTCGGAGGAGTTTGTTATTACCCATCTTCTGAAGCCTACCTCTGTCAATTCGTCAAACTCATTTGCCATCTAGTTTTGTTCCCTTGGTGGTGAGGAGTTATGATCCTTTGGAGGAGAAGAGGCATTCTACTTTTTTGAATTTTCAGCTTTTTGCTCTGGTTTTTCCTCGTCTTCATGGATTGATCTATCTTTGATCTCTATCTCCGGTGTTGGTGACCTTAGGATGGGGTTTCGGTGTGGAAGTTCTTTCTGTTGATGTTGATGCTATTCCTTTTTATTTGTTAGTTTTCCTTCTAACAGTCAGACCCCTCTGTTGCAGGTCTGTTGGAGTTTGCTGGAGGTCCACTCCAGACCCTGTTTGCCTGGGTATCACCAGCAGAGGCTGCAGAAGAGCAACGATTGCTGCCTGTTTCTTCCTCTGGAAGCTTTGTTCCAGAGGAGCACCCACCAGATGAAAGCTGGAGCTCTCCTGTAGGAGGTGTCTGTTGACCCCTGCTGGGAGCTTTCTCCCAGTCAGGAGGCACAGGGGTCAGACTGCCATCTGAGGAGGCACTGTGCTGGGAGATCCACTGCTCTCTTCAGAGCCAGCAGGCAAGAACAAGTCTGCCAAAGCTGTGCCCACAGCCGCCCCTTCCCCCAGGTGCTCTGCCCCAGGGAGATGGGAGTTATATCTATAAGCCCTTGACTGGAAATACTGATGAATAAAATTGAAAAGGACACAAAAATGAAAAAAAAACTCATTATCAGTTGGAAGAATTGATACTATCAGAATGACAATACTACCCCCAAACAATTTATAGATTCAATGCAATCCCTATCAAAATACCAATGACATTCTTCACAGAAATTTTTAAAAGTCTTACAATTTATGTGGAACCATAAAAGACCCTAATTAGCTGAAGCAATTCTGAGAAAAAAGAACAAATCTGGAGGCATCACACTGTATAACTTTAAAATTTATGACAAAGCTATAGTAACCAAATCAGCATGGTACTGGCACAAGAATAGACACACAGACCAATGGAGTAGAACAGAAAATTCATTTATGAATCCACACATTTATAGCAAATTCATCTTCAACAAATGTGCTAAGAAGGACCACCTCTTTAATAAATGGTGCTGGGAAATTTGGTTAACTATAGTCAAAAGAATGAACCTTAGATCTAAATCTCTTACCATCCACAAACAAAAATAGATTAAAGGTTTAAATCTAAGACCTGAAACTGTGAAACTACTAGAAGAAAGCATTGGGAAAATGCTCCAGGACATTGGTCTAGGCAAAAATTTTCTGTGTAAAACCTCACAAGCACAATCAATCAAAGCAAGAAATAGACAAATGTTATTCCATCAAGCTAAGAAGCTTCTGCACAGCAAAGGAAACAATCAGCAAGCGAAGGAAGACACAACCTATAGAATAGGAGAAAATATTTGCAAACTACCAACCTGACAAGGGATTAATAAACCAGAGTTTATAAGGAGCTCAAAAAACTCAGTAGAAAAAAAACCCAGCAAATAATTTAATTAAAAAATGCACAAAAGACCTGAATAGACATTTCTCAAAAGAAGACATACAATGGCCAACAAATATATGAAAAATATGCTCAACATCACTAATCATCAGGAGAATGCAAATCAAAATTACAGTGAGGTATTATCTTACTCCAGATAAAATTGCTTTTATCAAAAAGACAGGAAATAACAGGTGCTGGCGATGATGTGGAGAAAGGGGAACCCTCATACACTTTTGGTGGGAATATAAATTAGGAAAGTCACAATGGAGAATAGTATGGAGATTCCTCAAAAAACTAAAAATAGAACTGCTCTACCATCCAGGAATCCTGCTACTGTGTATATCCAAAAGAAAGAAAATCAATATATTGAAGGGATACCGACACTCCCATGTTTATCACAGCATTATGAACAATAGAAAAGATATAGAATAAACCTAAGTACCCATCAACAAATGAATGGAGAAAATGTGGTACATATACACAATGGAATATTATACAGCCATAAGAAAGAATGAAATCCTGTCATTTGCAGCAACATGGATGGAAGTGGAGGTCATCATATCAAGCTAAATAAGCCAGGCACAGAAAAACAGTTATTGCATGTTCTCACTCATATGTGGGAGCCAAAAACTGGATTTCATGAAGAGAGAGTGGAATGATAGTTACCAGAGGCTTGGAAGGGAAGGGGAGAGAGAGGTATGAAGAGAAGTTGGTTAATGTGTGCAAAAATACAGTTAGCTAGAAAGAATAAATTCTAGTATTCAATAGCAAAGTGGGGAAATTTTAGTTAAATAATAAACTATATATTTAAAAATAAAATAATATATTGTACATTTTAAAATATCCAGAAGAAATATAATGTTTCCAACATGAAGCAAGATAAATGTTTGAGGTGATGGATATCCCAATCACACTTGTTTGATTATTACACAATGTATACATGTATCAAATATTACACATACCCCCAAAAATGTACAACTATGATGTATTAATTTAAAACACACAAAAAATTCCTTTGTCTGTTTTCTAGAAATATTATATTTTCACTTTTACACTTAAATCTATAATCCACATAAAGTGATTTTTTTCATGTTGCGTATAGTGAGAAAAAAAAGTTTGTTTGTTTTTCTTATAAGTACCCTGTTGTTCCAACACTATTTACTGAATAAACTTTATTTTGCCTCTTGTTAATTTGGGTTGTCTTCTTAGTATGTGGTTGCAGGAGTTATTTTTGGTGATGGTCAGTCTGGTCAACCACAAGGGAGACACAGAGGAGGCAAAGGAAAAAACAAGTTTCTTATACTCAAGGTCCTAGAGGGACAGAGTCACTGCATGCTGACAGGGAGTGATGTGGAAAAGAGCACCAAGGAAAAAGGCTCAGCCAAGCAAGTGGGGAGCAGAGAGCGGGCAAACACCAGAAGGTAAGTGCCTTTATTGGAACTCAGGTTGAGACACACAAGAAAAGGGATACACAAGAAAAATTTTACTGGTGTGTTGAAATGTTACTAGGTTATGGTCAGGAGAGGTTGGGAAAGGAAACTTGTGGCAGGGGCCAATCTTACCACACTGTTGCACCTGGTTGTCTGGGTAGGATGCTCTCAGCCTGTTTGTGGGTTGTTGAGGAAGCAAGAAAATATGAAGTTTTAAAATATACAATACAATATAACTTTGTCAGATAAATGCCTACCAAGTATTTTCTCCCATTTGGTGACTTGCCTTTACAGTTTCTTAACCGTAATTTGTAATTTCAAATTTTTTCGTTTAATGGAATTTATCATTTTTTTCTTGTAGTTCATGCCTTATGTGTCCTGTTTAGAACTATTTCTCTGACCAAATGTCATAAAGATTTTCTTATGAAATGTAATATTTTTAGCTCTTGTGTTTAGCTATGTAAGGCATCCTAAGTAAATTTTTATCACGGCATGAGGTCAGGGTTGATGTCATTTTTTCTCCCCTGCAAATATCCAATGATCTTAGCACTCTGTTTTGAAGATTACCTGTTTTTTGTTTTTCCTTTGAATTACCTTGTCATTGTTGTCAACAACCAATTACCTATATAAATGTGGGTGTACTTCTGTATTATTCTCTTCCATTTATGCTAAAGCAGGGAACCCACTTAGAGATGTTTCTTTCCCAGGCTGCAGTGCAATGGCGTAATCTTGGCTCACTGCAACCTCAGCATCCTGGGTTCAAGCGATTCTCCAGCCTCAGCCTCCCGAGTAGCTGGTATTACAGGCGTCCACCATCCTGCCTGGCTAATTTTTACATTTTTAGTAGAGACGGGGTTTCACCATGTTGGCTAGGCTGGTCTCAAACTCCTGACCGCCAGTGATCCACCAGCCTTGGCCTCCCAAAGTGCTGGGATTACAGGCGTGAGCCACCGCTCCCGGCCTATTTGTAGTTTTTTTGAAAAACCTTCATACTCTTTTCAATAGTGGATATACTAATTTATATTCTCACCAATAGTTCCTTTTTCTTTGCATCCTCACCAGCATTTGTTACTTTTTGTCCTTTTCATAACAGCCATTCTAACTGGAGTGACATGATGTCTCATTGTGGTTTTGGCTTGCATTTCTCTGATAATTAATGATGTTGAGAATTTTTTCATATGCTGGTTTGGTCATGTGCATGTCTTCTTTTGAGAAATGTGTATTCAGATTTTTGTCCATTTTTAAATCAGATTGTTTTTGTTTGGTTCATTTTTGCTGTTGAGTTGTTTGAGTTCCTTGTATATCCTGTATATTGATCATTTGACAGACGAATAGTTTGTCTCTTTATTCTGTTGAGTGTTTCCTTTGCTGTGCAGAAGCTTTTTAGTTTGATAAAATCCCATTTGCCTATTTTTGCTTTTGTGGCCTTTGTTTTTAATGCCTCATTCATAAAATTTTTGCCTGGACAAATGTCCTGAAGTATTTTCCCTTTGTTTTTTTTTTCCCAGTAGTTTTAGTTTCAGGTCTTACATTTAAGTCTTTAATCATTTTGAGTTGTTTATTGTATATGGTGAGAGATAGGTGTCTAGTTTCATTCTTCTGCATATAAGCATTAAAAGCTATCAGTTTTCCTCCTAATGCTCATTTAGCTGTGTCTCACAAATATTGTCCTCATTGATATGGTTAGATTTAGGCCTTCCATCTTATTATTTGTTTCTTGTTTTCCTCTGATTTTTATTTTTTTTTCTTTTCCCTTCCAGCATTCTTCTAGATTACTTGTACATATTTTAGTATTTCATTCAGTGCCAAATAGTTTCTAATACTCATTTTTTCTTCAACACATTGCTGTTTTAAAATATGTTGTTAATTCTCAAGTATTTGAGATTTTCCTGAATATCTTATTGGTACTGACTTATAATTTAATTACTTTGTGGTTGGAGAACATAATATTATTTCAGTCCTTTCAGATTTATCAGCACTTGTTTTATGGCCTGGCATATGGTCTCTCTTGGTGACATACATGTGCACTTGAAAATAATGTATATTCTACAGTTTCGGAATAGAGTGTTCTATAAATATCAATTAATTAAATCAAGAAAGTGGTGAGTGTTGTTCAAATTTTTTGTGCTTTTATCTCATTTTACCAACGGCTGAGAAAGCAATGTTAAAAATTTTTTACCATGATTGTAGAATTATTCTATTTCTGTTTTTATACCACAAATTTTTGCTTCATATATTTTGAGACCCTAGTAAGAAATGCACACACGTTAGTAATGTCTTCCTGAAATAGTCCCTTTTGTTAAAATAAAACACCTTATTTTTGTCTAATAATATTGTTTGTCTTAAAGTTTATTAATTCAGTAGTAATGTAACCTCTTCAGCTCTCTTATGTTTACTGTTTAAATAACATATCATTTTCCATCTTTTTTACTTTCAATCTGTTTGTGTTTTTATTTTTCAAGTGAGCTTCTTGTAAGCATCATATACTTTGGCCTTACTTTTTAAAATCTATTTAGATAATCTTTTCCTTCAGTTAAAATTCTTATACTATTCATAGTTAAGGTAATTATTAATATGGTTGAATTTAAAAAATTTTTATTTTCCATTTGCTCCACCATTTTTTGTTCATTTTTTCTCCTTTTTCTCTTTCGAATCATTTGAAATTTTAGTATTCCATCTTAATGTATCTGTTTTCTTTTTAGTAATACATCCTTGTATTGTTTTCAAAGGTTGATCTAGAGGTTACAATATACATTCTTAATCTTTCATGGCCTACTTAAAATTGATACTCTGCCTCTCCACTGAAAATGTAGAATCTTGAAATTGATAGGTATATATATGTCCACCCCTTCAATCATTTATAAGATGGTTGTCCTATCCTTTCATTTATATCCCATAAGTGTCCAATCATTTATAGGATGGATGTATAGGCATTATATCAATGTATGTTTTAAAAATCCCACGAAAAATTGTTATAATTTGTTAAGTACTTATATTTTAGATAACTTAAACAGAAAAATGCAGTCTTTTCTATTTTTCCCTAGATATTTACCACTTACAATGTCGTTAATTTTTTCTAATGATCCCCATTATTTCTAATTTCATTTCCCTTTAGCCTAAGGACTTCTTCTTTTTTTTTTTTTAGACAGAGTTTTGCTCTTGTCGCCCAGGCTGGAGTGCAGTGGTGCGATCTTGGCTCGCTGCAACCTCCACCTCCCGGATTCAAGCAATTCTCCTGCCTCAGCATCCCGAGTAGCTGGGATTACAGGCGCGAGCCACCATGCCCAGCAAATTTTTTATTTTTAGTAGAGACGCGGTTTCACTGTGTTGCCCAGGCTGGTCTCCGACAGGGACTTCTTTAGAATCTCTTGTAGTGTTTTCTGACAGTTAGTCTCTACATTTTGCTTTACTTATTTTTTGAAAAAAAAAAATTTGCATGCATTTTTGAAGGATATTTTTGCTCAATATAAAAACCAAGTTTGATAATTGTTGTCCCTTTCTTTAAAAATTTGTTTTTTCTCTGTCTACAATCAAGATTTGGTCTTTATCTTGGATATTTAGTAGTCTGGTTATGTTTTTGGTATGGTTTTCTTTGAATTTATCCTGTGTAGGGTTCATTGAACTTCTCAAACCTGTAAATGTATGTTTTTCACCAAATCTGAGGAGATTTCAGCTGCAATTTCTTTAAATATTATTTTATGTCCAATTTCTCTCCTTTTCTGCTGGGATTCCAAATATATGTATGTTACAGTTTTTGATAGACTTGATATTGTCCCACATGTCCCTAGTTTCTGTTTATTTTTTCAAACTTTCTTTCTATATTTTAGATGAATAATTTAATTGATATAGTTTTAATTTTATTGATTCTTTCCTTTGTCCTATTCATTCTACTGTAAGTCCATTTGGTAAATTTTTAAAATATGTTACAGACTTATTTCAAAAATTTCTATTTGGTTCTCTATTTATATATCTCAGCTGAGATTTCCTGCCTTTTTATTCATTTTATATATTTTTTAAAATCTCATTGAGTATAGTTATTGTGCCTACTAAAAAAATTCTCATCAAATAATTCCAACATCAGATGCATCTGAAGCTAGCATCTATTGATTGTCTTTATTCTGAAAAATTGAATTCATTTTCCTGCTTCTTTGTATGTTGAGTACTTTTCATTTTATCTTGGACATTTTAATGTTATGTTGTATAGATTCTGTGTTCTGTGACATCCAGCATGCTGTTTTTGTTTTTGTTTTTGTTTTTTGTCTTAGCAGGCATTTAACCCAGTTAGACTCAATGTGTAAGCTCTGCCTTTCCTTCCATAGGTGGTGGTTTAAATCTTAATTCAATTATTTAGTTCTTTGGTGTACTGCTTTTAGACAGTCCTGTGCTTATATGGCTCAGGTGTCAGCCTGAACTTGTGTATTTAACCACACAGAAAATTAAGGGACTTCCTTCTCTGGCTCTCTCCTCTATGGAATTCTCCCTCCACCTTCTAGTAACTGCGGTTAATCAGACTCCCTTTTTAGATCCTCTGGCCAGAAAGACAATGAGCTACCAAAAATCTTACCAACCTACAATATGCCTTCTCTGCTACAAAAAACAAATCCACAAATCAAATCTACAATAAAAATGGAAAACTAACTGCTATGCCAGTCACTTCTCCAAATTTCATTTCCCCACTACACCCTGGCTGCTCTTTTACTCTTCAGAATTCTCAGGTAGTCATTTTCTGTATTTTATGTAACATATAATTGTTACCAGTTGGATGGCTTGTCTGATTGTTACCAGTTAGATGGCTTGTCTGAAGGGAATTTACAATATTATTCCAGAAGTGAAATTCTAGCTTAACTATGAATGGACATATTTATACTCATTGGTCAGTAAGGTCTGCATTATTCAGGATGTATCTACATATGTGTGTATATGCATTTTACGTACTTGGACTGCAATTGTATTAAATGCTTATTTTACATATTTGAACACTTTTCATGCTTTAAAAATATTCTTCTAAGACGCGAGTTTAATAGCTTTATAATACTGCATCTATATACGTACCCTAATTTACCATTCTTCTGTATATTTTTGTTTTTTTGCTTTTGTAAAAACTTTGAGATGAAATCTTTTCCTCTCTTCCTCAGAATAAACTTTTATTGTGAAAAGTAGTATACGGAACTTTGCATCTCATAATCCAGAAAGTTTTTACATTGTATGGCACCAGCAGGAAATCATTTATGAGTTCCAACACTGGGTGCTGTACTTTCTTTATTGTTTTTGCAAAAATGATAACAGAAATTACATTTTATTGTTTAAATTTTAATTTACTTGACTATTAGTGAAGTAGAATATAATCTTATGTGTTTCAGGGAGTGTTCTTTTTTTAATCAATAGTCCATTTAGGATAAAAATTTTTCACATTTTCAACAAGTTAAGATACTCTTTTCCTAACAAATTATGTGAGTTTTTTAATGAACTAAGGATAGTAATCTTTAATTAATTATGTGTGATATAGATATCTATGGTATGTCTTTTGCCTTTTACTTTTGTTTATGGTATCTTTAACCTACCAAGGTTATTTAATAGATTATGAACATGTGCTAATTTACCAAGATATCTTGCTTAGCCATAGGTTAAGACATGAGGACTTCTACTGAAACTTCTCTAAATATGGAACCAAGACTTCATCTGAGTTTGAGATTAAGAGAAGAAATTATCACAGGTAATGTGGAGACAAGTCACTTCTCCAATTGTGTTCTCTAAAGTGTGGTGTTTTGATGGTCAAAACCTCATAAAATTAGGTCCAGGAGAGAAAGAATTAGAAATAGGAATTGCTAACAGAAAAAGACCATTTCAGAATCATGGACTGAGGGTTACCGTTCAAGAGAACTATAACCCTTGGGCCACCCAGTCTATAGAGCAGCTTCATTTTTTGCAAAAGTGAATATGGTGGCATATAGATTAAAGTATTAATTATTTTCTGTGCTACACACTTACAGGAGAAAACTCTTAATATCCAAGACAAAAACAGTGCCTTGCTGATGAATGAAGAGACATGTGTGTCAAAAATATAACTGACAAAAGGCCGGGCATGGTGGCTCACGCCTATAAACCCAGCACTTTGGGAAGCTGAGGCCAGTAGATTGCTTGAGCCCAGAATTTCAAGAGCAGCCTGGGCAACATGGCAAAACCCCAACTCTACTAAAAAATAAATAAATAAATAAATAAATAAATAAATAAATAAATAAGAATATAACTGACAATGTAGGAGCCTCTTACAGGTTCCCTTGATGCTTCAGTTTCCTCTGTTTACTCTGCTTTTTGTGGTAAAATCATATTTACAAATTCTTCTCTTCCTGACAATTATAAATTCTTATCTCTCCCTTCCTTGGATTCGTTGAGTGAACCTATCTACACAAACTACTCTTAAAATGGACCTTTACCCTCTTTCCTGTCCATGGGCAATTACTGTGATTATTCTTTAGCAGCTACTGTTTCTTCAGCCCTTCTGCTAGGATAGGGCTGCTTTACATACACCATGTGGAGTCAAAAAAGAACAGAGAGAAGTAGTCACAAAAAGAGGAAGTAGTGGTTAGTGGGTTCTTGAGAAAGTTCTCCAAAGGTTACAAACTGAAAAGATTGAAAAATTAACAGTTCTATGCTAATCTCTGGTGTCTCCTTTTTGGCAGCTCCATGAGGAAGAAAAAATAATCTGTGACTTCTGTACCTTCTTCATGACCACCGGGCAAGACTGACTCTCTGACCAGTGCACAGGAGACTCATCAATATCTATCTAAGCCCTTTCTCTCTAACAGCTGCCAGAGTTTGGTCTTCTATCATCTCAGGCCAAGGAAGCGCAGTGGTTACACTCATCTCCACTCCGGTCACCTGCTTTCCATTTTATGCGAGCAGGTCCTGCCTTACAAAATAAACGTATCTGCTGAGAAATGCCAATGAGGGAGACAGAAGAGATCTTCAAAGGGAAAGGCAGATTTTGTAAGTGGTTGTTGATGGACCAAATTCCATGTTATAAATCTTCTCAGGGTGCAGTAGTTGATATAACTCCATTGAGATGGACCCTGAAAACAAATATGCACAAAAGGAATTTTACAGATAAATCCGTGTTCCATGCCTAGAATAAAGTAATACCATTATAATCATTATCTGCTTTCAATATCCAACCCTGCCATTTAGTTTCAGCTTCAGGTCCACCGGATCCTTCAAATATTTCTTCATACAATCTCCTTTTGTCCCTCAGGACCTGTTGGAAAGAAAGGCGTCCAATGCTAATAAGGAAAAGAGAAGAGCCTTCCTCTCCATGCAGGTTTAAGTCTACTGAAAGTGGAAATTACTCTTTTATTTATAAATACTGATAGGACTCTTTTGGTAGCAGGGAACATGGACCCACTTATGCAACCTTAAGTAAAAACGGTAATTTATGGTAAAGGAAAATGGATAGCTGTCAGAATTCTAAGCAGGAAGGTCATAAACAAGCTGGAATCAGAAAGTGGGAGGTTGTTGGGATCCTTGGAACTACCTCGACCCTGCAATCAGACAGACTCCTCTACCTGCCCTCTGTGTCCTTGGACAAACTGCTCAACCTCCCTATGCGTCAGTTTCCTCATCTGTAAAATGGGAACAATGATATCCATCTTTTAAGATTTTTGTGAGGATTGAATGAATTAAACAAGTAAAGAGATTGGATCTAGGTCTGAAATTTGCTAGCCACTCAAATACTAGTTATTTCATTGGTTGTTTCATATTTTCTGCCCACGTATGTTGACTTCTATTTTGTTTCTTTTAAATAATTTGCCACTTTCTGAAATTGTCTAATTTACCTAATTGCTGACTTGTAGAGCATGGGTCTTCTCCTCTAGTATTTAAGGTTTATCACACCCTCAGTAGAGGGAAGGCAATGAGTGTTCTGCTACATGTCCTGTTTGCTGGAGCGGAGAACTTTCAGCCTGTTTCTGACCCAGTCCTCTGAGTACCTCTGCTCTGAAAGTTGTAACTGTCTCTCTTTCCCAGGGCTGTTTCTATCTCCTTAGCCAAAAAGCCAGACTTCCTAGCCCAAGGAGGGGAGCTCAGTGAACCTCAACTATAAGGCTGAATCAATCAGGATTAATGTAGTTTCAAGCCAGACTGAGTAGATGACCATTACTACTGCTACTACTTTAAGTTCTGCCCCCTTTGAAGGATTTCCTTCATCACTTTCTTTCAAGAACAATACTAATTGTGGTTGCAGTAATACAACAGTCCACTTCCAGTTTTGCTAACATATTTTACTAAATCATCTGTGAAGCAAGCCCTGGTTTTCCTTCTGTAGTTATCTAGTTAAAAGGAGTTCCACATGAGGCTATAGATGTGAACTGCAGGAGAGGAGGGAATGCAGTAAAAGTTGGTACCTTAGCAGTCTGAGCCACCTGCTCATACAACTTACTTATGCCTTGTTAAACCCAGTCATATATACATCATATATATATAGATGTATTGCTGCTGTGCATGTACAATCTTGTGGCTACATAAAACCCCACTCATGATGAGCAGTTCGAATTGCAGATTGCGTGGTCACTTGATGTCCCATGTTAAGTATTAAGTTTTTAGTAAGGTCTAGGCAAACTTGATGCTGTATCCTAAAAGAACATTATCTCCAGAAGAGAGTATAACTTTTATCTAAAATTCTAGAAGTCTGTGCTCTAATTTTCCTTTTCTGACCCTTAGAAGCACTATACAACATCCATATTTTCTATAGTCATTTCAGGCTACATCGGATCTACCACACCACAAGTCTCAAGTGGTCAAGCAGCTTTCAAGGCAATCTGGAATTATTGCAGAGCCTTCTCTTGCCCTGAGCCTCACTCAGAATTAATAGTGTTATGGGCTCCTCAGCAAATGGGTAAGAGTTGTGCACGTAAATGAGGATATATTGCATACAAATTCCAAAGATATCCACCAGGTATTGTGCCTCTTCTTTAGTAATAAGAAGGTGCAAGATGCAGCAATTTGTTTTAACTCTGAAGACATTCTGACATGTGAATAACAGCATAATCTAACTTATAGGGGTTTCCTGAGAAGAAAATGAATTCCTTAGCCCAACACATGACATTAAGTAAGTGCTTAATAAGTATGAGCTATGATGATGATGACAATTATGTTTATTATTACTACCATACTTGAAATTTAAGCAAGACTGCATAGAGAAGGCCTTTTTAGATTTCCAAAACCTTCCCTTCTCCACCTCCCAACTGCAACATACTGCAATCAGAGGAGTAAAAGAATAGAAATAATGTCTGAGGTAGAAGTAATTGTATCTATATCTCTTCATAAAAAGTAGATATCAAATTCAAGAAGTCAGTTCTACCTGTGCAAACAGTTGTTATGTGCTGAATCATTTTACATGTAACAATATGTTCCAGTAAAGTCTTAGACCACTTTATGGTTTTTAACAAAAATGTGACAGAAAGTGTCCTCACTCCGTACTGATTCCATATGTTTGTGTGAACTTGTAGTCTGGGAAGGAGTGTGGAGAATGGCTCGGGGAACAGTGACCTCCACCTACAAGAAGATAAACAGGTCTTTGGGATTGAAGAACTTAACCCTCCTTAATTCTAGAAGAAATAGCTCTTTAGGAGCCTCTATGGGCTCTCTAATAGACAACTAATCTCTACTTTGGAAAAGAGAATAAATGTCTTGAGTTCAGCAGTCAAAAGCACTGATGGATGGACCTGGAATGAGAATGAGGGGAAAGGAAAGAAAAATAAGATTTGGGTCAAGGAGGAAGGTAGTCATCTGCTCCTGAACAGATAGTGCTCCTCAGTGTCTCCCTGACACTGTTTTCAGGGCCTGTCTATATCTCAGGAAGCGCCAGGGTCATTCAACCGTAGAATCCACTACTGGGAAGACCATTTTACATTCTTTCCAAAGAAGCTTCCTGGACACTGTTATGGTATCATTGTCACCCACAAGCTTCAGAGCACTGGCCACACACTCAGCCATGGAACTGTCATAGAAGAAACCTGGGATACTTGTAAAATCGATGGAGCACTAAGGACCCACTGGGTGAGGAAAAGCTGGGCAGTATATACTCTGGAAGTGGACTGGAGCAGTTTAGTGCATGCCAAGTTTGAGACAAATAGTCGTCTCTTTTTTATTTATTTATGTATCATATATGCCAGGCACTATTTGAAGGGCTTTCACATATTAACTCATTTAATAGTGATGAAGAAGTTGAGATTTTTGCCCAAGGAGAGAGCCAATAGCTTTTAGAGCATAGGACTTTTTGCAAGGTGTAGGCAAAATAGAATCTATAAGGAACCAAATGGTATATAGAAAATGGCAGATAAGAAGTACTCTCGAAAGATATCAAGTTTTTAGATTCTAATAGGAAATAGAGGACATGTTATTCTCTATAAAGTCTTTCTACCCTTATTAGACTAGAAATTACATAAAGATAAGGATCATGTCACTTTTGTCAATACTGTGCAACCAGTGAAACACAGTGAATACTCAGTAGATAATTGTTAAATGAGTGAATGAAGTCCCCCAGACACAGAAGCTAAGGAGACTTGAAACTTTCTAACAGGATAGCAGGTCTTAAAGTTCCTGGATAGCTTCTTGTCTACTTCAGCCATAATGTCACCCTGTATTTAAGAAGACTTAAAAACAAGAAAACAACTTCATTTCCTTAGGACCCATGGCAGAAGAAAGGCAATTAGCAAATAGCAGTATCCTTGGCTTCCCTTTTTCGAAATCTTCTAGGCAATGCTCATGGGTGCCACTGTGGAGAGCATCTGTACTCAGACCTGAATTGTATGGTCATTCTCCAAGATAAACTTCCTTTGGGTTTTCCAGGACAGGTCCTCATGTTGCTGTGGCCTTTGATGCTGGTTCTAGGTGAGTGGACACCGTGAATCTAGACCTGGATTGGGTGGGCACTGAGCGCTAACCTCAGATGCTCACAAAATCTTCTGTTGTATTTTGTCCTAAGGCAGTCTCTAGGCTGAGAGGGGACTGGGCAAATGTTTTTGGACTATAAGCTCCTGGCCTCTTAAATAAGAATTTAGCAGCACATCAAAACCAAAATGATGATAATAGAAATGTTAGTATTTGTTGAGTGCTCACTAGTAATTTATATGTTTTAATCCATTTAAATCTTTACACTAAATACTACCAAGTAGGATTTGTATCAGAATTGAAGACTATATGGAAATTCACTGTTATTATATGAAAAAAAAAACACATCAAAATGCTAAGTAAAAGAAACTATGTTGGTTAGGCACAGTGACTCATAATCCTAGCACTTTGGAAGGCTGAGATGTGCAGATCGCTTGAGCCCAGGAGTTTGCGACCAGCCTGGGCAGCATGGCGAAACCTCATCTCTACAGAAACAATTAGCCAGGTGTGGTGTTGTGTGCCTGTAGTCCCAGCTACTCAGGAAGCTGAGGTGGCAGGATCACTTAAGCCTGGGGGGTTGAGGCTGCAGTCAGCTGTTATCACACCACTGCACTCCAGTCTGGACAACAGACTGAGACCCTGTCTCTCAAAACAAAAAACAAACAAAAGAAATTATATAATGACAACAGGTGTCAAAAGTATTGACATAAGTATTAAAAATCAATATCCATTCCAAAAATAATTATTCTTAAGCCAGAAGAATCCTTACTTAACATGATAAAGAATGTGTTCTAGACTGACAGCCAATATTACACCTTAAAAACAAGACTAAAATTGCCATTCAAATTGGAGCTAGAACCAAGATGATTGCAATCATCATCATATGCAATAGTTTTTAGATCCTGGCCAACACACTAAATTAGTAACAAAAATAGGAAGCATACATATAGGAAGCCAAGATTTTAAAAAGTATTATTTATTCTTTAATCATTCCCAGTGCATTTATTTATCACCAGCTTGTTTGCTATTATTGCTATGAATTATACAGCCCCTGCTCTTGATCATATCATCTATGTGGTATAGTTATAAATTTATGAATATTCATGAATTAGGAAGATTGACCATAAATATCAAAACTTATGAAATCTGTGAATATTATTAATTACCACTTGGAGATTATAATAAAGAAATATCATCTACAATAGCAATAAAAGTGAAAACATAGGAATAATTAGAGTTTTTTAACCAAGAAAAGGAAATATATAAAACTGTACAAAGGATACTTCAATGTATAAGGACATATCATTAGCCTGGATAGAAATATTAAAGATGTTATAAAGAGATCAGTTCTCCCCAAGTGAATTTGTAGATTCTGTATAATTTCAAACTACCTGTGGAATTTTCCTTGGAACTCAATAAAATATTCAAAAGTGTATCTTGAAAAATATGTTGGTAAGAATGCCAAAAGATAGATTCTTTTCTAAAAAAACAGAAACATTGGAAATCTAATTATATACATTAAAGAATAGATTCCATATAAATATAGGTCAATGGAAAATAATACAAACCCAGAAATATATCTAATTACATGTTATTTAATATACAAAAAATAGACATCATAATACAATAGATATTTACAATTCTCCTACAAATTTAAAAATAAAGTTCAGATAATTATAATTTTTTAATTATCAAAAACATGATAGAAAATAAAATTAAGACTATTTTTTAATATAAATTATTTCTTCCTAAACATTGAAGTAGTAGAAGGATTAGAGATTTTAAATCTAAAACTTAAAAAATTTTGTATTACAATAATAACATAACCTTAATAGCAACTAATGTTGCATTAGGATATTTGCAGCAAGTAAGGCAAATAATTGAGATATGATATAAAGAATTCATGTTCATTGGCCAAAAAAACTTGAAAATGTTATTGGGTAAAAGGATAAATGTCAGAATTATAGAATACACAAACACTCTTTGTAGCTGCTGCTTACTTGTCTGCAAGCTTCATAAAACCCGTTGCTTATCCTCCAAACCTAGCAGAGTGCCTGGCACATAGCTGGCATTCAATAAATATGTCTTATATTAATGAATAAATGCATTCAGGAAATGCACACAGAGGTACAATTTGCAGTCATTAAATTTGCAGCAACAACAACCCCCAAATGCTGGATACTGTACAGTGTAGGAAGGTTGGATAAGTTATACATTGCTGTGGCAGTGGAAATGGTAAAGCTCATTTAGAAAGCCAGTTAACAAGAAATAACATAAATAAGTATATTTTGACTCAGTACCCCCAGTTCCAGAAAGCTAAGATAAAGGGGTAAGACTGCAGAAGATAATATACACAATGATATTCATTGTAGTTATTATGATAATATTGAGAGAAAAAGAGCAGAATAAAAAACAGAGTCTTAACACGAAAACTAGGTTAAGATTATGCACATACAAGGTTAATGTTTGGAAGGGAACAAGTAGTGAAACCAGATTAACTATGAAATTGAGAGTATGCATGGATTGTTTCACTTTTTAAAATACAAACAATATTTAAAACATTTGAAAAATGATAGAAAAACTGAATCTCAGGTTTCAACAAAACAGGCTCAACATTTTGACTCTGACTTACTCCTGTTATATCACAAGCTGCATAAATGGTCTTTTCTTATTCAGCAAAAGGGGGAAGTTGGATATTCTTTTCAGTGCTCTTACAATGCTCTATACTTCCCCTTATCATAGCCCTACCACACTATGTTATACTGCTTATTAACTTAGTTTCTCCTCCAGTAGATTATAAGTTTCTTGAGGGTAGGAGCAGTATTTCATTCTTCTTGGTAACTACAATATTTAGGCCAATGCCTGCATAGTAAGTGCTTAAAGAATGTTTGTTGGAAGAGTGAGTGAATGAATGAATGATCAAGGAAGTTGCCTCCACTGAGCGCTCTTGCAAAGGCACTGTCTGCCAGGTAAGATCTTAGTAAGATCAGGCATCTGCTAAACCCCACTTTGTGTAGTAAAGCCAAACCAGAGAGCAGTTAGGGAAACCAGCTGCTGAGGAAAGGGAAGGGTTGGACGTCCTTCTCCTCTGTCCTTCCTGCCTCCGTGAAATTCCACATCAGCATCTGATACCAAAAAAAGAGAACTGCAGAGGTGCCAATCCGTCCTGATGTTGAACTGGAGAAGTGTTCTTTGCTGTTTGGGTTGGAGTAGAGTGACACAGAGAAGGCACAGAAGGGAAAGTGTGAGTGTGCAGCCGAGGCTAATTTCTCATGCCTGTCCCTCCTGCAGTTCCCATCAGAGGACAGTCCTGTAAGATCCCCTCTGTTTCTTCTCCTTGGCTTTGGAGTAATAGTGCCCAGCAGAGGAGCCTGGGAAGTCCACACCAACCCATGTCCCCAACAGCTGCAGGGAACTGTACTCCTTTCCACCGGGCCCAGTCACTTTGGTTCTGCCTACCTCACTCACTCTCTCTGACACCTTCCTGCTCTGCACTGCACAAGAGTTGTGATTTCTGATGCCTTCTACAAAGGGAAAATTGTACACCTGACAAAGGAAGGGCAGGCATCGAGACAGCCTGTTCCCCTGGTCACAGATGCACTGAGGCTTCTGGGGACTACCCAGTTGGAAGTCCATACTGGGGAGCAGGGAGGCAACTCTGGAAAAAAAGATATTCGCAGGAATGGTCTTATATCCAAATCTTTGGTCCAGGCTCAGAACAAATTCCTTTCATCTCTTCCTTTTTTACTTACATAGTCAGTATTTGATACTGACCCTTGTTCAACTTCCTAGCCCCTAGTCTGCACAAGGGTCAGAAGCCATTTGGATGTAAAAGGGAAACATCCTGTCCCCAAATATTTACTTATTTGTTCTGATCCATTTGAGACCCTGATACATGAAATCATATGAAGAAAGTCCCATAACTACCCTACACCATGTGTACTCCCTGGTTCCTTGGCCATCCCCGAGCAAGAGATAAGGCTTTTGCTAACCTACTTAATGTTAGGGTCTCTTTCTCTGACTTTCTCAGAGAGCATAGTTTAATAAAAAGATCATGGTACTAAAATTTAGAGACAATGAGGTTTATCCTATCTTTGTAACATTCTAGCTCTGTGACCAGAGGCAAAGTGACCTGAGGCTAATTTAATTATTTAAAAATTAAATATGATGATTATGAGCCCTTGGATTCAATGATCTCATGAAAAGAATATAGCCTGGAGTCTGGTGCCCAAATGAGGCTTAATTCATGTCCATTTCCTTGCCCTGCCTTCTAATCAGTCTCCCTGCTTCATATTGTGTCTCACTGAAGTCTATCCACTGACAGAGTGCTCCATCGAAGTTCAAATTCTATCCCTCTCAATCTCCTCCTTGAAACCTTTCCATGACACCTTGTGGCTTTTATAATAAAATTAGAGCCACTTATGTGGGCCCTGCAAGCTTCTATGATCTTATTTCCCCCAACACTCCCAACTCCTGAGTACTAATGTCATTTCTCCACCTCTGTGCCCTTTCTGCCTTGATTACTCTCCCCATCACCTCTCTCCACACACAAATGCTAACATCCACCTGCAGACTCATGTTCTCACTCACAGTTTTGTGAAGTATCATCTCCTTCAGGTACCTTCAAGGATCCATCTGCCCCCTTCAACAAATATACACACAAACACATACCCTACACACACTCATATGTCCTATACACTGGGCTAGGTGGCTCTTCTGCCCCCAAGATTCCCGATGTGTATTTCTGTTATTGCACTTACACCTTGTGTTACAATTATATTACTTTACATTGTGTTTCTGTTTTTCCACCAGTCAACTTCTTGAAGGCGGATACCATTTTTAAAATTCATTTAAAAAATCCAAGCACCATGCCTTAGTATATATGAACATTTGATGAATAATTATTAGATTTTTTAAAAATGAATTTTTTAATGGGAGAGGTAATACATGCATGGGAAAAAAAGGAATTACCTTCTTAAAACAAAATGCTCTTGGCTCTATGTTCATCTCTGGCTCTTATTTTTGCAGCTCCTGTCAGTGGACAGCTTGGTGAGTTCTCCTGTCTTTGGCTCTTCAGCATCTCTGGTAAAGAGTGTCTCTTCCTAATAAATAGAAAACATTTGTGATGGCTGCCTGAGCTCTCTAATATCTCCTGTTTTCTTGCTGAGGTCAGCAGGGATTTGAAAGTGATGCCTGGTTTACTGGCATCGCCCAAGGGCCAGGATAGCTCCATGGTCACCCCCTGACCCTCCCTGGGGGAAGGGATGAATGCCCAAGCAGCTCCTGGCTTTTGCTAGGCCCTGCATTTACTGTTATTGCCAACAGACCCCATTTAGCCAGGCAGGACATCTTCAACTCCATGGCAAGTGTGCTGGACTCAGGATAGGATCCTCTCCAATCAGCGAGCCAGAAAAATCCTCTGAAAACATTCCACTGTGCTGATGCCAGCAGGAATGCTGCGTTTTCTACACTTTGGAGTTAATCCTCCAGGACATCCAATAACTGGGTCCTTACAAAAAAGAAAGGCACAGAAAGGGGAGATGGGGAGAAGACAAGTTATCTGCATCCCACATTTAATTAGTTCTGGCTCTCACTGCCATTCCTTTGGCTCAGAGTGGATAATTGAGAATCCATGAACAGCAAGAACCCTCTACTACCGCTCTCCTTGTCCAAATCAGTGGCCCCAGCTGTAACCTTGTCCTGGTCACCTCTGGATGTCAGTGAGTGACTTGTCTCTTCTTTGCTCTGACACAATTAGCTATGGTGGGATTCTTCTGGGCATTTGAATCATCATTTACAAAATAAAGATGTTAGGTAAGTTGAGCTCTCAAGGTTTTCTCAGGGACAAATCTTAAGATAATATGATTTATTCTCTTAGGGAAAGTGCAAAATTGTGATTTTATCATCACCTTTGGAGTTTTTTATGAGTGTATGAACATGATGAAATGGCAGCGTAGTGTTGATTTTCTCTGGGACCCACTCCCATGTAAGGCTACCTAACTGTGATATTTGATGGCGAATCCTGCTGGTGTCACCTTCCTGAAATCATTTTGCTCATTGCCATCCCTGGTCAATTTCTCCCTTGGGCGAGGTGAGGGCCATAGACTGACAGGGAGCTTTAAGTTATCAGTGACCCTCCCAGAGGACCTCTTTCAGATCCTCCAAACCCAGGTCCTTCAGCCTATGCATCAGGAGGCCCTGAGGCTGGATCTGCAGGTACCTACACCTCAGACTCCTTTTCTCTTTCCTTGTCAGCAAGGACACACAAGTCCGTTATTTTCCTCCAGCCTCAATGGACCACAGTCTTCCAAGGAGAGAGAGTGACTCCGACTTGCAAGGGATTTTGTTTCATCATCAACCTGACGATAGAAATACTTGGTGGCTGCAGGAGCAGATAGAAAGGCATGCCAATCTCAGTTGGGAAGTTAGAACAAATGTCTTAGAAGAGCTCATGTGTGAGTTGAGACCTGAGGATGAGTGGGAACATTTCAGGAGAAGAGGATCGTGGTGAGGGAGGGAGGACATGTTCCAGGAAATGGACAGGGGTCACTTCTTGATGAGTGCAGCATAGACTGAACAGTGGAGAAAGGAAGGATAAGGTTGGGGAAGAAGACATGGTTAGACTATACTTAGAAGTAGAGTAAGGGCTTGGGCCACATTCTGCAGGGCAATCTGGGCTCCATGAATCGTTTACATGTTGGGGAAAACCACTCCAGCAGCACAGTGAGAAATGGGTCACAGAGTAGCCAGTTTGGGGAGCAGCCAGGAGTGAAGGAGAGGGCCCAACAAAATAGTGTCCGATTGGACAGCACACCCAGGCCGGTCCCAGTAGAGGAGGTGGAACATGAGAAGGAAGGACTCTGGGCAAGGGAAGAGGCAGTATGAGAGTATGTACCACTGTCACCAAGAGCAGAACGAGTTCTAAGCAGAAGAGAGTGATCCGGTTTGGATAAGGCAAAGCTAAGAGATGACGAAAGATAAAAACTGAGTCACATCCAGTGAATTTAGCCACAAAGTACTCTTTGGCAGAAGAACACCGACTAGACCCAGAATACCTGGGTTTGACTGCTGCCTCTTCACTTACTAGCTGTGTGACTCACCCACTCGGGGCCTCAGCATCTTCACCTGTGAAATAGGGACAACAATAGTACCCACCTCAATGAATTGCTTTGATGATTAAATTAGTGTCTGTATATATATCAATATTTACAAATTACATCCAACAAATATACAAACACCAGAACTTAGTTAAAGACACTGTAGTGTCATTAAAACAAACATCTATTTTATTATTTTTATCATTATCATCATAATTATATTCAGAAACATGAAAATCAGCTTTAGTAGATTGTTGGGGATAAAAACAGAGTTGGAATGAAGAAAATGTGCATATGAGATATGAGATAAAGAAGTAGAGATGATAAATGTTGGTCACTTATTCCAGAAGACTGACCACAGAAAAGTGGAGAAACAGACTGTGAGGAACTTCAAATGCAAATAGGGTTGTTTTTCTATTGTCTCATGGTTTTTCTAACATGGAGAGGGTTAAACACATGCAAATGGTGTTTGCAAGAAGCCAGTGGAGGTAAGAACGTTTTTTCTAGGACAGAGGCAGGTGTGCACAGGATCAAGAGACTGAAGAGAATCCCCCACAGTCAGGCCAGGGAGGCTCTTCCATGGTCTCAGGGCACAGTACTGAGTGAGGAGCTGGTGCAGGTAAGGGTGTGGTTCAGCTGGTGGCAAGACAAGGGAATTCTTCCTTGAAAGCAACATCTCTGCAAGAGAGAGGCAGGTCATACAACAAGGGGAGCTGGGAGGGGAGAAAAGACGAGAGGTCTGGTGGAAATGGAACAGGCAGGGAAAGACCAGCATGGAGGATAGGAGAGCTGGTGAAAGAAGCCTGGGAAGTGGCTGGGTCACCCTGTGGGTATGTGGAACCTGGAGGCTGTGGACTGGAGACTGAACATCTGCATTGGCCAAACATTGAATCTTTGAGCCAAAAACTACCTGAGACAGGTCTCAATCAATTTGGAAAGATTAGTTTGCCATGGTTAAACACATGTGCCCCAGATTCAGCTCTCTGCCTTCTCCAAAGATGATTTTGAAGGCATCAATATTTAAAGAGGGAAGAGCAGATATTGGAGAAAGAGGAAGAAATTTTTAAAAGGTGTCCATACGTAAGAGACAAACAGTTTCACTCATTTGAGTCTTTGATCAGCCTTTATCAGAATCTACGATTTACATGTGAAAGGCAGGGCAGAGGAAATAGTCACTTCTGTCTTCCTCTAGCCCAGGAGTCTGCATTTTTAAGTCAGGGAAACAATCAGATATGCATTTGTCTCCTGTAAGCAGCAATGGCTTAAAGTTCTGTCTTTTGTCCTGCACTTGTGAAAATCAGCTGTCAATTTACACTGTTAGGATAAAACAGGACCCTTTAAAACAGAACCATTTTAGGGTAAAGATCTTGGGGCCCACAAAGAAATATTTCAGTGGACAAATTTTGAGGGAGGTATGTAGCTTTTAAAAAAGTCTTTGAAGTTATCATATTAAGGAATAAAATAAAAGGCAGGTTTGCCTGAAACAGTTCCCAGCTTGACCTTTCCCTTTGGCTTAGTGATTTGGGGTTCCCAAGATTTATTTTCCTTTTACAAAATCTACAGTAAGAGGCAGAAACAAATCTTGACTAATTTTTTCTCTCTCTCAGTCCCCGTGTCTCATCCTGTCCTCACCCTCAGCTCTGCTAAGGACTTGAATTTTGAGGGAGCCAAGGTGACACTTCACTGTGAAGCCCAGAGAGGTTCACTCCCCATCGTGTACCAGTTTCAACATGAGGATGTCACCCTGGGGAGTAGGTGAGCCCACTCTGCAGGAGGAGTGGCCATCAGCTTCCCTCTGACTGCAGAGCATTCAGGGAACTACTACTGCACAGCTGACAATGGCTTTGGCCCCCAGCACAGTGAGGTGGTGAGTCTCTCTGTCACTGGTAAGCCCTGGGTTCCTGCCAATCACCCACTCCTGGCCAAGAGTCCTCTCTAACCCAGTCCTTCAGAAGTCAGCATGTACCTTCCGGTTTCCTCTGCTTCCTCTTTGGGACAACCTAATGTCCTCCTCCACTCTCTGGCTCACTGAACCTGCTGTCCGCCACTTTCAGCCTCGTCTCATTGCAGTCTTGGTGCCTTCCCACCCCTGCCTAATGATACAGCAGCTTTCTCTTCCCTGCTCCTCAAATTCTGAGCAGGCAAGTGCTTTTCTTGTGCTCTCCACTTGTCCTGTAGATCCCACTGATGCCTGATTTTCATTCACTAAATTGTTCTTAGTAGATATAGACTCAGACTCAGTTCCCAGGAGCACAGAAATGTCCTCTGTCCAGTTAATTTCAGACATCAATGAATAACCAGATGCAAAGTCATGTAAGATACAAAGACAAATAGCTGGATCAGTTACCTCAGCATGTGCCTCTTGCTTAAGCCTTTTTTAGAGTTGATTGGGCACTAGGTAAGAAAGGCACAGGCAGGGGTGGGCTGGGGGCAGGCCAGAAGACAGCTTCACCTCTGCTTGCTTGGCTTAGTGCCCTCACAGCTATTCAAGTAGCTGTCAAATACTTACGACATCAAAAAAGTTTATGTGGTGCTTTGGGTCTCAGTTTTGAACTATCCGTGTGTGGCTAAATGCCAGGTTCAATTTTTTTTTTTTAAGACGGAGTCTTACTCTGTCACCTAGGCTGGAGTGCAGTGGCATGATCTCGGCTCACTGCAACCTCTCTCTCCTGGGTTCAAGCAGTTCTCTACCTCAGCCTCCCGAGTAGCTGGGATTACAGGCACCTGCCACCACACCTGGCTAATTTTTGTGTTTTTAGTAGAGACGGGGTTTCACCATGTTGGTCAGGCTGGTCTTGAACTCCTGACCTTGTTTTCCAACTGCCTCAGCCTCCCAAAGTGCTGGAATTACAAGTGTGAGCCACCGCGCCTGGCCGGTAGGTTCAATTTTTAAGGAGACAGTGTGATTTGGGCCTATACTTTTGACAGAGTGTCCAGTCTTCGCTGGGCCTGGAAGCAGTCTCAGTTTCCTCTCCTGTGAAACAATAATACCAGCTTGGAAGACGAGGGAGAGTCCAGTCCCTCCCACATGGATGTGTGAGATTGTGGAGGAGAGGACCAGGGAACCTGGGGGAAGATATCACATGACTTAGAAAGAGAACTGTGCCCCTGACATCCAAAGGCCTAAGGAAAGTGGAGACAGTGACATCGTGATCAAACTCAGTCAGAGATGTTTAAAGTCCTATTCAATGACTCATTTCTTCACCTAATACTGATTGCATATATTTCATGGACCAGACTGTACTGACATCTAAGGATGCATCTAAGACTAGACTAAACTGGCCCTGCCCACATGGTTCATAGGGGCTAATAGCAAATGCAGACAAGTAATAGAGAAAACATCAATCTGAGGATAGAAGTACCTGGTGGCTGCAGGAGCAGATAGAAAGGCAGGCCAATCTGAGTTGGGAAGTGAGAAAAAATTTCTTAGAAGAGCTCATGGGTGAGTTGAGACCTGCAGGAGAAGAGGATTGTGGTGAGGGAGGGAGGACACTTTCCAGGAACTGGAGAGTGGTCAGTTCTTGATGACTGAAGCATAGACGGAACAGTGGAGAAATGCAGGATAAGGTTGGGGAAGATGACATCGTTAGAACCTACTTAGAAGCAGAGTAAGGGTTTGGGCCATATTCTACAGGGGAATTTGGGCTCCATGAAGGTTTTAAATGTTGGGGAAAACCACTCCAGCAGCACAGTGAGGATCAGGTCATAGAGTAGACAGTTTGGGGAGCAGCCAGGAGTGAAGGAGGGGGCCCAACAAGAGAGTGTCCAGTGGGACAGAAACCCCAGGCCAGTCCCAGTATGGGAGATGAGACATGAGAAGGAAGGACTCTGGCTGAGGGAAGAGGCGCTATGAGAGTGGGTACCACTGTCACCAAGGGCAGAACGTGTTCTAAGCAGAAGATAGTGAGCCAGATTGGATAAGGCAAAGCCAAGAGATGATGAATGATAAAAACTGAATCAGAGCCAGGCGCAGTGGCTCGCTTCTGTAATCTCAGCACTTTGGGAGGTCGAGGTAGGTGGATCACCTGAGGTCAGGAGTTCGAGACCAGCCTGGCCAACATAGTGAAACCCCGTCTCTACTAAAAATACAAAAATTAGCTGGGCATGATGGCAGGCACCTGTAATCCCAGCTACTCGAGAGGCTGAGGCAGGAGAATCGCTTGAATTCAGGAGGCGAATGTTGCAGTGAGTTGAGATTGCCACTGCACTCCAGCCTGGGCGACAGAGTGAGACTCTGTCTCAAAAACAAAAACAAAACTGAGTCACATCCAGTGAATTTAGCCACAAAGTACTCTTTGGCAGAAGAACACAGACTAGAACCACGATACCTGGGTTTGACTGCTGCCTCTTCACTTACTAGCTGTGTGACTCAACCATTCGGGGCCTCAGCATCTTCATCTGTGAAGTAGGGACAACAATAGTACTCACCTCATTGAATTGTTTTCATGAATAAATTAATGTCTGTATACATATCAATATTTATAAATTACATCCAACAAATATACATACACCAGAACTTAAAGGTACTATAGTGTCTTATAACAAATATCTTTTTTATTTTTATCATTATCGTCATTACTACATTAATAAACCTGAAAAATCAGCTTTAGTAGATTATTGGGGATAAAATCCAAGTTGTAATGGACAAAATGTGCATACGAGATATAAGATAATGAAGTAGAGATGATAAATGTAGGTCACTTCTTCCAGAAGTTTGTCCACAGAAAAGTGGAGAAACAGATTGTGAGGAACTTCAAATACAAATAAGGTTGTTTTTATATTGTCCGATAGTTTTTCTTATATGGAGATGGTTAAACACATCAAAATGGTGTTTGGAAGAAGCCAGTAGAGGTAAGAACTTCATGTCTGGGACAGAGGCAGGTGTGCGTAGGTCAAGAGACATAGGAAAATCCCCCGTGGGCAGGCCAGGCATGGGTCTTCCATGGTTGCAGGGAAGCCTGCATGGTTGCAGGAAGGAGTGAAGAGCTGGTGCAAGTGAGTCTGGTGGTGGTAAGACAAGGAATTTCTTCCTTGAAAGCATCCTCTCCTCTGCAAAAGGAAGGCAGATCACAGTATAAAGGGAGCCATGAGAGAAGAAGAGACTATTGGTCTGCTGGAAAAATGAACAGATAGGGAAAGACAGGCATGGAGGATAGGGGAGCTGGTCAAAGAAACCTGAGAAGTTGCTTGGCTGCCCTCCAGATAGGTGAAGCCTGGAGATCCTGGACTGGAGACTGGGCATCTGGGCACTGGCCAAGCATTGAAATCTATAATAAGAGGCAAAATCTACAATAAGAGGCAAAAGCAACTCTTGACTCATTTTTTCTCTTCCTCAGTCCCTGTGTCTCATCCTGTCCTCACCCTCAGCTCTGCTGAGGCCCTGACTTTTGAAGGAGCCACTGTGACACTTCACTGTAAGGTCCAGAGAGGTTCTCCATGAATCCCATATCAGTTTTATCATGAGGATGTGCCCCTGGGGAGCAGCTCAACACCCTCTGTGGGAAGAGTGTCCTTCAGCTTCTCTCTGACTGAAGGACATTCAGAGAATTACTACTGCACAGCTGACAATGGCTTTGGTCCCCAGCGCAGTGAGGTGGTGAGCCTCTTTGTCACTGGTAAGTGCTGGGTTCCTGCCAGTCACCCACCCCTGGCCCAGTTCTCTCTCACCCATTCCTTTAAAAATCTGTCTGTCCAGTTTCCTCCCCTAATCAACTTAATCCCCTTCTTGGCTTCCTCTTCAACTAACTAGCTGGGGTTCTCAGTACTTATAAGTCCTGGCTCAGCCAGACCCCTAAAGTAGCTCAGTAGCTTCCCTAGCTTTTAGCAAATGAATTTCTTTACTGTATTTTCTTCTCATTTATTGCATGTTATATCAGTACTCCAATTTTTCTTGATGCACAGAGCATGTCCTATTTCTCTACTGACATTTACATATTAACTTAGCTACAAGAACAGTCTTATAGATAAATATTGGTCAAGACCTTAAATTCTCCAAAGGATTTCCAAGCAGTTAGAACTCCTATGGTAGATTTGGAGAAGGCTGCTTTTGAACAAAGGGGGAAATGGCTCCCTAGGAACCAGCTCCTCAGACTTCCAGAGTTTTTATGATCCCTTGTTTTCTAATCCACTAAAATCAGTATCATTTTATTGCATTATTAAAAAAACTTTTATTGAAGTGTGACATACATTCAAGAAACGTATGCAAATTGTATGATTTGGTGTCTTCTTGGGAGCTAAGTTGCTTCTTTTTTTACTTGAATCTTTGTTTAGTAGAAACTGGGGGAAAGTTTATTTTCTTTTCAGAGAAGCAAAATAGTATGATAGAAAAATCTTGAGCCTGATGTGTCAGACATGCTCGTGGTATAACTTGTTGAGTAAAGAGGTTATTTTTAAAGTTTAAATGTTCTGAGACTACTCCAAAGTCAGAGCCAAATCTATCTAGGAAGCTTCTACACTTCATGCATTCTGTATCCCATTACCATGTTTTTGTCCATGTTTTACTTTCTTCTCATGTTTAGCAGCATCTTAAGCCTCTTTATTTTCTGTTTCTTGACTGTTACCCTTAATGCCAATGGAATGTAAGATTCATGAGAACAGAACTGCATCCATCTTGGTCTCCACAACATCCTTGTGCCTACTTAGTGTTTGGCACACAGTAGGTCCTCAGTCAATATTTGTGATTTATGGATACCTTTGAAAACTGTTAATTGAATGAAGAACCAATCTGAGAAAACAATACAGAATGCAAAGTAGAAAGATACAGAAATAAAGGAAAAATTATAATATGGAAATCAGACAATGGAGCCCCCCCCAATTATCCAGTTATGTGGATAATTAAAATGGAGACCCTCAGAAAATTGAACCAAAGAGTAAAATTAAACTCAAAGATGTAGTAGAAATTGTTGGGAAGTAAAGAAAACTTGAATAGGTAGATCAGAACATATGTGTTGATGAGGTTATTGAACTTTGAGGTTAAAAATATACGTATGTGTTTATGATCATGGGGAAAAAACAGTCATCTCAGAAAGAAAAATATCAAGTTAGTCTTAGACTTTGCAGAGCACTCAGTGCCAAAAAGAGAGGAATGATGTCCAGACTTGGACCTCCAAGGGAGGAATAACCACTGAGAATTTTATATGAAATCAAAAAGGCGTTGTCAAAAATACAGGGATTCAGGAAAATGAGAATGCACTAACCCTTCTTGAAAAATCACCTAATGACAAAATCTAGTCCAACAAGATGTAAATGAATATAAAGGACTCATAATGAGGAAACCGCATTATGACTGGCTCTCAACCCTGGCTGCACATTAGAACCATCAAAGAACTTTGCAAAAGACACATTACTAAGCCCCTCTCCAGACTAATTCAATTCAGAATCTCACAGATGGGGCCACAGAATCAATATTTTTTGACATATCCTCAGGTGAGAATATTCTGTGAACAAGACTGGAAACCACTGATTTAGATACAGAAACAAAGGCTAATCAACTGTGCGAATTATGGTCACAGAATAGAAAGTAACTATTATAAACACTGAAAATATAAAAAAAAAATGTAACAAAGAATAATCACTTGTTCAGAGGAAGGAGAGGAAGCAAAGGAACAATCATTTTCTCATGATTATTATTATTTCAGAGTAAATTGTGAATTATTTCACAATTGAAAAAGAATGGACAGTTTTTAAAAATTAATGACAGATTTCAAAATCTCCATTTTGTAAATCATTTCTGAATACTTTGGCAACAGTAACTCATCATTAATGGTTTATACTTCACTAAAATTCCATGGAAAACCAACTAGCAGCCTGTAATGTCACATAGGATAGAACAAGTGAATTCTTCGGGTCGAGCAACCATAGATATTAGGACTGACAAAAAATAAATAATAAAAATAAACCTGTGCATTGATATGGCCATAAATGATCAGGGAAAGAAGAAACAGAAACTCTTGTACACCATTATTACAAGTGTAAATTGGTTCAACATTTTCTTCTTAATTGACACATTGTAATTGTATATATTTATAGAAGTGATGTTTTGATACACATACATGGTGTATAATGATCAAATTAGGAGATTTACTCTACCCATCATCTCATGCATTTATCATTTCTTTGGGATAAAAACATTCAAAAGCCTCTTTTCTAGCTCTTTTGTAATATACTGTACCTGACTGTTAACCATCATCACCCTCCTGTCCAATAGAACAGAATTTATTCCTCCTAATTATAACTTTGTACACATTGACCAACTTCTCCCTATCCTCCTCTTCCCTCTCCCCTCCCCAATCTTTGATAACCACTGTTCTACTCTCTGCTTCTATAATATCAACTTTGGTTTTTTTAGATTCAAAATATGAGTGAAATTATGCAGTATCAGTCTTTCTGTGCCTAGCTAATTTCATTAAATATGACATCCTCCAGGTCTTTTCATATTGCTACAAATCACAGGATTTCATTATTTTTTATGGCTGAATACTATTCCATTGTGTATATATACCACATTTTATTTATCTATTCATCTGTTGGTGGACACTTAGATTGTTTCTACATCTTGGCTATTGTGAATAGTGCTGCAATAAACTTCAGAGTGCAGATATCTCTTTAACATAGCAACTTTATTTCCTCTGAATATCAACCCAGCAGTGAAATTGCTGGATAATATGATAGCTCTATTTTTATTTTATTGAGAAACTTCCATGCTGTTTCTTTTAGTGGCTGTACTAATTTACAATGCCACCAGCAATGTAAGGGTTCCTTCCTCTCCACAACCTAACCAACACTTGTTTTCTTTTGACATTTTGATAACAGTCATTCTAACTGGAATGAGGTGGTACCTCATTGGAGTTTTGATTTGTGTTTCTCCAATAATTAGTGATATTGGGCATGTTTTCTCATGCACCTGTTGTTTATTTTTATGTCTTCTTTAGAGAAATGTCTGTTAAAGTATTTTTCCCGTTTTTAAATCCGTTTCTTTTTTTTTCTTTTTTTTGCTGTTGAGTTCCTTAAGTTCTTTATATATTCTGGATATTAACACCTTGTCAGGCATATACTTTGCAAATATTTTCTCCCATTCTATAAGTTGTCTCTTTACTCTGTTAATTGTTTCCTTTGCTGTGCAAATTCTTTTCAGCTTGATGTAATCCCACTTGTCCAATGTTTGCTTTTGTTGCCTGTACTTTTGTATTTTAAAAGGTCCAGTCTTTTAGAAGAACAATTTGACAATATATGATATTACTTAAAATGTTTGTATACTTCATCCCAGAAATTCCATGTTTAAGAATTTATCCTAAGAAATGCATGTGTAAATATACAATAATATATCTACAGAATTACTTAAAACAACATTACTTGACATTTAAGAAGCAGCAACATCCCAAATATCCATTAATGGAAAAATGCTTAAATGTATTATAGCATATCTATACAATGGAATACTTTGTCATTGCTAAGAATAATCAGGTAATACTTATCCAAAATTATCAAGTTGCAAATTTAAGAGTTGTACTTTATTGTGTGTAAATTATGCCTTAATACAGATGAATTTTAAAAGTTAGTGATTTAGATCTTTAAGTAATACCACAGAAAGATGCCCATAATATATTGCCAAGGGGAAAAAGCAGGTTGTAGACCACTATGTTATTGTGATCCCATGCACATGTGTGCTTTTAATGTATTTATTTATGTGTCTATATAAGTGTACTTACACATAGAAAAGATCAAGAAAGTATCACCAAATACTCAACAAAGATAATTTCTGAAAAATAAAGAAAATGGTAAAACTTTTTATTTTTACTTAGGTAATTCTGCAAAGTTTGACTTTATTAAATGAAGAGCTGGGTTTTTCTTTTTTTTTTAATTTCAATAGTTTTGGGGAACAAGTGCTGTTTGGTTACATGAGTAAGTTTGCTTCAGACCTTTTGTGAGTGGACAATTTTATTTCACACTGTAGTAAGACAGGGAGAGAGTACAAACCTCAGAATACAACCAGACAGGGAATGAGATTAGCTGCTTAAGTTTAAATATTAAAATGATGAAAATTTAAATTATCTGTATAAAACTCATTCAGCCCATGGGACACTGACTTCAAGTAGTGTATCTAGACGGATATAATTCTCATAAATATCAACTAAAGTTTACATGGATGAACCATGCAAACACTGCAATTTCTACTGAGTGCATTAATGTCTCTAAACTCGTGGTTCTTAAAGATCAATTTGTGTCACATATCCTGTGCAGCTTATTAATCACGCAGATACTGAGGACCTACCCTATATTTACTGAGTAAAATGCTATGAGAGTAGGGCCCAGGAATTTGTATTTTTGCAAGCTGCTTTAGTAAAAGAATATTTGAGGAGTAATTTATTTGAAGGGTTCCTGAATCTATGTATAGTTTTAAGCTATATTATTTGTTTGCAATAATAAGTAGCAGGAGTATTATTTTCTATTTAGAGAAAGAAAAAGTGAGAGAGAGAGATAGATGATGGAGAAGTAGAGAGAGAATGAGAGATAAAGGAAGAGACATTTCCTTTTTTTGCCCTAAAACCACCTGTTTTGAAATTGAAACCATGTCATCCTAAAGTCCTTTAATTTAGTGAGAAAAGAAGCAGTGTGGTAGCAAGGAACAAATAAAATGCTTATGCTCTTTGACTTAACAATCTCTCTCTTAAGAATTTGCCTTCTGAAACAATTATAGATGTCCATCCCTGAAAACTGCAGACTGTAAATGGTCAAGAATAAGACTCATTCAATAAATTACGTTACGGCCATTTAGGGAACATTTTGTGGCCACTGAAAGTCAGATTCAGGAATGATATTAATAGCACAGAAAAATTTTCATAATATACTAATTGAAAAACAAGTTATCAAATCTATAATTATAATTCCCATTCCATAAAAAATACACATAGACTGTCAAGTATATGAAGATGGAAGAGAAAACTGGAAAAACATATGCCAAAATGTGGCTGGTGAGACATTAGATGATTTTTACCTGTCAACTTTTTGCTTTTGAACTTTTCTCAAAGCTCAAGTGTTTAAACAGAAAAAAATAAATTATAATTATTGTAACAATCCTTTTTCCCAACCCATTTTTTGAAATACAGTCTATTTTGAAAAACAATGAGAGGAAAAGGGAAACGATGAGATGAACCAAATAACTGCTGTTGTGTTTCTCATAGCTTCGCTGATCCTGCAAGCTCCACTTTCTGTGTTTGAAGGAGACTTCGTGGTTCTGAGGTGCCGGGCAAAGGCGGAAGTAACACTGAATACTATGTACAAGAATGGTAACGTCCTGACATTCCTTAATAAAAGCTCTGACTTCCATATTCATCACGCAAGTCTCAAAGACAATGGTGCATATCACTTTACTGGATTTAACGGAAGTAATTTCTCTGTTTCTTCCAACATAGTCAAAATCCAAGTCCAAGGTAAAGCCTTCATTATTTTGTGAAGTGAGTTGGTCAAAAGGAGACTCCCTGGGGACACAGAGGTAGAACAGGAGGAACAGGGTGGGCTGGAATACCATTAAACCTCAGGGTATACTCCTACAAGGACCAAAAGAAGTACAGTATTGCTTTGGGCTGAAGGAAGTCAGGGATCGATGGCATCCGTTTCTTTGCCTGCTTTTGGATGTGCTGCTGCTTGAAGTGTGTTTTTCTCCAGAGCACATCTCAGCCTCATTGCTCTGGGCCTGTTGTGATTCTTCTCTCTAGAGCTGTTTTCACGTCCAGTGCTGAGAGCCAGCTCCTCCCAGCCCACCAAAGGGAGCCCAGTGACCCTGATCTGTGAGACCCGGCTCTCTCTAGAGAGATCAGAAGTCCAGCTCCAGTTCTGCTTCTTCGGAGATGGCCAGACCCTGGGATCAGGCTGGAGCAGCTCCCCGAAGTTCCAGATCAGTGCCATGCGGAGTGAAGATTCATGGTCCTTCTGGTGTGAGATAGATACTGTGGCTCACACGGTCAGAAAACGGAGCCTGAGATCCCAAATTTGTGTGCAGAGTAAATTTTTGTAAAAGGGGATATTGGAGACAGAAAGAGGAGGGTAGAGTAGGGACATTGCTTACACCTTAGTTCCTTTTTTCCTTTAAGTGGGGAGCAGGGGTCTATTCTAGACAGATTCTGGTGCTATCTTGAGCTCTTCTTCCTGCTAGTGCATTAGGAGTGGAATGATTATCAACAGACTCCAAGAAATCTCAAGACTTCTGGATCTTTGCTAAATCTCTCTAAATTTGCCCTTTCATATTGCAAAGTAATCAGATATTTATTGAGTGTCCATAATTGTGCTATAGAGGCTGTGGAGGACACAGATGATATATGAAGCATTATCCCTACAGACAGGAAACAACTGACATTATAGTTGGAAAAGAAAGAGAGTACTATTTAATATTCATTGAAATTTGCTTTGTGGACTACTAGTAGTGATAGTCAATGTTTATAAATGTTCCATTTGTACCTGAAAATAAAATCCTTCCTTTAGTTATTGAGTGTTAGTTTTGGTATTTACCTATTAAATCAAATTAGAATTTTTCTCCTTATATATTTTTATGTGTATTTTTCAATTACTGAGATTCCTGTTAAGATCCCCTACTGTGAAAATAGATTTGTTTTTCAGTTCTTGCAATTCTGTCAATTTTGTGTTATATATTGTAAGGCTATATTATTACAACTGTTGTTACGCATTGCTAGTAGATGAAGAATTATTATATGATCCATGCTGTGGTCTAAATATATGTGTCCTCTCCAAATTCATACATTGAAACTTAACCCCTAAGATGATGGTAATAGGTGGTAGGGTCTTTGGGAGGTGATTAGGTCATGCAGAGATCTCATGAATGGGGTTAGTGCCCTCATAAAAGAGACACTAAAGAGCTAGTTACCCCCTTCACCATGTAAGGACATAGTGAGAAGGTACCATCTCTGAAACAGAAAGCAAGTTCTCACCAGACACTGAATCTGTGGGTGCTTTGATCTTAGACTTTCCAGCCTCCAACTGTGAAAAATAAATTTCTGTTGTTTATAAGTTACCCAGTCTGCGGTATTTTATTACTGCAGCCCAAATGAACTCAGACAATCTCCTTTCACTCTGTCATGTCTCTTATAAAAGCTTTCTCTCAAATCTCTTCATTTCTGGTGTCTAATTGGTGAGCTTTTTCCCATTTAAGGTATTGTGACTGCTGATGTGTATGGAATTATTTCTATCACCTTATTATTTCCTTCTATTTGTCACGTTTTACCTATTTTTCTTTTCTAACTTCATTAAATTTAAATCTTTATTCTATTTTTTTCTCTACTTTTTTTGGAATTTATACACTGTATTTCTATTCATGTAGAGATTTGACCTGAAATTTTTATATGTATCTCTAACACAAAGCCTATATAAATATCTCTTTATATCCGCTTCCTAGAAATTAAAGGACTTTGGAGCACTTTCAAACTTTTCATCTTCCTCTTGTCTTATCCAATATTATTTTTCTGTATTTCCACTACCACAGTTATAAATTTTTTTTTTTTTATGAAATCAGTGTTCGGACTTATTCCCTGTTTGCCAATTTCTCTGCTCACTATTTCTTATCCCTTTTCAAACTTTCCTTCTAGGACCATTTTTCTTTGTCATGAAGAAGTTCTTTAGTGCTTATCTAACGGTAGTGTGCATTCTCAGTTTTAATTTGCCTGGAAATCTTTTTATTTTATCCTTGTTGAGTAATAGTTCAATTGAATATATAATTCAAAGATTAATTGAATTGAATGTATAATGTCTAATGACATTATACATTTATAATCCTGCTGTGTTGTAATTTTCCTTTCATTCTTTTGTAGATAACCTATCTTTTCTACCTCTGTCTATTGTACAATTTTATCTTTGTCTATAGTGTATAACATATTTATTCAGGTTGATAGCTGACCCAATCATAGGCAAAACCAGTGCCAAATGAAGATCTGAGTTAGAACAATCAATAAGTTTAAAAAACAGAAAATTAATAATATAATATTTATGATACAATCAATGCTTCCAAGAAAACAATGTGTATAAGAAATGACTAAAGACCCTTGGGAAAAGTGAGGAGCCCATGTCTAGAGAAGGTGTCTGGGGCTAAGCAAGCCTTCTGCTTCCATCGCTGGGGATAGAGCATCTCCTGCCCCAGTGGTTCCTGAAGGCACCTGATCCCACTGTGGCCCTTAGTGAGATATTCTCAGTCAATAGAGGTCCACTTCTGACAGGCACAGGCTCCCGAGTTATGACTCCCTGGATTTACTTCCCTACTGAGTAAGTAAGTTTGAAATATTATCTGACTATATAGATATATATTTACCATCAATACTTTTTAATATTTGCCATGTCTTTTACCTGTTTCTTCGCTTAAGATTTTTCCTTCTCATTCCCTCCTGCCTGTTTTTTCTTCAAAATGTTTTGTTTTGTATTACAGGCTTGACTTCTCCCTTTAGCTCTTTCTAGAGTTTAAGCATGGTTTTCTGAAGCTCCGTTGCAAATTTCTCTGTTAATTGTGGTTGCCAGACTAAGACTTCTGGTTAGTGGCCTTTGCTAACTCTCTATCAGAAGCTTGTGCATTTCCTAACATGTTGGTAATTTTTTACTGTTATCATATCTTCAGCAGTGATTGTTCTTTACAAGAGCCCACACTGTGCCCTGAGATGAGGAAGTCTCCTCATGGGTTTATTGTTTCCACTGCTGGGGTCCTATAGGTTTCATCTATTTTTAAGGTTGTTTCTGGGCTCAAAGTTCTAGCACAAAGTGAAAATTAATGTCCACATTCATGCACTGTGCAGGATTGGATTCCAATTTCTCACAGATTCCATCTTTAAGACAGGACAGGTGGCATTCCCCAACCTGGTTTCCTAAATGAGAAGACAGACTCGTTCTCCTATATCCACCCCAACCCCTCATCTGGCTTTGCGCAGCTTCACTACAAGCACAAGCACAGCCTAGACTTCATCCTCATGTAGGGATATAAACATGGGCGTCTAAGCTCTGCTTCTGGTTCTGATAACTTCTTGGGTCTCCAGAACTTCAAATCCCACTCACCTCCTTAGCATGGAGTTCCCTCTTGTTTCTGTACCTGGAGTTTTCCTGAACCTAAGTTACATAATTAAAATTTTTTTTATGTTTTTATCAAACACTATTGTGTGGTCAGAGTGTTAGGAGGGGCTTACTGTGTCAGTTCAAGTGCCTTCTTCTCTGGAAGTTTCCAAAGTATCTTTTCCATTTCTGTAATTCTTATTGCCCACAAGCATACAACATTTGGGATGCAGTCAGCCATTACTTCAGGCAGAGGTTAGAACCCTACTGAGAATGCAGAACTCAGTGTTCACCTTTTGACTGCCAAAATGGGCAAGAACTAAATTTTATTGATAGAAAAAAAAATAGATTTGTGTGTTCCAAACCAAAGATTGCAGATTCAGAGGATAGAGTTCTTCCAAGTCACAAAATTAAAAAATGCTAGGTAAGATATGTATATGAGTAATTTTCCACCATCTATATATAATGTTCTGTATCTAAGTAAGCATTGAAGAAATGCCTAAAGTTGAGACTCTGATTATGACTCAGAAGGGACTTGATATCACCATTTCCTAGGACTCAACAGAGGGCGCTGTGGGGCAGAAGGTAACAGAGCAGGCCAGGTGATAGGACCTCCAGATAGGTTGACAGGAAAAACAAAGACGGGGATTAGGTCCCACTTACCTTTGACAAGGGAGGGCAGGGCCTCCTCCCAGGGGGCCCTGTTGAGCAGAAATTGGGGCATGGTATGTTTCAGAAGAACAAGGGCCTCTAGAAGTGCTACAAGTTCTCCTCAGCTTGTGCATGATGCTGGGAGATTCTGCAGTTCTCTTGGGCCTCCATAGAGAAATGAATTACTGAGAGGGGTCCTGAGCCAGAAGAAGCCTGAGCTCAAATAAGGAATATCAGAGAGCATGAACCTCATTACAAAGGCTGTGGCAGGAACCACAGGTGTCAGCAGCACCTGCCCACCCCAGCCCCAGCCAAGCAGGACCAGTCCCATCAGCAGCAGATGTGGAGAGTGATACCCAAAGACCAGGATAAAATTCCCTGCAAACACCTACAAAGGTGAAGAAGAGCCAAAAGATGGACCTCCTTCCCCCAACTCCATGAGGACAGGCAGGGAGAAGCAGTAAAGAGGATGGAGATGAAAGAGATGGGAAAGGCTTTCCTGAGTAGTTCTACGTGGTCATCAGTTGGTTCTCTGGGCTTGATAGTGTGCAGGCTAATTCTTTCTCCCCCAGGGCATTTTCATAGCTTCCCTGGATAGATAGCCTTTTTCACCCATGCTGCAAATCTGTCACCTACTTTGTCATTCACAATGCACTCTCAGTGTGACCACTGATGACTCTCTCTTTGGCCCCTGTTTCCCAGCTGGTCCGTTTTCATACAGACTTTCCCTACTAGGGTTCTATTGCTCCTTCAAGTGACCCTCTTGACAAATTCTTTTAAGGTCCCGTGTCCAGCAGATGAAAAGCAGTTTCATTTGACTCCTCAATTTGGATGCAGTTTCCCCACTGGTAGTCCTGACTCTGCGGCCATAGGCTCAGATGTGAGTCAAGCACCTGTCCAGTGCATCCCCAAGCTGCAGGGGACACACATCAAGTTCTCTGAATGGTCTTATTGATGCCACTCTCACCAGGCTTGAGGTGAAGGGTAGGTACCCATGGGGTGTGGAGGGGACCCATAGCAGAGCTCTTTCCAAAGAACTTTTTTTCCCATGATCACCAAATCCTAAGTTTTTATGCCTTCAATATAAATGAGAGCTTAAGAGTCTCAAACCCAGTTTTCAGAACTAGCTTTGCAAATTCTTCAGTGGAAGGCATTTTCCCAAGAGGTTTTATTGTACCCTCCAAGTTCTCTGAGGATTGTAAAGGATCTGATGAGGCATTTGAAGGGCAATGAATGTGGATTCAGCTGCGTGTAGTACAGGCAGGGGACACAGAAGTGGTGGAGGAAGCTACAAGACTTTGGCTGTTACACCTTCTCTAAATCTGGGGTTCTGTATCACTTTCTCAGGATATGACTTTGGGCAAACTATTTTACTTCTTCAAATCTTGGTTTCTTTGGCTGTGAAATATCTTGCCTGCTCATCAAGGTGCTCTGAAACTAAGTTAGATAATCAATGAAGAACATGCCTTAGAATTATAATAATTATTATTTTATTTCCTCCTTCCCAGAGTCTGTGCCCCTCCCCCAGATCCTGGCTGAGTCATCATCCATTACACCAGGCTGGTGCAACATCACCATGGAGTGAAGGGTTCCAGGGACCACAGATGACCTGAACGTGACCTGAGAGAGCCAGGGCCTCCCCAGGAGCTGGAGCAGATAGGGACACTAGGACCAGCCTCCAACCCATGGATTCTGGCTGTGAGCCTGCCCCCGAGCCAGTTCAATGCCAGCCTCACTTGTGTGGTCAGCAACTACGTGGACCAGAAAACTGCCACCAAAAACCTTGGGGAAGTATGTTGGGCTCAAAAATGTGCCAAGCAAGGTGAATATACTCAGCTTAGAAGACACTTCTTTTCCTGGAGACTGGGGGAAGGGGAGTTGTGCTGACCATCTCATGCCAACCTTGCCACCTCTCGACAATAAATGCCAGCTGGGAAGACCCACCAATAGTAAAAATTTGCATATGCCCCAGGAAACTACCCGGGGAAGGAATGGAATCAGGGGTTTTAGGAAGAGAAAAGAGCAGCTATACTAGGCACTTACCTCTGCTTTGCTCTGAATCCTACTTGAACAGCCACTGAGTGTGTGAGGAGTCATATTTGTAGCAAGTGATTTCAACCGGGAAACATGAAGAAATTACAGAAAGGCAAGTTTTAACTCATAATATTAGAGAAGATCTTTATGTGGTCAGAGTCATACAAAAATGGAATGGAAGCCTTAGGACACACTGAGGTCCCTGTCATTGGTGGGGCATAAGCACGGCCATGGCCATTTGATAGGGGTGTTATAAGTGCAGAAGGGGGCAGGACTTTATGGTAAGTTTCCTTCCAACAGCACATTCTTAGATTCTAGGTAACTCTCTTTGACAAAAATCACATAGACTTATTCCCAGCCACAAACTGTCAGGTGGAGCAGAGTGCCTGGTACTGAGCCAGTCCCCTGCAGGAAGCATGGCAGCCCCAGGACCCAGTTACCCAGCGGCCTCTCTCTCCCTGCTCTGTGTCTGACCCAACAGGGACTGGAACTTCACTCTTATTCCCATTACTGTGGACGATGCTTGCAAAAGGCCTTGTGCTCCTCGGGCTCCTTGGGAAGTTGGAAGTCTAACACCAGGAAAGAGTTTCCAGCAGAAGGGGAGTAAGAACTACCCAAGCAGCCTTGACAACTGGATGGGACTTTATTCCTTGTTCATCAAGTTTTCTGAACCACAAATGAAAGCTTTCTATCTTCTGCCAAGATATACATTGTATTTGTTATTACAAAAATGATCTATTCATTACAAGTTTGAGTGAATCCACTGTCAGTAGGATTTGGTCCTTACGTGCTTGAAAGAGGAAAGACTAATATAAGTTTTACAATATTTCCTGTGTTGGTTTTTTGAGGTTTATACACACATGTAAATCAATTTAAATAATGTATGTTTTTCTAGAAATTGTTCATTTAGTGAGCATTTTACACTAAATAGATGTTAATTGTATATTATATCTCTTAGAGTTTGTTCTTGGTGTTGTTTGGCTATTTCATATGTGAGAGCAGCTTGCTCAAAGGCTAAGTGATAAATCTGGTGAAGATTCTAACCTTGAGAGCTACAGAATCCCATTCACCAGTTCACAGTTTTTCTCACTGGGTCTGTTTACCAATGCAGTTTGGTGATTCAGCAGGTACTATATGGTATGTGATACACTGAGGGATGTCCTCCTCCTCCACTCCCTTTACTAAGAATTTGGAAGTAAGGGAAATATGGTTGGGTGGTTTTGTTTGTTTGTTTGTGTTTTAGCAGTTAAATGTAATTCTGTATAGCTAGATCACAGGAGAGGTATAGAAATTCTAGTTTACAATCCAGGGTAAGACTTAATCTCACATGACCTAAGAAACAATATGTCAATCAGAAAGACAGATAATAAGAAATGAAGCACAAAGAAAGGTAAGTGACAGAGACAAATAAAGTGCCCTGTTAAGCTGGAGGAGATTATTTTGCACTGATCCCGTAAGTCGTATTGCCCTGATCCGGTAAGTCCTACAATGTACAAGAAAAGCTCAGACTCCAGATTGTCGGTGGAATCCACACTAGCAGCATCTGCTCACTGGCCCTGACTCCCAGCTCTCCAAGCAACTTATGGATGTCTTAGTTTCCCATGTTGTCTGTCTTTGGAAAGAGGGTGCACTGGTTAGGGTAACAGAAATATCCAGTCACGTTGACAAGTATACTTCTTACTGTCAATTAATAAATATGCATTCTGGACTCATCTATTCATAGTCTATCACATCTGTTAGCAAGATTTTGCATCCCCAAGACAGGTCAGCTTTGGACATTATTTGATGGAGCATGGAGCCACTAGGCTCAGTCTCAGGGTCTGAGGGTCAGACTCAGAACCTTGGTGAACACACCAGTATAAGGCCAACCTGTGGGTTCTCATCATTCATTCATTCCTTCCTCAGCCATTAATTATTGTGTTGTACACTGAGGACATGCTGAGGATTGTCTTGGAAGACAAGCTGTGTCTTATGTATGTGGCAGCCCCTCCTTGCTACATACATTCCCATTTGAATTTTATGAAGATTCCATGAAAACCACGTTTGAGTTCTCAAGTGCAATTATGCATGAGAATTGCATATTGACTTTTTAAGAAACACAGATGATCCACAGTTTGGGGATAGGGTCCAGGCATCTGTGTTTTTAAAAGCTCTGCATGGCATGGTGGCGGGCACCTGTAGTCCCAGCTACTCAGGAGGCTGAGGCAGGAGAATGGCATGAACCTGGGAGGCAGAGCTTGCAGTGAGCCGAGATCACGCCACTGCACTCCAGCCTGGGCGACAGAGCAAGACTCCATCTCAAAAAAAAAAAAAAAAAAAAAAAAAAAAAACTCTGCATGTGTTCTAATGAACAGCCAGGGTTGTTAGCAATTCAAAGGATTGTTCATTTGGATCAGTTAGACCAAAAGTTCACTTTGCCTGTACTGTCTACACAAATCCAGAGATGATTAAGAGTGATTTCAATAAAGATCCTGAAGGGGTTGTTTCAACACAATAGAATGCTAAAAGGGGAGAATGGACATAAAAACTGTAACTGGTTACCAAGATAACAAGCCTCTTGTTGACATAATGTGGCTTTATCCATTTGAAGCACAGCACTGACCATGTCACTTGTGTGCTAAAAAACTGTGATAGACAAACTCTTTTTCTGTTAAATATTACAGAGAATCTGATGATACAAAAAAAAATCTCAGAAAATAACCTCTGTTAACTGTTTCAACTTTTAGACTTCCTTTATGCCCACATAAATATATGAATAAAGACAGAAGATACGCTTCACAATTTCAAAACTCAGCAGAAAGCTAAAATAATCAAGATGATGTAGCACTGACATGAGGATTGATAACAGGAATAAAATTGAAAGCCCAGAAATAAATCCACCCATCAATAGTCAATTGATTTTCAACAAGGGTGACAGAACAATTCAATAGGATGAAATTAGAAATCAATAATGTTAAGAAGTTTGGGAAAATCACAAATCTGTGAAAATTTTAAAAGGTACTCTTCAACAACCAATGTGTCAAAGAAGAAATCACAGTGGAATTAGAAAACCCTTTTAAGATTTTTTAAAAAACCTTGAAAATACAACATACCTTATACCATAAACAAAAATTAATTCAAAATGTATCAAAGACTAGATTGTAAGAGCTAAAACTAAAAAACTCTAAGAAGAACATAGCTGAAAACTTTCATGAATGAAATTATTTGTTTATTAGGCAGTAGTTTCTTAGATATGATGTCTAAAACGCAAACAACCAAACTAAAAACAGATAAATTGGACTTCAACAAAACTAAAAACTTATATGCGGCAAAGAACATTATCAAGAAAGTGAACGATGACCCAGGAAATGGAACAAAATATTTGCAAATCATATACCTTATAAGAGTCTACTATCCAGAAAATATAAAGAGCTCTTATACCTAAATGATAAGAACATAAATAACTCAATATTTTTTAATGAGCAAATAATTTGAATAGACATATCTCAAATGAGGTGAAAAAATATTTCACATCATTAGCTATTAAAGAAATGAAAATCAAAGTCACAATGAGATACTTCTTTATATCTACCATGATATTATAATTTAAGAGTCACACAATACCAAATGCTGACAAGCATGTGGAAAAATCAGAACCCTCATTTATTGCTGAAGGGAATGTGAAATGATGCAGCCACATTGGAAAGCAGTTTGGCAGTTTCTCAAAATGTTAATCATATAGCTCACACATGACTGAGCAATTCCACTCCCTGGTAAACTTCCAACAAAATTGAAAACATATTTATATAAAAACATGACATTATTCATAATAAAGGTGAAAATAACGGAAATGTTCATCATCTAATGAATGAATTAACAAATTGTAGTATATGCATACAATGGAATATTTAATCTTTATATTTTCTTCCTTCTGCTTGCTTTGGGTTTGGTTTGCTATTCTTTTTCTAGATTCTTAAGTTGGAAGGTTAAGATATTGATCTAAGATCTTTCCTTTTGTTTAACATAGGCATTAATAGCTATAAGCTGCCCTCTGCATACTGCTTTCAATATATCCTGTAAGTTTTGGTATGTTGTGTTTCCAGACTTTTTCATCTCAAAGTATTTTCTAATTCCATTGTTATTTCCTCTTTGACGCTTTAGTTGTTGAAGAGCTCATTTTTAAATTTTCATAGATGTGTGATTTTTCCCAATGTCTTGTTGTTACTGATTTCTAATTTCATTCCATTGGCTTTGGAGAACATACTTTGTATGATTTCACACTTTTTAAGTTTATTGAAGCTTATGAAATAAAGTTTTATGGCCTAATATGTTGTCTTTTTGAAAGAACATTCCATGTACAGTTGAAAAGAATGTGTGATTAGCTCAATAGCGAACAAGCAGTTCAAAAGAAGAAAGATGAAGTGTTCAACAAACTTCCGTTAGGTCTAACTGGTTTAGGGTATTCTATTGTCTTCTATTTTCTGAATAGATTTTCTAGCCATTATTGAAATTGTTTTATTAAAGTCTTAAATTGCTATTGTTGAATTATCTATTCATACTTTTGATTCTGTCAGTTTTTGCCTCATCTTTTAAGGCTCTTTTGTTAGTTGCGTATATGTATGTTTATAATTATTATAATTCTTTATTCCTACATTGTCACCTTTTTCGTATTAAACAATTATTTTGTATGGTGTCATTTTAGTTCCTTTCTTATACTGTATATTTTGTAGTTATTTTCTAAGTGGTTTTCCTGGGGATTACAATTGACATATTAATTTATATGTACCTGAATTGTATTAATATCAGCTTAATATAAACATTAATAATATAATATATAATATTTACATAACAGAATTCATTTAACTGTCCTGAATTTAAGGTCAACATATTAAAATACATGATATATTACAACCAAATATAAAACATAACTGAAGAAGAAAAGATACAATGCACAAAACTAAATTTTTTTGAATAAATGTAAAAAGGGTTATTCTTAACTGGAGACTGTCTCTCCCTCTCTCCGTTGAACTTCTCAAAAGATTGTTAATCATTTTATCACACTCACATATTTTAGGATAGAGAGGTAGTCAAGCCTTCTTTACTCTTCTCTGTTGTATCCAGTCACAGTTTCTCCACAAAATGTTTGATACCCAGTCCTTTGAGGATATGTCTGACTATATCACACTCTACACCTCCTTATTGCAGTTATCTATCTACCAACCCCCTGGTCACTTCTCACCAAAAACAAACTCAGACATTTTCTCTAGCCAAATTCCTGTACTCACCCTGCATGACATCAGCACCCATGACTGCATCAACTAGGATACTTGGCTGCAAATAACCAGCTCTGATTCAGGGTCAGGAAGTCACCACCAGCACTGCTGGCTGCAGAGCCATGCAGTACCTTCTAAATGCACATTGATTCAAGAAAAATCAAAGACCAACACCTTTTCTCCCGACACCCACAGATATAGAGAGACACATGTGGGCCTCTGCTATGGCAGAAAATCCAGTGACACCATCGCTGTCCTTAACACAGAAGGGCAGATAAAGCAAAAGGGTGACTTCTGCCTCACTTCCAACCTCCAATCCCACCTCTGACAATGAAGTTTAAATCACATTCAGAGCCCCAGCTGCCGCAGAGCCTGGTAAATGTGGGGTTCGCTTTACTGCCTCCAGGGTAGAGGAACTCCATTGAGTACCTGCTCACTATATCTAGCACACCTCTTTTACTACCCTGCTAAAACCTCACAGATAAGCACATCAAACATTCCAGCCAGGCTCCTAAATACCTCTGTTTCACTACCACCAGGTCTTACCTACTTAGCAAATCATGAACCTTGTATTGATCCAACCTCTGCACAACACTCACACTGCCTAACAGAACACCAGTCTTCTGGATGACCTATCACAAATTCACGATACCTAACCAGAACAAAATGTTAACACCATTCAACAATCAGTTAAGTGCATGACAGCTAAAGATAATATAAACTAATAATAGCTATCACATATTGAGTGCTTCCTATGCGCCATGACTCTTCTAATCATTCTGCATGTTTTAACTCATCTAATCCTCATAAGCACTCTGTGAGATAGATGTCACTATCCCCATTTACAAATTATGAAGGAAGAGACATAGAAAGACTAAGTCATTTCTCAAGTCCTCACAACTAGGAAGTATCAGAACCAGGATTTAAATCCAGGTAGTTTGAATCCAGAGCCCACATTTTCATCTTTCTGCTGACTGCCTCTCACATTCTCTCAAACTTCCATCTGCTATGGACTGACTGAAATGCATTATCCTCCCCTCCCAAAATTCATATATTGGATCCTAAAGCCCAGTGTGATGGTGTTTGGAGATCAGACCTTTGGGAAGTAATTAGATTAGATGAGATCATGAGGGTGGAGTCTTTGTGATGGGATTAGTGGTCTCTAATAAGACGAATCTCTCTCTCTCTCTCTCTCTCTCCCCCCCACCCACCCCCAGCCCACCCCCATCACTCTCTAGCCACCATATGAGCACACAGTAAGAAGGCAGCCATCTGCAAGCCAGAGAGACCTCACCAGAACCCAACCATGCTGGCTCCCTGATCTTGGATGTCCAACCCCCAGTATTGTGAAAAAATAAATTTCTGTTGTTTAACCTATTCAGTCTATGGTGTTCTGTCATGGCAGCCTGAGCAGACTAAGACACCAACCTACCTTATCACTCATGACAAATGACAGAACCTCCCATTTTTCAGAGAAAAATGAACAGTAGAAAGTAATGTCTTCAAGTTCCTACCAGCACACTTCCCACTGACCCGCCTTTATATTCATCTGTCCTAACTCTCTCCTGTCCCCACACAAAGCAATGTGCTCCTGTTATCTAAAGTGAGTGCCTTCTCCTGTGGTTCAAGTCCCTTTTCCTCCCACTGTTTCAGGAACACTGATCTCTGATGCAGCTCCCCTTTCTCTGGTGTGTTCCATGGACCCTGCTCACTCCTTTGCTACAGCCCTTAAACATTCTCAGGACTCTCCCCTCTCAGCATCCCCTTAACCTCACCCTGCAACTATCTCCTGTTTCTTCATCTTCCATGTCACAGCTAGACTTCTACACTTGCTCCAAGACACTGAATCCTCGGACTTCCTCCACCAGCAAGTACCCCTGAGAACTCCACCAGGTGACCAGGAACCTCCCAGCATTTGGCACTGTTGACCTCTTTCTCTTTCTCTTTCTGAGAACTCTCTTCCTTGGTTTCCCTGATATCACTCTCTCCTGGATCCTGGCTCCTTTGCTGCTTCCTCTTTCTGCACCTCCATGCTCCCCTCAAGCACTGGGTCTTGTCATGAGCCGATTTTCATCTCATATTTTGTGTTCTCACTAGGACATCTACTTCCCTACTTTCAATGTTCATTCCCATGCTGCTAATGCCCACGTCTGTATCTCCACCCCCTACCCTCTGCTCAGCATCAGACCCTGCATTCAGCTCTCTACTAGACGTCTCCACTGGCACCTCACGCTCAGTGTGTTCACTGCTTTATCTTTACCTTCTAGCCTATTTCTGTGTTCTCATTCTCAGCAAATGGCCCCATCCAGGAACCTGGGTATTATCCTTGGCTCCTTCCTCTCCTGACCCCCTGGGGCAATTGATCAAGGACCTAGAATGTGTCAGATCCATTGCTAAGCACCTCACATGCAAAGGTTTCATTTTACTGTCACAATCTTAACAGAGAGGAAAGAAATAATTAAACTTTGGCTGTTTCTAGCACCTATTGGTGAGGACATTGTAGCAGAGCTCCCTAAGCCATCACACACCATCTCAGCTTCTCCACATTCTGTGGCATCTTCTTCCTCACCTCTGTCCCTAGACCCAGACCTGCTCATGGGCCCTTTTGATGTTCTTCACTTGTCCCTCATCACACTTTTTTGCAACATGGCAGGTTCTTTGTTTTATTATATGGAACTTGGAGAAAAGAAAGATGCATTATTTGTTACAGGAAATGAAAGCAGAAGCTATCATTGTGTGTGTTATCTGTCAAAAAACTGGTATTCATCTCATGGGAAAGCTTAGAATAGTTTCAGGTGATTTAAACTGGTCCTACAAAAAGGTATTAAAAATTATCCTCTTCTCTCACCTGTCCCCACCACCACCTCTATTCCTCATGCAAACAAGACAACCTGCTATATGCTCAATTTTTAATGCAAACAAACAAACAAAAAAACTTGTCTCTTTTGTCTCTTCTCTTCAATCTCCCCAGCTTAGCCTGCAGTTCCCACTGCAATAGTCAGATTCCCAGAGATCAGAGGGGAACCAGGCAAATTTATTATCCCTCATCCCCAGCCTCTTTAAAGGACACACATACATGCACCACAGACACATGAATGTGTAAATACACACAAATACACAACCCACACACACCAGCTTCCAGTCATGCCACTATGTGTGAATTATGACTGAGATCATCCCAAACTATGAAGATTACATGTTAAATAAGGATTCTAAGTACCTGAGGACATAGTCACCTACTAGATGAGTTAGGGAGCAGCATTTTCTCCCTAAATTTTTCAAGTACATGTTCTGAACGTGGCTCCTTTCCCTTCAGGGTTCCAGAAGTTCAGCCTTGCTGGTGGGCAAGAAGCAGGTATTTTTCTTTCCAGGGGACACTGAGATGCACTATAATAGACAGTAATATTATTTTCCAAATAATCCATGGAGGAAGTGCCCCCAACTTGAATAAAAAAATGGTTCATATTTTCAATTTATACTGAATGGTAAGGGAGACATATGAGATTGGAGGTGGGTACACAAGTCCATGATCAGTGCTACAAAGCTTAACAGGGCTACATGCCATCATAGCCCTGTCCTCCCCTCTAGTCCATTTTACAGCCCTGGAAAGATTATCCTCCTCTCTGCACACTCCTTCAAGGACCTCAAATGGACTCCTAAATCTTAGAATCCAAACATTTCCCTATGTTAGAAGTGAGGCCTGGTGGAAAGTGATCAGATCATGGGGGCGGATCCCTCATGAATGGTTTACTACCATCCCCTTGGTGATAAGTGACTTCTCACTCAACTAGTTTGGGACCTTCCCCTTCTCTCTCTCTTGCTCCTGCTCTAGCCATGTGACATGCTGGCTCTCTGTCACCTTCTGCCATGATTGTAAGCTTCCTAAGGCCACAGCAGAAGCAGATGCCAGCACCACGCTTCCTATAAAGTTTGCAAAACAATGAGCCAATTAAACAAACTCTTTTCTTTATAAATTATCCAGTCTCAGGTATTCCTTTATATCAACACAGGAATGGCCTAGTACATCTTACTAAGCTCATTTGTTGGTTCTAGAAGGTTTATCTATGTAGATAAAACATGTTATCTACAGATAACAATAGGATTTTCTCCACTTTCCAATCTGTATAACTTTGTCTCTTTTTCTTGCCTTACTGCACTTAATAGAACTTGAAGTACAATTTTAAATAGAAGTGGTGAGATGGGGTATTTTTATTGTCTCATTCATTTCTACTCCTATCTTTACTATTTCCTTTCTTCTACGTTATCTGGGTTTTTACTTTTACTTTTCTCTCTATTCAGAATGTGCAAATTTAAATTTCTAATGAGACATATCTTCTTATCTAATGTAAGCCTTTAATCCTACCAATTTCCCTTTAAGCACTTTTTCAGCTTCATCCCACTAATTTTATACATTATATTTTCATTTTCGTTTAGTTCAGCTATGTTGTAACTTCCTTTCAGACTCCCTCTTTGACCCATTGAATGCTTAGAGATATCTTATATAATTTCTAAGTGTTTGGAGATGTTTCTGTTATCTTTCTGTTAGAAAGTTGTAGTCTAATTCCATTACAATCAGAGAATATGGCTTACATTATATTTGTCACATTTGTTTTATGACCCAGGATAGGACATACCTTAGTGAACCTCTCATGTGCCATTGAAAAGAATGTGTTTTTTGCTGTTATTTGGTGGAGTGTTTTATTAATATTAATTGTGTCTAGGTGGTTGATGGTGGTATTCAGTTCTATATTCCTGCTGATTTTCCTTCTACCAGTTCAAAGAAGTGTTAAAATCTCTTATTATAATGGTGGGTTTCTCTATTTCTATTTTAAGTTTTGTCAGGTTTTGCTTCATTTTTTGAACCTCTGTTTTCAGTGCATGCACATTTAAGATTGTTTTCTCTCGTTGGTGAGTTAACTTGTTCATCATTAGGTGATATCCCTGTTTTTCCCTCATTGTGCTATAAAGTTTGCTTTCTCTGATACTAATTAGCCATTTCAGCTTTTTAAGGGAAATTTTATATTTTTATTAATACAGCATAGTGTATATATTTTGGGGTACATGTGATATTTCGGCACATGTATACCATAAGCAATGATCAAATCATGTTAACTGGGATATCCATCACCTCAAACATTTGTCTTTCTTTTCTGTTGGAAACATTGAAAGTTTTCTCTTCTAGCTATTTTGAAATATACATCAAACCATTTTTAGCTACAATTTCTATATTGCACTATCAAATATTAGAACTTATTCCTTCTATCTGACTGCATTTTAATGCCCATTAACCAGCTTCTCTTTATTCCCTCATTCCCCTTCCTTTCCCAGCTTCTGGTAACTATCATTCTACTCTCTACCTCAGTGAAATCCACTTTATAACATCCCACATATGAGTTAGAACATGCAATAATTATCTTTCTGTGCCTGATTTATTTTACTTGATATGATGATCCCAGCTCTATCTGTGTTACTGAAAATGACAAGGTTTCATTCTTTCTTATGGATGAATAATATCCTATTGTGCATATATACCACATTATCTGTTCATCTGTTGACAATCTGTTGACAATTCCATATATTATCTATTGTGAATAGTGCTGCAATAAACTTGAGAGTGCAGATGCCTCTTTGATATATTGATTTCCCTTCTTTTGAATATATACTAGGCAGTGGGATTGTTAGATCTCATGGTAGATCTCATTTAAGCTTTTTGAAAAACTTCCATACTGTTCTCCATAGTGGCTATGCTAATTTACATTCCTATCAACAGTGCACAGGTGTTTCCCTTTCTCCACATCCTTGCCAACATTTACTGCTTTTTGTCTTTTTGTTAATAGCCATTCTAACTGGGGTAAAATAATATCTCACTGTGGTTTTGATTTGTATTTCCCTGATGACAAGTGATGTTGAGTGTTTTTTCATATACTGGTTGGTGATTTGCATGTCTTCTTTTGAGAAAAGTCTATTCAGGTTATTATTTATTTTTAATCAGATTATGTGTTTGTTTTATTATTGAGTCATTTGCATTCCTTATACGTTCTGGTTATTAATCTCCTGTCAGGTGGATAGTTTGCAAATGTTTTCTCTCCTTCTGTAGGTTGTCTCTTCACTTTAATTGTTTTCTTTGCTGTGAAGAAGCTTTTTATCTTCATAAAATCCCATTTGTCTATTTTAGTTTTAGTGGCTTGTGCTTTTGAGGCCTTACCCAAAAAATCTACGCCCAGACCAATGTCCTGGAGTGTTTCCTTAATGTTTCAGTAATTTAATAGTTTCAGTTCTTACACTTAAATCTTTAATACATTCAGAGTTGATTTTTGTATATGGCGAATGATGGGAATCTAGTTTCATTCTTCTGTGTATGAATATCCAATTCTTCCAGCACCATTTTTTAAGGAGGCCATCATTTCCCAAATATATGTTCTTGGTGCTTTTTTGAAAGTGAGTTGGCTGTAAATGTGTAGATTTACTTCTGGATTATCTGTTCTATTCCATTTGTCTATGTGTATCTCTCTATGTGAGTACTACCCAGTTTTGTTTACCATAGCTTTTTGGTAAATTTTGAAATCAGATAGTGTGAAGCCTTCAGCTTTGTTCTTTTTGCTCAAGATTGCTATAGCTATTCAAGGTCTCTTGTGGTTCTATGCAAATTTGAGGATTTTTTTTTCTTTTTATTTCTCAGTAGTTTTTGGATACAGGTAGTTTTTGGCTACATGGATAAGTTCTTTAGAAGTGAATTCTGAAATTTTAGTGCATCCATCACCTGAGCAGTGTACACTGTATCCAATAAATAATTATTTATCTCCCACCCACTTCCAAACCATCTCCCCCGAGTCCCCAAAGTCTATTATATCACTCTTGTGACTTTTCGTCCTCATAGCTTAGTTCCCACTTACAAGTGAAAACATACAATATTTGGTTTTCCATTCCTCAGTTAATTCACTTAGAATAATGGCCTCCAGCTCCATCCAAGTTGTTGCAAAAGACATTATTTTATTCCTTTTTATGGCTGAGTAGTATTCCATGTTATATATATATACACATATAAAACATGGATATATATATATAAATATATAACATATATATAACCTATATATAAAACATGGATATATATACATATATACACATTTATATATACATATATATACGTGTTTTATATATATATATATATATATATATATATATATATATAAAACATTTTCTTTATCTACTCATTGGTTGGTTGATGGGCACTTAGGTTGGTTCCATATCTTTGCAATTGCAAATTGTGCTGCTATAAACATGTGTGTGCAAGTATCTTTTTCATACAGTGACTGCTTTTCCTCTGGATAGATACCCAGTAGTGGGATTGCTGGATCCAATGGTGGATCTACTTTTAGTTCTTTCAGGAATCTTTATGTTGTTTTCCATAGTGGTTGCACTAATTTACATTGCCACCAGCAGTTCAAAAGTGTTGCCTTTTCACTACATTCATTCTAATATCTATCATTTTTTCACCTTTTAATTATGGCCATTCTTGCAAGGGTAAGGTGGTATCTCATTGTGGTTTTAATTTGCATTTATCTGATGATTAGTGACGTTGAATATTTTTTCATATGTGTGTTGGCTATTCATATATCTTTTTTTGAGAAATGTATATTCATGTTCTTTCCCAACTTTTTGATGTGATTATTAGTTTTTTTTCTTGCTGATTTGTTTGAGCTCCTCATTGATTCTGGATACTAGCCCTTTGTTGGATGCATAGTTTGCGAATGTTTTCTCCCACCCTGTGGGTAGTCTGTTTGCTGATTATTTCTGTTGTTGTGCAGAAGTTTTTAGTTTAATTAAGTCCTATTTATTTATTCTTTGGTTTTGTTGCATTTGCTTTTGGATTCTTAGTCATGAATTCTTTGCCTAAGCTAATATCTAGAAGAGGTTTTCTGATGTTATCTTCTAGAATTTTTTATGGTTTTAGGTTTTAGATTTAAGTCTTTGATCCATCTTGGGTTGGTTTTTGTATAAGGTGAGAGATAGAGATCCAGTTTCATTCTTCTGCATGTGGCATGCCCATTTTCTCAGCACCATTTATTGAATGGTCATCCTTGGGTTGGTTCCAAGTCTTGCTATTGTGAATAATGCCGCAATAAACATACATGTGCATGTGTCTTTATAGTAGCATGATTTATAGTCCTCTGGGTATATACCCAGTAATGGGATGGCTGGGCCAAATGGTATTTCTAGTTCTAGATCCCTGAGGAATCGCCACACTGACTTCCACAATGGTTGAACTAGTTTACAGTCCCACCAACAGTGTAAAAGTGTTCCTATTTCTCCACACCCTCTCCAGCACCTGTTGTTTCCTGACTTTTTAATGATCGCCATTCTAACTGGTGTGAGATGGTATCTCATTGTGGTTTTGATTTGCATTTCTCTGATGGCCAGTGATGGTGAGCATTTTTTCATGTGTTTTTTGGCTGCATAAATGTCTTCTTTTGAGAAGTGTCTGTTCATGTCCTTTGCCCACTTTTTGATGGGGTTGTTTGTTTTTTTCTTGTAAATTTGTTGGAGTTCATTGTAGATTCTGGATATTAGCCCTTTGTCAGCTGAGTAGGTTGCGAAAATTTTCTCCCATTTTGTAGGTTGCCTGAATGACTACTGGGTACATAACAAAATGAAGGCAGAAATAAAGATGTTCTTTGAAACCAACAACAACAAAGACACAACATACCAGAATCTCTGGGACACATTCAAAGCAGTGTGTAGAGGGAAATTTATAGCACTAAATGCCCACAAGAGAAAGCAGGAAAGATCCAAAATTGACACCCTAACATCACAATTAAAAGAACTAGAAAAGCAAGAGCAAACACATTCAAAAGCTAGCAGAAGGCAAGAAATAACTAAAATCAGAGCAGAACTGAAGGAAATAGAGACACAAAAACCCCTTCAAAAAATTAATGAATCCAGGAGCTGGTTTTTTGAAAGGATCAACAAAATTGATAGACTGCTAGCAAGACTAATAAAGAAAAAAAGAGAGAAGAATCAAATAGATGCAATAAAAAATGATAAAGGGGATATCACTACCGATCCTACAGAAATACAAACTGCCATCAGAGAATACTACAAACACCTCTACGCAAATAAACTAGAAAATCTAGAAGAAATGGATAAATTCCTCGACACATACACTCTCCCAAGACTAAACCAGGAAGAAGTTGAATCTCTGAATAGACCAATAACAGGAGCTGAAATTGTGGCAATAATCAATAGCTTACCAACCAAAAAGAGTCCAGGACCAGATGGATTCACAGCCGAATTCTACCAGAGGTAAAAGGAGGAACTGGTACCATTCCTTCTGAAACTATTCCAATCAATAGAAAAAGAGGGAATCCTCCCTAACTCATTTTATGAGGCCAGCATCATCCTGATACCAAAGCCGGGCAGAGACACAACCAAAAAAGAGAATTTTAGACCAATATCCTTGATGAACATTGATGCAAAAATCCTCAATAAAATACTGGCAAACCGAATCCAGCAGCACATCAAAAAGCTTATCCACCATGATCAAGTGGGCTTCAACCCTGGGATGCAAGGCTGGTTCAATATACGCAAATCAATAAATGTAATCCAGCATATAAACAGAACCAAAGACAAAAACCACATGATTATCTCAATAGATGCAGAAAAGGCCTTTGACAAAATTCAACAACCGTTCATGCTAAGAACTCTCAATAAATTAGGTATTGATGGGACGTATTTCAAAATAATAAGAGCTATCTATGACAAACCCACAGCCAATATCATACTGAATGGGCGAAAACTGGAAGCATTCCCTTTGGATGCCCATTCTTTTATTCACTTGCTTAACTGTTCTGGTTAGAACTTTCAGTCCTATATTGACTAAAAGTGGTCAATATAGGCCTCATTGTCTGCCTCCAGATATTAGTAGAAAGGCTTTCAATTTTTTTTGCTCAGTTTAATATTAGCTATAGGCTTGTTATATGGCTTTTATTGCATTGTAATATGTTCCTTCTATACCCAATTTGTTGAGGGTTTTTATCATGAAGAGGTGTTGAATTTTATCAAATGATTTTCAGCATCTATTGTAATGATCCTACTTTTTTTCTCCTTCATTCTGTTGATGTAACGTTATCATGTTTATTGATTTGCATATAGTGAAATATTTTTGCATCCCTGGGATGTATCCTACTTGACTATGGTGAATGATCTTTCTAATGTGTTGCTGAATTCTGTTTGCTAGTATTTTGTTGTGGATTTTGCATTTATGTTCATCAGAGATGTTGGCCTATAATTTTCTTTTTTTGTTGTTTCTTTATCTGGTTTTTATATCAGAGTATTTCTGGCCTTCTAAAATGAGTTTGGTTGTATTCCCTCCTCTTTGATTATTGAAATAGTTTGAGTAGAATTGGTATTAGTTCTTCTTCAAATGTTCTGTGGAATTCAGCAATAAATCCATCAGGTCCTTTGATTTTCTTTGATGGGAGAATTTTTATTACTGCTTCCATCTCATTACCTCTTATTGATATATTCTGGTTTTCTGTTTCTTTATGGTTCAATCTTGGTACCCCTTTTGCTATATAACACAGATTCTAATATGTTGTGCTTCTATTTTCGTTTTTTTCAATAAGCGTTTAAATTTCTTAATTTATTCATTGAACCATTGATCTATCAGAAACACGTTGTCTAATTTCCAGGTATTTGTGCAGGTTTCATTTCTCTTGTTATTTCTAGTTTTATTCCATTGAGGTCAAAAAAGATACTTGATATGATTTCTACTTTTTCAAATTTGTTAAGACTTGTTTTGTGATCTAAAATATGGTCTATCCTGTAGAATGTTTCATGTGCTGGTGAGAAAAATCTGTATTTTGCAGCAGTTGGATGAAATGTTCTGTAAATGCGTGTTAGGTCCAATTGGCCTAGATATAGTTTAACTCTAATGTTTCTTTGTTGATTTTCTGTCTGGAAGATCTGCATATGGCCATAAATGGGATGTTGACGTGCTCCACTATTACGGTGTTGCAGTCTACTTTTATTTTTCTATTATCTATCTATTAACAAATTGTTACTATAACAATCACAATTTAGCATTTCTTATAGAAAAGGTCTGATAAATTTCTTTACTTATGGGGGCCGGAAGGGGTTCTGGGAAAGTGTTTGTCTCCTTTATTCCTAAAGGATAACTGTGCTTGGCACAGTATTCTTGGGTTTTTTTCCCCCCTCCCTTAGCACTCTGAATATATCATCCCATTCTCTTTTGGCTTGTAGACTTTCTGCTAAGAAGTCTGCTGCCAGGTGTATTGGATTTCCCTCATATGTTATTTGCTTTCTTCTCTCACTGCTTTCAAGATCTTCTTTTTCAGTTACAATTTGTCTTGTGGCATTACAATTTGGGTTGAATCTGATTGGAATCTTTGACCTTCCTATACCTGAATATATAGATACATCAATATCTGGATCTATCTATCTAATCATCATCATCATCTATTACTTATCCATATCTAGCTTTTCAAAGTTTGAAAACCCTTCCATTATTACTTCTTTAAGTAATAACACTATAATAACACAATAATAATACCACTTTGCCTTTCTCCAGTTCCCTTTTTCACTTGAATAACCTGAGTATTTCCTTTTGATGTTGTCTCATAGATACCATACGCTTTGTTTATTCCTTTTAATTCTTTCTTTTTTTCTCCTCTGACTGTGTACTTCCAAATAAACTGTCTTCAAGCTCACTGATCATTCTGTCTGATCAATTCTGTGATAATCTCCACTGCATTTTTTGTTTCATTTATTGCATTTTCAGCTCCAGGGATTATGATTTTTGTTATTATTTCAATCTCTCTATTAAATTTATCTGACAAATTTATGAATTGGTTCTCTGTGTTTTCCTAAAGTTTTTTGAGTTTCCTTAAAACAGCTATTTTGGATTTTTTGTCTTAGAAATCACACATCTCCATTACTTTAGGGTCAGTTTCTGGTGTCTTATTTTGTCTCATTGGTGAGGTCATATTTTTCTGAAGTTTCTTGATCTTGTGGAAGTGCAACAATGTGTGCACATTAAGACGTTAAGTATTTGTTTTATTACTCACAGTCTGGCTTTTTGTGTGCCTGTCCTTTTTCAGAGTTCCTTCTAGGCATTCTAAGCTTTCTGACGGTTGTGTTCCCTGACTGTGTGACCACTGCAGCTGTCTCAGCACTAAGAAGATTTTCTAATCTGAGGCTTTCTGTGAGTCTCATGAGGACTCCGATACAGCTTTCCAGCCCAGGTGGATCTGGAGAAGACCCAAGGAAAGTACTGGGCTGCATGAAAACACTGGCCAGGGACCTTGGGCCAAAAGTCTGCCCTGTTGGCCTTGATTGGCATCCCTCTCCCAGCAAGTTCCTGCACAGCTGAGATAGTTCCCCAATTGCAATAGGAGGTGCCAGAGCTGAGACTGAGACCCCTCAGGATCCTCTGTAGTACAGAGCCTGGAGAGCCCATCTCATTCATCCAGTCAGATATGCCTATTTTAGCAGGTCTGAGAACAGATGAGATAGTTCACCATCTGTAGCAAGAGGAACCAGAGCTGAGACTGGGTCCCCCTGGGATCCAGTACAGGACAGAGGCTAAGGAGCCCATTGGTAAGGGTTAAACTCCCAGGCTATGAGGTATGGGTGAATCTTCCTCTGGGTCCTTATATAAGCAGTTCTGATGTGGGACCTCAGCTGAAGAAGCCTGCAGCAGGGCAACCAGGCAACTTTCAGGTTCACTGCCAAGACTGGTGTCAGCAAACAGATGAACCTTTCTGCCAAGGCACTGGTGTGCACAATTTCTTCTCAGACCCTTGACAGGTAGTTTTGCTTGCAAACTCAAAGCCAAACAGAGAAGTAATTAACCCCCTTAGGGCACTAGATTATTTCTGGACTTGAACCCAGAAGCAATACTGGCAAGGCAGATCAGCCACCTGGATATCTGTCTGCACTCTCAAAATTACCTTCTTAGATCTTTAGCTCCACTGGGCTTTTACAAACTCCTATCTATGCGCAGAATATCTTCTATTCTGCCATCTTGGTGACATCACTTTGATCAGTTTCAGCTTTCTTTGAATGAGTGTTTGCATGGCATATCTTTTTTTTTCTCCTCTTACTTTTAACCTACTGATATCATTAATTTTAAAGCCAAGCAAGGTGGAGAATTGTGGTTGTGAGTGTCCAGTTGCCAGTCTGCTCCTCCAGCTAAGGTATTCCCTCCACCACCCTCTGCCCTCTTCCTGTTTCTCCTCCACCTAAATGTCCATGCTGAAAAGCCCTACACAAATTACATTATCCCATTATTCATAGAGGACCTTTATTTTTCTTGACTACTGATTTTCTGAGATCCTCTCTCTCAACCCTCTTTCTTCTCAGTTTATCTCCCATTCTCATTTATGTCTCAGTCAAAATATCATGTTTTATTTTTCTTGCTGTCATAGTGGTCCACTCAGCCCTAGATAGCATCTAGTTGCCCAGCTGTAGCCAGTGTACTGCAATGATAATTATTTCCTTTGGGTTGATGTTTCAGGACTAGACTCAAGGGGGAGAAGACATGTGGGTAAGGGACCAGGGATTGAGGATTGGAGGAGTCTCCTCACCACTTCAGCCCTGCTAATGTTCTCAAGACAAGAATGATGACAACAAGTGATATTGATTTTACTCATCAAAGTTGATTACCATTGACAGAGACCAAGACATATTGCTTATCATGTCACAAAGATACAAGCCAAAACATATTCAAGAGCTAGAGAAACAAATTCCACCTCTCCATGTAAATAGCTACAAAGTCACATTGCAAATACGTGGATTCAGGGAAGGGAAGAATTTGTGGCCATTTTTATAATCTACCATGGGTCCTGAAGAGTTGAATGTAGTCTGGACAAATTAGTAAACAGGATAGAGAGGTGACCCTATTGTGATTGGTGCTAACATTGAACTTGTTATGAAATTTAAATTCAAGATGGTAATGTTTTGTAATGACAGATAACTTAAATCTTATTATATTATCCACCAGAATCACTCTGCACTAATGAGTTAAAAACAGAGCATATCTCAAAATCAGTAATTAAAACCATGAGTTAGATATATTCCTGAGGTTAGAAGCACAGACGGGTTAGCACTTTGCTTGATGAATTAGATGCAAAGTATGGTGATCAGCTATACATGAATTCTAGGTGGCTTGCTTGTGGAATGGTGAATTGAAAAAAAAAAACTCCTTCATTTCACCCAATGAACAACATTGGTCTTGGCTCCTTACCAAAGATTAGATCAAATACTTGGCCTTTTTATTGAACAATACAACCCATTTAAACACTTTGAATCTTTCTCAGATAAACATTTATGAATAGTTACCGAAAATGATAATCCTATTCACTGAAATCAGTTTCCAGAAATAAAAGGATTGAATTACATATCCTAAATTGCTGAATTGAAAAGTGAATTCAGAAAGTAAAAATCTAAAAATAAACCAGCATGGTTGAATTGGCTTTTTTCAATTAATATTGATAGCGGGGCTGAAGAGTTACAAAGAGCAATAATTATAGAAGTAGGGAAAACAATACTGAAAAACAATATGGCAATGTAGGAATGCCAGAAATCTACAAATATCTCAGAAGAAGCTATCCTAAATATAAAACTATTGTGCAAAGTTTCTATCCATGGGCAGAGTGCCTACATTTGCAAACAGCAATTTGCCTTTATAAAACAATAAAACTAAATATTGCAACCATTTAAAGGATACAAAACTGAATCCTGTATTGCACACACACTGTGAAATGTAAGTTTTGCCACTGATTTCTTGGTGCAAAAGAAGAGATGTAAACTTTTTAGTCCCCAGTTCAGAAATAATAAATAATAAAGGAAAAATTAAAAATTAATTGTGTCTGCATTCCAATTTGTATTTTTCAAATGTGGATTTAAAATATAACCTCCAATAAATGTTTGTATTAAGTTACATACATATCCAATAGCTCAGCAAAAATAATCAAATTTTATTAAATTTTGGCAGTTAGTTTTTCTCACACATTACTTTCTTCATTCTACATTGCCTACCTGGCTCTCATAGGTTTTGAATTTGCACCCCCCTGAAATAGGCTGAATCAGATTAAAACTGGTGCCAGGGGCACCAATCTACAAAAAGTAATCAAACCAGGGTTAATCAGTAAAACGTAAACTTCCTCCACTCCCATGAAATGGAGCTCATCGTCCAGTTTAATTTTTTAAATACACCTCTCTAAAGCAAACTTCTCTGTTGAATGTTTTTGTGATGTGCAGTTCCAGCTAAAAATGAGTAGTTACAGATAAAATTTGGAAGCCATAAAATGCTTAGCTTAATGTTGTTTACCAGTGGATGCATGATTTTACTTTAACACCTAATTTTTAAATTCTTCAATATACAGTCTAATAAATTGCCTGGTTTGAGAAATCTTGAAATCTAAAAGTTATGATTTTAAAACTTTTATTTTGGTGATTCTTTTTCAAGAAATTAACTCAGTTTTGGCTAATAGAAATGAATGTAGTAGAAAATCAGTTTCTACATTAAGTGAATTAATGGAAAATAAGTATCTCCCTTCCCCTTCTAGGTAAGTGTTCTGTCCCTCCCTAACTTTTGCAGAGGCCCCGGCAACAGTGCAAGTTGAGGTCTTCCTAGTATAGATCTGAGGATTTAAAAGTTATAAATCAGCCGGGCGCAGTGGCTTAGGCCTGTAATTCCAGCACTTTGGGAGGCCGAGGCGGGCGGATCACGAGGTCAGGAGATCGAGATCATCCTGGCTAACACAGGTGAAACCCCGTCTCTACTAAAAATATAAAAAATTAGCTGGACGTAGTGGCGGGCGCCTGTAGTCCCCACTACTCGGGAGGCTGAGGCAGGAGAATGGCGGGAACCCGGGAGGCGGAGCTTACAGTGAGCGGAGGTTGCGCCACTGAGCTCCAGCCTGGGCGACAGAGCTAGACTCTGTCTCAAAAAAAAAAAAGTTATAAATTAATCTAATAAGCTAATAAGATGTGTTTTATTCTCCTACTTTGACAAATATACCTTCATAATGACCTAGAAGTCTGGGTTCAAATATAACATTTTAAGATAATGGGAATTTTATACTAGAACAAGGTATGACAAGGAAAGCAGGCTCTGGTCTCCTGTTTCAAGCTTACAGCTTCCTACTTTTATTCCTGCTCGCAGCTCCATCCCATAGTACAATACATTGGAACGAGCCAGCCCGCACATCCAAGCTTCTGACACATCCCTCAAGCAGCACTGCCTTGGCCAACCCTCAGGAAAAACTGACCAAATATAGCTAAATGTTAATAACTGATAACTCTCAGTGAAGAGCAGGTAAGTATTTATTGTACTATTCTTGCCATTTTTTTGAAAGGTTTAAAATTTTTTGAAATAAAAATATTGGGGAAATGAAAGTTTTCTTGTTAACGTCTCCAAGTAACAAAATGGATTTGCCTTCAGCTACATAGCTTGTAAGTGATGAAGCAAAACCATAGCCAGGCCTTAGAGTTCAAATCTGGTGTCCATTTCACACCCTCTACTACATAACTGTGGATCTGTGAATCTGGAATAGAGGGCACTAACAACCTGCGATTCTGTTCTCACTTTGGACAAGTTTTTGAGCAAAAAGATCTGTATGTTCATGAAGATAGAAGAGTCTCGACTTAGAACAAGAAATCATCTCGGAAACGTCTCTAAAACAAAAGGAGATTATATTTTACCACTGAAGGCTAGAAATATTATTATCTGTAGTCATGGAAAATAAAATGCGGCTTCTAGATGGCACCAGCCTACAAATAAATGTAATTGAGCTTCTTCACTGCCTTTTCTTTGAAGTTCAAAGTTGATTACTCCAAGCGGCTGTTCCTCCATTACTAACAAATGGCTATAGAAATCATTACGTATACAGCCACTGATTTGGGAGAAGAGTCTTTTAATAGCAAGAACAACAAATTTATCTTTCCAGTATTTTTCCCACCCATAAAGCACTGACAAGACCACAGACTCCCTGTCACATAGTTAAAAATGTATGATTCTCCCGTAGTAGTAAAGACCATACTCAGCACTCAGATCTTGGTTTCTAAATATCAGTCTCTACTGAAAGGAATTGGGGCTCCTTGAAGAAGTGGCTGATTCTAGAGTTGGGGCAGGAAAATGTAAGATGAGCCAGGAGCATCTCGTAGTGCCAGACAGTACAGAAATGTTCCAACAAGGAAAATGATGAGAGTTTCTCAAAGGCACAAAGAAGAAGCTGACCTGAAAGAGCTCCCAATCACCAAAGCTGGATCAATTTGAGCAACAAAATATATAAAGCATTATATTGTTACCAAAGTTTAAAGTAAATATACAAATCTATAGTGATATAAATAAATGATTGAATGGATGAATACATGAATAAGTAAATAAGAACAAGGAGACAAATCCCCCTACCTCACCTCTCACCCTGACTGTGGGCTGGACTTGCTCCCAAACGAAAGAATATAGAAAAAGACAAACAGTAATTTTACATCGAAGAAACCTGGCAAACACTACCTTAACCAAGTGATCACAATTTACATTACCAGTGATAAGTCATGTTGAGATTCCATACCCCCAATGTGATGAGAAGGACACTCTACCGCTGTAGTATTCTTTGTGAAAACTCATAACCCCAGTTTAATTATGACCAAAACGTCAGACAAACCCAGATTGAAAGACGCCGCAAACTACCTAGCCAGTACTCCTCAAAACTGTCAAGGTCATGAAAAACAAGGAAACACTGAGAAACTCACAGATGGAGAAGAGACGTCTGTGAGCAAAGATAGCTAAATGTAATGTAGTATCTTAGAGGGGATACTAGAAGAGGAAAAAGGTGTCAATGGAAAACTGAAACAAGCTGGATAAAGCCTGTAATTAATAGTAATGTAGAGACGGAGCAAAGATAACTAAATGTAATGTAGTATCTTAGAAGGGATACTAGAAGAGGAAAAAGGTATCAATGGAAAAACTGAAAAAAGCTGGATAAAGCCTGTAATTAATAGTAATGTAGAGACGGAGCAAAGATAACTAAATGTAATGTAGTATCTTAGAAGGGATACTAGAAGAGGAAAAAGGTATCAATGGAAAAACTGAAAAAAGCTGGATAAAGCCTGTAATTAATAGTAATGTAGCAATCTTGGTTTCTTAGTTTTGATAAATGCACCCCCATGATGTGAAATGATAACGGTAGGGGAAATTGAAACAGGTGAGGGCTTCCTATATGGGAACTCTTTGTATTATCCTTACTATTTTATATAAATCTAGAATTACCCCAAAATGAAAATTTATTTTTTAAACTGTAAAGGTTTAAATGTTTTTCAAAAAAAAATTAGAAAAGTTTAAAAATTTCAGTTTCTTACATTCTCATTGAAAACAATTATTTTTGTCCTTTGTTAATATAAAATCTAAAAGTTCCTGGTTAGTCAAGCAATTGCTTAATAAATCATGGTATATGTACTTCCTGGCTGATGTTTCAAAGTACTAACCACACTTCTGGCACCAATAACTAAAATATTTCTGTCAGTGACTTAAATACCACAACAAAAATAGTACTTGACTGACGTAAACTTAAACATTTACACAGTAGTTGTAAATAAATATGATTTTTGTGTTTGGACATCTTGTATAACATCATAAATGTGAAATTTTATTTTGCTAATTGAAATCTATTCATTCAGCAAAACTTATGGTAGAAACAAGAAAACAGGCAATATGATTTCAACTTCCCTCAATCCTTAGTCAGTCAATAAATATTGGAGTTCTAAACTCATGCTAAATACTATTTTCCAGTGTTATAAGGAATACAAAAATGTTGGTAGGATATTATGTCAATTATAAAGTGCTTTTTAGTTCATTATACTTGTTACTTCTAGTATTACAGAATAGTTCTCAGCATAGGGACTAAGCTGAGAGTTCTATGTCATTAATGTATTCATACAAACATCAATAACAACATCCACTTCAGCTGGACATTATTTTTATCTCCTTTTTACCAGTGTGAAAGAGGCTAAGTACTTGACCAGAGTCACCCAACTAGCAAGAGGTGAAGTCAAGATTTCATCCAGATGTGTGGGATTCTGCAGATCAGGTTCTTGACTGCCATTTTATACCCTTGCTCCTCCTGGGACAAATGAAGGCAGCTGAAAGATGACAGCACGGTCACACGGCAAGGAGACAAAGGACCCATGTGCCGCCTTGACAGCTCTATGTCTTTATGGTTCCTTGTGTCTATGTCTACTCTGGCCCTTACCACATTGACTTTTTTAAAGTCTTTAAGAGAGATGCACTTTATTCACCTTTTTATTCTTCTAAGGCCATGGACATTGTCTAAAATATAGTTGATGTTCAATACAAACCCTAGTTAGAAAATAAATTATTACAGATATATAGAAAAACATTATATTAGAAAAATACAGACCACTCTTAATCCATCCTATGTCTATTATCTATTCACAGATATCTTGATGTGATGGTGATGGTCACGATAACTGCCTTCCATCTTAGTGCATGCTCATCTCTCAGTCCTAGAATGATATTCTTTCAGCTTGGATGTTACTTCCTCAGGGAAGCCTCTTATGCATCCCCAGAACTGGGTCAGATTTCCCTCTTAGTGGACTCTCAGAAATTACATACAATTCACTTCTATGTAATTTCCTGTTGACTTGCTGTCTTCTCCACCAGAATGAAAGCTTTCCAAGTCTTGATTAACACTGTACTTCCAGCACCTGGCACCATACCTGAAGCACCATGGTGTTTCTTTTTTTTTGCCATTAACATTTTATATATATATATATATATATATATATATATATATATATATATACACATACATATACACAAGATAATAGCATAAAAAAGTTTTAAAGAGTTATACATACCAAAATATTATACGTACCAAAAAACGTCACTACGGATTTTTCCATTTTTTTCTTAATTTTTTTTTTAAGTTCTGGGATACATGAGCAGAGTGTGCAGGTTTGTTATGGGTAGGGAGAGCATTAGGTGTTTCTCAAAACACCAAACAGCATGTTGCCCAGTGTGAAAGAATCCAAATGGCAAAAATCAAAATTTAATAGAATTATTTAAATACCCACTCTGACTTCCTGACGTGAATCGCTTCTCAAGGCTAAAGCCATCATATTTTCAGAACTCTCTAGCCTCTTGTCTTTCAAGGAAATCACAACTTCTTCTCTCTGCCACCAGATACCAGGCATATGTATTTCAATCAATATATATTTGCCAAGACATTCCTGTAGCAAATTTTGGATTCTAGGACATTAAGTAAAAATGTTATGGCCTATTATCTAGGAAGAGCATGATGGGGCTATAATTTACTCCTCAGCTTGCCTTCTACTCAGATCAAAAGTTGTGGTTTCCCCCTGGACTGATGAGTCAGGATATTTTCATATATATCAGACAAGGTGAGAGTTGTCTTGTGATTGAGATGTTTCATCAGGTCTACAGACGGCCTGCTGGAGGTGTTCCAGTAGAGGTATCAGCGGTCAGAGGAGGCCTTTTCTGTGTTGAATGAGAAATTCTTCATCTCTGGGGATATTCAGGGACATCCTTAGATTATGTGGATTTCAATAGGCCTGCAATCTCACCTCATCTCTAGTAGCAGAGAGAATAGGTTGTGATTTCCTTGAAAGACAGAGCCTAGAGAGTTCTGAAACTAGAGTAGCTTTAGCCTTGAGAAGTGATTCACCCCAGGATGTCACAGCAGTACTTAATTCTATTAAATTTTGATTTTTGTGGTCTGGATTCTCTCACACTGGTCCACATTGCTGTTTGGTGTTTTCAGAAAGATTCCTCTACTTCCCCCTTTCACTTCATTATCTCAATCAGCTTTATGCAGAGAAGAAGCTTACTGAGCTCACTGCTGGTGCTGGTGTAGGCAAGTGCTGCTTTGGCAATCTGGGCTGACCTGGCTTGTCTCCTCAGAACTCCTTCTCCAATCCTGGAGCAGGCTTCCATGCTGCTGTGGGCGTCCTTGCTGGCCTTTGGTAAGTGATGGGGAGGAGACCTTTGCTTGCTGCAAAGCTGAGCCTCACCATGAGCAAAAGCCCTCTTTTCTGCTGCTGCAATCATGGATTTTTACTCCCATTTTAGAACAGCAGAAAATGAACAAAAAGGAAAGATAATGATTTACTGGTAGAAGGGGAAAATGATAATAATTGATTTCCAAAGATGTATTTCTCATCTATTTTTGCTATGAATTGCCTATGGAAAATCATTTTACCCCCAAATGGACTTATTTTGTTTATGCAAAAAGAAACCTATGGCTAGGTTCAGTCCCTACGTCACAGAGCATGAGGACCCAGAGGAAAAGATGGACTGAGTTATTTGTGAAGGATAAAGTCCTGATTGTGAACTCAGGTAGAAAGGATCACCTGCTGAGAATAGTTATTTCCTTCTCTGTATTCTAAGTTCAAACCTGTTCTGATGTTTGCAAAGAGCATGAGAAGAGAAGAGATAAGATGATTTCCCTTTGATTTTTTTCTTCCTGCTTTTGTACCACTTGTCAGTGTTTGTCCAAATGAGGCACGGATTTCCTAGTTGCTCAAACTAGGGAATTAAAGAACAGTCAGTCTTTTGTTCATTAAATATTTATTAAGCGTATTTGTCTAGTTCCCACCTGATCCCCAGACCCCAACTAAGGGAAGACCTATTAGTGTGATTGGCACATGATAGGAACTAAGGAGTGAGTGGATGGGTATACTTGGCATGCCACACTGCTGGGCACCACAGAGGATGCAGAGACCTGAAGGACACAGATTCTGCCCTCAAGAGGTGACATTCTCAATAGAACCTCAACGTACACATGCAAGAACATCTGACTCGACAATATGAGAAAAATATTACACAAATAGTTACAGGATAATGTGTGAGGATGTCAGTTAATTTGTGCTAAGCCCTGGCTACATCCCACTTTTCTAAGGGCACCCCATGTATAAATGTATCCAATTCTCTAACATTTGATCAGGTGGAACTTTTATAACTCCCATTTACAAATGAGGAAATGAAGGCACAAAGATGTTGGTCTTGTCCCTGAGGTTTATGCAGCTAGTACAGTGGCAGAGTCAGGATTCGAACCCATAATCTAACTTTGGAAACTAGGCTTTTAACTACTACCCTCTACTGTCTGTCTCATTTTGAGTTCCAAATTAGCTATGATAATAAGTGTTCTGAGTCAAGAGAAGAGGAATCAGCAGCAGCCCCATACTAAAAAATTAATGACAGCAGCCATTAATTGAAACCTTACTGATCTAACTCATTACAGTATTACTATGAGGTCGCTTTCATGAGCCTCATTTTTCAAATGAGAAAACTGAGACTTGAAAGTTCATGTGGTTTGCCCTGGGTCATACAGCTAAAATTCAAACCAGACTGTCTGAGTCCACAGCCTGAGCGTCTGGCCACTGTGTTTCCCCGCTTCCCTGGGATGGATGGAATGGAACGTGTTTCTCTTCCTCTTGGTTGGAAGTAGCATATGAGTGTATGGGCTCTCAGGGTGAATAGTTCGGGACTCTTCGCCTACGCTGATGGCTGGCTCTTTACTCTCTTTCAGCTCCAGTCTGTGGACAATCTGGTAAGTCCTTATTTTCTTTGCTCCTTTATGTCTCTAGATACCCTAATAACTATATTTTATCTCAAATACTTACAAGAGTCCCTGTTGTCCATTTCATCCTTTTCCTGAGTGCTGCAGGGATGTAGAGACATCAGCTCGTGTGGTGACTCTGACCCTAAGAACCAGGCTATTTGGGGGTGACTCTCTTAAACCAAAACTGCCATTGTGCTGGCTAAACATGGCAGGGCCTGGGATATGTGTCACAGCGTCCACAGGAAGAGGAGCTGTCACCCCGCCTGATGTGGGATTCTAGCCAAGCCTGATGGAATGCATAGCATCCCAAGAGGAAAAGGGTAGAAATAAGCCAATACTTCAGAGGGGGAGGCTGGGGCTCCAGCAGCTTTTCCACTAACCATGTGTAACAAATTTATCCCCAACTTCTGCATCCCATGGAGACACACTTCTCTGTTAATAGCTCAAATTATGATGACTCTGAGTCTCCATCTATCCTACTGGTCAGCAAAAAGTCCCATCCTCTATAGGCAGCTGCCTCACAGGTGTTTTGGCCATTCCTATAGAGCACCCTAGGAGCTGCTGGAGCCAGCAAGGGCCTTGGCCCCCTTGAGGTGCACTGTCTCTTGCAGCTCCTAACTCTGCTGTTCTTCCCCTCCTCGGTGCCTTGGACACAGACTATTTCCCACACACCCTTCCTGAGACAAGATTATAACTTGGCAGACTTTGCTAATGGTTCTAGAATGGGGAAATGAAATACAAAAAGTGCCTTGAATTAACTGCAGCTAGGGATGTGGTTAACCTCAGAGCCCATCAACTCAGTCTCAAACACACGAAGGCCATGAAAAGTTATGTCCCTTCCTGGCCATAGGGCCACCTGCACATAGCAGGGGCAGCTTCCTCAGAGCAAAGAAGAGTCTAGTTGCATACATCAAAGGAAATCAACTCTCCTTCCCTCCAGTAGAAGACCTATTGCCTAAGTCCCAATGGCCCTGCATCCAGGTGCTTCCCAGGAATATAGCTGGTAGGGTTTTCTATTCTCTTCAGCAGAAACACAGCCCCATTCCCACTGATGACATAGAGTATTCTGTCCAAACCTTTAAAGACAGAATTTTCTTTTTAAAAAGTGTCTGCAGAGGCTGGGCACAGTGGCTCATGCCTGTAATCCCAGCACTTCGGGAGGCTGAGGTGGGTGGATCACTTGACGTCAGGAGCTCAAGACCAGCCTGGACAACATGGTGAAACCTCATCTCTACTGAAAATACAAAAAATTAGCCGGTTGTGGTGGCACATGCCTGTAATCCCAGTTACTCAGGAGGCTGGGGCAGGAGAATCACTTGAACCCAGGAGGTGGAGGTTGCAATGAGCTGAGATCAGGCCACTGCAGTCCAGCCTGGGCAAGAGTAAGACTCTATCTGAAAAATAAAATAAAATAAATTCTGCAGAGACACAGAGATGTTTCACCTTACCAAACAGAACATTTAGCTTCTTCATGTAAAACATGCAGTTGGGTTATTTTACAATTTTCTTTTTCCCCTCAAACAGAGGAAGGGCATTTTCTTCACATTTAGATGTAACTAAAAGATCTATTTGGGAAGTTCTTCTGGGCAAAGGCAAGAATGTTTAAAGTTTTAAGCTTTAAAAAAGTAATTGCCTGAAAATCTTTAAATGTAGACAGTCCTCATCTGAGTAAAAAAGGTTCCAAGGAGAAAATAATTTATTCTATTAAAAATTTCATAGTAAATAGCAATCCCCAAAATTGAGATTTTATTTTTGAAAATTAATACAAATGAAAACAATTTGTTTTATTTTCTACTTCACAGAAGTTACATTACCACAGGCAATTTGTAGGGCAAAGCATGAATCTAATATTGACTTTTCAAAATGTGGTAGCTGCCACAGCTCCAGGCATCATGACTTTGTTCAAGGCAGAAAATGGGGAGAAGTAGGGAGACAGGTGGAGAAGGGAAGTGAAGCTGTCAAAGAGCACCCAGTGTGCATCTCTTCTTTCAAATAAAGGAAGAAGATTTTCCCAGAATCCCTATTCCCTAGTCCATCCCTAGCATTATTTCTCTGACATCCCTTTATTCAGACCTGGATCATGTAGGTGGGAAAGTTAATACTTCATTTTTTCAAACACATTAGTGGGCAGAAGGTTAGAGAGAAGAGCATTGGGACTGACTTTTGAGAGCCAAACAAGTGTTTTCCCTATTATAGATTTCTCCTTCATAATCGTTAATAGGTCTTGCTCTGCCATACTCTTTAGTGATTTTATGACTCATCAGAGCAGTGGTTCCACATAACTTTTACCGAGTTTATAAATTACTGCATCTTCAACAGAATCTAAAATAGCAATCAATTTTCATTTGTACACCCATTGAAAGATTAGCCTACCAAAGCACTTATCTTGGAGAAGGCTAGATAGTAGTATTATATTGGTAAGGACGTTTGAGTGAATGTTTCTAATAGTGAATAATTTGTGTTGTAGTTACTTTTGTTGTTAGCCGGCACAAAGTCAGAACTACAAAACTCAGAAAATAAACATTCAGATTAAAAAGAGCCTCGGAAACAGTTTCTTCTTAGAAGATATATAATTAAAAACAAAATCTCCTCCCAGCTCAGAAATCTTCTCTACAACGGTAGTAGAGAAAGTAGGTATTATTGAACAACAATAAGCCAGAATATGATGAGCATCACAGACAACCCACTAAGAAGCTGCAAAGTCAGAAAGGAATTCCACCCCCTCATACAGCCAATTAGATACAGCCCATGCATACATGTTTTCAAGATAAACAATAACTAGGCCTCAAGTAAGAGGGCCTGACAGCAACTTTTCTTCTACTAGTTCATCTTAACTTTATCCTGGTAACTGGCGAGACAACCTGTCTTAAGTAACTGAAGGGAAACAAACTTCTGTCTTTACAACAGCAGGTAGTTTAGCACATTGGAGAAAGCTGAGCCCACCAAAGTTAGGTCCTTACTCTCCCACAGGAACTGAGAGAGACGGAGGAACTATCTCTCTAGATGTTTGTATTCAAAAAGGTGGTTCCCAGGACTTCCCTGGGTTGTGAGCCAGGCAATAGTCTTATTTTTTTATTATTATTATACTATAAGTTCTAAGATACATGTGCACAACATGCAGGTTTGTTACCTATGCATACATGTGCCATGTTGGTTTGCTGCACCCATCAACTTGTCATTTACATTAGGTATTTCTCCTAATGCTATCTGTCCCCCAGCCCTCCAACCCCTGACAGGTCCCAGTGTGTGATGCTCCCTGCCCTGTGTCCATGTGTTCTCATTGTTCAATTCCCACCTACAAGTGAGAACATGCGGTGTTTGGTTTTCTGTCCTTGTGATAGGTTGCCGAGAATGATGGTTTCCAGCTTCATCCATGTCCCTACAAAGGACATGAACTCATCATTTTTTATGGCTGCATAGTATTCCATGGTGTATATGTGCCACATTTTCTTAATCCAGTCTATCATTGATGGACATTTTGGTTGGTTCTAAATCTTTGCTATCGTGAACAGTGCCACAATAAACATATGTGTACATGTGTCTTTATAGTAGCATGATTTATAATCCTTTGGGTATATACCCAGTAATGGGATGGCTTGGTCAAATGGTATTTCTAGTTCTAGATCCTTGAGGAATTGTCATACTGTCTTCCACAATGGTTGAACTAATTTACACTCCCACCAACAGTGTAAAAGCCTTTCCATTTCTTCACATCCTCACCAGCATCTGTTGTTTCCTGACTTTTTAATGATCGCCATTCTAACTGGCATGAGATGGTATCTCATTGTGGTTTTGATTTGCATTTCTCTGATGGCCAGTGATGATGAGCATTTTTTCATGTGTCTGTTGGCTACATAAATGTCTTCTTTTGAGACGTGTCTGTTCATATCCTTTGCCCACTTTTTGATGGGTTTTTTTTTCTTGTAAATTTAAGTTCTTTGTAGATTCTGGATATTAGCCTTTGTCAGATGGGTAGATTGCAAAATTTTTCTCCCATTCTGTAGGTTGCCTGTTTGCTCTGATGATAATTTCTTTTGCTGTGCAGAAGCTCTTTAGTTTAATTAGATCCCATTTGTCTATTTTGGCTTTTGTTGACATTGCTTTTGGTGTTTTAGTCATGAAGTCTTTGCCCATGCCTATGTCCTGAATGGTATTGCCTAGGTTTTCTTCTAGAGTTTTTATGGTTTTTAGGTCTTCCATTTAAGTCTTTAATCCATCTTGAGTTAATTTTTGTATAAGGTGTAAGGAAGGGATCCAGTTTCAGCTTTCTACATATGGCTAGCCAGTTTTCCCAGCACCATTTATTAAATAGGGAATCGTTTCCCCATTTCATGTTTTTGTCAGGTTTGCTGAAGATCAGATGGTTGTAGATGTGTGGTGTTAGGTCTGAGACCTCTGTTCCATTCCATTGGTCTATATATCTATTTTGGTACCAGTACCATGCTGTTTTGGTTATTTAACCAGTGTAAACATTTACATGCATTTGAAAAGGACAGAGAAAGAAATTCTGAAAGAGGAAGAGAAGTCACTTACTTTTGGCAGGGAGAATTAAGCCTCTTATTTTTAATTTGCATTATCCTTGAATTCTTCAGTTTCTATCCACAAATGCTTCAAAGATTTTAGGGCCTACTTTCATGTAGGGTTAGTATTTTACTGTCACAAGAGAGTGCCTTTGAGGTCTGGGAAGTTAGGAGCACCTACCTCCCCACACTCTTATTGTCTGCAACTATCTGGATATATTTCTTATGACAAACAGAGCCTGCTTACCTCTCCCATATATATTTATTGTCAGTAAAAATATAACTTAAATCCCTTTCCATAACTGTCTAATTGACCTCCCAATTTCTATATTCACTCCATCTACAACCCCTGTCCCACCACATGCTCATGCTACATGTATGGGAGGGAAAAAATTTCCCTCTATCTATGTTAGGTTTAAAGAAAACCAAAATATTTCACCCCAAAATATGGCCACCTGGTATAACTAGTATTTTGAATTAAAGGCCTTTAAAGATCAACAGAAGAAACTTTTCCCTATCCACCTAAAGACCAAACCAACCCACCAGTAAGAACAGTTGTTCTTCCCTTCTCTCTACTTTAGGAAAGAAGACTGACGGGTGTAACCACACCTGAACAGACCCTATCACAACAAAATATCTATCCTTCAGGCGCATTCATCTTCCAAATAGAACCATTTATCCATTAATTCACCATAGTCATTATTTATTGCCCTTCAAAAGAGTTACCTACATTCCCCCTCTCCCCACTCCCCTCTAAAAATGGCTGTGTAAGTATCTGGGCCTTATTGGTATATTTGGGGAACCACTCTGTAATTCTTCCTTGTACATGTTAATAAATTTGTAGGCCATTTCTCCTATGAATCTGCTTTTCATCAGTTGACTTTTCAGCAAACCTTAAGAGGGCAAGGAAAAAGGTTCTCTTGATTCCTACAGGTTAATTTTCTGGGGCCCATAAATTAACCTGATAAAAGATAGATTAGACGGGGCATGGTGGCTCACGCCTGCAATTCCAGCACTTTGGGAGGCTGAAGCAGGTGGATCACGAGGTCAGGAGATAGAGACCATCCTGGCTAAGAAGATGAAACCCTGTCTCTACTAAAAATACAAAAAATTAGCTGGGTGTGGTGGCACTTGCCTGTAGTCCCAGCTGTTCAGGAGGCTGAGGCAGGAGAATCGCTTGAATCTGGGAGGCAGAGGTTGCAGTGAGCCGAGATCATGCCACTGTACTCCAGCCTGGGTGACAGAGTGAGACTCTGTCTAAAAAAAAAAAAAAAAAAGACAGACTAACAAGTGAAAAAAGGTTTTAATTATGTACATACACAGGGGAATTTACAAAGAAAAAAAATGGCTCAAGGAGGCAGCCAGATGATTGAGATTTACACAGGTTGAATATCCCTCATCCAAATATCTGAAATCCAAAATCTGAAAGTTTTTAAGCACTGACATGATGATCAAAAGAAATGCTCATTGGAGCATTTCATATTTCAGATTTTTGGTTTATGCGTATGTTCCAAACTCTGAAAAAAAACTCAAACTCTAAAACCCTTCTGTTCCAAAGTGTTTTGAATAAAGTGTACTCAACCTGTATACCATCTTGGATTAAACAAAGGGAAAGGAGTTTTGGGCTTCTGGGTTGGGGAGGCAAGCTCTGGTGGGTGGACTAGGAAAAACATGGTAAACAAGGGTTTTTATGCATATTTAAGTCAATGCCTTCTCTATTGATGAAAGTTGTCAAGAGTCTTCCTCTTCCTGGTATGGGAGAAGGAGACATATTTACAAAAGGAAATTTCCTTTATAAGGGAAAACTTCCTTTTTTACTTATAAAGGAAAACTTGTGCCTTGCTTTTAGACTTTTCCTATTTCTGGTGATTCTCAATAGCCTTTAGCTCAAAATAATCCATATGCCAAAGAGACAAATCTGGAGATGGCATCTTCTGGTACCCTTCACATACAAGAACTCATCTTAGAGAGGTCTCTGTAACAACAAGATCCCAGGTGAGAGTCTAGGAGAAATGCAATTTCCAACTATCTACCTGAGGACCTGGTTCACTGAAACAAGTAAGAGGGTTTGTGAGCCTCCCATCATCTATCACTGCTGAGTGGATCCTGCCAGGGCTGCCCCCCCTCTGAAAGGCCAGTCTGCTGCTATAGACCACTGAGCAGCCACTGCACCCTGCAGGAGGTGAGCACAGCTCACCTGCAACCTGGGTAAACAGAAGTCATCCGGGGGCATCTTAGGGATCTCCCAAGCCATGTCCTCCACTGTAACCCACACAAGCCACTGCAGCTGGGACTGCAGGCACCTCCACCTCAGACCTATTACTCTTTCCTCCTCAGCAGCTGCACACAAACCTGTGATTTCCGTCCATCCTCCATGGACCACATTCTTCAAAGGAGAGAGAGTGACTCTGACTTGCAATGGATTTCAGTTCTATGCAACAGAGAAAACAACATGGTATCATCGGCACTACTGGGGAGAAAAGTTGACCCTGACCCCAGGAAACACCCTCGAGGTTCGGGAATCTGGACTGTACAGATGCCAGGCCCGGGGCTCCCCACGAAGTAACCCTGTGCGCTTGCTCTTTTCTTCAGGTGAGAAAGAAGGTGAATTAGTTGAAACTTTATAAATGGTATCAGTTTATCTTAGCTCCCTGGAGATTCCACGAACTGGGGTCTTTCATTCCTCTCTAACCCTCGATCCCAGCTCCTTTAGTTTCATATTTTCCCTCCAATGTCTACAAATGTTTTTCAAACTACTACTGAAACTTGAGTTTAAATGGTTAATATTAATCGACATCCCCACACACTTACACAGTCAAGAAAATGAGTTAGTTTTAGGGAGTACAAAAATGAAGCTGTCTCAGATCCTGCCCTGCAGGGCTTTATAGCCTCATAAGGGAGAAATTACACACATGTAAATGTGCTGAGGACAAAAGTGCCATCGAAGGAGCTCAGAGGTGGGAAATCTCCAACCTGATGCTTTTTATCCCCACCCGTTGTTATGCGTCCCTTCCTCATTCCTAGTTTTCCCTCTGATTGGCATCAAGCTCCCACAGCTCCTCCTGTCCAGTTTTACCTGATGGATAATGATTTTGGTCACTTCCAAGGGCACGGACTACAGGAGTAGGCATTCAACACAGTCATCTAAGAAAGAAGAGATATAGCTAACCTCAAATTAGAATTATTAGAATATGAACAGCATGGAATTCCCATAAAGGACCACATCCACTGTCCCTTCAACCTAGACTGTGTCTCTGACAAGAATCCTGCTACAAATCACACTCCAATGTCCAGGAAGAGATCCTCATGTAGTTCTCTAAGTGCCACTTCTTTCATAGCTCCTGCTCTGAGACTCGGTGAGCAGGTTGGTGTTAAGTTCTGCTGTACTCTATCATGTCAGAGATTTTGATCACACCTTCTCTCAGCTTTTATTCTCCGTATTAGACTCCTTATCTTTGGAATCTGACTTTGAATGATAAAATAGTTGAGTCTGGGATTTATTTAGGAATTGTACCTGAAGCATGTTACACTGATTTAGGAGGAGTTTCGTGAGCTTGGATCAGGAAACTACATCCTGTGGAAGAAAGAAGAAAACAATAAAGCCTTTGTAATTCAAGAGAAGAAGGAGATAGCAGGAATGCTTTGAATGACGATCTCCTCTCTGTGTCTTTTCCAGACTCCTTAATCCTGCAGGCACCATATTCTGTGTTTGAAGGTGACACATTGGTTCTGAGATGCCACAGAAGAAGGAAAGAGAAATTGACTGCTGTGAAATATACTTGGAATGGAAACATTCTTTCCATTTCTAATAAAAGCTGGGATCTTCTTATCCCACAAGCAAGTTCAAATAACAATGGCAATTATCGATGCATTGGATATGGAGACGAGAATGATGTATTTAGATCAAATTTCAAAATAATTAAAATTCAAGGTGAATCTTTCAGTTCATATAGATTTGCTTAGTAATGACAGGGATAGGAAACTGAGCATGTAAGGAAAGAATTTACGGGTTACTATTGAAACTCTGGATAGATGAGAGGCACAAATCCTCTAAGAGGCAGAGAAAGTGGGGTGATTGGACCTGAATAATCCTGTAGAAGAAAACTGTGATAGAGGGCTTGATAAGTTTGTCTTGCTGTGTGTCTGAAGTTTCCTGGGACTGAGCATCCAAACCTGTCTCTCACAGAGTCCTAAATACTCTCGTGCTCAGAACTTGACTTACCTCTTCTCTCTAGAACTATTTCCACATCCAGAGCTGAAAGCTACAGACTCTCAGCCTACAGAGGGGAATTCTGTAAACCTGAGCTGTGAAACACAGCTTCCTCCAGAGCGGTCAGACACCCCACTTCACTTCAACTTCTTCAGAGATGGCGAGGTCATCCTGTCAGACTGGAGCACGTACCCGGAACTCCAGCTCCCAACCGTCTGGAGAGAAAACTCAGGATCCTATTGGTGTGGTGCTGAAACAGTGAGGGGTAACATCCACAAGCACAGTCCCTCGCTACAGATCCATGTGCAGCGTGAGTGTTGGAGAGCCAGGCATCTTCCCTGCCTCTCTCTGCCCCTTGGGCTCTGTAGGCATGGGGACTATGTAGCAGAGATGGGTTTTATCATCCTGACAGAGGCACCAGGCTTAGGCCAAGAAGTGCAGTACTATAATAAAAGAAATACATGACTTCTTTTCTACCTCCATTTTCCTAAAAACTCAGTCTTCCTTTGAAATTCTATCACTTCAGAATCACAGCTGACTCATGGAGTTAGGTTTGAGAGCTATGGAAAACAAAACAAAACAAGAAAATGAGGTGCCCTGCTAGGGATTTGGCAGATTCTAGAATGGCTAGATCTTAAGGATAACTATTTAGAAGACAAGCATCCACCTTTTCCTGGTCAGTAGCAATGAACAGTGTGAGTGCCTATGATGTGTACAGCAGAAAAGAAGGAGAGATAGATAGATAGATAGGCCCAATAAATATCACTTAGGTACAAAATTATGACTTTTGAAAACAGATGTGGTCCAGCCTAGTGCCATGATGGCTGCTATTGCTATTACCTGCCCCTCAAAACAACTCAGACCTCCAGCCAGGATGTCAGACAAAACCCAAATGCTTCTTCAGGGTTAGTCCTTTTTTCTTTCCTGGGGCCTCGTATATCAGGATGGAAAGCTTATCACATTTAGTGATATTCTCAGCGCTAAATCTGTGGTCTATTGGCCACAATGCTAGTGCCTGCTGAAGAGTATATCTTGAAGTCACATAAAAAGTAACCCTGCCCAACACCCCAGCTACCTAGCCCTGCCCTCCTTCACACCCGACCCCCACCTGTGGTCTCATTTTCACATAGGGATCCCTGTGTCTGGGGTGCTCCTGGAGACCCAGCCCTCAGGGGGCCAGGCTGTTGAAGGGGAGATGCTGGTCCTTGTCTGCTCCGTGGCTGAAGGCACAGGGGATACCACATTCTCCTGGCACCGAGAGGACATGCAGGAGAGTCTGGGGAGGAAAACTCAGCGTTCCCTGAGAGCAGAGCTGGAGCTCCCTGCCATCAGACAGAGCCATGCAGGGGGATACTACTGTACAGCAGACAACAGCTACGGCCCTGTCCAGAGCATGGTGCTGAATGTCACTGTGAGAGGTGAGTTTTAATCTCTATTGACCTTATTTATTCTCAGCAAACTTCCTCAAATTAAGGGTGGGGATAGCTAACATTACCCTGTGACTCTGCTGTTTCTGTTTCCATTTTGCCATGCTCCACTGTGATAAACAATTTCTTCCATTAGAATAGTAATAACTCACTCAGGTCAGAGTAAGGTCCTGTAGTGAGGTAATGGTGGCTGGGAGCCATTTTGCTTTTTGGAGGTGATTTTGTTTGTCTGTGTTTGGGTCCATTGTGTGTTTATCTCCAAGAGGAGCCTTACTTCATTAGCAGTGTTTCTGGGTGGGGCACAGCTCTGTCACCCTACCGTGTCATCCTACAGTATCAACTACACCTCTCCTTTCAGTAAATCATTCACACACACCACACACATCAGACCTGCAGCCTCAAGTCCACAGAACCAAAAGCACAAGGCATTCCTTTACTTCATTACTATAATAGAATCCTGAGGGATTCTCAGCAGCCAAATTGTATGTGGGTCAGGAAACTCACAAGAAGCAGGGAGAGCAGATACAGAGCCCACTTTTGTCCATTGAGGAGAGAAGCCTTACTTTGGGATATCACAGGTTTAGCTCATATACATCTCTTCCTCCATCGCTGAGAAGCCACACTGGGCCAAGCTATGTTCTCACTCAGCTACCTTGGCACTAAGGAAGTGGTCTTTACTGGGCTTCAATTCCTCCTCAATCTCAGGTTTAGTTGTATTCCTGTCTCTCTGAAAAAGGAAAGAAAGAAAGAAAGAAAGAAAGAAGGAAAGAAAGAAAGAAAGAAAGAAAGAAAGAAAGAAAGAAAGAAAGAAAGAGAGAGAGAAAGAAAGAGAGAAGGAAGGAAGGAAAGGAGGAAAGAGAAAGAAAGAAAGAGGGAAAGGAAGGAAAGGAAGGAAAGAAAGGAAAGAAAGGAAAGGAAAGAAAGGAAAGAGGAAAGAAAGGAAGAATCTAGCTTTTATTAAGTTACTGGAAAGCTAGATTTCCCTGCTTTTCTATACAATAAAACTCCTCAATTCACTCTCCTTACCTCCCTGATTTTTTCTTAAACCCATCACCACCAGGCTTGCCTCACTCCACCAAAATTACTAATGATCTCCATATTTCTAAGGCCAGTGGAAAACTGTTCCCATTTGATTTGACCTACCTCCAGCTTTTGATACAATTGATCCCTCCCTCCTTCTTGAAACATTTTCCTGCTCAATTTCTGGGACATAACCTGTTAGTATTCTATCTATTCAGCAGATACTTTTTTAAAGTTTTCTTTCCAGATCCTTATAATATTTCCAACTTCTAAATTTTGGGGACTGCTCCCCAAAAACAGCTGCACTGTTTATACAAAGTCAGCTCTGACGGTCAAAGCCATAAACCTGAACAGTTTAGTCAGAGGCTCCAGCAAGGGGTTGCTATGCGAATGGCCCAGATGCGGCTCAACTTTCCCTTCAACTCCCTTGAGGCAAGTCTTATGATCAAGCAGGGCCCACCAGGTTAAGAGACTGAGGTGTTTCCCCAGAACTAAGTACCACAGCAATCTGCATCTCAGTCTGGGAACATCACTGGGTGTAATTCCCAGCAGAGAAGGACTGAGACTGAGCTAATGTCATTTCAATGACTTTTTTTTTTTTTTAAGATGGGGTCTCTCTCTGTTGTCCAGAGTGGAGTTCAGTGGCGTGATCTTGGCTCACTGCAGCCTTGACCTTCTGGGTTCAAGCGATCCTCCCACCTCAGCCTCTCAAATAGCTGGGACTACAGGCATGTGCCACCATGGCCAGCTATTTTTTTTTTAATTTATTTTTCATAGAGAAAGGTTCTCACTACGTTGCCCAGTCTGGTCTTGAATTCCAGGGCTCAATGGCATTTCAAGAATCAGATTAGGGGAGAGGAAGAAGGGATTAGCAAAACTGCAAGCTGCCAAGGGCTCCCTCGAAAGACTCCTGAATGCCCTGAAATCCAGAGTAACACTGATGGTAGAGGGTGTTTCTTCTGCAGGAAGGCTCTTATTCTGAAAAGTTTACCTCAGGAAGTTCAAAGATTATAATCTCTGAGGAGATAACAGTGAATCTGTTGGTAAGTATAAATTATTCCTCTTCCTTTTGGGGGTTAAGATCATCAGAATGGATCAGCTTCTCCTGATCCAGGCAGTGAACTGGCCACTTCACATGTATCATTTCATTTTATTCTCATGACAGCCCTGGAAAGCAGGTGTCAACATCTGTTAAGGAAACAGATGATCTCAAAGATTAAACAAACGTCAAGGATCCAGTGATGTTTGCTGGAATAGGGATTCCCTCCTAAATATTTTTTAATCATGGACTTTATGCAAAATCCCCGTGCTTAGAAATAGGAGAATATATAGCAAAGAGAGAAACTCTGCAGTAGCCTCATGCACTGGGCTAAGGTGGGCTGTCTCAGGCAGCTTGAACTGCCATAACCAAACACCAGGGACTGGGGAGCTTAAAAAACAGAAATCTATTTCCTCATAGTTCTGGAGGCTGGAAGTCTGGGATTAGTGCACTAATATAATTTGGATTCTTGTGAGGGCTCTCTTTCTGGCTTACAGAAGGCTACCTGCTTGCTGTGTCCTTACATGGCAGAGAGAGAGAGCAGCACAACCTTTCTGGTGTTTCTTCTTAGAAGGGCACTAATCCTATCTTTGGGGCCCCACCCTCATGATTTCATCTAAATCTGATTACCTCTCAAAGGCCCTGTCTCCAAATACCATCACATTGGGGTTAGAGCTTCAGCGTATGAATCTGGGGGAGAAGGGCACAAATCAATCCATAGCATGGACTGAGGATGTCTGGGGTAGGGCTGTGTGGGAGCAGGCTTAACCTATGGAGGTGTCCTCTAAGCTAATCAGAGAGCAGCCTGAATTTCCTGAGAGTCTAGGGCATGGTGTCAGGACCACAAAATATGAACTAGTATTTCCCTAGACGTAACACTTAAGTGGCAGGCACTGTTCAAAGCACTTTACATGTATTAACTCATTTACAACAGTAAATAGGAAACTGAGGCAAAGGGAGATTAAATAATTTTCCCTGCCCACACAGTGAGTAAGTTGAGGAGCTGGGATTCTAATCCAACAACCTGGATTTAGAATCTGTGCCTTTCTAACTGAGACAAAATTTCAATTACTTTCCCCAAAGTAGCCATTTCTTTTAGGAAATAGGGTTACCAGGAAGGTAGAGTAACTTGCTTTCTGCCCTTTGAGTCTAGAATCCTAGGCCTGGGTGTGGCTGATTCTGATTTTGCACCGGCGGATGCCCCAGCAGGCAATGGGGAAAGATTCAATACAGGATGTAGTGGCCAAGCCTCTCTGTCCTTAGATTTCTGTCCTGCTCTCCACCGTACTCTTTCAGCTGTTGTGGCTGGGAAGCTGGGCTGGCTGTCCACTGAATACTGTTTATTAGTGGAACCACTCATAGGTCAAAGGGCAGGTTTGTTGATATTGTTGAGGAGGGAAGGATAATATCAGAAATGTCACCAGCCACTCCTAGCCAATGGCTCCTCTGTGCCCAAAATCATAGATGAAAATAAACGGAAATCATGATCAGTGTTGCTGTTGTTCTACTACCTGCATGTTCTCTGTCAATTCTGTGGTACCTGTGTCTGAGGTCTGAATTTGGTTTACCTGGGGACCAAGAATACATATGGGAAAGTACCACGCCCCACTCTCCACTCTCTGTCCCTCTGTCATGCTTTTTGCTCTTTAGCGCATCACTACAGGGCACGGTATAAATTTATTTATTTGTTTATGGCTTGTCTCCCCTCCCTGGGTTATAAACTCAAGAGCCGGGACTTTAACGTCTTGTTCACTCTTGGGTCTTCAAGGGTTAGGTCAATGCCCAGCACAGGGCAGCCTCAGTAAATATTTGTTGTATAAATAAGTAAATTGAATGAAACCTCCTTTTCCGTGGATGAAAGGATAGGAGAACGGACCCCATGGAAATATCAAAAGCCCCTAACAATTTATTGATTATGTGTACTTTTCCATCCGTTTTTTTCTCTCCTGCCCTTCAGAGCACACAGGCACAGGCTTCTATGAGGAAGGAGGCTGATGCCATTTCATCGTGGTGTCCCAATGCGGAGCAATCTCAGAGTTACTGTTGGTTCAACTGGTGCCATAATCAGTGGTGCAATTTTCATTCTCTCTCAGGCAGTTTGCTGTTCCTAAGTTAGGTGCTGCCAAGCCATGATCCCACAGTATCTCTCCAGGTGTCTGGGGGCAATTTGCAGGAAGCCAGCTTACCAGAATACAACATTAGGATTTCCCCTAAATTGTTAGTTTCTAAAATGATTCACTGAAGGTAGAGGGAGCTGCTGTTTCCTCTTGCACTCAGGCCCTGGCCCACCCAATGTGAGCTTTTCTGGCCAAAACCTGGCCCAAGATGTCTTTATGAGACCTAGTCCTTTAGATTTTTCTCTCTTCCAGGGCTCGTTACCCAACCAAGCTGAGGAAAAGGCAATCCCAAACCCTGAACCTCTCCACTGAGATTCACACAGGTCCTTTCCCCTTAGAGACCCCAGGCAACAGAGATGGCCTTGTCGCCGCGGGAGCCACTGGAGGGCTGCTCAGTGCTCTTCTCCTGGCTGTGGCCCTGCTGTTTCACTGCTGGCGTCGGAGGAAGTCAGGTTTGTGCTCTTTTCTTTGCCACAGTTCCTGCCCTGTTCCTTCCCCTGAACTCAGCATGCAGACAGCCTTAGTGGCCACCAGGCCACCACTCCCAAGTCTCCACTCCCAAGTCTCCACTCCCAGCGTTCACACACACTCACGTCCGTCCCTTCCTTAAGGGGCAGTTTTGCAAACAGAAGCCATGAATGAGAGCTGCTCATATCTAGTCTGATTGGCTAAGTCTCAGTGAAGGGGAGGAAGAGTGAAATTTTTAATGTAAAGTTCCAAAAACTTTATCTGAACAGTTTACTTAGGCAGTTTCTTTGGTTCATATAGACTGGCCAGTTAGATACTTCAGCCTATCCTAAATCCACCATAAATGGAGATTCAGAATGAACTAAAGGCTCTGCAGAAATGATTGAGAATAAGAGCTGGCTAATTTTATCCTTCTGTCCCCTCAGGGGCTTTTCTGGGTCTGGCTTTTCAGGGGCTTTTCTGAGCAGGCTTGAGCCTGCCATCTGGTGCTCCAGTGGCCCCTCTCTCCTCAGGTCAGCCTCCCCTGCCTCTTGGAGATGGTCTGTCCCAGGCACTGTTTGCTGCGTGCTTCCAAAGACTTCTTGCCTCAGCCCACCTCAGGCTGGCTTTAGATGCCAAGAAACCTGGTGTAGAAGACAGGAGCAGAACCTTTTTCAGCTCTAGAATAATTACCCACATCCTTCAACTCTGTCTCTTAATTCAATTCAACTTTCCAGATTCCTGACAGCACCTTCTGTGTGTCCTGCATTGAACTGGAGGTAGGGAGCTTTGGACCTCTGACCAATTCTCCTTAGTGGGGCTGAGTCAGAGCCCAGTGCTCCTCTGGGCATGGCCACAGATGTTCCTCGAAGTTCACCCACAGCTCACTACTCTCCAAGTGACACTTTTGTTATATGTAATGTTTCCTGAGGGATTTCAACACAGACTTGAGTCTTAATAAATTCTCAGACAATTACATACTTAACTCAGGAGTGTGCAGTCCTGGCCTCAAAAAGTTATATGCTTTGTACAATCTTTTTTTCACCTCATTTTCATGAAAACCCAGGACTGGGCAGGTGTTTGAATTGACTGTCTTGATTACCTCTCTTAGATAGCTCCTGTTACATGAAGTCATTGAGAAAGAGCTCCCTCTGCTGACAAAAATGCGTCTTTGCTTTATTTTGCAGGAGTTGGTTTCTTGGGAGACGAAACCAGGTGAGACCTCAGTTTCTGCCATTCCTTTTTAGTTTCCCGAGTACACAATATGCAAAACTGTGGGGTTATGAAATTAGGTCAAGTTATACCTCTTTGGCCCTGTGGCTAGATACTTCCATTTTCACACTCCATGAATTTGTCAAAAATGAAGCTTCCTAGAACTTTGCTTGTCAGCTAATAGTTTGCAATACATGCAAAATAATAGATTTCTTATTTGATCTTAACCTACTCATCTAAATGGATAATACCAAAGGTTATAAAGTACAGAATATTTCTTGTACTATAATTAAGTTAGACAATGTGTTACTATAATTATGCATACAATGACTAGAGTCTAGATTTTCTACAAATGTTCTAGGTTTTCCAGAGAACTCTATGTTTCTAATAATCTTCTTTTTGCACCATACACGCATATATACTCATTAAACGTTATGTGCTTAACTTCCATTTGGAAAATACTGTCATCTTCCTCCTTCTATGTCAGTGTCTCAGTCTTAGGTAAGGAATAAGAGTGTGGATTATGTCTAATTCCTTCTTGGATTGTACAGACATTACAATGTAAAGACATTTTATGTATGTATGTATGTATGTATGTATGTATGTATGTATGTATGTATGTATTGTCACCCAGGCTGGAGTGCAGTGGCACGATCTTAGCTCATGGCAACCTCCGCCTCCCAGGTTCAAGTGAGTCTTGTGCCTCAGCTTCCAAAGTAGCTGGGATTACAGGCATGAGCCACCACATCTAGCTAATTTTTGTATTTTTAGTAGAGACCAGGTTTCACAATGTTGGCTGGGCTGGTCTCAAACTCCTGGCTTCAAGTGATCTGCCCGCCTCGGCCTCCCAAAGTGCTGGGATTACAGGTGTGAGCCACTGCACCAGGCCAACAGTAAAGTAAAGACATTTAATCACTACTTCCTGATGATGAAGAAGCCATTATGTATATATTTGAGACAGGATCTGGCTCTGTCACCCAGGCTGGAGTGCAATGGCATCATCTCAGTTTCCTGCAGTCTTGACCTGCCAGGCTTAAGCAATCCTCCCACCTCAGCCTCCCAAGTATCTAGGACTACAGGTGCATGTCACCATGCCTGGCCAACTTTATTTTATTCTGTGTAGAGACAAGGTCTCACTATGTTGCCCAGGCTGGAAAGCCAGTATTTTTTAACCAAACAAGAGTAATCATTCTGACTATGAGACGATGATTGTTACGATGATGTCAGAGACTCCCTAACCTTGTTTCCAGGCAGCCTGTCCATACCACAGCTCCAGGGTTTTTTTAAAAAGAACAGTCTCACTCTATATAGACCTATTGAAACTCTGATTAAACCATTCAGGCTTTCCAGTTCCCTACTGGCTGCTGACTTTCTCCAAATCCTCTTTCTCCTCTGCCGCTCTCCCTGGGTATCTCACTCTCCCGCATGTTACAGTGTTCCAGGGATTATTATGTGTTTCTGTGTCTCACAGGCTCCCTCCCGCTCCAGGCCCAGGAGAGTCCTCCCATTCCATCTGCCCTGCCCAGGTGGAGCTTCAGTCGTTGTATGTTGATGGTGAGGATTCCCTTCTAGGAAGCTGTTCCTGGCCTCAGCCATGGAAAGATAATGCGCTTTCAGCCCTGGGAAATGCCCCTGGACTCCCTAAAGTGTCCCAAATCCAGATATTCCCAGATAATTGTTCCATTATGTGTCCAAGAAGAGTGGAGATGATGCTTAGGAAGAGGCATCTGTAGCACTTTAATACTAACAGGAACAGCCTTGAAAATGTCTTTTCTTTCCAGTACACCCCAAAAAGGGAGATTTGGTATACTCTGAGATCCAGACTACTCAGCTGGGAGAAGAAGAGGAAGGTACGTCTTTGGGAAGAGATTCTGGCTGCAAACTATATTCATTCATTCAACAAATATTTACTGAGCACCTCCTATGTGCTAGGTATTCTTGTAAGTATGGGAAGTCAATCAGTAAACAAGGCAGACAAAAATCCCTGCAGTGGAGAGCTTAGATTCTAAGGAGGGAAGATAGGCACTGAAATACACACAGTATACTTTTGCTGATGATCAGGATGAAAATTAAGCATCCTTCTGATAGATATTGTGATCATTATAGTGTATGTACTAAGGTCTCCCTTAGGTCTGAATGAATAAATGTTTGTAAAATGTCTACTATGTGGTAAGCATTGTGCTGAGAATATATATACATATATATATGTATACATACACATATATGTATATGCATGGCATTTTAATTAAGTGCTAGAAAATGTGATTTTTACAGTATTATATTCCTCTAATTACTGTCAGATTTTAAATTTTATATTGGAGCAAGGTAAGTTATTTGGAATGAGTTGGATCCTTTTGAGGCTTGCTTTTATTTAAGCTTTGTTAGGGTAAGTCTCGAGCAACCTTTAGAGTAGGGTTAATCTAGCCTGATAGTAAAGCAATGCATTTCTGGGGACTCTACATCAGATGGTCCATTAATTACAAAATCTGCATCAGCTTCTGGTATTATTCTGCCTGTTCTTTTCTGGTAGTTCTTACCCCGGCCTAAGATACTTTCATCTTACAAATATGCCTATCAGTATTCAGCCTAAGACCTGAGGAGAACTCTCTGCAGACTTCTGGAGCTTTCGATCTGTTTTCCTCCTGTCTCTCTGGTACTGTCCTACAAATTCTAGCTGCTTCAGTAAAACAGAACTGTTGGTCTCTGTCACTTCAAGTCAGCAAGGCCTCAAGCCAGAAGCCAGGCTCTTTCTAAACTCCCAAGTCCATGCACAGCTTAGTGGTAAACTGGTGCAATATCTGAAAACCACTGTTTTGTCCTTTTTTCTCATTGTTTAAAATGGGAAGATAAATCCAGTCCCTGTTAGTCCGTTTTGGCCACAATAAGCTGAATTGTTTCTTGAAGTTCTACTTCACTTCTTTAATCCTATTCAGACCCCATTTCAAGACCCACTAACAAATTGAGATCTTTTGTTAGAAAAATACCTCTCTAGGTAACTGCAACCTATGGTCCACTTTGGCTTTCTGAGGTGGGAGCTCTATATCCCAGTATCAGGGAAATCACTTCAAAATCACTTCAGAAGTTCAAGAGGAATTTCTGAGATCTCCTTCACCAGGCTGGGGGCTATAACCTGCTACTCTCACCTCAGAAAGCTAAAGCAGAGACACATTGGACATAAACTGATCCATCTTTCTAAAGACATCGCTTCAACCAATCTTCTTATTTTTTTCCTCCCCACACTTCCTTGCTTTGGTTGATTAACCTGGGTTCTTAGAGTCAAGGAAACAAGCAATTCTCTCTATTTCTTGTATAAATCCACCCATGGCACCTCACTTGGGAAGTTAAAATCTAGGAATTTTAGTTGTAACCTGATGCTGAAGGTGTTCTATGAAAATGAAGTATTACACATAAGACTCAGAGAAGGACTTTCTCAAGGTCACAAAGCCAGTAAAGGACAAAGCTAAGACCAAGTCTTCTGTCTTGCTATATTTTCTGCATGCACAGCCTATTACTATATTTGACCAACATATATCACCTGATCACTTGTTTTGTCTTTCACTTTGTTCCCTGAGCCACCTCCATTAATCAGGATCCCCTTTGAATGGCAGCATTAGAATGGCCACTACCTTTCTTGGGTTGATTGAGTACATCTTATCTTATAAAGCTGTCTTGATAATTTTGCTTTTCTTCATACTCTTTCCTTGACATATTTATCAAAACACCATTTAAGCCAAGCATTCTGTTGATGGACTAGTTACATTTCAGACACTTGAATTATTAATGATTTGTAGAATGGTTTCTTCACCTGTTCCTTAAGGTTTACATGAAGCCCCTGAAATCATATGCAAAGTTTTGTACATATGACCATTATTCTGGGGAGAGTACATAGCTTCCATCATATTATTAAAAATATCTGTAACCCCTAAAGGTTTGGGGTAAGAATATGGTAACAATACAGTAAGAAACAGAGAGAAACCTCAAGTGCCCCAGAGTGTATCTGTTTTTCAGGCTCTCTCTCTCCATAAAATTGCTCTGCTGCTCTGATAATTCTACCTTTTACTCTGAGACTCTTAATTTCTAATATGCATGGTTCACCAAATCACATCTGCTAAACTTACCTCTCACTCTGGCTCCAACTCTAGGAAATCATGGCAATAAAAATCAAGAACTAGAACTTGTTAATGTAGGAGAGAGTTTTTCTCACAGGGCATGCATATGGAGTACTCTAATGGGAACTTGCCAAACAATCGGGGGTGGTGAGATGACAGTATTGTAAGTTAAGAGAAGCAAGAACTAAAACTAAGAAAAAAATTATCTCTCAATATCTGGTAGAGGAAGGGTGTGAGGTTTCTTAGTGTGGTATTGATGGAGGACTTTACGGATCAATGGAGCTTGAAAAGAACTTGCAGAGGGCTGGGTTAAGAAATGGTAGAACAGAAAGTCATATGTATTGCAGGACATGTTAGGGGATGAGGTGGAGGGGATGAGGTGGACAGGGCCCAGTGGCTCTCAGACTCTAGGGCATCAGCTAACAGACTGAGTTCTAAGTGCATCATTATGCCCATAGTCCAGTGATTCTCTTTCTGTCCACAGCTAATACCTCCAGGACACTTCTAGAGGATAAGGTGAGTTTCATTTCCCCACAGTTTTATCTCCACCATTACCTGCAGCCTCACACTCCCTCTCGGTTTCCACTTCTTTCTTCCATTTCAGGATGTCTCAGTTGTCTACTCTGAGGTAAAGACACAACACCCAGATAACTCAGCTGGAAAGATCAGCTCTAAGGATGAAGAAAGTTAAGAGAATGAAAAGTTACGAGAACGTCCTACTCATGTGATTTCTCCCTTGTCCAAAGTCCCAGGCCCAGTGCAGTCCTTGCGGCCCCTGGAATGATCAACTCATTCCAGCTTTCTAATTCTTCTCATGCATATGCATTCACTCCCAGGAATACTCATTCGTCTACTCTGATGTTGGGATGGAATGGCCTCTGAAAGACTTCACTAAAATGACCAGGATCCACAGTTAAGAGAAGACCCTGTAGTATTTGCTGTGGGCCTGACCTAATGTATTCCCTAGGGTCTGCTTTAGAGAAGGGGGATAAAGAGAGAGAAGGACTGTTATGAAAAACAGAAGCACAAATTTTGGTGAATTGGGATTTGCAGAGATGAAAAAGACTGGGTGACCTGGATCTCTGCTTAATACATCTACAACCATTGTCTCACTGGAGACTCACTTGCATCAGTTTGTTTAACTGTGAGTGGCTGCACAGGCACTGTGCAAACAATGAAAAGCCCCTTCACTTCTGCCTGCACAGCTTACACTGTCAGGATTCAGTTGCAGATTAAAGAACCCATCTGGAATGGTTTACAGAGAGAGGAATTTAAAAGAGGACATCAGAAGAGCTGGAGATGCAAGCTCTAGGCTGCGCTTCCAAAAGCAAATGATAATTATGTTAATGTCATTAGTGACAAAGATTTGCAACATTAGAGAAAAGAGACACAAATATAAAATTAAAAACTTAAGTACCAACTCTCCAAAACTAAATTTGAACTTAAAATATTAGTATAAACTCATAATAAACTCTGCCTTTAAAAAAAGATAAATATTTCCTACGTCTGTTCACTGAAATAATTACCAACCCCTTAGCAATAAGCACTCCTTGCAGAGAGGTTTTATTCTCTAAATACCATTCCCTTCTCAAAGGAAATAAGGTTGCTTTTCTTGTAGGAACTGTGTCTTTGAGTTACTAATTAGTTTATATGAGAATAATTCTTGCAATAAATGAAGAAGGAATAAAAGAAATAGGAAGCCACAAATTTGTATGGATATTTCATGATACACCTACTGGTTAAATAATTGACAAAAACCAGCAGCCAAATATTAGAGGTCTCCTGATGGAAGTGTACAATACCACCTACAAATTATCCATGCCCCAAGTGTTAAAACTGAATCCATTCAAGTCTTTCTAACTGAATACTTGTTTTATAGAAAATGCATGGAGAAAAGGAATTTGTTTAAATAACATTATGGGATTGCAACCAGCAAAACATAAACTGAGAAAAAGTTCTATAGGGCAAATCACCTGGCTTCTATAACAAATAAATGGGAAAAAAATGAAATAAAAAGAAGAGAGGGAGGAAGAAAGGGAGAGAGAAGAAAAGAAAAATGAAGAAAAGTAATTAGAATATTTTCAACATAAAGAAAAGACGAATATTTAAGGTGACAGATATCCCAACTACGCTGATTTGATCTTTACAAATTATATGAGTGTATGAATTTGTCACATGTATCACCCCCAAAAAAAGAGAAAAAGAAAAATAGAAGACATATAAATTAAATGAGACGAGACATGTCGACCAAAAGGAATGTGTGGGTCTTGTTTGGATCCTGACTCAAATTAAGAAAAAATAAAACTACCTACGAAATACTAAGAAAAATTTGTATACTAATATTAAGAAATTGTTGTGTGTTTTGGATATAAGTGATAGTTTATTGTAGTGATGTTTTTATAAAAGCAAAAGGATATTCACTTTCAGCGCTTATACTGAAGTATTAGATTAAAGCTTATTAACGTAAATTCGGCGTACATGAAATTAGTAGATGAAATGATGTGATTTGGTTTGAAATAACCCGATGAGGTGAGGGTGGGTAGGAAGTGGGTAGGTATAGATGTAGCAGGATCAGTCATATGTGCACCATTTCTGGAGCTGAGTGAAGGGTACATTATGGGAAGAAGAGGAGGCTTATACTATTCTTTACTTTTGCAAGTTTTAATTTTCCATAATAAAGAGTTAAAATATCTACACCCAGAAGACCACCTCGTTATACCACTCCATTATTCTACTCTTGTCTGAGGTGCTGCTCACTTCCGTTACAGTGGTGGCTTCGTGTCTCCCTTCTTTTTCCCTTTCGTCCCCACAGCCCATTCTCAGCACTGCGGTCACTGTGCTCAAAACCCTGCAGTGCCTCCCCATCTCTCTTACAGTGAAAGCCAGATGCCCTAAGTGCCCACAAGCCTCCACCTGATCGCTCCCATTGCCTCCAGTCTTCTGCCATTCTTCCCCTTAGCACTTCACTGAGGAAGCGCTGCCTTCTGCACTGCTTCTTGCACACATCAGGTAAATGCCTGTTTGAGGCCTTTGCATGGGCTGCTCTCTGCTTAGAATGCTCTTCCTCCCTGATATCCACCAAGGCTTTGAGGTCTGCCCTGGTGACTCAAGGCTTTGAGGCACATGTAAATCTGGAAACTACTTCCCCCCATCTTTGGCACCTCCAGTCTCCATTACCCTGATTTGCTTTCTTTCCATAGCGCTTATCACTTTCAAACATACTTTGAAACAAACGTTGCCGATTTACTACACTTACTGCATATCATCTCTCTAAAAACTAGATTTCTTAAGGGCAACAAACTGTGTTCTCTTTGTTCATTGATATACCCCAAGTACCTAGAACTCTGCCTGGTACATAGTAGGTGTTTAATCGATATTTTTGAATGAATGAATCAACTATTTCAGTAAGGAAAATCATTGCCCTCTCCATGATGGAAAGGATCCAATGCAAATAATCCACAACCACAGAGTACACAGGCCCCTGAGGAGCTGACTCCATCAGAGGCTCAGGTTTGGCCTCTGTGTATGTCAATTGGGCACTTAGCAGTGGTCAGACTGGCCTGGGTGAGTACATCCTTATGTTACTGAATCCTTCCATAAACTCTGCACCTTCCACCAAGGCCGCTTCATTAATGAGCCCTTTGAGCAATTGCTGGAGTAACTGGAGAAAGAGGCTGCCTGACATTCAGCCAGAGCAGATGATCACAGCCTCCTGATTCCTGAGATCTTCCTCAGTAAGGCCTTGGGTGAGTATTCTCATAAGACACAAATATTCTCATACTCTGGATCCATTCAAAGAGGTCCAACAATATGATTCTTGCCTAATCTTGCAGTTTTATTCTTTCCAAATTCCTGACCATACAGCTCCAAACACTAGCCACTGCTCATGAATCAGAGTAAAGCCTCACCTCTGGACATCTCATCTTCCAGTCAAAGTGGACCACTGGGAATACCCATCTCTGTCACAATCCTCCAGGGATTCCTGAATGTGGTTGAGGTGCTGCAATTGTCACCCTCAGCTGATGTGAGGGCATATTTAAACCAGGATAGACTGTTTTTTCCTCCTCTGTCAGTTGGTCATAGGGAACTCACCACCAGGTCATAGTTGCTGGTTGAAACAGAGAGGTAAAAGAGCAGCAGAATATGAGCTATTCATTGTTTATTCAACTTACCATTGCTTTCAGACCATTCTGGAGTGAGACCTCCTGCAAATCACTTCCACTTAATGATGGAATAATCCTCAATATATTATGAATTTTTGCTTTGTGGATCAGACAGCTTCCAGTTCATGGGGAACAGCTCAGGTCTCTGGTGGGCCATGTTCAAGTGTTCAGTGAAAAAGAAAAGTTACTTGAAGAGAACATAGTTTTGCTCCAAAATTTTATGGTTCTCAACTGTGATTCTCCTGTAGAGCCTTGCTGTAGCCTTTACACAACATTCTGACCAGCCATGACAGTTTTGGGCTCTTTGGATATGCTGGATCCTAAAAGCTAAGGTCAGTGCTGCTTGCACTGTAGCTTAGACAAGCTAAAGACCCCTTGCTTGCTCAGGGGTCCACTCAAGGATGATAGGTTTGTGAGTTATCCAGTTATTGAGTCAGAACAAGCAACCAAATGTGACATCTGTTGCTTCCAAGATCCAGAGGCCTGTCAAATGTTGGGCTTCTTCCTTAAAAGAATAGAAGCAACAATTTAATATACTATCCCAACATGTTGCAGACACCCGATTGCACAATAAATCCCCAAAAAGGAAGAATTAGATTTAATAGAATTTCTTTAATTATTAATTTTAACAGCAGAAATCTGTATATTTTGCTAAGAATAGTAGACCAAGGATAGAGGAATATAATTCTGTTTGAGGCTAAATGAATTGGTACAGATACACTTGGAAGAGACTCTCGACTCAGTGGACTAGATCAAGCAGCTGGGAGTGATTCTAATTAGTTTCTCTCTTGGTAGATCAAAATCTGTAGGCAACAATGGCCTTGGAAAAATAAAGTTGAGATAATAACAAGTCCTTGGTATAACGTAGGGGAAGAATTCAAAGATTTATAGAGATGGGATTGTGGCAGTGGATATATCGATATATCACACATGTTCCATTCACATGTACCCTATATCTCTTAAAAGGGTATTTCCACAGAACGTTGAAAAATACATTAGTGATAAAAGTATCAGCACCTTTGGAAAGTATAACAGAAATAGGTCAAGGACAAAGGTGAAGACATTGCCTCACAAGTAGGCTCCCTGATAATGATGGAGTCTCAGAGTAGCAGAGACAAAAGAAGGCATGGCTACAATAATGAGAAAATGGTAATGACAATACTATGACTGAAAACAACTTTGCGGCCAGGAGCGGTGGCTCATGCCTGTAATCCCAGCGCTTTGGGAGGCCGAGGTGGGCGGATCACAAGGTCAGCAGATCGAGACAATCCTGGCTAACACGGTGAAACCCCGTCTCTACTAAAAAATACAAAAAATTGTTGTAGTTCCAGCTACTGGGGAGGCTGAGGCAGGAGAATGGCGTGAACCCGGGAGGCAGAGCTTGTAGTGAGCCAAGATCGTGCCACTGCACTCCAGCCTGGGTGACAGAGCGAGACTCCTTCTCAAAAAAAAAAAAAGAAAAGAACTTTGGGTCATGGGAACAAAATAGGTGAGCAGACCATACGCACACAAATGAAAGTAAACTGGAAGCCTGCTTGGAATCATAGAAGAGAATCATATTCACCCATTTTTGTGCCAGTTGCTGTACCAGTCAGGGTTCAGTGGCAGACAACAGAGTCCACCCTAACTAATTTATGAAGAAAGGAATTTGTTTAGGGTATTAGTGGAAAGACTAGAGAGTAAGGCTCTAGGCTGAGCCTGTAGGAACAACTTCCAGAAGCAAACTGCCAAATTGGCATAACAAGAGGGCAGCCACTGTCACCACAGCTGACTCAAGATCCATGGGGCCTCTGCTGCTACTGCAAAAGTTCTCAAGTCAGAAAGCTGCATAACTGCCACTCGGTACTACAAGATTAGACTGACCAAAGGCCATAGCTCAGAAGAAGCAAAATATCCACTTGCATCACCCAGCTTCCAAAAGAGCCACACAGTTATGACTTCAGTAGATTCAAGCTCACTTCTGAGTCTTCTAGGTGGTCTGTTTAGTGGAAAAGAGGCTATATGCAAAGACCCTTGCTTTACCCTTCTACTTCCTATTGAACAAGAAGTCACAAGAAGTCACTCTAGAAAGAGCTTAAATTGCAATTAAACAGTTACTCTTCAGTATCTACCACCATGTTTCTTTTAGAATGGTGTGTGTGTGTGTGTGTGTGTGTGTGTGTGTGTGTGTGTGTATTCTTTTAGTGTAATTACTAAAAGCTGCAGACAGAGGGAGTGTATCAAAACAGAATATAGATTTTTAAATTCAAGAGAATTTAGTTCAAGTCCACAATGTCACACTTATTAGTATAAGCCCTTAGACAAGTTACTTACATTTTCGGGGTTTTATTTCCTTCTGTGCAAAATGAAGATAACACCTACCTTGTACAGCTGCTATGAGCACATTTCTTCTTCCAAGCTTTTGAACTTGCCATTCTCTCTGGCTGTAATGCTCTTCCCCTGGCAGCCACTGTCTGCGACCTCATAACCTTCAGTGCCTGTTCAAATGCTGTCTTTTTTAGGAGGTCTTCTGTTGCCACATGTTTAGAATAGCAACATGCCCCAACCCTTATCAGCCTCCTTCATCCTACTCTACTTCATGTTTCTCCAATGCACTTTTCACCACCTAATATTCTAATTTTTTTCTCACTTCTTTATCTGATCATTTCACCTATTATTTATGCTTTATGAAGACAGGAACTTTTATCTGTCTTGTTCACTAATGTATACCCACTGCATCCTACAGAAACCAATATATGGTAAGCACTTAAGTAACATTTGTGAATTATGAGGATTATATAAAGCAATGAGTGTAAGTGCCGGTGCCTTTCTCATATAAGCACCCAATACATGTTAATTATTAGTATTGGTATTTACTACTGATATGTTTCTAGGTCAAAAAACATTTATTGAACACTTGGTATACCAAACACAATCTTTGATCAGAAAAATGTGTCTCTCTTGACCAACATACAGGTTAGGGGGAAAAGTGTCTCTCTTTGTGAAATTTCCCCAGTAACGTACTGGAAGAGATAGATGCATAAAGACATAACTTCCATATAATATGAAAGTAACATTAGAACTAATAGGCACTAAGTCTGTGTGTTAGGGAAGGTAACACTAGCAGTTTTAACTGACGATCCTAGAAATCTTAGGAGCTCTCTAAAACAAAACATCCCATCACTTGTTCCCAGGGTGAAGGGCAAGGCTCTGCTGCTCCACATGGTCATTCAGGATCCTAGGCTCCTTACATCTCATCGTACCACCATATTCAGGGCTTCCAAATTCTCTGCAAAAAGAGGGAGTGTGTGGCAGATGATCCAGGAGACTCTAGAGGCCATTCCTGAAAGTGGCATGCATTCATCCTTCCCACATTTCATCTGCCAGAATTCAATCACAGTTCCTTGCCTATCTCAAGGGGTGGGAAAATAGTCTAGCTATGGCCCAAGAAGCAGAGGATACAGATCTGCTTATCATCCTGGAAAGTAACTGCCATACTTGGCAAAGGGAAACATTCAGGGAAATTTTACTGGAGGATAAGCACACAGATATTAAGACAGTGACATGTGGAGTCATGAAAAGCTGAGTTCAAATTCAGGTAAGAATTAGTAGGCTTTGTTAAGTCACTCAAACTCTCCAACCCATTTTTAATACTTAAATAATGGGAATAACAGTAAAATATAATAAACTTGAACCTATAAACTTATCGTGAGGATTAAATGCGTGAAATCTTTTTTTTTTTTTTTTTTGAGACAGAGTCTTGCTCTGTCACCCAGGCTGGAGTGCAGTGGCGTGATCTCGGCTCACTTAAATGTGTGAAATCTTAAGCACAGCATAATTACATAGTAAGCATTTAATAAATAGTACCTCTCAGGAAGAGGAGGAAGTTTGAGAAGGCAAGAGGGAACAGAAAGAAGAGCAAAAGGAGATGGAGTTGGAAAATTAGACACAGAGAGGATGTGCTGGGGAATGAAGAAAATGACTTTAGACTGATAGAAAATGTGCAGAGGCATAAGACAATAACATGTGTTCAAGAAATTACAAGCAATTTAGTATATTTGCAGAATAAAATTCTCTTTACTGGAAAATCATGTCAGTCCAGAGAGGGTGAGACCCTAGCAGGCCTTGGTGCCATAATCAGGAGCTTCATCTTATAACAACTGAAAGCCACTGAAGTGCTTAATCAAGCAACATATCCAGGTTTGTGCTTCAGATAGATTCTCCTGGTGGTTGTGTAAAAAAATCACTTTAGGGTAGGAGAGACTGGCTGGTGGTAGGGAGGGTGGTTGGTTGCTGTGACTATCACGTAGGTTAGAAAAAGAGGGCCAGAGCAACAGATGTGCTAGAGCAGAGGGGTGCAAAATTTGTTTTGTAGGAAACAGTAAAAGTAGTGATTGACTGGAGGTGAAGGAGACAGTCTAGGCTGACTCCCAGGAATTTGGCTTGGACAACCAGGGGAATGATGTGCTGTGGAGAGAGACTGCAGCATAATCTAAAAGCTCCTTGGTCATATTGAAGTTTCATTCTTTTTCTATTAATATTGCATTTTATGCCCCATGATTTAATTTTCCAAATCTTTTCCCAAAACAATTTCTAGAAACTTTGAGACTCATATTGGCTTTCTTTCTCCCAGAATATCACTTTGTGTCTTAACTAAAAACAAAAAATTGCCTTTGACAATTTCTTGCCTTTATTCTTGAGTCAAGGTGGAAAGTTGACCTATGTAATCTCTGTGACCAGTGCCATATAATCTATGATTCCCGTGTGCACACCATCAGCTTTCAGTGCACATCAGCTTCATCCCAAATTCTCGCTTGTCGTGTTTAATGAAATCTCCAAAGCCGACATGAACTTGAGATAAGATTTAAAAACAGCCCCCACCCAGGCTAGGCGCGGTGGCTCATGCTTGTAATCTCAGCACTTTGGGAGGCCAAGGTGCGCGGATCACGAGGTCAGGAGATCGAGACAATTCTGGCTAACATGGTGAAACCCCATCTCTACTAAAAATACAAAAAATTAGCTGGCGTGGTGGCAGGCACCTGTAGTCCCAGCTACTCAGGAGGCTGGGGTAGGAGAATGGCTTGAACCCAGGAGGCAGAGCTTGCAGTGAGCCCAGATTGTGCCACTGCACTCTGGACTGGGCGACGGAGTGAGACTCCATCTCAAAAAAAAAAAAAAGAAACCCACAGCCCCCACCCAAATGTTAGTTCTAAACTTGCAGAAAGAGGAACCTCAAGATAAATATATCATTTATGTTTATGCAAAAGTATGTTGGGTCATCGGACTTCCCAGAGCCATGGAAAAATAACACCTCAAGTATTTACATAAGCTGAGGGGACAAGGGGAAAGCCTCAAACCAGTTGGCTTCTATTTTCTGGTTTAATAATGAGGTTTTTCATTACAAAAGGAAGGAAGTTCATCTGCATAGGGCCTTCCTTCTCTGAGAACACATCTATTCTATTATCTCTTAAAAAAGCCAAAGTCATCCCCTGGCAGTTGCCCAGGGACTGCAGAAAAGAGAACAGAGTTACATGCAAAACTGGCTACATGATTTGTGGGGCTGAGCGCAAAAAGAAAATGCAAGGCCCTTGTTCAAAAAGCAAGAAAAAAGGTGCCATTAAAGGCACTTTTTCCTTTATTCCATGGTCTCTCCCTTAACTTGTCATGAGATGCTTTTTATTTGCTATTTAATGTCATTCTAAAAGAAGAAAAAAAATGACATTTTAAATTATCAGTGTGAATTTTTACTGTTCATCTTTATATTTTGCACTATAAAAGCATTTAAGTAGTATGCAGGATTATTAAAATTAGACAATACTTACTTCGTAGCTTATACACGCAGGCATTTTGTTCTTATCGGAACAGTGGAAATGCTACATAATTCAAAAAAATACACAATTCTTTTTATTTTATTTCTTGATATGTGCACATTCTAACAACACTTTCTACCTTTGGTTTATTGATGAGAATGGAAGGAGTGAAAGGTAAAACAACTCCAGGTTGCCCTATCTTTCCCTTTCATTCTTTGAATGGAATGGGATGAATCCTTTCAATGAAAGTGATTAGCTAATATAGGGACGTAACATAAGAAAGATACAATAGATAGAGTTCCTTGGCTGTTTGTTTCTTAGAAACACCACTGCCTTCTTTCTATATGAGAAGCAAGATCTGGATCAAATGGAAAGTGATGTCTTCTTAGGGTTGTCGGTCATTGATGTCATACACTTACCTTGTACTTGCTTTGCATCTCACTGAAGTCCCACTCATTGTGGGTACACTAGAAATACTGGGATCATGTGATATTGCAAATGTGGACATGCATATTGCAAGTATCTCCTCAGCTCATGCACAGACTCTTATCCAATTAGACTTCATGTACCAAACACAAGTTCGAAGATAGAACTATTACAAGTTTCAAGATGGCAACAACAAAGCATTAAACCAAGCTCAGGGCCCTTCTGAGTGCTGGGCCCTGTGTGACCACACCGGACATATCCAAGGAAGCCACCTGTGGTTGGATATTTTCATCAAGTCACAAGAGGCTGGTAGGAGGGCTCTCCAATAGGGAATTGATCTTCTAGAATTAAACAGGCCCCAAACAAGTTCTTACTCTCTTTTAATAAATTATTTGCAACTATTTCAACCTGTCATTGGAATTTCTGACCATGACTGTGCTGGGCTTAGGAGGCTACTGAGCCTGAAAGCCCTGGACTAAGAACAGCCTTGATGAAATAGTAATTGTGTGACTGGAAAGAAGAACTAAGGCAAGAGTTCAGGGTGGTAGGCTGATACACTTTATAACTGCTATTTATGCAGCTTCTGCTATGTGCTTGTAATATACTTTACAAACATCTCATTTAATCCTGACGACAACTATAAGGCAAGTATAACCAACACCTGCTTTATAAACGAAAAAACTGGGGTCAGAATTTTGCAAAAATTTTCCCAGTCACACAGACAGTGACAGAGCTAAGATTCAGTTTCACGTCTGTCCAATTCCAAAACCTATACTCGTATTTATTATTTATGTATTTATTTTTGAGACGGGGTCTCACTCTGTCACCCAGGCTGGAGTGCAGTGGCACAATATCGGCTCACTGCAACTTCCACTTCCTGAGCTCAAGAGATCCTCCCAGCTCAGCCTCCCAAGTAGCTGGAACTACAGGCACATGCCACCACACCTGGCTAATTTTTTATTTTTTTACTTTTTGTAGGGATGGGTTTTTGCCATATTGCCCAGGCTGATCTTGAACTCCTGGGCTCAGGCAATCCACCCACCTCAACCTCCCAAAGTGCTAGGATTACAGGCATGGGCCAACATGCCCAGCCCAAAACCTATGTTCTTTCCATATAACAAGCTTTCTCCATTGCCAAGGATCAGCGTCTGAATAAACAAGGCCAATGCTGTATTGAGACAGCTGAGTGGGAGAAGAGCCACAAAGAAGAGAAGAGTCTTTGTGCAGAGATTTTAGATGAGAGTCACCTTGGCAGGCCCAGCATGTATCCTAAGATGGGAGGAGATTTGCTTAACAAATCTAATGATACCTCCCTGTTTCAATTATTCTTTTTCCTAAATATTAGCAGGTAGCTATTAAAAAGGAAGAAAAAAGTCAATACAAACAAAATAACAGGAAGTATCCACGGGTTGATTTAGGTGTGGGAATGGGCACATACTGGAGAACTAGCAAAGAGTTTGAAGGCTGCAGAGCTTTTGTTCCTAGAACCCTGTTCAAGTAAGCAAAGCCACAGCACACAAAAAGAGGATGGCCAGCATTCAGGGACAAAGTCAAGGGGCCAATTTAATCTGACCAAATATTCCTTTTGAATATAGTTGCAAAATTAGCAGCAAGAATGCAATGTAACCCAAAAGCATGAGTGGCATGCCCAGGAAGTCTGAGCAGCTGCTTATGGTGGACATCGAGACATTTTCTTTCCTCATCTCTAGCTGTTGCCCTTATTTAACACACTCAGGTTGGTATAGGTAGTACACTCAGAAAATTGTGAAATATTCCAGTAGATTCTTTTTTCTTCTTCCCCTTTTTGAGATAGGATTTCCCTCTGTTGCTCAGGCTGGAGTACTGTGGTACAATCTCAGCTCCCTGCAGCCTCAACCTCCCAGGCTCAAGCAATCCTTCTGCCTCAGCTTCCCAATTAGCTGGGACTACAGGCAGGCACCTCCATGCCTGGCTAGTTTTTGTATCTTTTGTAGAGACAGGGTCTCACTATATCGCCCAGGCTCATCTCAAATTCCTGGGCTCAGACGATCCTCCTGCCTATACCTCCCAAAGTGCTGGGATTACAGGCATGAGCCACTGTGCCTGCCCTCCAATAGATTCTTACTAAACCTGATTATACTGCTCTAGAAGATTTAAACTGCAAAATACAAATTCACAAAGTAGTGATGTATGCTATTATATGGATGAGCCTCAGAAACATTATACTCATTGAAAGAAGCCAGATACAAAAGGGAACAAATTATATGAATTCATTTCTGTGTTCAAAATAGGCAACTTTATAGAGAAAGAAAGTCAAATGGTGGTAATCAGTTAGTTGCCTGGGTTGTTGGTGGGAATTGAGAGTGACTGCAAATGGATGCCAGGTTTCTTTCTGAGGTAGTGAAAATGTTCTAAAATTAGATGATGGTGATAAAACGAGTGAATACTATCATTAAATATTGTACATCAATAGAGCTGTTAAATACATAGGCAGTCACCCAGGGATTTTTAATAAGCATGCATTACCACAAGTAAAGACAACTGGTAGAAAGGCTGAAGTGCAGAAAGTGAATAGAACTTTGAAAAAGCAAGAGATTTTGGTGTCATGCAGACAAAGGTTTTGAATATATTGAGTTATCTCCTGTGATTTTTCACACCATCCTAGTGAGGTGGGCATCGTGGTCCCCATTTTTAGGATGAAGACACTTAAGCTCGAGTTTAATAATTTTCTCAGGGTCACCTAGCTGGTGAGTGGCAGAGCCCTGAGTTTTTCTGGTAACAATGCCCGTGCTCCTTCACCTCTCCATCGTGACAGAACATTGCCTGTAAGACTTTCCCTCAGGAAAATCCAATATTAACATTTAAGAAATTAAAGCTTCTTTTTGCCCAGATTTGTTTTCACTGCCAACACTTTCTCTTCATCTGTATCAACTCTCTCTCCCCCTTTACCATAGTACACTTTGTGGCCACAGCATCCTGCTTGTCAGCATACAAAATTCTGCTCATCCCTCCAGGAGCTCCTGAGAGGCTCTGCCCACTCTCCAAACTGACTGACAGAGCCCGAGAGCTACTCCAAGCCCACTCAGTGATCATGAGATTACTGTGGTTAATTCCACACTGCCTGTTTAAATACGCCCTCCAAGAACCTTTAATTTTTATCTTTCTGTGTTGTAAATAGTACAGTGCTTATTTATAAACTTCAGAACTCTAAGTTTCCATTTCCTGTCACCAAAATAGGCTCCTAGTAATTGCTCTTGAGAGGTAACCATTAAACCATGGCCCCTGCTGCTGCTACAGCTGGCTGAAGGAAGATCTTGCATCTAGATTCCTGTTCAGATACCTGTGACTGTTGAAGCTCTTTATTGAATTTTTTAGGCTCATGCTCAGACAGCTGTCTACCACTAATTGTGCCTTTTGGCTTACAAGATGCTTGAAAGTAAAGTATGCAATTTCTTTGAACTTCAGTTTTTCCCATCTATAAAATGACGATAAAAATACCTGCCTGAAAGAATATTTTCTGTGTTTTTTCCCTGTTGATTCAAAGGTTAAATAAGGTAATATTTACAAAGTATCTGGTGTGATGCTGTGTTACAGTAACCATCCAATATATGGCAACCATTATTGAGATAAGGGTAAGGATCTCCTTCAGTTGAGAAAAAGGCATATCTACCACATTTTACTTACTGAAACCAACCACAAATGACCAAAAAACAAACAAAAAACAAACAAACAAAAAAAGAAACTCCATCTTCAGTGAAACTTTTGAAAACCCACATTCCTCAACTTATAAATGCTGGAGAGCAGCTTCTAATCACAGTGAAATTGAAATTCAAACCAAACCAAGGGAAGAAATGAGGTGGCAGGAAACGCAGGCTCCAATACACATCTACGGGAAAAGCTCCAAGTTTTCCAACAGTAAGGGGCAAAGTCCTGAAGCTCCAAACCAGTAAACCCATACTCAGAAGACAAGGTGTTGGGAGTATGGAGACTGTAGGAGCATCCTCAAGTCCCACAGAACACTCAAAAAAGCAGGGACATCCGATCAGAATAAGGCACTTTGCAGATGTGAGGAGAGATGGTACACAGTACTGGCTCTGCAGGTGTGAACATTATTCCCTGAAGAGAAGTACATGCTAAATCACCACATGGAAAAAATCTGTGAACTACAGGATGTCATGCTAAGCCAGGTGGACCACCTCTTGATTCTCAAGAAAGAAAACATGGCAGAGATGGCGAGGAAATGCTCTGAAGCAAAATACCTATGTCTGAGCTGTCTGCTGCCTCAGCTCACACCCCAGCTTGTCCCACAATCTGCTCTTCAGTCAATAGAGAGTTGGGAAAGTGTGGCCCTTGTTGAGAGATAAGCCATAATCAGACTGTCACTAGCATGGGATTCAGGCATGTAGACAGAATGAAAAAGCATAGGCAGTAAAACAGTATAGGCAGAAGAAGCACAACGCCACCCAGCCATCCAAAAAAAATCAGACAACCTCTTCTCCATGACATCAGAGAAATTTTAAAAATAAAGTCTTTTTTTCATATAATGACACTTTGGGCTTGAAAAAATGTAGCAGAAACAGAAGAATATTGAGGGTAAATTAACAAAGCTCAAAAAACAGAAGAGGAAAATCAGCCATATTAAAATCAGAAAACAAAAAATGAATAAAAATTGCTGAAAATATAGTAATGAAAGATGGATTTGATAAAACTAAACAAAATAAAATAGGAAAGAACAAAGGTTTAAATTATGACAGAGAAAATAATTGATATGAGTGACAGATAAAAGATATCCAATATTCCCATAAGTGGTATTCTGAAGCCAACAGAATAAATGCAAATGAAAAATATTTAAAGATATAATAGAAGAAAGCATCCAGAAAACTGATACAGAATTAGCAACATGACATATTTGGATAAAGTTACTATACTTCAGAGATTTTTTAAAACAGAATTTGGTGGACTTTGGGAGGCCAAGGTGGATAGATCACCTAAAGTCGTGAGCTGAAGACCAGCCTGGCCAACATGGCAAATCCCCGTCTCTACTAAAAATACAAAATCAGCTGAGCATGGTGGCACATGCGTGCAATCCCAGCTACTCGGCAGGCTGAAGCAGGAAAATCACTTGAACCTGGGAGGTAGAGGTTGCAGTGAGCTGAGATGGTGCCACTGCACTCCAGCCTGGGTGACAAAAAGAGGCTCCATCTCAAAAAAAAAAAAAAATTGAAGAATTTGGTGGACAACCAGAAAAAAATCAAGTTATGTGGAGGAGGGGAAAAAGCTGTCTTCAAACTCGTAGCTGCGTTCAAAACTAGAAGACAATAGTCTAATGTTTAAAGACCCTCAAGAGAAGAAAGATTAACCCAAGAATTTTAAATCCAGATATATTTCAGGAATAAAGCAAAAACATACTTTCTAACATGCAAGAACTCCATGACTGTGGCACTTTAAGACAAAACATGACTTAAAACCTATGAGGACTATTGAATTCAATTAAATATAACACTAAAATCAGGCAATTATGAGAATTATGGTTATAGAACACAGTGTAAACGTTATAAACCCTGAGAATATAGAAATTATACTATTAATAATAAAATCAGGAGGTGGAGGATATGAAAACATATGGGACAAAGTAATAGCAGGCCGATTCCTTTCTTTTTTAATAGGAAATAAGTAGATATTGTCAAATCAAGAAAGATAGCTATAAGAATACTACAGTTACAAGGTTAACCACTGAACTAAGAACAAACTATAACTCCTTCAAAACATGAACAGTGCTGTACCCTCTTTAAAAATACAAAGGATTGAAAGAAAATAAAACATTTAAAAGAAAAAGTTTGATAACATGAATTAGATAACAGAGTTAAGACCAACCACCTTTGTCTTATGAATGTGGAAATATGATAATTTTATCAAAGAAATAGATTTATAATCTAAAAACAAAACCCAAGCATATATTATATGCAAGAAATAATTCTAAAACAAAGTAGCCTGAGACATGATAAAATGGTGACAAAAGTGTACAGCCATGCAAACAAATAAGAACAAGAATCATGAGGTTAATATCAAACAAGTCTAATTCAGCTAAAATAATAAAGTATTAAATCAGACCAACCATTGTGGAAGTCAGTGTGGTGATTCCTCAGGGATCTAGAACTAGAAATACCATTTGACCCAGCCATCCCATTACTGAGTATATACCCAAAGGATTATAAATCATGCTGCTATAAAGACACATGCACACGTATGTTTATTGCGGCACTATTCACAGTAGCAAAGACTTGGAACCGACCCAAATGTCCAACAATGATAGACTGGATTAAGAAAATGTGGCACATATACACCATGGAATACTATGCAGCCATAAAAAATGATGAGTTCATGTCCTTTGTAGGGATATGGATGAAGCTGGAAACCATCATTCTCAGCAAACTATCCCAAGGACAAAAAACCAAACACCACATGCTCTCACTCACAGGTGGGAGTCGAACAATGAGAACACATGGACACAGGAAGGGGAACATCACACACCGGGGCCTGTTGTTGGGTGGGGGGAGGAGGGAGGGATAGCATTAGGAGATATACCTAATGTTAAATGACGAGTTAATGGGTGCAGCACACCAACATGGCACATGTATACATATGTAACTAACATGCACATTGTGCACATGTACCCTAAAACTTAAAGTATAAAAAAAAGATAATTTAAACAGATAAATTATCATAGTAGAATTTTAAAGTTTCCAAGGAACAATCCTATTTAAGAAACCTATCAGTATAACATAGTTTCAAAGATAAATCTTTCTAACTTTCAAAGAGTGAATAATTGCAATTTACTTAAATGGTCCTGAGGCACACAAAAATTAAAACTAGAAGGAATTTTTTTTTTTTTGAGATGGAGTCTCGCTCTCCCACCTAGGCTGGAGTGCAGTGGCGCGATCTCAGCACACTGCAACATTCGCCTCCTGGGTTCAAGCGATTCTCCTGCCTCGGCCTCCCGAGTAGCTGGGACTACAGACACATGCCACCATGCACAGCTAAGTTTTTGTATTTTTAGTAGAGATGGGGTTTCATCGTGTTAGCCAGGATGATCTTGATCTCCTGACCTCGTGATACACCTGCCTCGGCCTCCCAAAGTGCTGGGATTACAGATGTGAGCCACCGTGCCTGGCCAGACCTTTTTCTTAATATAATAACAATTATGTATCTCAAGCCAAAAGTTAGATTTGCATTTAATGAAGAGCACCAAAATAGTTTCCAGTAAGGCTTGAAAAAATGGTAATTTAGAATTGTTCTGGTAGTGTGTTTTAGTGAGAAGAAGACAGTTTGAAACAACCCTAAAAATTGAGTGACTCAACACATAATAGCTTATTTTAACTCAAGTTACATGTCCAACATGAATTGGCAACAGATCCAGGCTCATAGAGGCTTCACCATTTTGTACCTGCACTGTCTGAATCACATAGGCTGTTTGGTGCCAATAGCAAGAGAAGTGATACAGGGGCATTTCATGTCTGCTCTTGTATATGTCAGCCTGGAAATAACTCATACTACTTCCTCTCACAGACTATAGGACACATCTAGTCACATGGTCCTCTACTATATGAGAGCTGAACAATGTGGAGCATACGGGTATTCTGTGAGCAGTAAATGTCTTTATTTCAAGAGAAATAAAACATACAACCATAAAAATTGCAAAGAACGAGATAAAATTAAAGCATGCAAAAGTTATGCTATAAAAGAAATCAAGAGTTGAGATAGATTAAAATTAGAAAAGATGTGGATTTGAATATCATGATTTACAAGTTTGACCTAATAAGAAAAATAAATTTTAAAACAAACATTACTAGAGATAACTGGATTATCACTTAGTGATAAAAAAAGAACATTCCTAAACATGATGGAATAAGCCCATCTCAGTTATCTATTGCTGCATTAAAAAAAAAAAAAGCCAAAACCTTGTGACTTAAAACAACAATGGTTCAATAAATGGACCATGCTCAACGAGATACTCAGATTAGCTGAACGTCATTAGTAACATTACAGCAAACACAGCATCAGATTCGGGTTTTTAAGTATAGCATCCAATCAACTGAATCAAGTCCAAATGTAGATGAGACTCTCCCAGTGTGGCTTTCAGGCAAGAAACAGAGATAAAGAGAGATATTTAATAATGGCGAGTGTGTCAAATTATCAGGAAGAGGTAACAATTCTAAATGTGTAAGCGCTTCATAAAATAACTTCAAAATATAAAACAAAAAAAGACAGAAATAAAAAGGAAGTTGACAAATTCACCATGATAATGGAAAACCCTAACATAATTCTCTTGGTAACTTATAGAATATTAGAAAAAATAGTAAGACCATAGGATATTTGAATAACACAATATAGAATATAAAATTATGTAATTCACAGAAATGAAATGCTGCACCAATATTTGCAAATATACATTGTTTTAAAGAAAACATGGAAAATTTACAAAACGTGACTATGTACTAGCCCATAAAGCAAATTTCAACATATTTCAAAAGACTGAAATCACAAAATATGTTCTCAGACCACAGTGGAATTAAACTAGAGATTAATATCAACAAAAATGAAAATCTCTATTAGGAAAAGAAACAATACACTTCAAAACAACCCATTGGCCAGAAGGAACACCCTAATGGAAATTAATAATATTCTTAACAAAATGATCATAGAGATATGACATATCAAAACTTACACATTGCAGTCACACTTAGACAAAACTGTATAGCATATTGGAAAATAAAAGATTAAAAAATCAAAGACCTAAGTATCCCTGTAAGAAGTTTTTAAAAAGCAAGTTAACTTTTAAAAGGTAAAATGAAGTAAATATTAAAGAAAAGAGGAGAAATTAATGAAATAGAAAATGAACATACAATACAGAAAAATCAACAAAGCCAAAAGGTTCTTTGAAAAGGCTAATTCAATTGATGATTCCCTCTAGAGACTGATCAAGAATAAAAGAATGACTAAGAGAAGACAGTTATCAATATTATGAGTGAAAAAATAAAAAACATTACTACAGATCTCAAATATATTAAAAAATAAATGAGGACATTGTAAATAATGTTGTGCCAATAGACTTGGAAATATTGATAAGCAAATTCCTAAAAATATACAACATATCAAAACTGGCACAAGAAGAAATAAAGTATCTGAATAATCTCATATCAGTTTTAAAAATCAAATCTGTAATTTGCCCTCCTCCAGAGAAAGTTCCAAGCCTAAGTACTTTTTTTTAATTATTATTATACTTTAAGTTTTAGGGTACATGTGCACATTGTGCGGGTTAGTTACATATGTATACATGTGCCATGCTGGTGCTCTGCACCCACTAACTCGTCATCTAGCATTAGGTATATCTCCCAATGCTATCCCTCCCCCCTCCCCCCACCCCACAACAGTCCCCAGAGTGTGATGTTCCCCTTCCTGTGTCCATGTGTTCTCATTGTTCAATTCCCACCTATGAGTGAGAATATGTGGTGTTTGGTTTTTTGTTCTTGCCATAGTTTACTGAGAATGATGATTTCCAATTTCATCCGTGTCCCTACAAAGGACATGAACTCATTTTTTATGGCTGCATAGTATTCCATGGTGTACACGTGCCACATTTTCTTAATCCAGTCTATCATTGTTGGACATTTGGGTTGGTTCCAAGTCTTTGCTATTGTGAATAATGCCGCAGTAAACATACGTGTGCATGTGCCTTTATAGCAGCATGATTTATAGTCCTTTGGGTATATACCCAGTAATGGGATGGCTGGGTCAAATGGTATTTCTAGTTCCAGATTCCTGAGGAATCGCCACACTGACTTCCACAATGGTTGAACTAGTTTACACTCCCACCAACAGTGTAAAAGTGTTCCTATTTCTCCACATCCTCTCCAGCACGTGTTGTTTCCTGACTTTTTAATGATTGCCATTCTAACTGGTGTGAGATGATATCTCATTGTGGTTTTGATTTGCATTTCTCTGATGGCCAGTGATGGTGAGCATTTTTTCATAAGCCTAAGTAAGTACCTTTACCAGTAAAATCTTCCAAACATTTAAGGAAGAAATAACATCAGTCGTACACAAACTCTTCACGAAAATAGAAAAAGAAGGAGCTTGCTTATGAGACCAATATAATTTTGTTACTAAAATTCATCAAGAAAGAAAATTGGTCCATCTTCCTCATGAACACAAATGCTAAAAAGCACAGCAAATTTATAAGTCAAATTCAAGAATATATAAAAAAGATAACACATCATGGCCAAGTTGGAATGCACAGTTGATTTTACATTTATAATCATCCATGTAATTCATCATATTAACAATAAAAGTAAATAATCATATGATCATATTAATAGAGGCAATAAAGGTATTTACTGAAACAGCATCCATTATTTAGGAAAAAAGGAAAATTTCTTAGCAAATTAGAAATATAAGGAAAGGTATTTAATCTGATACATAGTATTCACCAAAAAAAATTACAGAAAATATTATATTTAATATTGAAATATTAAGAGCTTTTTCTGTGAGACTAAGACAGGACACCTGATATTACCACTTCTCTTTAGTATCATGTTTGAGTTCCTAGTCAGTGCAATAAGTGAGAGAAAAGGAAGTTTAAGTATTAAAAATAATGAATAAAACTATCATTATATGATTGTGTTTGCATGAAATCTAAAATAACCTAAAGATAAACTATTAAAATTAATAAGTAAATTCCGCAATTTTAGTAGATATTAAAAGGTCAGTAAGGCCGGGCATGGTGGCTCACGCTTGTAATCCTAGCACTTTTGGAGGCCAAGGCGGGCAGATAACTTGAGGTCAGGAGTTTGAGACCAGCCTGGCCAACATGGTGAAACCTCATCTCTACTAAAAATACAAAAATTAGCTGGGCATGGTGGCAGACACCTATAATCCCAGCTACTTGGGACGCTAAGGCAGGAGAATCGCTTGAACCTGGGAGGTGGAGGTTGCAATGAGCCAAGATCGCACCAGTGCACTCCAGCCTGGGGGACAAGAGCAAAACTCTGTCTCAAAAAAATAAAAATAATGGTCAGTAAAACAAAAAAGTATTATATTTCTATATACCAATATACATTTAGAAAAAAATCTAATGATGTCACTTACAATATCATAAAAAACATATCAATAACCTAAGGATAAACCTACCAAAAGATATACTTTCCAGAGGCAAAGCTATAGAAAATTACTGAAAGAATGTCAAGTTAACCTAAATAAATGAGGGGATATTGTATGTTTATGGATTGGGAGACTAAATCTTTTCTAATTTATACAAATTAACTTATAAATCCAATGCAATCCCAGTTATTAAAAATCTACTAGGCTTTTGGGGAGAGAGGGGACAGGAATTGACAAGGTGATTTTTAAATGTATAGAAAAATTCAAAAAGCCAAAAATAGCCATAACAATTTTGAAGAAGAACAGCATTTTATGACTTAAACTATCAGTTAATAAGAGTTATTATAAAGCCACAATAATTAGAAGAGTGTGGTATTGGCATGAGGATAGACAAAATAGACTAATGGACAAGAAAGGAGTTTCCAAAAATAGACCTACATGGCTTTTTGTTTTATAACAAAGGTGAAATTGCACTGTACTGTGGAAAAAATCAACTTTCAATAAATAGGGCAGGATAAATTATCTGTATTTAAGTTAAAAGTGAATATAAACACTCAAACTGTACACAAAAATCAATTGCAATGCTCTTATAAATATAAAATAAATGGTAAAAAATAAAGTTTCTAGAAGATAACCTGGGAGAGTATCTTTATGATCTTGGAGTAGACTAACTTTCTTAGAAGGGATGCAAAAATCTCTAACCACAAAGGAGAAGACTGATAAACTGGACTATGTCAAAGTTAGAATGGTTGTTCATCAAAAGGCACTATCAATGAGCAAAGAAGCAAGCCACAGATTGAAGGAAGACATTTGCAATACATATATCCAACAAAAGGTTTATATTCAGGGTTTAAAATAACTACAAAACAGGAAAAGAAAGACTGAAAGTTAAGAGAAAAATGAGGAAATATTTGAACAGAGATTGCACATAAAAAGGATATCTACATCACCAATTAGACTATGAAAAAATGCTCATTCTCAAATTCACCAGAGACATACAAATTAAAACCACATTGAGATAATTCTAGCAGAACGGCCAGATTTTACTAGATGACAATACCAATATCAGCAAGAATTTTAGAACAATGATAACTCTCATACATTGGTTGGTGGGTGTGGTGGGAATTGGCACAACCACTTTGGAAAATAATTTGGTAATACTTCCTAAACTGAATATATGCATACCTTATGAGCCAGGACTTCCACTCCCAGATATATACCCAACAGAATTATGTGCGCATATGCCCCAATAAATGTATACAAGAATGTTCATAGCAGCACTATTTGTTTTAGCACCAAAAGTAGGTAAAGATTCTGTGTTCCCTTTGAAGTTCTCCTCTTAATCTCTATTCACCCCTGTAACCCCTGTATGGTTTTCTTGCCTCAGGGTGCAGTGGGTCAGATGTGACATAATATACCTAAGGTGATGTGCATTTGTAGATATAAAATTAAATGCCCCCTTAGGAAGACCAAGGTATGGGCCCAGAGAGAAAGGGTGAGAAAATATTTGAAAGAAAGAAACTGGCACTCCTCGTGGCAGCTAATGTCTTAGGAACCTCTGTTGACCAGTATACCAGGATGGAAACTTGACTTTTAGAAAATCATAAGAGCTATACATTCACCTGGTAATTTTTTAAAAAATCAAACGGTACAGAAATACATAAAATAAATTGTGTTCTTCCCACCTATTGCTCCTCAAACATAATCAATATTTTTGTGTGTACTTTCCAGGAAAAGAAGAAAGTATACTTAAAAGAGTTGATGTACACATATATCCTATTTTTTATATTTACCCAATGGGATAATACTACAAAACCAATCTATATCTCACTTTTATTCTCTTCACATCAAACAAGGTGGTCTTCCCTTCTTGGCATGTTCAGATTTACCTTATTCTTTAATGATTGCTTGTCACCATACGGATGAATCAGAATATTCTTAAACAGTCCCCATATCATGGTTTTTTGTTTTGTTTCCAGTGTTTAGGCAATAATGAATGCTACAATAAACGTTCTTATAGTACTCTCTTCAGATACTTCCTTCAGGGTAATTTCCCAATAGCAAAAATGTAGGGTCAAGGGTATTTGATTTTTTAAAACCTTAACTTTTTTTTTTCTTTGATCATCGGGTAGGAAACTGTGATTAGCAGCTGAAGACGGGTACTCCCACTTCCTTTTTTCAATTCACTAATGCATTCTGCTCTTTTTGAGAGCACAGCTTCTCAGATGTGCTCCTTGGAGCTGGTGTGCAGTGTCCTGACTGTAAGATCAAGTCCAAACCTGTTTTGGAATTGAGGAAACTTCTCTTTTGATCTCAGCCCTTGGTGGTCCAGGTCTTCATGCTGCTGTGGGTGATATTACTGGTCCTGGGTGAGTAAAAGGGCTCACCATGGGCCCTGGGTGGGATCGGGACAGCTTCTCTCTCCACCGCAGGCCTGGTCCTTTCTTGGGGCTCAGCCCCTGCTGAGAGACTCTCTCCTACATTAGGAGACTGTATTTTTGAACTTTACTCTGTAGCTCAGGGCTTTCTCTTGAGGCTGAAGAAAATGGCCACAGCTGGAAGGAATTTTCAATCTTACAGAGTAGGAAACCACAATAACCACAACAATTAAAATTTCATTTATTTTTTTCTTTAAAAAGTACTTCTTAAAGTCCAGAGAATGTTTCATGTTTGTTTGTTCATATTGTCTTACTCATAGAAGAGCCCACTCTCCTCTCTGCAGAGGAGATGTATTTATTCCTTGTATGACAAGGCCAGATCCTGGTCCCCAGCATAAGAGGCAAGGTTTCTAACGGGAAAGACAGGTCTTTCTCTTGTACATAATTGCAAACCACTGCAGCAATTGGCTGATTAAGAACATGGGGTGGAGGAGGTCGCAGAGGCGTAGGTGGACAAAGCAAGGATAAATCTAAAGCATATGACTTTCTCTTTGTCCCTGTGGGTGTACGTAAGTCTCTATCAACTCATATGTGCGAACTGGTTGATTTTTACTAAAGGTTAAATATTATAATTAAATATGTTTATTTATTTGTTCAGCAAATGTGTTTAGTAATATCTATGCACAGGTGCTGAGCAATTAGAGTCCATAGGAGACACTACGTCTATGTTCTGGAAAGTCATGACATAGAAGGGCTCCCAGCAAGGCCAATGTACTTTCAAGCAGCTATGCAACAAGCTCCCAGTTAAATAATTGTCCAGGCAAAGTTACCAATGAATGCTGTAGGCAGATAATAAACTGTATTCAAAATAGCTAGTAAAGACTTCATGAAACTTAGAGGTGAGTAGGAGCTAGAGGAGCAGAAATGGAGCAGGCGTGATATAAGAAAAGAGGACCTCACAGTTGGAAGGTGCATGGACTATAATTCCTGAAGTAGGAATACATCTCAGTGTGGCCCCACACAATGTGGGTAATGGCCAGGTCCTGAGCATGAGAGGGCAAAGTTTATAACATGGGCTCTGGGGTCAAACAGGATCTAGGTTCAAACTTCATCTTGCCACCTACTGGCTACCAGATTCCTGGTCTACAAAATGCAGTTAATCCTAGTGCTTACCTCACAGGATTATTGACATGGTTATATGAAATAACCTACGTAAATGCAGACCATATAGAAACCACTCACAAAAATATTAGCTTCATTTAAAACAATGCAAAGATGAAGGAAGCCAAAATATTCAGGTGAATGGTGAATAATTTGTTGTTCTCAGTAAAACACTTAAGTTTGGATAAGTCTCCAATAGCCTCATGTGGACAGGGATGATTTGTCTCTCACACACTCCTGGATTTCTATTGCCTTGCTCTGGAGTATGATTGGCATTCCAAAAATCTGTTGAATAAATAAATCAACCCATATGCAGAATACCTACTCAATTGATAAACCTGCCAGTTTTGTGTCCTCTCTCTCTTCATTACCCATTTCTCAAATCTCTATCCTTCTATTCCTATATTATTAACCTAGTTCTTTAATTAATTCATTATACAACACAAATATATTTAGTGAACATTAAAGGAATATCTTTTATATGCCATTCACCGTTATAGGTCCTGGAGGATATATGGTGAACATAAGGAAAGTCCTAGGTCTCATAGAGCTTGCATTATAGAGAAGGGAAAATAAACAAGCAGATAATGAAGATAATTTGGATAAATACTCTGACAAAAATTACACATTACCATCTCTTGGGCTGAGCATCAGGTCTAAATAATCTGAGCATCAGTTGATTGTTTAAAAATTAGGCATGATGATAATGAGCCCTTGGATTCAATGATCTCATGAAAAGAGTATAGCCTGGAGTCTGGTGCCCAAGGGAGGCTTAATTCATGTCCATTTCCTTGCCCTGCCTTCTAATCAGTCTCCCTGCTTCATATTGTCCCATTAAATTCTGTCCACTGACAGAGTGCTCCATCAAAGTCTGAAATTCTAACCTTGTCAATCTCCTCCTTGAAACCATTCCATGACTCCTTATCACTTTTATAATAAAATTAGAACCACTTACTCAGGCCCTGCATGCTTCTCTGGTCTTATTTCCCCCAACACTCCCAGTTCCTGAGCACCAATGTCATTTCTCCACTTCTGTGCCCTTTCTACCTTGAAAGGTAGAAATCGCCTCTTACCACACACAAATGCTAACATCCACCTGCAGACTCATGTTCTCACTCACAGTTTTGTGAAGTATCATCTCCTTCAGGTACCTTCAAGGATCCACCCATCCTGTTCAACACATGTACACACAAACACACACTCTACACACACACATATATCCTACACACTGGGCTAGTGGCCCTTCTGCCCCCAACATACCCCATGTGTATTTCTGTTATTGCACTTACACCCTGTGTTATATTATTTTAAATCGTGTTTCTGTTTTTCCACTAGTCAACTTCTTGATGGCAGATACCATTTTTAAAATTCATTGTAGAAGTCCAAATACCATGCCATATATATATGTATATATATGTATATTTATGTGTATATATATACATTTGATGAATAATTATTAGAGTTTTTAAATGAATTTTTTAAAGGGACAAGTAATACATGCATGGGTAAAAAAGGGAATTATCTTCTTAAAACAAAATAATCATGGTTCTGTGCTCATCTCTGGCTCTTATTTTTTTGCAGCTCCTGTCAGTGGACAGTTTGGTGAGTTCTCCTGTCTTTGGCTCTTCAGCGTCTCTGGTTAAGAGTGTCTCTTCCTAATAAATAGAAAACATTTGTGATGGCTGCCTGAGATCTCCAATATCTCCTGTTTTCTTTCCTTTTTTTTATTATACTTTAAGTTTTAGGGTACATGTGCACAACGTGCAGGTTTGTTATATATGTATACATGTGCCATGTTGGTGCGCTGCACCCACTAACTCGTCATTTAACATTAGGTATATCTCCTAATGCTATCCCTCCCCCCTCCCCCCACCCCACAACAGGCCCTGGAGTGTGATGTTCCCCTTCCTGTGTCCAAGTGTTCTCATTGTTCAATTCCCACCTATGAGTGAGAACATGCGGTGTTTGGTTTTTTGTCCTTGCAATAGTTTGCTGAGAATGACAGTTTCCAGCTTCATCCATGTCCCTACAAAGGACATGAACTCATCATTTTTTATGGCTGCATAGTATTCCATGGTGTATATGTGCCACATTTCCTTGATCCAGTCTATCATTGTTGGACATTTGGGTTGGTTCCAAGTCTTTGCTACTGTGAATAGTGCCGCAGTAAACATACGTGTGCATGTGCCTTTATAGCAGCATGATTTGTAGTCCATTGGTTATATACCTGGTAATGGGATGGCTGGGTCAAATGGTATTTCTGCTTCTAGATCCCTGAGGAATCGCCACACTGACTTCCACAATGGTTGAACTAGTTTACACTCCCACCAACAGTGTAAAAGTGTTCCTATTTCTCCACATCCTCTCCAGCACCTGTTGTTTCCTGACTTTTTAATAATTGCCATTCTAACTGGTGTGATATGGTATCTCATTGTGGTTTTGATTTGCATTTCTCTGATGGCCAGTGATGATGAGCATTTTCTCATGTGTCTTTTGGCTGCATAAATGTCTTCTTTTGAGAAGTGTCTGTTCATATCCTTCACCCACTTTTTGATGGGGTTGTTTGAATTTTTCTTGTAAATTTGTTTGAGTTCATTGTAGATTCTGGATATTAGCCCTTTGTCAAATGAGTAGATTGCAAAACTTTTCTCCCATTCTGTAGGTTGCCTGTTCACTCTGATGGTAGTTTCTTTTGCTGTGCAGAAGTTCTTTAGTTTAATTAGATCCCATTTGTCAATTTTGGCTTTTGTTGCCATTGCTTTTGGTGTTTTAGACATGAAGTCCTTGCCCATGCCTATGTCCTGAATGGTATTGCCTAGGTTTTCTTAAAGACTTAAATGTTAGACCTAAAACAATATCTCCTGTTTTCTTGCTGAGGTCAGCAGGGATTTCAAAGTGATGCCTGGTTTTTTGGCATCGTCCAAGGGCCAGGATAGCTTCATGGTCACCCTCTGACCCTCCCTGGGGGAAGGGGTGAATGCCCAAGCAGCTCCCAGCCTTTGCTAAGCCCTGCATTTACTATTATTGCCAACAGACCCCATTTAGCCAGGCAGGACATCTTCAACTCCATGGCAAGTATATTGACTCAGGATAGGATCCTCTCAATCAGCGAGCCAGAAAAATACCCTGAAAATATCCCACTGTGCTGATGCCAGCAGGAATGCTGCATTCTCTACACTTTGGAGTAAAATCCTCCAGGACATCCAATAACTGGGTCCTTACAAAAAAGAAAGGCACAGAAAGGGGAGATGGGGAGAAGACAAGTTATCTGCATCCCACATTTAATTAGTTCTGGCTCTTACTGCCATTCCTTTGGCTCTGAGTGGATAATTGAGAACCCATGAACAGCAACAACCCTCTACAACCCCTCTCCTTGTCCAAATCAGTGGCCCCAGCTGTAACTTTGTCCTGGTCACCTCTGGATGTCAGTGAGTGACTTGTCCCTTCCTTGCTCTGCCACAATTAGCTGTGATGGGATTCTTCTGGGCACTTGAATCATCATCTACAAAATGAAGATATTAGGTAAGTTGAGCTCTCAAGGTTTTCTCAGGGACAAATCTTAAGATAATATGATTTATTCTCTTAGGGAAAGTGCAAAATTGTGATTTTAACATAACCTTTGGAGTTTCTTATGAGTGTATGAACATGATGAAATGGCAGCGCAGCATTGATTTTCTCTGGGACCCACTTCCATGTAAGGCTACCTAACTGTGATATTTGATGGCGAATCCTGCTGGTGTCACCCTCCTGAAATCATTTTGCTCATTGCCATCCCCTGGGCAATTTCTCCCTTGGGTGAGGTGAGGGCCACTGGCTGACAGGGAGCTTTGAGCTATCAGTGACCCTCCCAGAGGACCTCTTTCAGATCCTCCAAACCCAGGTCCTTCAGGCTATGCAGCAGGAGGCCCTGAGGCTGGGTCTGCAGGCGCCTCCACCTCAGACTCCTTTTCTCTTTCCTCTTCAGCAAGGACACCCAGGCCCATTATTTTCCTCCAGCCTCCATGGACCACAGTCTTCCAAGGAGAGAGAGTGACCCTCACTTGCAAGGGATTTCGCTTCTACTCACCACAGAAAACAAAATGGTACCATCGGTACCTTGGGAAAGAAATACTAAGAGAAACCCCAGACAATATCCTTGAGGTTCAGGAATCTGGAGAGTACAGATGCCAGGCCCAGGGCTCCCCTCTCAGTAGCCCTGTGCACTTGGATTTTTCTTCAGGTGAGAGAGCGTGAAAGACGCACCAACTTTAGAAATCAATTCAGCCCATGTTTCTCTCTAGCTGTTATTACTGTTTACCTCAGACCCTTCATGAGTGGACAATTTTATTTCACACTGTGGTAAGACAAGGAGAGAGTAAAAAGCTCAGAATACAACCAGACAGGGAATGGGGTTAGCTGCTTAATTTTAAACATTAAAATAAATAGAATTTTTACTTGAGTGGATTAATGTCTCTAAACCTGTGGTTCTTAAAGTTTGATTTGAGTCAGAAAGCCTGGGCAGCTTATCAACCATACAGATACTCAGGACCTACCTATGCTTATTCAATAGAAACCTGTAGAAGTGGGGTCCAGCAATTTATATTTTTTACAAGCCTCTCCGGTACCAGAAAGTCTGAGGATTAATTTATTTGAGTGGTTCCTGAATCTATGTATAGCTTTTTGGTTTGGTTTGGTTTGGTTTGGTTTGGTTTGGTTTGGTTTGGTTTGGTTTTTTGAGATGGAGTCTCGCTCTGTCACCCAGGCTGGAGTGCAGTGGCGTTATCTCGGCTCACTGCAACTTCTGTCTCCCGGGTTCAAGCAATTCTCCCACCTCGGTATCCCTAGTAAGTAGGACTACAAGAGCCCGCCATCACACCTGGCTAATTTTTGTATTCTTAGCAGAGATGGGATTTCCTCATGCTGCCCAGGCTAATGTTGAACTCCTGGGCTCAAGTGATCTGCTCACCTAGGCCTCTCAAAGCGCTGGGATTACAGGTATGAGCCACTGCACCCGGCCTCTATGTATAGTTTTAAGTCACATTATTTACTTGGAATAATAAGTGGCAGGAGAATTGTTCATACTTATGGGTAGATAATGCATAGGTAGATAAATATACAGAGAAAGAAAGATAAAGGAAGAGACATTTCCTTCCTTGTCCTAAAGCCACCTGTTTTGAAGTTGAAGTTACATCATTTTTTAATGTAGTGGAAGCAGTGTACTAGCAAGGAATAAACAAAAATGTTTATACTCTTTGACTTAACAATCCGTCTCTTAAGAATTTGCCTACTGAAACAATCACAGATGTCCATCCCTGAAAATGGCAGACCTTAACATGGTTTAGAAAAAGAATACCTGGCCAGGCGCGGTGGCTTACGCCTGTAATCCCAGCACTTTGGAAGGCCAAGGCGGGTGGATCACGAGGTCAGGAGATTGAGACCATCCTGGCTAACACTATGAAACCCCGTCTCTACTAAAAATACAAAAAATTAGCCGGGCTTGGTGGCGGGTGCCTGTAGTCCCAGCTACTCGGGAGGCTGAGGCAGGAGAATGGCATGAACCCGGGAGATGGAGCTTGCAGTGAGCCGAGATAGCACCACTGCAGTCCTGCCTGGGTGAAAGAGTGAGACTCCGTCTCAAAAAAAAAAAAAAAAAAAAAAAACTCATTAAAGAAATTACATTACTGCCAGTGAAGGAAAACCGCAAACATTAAAAATCAGGTTCAATAATGATACTAATGATGTAGGAAAGTGTTCATAGCATAGTAAGTGAAAGGAAAGTTATCAAATCTACAAATATTAATATTATTCCATAAAAGAAATACGCATGAGCTCCAAGTACTTGAAAGTGGAAGAGAAAACTGGAAAAACATATGCCAAAACATGGGTGGTGAGATGGTAGGTGATTTTACCTACATTTCTGCTTTTCAACTTTTCTTAAGGTGTATGTGTTCATTTTTAAATCAGAAAAAAAGAAATGATAATTATTTTAAGAGTTCTTTTTCCCAACCCATTTTTTTAAAATAAAATCTACTTGGAAAAACAATGAAAAGAAAGGGGAAACAGTAGGATGAACCAAATAACTCTATTGTGTTTCTCATAGCTTCGCTGATCCTGCAAGCTCCACTTTCTGTGTTTGAAGGAGACTCTGTGGTTCTGAGGTGCCGGGCAAAGGCGGAAGTAACACTGAATAATACTATTTACAAGAATGATAATGTCCTGGCATTCCTTAATAAAAGAACTGACTTCCATATTCCTCATGCATGTCTCAAGGACAATGGTGCATATCGCTGTACTGGATATAAGGAAAGTTGTTGCCCTGTTTCTTCCAATACAGTCAAAATCCAAGTCCAAGGTAAAGCCTTCATTATTTTGTGAAGTGAGTTGGTCAAAAGGAGATTCCTTGGGGTCATAGAGATAGAACAGGAGGAAAAGGGTGGACTGGAATACCACTAAACCACAGGACACATTCCTGCAAGGAGCAGAGGAAGTATAGTAGTGTTTTGGGCTGAAGGAAGCTAGGGATCAATGGCATTCCTTTCTTTGCCTGCTTTTGGATGTGCTGCTGCTTGAAGTGTGCTTTTCTCCAAAGCAGTTCCAGCCTCATTGCTCTGGGACTGTTGTGATTCTTCTCTCTAGAGCCATTTACACGTCCAGTGCTGAGAGCCAGCTCCTTCCAGCCCATCAGCGGGAACCCAGTGACCCTGACCTGTGAGACCCAGCTCTCTCTAGAGAGGTCAGATGTCCCGCTCCGGTTCCGCTTCTTCAGAGATGACCAGACCCTGGGATTAGGCTGGAGTCTCTCCCCGAATTTCCAGATTACTGCCATGTGGAGTAAAGATTCAGGGTTCTACTGGTGTAAGGCAGCAACAATGCCTTACAGCGTCATATCTGACAGCCCGAGATCCTGGATACAGGTGCAGAGTAAGTGTTGGTGGAACCTGAGATTTGCTGCAGAGAGGGCTGGAAAAGTGGGACAGGGCTGCATATCAGCGTGGGTCACCAGTCTCTGTAGAAAAAACTCGTACCTGTGAGAATGGGAGTTGTGCAAGCAAAGAGACCTCTACTCTTGTGAACATCTTAGAAGAGCTTAGACCCAGGAAAATCCAAGAAAAGAAAGGTCTAATTTTTTTTCTTTCAATGCCATTAAATACAATTCTTTCTTTTCTCTCGCAGGGTTCTCTTCCCTGACATCATTTTTTTTTCTTCTAGGCCCATAGGGATAAGCCATGGGCTGTGGCATAGCTCTCTGACTCTGGTGTACAGAGGTATCTGTTGTCCCAATTAACATTACTTATTGACAATAACCAAAGTGAAAATTTCTGTAGGATACAAAGACAGGTTGCAACATTATAGTTACTCCAAATATGTGACTCTGGAGGTTTACCATTCCCTAGTTATGAGTACAAATATGCACCCCAGATTACATCACCTCCCTTACTAGTATACAGCACCATCCTTCCTTCAAAGCTATTATGGTAGTTACAGTGATGAGGGAAAAACAGCTTCTGTAGAGCCCTGTGTCATCCCTCCACTCATGGCAAACTCCGGGCTCACTTATAAGGAGGCAATGTGATCATCACCAGACTAGGAGTCAGGACACCAACTCTGGCCCTGGCTGGCCCTGAAAACAGCCTACACAGGCAGGTCTCCTAGTCTCTCCTTGACTCAGTTTTCTCACCTGTAAATAAAGAAGGTCAGTCTGGGCCAAGGGAGAGAGTAGGAGCAGAAGAAAAAGCTCTAGAAGACTATGCTAATCTTTAAGGAAAAACTAGCAATGGCAAATAAATCCCTGAGGCCAATGCAAGTGAAGGAGAAATAAACAGGGATAGGAAAGAAGACTCAGAATAATTGGGCACTTCAGGTGCAACATTCCATAGTCATAGGGCAGAAGGAAGGAGCAAGAAGCAGGTGCAGGTAAGGGTGTGTGGTTCTGATGGCAGCAAGTTAAGGGTGGAGACTGGAGACTGGGCATTTGCACTGGCCATGCCTTGTAATCTACAGTAAGAGGCAAAAGCAATTCTTGACTAATTTTTTCTCTTGCTCAGTCCCTGCATCTCATCCTGTCCTCACTCTCAGCCCTGAAAAGGCTCTGAATTTTGAGGGAACCAAGGTGACACTTCACTGTGAAACCCAGGAAGATTCTCTGCGCACTTTGTACAGGTTTTATCATGAGGGTGTCCCCCTGAGGCACAAGTCAGTCCGCTGTGAAAGGGGAGCATCCATCAGCTTCTCACTGACTACAGAGAATTCAGGGAACTACTACTGCACAGCTGACAATGGCCTTGGCGCCAAGCCCAGTAAGGCTGTGAGCCTCTCAGTCACTGGTAAGCCCTGCATTCCTGCCAATCACCCACCCCTGGCCAAGAGTCCTGCCTCACCCTGCCCTTCGGAAGTCAGCATATACCTTCCAGTATCCTCAGTTTCTTTCTTGGGAAAACCTAATGTCCTCCTCCACTCTCCGGCTCACTGAACCAGCTGTCTGCCTCTTGAGTCTCGTTGCATTGCAGTCTAGGTGCCCTTATACCCCTGCCTGATGGTGCAGTGGCTTTCTATCCCCTGGTTCCCAATTTCTGAGAAGCCAAGTGCTTTTCTTGTGCTTTCCACTTGTCCTGTGGCTCCCCAGATGACTGATTTTCATTCACTATATTATTCTCAGTAGACACAGACTCAATTTCCAGGAGCACAGAGGTATCTCCTGTTCTGTTAATATCAGACATTAATCAATAAACCAAAGGCAAAGACATGTAAGACACAAAGACAAGTCGCTGGATCATAGTTAACCCAGCATGTCCTTCTTGCTCAAGCCTTTTTTAGAGTTGATGGGCAGTAGGTAAGAAAGGCACGGGCAATGGTGGGCTGGGGGCAGGCCAGGAGATAGCTTCACCTCTACTTGCTTGGCTTAATGCCCTCAGAGCTATTCAGGTAGCTGCCAAATAGTTATGACATCAAAAAGGTTTCCTTTGAGCTTTGGATCTCAGTTTCGAACCATCCATGCATGGCTGAATGCCAGGTCCAATGTTGAAGGAGACAGTGTGATTTGGGTCTATACTGGTGACAGAGAGTCCAGTCTTGGTTGGTCCTGGAAGCGGCATCAGTTTCCTTTCCTGTAAAACAATAATACCAGCTTGGAAGACAAGCAAGAATCCAGTCCCTCCCACATGGATGTGTGAGATTATAAAGGAGAGGACCAGGGAACCCAGCGGGAGACATCAAATGACGTAGAAAGAGAACAGTGTCCCTGACATTCAGTGGCCCAAAGAAAGTGGAGACAGTGACATCATGATCAAACATGCTCAGAGATGTTTAAAGTCCTATTCAATGACTCACTTCTTCACCTAATAAATGCTGATTGCATATATTCCATGGACCAGACTGTACTGACATCTAAAGATGCATCTACGACTACACTAACCTGGCCTTCCCCACACAGTTCGTAGGGGCTAATAGCAAATGCAGTCAAGTAAGAGATTAAACATCAACCTGAGGATAGAAGCACCTGGTGGCTGCAGGAGCAGATGGAAAGGCATGCCAATCTGAGTTGGGAAGTGAGAAAAAATTTCTTGGAAGAACTCATGTGTGAGTTGAGACCTGAGGATGAGTGGGAACATTTCAGGAGAAGAGGATTGTGGTGAGGGAGGGAAGGCATGTTCCAGGAACTGGAGGGGCAGTCGGTTCTTGACGACTGCAGCACAGACTGAACAGTGGAGAAAGGTAGGATAAGGTTGGAGAGGAAGGTATGTTTAGACCATATTTAGAAGCAGAGTAAGGGCTTGGGCCATATTTTGCAGGGCAATCTGGGCTCCATGAATGCTTTAAATCTTGGGGAAAACCACTCCAGCAGCACAGTGAGAAATGAGTCATAGAGCAGCCAGTTTGGGGGGCAGCCAGGAGTAAAAGAGAGGGTTCATCAAGAGAGCGTCCAGTTGGAGCAAACCCCAGGCCAGTCCCAGTAGAGGAGTTGGGACTTGAGAAGGAAGGACTCCGGTTGAAGCAAGAGGCACTGTGAGAGTGTGCCCCACTGTCACCAAGGGCAGAATGTGTTCTAAGCAGAAGAGAGGGAGCTGGTTTGGATAAGGCAAAGCTAAGAGATGATGACAGATAAAAACTGAGTCACATCCAGTGAATTTAGCCACAAAGTACTCTTTGGCAGAAGACAGACTAGAATCAGAATACCTGGGTTTGACTGCTGCCTCTTCACTTACTAGCTGTGTGACTCACCCACTCGGGGCCTCAGCATGTTCATCTGTGAAAGAGGGGCAACAATAATACCCACCTCAATGAATTGCTTAGATGATTAAATTAGAGTCTCTCTATATATCGATATTTACAAATTACATCCAACAAATATACAAACACCAGAACTTACTTAAAGACACTATAGTGTCATTATAACAAACATCTATTTTATTATTTTTATCTTTATCATCATAATTATATTCAGAAACATGAAAATCCACTTTAGTAGATTGTTGGGGATTAAAACCAAGTTGTAATGGACAAAACATGCATATGAGATATGAGATAAAGAAGTAGAGATGTTAAAGGTAGGTCACTTCTTCCAGAAGACTGACTACAGAAAGGCGGAGAAACCGACTGTGAGGAACTGCAAATGCAAATAGGGTTGTTTTTCTATTGTCTGATGGTTTTTTTTTTTTTTAAACATGGAGAGGGTTAAACACATGCAAATGGTGTTTGCAAGAAGCCAGTAGAGGTAAAAACCTTTTATCTAGGACAGAGGCAGGTGAGCACAGGATGAAAAGACAGAAGAAAATCCCCCCAGGCAGGCCAAGGAGGGCTCCTCCATAGCCTCAGGGCCCAGGTCAGAGTGAGGAGCTGATGCAGGTAAGGGTGTGGTTCTGCTGGTGGAAAGACAAGGGAATTCTTTGAGAGCAACATCTCTGCACAACAGAGGCAGGTCCTACAACAAGGGGAGCTGGGAGAGGAGAAAAGACAAGAGGTCTGGTGGAAAAGGAAAAGACAGGGAATGACTAGGATGGAGGACAGGAGAGCTGGTGAGAGTAGCCTGGGAAGTGGCTGGGTCACCCTGCAGGTGGGTAGAGCCTGTGGACTGGAGACTGAACAACTGCACTGGTGAAACATTGAATCTGTGAACCAAAAACTATCTGAGACAGGTCTCAATCAATTTGGATAGTATATTTTGCCATGGCTAAAGACATGTGCCCCAGATTCAGCTCCCTGCCTTCTCCAAAGATGATTTTGAGGGTTTCAATATTTAAAGGTGAAAGGGAAGATATGGAGAAAAAGGAAGAAATTTTTTTAAAAGTATGTGTAAATAACAGACAAACAGTTGCATTCTTTTGAGTCTTTGATCAACCTTTAGCAGAATACACAATTTACATGTGAGAGAGGGGCAGAGGAATAGTCACTTCTGTCTTCCTTTAGCCCAGTGAGTCTGCATTTTTAAGTCAGGGAAATAATCAGATATGCATTTGTCTCCTGTAAGCAGCAATGACTTAAAGTTCTGTCTTTTGTCCTGCACTTGTGAAAATCAGCTATCAATTTACACTGTTAGGGTAAAACAGAACCATTTAAAACAGAACCATTTTAGGGTAAAGATCTTGGGGCCCACAAATAATATTTCAGTGGACAAATTTTGAGGGAGGTATGTAGCTTTTAGAAAAGTCTTTGAAGTTATCTTATTAAGGAATAAAATAAAAAGCAGGTTTGCCTGAAATAGTTCCCAGCTTGACTTTTCCCTTTGGCTTAGTGATTTGGGGTTCCCAAGATTTATTTTCCTTTTATGAAAACTACAGCAGGAGGCAGAAACAAATCTTGACTAATTTTTTCTCTCTCTCAGTTCCCGTGTCTCATCCTGTCCTCAACCTCAGCTCTCCTGAGGACCTGATTTTTGAGGGAGCCAAGGTGACACTTCACTGTGAAGCCCAGAGAGGTTCACTCCCCATCCTGTACCAGTTTCATCATGAGGGTGCTGCCCTGGAGCGTAGGTCGGCCAACTCTGCAGGAGGAGTGGCCATCAGCTTCTCTCTGACTGCAGAGCATTCAGGGAACTACTACTGCACAGCTGACAATGGCTTTGGCCCCCAGCGCAGTAAGGCGGTGAGCCTCTCCGTCACTGGTAAGCCCTGGGTTCCTGCCAATCACCCACCCCTGGCCAAGAGTCCTCTCTTACCCAACCCTTCAGAAGTCAGCGTGTACCTTCTAGTATCCTCTGTTTCTTTCTTGAAACAACCTAATATCCTCCTCCACTCTCTAGCTCACTGAACCAGCTGTCTGCCCCTTGAGCCTCATCCCATTGCAGTCTGGGTGCCTTCCCACCCCTGCCTAATGATGTAGCAGCTTTCTTTTCCCTGCTCCTCAAATTCTGAGCAGCCAATTGCTTTTCTTGTGCTCTCCACTTGTCCTGTAGATCTGCCAGATGCCTGATTTTTGTTTACTAAATTATTCTTAGTAGATATAGACTCAGACTCAGTTCTCAGGAGCACAGAAATGTCCCCTGTCCAGTTAACATCAGACATCAATGAATAACCAGATGCAAAGTCATGTAAGACACAAAGACAAGTCGCTGGATCACAGTTAACCCAACATGTCTCCCTTGCTCAAGCCTTTTTTAGGGTTGATTGGGCAGTAGGTAAGAAAGGCACAGACAGCAGTGGGCTGAGGGCAGGTCAGGAGACAGCTTAACCTCTACTTGCTTGGCTTAATGCCCTCACGGCTACTCAGGTAACTGTCAAATAGTTATGACATCAAAAAGGTTTCCTTTGAGCTTTGGATCTCAGTTTTGAACCATCCATGTGTGGCTAAATGGCCAGGTTCAATGTTGAAGGAGACAGTGTGATTTGGGCCTATACTGGAGACAGAGAGTCCAGTCTTGGTTGGTCCCGGAAGCGGCCTCAGTTTCCTTTCCTGTAAAACAATAATACCACCTTGGAAGACAAGCAAGAATCCAGTCCCTCCCACATGGATGTGTGTGATTATAAAGGAGAGGGCCAGGGAACCCAGGGGGAGTCATCAAATGATGTAGAAAAAGAACAGTACTCCTAACATTCAGAGGCCCAAGGAAAGTGGAGACAGGGACATCATGATCAAACACACTCAGAGATGTTTAAAGTCCTATTAAATGACCCACTTCTTCACCTACTAAATGCTGATTCTATATATACACCTAGATGTAGTGACATCTAAGGATGCATCTAAGACTACACTAACCTGGCCCTGCCCACACAGTTCACAGGGGCTAATAGCAAATGCAGTCAAGTAATAGAGAAAACATCAACCTAAGTTTAGAAGTACCTGGTGGCTGCAGGAGCAGATGAAAGGCATGCCAATCTGAGTTGGAAAGTGAGAAAACAATTCTTGGAATTTGAGATGATATCGGGGGAAATTCACCCCCAATATTTTACATAGGTTCTTTTCTATTTTCCCTAAGTGTCAGCTGGTCTCAGAAATAAAGGGACAGAGTACAAAAGAGAACAATTTTAAAGCTGGGTGTCCGGGGGCGACATCACATGTCGGCAGGTTCCATGATGCCCCTTAAGCCATAAAACCAGCAAGTTTTTATTAGTGATTTTCAAAAGTGGAGGGAGTGTACTAATAGGGTGTGGCTCACAGAGATCACATGCTTCACAAAGTAATAAAATATCACAAGGCAAATGGAGGCAGGGTGAGCTCACAGGACCACAGGACCGGGGCGAAATTAAAATTGCTAATGAAGCTTCGGGCACGCATTGTCATTGATAACATCTTATCAGGAGACAGGGTTTTGAGAGCAGACAACCAGTCTGACCAAAATTTATTAGGCAGGAATTTCCTCGTCCTAATAAGCCTGGGAGCACTACAGGAGACCAGAGCTTATTTCATCCCTCAGCAACGATCATAAAAGACAGCCATCCCCAAAGCGGCCATTTCAGAGGCCTCCCCTTAGGGACATATTCTCTTTCTCAGGGATGTTCCTTGCTGAGAAAAAGAATTCAGTGATATCTCTCCTATTTGATTTAGAAAGAAGAAAAATATGACTCTGTTCCACCCAGCTCACAGGCAGCCAGAGTTTAAGGTTATCTCCCTTGTTCCCTGAACATTGCTGTTATCCTGTTCTTTTTTCAAGGTGCCCAGATTTCATATTGTTTAAACAATTTGTGCAGTTAACACAATTATCACAGGGTCCTGAGGTGACATTCATCCTCAGTTTACAAAAATGATGGGATTAAGAGATTAAAGTAAAGACAGGCATAGGAAATCACAAGGGTATTGACTGTGGAAGTGATAAGTGTCCATGAAATCTTCACAATTTATGTTCAGAGATTGCAGTAAAGACAGGCATAAGAAATTATAAAAGTATTAATTTGGGGAACTAATAAATGTCCATGAAATCTTCAAAATTTATGTTCTTCTGCCATGGCTTCAGTTGGTCCCTCCATTCGGGGTCCCTGACTTCCCGCAACAAGATGAGACCTGATGGAGAAGAGGATTGTGGTGAGGGAGGGAGGACACTTTCAAGGAACTGGAGAGTGGTCAGTTCTTGATGACTGAACCATAGACAGAACAGTGGAGAACCACAAGATAAGGTTGGGGAAGACAACATCATTAGAACCTACTTAGAAGCAGAGTAAGGGCTTGGGCCATATTCTGCAGGGCAATCTGGGCTCCATGAAGGTTTTAAATGTTGGGGAAAACCACTCCAGCAGTACAGTGGGGATCAGGTCATAGAGCAACCTGTTTGAGGAGCAGCCAGGCGTGAAGGAGGGAGCCCAACAAGGGAGTGTCCAGTTGGACAGAACCCCCAGTCTAGTCCCAGTAGAGGAAATGGGACATGAGAAGGAAGGACTCTGGCCAAGGGAAAAGGCACTCACTGTGAGAGTGTGCCCCACTGTCACCAAGGGTAGAACATGTTCTAAGCAGATGATAGTGAGCCAGTTTGGATAAGGCAAAGCTAAGAGATGATGAAAGATAAAAACTGAGTCATGGCCAGGAGAGGTGGCTCATGCCTGTAATTCCAGCACTTTGGGAGGCTGAGGCAGGTGGATCACCTGAGGTCAGGAGTTTGAGACCAGCCTGGCCAACATAGTGAAATCCTGTGTCTACTAAAAATACAAAAATTAGCCAGGTGTGGTGGCGGTCGCCTGTAACGCCAGCTACTCAGGAGGCTGATGCAGGAGAATTGCTTGAATTCGGGAGGCAAAGTTTGCAGTGAGCTGAGATCATGCCACTGAATTCCAGGCTGGGTGACACAGTGAGACTCCATCTCAAAAAAAAAAAAAAAACTGAGTCACATCCAGTGAATTTAGCCACAAAGTACCCTTTGGCAGAAGAACACAGACTAGAACCAGAATACCTGGGTTTGACTGCTGCCTCTTCACTTACTAGCTGTGTGACTCAACCACTCGGGGCCTCAGTATTTTCATCTGTGACATAGGGACAACAATAATACCTACCTCATTGAATTGTTTTGATGATTAACTTAGTGTCTTTATACATATAGATATTCACAAATTACATCTGACAAATATACACACACCAGAACTTAAAGGCACTATAATCTCATTATAACAAATATCTTTTTTATATTTATCATTATCATCATTACTACATTCATAAACATGAAAAATCAGCTTTAGTAGATTATTGGGGGTAAAAACTGAGTTGTAATGGACAGAATATGCATATGAGATATGAGATAAAGAAGTAGAGATGATAAATGTAGGTCACTTCTTCCAGAAGTCTGTCCACAGAAAAGTGGAGGAACCAACTGTGAGGAACTTCAAATACAAATAAAGTTGTTTTTGAATTGTCTGATAGTTTTTCTTATATGGAGATAGTTAAACACACCAAAATGTAGTTTGGAAGAAGCCAAAAGAGGTAAGGACTTTATGTCTAGGACAGAGGCAGATGTGCACAAGGTCAAGAGACATAGGAAAATCCCCCTTGGGCAGGCCAGGCATGGCTCTTCCATGGTTGCAGGGAAGCCTGCATGGTTGCAGGAAGAAGTGAGGAGCGGTGCAAGTGAGTCTGGTGGTGGCAAGACAAGGAATTTTTTCCTTGAAAGCATCATCTCCTCTGCAAAAAGGAGGCAGGTCACACTACAAGAGGAGCCATGAGAGAAGAAGAGAGTATTGGTCTCCTGGAAAGATGAACAGATAGGGAAAGACCAGCATGGAGGGCTGGTCACAGAAACCTGAGAAGTTGCTTGGCTGCCCTCCAGGTAGGTGAAGTCTAGAGATCCTGTACTGGAGACTGGGCATCTGCACTGGCCAAGTGTTGAAATCTACAGTAAGAGGCAAAAGCAACTCTTGATTCAATCTTTCTCTTCCTCAGTCCCTGTGTCTCATCCTGTCCTCACCCTCAGCTCTGCTGAGGCCCTGACTTTTGAAGGAGCCACTGTGACACTTCACTGTGAAGTCCAGAGAGGTTCCCCACAAATCCTATACCAGTTTTATCATGAGGACATGCCCCTGTGGAGCAGCTCAACACCCTCTGTGGGAAGAGTGTCCTTCAGCTTCTCTCTGACTGAAGGACATTCAGGGAATTACTACTGCACAGCTGACAATGGCTTTGGTCCCCAGCGCAGTGAAGTGGTGAGCCTTTTTGTCACTGGTAAGTGCTGGGTTCTTGCCAGTCACCCACCCCTGGCTGAGTTCTCTCTCACCCATTCCTTTAAAAATCTGTTTGCACTGTCCAGTTTCCTCCCCTAATCAACTTAATCCCCTTCTTGGCTTCCTCCTCAACTAACTAGCTGGGGTTTTCCGTACTCATAAGTCCTGGCTCAGCCAGACCCCTAAAACAGCTCAGTAGATTCCCCAGCTTTTACCAAATGAATTTATTTATTGTATTTTCTCCTCATTCCTTGTATGTTCCAACAGTACGCCAATTTTTCTTGATGCACGGAGCGTGTCCTACTTCTCTACTGACATTTACATATTAACTTAGCTACAAGCACAGTCTTATAGATAAATATTGGTCAAGACCTTAAATTCTCCAAAGGATTTCCAATCTTATGGTAGATTTGGAGAAAGCTGCTGGTGAACAAAGGGGGAAATGGCTCCCTAGGAACCAACTCCTCAAACTTCTGGAGTTTTTATGATCCCTTGTTTTCTAACCTGCTAAAATCAGTATCATTTTATTGTATTATTTTAAAAAAACTATTGTTGAAGTATGACATACATTCAAGAAACGTGTGCAAATTGTATGTGTACGATTTGGTGTCTTTTTAGGAGCTAAGTTGCTTCTGTTTTTACTTGAATCTTTGTTTATAGAAACTGGGGGAAAGTTTACTTTCTTTTCAGAGAAGCCAAATGGTATGATAGAAAAATCTTGAGCCTGATGTGTCAGACATGCCCCTAGCATAACTTGTTGAGTAAAGAGGTTATTTTTAAAATGTGAATGTTCTGAGACTACTCCAAAGTCAGAGCCAAATCTACTAGGAAGCTTCTAGACTTCACTCATTCTGCATCCCATTACTATCTTTTTATCCATGTTTTACTTTCTTCTCATATTCAGCAGCATCTTAAGCCTCTTTATTTTCTGTTTCTTGACTGTCACCCTTAATGCCAGTAGAATGTAAGCTTCATGAGAACAGAACTGCATCCATCTTGGTCTTCACAACATCCCTGTGCCTACTCAGTGTTTGGCACACAGTAGGTCCTCAGTCAACATTTGTAATTTAGTGGACAGATGATATGACAAGATGATAAGAGGGGATTTAAAAAAATCATCTAGCAAAGCCCAAGAGGAAAAAAAACAAAGCTATTTTAGAAATGAAATACCAATTTGAAGCAGTAAGAATAGATTGGATATCTTTGAAAACCATTAATTGAATGAAGAACCAATTTGAGAAAACAATACAGAATGCAAAGTAGAAAGATACAGAAATAAAGGCAAAAATTATAATATGGAAATCAGACAATGGATTTGTCTGTATCCAGTTATGTGGATAATTAAAATGGAGACCCTCAGAAAATTGAACCGAAGAGTAAAATGAAACTCAAAAATGTAGTAGAAATTGTTGGGAAGTAAAGAAAACTTGAATATGTAGATCAGAACATATATGTTGATGACGTTATTGACTTTGAGGTTAAAAATATATATATGTGCCTATGATTATGGGGAAAAAAGCAGTCGTCTCAGAAAGAAAAACATCAAGTTAGTCTTAGACTTTGCAGTGCACTCAATACCAAAGAGAGAGGAGGTCCAGACTTGGACCTGCGAGGGAAGAATAATAACCGAAAATTTTATATCAATTCAAAAAGACATTGTCAAAAATACAGGGATTCAGGAAACTGAGAATGCACTAAGCCTTCTGGAAAAAACACCTAATGACAAAATCTAGCCCAACAAGATGTAAATGAATATAAAGGACTCATAATGAGGAAACCGCATTATGACTGGCTCTCAACCCTGGCTGCATATTAGACTCGTCAAAGACCTTTGTAAAAGGTCACACATTGACTCGTCAAAGCCCCTCTCCAGACTAATTCAATTCAGAATCTCACAGATGGGGCCACAGAATCAGTATTTTTTGACACAACCTCAAGTGAGAATATTGTGTAGACAAGATTGGAAACCACTGATTTAGATATAGAAACAAAGGCTAATCAACTGTGAGAATTATGGTCACAGAATAGAAAGTAACTATTATGAACACTGAAAATGTAAAAAAAATGTAACAAAGAAAAATAGTTAGAGGAAGGAGAGGAAGTAAAGGAACAATCATTTTCTCATGATTATTATTATTTCAGAGTAAATTGTGAGTTATTTCACAATTCAAAAAGAATGGACTGTTTTAAAAAATTAGTAATAGATTTCAAAATGTCCATTTTGTAAATCGTTTCTGAATACTTTGTCAACAGTTACTCATCATTAATGGCTTATACTTCACTAAAATTCCATGGAAAACCAACTAGTAGCCTGTAGAGTCACATAGGAGAGAACAAGTGAATTCTTTGGGTGGCGCAAGCATAGATGTTAGGACTGACAAAAAAAAAATAATAAAAATAAACCTGTGCATTGATATGATCACAAATGATCAGGGAAAGAGGAAACAGAAACTCTCATACGCCATTATTACAAGCGTAAATTGGTTCAACCTTTTCGTCTTAATTGACACATTGTAATTGTATATATTTATGGAAGCACAGTTTGATATTTTGATATACATACATGGTATATAACGATCAAATTAGGATATTTAATGTACCCATCATCTCATGCATTTATCATTTCTTTGGAATAAAAACATTCAAAAGCCTCTCTTCTAGCTTTTTTGTAATATATTATAACTGACCATTAACCATCATCACCAATAGAACAGAATTTATTCCTCCTGTCAAATTATAACTTTATACCCATTGACCAACTTCTCCCTATCCTCCTCTTCCCTCTCCCCTCCCCAGTCTCTGATAACCACAGTTCTATTCTCTGCTTCTATAGTATCAACTTTGTATTTTTTTAGATTCAAAATATGAGTGAAATCATGCAGTATCAGTCTCTCTGTGCCTGGATAATTTCATTAAATATGATATCCTCCAGGTCTTTTTATATTGCTGCAAATCACAGGATTTCATTATTTTTTATGGCTGAATACTATTCCATTGTGCATATATTCCACATTTTATTTATCTATTCATCTGCTGGGGGACACTTAGATTGCTTCTATATCTTGGCTATTGTGAACAGGGCTGCAATAAACTTGAGAGTGCAGATATCTCTTTAACATAGCGACTTTATTTCCTTTGAATATCCACCCAGCAGTGAAATTGATAGATAATATGGTAGCTCTATTTTTATTTTATTGAGAAACTTCCATGCTGTTTCTTGTGGTGGCTGTACTAATTTACAATGCCACCAGCAATGTAAGGGTTCCTTCCTCTCCACAACTTAACCAGCACTTGTTTTCTTCTGACTTTTTGATAACAGTCATTCTAACTGGAGTGAGGTTATACTTCATTGGCGTTTTAATTGTATTTCCCCAATAATTAGTGATATTGACCATTTTTTTCATGTACCTGTTGTCCATTTTTATGTCTTCTTTAGAGAAATGTCTGTTAAAGTCTTTTGCCCATTTTTTAATCAGCTTGTTTGGTTTTTTCCTGTTAAGCTCTTTATATATTCTGGATGTTAACACCTTGTCAGACATAAACTTTGCAAATATTTTCTCCCATTCTATAAGTTGTCTTTTTACTCTGTTAATTGTTTCCTTTGCTGTGCAAATTCTTTTCAGCTTGATGTAATCCCATTTGTCTAATATTTGCTTTTGTTGCCTGTACTTTTGTATTTTAAAAGGTCCAGTCTTTTAGAAGAACAATTTGACATTATATGTTATTACTTAAAATGTTTGTATACTTCATCCCAGAAATTCCATGTCTAAGAATTTATCCTAAGAAATGCATGTGTAAATATACAAAAATATATCTACAGAATTACTTAATGCAGCATCACTTGACATTTAAGAAACAACAACATCCCAAACATCCATTAATGGGAAAATGCTTAAATGTATTATAGCATATCTATACAATGGAATACTTTGTCATTGTTAAGAATAATCAGGTAAGTGGGGCATGGTGGCTCTCGCCTGTAATCCCAGCACTTTGGGAGGCCGAGGCGGGCAGATCACCTGAGGTTGGGAGTTCAAGACCAGCCTGATGGAGAAACCCTGTCTCTACTGAAAATACAAAATTAGCCGGGTATGGTCGTGCATGCCTGTAATCCCAGCTATTCAGGAGGCTGAGGCAGGAGAATCGCTTCAACCCGGATGGCGGAGGTTGTGCTGAGCCAAGATCGCGCCATTGCACTCCAGCCTGGGCAACAAGAGTGAAACTCTGACTCAAAATAAAATAAAATAAAATCAGGTAATATATTTCCAAAATTATCAAGTTGTAAATGTAAAAGTTATACTTTATTGTGTGTAAATTATGCTTTAATAAAGATGAGTTTTAAAAGTTAGTGATGTAGATTTTTAAGTAATACCACAGAAAGATGCCCATAATATATAGCTAAGGGGAAAAAGCAGGTTGTAGACCAGTATGTTATTGTGATCCCATGCACGTGTGTGATTTTAATGTATTTATTTATGTGTCTATGAGTGTACTTATACATAGAAAAGATCTAGAAAGTGTCACCAAATACTCAACAGAAGTAATTTCTGAAAAAATAAAGAAAATGGTAAAACTTTTTATTTTTACTTAGATAATTCTGTAAAGTTTGATTTTATTAAATGAATAGCTGGGTTTTTCATTTTTAAAAAAATTTCAGTAGTTTTGGGGACCAGGTGGTGTTTGGTTACATGAGTAACTTCTTTAGTAGTAATTTCCGAGATTTTGGTGCACTCGTTGCCAGAGCAGTGTACACTGAACCCAGTGTGTAGTACTTTATCCATCACCCCACTCTCACTCTTCCACTGAATCCCCAGAATCTATTATATTATGCTTAGGCCTTTGCGTCCTCATAGCTTAGCTCCCACTGATAAGTGAGAACATACAATGTTTGGTTTTCCATTCCTGAGTTACTTAGAATAATGGTCTCCAACTCCATCTAGGTTGCTGTGAATGCCATTATTTTGTTCCTTTTTATGGCTGAGTAGTATTCCATAGTGTACACACACACACACACACACATGCGTATGTATCACATTTTCTTTATCCACCCCTTAATTGATGGGCATTTGGGCTGGTTCCATAGTTTTGCAATCATGAGTTGTGCTGCTATAAACACGTTTGTGCAAGTGTCTTTTTCATATAATGACTTCTTTTCCTCTGGGTAGATACCCAGTAGTGGGATTGCTGGATGAAATGGTAGTTCTACTTTTAGTTCTTTAAGGAATCTCCATACTGTTTTCATAGTGGTTGTAATAGTTTACATTCCCACCAGCAGTGTAAAACTGTTCCCTTTACACCACATTCATGCCAACATCTATTATTTTTTGTTTTTTTAATTATGACCATTCTTGCAGGAGTAAGGTGGTATCGCATTGTGGTTTTGATTTGAATTTCCTTGATAGTGATGAGCACGTTTACATGTTTGCTGGCAATTTGTGTATCTTCTTTTGAAAATATTCTATTCATGTCCTTTGCCCACTTTTTGATGTGATTGTTTTTTCCTGATGATTTGTTTGAGTACTTTGTTGATTCTGGATACTGGTCCCATGTCAGATGCATAGTCTGTGAATATTTTCTCCCACTCTGTGGGTTGTCTGTTTACTCTGCTGATTATTTCTTTTGCTGTGCAGAAGCTTTTAAATTTAATTCAGACCCATCTATTTATTATTGTTTTTGTTGCATTTGCTTTGGGTTCTTGGTCATGAACTCTGCCTAAGCCAACCAATGTCTAGAAGAGTTTTTTAAAGTATATTCCAGGGTTTATATGGTTTTAGGTCTCAGATTTATGTCTTTGATCCATCTTGAGTTGATTTTTGTGTAAGGTGAGAGATGAGGATCCAGTTTCATTCTTCTACATGTGGCTTGTCAATGATGCCAGCACCATTTGTTGCATAGGGTGTTCTTTCCTCACTTTACATTTTTGTTTCCTTTATCAAAGATCAGTTGGCTGTAAGTATTTGGCTTTATTTCTGTGTTCTCTCCTTCCATTGGTCTACCTGTCTGTTTTTATACCAGTACCATGCTGTTCTGGTAACTATAGCCTTGTAGTATCGTTCAAAGTCAGGTAATGTGATGCCTCCAGATTTGTTCTTTTTGCTTAGTCTTGCTTTGGCTATGTAGGCTCTTTTTTTTGTTCCATATGAATATTAGGATTGTTTTTTCTAGTTCTGTGAAGAATTATGGTGGTATTTTGATGGGAATTGCATTGAAGTTATAGATTGCTTTTGGTAGATGGCCATTTTCACAATATTGATTCTACCCATCCATGAGAATGGGATGTGTTTCCATTTGATTGTGTCATCTGCGATTTCTTACACCAGTGTTTTGTAGTTTTTCTTATAGATATCTTTCATTTACTTGTGAAGGTGTATTTCTAAGTATTTTATTTTTGTAGGTGTCATAAACAAGTTTGAATTTTTTATTTGATTCTCAGCTTGGTCACTATTGGTGTATAGCAGTGTTACTGATTTGTGTACATTGATTTTGTATCCTGAAACTTTACTGAACTCATTTATCAGATCTAGGAGCTTTTTGGATGAGTCTTTAGGGTTTCCTAGGTATACAATCATGTCATCAGTGAACAGCAACAATTTGACTTCTTCCTCTTTACCAATTTGGATGTCCTTTATTTCTTTCTCTTGTCTGATTGTTCTGGCTAGGACAAAGAGCTGTTTCTAATTTTAAAAATACATGTGTCCCTAACTCATTTTCTCTCTCAGTTCCAGTGTCTCGCCCCATCCTCACCCTCAGGGTTCCCAGGGCCCAGGCTGTGGTGGGGGACCTGCTGGAGCTTCACTGTGAGGCCCCGAGAGGCTCTCCCCCAATCCTGTACTGGTTTTATCATGAGGATGTCACCCTGGGGAGCAGCTCAGCCCCCTCTGGAGGAGAAGCTTCTTTCAACCTCTCTCTGACTGCAGAACATTCTGGAAACTACTCATGTGAGGCCAACAATGGCCTAGTGGCCCAGCACAGTGACACAATATCACTCAGTGTTATAGGTAAGTTGACCTAACCAGCAGCACAAAAATAAAAAGACCATCTCCCCTAACTTTACCAGTAGCCAAGATCAGAGGTACAGTTTCTAGAGTCATTTGCTGTGTGACATCCTGTCAGGCTTGGTGCCTACACAGCCTCCATCTCTAAGTTTTGTATCCTACACGTTCAGGAACTTGCACCTTCCCTTCCCTTGCTGTACTTTTCCTGCTAGCAGCAGTCCAGCCATCACGACCAAAATTCCCCTAACATAGGAGTAAAGGCTTTCAAAATACAAACTATATTCTGGCCAACAGTGATAGTAAGAAAGAAAGTTATAAAGTTCTGTGTGCTTCACCTTGGAAGAGATTTAGTTGTGGTTTTCTCTGTCTGCCAATCAATAAAAAGGCCAACACAATTCTCTTATTGGCTCACACATTTCTCTCTAGCCTCTCCTGCCCCTGTCCCAGAGTGGGTTGGGTTCCCACCCAAGACCCTTGTTAGAAGACATAATTCTTCTGCCTCCTTACCTGCTCCTGTTCCATTCAGCAACATCAAGATCTTCCATGCATCCTTGTCACAGGCAGACTCCTAGTTATGCCCACTCTCAGTGAAGGCTTTGGCACTGTACTTTCAGTCTTTCTCCATACTCCATAATCTGCCATCATTTCATGACTCTCATGGTCACATGTATAATCCCCTTAACACCATGGCCTGTCCTCTCCACACCAGTCAGCCACTCCCACATACATACACTACTTCATCTCCAAAAGGACAATTTTAAGCCCTTATTATCTGACAACCACCCCCTGGCCTTCTGCTTGCGTCAGCTCCTCCTATCACTATTGTTCTCAGACCTCAACAGAACTCCCAGGTCATTAATACCTCCACTAATTCCCTACTCCACTAGACAATAACCCCCTCCACTCCCACCACCAAATTGAGTGTCTAGCTCTGTATCCACCCAATAACTCATCTGTCCTTTTCCTAAAATATAGAGGAGAGGACTTCCCTCCCCATAGGTGAACATCTCCATCTGGTCTCCAGATTTCATCATTTTGTGCATTCTCAGAAGCTATGTAACTGATTATCCCTTTCTCTTCTGTGGCCCCCAACATCTCTGTCTCTGTAGGATCCTTTGCACTGGCACGTAACATGGTATATCTCTCCCATATCCAAGGAAAACCCTCTCTTGGTCCCACTTATACCTCCATACACTACCCCTTCATGGCTAAACTTCCAAAAACAGTCAGTTACCCAGACTGTCTCCATGTCCTCACTATCCACTAGGCTCTAATCTACTAGGTTTTTCCAACCTCTCCACCAAAATGTTTCTCACAAAGGTCACCGATGACCTTCAAGGCTTTAAATCCAATGGCCATTTTTCAATCCTCATCTTCCTTGACATCTCAGATATATTACATGTTGTTTACCATTTCTTCCTTCTTGAAACCCTCCCTTCAGTGAATCTATCTTCTTCTGGCTCTCTTCTCTCCCTGGCCACTTCTTCTCAGTCTTCTTTACTGGCTCCTCCTTTTATAGAAAACCTTTAAGCACTGGCATGTTCCAGAACTTTGACTTATGCCCTCTTCTCTTATCTAAATCCTTTGTCTGGATGATCCTGGGTATGTCATGTATAAATGGCCTTGTCATCTATAAATAATGATTCCTAAACTTCTATCTCTAAAAGGGACCTCCCACTTGAGCATCTGCACATGACATACCTTCACTCAAATATCTCAAAAGCACATCAATCTGAGCATTTCTAAAACTGAACTGCTGACATTCCCTTCCTCTTTCAAGGGTTCCTACCTCTGTGAAACACATCTCTTCTCAACAGATACACAAAGCAGGAACAGAGGAGTCTTCCTCAACATTTCTCTTCCTCACCCCTCACAGCCAGTTAATCATTAAGTCCTGTTGATTTGACTTCCTAAATATTTCTTGGGTCTCTATCTCTACCACCTCTATCTAGACAAGTCCACCATCATTTTGACTACTGCAGTGCCACTCATCTATCCCTCAATTCCACTTCCATTCCACCACAGTCCATTTCATGCACAGAGGTCAAAATGGTCTTTTAAAAGGGACAAATTTGATCATCTCACAGCCCTGCATAGATAGACTTATAGACTTCCCATTGCTCTGTGAAGAAGGATCAAAATCCTTTCATGGCTTATGAAGTCCAGCCTAGATCTCCAGTCTCCTATTTCTTGGTAGTTTGCAGAATCTTCTCAGTGTGATGCTACTTTATTTCAAAAATTCAAATGTGCCAGTCTTATTCCCAACTCAGGGCGTTTGCACATACTGTTTGCCTGCCTGGTGCACTCTCCACCTCCATCATCAACTGGTTAATTTCAATGTTAATTTCAAAGATCATTTTGTGGGGAAGCTTTCCTTGACTAACACATACATTTCATAGTACCCTGTCCTTTATCAATTATCAAAGTTTTAATTGTAATTTACTGTATTTTTATTTAATTGCTGCCTCTCATCCTTCTAGATTGTAGGCTCTATGAGAGCAGTAACTATGTCTTTCTCATCACTGATTCCCTAGCATGTCATGCCATTCTTGGGACTTATTAAATGCTCAATTAATTTTTATTTTTGCTCAATTTTTTAAAAAATTTTTGTTCAATTAATTTTTGATGGATAAATGAATGTAAAAATGAGCAAATAACTTGACAATACTCATTCTCTTGTGGGCCCTATTTCTGATGCAGCCCAGATGCAATTACATCCCTGGTGATGTAAGCAGCAAGTCTCTCCTGTTCTTCATTTTCTGTTGAACTGATTTCTCCTCTCTCCAACTGTCTTTTTACCTCTAAGACACCTGAGTTTCAGTTTAATCTTTGTTTTCACATTCTTCAAACACATTTGAGTTTGTATATTCCACTATTCCAAGCTGTTTATAGCACTACACAAATGTTGTTCTTTCTGGAGATCTGAAAATATTGCTGAGTTTTGAGTAATGTCACAAGGGCATTAAAAACTGAGAAAAACATTCTTCCATTTGAAATGTCTTTAGCATGAAGGAATATATTTTAGCAGAAGCAGCTGATACATAACGTTTTTCCTCCCTCAGTTCCAGTATCTCGTCCCATCCTCACCTTCAGGGCTCCCAGGGCCCAGGCTGTGGTGGGGGACCTGCTGGAGCTTCACTGTGAGGCCCTGAGAGGCTCCTCCCCAATCCTGTACTGGTTTTATCATGAAGATGTCACCCTGGGTAAGATCTCAGCCCCCTCTGGAGGAGGGGCCTCCTTCAACCTCTCTCTGACTACAGAACATTCTGGAATCTACTCCTGTGAGGCAGACAATGGTCTGGAGGCCCAGCGCAGTGAGATGGTGACACTGAAAGTTGCAGGTGAGTGGGCCCTGCCCACCAGCAGCACATCTGAGAACTGACTGTGCCTGTTCTCCCTGCAGCTGAAAATGGAGCCACAGAGCTCCTCAGGGCTGTTTGCTTGTGTGGCATCCCAGCACACTTCCTGCCTGCAGAACCTCCCTGTGAAAGTCTCGGATCCTTTGTGGTATGGTTCCAGGAATCTGATGTTTCCCAGCAGTCTTCTTGAAGATGATCAAAGCACCTCACTAAAAATGCAAATAAGACTTTTTTAGAACATAAACTATATTCTGAACTGAAATTATTACATGAAAATGAAACCAAAGAATTCTGAGCATATGTTTCTCTGCCGTAGAAAGGATTAAGCTGTTTCTTGTCCGGATTCTTCTCTCATTGACTTCTAACAAGCCTCTACTCTTGAGTCTCTTTCATTACTGGGGATGTAAATGTTCCTTACATTTCCACATTAAAAATCCTATGTTAACATAAGCTATGTGTACAGCCCTTCAGGAGACACACTCAGCGATCTTTAAAGCAAGGGACACAGGTGACCAGGGCAGAGAGTGGGGAGCAGGATGACATGGAATGGAAATGGACATCCATCACCCAAATTCCTCTATTCTCGAAGCTGTTCTTTGATCTCTTTCAATTAAGTGTAATAACCCAAGGAAAGCTGCTTCTAGTGAGCTCTGAATCTTTTTGGTGATGACCTCCTACAAGCCAAACTTTGAAACCTCTGTTTAGAGAGAACTGGTGTTTAGCAAAAGTATGCTAAGGGGTGTTGAGATGAATCTTCTAGACTTGGATCTGAAGATAACTAGCTGTATGACATTGGCCAAGCACCTCTTCCCATACTGACCTCAATTTCCACACCCACAAAGTGGGAAAATCAGACTAGATGAAAATCATGATCATCCTTTGTCCTAGAATTCTATGATTTTGGTAGACAGGGAATATGGATTATGCAGACGTACAGGTTCCTAGAAGGAGATATGCAAAAGTAAAAGCAGGTTGTACCTGCCCCTGGAATATATCCTGGAGAAACACGAGACCATACAATGGTATGCAATCACCATTCCAGTCATGTAAAGCAAAATATACACTGATGCTCTTATTCCCTTTGGCAAGGTGCCTGGGTATCATAAGGAATAGACAGAGTCACATAAGCAGGTTGATCTGGGCATGCTAACCCATGATCCAGCATCTCACAAAGTAGCCAGTGCAACCATCTCATTGTTATCCAGGAGGTGATGACTTCAGATTTGGGTTTTCCCATTCAGTCAGCTCGTTCTTCTTCCCCCACCAGCAGCACCAACCTCATCCAATTTTCCTGAGATTTGCAGGGGCTCTCCCCACACAGTTTACACACCTATCCCTTAGAGCCAGCACACAGGCATGTACCACGGACCGAGGGCTGCTCCATCTTTCCTCACAATACAGCAAGCCAACACATCATACCTCCTACATTCTATACTTATGATTTCATGATTTTCTGCTCATCCTCACTCCCTCATTTCTATAATTCTCTGTCGCAAATGCATGTTATTTCTGCTGCTGTTATCACAGCTAAAGGGTTTCTTGCCCAGCCTGAATGAATTGTGTCTGAATCCTGAAACTAGGACCCAGGTCATAGAGACCAGGAGCTGCCAGAAAAGGAAATATTATTTCTTATTATCATCATAACCAGTGTCATCATCATCAACACTCACTGAGCCTTCACCAGGTTCCAGGCTCTGTGCTAAATGTTTAATAGGCAACATCTCATTTAATTATTAAGATAAACCTGTGAGGATAAATTTTAAGCCATCGTATCCCCTATTTGCGGAAAAGAGACTGAGGTTTAGAGAAGTGAAGTAACTAGCTTGCAGACACACAGCTAGCCAGGGTAAAGCCAGGTTGAAGCACAGTCCTCTCTAACTCTTCACATTAGTCTGATACATGATGACATTTTCTCATCCGTTGTGGCCACTTTTAACACAACATTTTAGTTTTTAGTAATTTGTTATTCTGAAAGAACACATGAATGTTTGTGATGAAAAAAATCAAATAATACAAAAGGGCCAATATTGAAAAGTAAAGGTCTCTTTCTACCTGCTCATATCACTTCTTACGCACATATTCTCCAGACATAACCACTGTTAATTGTTTCATGTGTATGCTTCTAGAAATAATCTACAAACCTAAAGGTAGATAATTTTTAGAAAGCTAGAATAATATTACACATATAGTTATGCCAGTTGCATTTTTTAACTTAAAATACATCCTGACTTTTGTTTAAGAAATGCATCTTGGATATCATTCATGTTTCATTACCCAATCCAGTAGGTTGTCTCTAATTTTTAGCTCTTGTAAAAATGCTACAATAGAAATTCTTGTAGAAATATATTGGCATATTTTATGTCAGTATCCCTAAAGGAGATGGCCCTAGAAGTAGGACTTGAACTCCTGGGCTCAAGTAATCCTCCTGCCTCATACTCCCAAATCGCTGGGATTATAGGTGTGAGCCACTACACCTGGCCCACTAGAAGCAGATTTGTTGGGTCAAAGTTTATGTGCACTTTAAATTTTGTAGATATTGCCAAGTTGCCATTCAAGGAAGTGTGTTAAATTTGTATTACCACCAAGGGCATATGTAGGTGCCTGTTTATCTACAAGCTAATCAGTATGATCAGTCTATTTAAGCTTTGCCAACCTGAAAAATAGAAAAAAGAATAGTATTGTATGGTTGTCTTTGTGTTTAGTTAATTAGTAATGAAGATGAGAATCTCTGTATATATTTATTGTCTATTTGAAGTTTTCAGTGATTTATACACTTTTTACAGTTTTCTATTGGATATTTTTGTACACTGAAAACTATTAGCAGGTCAAAGTAATTAGCTTTATCATCTATGTTTTAATCTACTTTCCAAGATTGAGATATGACTTTTTACATTTGTTTATGATACCTTTTGTTTCTTACAAATATGTTAGAAGCAGAAACTGCTGTTGACTTTTTGTTCTCTTTCAGTTCCGGTGTCTCGCCCGGTCCTCACCCTCAGGGCTCCCGGGACCCATGCTGCGGTGGGGGACCTGCTGGAGCTTCACTGTGAGGCCCTGAGAGGCTCTCCCCTGATCCTGTACCGGTTTTTTCATGAGGATGTCACCCTAGGAAATAGGTCGTCCCCCTCTGGAGGAGCGTCCTTAAACCTCTCTCTGACTGCAGAGCACTCTGGAAACTACTCCTGTGAGGCCGACAATGGCCTCGGGGCCCAGCGCAGTGAGACAGTGACACTTTATATCACAGGTAAGTTTCCCGTGCCCGGGCCACAGATGCGGACAAAATGTTTCCTCCGCGGACCCTCTGATAACCCTCACAGTGCTTGATCAGAAAGGCACTCCTCAGGGCGAAGTAACACAGCTGGCAGCTCTCTAAACTGCTATATTTCCTGAAGTGCTTCTGAAGTGATGGCGTTGGGGCTGAGAGCGCGGGTTGGCGGGCTGGGCGCAAGAGCGCCACTGACTTTAGAGGTCCTCACCTGGCTGCCTCCTCTCTCACTGGCCACCGGCCACCCTGACCCTGGACACTTGTCTCAGGCGCAGAGACGGCTTCCTCACAAAGACAGGAGCCATCTTCTGTGCCACACCAGCCCCTGCTTAGCTGCCGGGGACCTGCTCACCTAGGTTCACCGTCAGGCCCAGGCAGCAGCTTCCGGGAGCGGGCAGTTCCAGACCACAGCCTCTCCTCTGGCTCACACACAGGGTCTCCCCCTCAGGGCTGACCGCGAACAGAAGTGGCCCTTTTGCCACAGGAGTCGCCGGGGGCCTGCTCAGCATAGCAGGCCTTGCTGCGGGGGCACTGCTGCTCTACTGCTGGCTCTCGAGAAAAGCAGGTGGGTGACTCTGGGCACACCTTGGCTTGAGTTCATGCCCTTCCCAGCAACGCTCCCTTGGGCTTCATGCTGCCTTTGTGACCATCCCAGGCTCGCAAGAGCTCATCCGCTCTGTCCCTCAATCCTCTTCCTTTCCCGCTGGGTCCTCCCGAATTGCTTTTACCAAATGCACAGTTTCCAAAACAGACCTATAAGGTGGGAGACGTCTTGATGAGATGTAGTTTATCCAACATCATAAACTACAGAGTGTCTTCCTCTCGACCCTTATAAGACCCCCCCAACGAATGGGAAGAGGAGGAGAAAAACTCAGAGAAATAGAAATGAAAATAGAAACCAGATAGGATTCAGTAATTTTCCGATTTTTTAAATGTACACTATTTTTATAGTTGATCAAGTCTGTTTTCCTGCCTTGGAGATTATCTTTAAAATCTCCAGGTTAAAGGATTACGGATTGTGGACTCCCGTTTCACATCATAGCAAACCCCTCTGGCAGGGTCAGTAGTTTTTGCCCAATCTGCTACCTCCCTGGGGCATAACAAAGAAGGATTCAACCTTCAGTGACAGCAACTCCTGGCAGTTTCTAAGTGAGCCTTGCCTGAGCTGTGCCCCACTGAGGGTCTCATCTTCCTGAATCCAATGCTCCTCTGCTTTCCTTTACAGGGAGAAAGCCTGCCTCTGACCCCGCCAGGTAAGAGCTGAGCTGCATTCCTGTGTGATTAGTGAAATGTCCACAGGGTGGAAAAATGGAATTGAATCTGATGATTACCAAGAGCACAGTTTCTGCCAGGTGCTGCTGAGCTGGGGTGTGGCCACTACCTGTTGTACGTCCCTGGGGATATCTTAAGGCAATTCCCAGGACCTTTGCACCCACCCCCTTAGCTGTATAGGCTGTTATCTCATCAAGTATTAATTGCCTTTTCATTTATTAACCCACATCCTTGGACCATTGTTGGCTTGGTTGTCTGAATGACCACTATGACCACCAAGTCTTTCCATATCTTGAGATGACCTTAGCTCAGTCAACCTAGAAATCTCTGGAGATGCTGATCTCATCAACACCTCTTGTGATAACAACTGAGAAGATGGAGCCGCACAACTTGGCCACCCAGAGAGGTCACTCTGCCAGCAGGAGGTAGTCCCTGTGAAGAAGGGGCCACCATCTTGTATCCCTAAGGCTGACTTTAGGAGCCACACAAAGGCTCACAGCTATCCCTGGGCAAGCCCACGATAGCAGCATCCAAACATGTAGAGCACCTCGGAGCCTTCTGGTCACTGATCTCTCTGAGCATGCAGGGTTCGGAGCCAGCTTTGAGCCTTGGCTCATCCCCTTTCTGGTTACATGATCTTCATAAGTCACTTATTGGAGCCTCCGTTTGTTTCAGCTAAAACGAGGATGAAATAGAACTAACAACGTATTGCTGTAAGCATCAGCACCATGCCTGTTACACACTAGATGACCAGAAAGCCTGGAAACATATATAATATGATTATGATTCATAATAGAATGCCCATGGTCAGTTTGTTATGTACTTGTTCATGTTTCCAGGCCTGGCAGCCACCCTGCAGTAAGAAGTCACTCACTAGGAGTGATCATTATAGCTACTTTGTCTGGATTCCTAAGAAACATTCACATTTCTCTGTCTCACAGGAGCCCTTCAGACTCGGACTCCCAAGAGCCCACCTATCACAATGTACCAGCCTGGGAAGAGCTGCAACCAGTGTACACTAATGGTGAGGCCCGAGGATCCTGCATTTGGCAGAAGCTGGAGGGCTGGTGTGGGAAAGCGGTGGGGCAGGAGATGGGGAGGGACTATGCCGAGGCCTAGAGGGCTCTAGTCCTTCCAGAAAAGAGACTCTGGCTGGGGGAGGAGGAAGTATCTCTAACAAGAGGCAAGAACCTCAGCATCCTCTGAAACTTCAACTTTTTTCTAAGCAAATCCTAGAGGAGAAAATGTGGTTTACTCAGAAGTACGGATCATCCAAGAGAAAAAGAAACATGCAGGTAAGACCCAAGGATGTCTCTGTTCTGGCCCACCCTCAACTTAGACAGTATAGCTCAGTTTCTACCCACTCAGCAGATCTGAGCCAGACAGGCATAGAGCCGCCCCTCCCACTGGGTCATGGGGCTTCTTTATGTGTGCCTATGCTGCTTCAGGTGAATCCAAGCCTCCCCTGCACTCTCCTTTCCCTATTCTCTGCAGAGGGCCCCAGTATAACCTGAATAACAAAACTATCTTTTTGGGCATTCGCTTAACCTCTCAGACCTTCCATATCCCTATCCATAAACTGTGACTACTTCCCTACTGTCTTAGTCAGTTCTGGCTCCTGTAACAGAGTACCATAAACTAGGTGACTTAAAGAACTAATATCTATTTCTCACAATTCTGGAGGCTGGAAATCCAAGATCAAGGTGCCAGCATGGTCAGGTTCTTAGTGAGGGCCCTATTCCCATTTTCCAGACAGATGACTCCTTGCTGTATCCCCCACACAGCAGAGAGAGAGGGAGAGATCATCTTTCATGTCTCATCATGATAATCATCATGACATAATTGTCACCCAAAGGCTCCACCTCCAAATGCCATCACATTGGGGATTAGGTTTTAACCCATACATTTGGAGAGCAACACAAATATTTAGTTGATAGCACCTACCTACCTGTACTAGTTTCTGATTGCTGCTGTGACAAATGACCATAAATTTGGGGGGATGAAGCAGTACAAATTTATCATCTTACAGCTCTGTGGGTCAGAAGTCTGACGCCGGTCTCACTGGGCTAAAATCATGGTGTTGGCAGGGCTGTGTTCCTCCCTGGAGGCCCATCCACTTTCCTGCACCCATGTCCCCTTCCTTTCCCAAAGCCAGCAAAGTCACATTTCTCTAATCATTCTTCCATAGACAGGCCTCCTTCTGACCTCACCTGAGAAAAGTCCTTGGGTTTTAGAGAATCATATGAGTATATTGGGCCCATCTGGATAACCCAGAATAATCTCCCTATCTCAGGGTCTGTAATCCTAATCACATCTGAAAGGTCCTCTTTTCCACTTAGGGTAATATAGTCACAGGTTGCAGCAATTAGGGCGTGACATCTTTGGGGGCACATTATTACAGCTACCATGCTGTTTCATGGGGTAACTGTGGGGACTAAATGAGAAAATAGGTGTGGAAATGCTGTCGAAACTGCAGAGGGTTGAGCAGCTGTGACGATGACTACATGCTGGAGGTCTGGCTATGTCATCAACCCTCACTCACAGTCGGTGGTTTGAAATGAGGGAATCCCAGCCCGGCTGCCTCCTTACTCGGAGCAGGAAAGAGGAACAAAGTCCTTCACGGCAGGCTTTTCTTTCTACCTCTGCTTCATAAAAAGTGCTGCGTGATTTTAGCCAGTGTGCTTCCCTCTCTGGTTTTCTAATTTTTCTTATATAAAGTCAAGTGAATTGTGTTTGTGCCTCATTCTTGGTTCTATAGCACCCCTCTGAGACATGTGAACTCATTCACTCTTACAAGCCCCTTTGAGGTATGCGCTGTTACTACTCCCATTTTACAGATGAGGAAACCAAGGCATAGACACCTTAAATGACTTGCCTGAAATCTTATAGTCAATCACCAAACAGTCTTCTCCAGAGTCCAAACTCTAGACCAAACTCTGCTTCTTCATGCAATTCCAGGGAGTCCTGATGCTCATTCCAAGCCAAAAGGGCAGAGCCTTGTCTGGAGAATGTCATATTTCTCTCCAGTTTGATGATAATATAACAATAATAATTTATAATATCTATCATGTGCTGAATAGTTCCTATTATGTGCTGGGTATAGTTCTATAAGTGCGATAAATAAATACACTATATTTGTATGGATAGCTCTTAGAACTATACCTGTAGCACTTATATAGAACTATGGCATGCATACATATGATAATAGAGAGAGAGAAAATGTATTGAATATAGCAATCAGGACTGTACCTGACACATAGAAACTGCTCAATACATGACAGATGATAGAAATAATATATGCACAGACACACAGATACATGTGCTCACACATATGTGTAAACTCATATAGCTTCACCACAACCTTACAGGCAGAGGATATTTTTATTCCCATCATATAGATGAGGCAACTGAGGCAAGAGATGTTGAGTGACTTCCCCCAACCACGGAGGTGACAAGACAGGCGGCAGGCTCAGTTTCAGGTGGTCTAGACCCTGATGGAGTGTGCTCTCTAAAACTTGCACCCACCACACCTTCCCAGAACAATAATACCAATTATGCTCAAATAACTAACAAGATAAAAGACAAATGACTTTCTCTTGAGGGCCTCTAGGCAGCTCAGAGTGGGCCACAAAGTGTGAAGGGGAGTTGAAGAGAGGGTCTGTCAGTGCTGAGAGGCTGAGGGAGTTGGGAATGGAGAGGGACTGGGTGAGCACCAACTAAGAGGAATGGCTACTCACCGCACAGAGGGAGAGCGGGCCTCCAGGAGGCTCAGGGCTGGCCCCACAGCGCAGGCACAAGGGAAGAGCCCCATGCCAGTCTTCCACAACTGAACACTTTCCTCTTTCCACAGTGGCCTCTGACCCCAGGCATCTCAGGAACAAGGTGAGTCTCCCCTTCTGCATGCCCTCCCCCACCCCCAGGCCCACCCTGGTCCTCACGCATGTGCTCTTGCCTCCTAGGGTTCCCCTATCATCTACTCTGAAGTTAAGGTGGCGTCAACCCCGGTTTCCGGATCCCTGTTCTTGGCTTCCTCAGCTCCTCACAGATGAGTCCACACGTCTCTCCAACTGCTGTTTCAGCCTCTGCACCCCAAAGTTCCCCTTGGGGGAGAAGCAGCATTGAAGTGGGAAGATTTAGGCTGCCCCAGACCATATCTACTGGCCTTTGTTTCACATGTCCTCATTCTCAGTCTGACCAGAATGCAGGGCCCTGCTGGACTGTCACCTGTTTCCCAGTTAAAGCCCTGACTGGCAGGTTTTTTAATCCAGTGGCAAGGTGCTCCCACTCCAGGGCCCAGCACATCTCCTGGATTCCTTAGTGGGCTTCAGCTGTGGTTGCTGTTCTGAGTACTGCTCTCATCACACCCCCACAGAGGGGGTCTTACCACACAAAGGGAGAGTGGGCCTTCAGGAGATGCCGGGCTGGCCTAACAGCTCAGGTGCTCCTAAACTCCGACACAGAGTTCCTGCTTTGGGTGGATGCATTTCTCAATTGTCATCAGCCTGGTGGGGCTACTGCAGTGTGCTGCCAAATGGGACAGCACACAGCCTGTGCACATGGGACATGTGATGGGTCTCCCCACGGGGGCTGCATTTCACACTCCTCCACCTGTCTCAAACTCTAAGGTCGGCACTTGACACCAAGGTAACTTCTCTCCTGCTCATGTGTCAGTGTCTACCTGCCCAAGTAAGTGGCTTTCATACACCAAGTCCCAAGTTCTTCCCATCCTAACAGAAGTAACCCAGCAAGTCAAGGCCAGGAGGACCAGGGGTGCAGACAGAACACATACTGGAACACAGGAGGTGCTCAATTACTATTTGACTGACTGACTGAATGAATGAATGAATGAGGAAGAAAACTGTGGGTAATCAAACTGGCATAAAATCCAGTGCACTCCCTAGGAAATCCGGGAGGTATTCTGGCTTCCCTAAGAAACAATGGAAGAGAAGGAGCTTGGATGAGGAAACTGTTCAGCAAGAGGAAGGGCTTCTCACACTTTCATGTGCTTGTGGATCACCTGAGGATCCTGTGAAAATACAGATACTGATTCAGTGGGTCTGCGTAGAGCCTGAGACTGCCATTCTAACATGTTCCCAGGGGATGCTGATGCTGCTGGCCCTGGGACTGCACTGCATGCATGTGAAGCCCTATAGGTCTCAGCAGAGGCCCATGGAGAGGGAATGTGTGGCTCTGGCTGCCCAGGGCCCAACTCGGTTCACACGGATCGTGCTGCTCCCTGGCCAGCCTTTGGCCACAGCACCACCAGCTGCTGTTGCTGAGAGAGCTTCTTCTCTGTGACATGTTGGCTTTCATCAGCCACCCTGGGAAGCGGAAAGTAGCTGCCACTATCTTTGTTTCCCCACCTCAGGCCTCACACTTTCCCATGAAAAGGGTGAATGTATATAACCTGAGCCCTCTCCATTCAGAGTTGTTCTCCCATCTCTGAGCAATGGGATGTTCTGTTCCGCTTTTATGATATCCATCACATCTTATCTTGATCTTTGCTCCCAGTGGATTGTACAGTGATGACTTTTAAGCCCCACGGCCCTGAAATAAAATCCTTCCAAGGGCATTGGAAGCTCACTCCACCTGAACCATGGCTTTTCATGCTTCCAAGTGTCAGGGCCTTGCCCAGATAGACAGGGCTGGCTCTGCTGCCCCAACCTTTCAAGGAGGAAACCAGACACCTGAGACAGGAGCCTGTATGCAGCCCAGTGCAGCCTTGCAGAGGACAAGGCTGGAGGCATTTGTCATCACTACAGATATGCAACTAAAATAGACGTGGAGCAAGAGAAATGCATTCCCACCGAGGCCGCTTTTTTAGGCCTAGTTGAAAGTCAAGAAGGACAGCAGCAAGCATAGGCTCAGGATTAAAGAAAAAAATCTGCTCACAGTCTGTTCTGGAGGTCACATCACCAACAAAGCTCACGCCCTATGCAGTTCTGAGAAGGTGGAGGCACCAGGCTCAAAAGAGGAAATTTAGAATTTCTCATTGGGAGAGTAAGGTACCCCCATCCCAGAATGATAACTGCACAGTGGCAGAACAAACTCCACCCTAATGTGGGTGGACCCCGTCCAGTCTGTTGAAGGCCTGAATGTAACAAAAGGGCTTATTCTTCCTCAAGTAAGGGGGAACTCCTGCTTTGGGCTGGGACATAAGTTTTTCTGCTTTCAGACGCAAACTGAAAAATGGCTCTTCTTGGGTCTTGAGCTTGCTGGCATATGGACTGAAAGAAACTATGCTATTGGATCTCCTGGATCTCCAGCTTGCTGACTGCAGATCTTGAGATATGTCAGCCTCTACAGTCACAAGAGCTAATTCATTCTAATAAACCAATCTTTCTGTATGTGTGCATGTGTATGTGTGTGTATAAATGTATATGCATTTGTGTACACAGATAGGTGTATATCTGTGTGCTTACCTCATGGGTGCATGTGAGTACACACAAAAAAACCACACACACACAAGCACACACATCCTGTTGGTTCTGTTTCTCTAGAGAACACTGACAAACACAATGATTAACAAGGGTGCGAGAACCAAATGGGCAGGCTAAGCGTCTGCTCTCGAGGCTGGACTTCCATGAGAGGGAAGGCTTCCGTCTTTAGAACAGATACATTTTTCTAGTTTGCAACCTTGTGCTGGTCTTGAGTGAAGAGGAAGGAGAAAGTGAAGAAATTCCCCCATGCTTTAGCCTGGGATAGGACAGACCCAGTGAAACGGGTCTATCTATAATTTAGAATGGGCAAACAAAGAGCAAACCTCAGCCTCGAGTATAGTGTGGCCTGGAGTGGACTCGAGTTCTTGAGGGACAAAATCTCAACTGCCCAGCAGTGGTCTCAGGAGGCTCCACAGAGGCAGAATGTTTCTTTGAGGGGACAGCCCCACATATTAGGAGAGCAGTATGGCTCTTGTGACTGTAGAGGTTGACATATCCTAAGATCTGCAGTCAGCAAGCTGGAGAGCCAATAGTACAGTTTCTTTCAGTCCAAATGCCAGCAAGCTCAAGACCCAAGAAGAGCCATTTTTCAGTTTGAGTCTGAAGGCTGAAAAACTAATGTCCCAGCCCAAGGCAGGAAGAGTTCCCCCTTACTAGAAGAAGAATCAGCCCTTTTGTTTTATTCAGGCCTTCAACAGACTGGATGGTCCCCACCCACATTAGGCAGGGCAATCTGCTCTATTTAGTCTAATTATTCACATGTTCATCTCACCCAGAGAGACCCTCACAAAACACTCAGAATCATGTTTGACCAAATGTCTGGACACTCTGTGGCCCAGTCAAGTTGACACATAAACTTAATCATCACAATCACAAAGGTGGTCTCTTGGCTGCACACATTTTTGGGGATTGTTTCTCAGTTGGTTCAGATCTCTGAGCTGTTACTTTTAGGGTCTCCTCAAAGAGAAGAGAGGCCCGGCTTCCCTCACATTTGTGGTTAAAAGAAATATTCTAAGATTATGCCCACTTCCTCTTTTTGTTTTGTCTTTTGTCACTTCTCAAAGTCCACCTGTCTCTTTGACATCTAGCTGACCTGTTTCATGTCTCCTAATTTTACCTCAACTAACCAACTTTATTGTCTTTGCCCTCTTCCAATCTCCTCTGATTAATACTGCCCACTCAACAGAGAGCTTGCCATAAGAATAACTACTACTTATTAGGAATTAATGTGTCATACCTTATGCTAAGCTTTTTGCATAAATTATCTTATTTAGGGTGCATAACAGGCCTATGCAATACTTATTCATTACTGTCCCTGTTCCTGGAACCAAGCTGAGTTCAGCTGTGTTTTCTCAAGGCCCAATAATGAGAAGCAGACAAACTAGGAAAGAAGGGAACTTATTGCTGTAACCAGATACAGTGAGAAGGTCAGAGATAATTCTATCAGTCCAACTCAAAGTGTTACAGTTTTCTCAGTGCTTATATAGGTTGGGATTATGTGCCTCTGTGCAGTATAGCATTCACCTAAGTCTATTGGTAACTAATTTTGTTTCAACTAGAAGGTCAGAGGCAAAAAAAAAGCTTGCTAAGTCCAATTAAAAGGCCTCCAATACCTTCAAGGCCTGTCTACTGTGGTACTGGAGTGATTATTTCTCTCTTATCTCCTTTATGGCTTGGTCCGGAGAGCTGTCTTAGACTCTCCAATGAATCTATTCAAACAGCTGCCTCTGTTACCTTGACTCGTCTCAGATTTCATTGACCAGAGACAGGTCCTGGCACTAGGAATCTATGACTGTCTCTATTATTTTGGCTTGCTCCAGGTTAGGGAGAAGCCCATGCAAGGCTCCTACTGACCATATGTTTCATTTCCAGCTTTGATGTCTGGGCACCGATTTCTCTAGGTTTAACTATTTGCTCAATGTTAAGGCAGTGCTGTGGAAATTTGTCTGTGTAGCTGGGGTGCTATGCAGGCCTGTCTGTGTGACTGTCATGCAGGCCTGTCTGTGTGACTATCAGGGAGAATTGGCCTGCCACATCCCTATTTTACAGATGAGGTAACTGAGACTTAAAGAAATTAGTTTAGACTAAGACCACACAATAGTAAGTCAGAGCTAGAACTGTGCATCCCTGGAGTCCATGCTTAGTCACTTCACCAAATGTCCTCAGTGAGTATCGTGGGCCACAGAGTCCTATTTGGGGAGAGGCATTTGTGAAGCAGGAAGAGAGCACACGAGACTTGGAGCCGGAAGGCCTGGCTCCTGTACAGGCCACTACCCGTTGCTGTTTAACCTCTCTGAGCTCTGGTTACCTCATCTATAAAACTGGAAAAGAAATAACAGCTGCTTGACTGAATTACATATGGAAGGAGGTAAGGTTTGAGAACGCTATGCAGATGTTCACGGAAGCAGGTGGGGAGGTGCCTGTGTTTGTTACCAAGTTTGCATTGCTTTCTGTTTGCCTTTCTTGGTCCCTCCCCCATCATTACAGTGGAGCAGCTGCTGAATTGCAAAAACATACTTCAGGGCCAGGCGCGGTGGCTCACGCCTGCAATCCCAGCACTTTGGGAGGCCGAGGCGGGTGGATCATGAGGTCAGGATATCGAGACCATCCTGGCTAACACGGTGAAACCCCATCTCTACTAAAAATATAAAAACTTAGCCAGGCGTGGTGGCGGGCGCCTGTAGTCCCAGATACTCGGGAGGCTGAGGCAGGAGAATGCCGTGAACCCAGAGGCAGAGCTTGCAGTGAGCTGAGATTGCGCCACTGCACTCCAGCCTGGGTGACAGGGCGAGACTCCGTCTCAAAAAACAAAAAACAAAAAGCATACTTCAGAAGAAAATGATGGAAAATAATCTGGTCTTCTTTTTAATGTGAGGGGAATGGGATAATTAGATGGGAGGTGTGGGAATGCATAAACTCAACATTTCAGGGATTACATAAATTCATAAAATCTTTCTGATGTGAATGTTCTTTAATTATTTTCCAGAGAAATAAAAGCAAAGGGGTGATGTCCCCAGAGACACTCTTCCGGGTGGCTTATTGACAAAAGAACATATTTGCTTATAAGAAGGCTGTGAATAAATACAAATTTCGTGGGTGGGGCCCAGCATATCCTGCAGCTCTACATTTCTTGGCATCAGGCAGTTTAAGAGATTAAGGACTCTGATGAAAAGAGACAAAATGAGAGTGTTCAGGCTGCTGGGTGCCTCAGGGACGTGTCCTCCACGCCCGGCCTCAGCCTCCCTTCCCATCTCTCCACCATTGCTCTCGTCCATCTTATGTGTTTGTCCCACACCTCTGAACACCATGTCCACCTGTGTCTCCAAGTGGGGCACCACAGAGCAAACCCGATGGATAGATCTGGTCCAGAGGCGGCCTTGTGGCCATGTTGGTGGATGGAGGAGAGCTGGGGGAAGACATGGGAGAATAAGGCTTAGAGGCAGGTGCCCCTCACTTGCCTTCCTTCCATCTGACCAAGCAGTGCTCTTTGTCAGGGTCACTGTCACCTGGCCTCACCAAAAATAGAATGAGCTCTGCGTGGGAAGGGAAGAAGGAGGAGGTGCTGTGGCCATAACCATGGGGTAACAGGGGCGTAGGGAGGGTGAGGCAATAGCTCAGGAGGACCCTCCCCAGCTGGCCCAGGGACTCCAGGCCTCAGGCTTTGGGGTGTGAGAGTGGTCAGGGAGGGGTGAGTTGTTTAATTTTCAAGTCTTATTACTAGAGAAGGCCTTGAGGGCATCCACTTCTTGTACTTTTCTCATGCTTGGGCCCCTCCACAGCATCCCTGCTGAGACATCAGCCAGCCTATGCTGGAATGCTTCTGGGGCCAGGGAGCTCAGCACCTCACCTGGCCTGAAATCACTGAAGGTTAGAGCTAGAAGGGGCCCTTGAGACCCTCAGGCCCTGCTCATGCTCATGTTTCCTGTCACCCTTCTTGCACTCTGAAAGTGACCTCCCTGTCACTCTTACCCTTAAGGAGAGTCTGCCCCCTGTACTTATTAGCCAAACTGCCTCCTTCAGATGTCACCTTCAATAGCTAAACTGTGGGGCAAGGCAGTGTGGGAGCTCCTCCACGCTCCTCACTATCATTTGCAAATTCCTTCACTGAGTATGTGTTCTTATTTAGTATGAATTCATATTCAGTGCCTACAACTGAGAATTGTTGAGAAGTCATCAAGAAGACCCACCTTGCCACTATGCACATCCTCAGTTTTGCCTACAACTGAGAATTCTTATTCATATGTATTCATATTCTGTACCTACAACTGAGCCAGGTGCTTGCTGTACTAAGTACTTGGAATACACTGGTAAACAAGGCAAATAAAAAAAATTCTGCCCTCAAGGAGCTGACATTCTAGCAGGGGAAACAGACAGGGAACGCTAAACATGATAAGTATGTAACTTATGTCATGATTTAGAAGGTGGCATGCGCCATGAAAAAGAAGAAATAGAGCCAAATAGGAGGGTTAGGATGCCCAGAGGAGGCTGCAACAATAAAGAGTGGTCGAGGAAGTCCTCACAGAGACGGTGATCTGAACAAAGGCATGAAATGTTCCATGGCCATTTGGACAGCATACAGGAGTCAGAGGGAGGAGTGCCCCAAGAAGAGGACATAAAATAGGATCACACCCAACAAGTTTGGGGCTAGACAGCAGAGAGCCACGTGGAGGCAGGGGGGCCAGTTAGGAGACCACTACACCATCCAGGTGAGAGATTATGACAGTTGAGATGGGGTGATGGTGGTGGGGTCAGAAGTGATGGAATACTGGGCATATCTTGAAGCTAAAGTATCCAGAATTTTCTGATGGATGAAATGAAGATTCAAGAGAAAGAAAAGAATCAACATGATTCCAAAATACTTGGCCTGAGATTCTAGAAAGATGGCAGCTCCATCCTGAGGTGGAGAACACTGTAAGTGGAACAAGTTAGGGGAGAGGATCAGAAGTTTGGTTTTGAGCAATGGACATGCAGGTGGAGATGTCAAGGACACAGTCAGTGACAGAAGACTGGATTCAGGAGGGAGCTCTGGAGACGTACATGCCAGTCATTGGCATCGAGGATGGCATGAGGGCATTGAGGATGTGCATAGTGACGAGGTGGGCCTTCTTGACTACTTCAGAAATATGTCTTGTCTGCCAATTCAGGATGGCCAAATGAGCACACACCCCATTACTCCTCTCGCTTGCAAAATCCACCAAAATATTAGATTTATCATTTATTGGTCATTGTCCTAACAGTACTACATATATTGTCTCACTCCATCTCAAAATAACTTATAAGAGAGCTGCATTGTGCCCGTTTTACAGATGAAGATGCCACAGTGCTGAGATCCAGTTATCCAAGGCCACAGGACTAATATGAAGCAGTTTCAAACTCAGAAGGCCCACTCTTAATCACCATGTTATACTGATGTAGCACATGTTCCAGCAAATCTAAACTTTAGCAATAAAAATAAAATCTAAGAAAGAAAATGTCACAAGATCCATGAGAATGTAGTACTCAGGTGTCCCAGAAAAAATTCTAAGCTGACAGCTACACAGCTGCCCCAGAAAACAATGCATCCAAAAAGTCAGAGGACTTGGGGAAGATTGCTCCACTTCCACCAGAGGAAGTCACTTCCACTCCAGAAATTATAGAAATAAGAACACAGAATAAAGATTCTAAGCAGGTCTAAGTCAATTCTAAACAATCAGATGAGATATGTTATTCTTCAATAAAAATTACAGCAAATAGAATGACAATTAGAAATCCAGGGAAAACAAGACAGTCTAAGAAAGTCGTGGTTCAAATTTGAAGTAACTGAAGTGTGGGTAACTGGATAATTAATGGAGTGGAGAAAAGAGACCTTTATTCATAGAACATTCTCCTTTGAGTGCCCAAGGTTTAATTACATAGTATTTTATTTCCTTTTCCGTGGGCCTAATCACAGTACTTGGTTCTGCAGTGACTCGTGTTTACATAATAATAATGCCTTAAATACTGTTTAAGGGTTTTCAATTTTTAGAATCAACTTCAAGCACAGAACACTTAATTATGGCTACTTCAGTATTCAAATTCTATAAACACGTGCAACACAAAAGTGATATTATGGCTCACAGAACTCTGGAGGTGGAAAGCAGAGGAAAGTCTACATGCACTAACTTTGTGTATGTGTGTGTGTGTAGTGGAGAATCAATATAGACTTTTTCTAAAAATAATACATCAAAAAATTGAGATTTGGCTGGGTGCAGTGACTCACAGCTGTAATCCCAGCACTTTGGGATTGATTCACAAGGCCGGTGAATCATTTGAGCCAGGAGTTTGAGACCAGCCTGGTCAACATGGTACAACCCCGTCACTAATAAAAATACAAAAATTAGCCAGGCATGGTGGCATGCGCCTGTAATCCCAGCTACTCAGGAGGCTGAGGCAGGAGAATTGCTTGAACCCGGGGGGTGGAGGTTGCATTGAGCCGAAATTTCTCCACTGCACTCCAGCCTAGGCGAGAGAGTGAGACTCCGTCTCAAGAAAAAAAAAAAAAAAAAAAAAAAAAAGGGAAAAAAAAGAAAAAGAAAGAAATTGAAATTTAGGTCCTTTTTTTTAAAGCATAAATCTAGCCATTAGAAAAACCTAGTCATATTACAGATTGAAACCAGGAAGTAAAGGGGACAGGAAGACAGGAAAGCCCTATAATGCCCTAAATTCTTCATCTTTCCTACAATGTAGGTAATAGACACCATCTAGTATAGTTTGGATGTGTGTTCTTGCCCAAATCTCATTTTAAAATGTAATCCCCAGTGTCGGAGGTGGGGCGCAGTGGGAGGTGATTGGATCTCCGGGGCAGATTTCTCATGAATGGTTTAGCACCATCCCCCTTGGTAATGTCCTCACAATAGTGAGTTACTGTGAGATCTGGTTGTTTACAAGTGTGTGGCCCCTACCCCTGCACTCTCCCTCTCTCTCTTGCTCCCACTATGGCCATGTGATGCACCTGCTCCCAGGTTGCCTTCGGTCATGATGGTAAGTTTCCGGAAGCCTCCCAGAAGCTGAGCAGATGCCAGCGTCATGCCTCCTGTGCAGCCTGCAGAACCGTGAGCTATTAAACCTCTTTTCTTTATAAATTATCCAGTCTCAAACATGTCTTTATAGCAAGAGAGAATGGACTAACACACTATCTAAAGTGGATAAATCAAGGATTTCCATGTATTATCATGTTATTTATGTTTGTGTGCTGACCAGATAACTAAAAACAGAAAACGCTAATCACAGGAGTAAACCGAGCTACAGGGAGGAGAAACTTTACTTTTTATTGTATGTCTGTACCAGCTGTTTGAATTTTTAAACATGAGCACGTATCCTTTTGCCACGTATGTGCCTATTTAATGTGAAGCTGCGTCAGAGCCTTCTTGTTGCACATTGAACTCAAGTGCAGCCACAGTTCTAACAAATGGCCAATAGGTGTCACTAGGTCCCTGGGCTGTGCGGGGCTCTGAGCAGAGTAGCCAGGAGAGCTGACTGTTCTGTCTCTTTTGGACCCTGACAGGGAATGGGGCAAAGGGAGGCAGCAGCTGGAGGCCAGTGGCTTGCCAGCAGCAGAGCCGGCATTCGGCACACAGCTGCAGTTCTCAGGGCATGGGCAGCCCCAGATGGCACCACCACGGGGAAAATGTCCCGATGGAGGAGGTTCACAGAAGGCTGGGCTGGGCCAGCCTGCGTTAGGAGGGCAGAGACTGTGAGAAAGCAAAGGAAGCCAGTGAGAAAACAGAAACTGAAGCAGAGAGCAGTACTTGCATCAAGTGAGAGTGCCTGAGCCCACCTTCCCTAGATCCACCACGTGCCAACTTTGTGACTGCAGCAAGCTGCTCAGACCAGGAGAGCTGAGCACCTGGGAGTGGAATAATAGCAGTGCCCACCCTGCACAGCTCTGAAGACTAAAATATTCATAAACATTTTAGAAACTGCTTCTCAGTTTGGCAATTTCCTATAAAGTTAAGCATACACTTGCTGTACAACCCAGAAAATCCCCCCTAGGTTTTACCCAAATGAAATGAAAGCTGAGATTTACAGAAGAACCTATACAGTATATTTTTAGTAGTTTTGTTTATAGTCACCCAAAACTAGAAACAACCCAAATACCCCTTAATAGGGAAATGGATAAACAAATTGGACAAATTCTATACAATGGAATCCTATTCAGCAACTAAAAAAATGAACAAACTCCAGAAACACACAAGAACATGCGTTGCAGGACTTTTTCTTCTTTCAGCTAAAAATGGGGTTCTTTGTCCCACGGTCATGAAAATTCAGGCTCACAGACAATTTTAATGGTGAGTAAGACAAGTTTTTTTGGGTAAAGAGGAAGAAAAGGAGCAAACAGGGACTCTTGCAATGCCAGAGTCCCTGCTAGAGCACTTCCCGCCTGCCTTGGAATCCCAGGTTCCACACAGGAAGAGGAGGGGCCCAACTCCTCCCCACAAAGGGTGTGAACTTCTGTGGCTCCACCCCATTGTGCAGGCTGGTTGGAGTTTTTCCGGGGAGCCCTCTCCCGCCTGGCTGTCTCGTTCCCCTTTCTAAAGAAGTACATCAAACTTTTGTTAGATTAAGGATAAGGACGAAGACCCATTTTAACTGCTTCCTGCTGACAGGGGATGCTGTTTTGGGGAAACAACAGTCCGAGCTCCCTCAAAGGTCTATTTAAGGTTTCCCAGCAGAAGGGGACATTGTCAGAGGCTCCAGCTGCATGACTATTTGGAGTTTGATGGCCTGAAGGCAAGAAGAGACAAACTATGTTATTAGAAAACATGTATCCAAATGAAACAAGGGGAGGGTTAAGGACAGCTCAAAAATTCTGAGGCCTTTTACCAGTTTGCACAGGAAGAGGGAGGCCAAAAGCCCAACTGGTTAAAATACTTTACCCTTTTGCCAGCATGTTGGGCTTCTGGGTTCTCTTCCCCTGAGCCCAATCCTATGGCAGCCATTTTAAGGTTTGGGAAATTAACTCCTTCCAGTTTGTAGGATGCATCTGAAGGGAGTGTCTTGTAGTACAGAGACACAATTACCTATTAGTGAAGAGAGGACAGAGAAGGAGAAAGGAAAAAAAGAGGCACCTGTTAAAGGAGTCCCAGAGGTTCAGGATGCATTTGGAAGGGGTACAGACTGAAGATGAATGGCTACCCATCTAGAAAGAGGGGAGCAGACATCCCTGGCTCCCTTCTCTTCCTAGCAGATACCCGGGGATGTGACGGAGAGAAGGAAGAGTGTCCTCTTTCCTCTTCCGTCCTTGCATCCCCAAGTCCGGGCGACTTAGGCAGGTCTGGCGTGAGTGCAAAAGAGCTTTGCACCCATGAAGCAGGGGGCCCTTAGGGGTGGGAATCATCCACTCTTACCCATGTATGCCGTATCTCCCTTGCTGTTGGTAGCCTTGGAGTTCCCTAGATCTCATTTATGCCATGGACATTAACGTGGCCTTTATCCATGAAATAGCAAGCTCGGGGTTGGCTTAATCAGCAGAAATTAGCCACGCTCACCTGCGCTGTGCCTTTTAACCTTTGTAGCTGCCTGCCTCTGGATCTGTTAGATCCAGTTCTCTTTCTCTTTTTTTTCTTTTTTTTTTTTTTTTTTTTTTTTTTTAGACAGAGTCTTGCTCTCTCACCCAGGCTGGAGTGCAGTGGCAAGATCTCGGCTCACCTCAAGCTCTGCCTCCCAGGTTCACGCCATTCTCCTGCCTCAGCCTCCCGAGTAGCTGGGACTACAGGCACCCACCACCAAGCCTGGCTAATTTTTTGTATTTTTAGTAGAGATGGGGTTTCACCATGTTAGCCAGGATGGTCTCGATCTCCTGACCTCGTGATCCGCCCACCTCGGCCTCCCAAAGTGCTGGGATTACAGGCGTGAGCCACCATGCCCGGCCCAGTTCTCTTTCTTATAGCATTGACCTGAAGCTTGGAATTGAGTTTGGGACAAAAATGTTTCCCAGGGGGTTGCATGGACTCCTTATCATAAGCCAAATGCTAAGGTGCAACTGTGGAACTGAGTCCTCCTCCAACAAGGGAAAGAAAAGGATGTCTTGTGACACACCCAGATAACTGGTGGCTTCAGTTATGCTTGCTAGGATTTGGGTGCATGGTCCTTGGCTTTGGTTAGCTCCCTTGGTGTTACTTTCCCAAAAAAGAAACCTTCAAGTGATGGGCATCCTATTTATTCCCATCACCTGGCGGGATTTGCAGGATAATTGCTCAGAACTAGAATATCGATCCAGATTTCTACATTACCCATACCTCTTGTTCTTTCTGAGCTGTAGCTGGAGATTGCTGGTTGGTTCACAGGAACAAGCAGGGTTATCCTAAAATGTAGGCAAAAACTTACAAACAACTAGTGTGTTTAGAATTTAATGACAAATATATGATAAGCTTTGAAATATAATTTCTCTCTCTGTAGTCCTCATGTTTGTTAAAAAACAAATCATCATAGGACTGAGGGTTTGCAAAATAGACTTTGGTTTTATACTTGGCCTGATTATTTCCATAAAGTACAACAAGAATAATTATTTCTACATAGGCCTTTTGGATTGGACTTGATGGAATTCTGTTCCACAAGGCATCTCAGATAAGACCTTTTAAAGTTGAACCAACCCAGCCATGGGTTTGTATCCTCGAATACCTGTGAGTTGAGTGGTCCTCTCCTTTTAAGATCCCAAGATAAACTTGGAGCTCCTAGACCTGTTAGAAAGTCACATTCTTTACTGACCACAGGTCAGGAACCTTGTACAGAGACTGTGTAGGGGAGGGTGTGAGGCCACACTTCCATGAGGCTTTTATTGGTTCTGTAAGTCAAGCTTGACTCCTTAAAGGGAAGTATGCCCTTCCAGTCAAACCCTTGGTAGAATAACCATTTTTTCTAATTGGGTCCTGTTGCAAAAGAAAAACGGATTCTTCGTGCACTGATGAAAAAAACTATATTGCCATAAGAATACTCACAGATAGTTTCCAAAGTCTAGAGGAACCAGGCAGAGAGAAACAAACATGTATATACCTGAGGACTAAGCTCTGATTCTTTATCTTGCCCAAATTCCTACCCAAAGGGTCTAATGAGTCATGCCCTACAAACTATAAATTCTCATCAGATGGGCTTTATTTTAACCCTGTATATCATGACTTACTTTCCAATCTGACTCTGGCATAACAAGGAAGAAAATCGAAATGTTTAACCCCAAAGTATATTTTCTTGCCATACCTTGAAATTGACCTGCAGAGTCTCTTATGGGAAAAATCCACATTCTATAGAAAATCCCCTTTCCTCTTTGTTTTCCTTGCTTCCCAGACCCAGGAGATAATCAACTAAGAGCCAGGCACCCTTTTAAGTCCAATAAGAAACATTTTACAACCTGTTATCTCTAAAGTCTGCTATCTGAGAGTTTCCTCTGCACAATAAAACTTGGTCTCCACAATCCTTTACCTTTACCTGAACATTCCTTTTCATTAATCCCAGGTCTTCAGATAAACTCAACCAATTGTCAACCAGAAAATATTTAAATTTACCTATAGCCTGGAAGCCCCTGCTTTGAGTTGTCCTGCCTTTCTGAACCAAACCAATGTATTTCTTAAATGTATTTCATTGATGTCTCATGCCTCCCTAAAATATATAAAACCAGGCTGTACCCCAACCACCTTAGGCACATGTTCTTAGGACCTCCTGAGGGCTGTGTTACAGGCCATGGTTACTCATATTTGGCTCAGAATAAATCTCTTAAAATATTTTACAGAGTTCGACTCTTTTCATCGACACACCTTACTTAATTACTAAAGGCTATAACTATTTCAAAATAAGTTTCCTTGACTCTGAAAAACAAAACAAGGACCAGCAATATTCTAAGCAAAAGTCAAAAAGGTTGCTTCAGCTTTCCAAGTTCAGTCCATTTAGTTAACTCTTGTTTTGCTTGACATTCATGAACATTTCAGCTCTTCATGAATCCTGTACGTTTTCCTTTATTCCAGTATTATAATCTCTAAAGTTATCAGAAGCCTGTATTTGAGAGTACCCGTTAAAATTCTATAGTTCATTATAAGCCATCTTTTAAAGGATTAAAACAAAACAACAATTATCTGTGAATAGCAAAATGTCCAGGGCAGTTATAGTTAGAAACATAATTGACAAAGAGGTTTGGTTATCTCCGTGGTTCACAATAACTTAATATAAAAAACCTTAATTATGTTTGATAGCATATACTCAGAATTCAGAAATTAGAATTTTAGAAATTCCACACAATTTTGGAACATATATTAGCATTATTCTCCAAGATATAACCTAAAGAAAATTGAACATCATTTTGGCAACCCCATGTACCTAAACATGTCAAATAATCCTGTTTACCTGTCTTTTCTGGACACTTCAGGGGCCCTCTGAAGCATCTGAAAAGTTAGGTGTCAGGAAAGACAATTTTGAAACTTAAGTTTGATTTTGGGAAGGCTGTTAAATGTGTTTAAAACACTTGAATAAAGTTCTAGATTACCATAAACTTTTTGCCAAAATGATGACTTAGAAATTTAAAGAAGCAGAAACTTTTTATAACCCCTTTGAATTTAATTAGTATGTTCACACAGAGAACTCTTCTGCAAGATTAATTTCCACAATTCTTCCACCACTTCTATGAACTTTCAGCTTTTCATATCTAACTCAAAACAATCCTTTAATCCTAGGCAAAAGTTTACATTTCCATGCCTTCTTATAACCTTTTACTAAAAAACAAATTTTACTGTTCTTACACACCTTGCATGTAAATCTATTTCTAGTAGTTTCAATTAACTCCTAGACATTTTTAACTTTAAGGTAAAACTTGGTAAATTGCTTTAATTGTGTGCTAACTGCAGCCAAGGTTTGCCTTCTAAATTAAGGGCATGGTTAGTTCCATATGTCCCTAGGCCCTACCAGTTGTAAAGCAGGAAGGACAGACAGTTCTCAAAATCCAAAGAGCAGTTTGTAACCTCAAAACACTTAGCAAACCTTGCATCTGACCTGCATAATTTAGTTCACCTATTTACATTTTAATGACACAAGCATTTTACCAATAATCTTTAAGGCTGCTTTTATTTCTCAAAGATTAAAGTCACATGAACTGAAAGGTACCACAACTTTTAACTTCCCTTAAAAAAATACTTGATTCAAGCACTTGTCTTTCTTTAGGACAAATTAATTAGAGCTCTTTTTACAGACATGACACACAATACACACACAGGCAGAAGAAAATCCAGTCTCCATGAGATTCTTTTTCACAACCAAAACTTTATGGAGAGTACAAACAGTGATAGTGATAGTTGGAGGACTTAGCCTAGTAAAACGTCTTCTAAAACAAAACAAAACAAAACAAAAAACAAAAAAAAAACTTGCTTAAAACTTAACTGCTGATAGGGTAGAGAAGAGGGAAAAAGAGAGAATAGTTTAAAAATCTTGGGAGGAACCTCTTATTCTTAAGCAAGTGGTTTCCCCACGAAGAGAAAAGCTTAATTACTGTCCAATGGAGCTGAACCGCTTGGACAGAGAAGGGGAAGTCTCCAGCGGCTTATGGTAGAAAATGCCAGCCAACTGGCCGTGCGGGACCCTTGGGCCATGCATCCCAGCCCCGGCAGGGAGGGGAGAGCAGCAGGGAGCTGCTGCTCGCCAGTAGGTCCTGAAAAAGGAAGGGAAATGCCATGAAAAGTCCCAGGAGCTAAGGGGGTTGGGGGCATGTTTTCCCCCACCCTCAGAAGTCCAAGGATGAAAAGGCTTAGGAGCAACATTGAGAGGTTTCGAGTCCCCATTTCACTCACTGCTTTTCTGGCCCAACGTTGTGCGCCAAAAATGTTGCATAACTTTTCCTTAGTTCAGCTAAAAACAGCGTTCTTTGTCCCATGGCCATGAAAATTCAGGCTTGCAGACAATTTAAATGGTGAGTAAGACAGGGTTGCATTGGGTAAAAAGAAAGAAAAGGGGCAAAGAAGAACTCTTGGAAGGCCAGAGTCCCTGCTGGAGCATTTCCTTCCCACCCTTCACATCCCAGGTTCCACAAAGGAAGAGGAGGGGCCTGACTCCTCCCCACTGGAAAGAGCACAAACTTCTGTGGCTCCACCCTAGTGCGCAGGCTGGTTGGAGTTTTTCTGAGGAGCCCCCTCCCACCTGGCTGTCTCACATAGATGACTCTCAAATGCATTATGCCAAGCAAAAGAAGCTGTTCTCAAAAAAACCTGCAAACTGCATGATTACATTTTGACGACACTCTTACAAGACAAAACTATGGGGACAGCAAACACATCAGTGGCTGCCAGAGACTATGGTAGGAAAAGAGGTTCACAACCAAGGGACATAAGAGAAGGAGTTGTCGTCAGAGGTAACTCTGACTTCCTGGTTGTCACTCCTGCCCCCACATGGCATGTGACTTGTTTCAGCTCCCCAAGGCTGAAGGTGCCATCCTGGGAAGCAGAGGGTTTCTCCTTCTCTGGAATTAACCAAGCAGAGGCTGGAGGAACTGTTAGCAGTGAAGTGACAGAAGTCCTGAAAGCTTTTGCCACTGACAGACAATAAGTACATATTTCACCACTGACCCTATGACATGTGATAACTCTAGTTGTTTCTTTTTTTTTCTCCCCTCTCGTCCTATCCCCTCCCACCCCCGTCTCTGTTATTTTTTTTCTATGGGTGGGGCCCAGCAATCTGTGGTTCAGCAGGCCTTCCAGGTGATTCTGATGCATCCTGGAGTTTGAGAGTCATTGCCCTAGAGAAAAGAACAGATGTGCTCCAGATTGCAAACAGATAGGGAAAGAATTGCACCTTTGTGATGATGAAGGAGTCAAAGGTGGCCTTGTACTTAATGTGTCACAATATGTGCAGTTGGAGACATAGGAGTTTGAGCCATAGATTTACAGAGCAAACTCAATGATAACATAGGCATAGCACACACAAACACCCTCACAAGGGTGAAGCCCTTCAACTATGATGACTTCAGGAAAAATCCACAGAGGCCAGGAAGAAGAGCGATGGCAATATAAAGTTGTTTCAAACAAATGTGATAAAATTAGCAAGGTCATGGGCAAAATGCAGTTAAGAGGTTATGAGATATTCATTCCAAGTATGACTGTGACCAAAGTCCTGTTTACAAAGAGGAGATTTATGGTGATCCTGAGATAAGAAGAACCTGTATTCAAAGAAGATATTTGAAAACAACAACTGTCATGGTTCTACAGACCTGAGAATGGGGTTAACAAGACAATTCTCATTAAATGAAGGAGGCAGCCTAATAAATTAAGGGGATCATGATGGCTCTGGATTCCAGGCTTTCCAGAATTGGGAAAGATCAGATGCAAATGATTTCTGCATTTTGATTCTCAGCTATGATTCCCCTGGACCTGAGCTGTTTGTGGCAGGTGCTCTCTCCCTGGGCATGTTGTGCTGGGGAACCTGACCATCCTCTTCATGTTTGATTTCTTGCCCATGTGTGACCTGCCTAAACTTGACAAGAGTTTCCTTGGAATCAAGTGACACTGCAACCTTTTTGCCTGAGAGTGTGCTGACTTTTGAGCCAATCTGGGGAACCTCTGGCAACACTGCAGAGCATAATTGAATGAAATTCCAGGCATTCCATTTGAAGACAGGGATGGTCTGTCTGGAGACACAGGTGGGTCTAATATCCTACAAAGATTGGAAGGGTTTTGTGTGGCCTAGGAATGATGACAAGTTTGTGGGTCATAACTGTGACCACCATCTAGAGACACACTCTAAGAACAGAAGTTGAGTGTGCAGGCTCTGCAGACAGATGCCCAGTTCTGTCACTTTCTAACTGGGTGTGCCTGGACAACTTATGAAAAGTAGTTTCACATCTTTCTAAAATGGAAATATGAATATATTAATAGTACCTACACTAAGTCAGCAGGGTTTGCAGCAGAGAAAGCGTTTAATGATCACAGGGCACTGAGTGAGGAGATAGAAGAAGATCCTCAAATCCATCTCCCTGAGAAGTTCTGGGCTGGGGTTTTTAAGGATATAGTGGAGGGTGAGAGGCCAGAAAATTGGTGGTGTTGATTGGTTGGGGTAAGGGGGGAGAAATAATCAGCATTTGGAAACTGCATATTTTGATTATTCAGCAGCTCCTGGGATCATTCAGACCCACTGAGTCAGTAGTTTCATCAGTATGCAAGACCTGAAGGGATATCTCAAAGGGAAAACATAACATTTCAAGTTGTTATTTATAGAACAGTTGATAGGAACTATAATCTTATAAGAGGATCTACATGATTCTGAGGCCATAGGCACCAAACAACTGTGGGGAAGCAGTTAGAGAGCAGCAGACCTCATGATTAGTGCTGAAGGTGCTGCAAGCTCGGTTTATTTTCACTTCTCCCCTCTTCCTCTCCCTGTCCCCAATCCCAGGATTCAGAAAGACAATTATGAGAATGCAGAGGTGTTGGTGCCTCTATGATGCTGCAAGCAACTTTTTCAGGATGGCCTTGAACTTGGGTGGGAAAGCAGGCATGGTAATGGGAATGGGTCAGGCACAGGCTGCTGAGGACAGAGCATTGTAAAGACCATGATGACCTTTAGAATTCTGTAATCAGTGGATTTGACCATTCATAAATTGCCTGAAGTTCTGTAGCACGTAGCAATTCATAAATTTACAAATATAAAAAAATTGAATTGTGTGTTCTGTGAGGTTGGTGTGATGTAGATGGCTTAGCTAGTGAATGAGCCCAGCAGGCTGCCAAGTGATCCTAAAGTCATGGCTTAGTGGCTTTTGTGGTGTACATTGTTGAACCACTCTAATTGTTAGAAATGTCTTCCTGAAAACTTTCTCACTCTAAAAGTCATCATTAGTTTCTACATTCTGTTCCTAGTATACGAAGTGTCATTCCCTCCTCCATAAAGTTGCTTCAAATAGCTGACGAGTCAGTGTGGAACAGGCCAAAATGGGAGACACCAGGGACTGGTAGGCCCTCATTTCAACACCTCATCAAAGGGATCCAGAGGCTTATCTAAGGGAGAACCTGTTTTTCTTTGAAATCGTCCACCATTCAATGAAGTTGCAGTTCTTGCTTGAACCACTAGGTGTCACTGACACTATGCGTGGCTGACACTAGCGTGAGGGCTGAGAATGAGTCCCCTGTTAAAAGTGAAACATCATGCCCTTTGAAGCCCAATTTTGACTTAAATTGTTTTATTATCACATTACTCAAAGGCATACAAACACAAAATCTATATAACGTATTCTCAAAACTATAAAATTAAAAGTATAGAAATAGAAACAAAGCAATAAAATTCAAGTTAATATAATGTACTAGGTAATGTTATTTTACTGGAACTAAATGGGTAATTTGGACTTTTTAACATCACTAATGTGCATTCACATCTTTTTGGTCTACTGGTCATGTACTTAAGTCTATTTACTGTACACATGATGGATCATCATTTGAGTAATTTTTAAAACTCCTACTTAAAAATTAGCTATTTTAAAAATCATCAACCCATCCTTTTAATATGGCAATACATTGAATAATACAACTCCAATAATTCAATTCACTTATACCCCATTTTCCACAATCCCTTGCTGTATTGATTCATTGTAATGTTAATTACCTTTGAAATATTTCCCTAAAGGAGTTATATATAAACACAAACTATTGTAGTAGCTATTAATATTTTCTTTGTGTCCTTCAGTGAATGAGAGCTAGCCAGACCTTGGGGAGCAGAAACTACCAGGTCTGCTCCATCCTTCCTGACACCGCCACCAGGTGCAACTTGGGTCAAGTGGTGCAGCTGCTTCACCCCTGCCCTGGAGGCCCCTGTAGTCTTAAGGCCCCAACACACCTGCCTCCACCAGCTTTGTCATCAGAGGCAACATACCCCAGAACCATCAGCTGCTGACACAGGATCTCAACTATGAGGCCAAATACGTGGATTACCCTCCCTGCCCTGCCCTGCTCAGCTCAGCTCAGCCATCACAGGTCTGGACCTTCAGGCGTGAGCTCTGAAAGGAGTCTTAAGCAGAACAGCATCATATCCTGGGAGCACAACTGGGAAGCTGGGAATCCATGTGTGGGTTCCATCCCTCCCTAGCCTCTGCAAATTAACATATAAGGAGAAGAGTCCCATTAATTCACTCAAGCTACCAGCTCTTTCCCACAGTGGTGCTGCACACACCAAGAAATGTGAGGATGTGGCTAGGCATCTGTTAGAAAAATTTCCAAATATTCCATTGTAATTACAGGTCTCTCTAACATCTACAGTGGGAGCTGATCTGCATTAAGTAAGCATCTCAAGAGTGAAGAATGGCTCAATTCCAAGTGAACCCAAATCTCAGCCCTATAACAGCCAAGATACCCTGCTCTGCCTTTTGTTTCAGGAAACAAACTTTGTAGTTTCTGCAAAGCTCTTCATCCTTACCCCAGAAGGGTTTGCAATGAGCATGCTGTTTCCTTCCTTTCTTCCTTTCTCTCTTTCTCTCTTTCTTTCTTTCTTTCTTTCTGACAGAGCCTCGCTCTATCACCCAGGCTGGAATGCAGTGACATGATCTCGGCTCACTACAACCTTCGCCTCCTGGATTCAAGTGATTCTCCTGCCTCAGCCTCCTGAGTAGCTGGGATTACAGATGCGCACCACCATGCCTGGTTAATTTTTGTTTTTTTAGTAGAGACAGGGTTTCACCATGCTGGCCAGGCTGGTCTAGAACTCCTGACCTTGTGATCTGCCCACCTCAGCCTCCCAAAGTGCTGGGATTACAGGCGTGAGCCACTGCACCCAGCCCTTGCTGTTTTCTTTAGGCTCTGCTCCCAGAAATAGTAACACAAATAATACTGGTTACCAAGGCGGTAGGTCTTTCAGAAATTAAAATACACATGCACACTCACAGACATGTACATCAATGGGGTACTACCATCACTGGAAAACACTGCATAAGCCCTGGACATTGACGTGAAGTGCAAATGTTTCCAACAAATTCAGAGAAAGACCGCAGAAACTAAGCTTTCAGAATATAGCTACCCACAGTCCAGCCTCTCAACCCATCTGTGTCTACACAGTAGCTAAGCAGAGAACATCAACATCAACATGTGTCTCTCTCAACTTAAGTTCCAGGGGGAAGATGCAAATAGAAAGGGGAGACATGGTTTGACTCATGATATCATCAGAAAAATGACAGACCAGGCCAGACTGTCCCCCATTCCCATGTAAGAAGAAAAACAGTACGTGAATCTAATATGCAGTTGTAGAAAAGTTAAAATTTTTCTCTAAGAAACACAAGGAAACTTTGTTAATATACTTTAAACTGATGAATTGTACTGGATGTAAACTGGACCTCAATAGAAGCCATCAGCCCCTGAATCACACTTGCTCCCTCCTATCTCAGACCTTCTCACACACCACTCCCTCTGCCTGGAATGTCACGTCCATTTCCTCCCAGTTCCCAGCTCCTTCATACTACATCTGATCTGCAGTGTTTTGCTTCTCAAGCATTTATCGTTTGTAATTAAAGATTATGTGTGTCAGTTATTTTTAACATGGGGTTCTCTCTGCATACATATGCTCCATGAAGGGCTGTTTTCTCATCATCAGATGAGCCCATCTGGGAATGCGGAGTGAAACTATCACCTTTTACCCCATCCTGGAATTGTGAAAAACGGAAGATTTCTAAGAAGATTCTGAGCAAATCCTTTTCTGGCACCTGTGGTCAGTCCCTACCAGGGTCCCCATCTTAAGCCTTCAAGACCTTTCGGTTCAAACTATTTTTTTAAAGGTAGAGAATGTAACAATACAATAAAACATGGACATAGTTTTTTAAAAGGAAATGGAAACATAATCCACAGATGGGAGAAAATATTTGCATTTGTATATGTGATAAGGTATTTTTATCCAGAATATATGAAAAACTCTCACAACTGAACAATAAAAAGACAAATAACCTAATTTACAAATAGGCAAATGATCTAATAGGCATTTCCCCAAAGAAGATATACAAATGGCCAGTACACACATGAAAAGATGCTTGGCAGCATTAGTCATCAGGAAAATGCAAACCAAAACCTTGAGATACCACTTCACATCCATCAGGGTAGCTAGAATCAAAAAGTTCATAATGACAAGTGCTGGCAAAGATGTGGAGAAATTGAAGCCCTCATACATTGATGGCGAAGTGCAGCTGTGTTAGAAGGCAGTCTGTCAGTTTCTCATATGATTGAACATAGAATTCTACCATATAATCCAGCAGTTCGTTCCACTTCTAGGCATATACCCAAGAGAAATGAAAACACATGTTCACACAGAAACTTGCACATGAGTGTTTATAGCAGCATTGTTCATAATAGCCAAATGGTGGAAACAAACAATGGATGAGTGAATACATAAATAAAATATTGTATATCCATATAATGGGATATTAGAACTGAACTATAACACAACACTGATGAACCTTGAAATGTTGTGCTGAATTAAAGCAACCAGTCACAGAAGACCACATCTATTTGATTCGACTCCTATGAAAGTCCAGAATAGGAAACACTATAGAGAGAGAAATTAGATTAGTGGTTACCCAGGGCTGAGGAAAGTCCAGAATAGGAAACACTATAGGGAGAGAAATTAGATTAGTGGTTACGCAGGGCTGTGGAATAGGAGAAAATGGGTGGATGGCCGAAGGATACAAACTTTTTTTGAGGTAATGAAAATGTCCTAAAATGGACTCTTTTGATGGCAGCACAAATTTGTGAATACATTAAAAAGTATTGAAATGTACACTTTAAATGGGGAAATATATGGTATGTAAATTATGTCCAATCAAAGCTGTTTTCTTTTTAAAGATTGTATTGGAAGTATAGAACAAGTGATATGGGGCCAGACTGACCTGAGTATGAATTTTTGCTCCAGTATTTACGAGCCTTGGGTCTTAAGTTCCTTTGATCCTCTAAGCCTTGCTTTTCTCATCTATAAAGTGAATACATTGATTATACCCACCACAAAGAGTTGTTCTGGGAATTGAGATAATGCATATCAAGTGCTTAGCCTCATTGCCTTGTACATAGTAGGCACTAAATAACTGTTAACTGAATGAAATATGCCAGGGAGCACACAGCCAGATGTAAACACGTAGAGCAGATGCCCAGGGCCCCCAGAGATTATTCAGAAGCCTGCAAATAAATTTGTTAGAGGAGCAGATTTTGTCCTTTGGTGGGGACAGCTTTCCAAAAGGGATAAAACCTATTTCAAAGCCCCAAGGATAGGGACACCCAAGCCAATCAATTAGTAGTAGACATTTTTTCTGGGTGGGAGTGGGGACGTTCTTTGCATGGTTAGATTCTAATAAATGGGCTCTCCTGCATCTCCCCACCCTACAGGGAATGGGGACAGTGGACTTCCCTCCTTTCCTCTACACATTCCCTGACCAGAAGGTCCAGGGGAAAGAAGGGGTGGGCAGAGAGCAGAGTGGTTACATGGGTGTGATGGTCAGAGGCCAGATCTCCCTCCAGGTCATCAGGACACTCAGGGTAGATCTCAGGAGATGGAAGTGTTCATGCCCGGGGACAGCCATCTCTGCACAGGAGAAATTCTTCCATCTCCCATGTAGGGAGGTTTTGAGGACTTTGGCAACAGCAGCCAACATCATTTGCGGGGTATGAAGGTCTCTGAAGGCCAGTGGGGGAGAAAACATCCACTCCTTGATGGAGCTGGTGCCGAGTGAGGGTCCTGGCAAGAACAGGGCTGCACTCTCTAACCAAATCCCAGACAGGAGTGAGGGCTTCTGCCTCATTATTAGCCTTGTCTTATCTCTGATTGTTATTTTCATTGGTGAGGCTCTTGGGATCATGCCACACAGTTAACTCTACCCCAGAGACTGTGACCCCAGGCACACATTTATACAGTTCCCCATGGTTTCCTAATGTTCATTTGAAATAATTGCCTTTTTCATAACCTGTTCTTTCTAGTCATTTGGAAACAAATACGTAATCTATTCAGCTTATCCATTGGCTTAGGTTTAATGACATTTCTTTCTGATGAGTGAAGAATCCACTGGGGGTGTGGAGGGAAGTGTTATAAATATACACTTTTAAAATTTTCTTTCATTGTAAATGGGTTTCAGTGGTTCATACTTTAAAATGCAGAAATAAGTTGACTAAAAGAATCAGTGTGTATCTATCCTCAGGGGTTTCCTATCCTCAAGGACATTTTTTTTTTGAGACAGGGTCTCCCTCTGTTGCCCCAGCTGGAGTGCAGTGGTGCTATCAGTGCTTCCTGTAGCCTCGACCTCCCTGGCTCAAGCAATCCTCTCACCTCAGTCTGCCAAGTAACTAGGACCACAGGTGTGCACCACCACGCCCAGATAATTTTTAGATTTTTTTTTTTTTTTTTTTTTTTTTTTTTGTAGAGACGAGGTCTCATTGTGTTGCCTACGCTGGTTTCAAACTTCTGGGCTCAAGCCATCCTCCCTCTTCTGCCTTCCAAAGTGCTGGGATTACAGGTGTGAGCCACCAATCCGGTCCAATAGTTTTACTTTGAAGAAAAATTTGGAAAATGCAGAGCCACGAGGGGGCGCCCTGGACTCTGGCCTGGTGGTAAAGCCAGCACCTTCAGAGTGGAGGAAGGATCTCCTAGACGCTGAGTTCAGAACGAAATAGGAGCATTGGCTGACCATCTGCCGGGGACCTCACTGGGCAAGCACAGGGCCTCACTTACTCAGCGCAGACACTCCCTGAAGTGGGTGCTTGTGCCCCATTGTGATGAGGTCACAGACTCAGGCAAGTTCAGCAATCTGTCCCGGGTCACTCAGATAATAAGTGGAAGACCCAGTTCTGTGCAGTTCTAAAGCCCGGGCTTTCCCAGACCAGCCGACTATGGCTTGGCCCATCTAGGGAGGGCTCAATACTTGGAAGGTGCTGGTCAGCGCAGAAGCGAGGCTGGTGGACACGTGTCCTCGGGGCAGGGTCACAGGCATCAGCCCACCAGGGAGGTGTTTCCAGCTGGGGTCACGAGGTCTCGGAGTGTTCCTGAATGTGGGAGAAACAGTCCCTCACCCTGACCATCTCGGAGTCTGTGTCCAGCAAGAGCCCTTGTTATTTGGAAGATACTCCCTTATTAATGGGGAGTATCTTGGTTTGCTGACTTGGTACCCATCCCCAGACAGGAGTATCTTTTCTATTATAAATGAGTAACTTGCTTTGTGCTTTAGAGATCATTGTCCACATAATTTTATCACCACGAATGTGTCACCAGGAGTCTGTTACTAAATAGTATAAGAATTTAGAGTTTTTAAACCTAAGATACTGAGGATAAAAACTGTAGACTTTGAGGTTCTCCCCATAAGGGGTAAAGAGTTTAGGGGGAAATTAGGTTCTACATCTGAAAAATAAAGTAGAAAAGATGTGGCCAGGAGAACTACTGAGGGGGTCAGGAACCAGGAAGGTGATGTTTATCAGGATGGGGAGAGGGGGCTGGAAGAGGGTCAGGAGCAAAAGAAAGGCAATAAACACTTACCCAGAGTTAATCTAATGAGATGACAATTCTTGTCTCCATTTTACACATGAGGAAACTGATGCTTAGAGAAGTTACATAACTTGATTAGGATCAAACAGCTAATATTTGGCAAGGCTGGGACCTGAACCTGGTTTTCCAGATACCAGTGCCCAGTCACTTTCCATAATGCCAAATGGCCTCTCAGAATCCCAACACCTCTTCTTTAAATGCTTTCCCTTTTTTCCTCAAATCCAGAAACTGTTGGTCTTTTGGGCAATTCTGACCACAGCCACTAAGTGGCGATATTGTCCAACTATGGCTCAGCCCTGTCTCTCCTAGGAAGAATGGGGGAAGGGAGGGAGTAGAAGATCCCCTGTTGTTTTTTGTGTGTTGTGCTGTTCGTAGCGCTTTTTTTTTTTTTTTTTTTTTTTGAGACGGAGTCTTGCTCTGTTGCCCAGGCTGAAGTGCAGTGGTGCGATCTCGGCTCACTGCAAGCTCCGTTTCCCGGGTACACGCCATTCTCCCTCCTCAGCCTCCAGAGTAGCTGGGACTACAGGCGCCCGCCACCACGCCCGGCTAATTTTTTGTATTTTTTAGTAGAGACGGGGTTTCACCATGTTAGCCAGGATGGTCTCGATCTCCTGACCTCGTGATCCGCCCGCCTCGGCCTTCCAAAGTGCTGGGATTACAGGCGTGAGTCACTGCGCCCGTCCGCGTGGGGCTTTCTTCTATCTATTTAGTCCTCCCAGCAACCCTGCAGAGGAAGTATTATCCCATTTTCCAGATGAGGCCATTGAGGATCTGCTGGATGACAGAGCTTAGCGGTAGAAGCAGGAATGGAATCAGTGTCCGGCTGGTTGCCAAGTCCTGCCTCCAAGCATCCTGGGTTCCCAAATATAAAGTCATTTTATGCCCTCAAATTTTAGTCTGGTGGGGAGGTAGATAGGGGAACTCCTTTAAGCCTGGGCTTGGACGGCCTAGTGAAGAAGAAGGGCGGGTGAGAAGTAACCATGCCTTTCCTTTGGTTACTGGAGGGAAGAATTAAGTTTTAAGGTGGAAGTTAAATACAGTTAAAATTACTCTGGTGTTGGGACAACTGGATTTCCACATGCAGAAGAGTGAAAATGGATCCTTATCTCACACCATGTGCAAAAATCAACTCAAAATCAATTAAAGACTTAAATATAAGGCCTGAAATTATAAATCTACTAGAAGAAAACAAAAGCAAAAAGAAATAAATAGGATTACATTAAACTAAAAGGCTCCTGCGCAGCCAAGGAAACAACAGAATGAAGAAACAATCTACAGAATGCGAGAAAATATTTGCAAACCAGGCATCTGGTAAGGGATTGCTATCCAAAATATATAAGGAACTCAAACAACCCAATAATAAGAAAACAAAGAATCTGATTAAAAAATAGGCAAAGGATCTGAATAGACATTTTTCAGAAGACATAAAAATGGCCTATGAGTATAGGAAAAAATGCACAACGTCACTAATCACCAGGGAAGTGCAAATCAACACCAGTGAGCTATCACCCCACACCTCTTAGAATGGCTATTATCAAAAAGATGAAAGACAGCAACTGTTGGTGAGGATGTGGAAGAAAAGAACCCAAGTACACTCTTGGTGGGGATGGAAATTAGTACAGTCATTAGGGAAAACAGCATGGAGGGTCCTCAAAATATTAAAAACAGAACTACCGTATGATCCAGCAATCCCACTTCTGGGTATATATCCAAAGGAAGTGAAATTAGTATGTTGAAGACATAGCTGCACTTCCATGTTTATTGCAGCACTATTCCCAATAGCTGAGATATGGAATCAACCTAAGAGTGCATAAAATGATGAACGGATAAAGAAAATGTAGTATCTATACATTGTGGAATACAATTTAGCCATTAGAAGAAAATTCTGTCATTTATGACAACATGGATGAACTTGGAGGAAATTATGTTAATTGAAATAAGCCAGCATAGAAAGAAAAATACCTCATGACTTCACTTAAACATGAAATCTAAAAAGTTGAAGTCATCGAAGTAGGAAGTAGAATGGTGATTACCAGAGGCAGGGGAGTGGGAGGAGATGTTGGGCAAAGGATACAAAATTTCAGTTAGAGAAGAATAATAAGTCCAAGAGATCTATTTTAAAACATGGTGACTGTGGCTAATAGTAACACACTGTATTCCTGGAAATTTACAGGAAATTAGATTTTAAGTGTTCTTATCTCACACACACACACACACAAACATAAGTATGTGATGTAATGTATATGTTAATTAGCTACATATAGCCATCTACAATGTACATGTATTAAAAACATGTCATATACAATAAATATACATGGTTTTGTCAATTAAATAAAAATAACATTTTAGAAATAGAAAAATAAATACAATTACTCTTGGGAATCCCTTAGAGTTCCTCCTGCTTTAGAAGAGACTGCATTTTCTTCCTGATGAAATGGTTGGCTGGTGTTTAGGGGCCATGCTATGTGAAAAATGTGTCCTTCACGTTTAAACGTTAGATCCACCCACAGACAGTGTGTGCTGGAGCCAGCTGCAAACCACTTGTGAGCTGGTTTTGTGCATCTCCTCCCAAATCTATATTCACAGTCATGATGTTGGTAGCTTGAAATCAGCCACACAGAAATTGGCAAACACTTGAAACCAGGGCTCTTTGCTCCTTGAGAGCTGGCCTTTAAACAGATATAAGCACACCATGGGCACCCAGAAAGGTGGGTGGGAACAGAGAGATGGACCAAGGGAACCATGGATTTACAAATCCCAACCCATATTCGCTCCAAGGCTTTAGGTATTTGAACGAAGTCGATTCTATTGTGGTAGAATTGCTGTACAATTTAAACTGTTATTTTCTCTCTCATTTTTCTTTGCTGAGGGTGAAAAACTGCATTTGAGAAGTTCAGCCTGCACCTGAGGTGCCTTCCCTGGCAAGCAAGATGGCTGATTGCTGGAGTGTGTCTTGGGGCCCAGCCCTGAGCTGGAGCCCTGCTGGCTCCTAAGGAGGTGGGCACCACACAGCCAGGGTGGGCTGCGCTGTCAGCTATGGAACAACAGCTCACACCTGACTGCTCAGGGCCGCCTGATAACATTTAAGGAAGAGGAGCTCTCCTTCATTTTACCACAGGACATGTGGCTTGGGCCCCTTGTGGGCTGAGGTGTCTGTCAGAAGGGGAGGTGCTGGGTGAGGCTGTGCTCTCTGTGAAGCCACCTAGGGGCTCAGTGACAGCAGCAGGTGGTGACTGGACAGGAAGGGAAGTCTCCTCCAGTGCCAGGCTCAGGTGTGCTCAGTAAATATGTGCTGCATGACAATCAGAGCAGGCTGCCACCTGTAGCTTAGGTGGAAGCTGCTTGTCTTGTTCCTGTGTGTTCCTGACAACCCCAGGATGTTCACAGGCAGGGTTGGAACTGGGGTGGGGCAGCACAACCCCCAGTCTCAGGTGCCCACCCTGCACCAGGGTGAACCTCAGTGCTATAGACCGAATTGTTCCCCACAGAATGCAGCTGGGGATGGAAGTGCTAAGCACCAGGACCTTCGGATGTGACTGTATTTGGGATGGGGCCTTTAAAGACATGAGGAAGGTAAACTGAGGTCAAATGAGTGAGCTCTAATCCAATACACCTGATGTCCTTATACGAACAGGAGATTGGGAGTTTAAGCAGGCGCACATGAAGACCTGGTTAAGACACTGGGGGAAGACAGAGGCCTCCAAGACACCCAATCTGCCGGCACCTTAGCCTTGTTCTTCTAGCCTCCAGAACTGTGAGAAGATCAACATATGTTGTTTAAGCTTCCCGGGCTGTGGTCTTTGCTGTGGCAGCCTGAGCTGAGCTGACTAATATACTGAGAGTGAGGGCCTCCCCACCTCACCTCTTCATGGGGCCTGGTCCTGCATCAGCAGAGGGCAGGCAGAGCCAGGGCACCTGGTTACACCACAGATGATTGACAACTTGCTCTGAGTACTGGGGGAGCCCAGAGCCCCTAATTAATCTGGGGCAGGTCAGAGCCAGCTCCCCAGGGCCATGTGAGCTGCATGTGGAAGGGGCAGCAGACATTTGACAGGGGATGGCAGGGAAGGGTCTTACTCAGGGACTGGGTGCAGGTGGGCAGACTGGAGGCTGATGGGGCGGCCTTCTGTGGTTCACAAGGGATGGGGCTGTCTCAGCCCCACTTCTCACCCAACCCTGCATCCCACCTGGCTTCTCTGAGCTCAGAATCCCTGCGGGTTCCTCTTGGCAGACAGCTCCAATCCCTGCTGTGCCCCTATTTGTGTATTCTAGGTCAGTGATACTCAAACTAAGCTGTGGGAGGTCCATGTATGATGGACCCATAACCCTAGAAGAAATTAAAATGGTAGCCAAAGATTTGTCCTTATAAAGGGCATGGAGCACATACGGTTTTAGGAGTGAGGACTCCTAAATGGCCAAGAAAAATAAAATTCTTATGTTATATACAGTGTTCCAGAGCTGAGAAAAAGGAAAGAATAGGGTTTTTGTTTGTTTGTTTAGTGATTGGGTATCACTCTGTCACCCAGGCTGGAGTGCAGTGGCACAATCATAGCTCACTGCAGCCTCAAATCCCTGGGCTCAAGCAATCCTCCCACCTAGGCCTCCCAAGTAGCTAAGACTATTGGTGCATGCCAGCATGCCCGGTTAGTAGGTCATTCTGAAAGGATAGTTTAATATAGTAGGTCATTCTGAAAGGATAGTTTAATACTCACGTCAGACAAGGAGAATACCGAAAACAAAACAAAACAAAACAAGAGAAAACACTTGCAAAGCCATGGTTAACATCAGTTATAGAGAACTTAGAATCCCTAAATTAAATATTAGCAAATATACTCTCACAATACATCATGATCAAGTTTGGTTTATTATGGGAGTGCAAGGATGGTATAATTAGGAAATGTATTAGTGTCATTTATTCTATTAGCAGATGAAAAGAGAACAATAGCTTGCATTATTTGGCAGGTGCATGCTTCCAGGCACAGCTCTGAGGGCTTTACATTCACTCATTTAATCCTCATCCTAACCCTATGAAGTTACATGGACCAGCTGTGTCAGCAGAATTGTCTAAGAGAGTGGTAGGCAAACTTTTCTGTAAAGGGTCAGATAGTAAATATTTTAAGTTTTTCAGGCCATGAAGTCTTTGTCACAGCTACACAACTTTGTTTTTATAGTGCAAAAGCAGCCAAATAAAATATGTAAACAAATGAATGTGGCTGTGTTTCAATAAAACTTTATTTTAAAAAAATGCATTGGGCTGGATTTGACCTGTGGCCATAGTTTTCCAACAACTTCTCTAAGGCAGTTATTAAAAATCTAAATCACCAGACCATTCCAAGACTCATTGAACACGTGTCTGGTGAAAAATCATATTTTTAAGTAGCTTCTTTAAAAGACCTGGTCTAATGAATAGATAATAATTTAAATATAAAGCCAAAAAAGAATGTCTATTACTTTGTAACTGGAACACCCATAGGTGTTCAGAAAGCTTATGTTCTTTAGCATTTAAAGTATTCATACACCAATTGCTTTATATGAAATTTTATTATATGCTCTTTTCAATAGGTGAAGGAATAATAGTCAGGCTTGGATAAGAAAAAGCATAGAAAAAGTAGGTATGTTTCTGTAGGAATCCTTTAAATATTGCTTAAATCTATTTGTTTAAAAGGATACTCCCGAATGCCTACTGGGAGCTGTATGAGGTACTTGGGGGACACCAAACAGTGCCCCCCCAAGGGTGCCGATTCTGCTGTCAAGTGGAAAGTAGGCCACACAGAAATACTCTAGCACAAGACAGAGAGAAACAAGATCCATTAAAAATTAGAAAAAAAAGAATGTTGAGACTTCCAAATGGAAAGGCTCATTTGACAGGATCAGAAAAATCTTTATTTCAGATATGACAGTTCTGAATGCCAAGAGGGAAGAGAGAAAGAGCTTATACATGAGGAACAATGCATTTAGCTAGAAACAAGGGGAAAAGACAGCATCACTTACTGGAGGCGCCCAGGGCTGAGAGGAGTGCTTAGTTCTGCAGTCAGCGGGGAATGACAATTGTTGTTGGAAGGTTTCATTTGGACACTGATGGATTGTTGGGAAATGGAAAGCAAGATGAAGAGAAACCAGCTAGTAGTACTTCTACTTTTTCTAGCAACTCCTCTTCTGCTCCAACCTTGTGTTTTTACATGATCAGCACCCTGACCCTGGTTGGCCTTGCCAATCAGAGGATGCTATTCCCTGGCCAGTGACCCATCTAGGGGTCGGCATGTGAGCCACGCCTAGCCAATAAGAGTCCTTCTCTGGGATTGTCCTTGTGGAGTGGACCAGGAAAGCCCCTTTGCCCTCTAATTGGATGGGCCCATAGCTGCTGAAGGCCATGTACCCTACGGTGTGGAGAAGCTCAAGGGAATAAAGCTGACAGGAGAGAGAGAGAGAGATGCGAACATACAGAGTGGAAGATGACAGCCTATGTGGCCCCTGATGGAGAGAGGAAAGTGCCCAACATCTTTCTAGTTCCTGCGAGTATGAAGGCCAGAGGAATTCCTTCATTGATCTTCACGCCTATGAGCTCTATGTATCTTTAAGATGAAAACCCTCTTTATTGATGTAATTTGAACAGTCTTCCATTTCTTGTGCCAAAACAGATCGGACGAGGCTATAGTGTTATGATGTTACTCAGAAAGCTATGCAATGGATTTATCAGCCAAGGGAGGGGAGAGAGAAAATAGGAACAAGGAGCTGGAAGCCAGGGAGGCAGCTTGTTCCCCACCTTTCACTGACTGGAAACCTCGTCTTGGACACTCAATTCAGTCAACTCTGTCTCTTCTCATAAGCTTTTCCATCTCCCATGTTGGAATCCCTCACCCACAACCCACTCCCACTAGGTGAGGAATTGCCAGTTCTGCAGGGGAGGTGTGGGAGATGGGTAGTCCCTGGAGAGCCGCCAGGATATGTCAAGGAGGATAGAAAGGACCAGGTGGGTGAGGTGAAGGGTAGCAAATGTGGAGCAAGGCACATGGGGAAAAAAGTATCAGGAAATGAGGCTGGAGAGGCAGCCAGTGATCAGTGCCTGTGGGGGACTGGACTTCTTTTCCTGAGTGTGATTTATTATGTGGGGATGGGTGTGGGAAGCATTGTTTGATTTTAAGCAGGGTGATAACAGAAGAGAACTGCATTTGAAAAGCTCAAAACAGCAGCTTTGTGGAAGGTGCTTTGAGAGGGGGGGAAGACAGCAGAGACAGGGAGGCCAGTTAGGAGGCTGCATGGCAACCCATGCAGAGATGTCAGAGGACTGGTGGAGGTAGAGAGGACCAACAGGAGAGAGCTCTGGCACTCTGGTTTACCCTCAGACTCTGCTCCTTCTCTTCCCACTTCTCCAGCTTTCTCCACTAAACTCTCTGCCTAGGGCTCCTTGTTTCCCAGGGAGAATGTTGGCTTGCTCATTGCCCTGAGAGATCCAGGAGACAGGGTCTGAGTCACCTTCTGCATCTTCAGCTTGGGCCTCAGACAGGCTTTGTCCTGAGAACTCTCCAACTGGCCTTCAGGTCAATTTATCTAAGACCATTTTACCTAAAGACCTGTTCTAACAGCCCATCTCCTTCTAAGTGTTTTAAAGTCCAGTTTTATTGTTTTGTTTTGGCCAACTTTTTTAGGTCATTTAAGAATTTTAAATCAGTTTTTGAACCAACCAATTAAAGACATTTCTGATATGTTATTAATTTTAATAATCAATTTTACAGTATTTTTTGATTGAAGAATTTTTTATATCCTTTTGGTTTCTCTTTCCTCCTCATTTAATGTGCATTTTATTCCTTTTAAAAATTTTAGTTTTTCCTAAGATATAATCTTTAAATTTTAGTTTTTATTTTTAGAACATCAGAGGAAATAAAAAAACTCCTTAAAATGAGTGGGGTTTTTTTTTAACCTGATGTTAGCTAACTTACTTTGGATAAGTGGTTATTGGAATGCCTGATTGGGACATGGCCCCTCACCTTACCATATGTGCAGAATCTAAAGCCTTCTTCCTGGGATTCTCCTGAGTAGAACTTGATTGTTGCTGCATGTACTCCACTCATTTCCACAGTGAGATTCCTGATGCTCAAGAAAACCATCTCCAACAGGTGGAACCTGTGCTTGTATTTGTCTTTAAGCTCATGCCAATGAGGATTAGGGATATTAGGCTTCCAGGACATCAGAAACCGTTTTATTTCTTTTTTCTCGTTCTCAGAATTTCCATTCCACTCAATCTCTTGGATGTTAGGATCCAAAGAGGAGTTTAGTTGCAGCTGGACAGATCCCCCCAAAGTCCAGTTCAATGTGCAGGAAGAGCTAGGCTCTGTGACAGTTTGGAGACCTGGTAAAGAAAGAGCTATAAGAGAAGGAAAGGAGTGGAGTGAACATCATGTTTTATCTACTATGTGCTTTCACAACACATTGATTTGATATTTACAAAAAGAGAATCACTGTTTTATGTATTTGCCTTTTAAATTATACAAGAAACAAAAAGAGGCGTTACATCCTCAAAATACAATAATACTAGCTTTTATATTTGCCAGTACAGTTACCTTTACTAATGATCTTTATTTCTTCATATGACTCAGGTTACCATCTAGTACCCTTTTGTTTCAGCCTGAAAGACACCCTTCAGCATTTCTTGAAGGGCAGGTCTACTAGAAATAAAAACCCTTTGCTTTGTTTACCTAGGAATATCTTAATTTTTTTCTTTATTTTTGAAGGATAGTTTTGCAAAATATAGAATTCTTGGTTGGCTGTCCTTTTTCTTTCAGAATTTTAAATATATCATCCCACTATCTTTTAGCTCCCATCTTTTCTGATGGAGAAAATGTCTGTTAATATTGTTGAGGCCCCCTTGCATGGGATAAGTAAATTCTCTTGTTGCTTTCAAAATTCTCTTTTTGTCTCTGGTTTATGACAGTTTGATTCTAGTTTTTGTAATTGTGGATCTCTCTGAGTTTATACTATCTAGGAATCCATTAAGTTTCATGGATGTGTGCCTCCATGTCTTCTATCAAATTTGGACAGTTTTTGACCATTATTTCTTCAAATATTCTTTCTTCCCCTTTCTCTCTCTCTTCTCATTCTGGGAGTTCAATGGTGTATATATTGGTATGTTTGATAGTGTTCTACAAGTCCCTTAGGCTCTGATTATTTTTCTTCATTTTTTTTTTCTGCTCCTCATTGGGTAATTTAAATAGCCCTATCATCAAGTTTGCTAATTATTTCTTTGGCCACCTGAAATCTGCTGTTGAGCCATTCTAGAGAATGTTTTATTTTATCAATTGTACTTTTTAGGTCCAGAATTTCTATTTGTTTCTTTTTTATAATTTCTGTATCTTTTTTGATATTCCCTACTTTTTACACATTATTCTCCTGGTTTCCTTTAGTTTTGTTCATGGTTTCCTTCAGCTTTTTCATAATGTTTAAGACAATTAATTTAAAGTTTTCATCTATAAGTGCAGTGTCTGGGCTTCCTCAGAGATGGTTGTTGCCTTCTTTTACTTTTCCCATGAATGAGAAAAGTAAAAGTAAAAGTATGAAAAGTGTCATACTTTCCCGTGTCTTTGTATGCATTATAAATTTTTCTTGAAAATTGGAAATGTTAAAGATTGTAATGTGGTAACTCTAGAAAACAGATTCTACCCTTTCTCCAGGGATTGCTGTTATTGCATGAAGAAGGCTGCAGCTGTCCATTTCTTCAGTGACTTTCCAAAATATTTTTACAAAGAACAAATTCCTTGTCATGTATGGTCATTGAAGTCTCTATTCTATTACCTTCGTAGTCAGTTAGTGACTGGTCAAAGATTTTCTTAATGTTTGAAACCAGTAAGAAAGGAGAGAAAAGGGGGTTGCTTCCTTAAATCCCCTCAATAGATGCCACTGAGAAAAGCTGCTTCAGCTGCTTCAGTAGAGGAGGCAGAGCTTCCTATATTCCGCCATCTTCTGTAATGCCATTCCAAATGCCTGTTTTCTTAATTTAAAAAATTATATCTAGAAATTGATGAGTGCTTTTAATCTTCTCACTTGCTTCTTTCTTTTGGTCATGGAAGTTTGTTTTTGTTACTTCTGTAACATTTCTCCCTCTTTATGCCATGTTATCCTTTCAGAATTTCCTTCAGTCGCTTCACAGATATCCTGGTTCTTTCTTCTCTACTTCATATTTTTTCTCAATTTTTTCATCTCTTTGTGTTTTAGGTCTATGTTTTGAGATATTTTTTTCTCTTGATCTTCTAGGGCAGCCCTAGTGACCCCACGCTTCAGACTACCCTCAGCACCAGGTTAGCCCCTGCAGCCTGAGGCTTCAGTCCTGCCTTAGTGCCAGGCCACCCCCACAGTCCTAAACATCAGACAGCCACCAACAGACTCCATTTCCAGCCCATCATATTGCAGCCCCAGAACCCAGGCCTACTCCTGTTAACCAAGCCTCTAGGCCCACTTAGTGCCAGGACAGCCCCTGCAGTCTGAGACTCCAGCCTGGGACTCACAGACTCAATTTCCAAACCCACCCCAGAACCAAACTGGCTCCATAGACTCGAGCATCAGGCCCACTCTAGAGGCCCAAAGGCCCCAGGCCCTAGGTTGGCCTCCCACAGAGTCAGGGTCCTGGCCTGCCCCACCTCCAGGCCAACCACAGTGACTTCAGGTTCCAGACCACCCCCAGAACTAGGCTAGTTCCTGTGGCCCAAGGCTTCAACCTTACCCAAATCCCAGGCCATTTCTGTGGCCCTAAGTACCAGGTCAGTATCCATGGACCCAGCCTCCAGGCATGCCTCAGCTCTAACTCAGGCCCTGCAGCCTCATACTCCAGACGAGCATCCATACAAACAGCCTCCACACTGGCCCTCACAAACCCAAGACCCAGGTTTTCCCCTGCAGAATCAGGTTCTAGGGCCACCTCAGTGCCAGGCCAGCCCCTGTAGACTCAGGTGTCAGGTCCGTCTCCATGGGCCCAGGCACCAGGCCCTTCTAACATCAGTCCAGTCCCTGAAAATTCTGGCTCAAGGCCTTCTCCAATGCCAGGTCATCCACTGTGAACCCAGGCTTCAGGCTAGCCCCCACACACATGGGCTTGAGGCCCACCCTCATGAGCCAGCATTTGGGCCCACTCCGGTAGACCCGGTAAACAGGTCTTCTCCAGTGGAGAAGTACCAGGTACTCTTGTCCGGTACCAGGACAGCCCCTGTAAACCCAGAATCCAGGCCTGTCTGAGAAGACTCAAGCCCCAGGCCTAATCCATTTGAACCAGGCCCTAGATGCAACCTCATCAATCCAGGCACCAGGCATACCCAGCTGCTGACCCAGGCACCAAGCCAGCAGCACAACCACCCAAGGATCACGCCAGATGGCCAGAAAGAACCAAACAGAAATTCTGGAGCCAAAGATCATAATGACTAAAATAAAAAATTTCACAGAGAGGTTCAGCAATGACTCAATCAAGCAAAAGAAAGAATCAGTGAACTTGAATACAGGTCACTTGAAATTACCCAGTCAGGAGAACCAAAAGATAAAAGAAAGAATGAAAATAGAGTGAAGAAAGCCTCCAGGAATTACAGGACAACATCTAGTGAACCAATATACTAATTATGGGTGTCCCAGATGAGTAGAGAAAGAGAAAGATGTAAAAAGACTATTTAAAGAAATAATGACAGAGATGTCTCTTTAATGTACTGTGTTTTGTCAGGAGGTAAATACATGGGTGTAGACAGCAAAAGAGAAAAATCCCTAAGGTATGCAACATTGCCATTAAATGTTATAAAATTGGCAAAAATAGAGGGAAATGATGGATAGGAGGCAGGACTAACTTGCAGCTTCCTCTCAGATGGACAGAGTCGAATGTGGAGACCTACATTGTGAACTTTTGCTCTAAGAACTACCACAGGAACATACCAGGAAAGCCAAGAGAATCCACAGACACTCTGAAGGAGGTGACAGCCAAGGAACTGTGAGTCTGCTTGCTTTCTCAGCTGGGAGGCTTATAGCCTGGGGCAAGTTCTCATCCCTGCTCACTGGTGGTGCTGTTGTGGGGGACTTGGTGGGAGTGAGGCTAGCCTTTTGGGCGGTTGTCTGCATGAGAGCTGGGTGAGACCTGTGGCTGCCAACTTTCTCCCACTTCCCTGATGGCCTGTGTGACACAGCAGAGGCAGCCATAATTACCCTGAAAACATAACTCCATTGGCCTAGGAACCACACCCCCAGCCCCTGCAGCAGCCACAGCAAGCCCCGCCCAAGGAGAGTCTGAGCTCAGACATGCCTAACCCTGCTCCCACCTGATGGTTTTTCTCTACCCGCCCTGGTTGCTGAAGACAAAGGACATAATCTCTTGGGAGCTCTAAGGTCCTTCCCACCACCTGATACTCCCTATACTACCACAGTTGATGCGCTCTTGAAAACACCACCTCCTGGCTGTAGGTCAGCCCAACACATAACCAGCACACTTAACAAAAATATAACCAAAAATCCTCCCAGAGTTCACTTCACTACCCTGCTATCTCCACCAGAGCAGGTGCTGATATCATGGAGAGACCTGAAGACAGATCACATCATGGGACTCTTTGCAGACACTCCCCAGTACCATCCAGGAGTCCAGTAGCTCCACTGGTTGGCTAGATCCAGAAGAGAAATCACAATCACTGCTGTTCAGCTCTCAGGAAGCCCCATCCCTAGAGGAAAGGGGAGAGCACCACATCAAGGGAGCACCCTGTGGGACACAAGAGTGGGAACAGTAGCCCTTGAGTTCCAGATCTTTCCTCTGACAGTCTACCCAAATGAGAGGAAACCAGAAAAACAATTCCACAATGTTCTTTAACTCCCCCAAAAGGTCACAGTAGGTCACCAGCAATGGATCCAAACCAAGACAAGATATTTGAATTGCCAGAAAAAAAATTCAGAAGGTTGACTACTAAGCCAATCAAGCAGCTTTACTCTAGGGACTGTGCTTGAGGTGTTCTGTCCAGTTTCCTTTTCTTCCAGTTTCTGAAGCCCCTTAGCTGCATTTTTTTTTTCAATTGCTTACCCATCATTCCATTTGCCCTCAGTAGTCAAGTCAACCTGTGAGGGTCTCTTAAGCATCAGCAAGCCAGCTGTGATAAGAGTTATGGTAGCCTCCACTCCTGGAACACACATGGTACCAACTGCATGCACTGGAGGAACACACTCCCCTGTCACCCCAGCCGTGAGCCTCCCAACTTCATGGGTTCAAGTCAGCCTGGCCCACCTGTGTAGTCCCCACAGTTCCTCTGAGCCATGAGGACCAGCAGCCTCTCCCAGGTCTACCCTCAAGCTTGAACCCATGAAAATTAATTGGTCTCTGAAAGCCAAGCTCTCTTCACAGTACTGCAGTTCCCCCATGCCCTATCCCCAGCTCCCACCACATGGTCACTGGTCTCCCAGCTCTTATATCACCCAGATGATAGCCATCTGACTGTTCTCTCTAATAAAGATTCATGAAGAGCTCGCCTCGTATATGCTGTTGTTTTTAGTTTAATGAGATATTGGAAGCTTTTGATAGAGCTGTTTAAGAGGATTGTAGAGGCTAAGGGAAAGTTCAAATGTTAAAAAATTTAATAAAGTACATAACCGTGAATTTTAACAGGATTAAAATTCAAAAGGTCCATAACAATAGACCATGAAAAGACTCTCCCTTTATTATTTTTTTGCTGTACCCTTTCAGAGATATTCTATCCATATGCCAACAAAATGTATACGTAATTTCCCTCCATTTTTACACAAATGTTAACATACTATAAACTCTGCCCTGCTTTTTTTGCCTTAATGATGAATCTGAGCAATTATTTTATAGTAGTACATAAAGAGCTGCCTTAATTTTTGCATGGTTGCATAGGATTCCCCTGTGTTGTTACTGATTCTCTATTGCCTCCAACTAATGAACATTTTAAGTACTTTCTGTTTTACCTTGTTATTATTTGAGTAGCAATATTGTTCTTAATTTGTGATATTTTTTCTGACTATATAGTCATTTTTGCCATGAAGAAAATTTTTATTTTTCTGTTGTCAAATCTATGAACTTTTTGTGATTTCAAGAGTTTGCTATTGCTTGTGTGTTTGATTTGTCATATGGGCTTTCTCACCCTTGGTTATTAAAAGATTTTTTTTTAGACAGGCACAGTGATGCATACCTGTAATCCCAGCACTTTGGGAGGTTGAGACAGGTGGATCACTTGAGGCCAGGGGTTCAAGACCAGCCTGGTCAACATGGAGAAATCCTGTCTCCAATAAAAATACAAAAATTAGCCATGCATGGCTGCACATGCTTGTGGTTCCAGCTACTTGAGAGGCTGAGGCGTGAGATTTGCTTGAACCCAGAAGGCAGAGGTTGCAGTGAGCCAAGATGATACCACTGCACTCTAGCCTCAGTGACAGAGCAAGACTCTGTCTCAAAAAAAAATCATTTTTTCCATTTTTTATTATTTAAAGGTTTTTTGTATGTGATATATTTTTCAGTGTGGTAAAATATGCATAAAATAAAATTTACCATTTGTAAGTGTAGAGTTCAAAACATTCACAATGTTTTGCCACCATCATCACTATCCATTTCTAGCGGGAAATTTCTAGACGCATTTAAACCTTTGGTCTTTGTGGAATTTATCTTGGTATGAAGTATGTACTATGAATCCAACTTTTTTTTCCTGATGGCCGGCCAGTTGTTTCAAAACCATTTATTGTTTTCTTTTCTGGACTTTCTATGTCTATTCATTTATTGATACCATACTGCTTTAATAACTGGAGTTTCATGATATGTTTTAATATCTGGTAGCTTGTCCCCTTGATTATGCTTATTTTTCAGAATTGTTTTGGATGTTCTTGACCCATTCTTCCATATAAAGGATCTGCTTGTCTGGATTTTTTTAAAAATCCTATTATTTTTAAATTAGAATCACATTTAATTTATAGATTAATTTCATGAGAATTGACTTCTGTATAATTTAATTTTCCTACTGGGGAATGTGCTATATGTTTTTATTTGTTCAGACATTATTTTTGTATTCTTCAGTAGCATTTTATATTTTTCATCATACATCTTTTGTACATTTCCCATTAGGTTTTAAATAAGCATTTTATTTTGCTGATGCCAAAATATCTTTCTGATTATTAGTATCATGTAATGAGTCTATTTATTTCTCCACATTAAGCTTGTATCCAACTCTCTTCCTGAGTTCTCTTATCATTTGTAATAATTTTCCTATATTTTGAGGTTTCCAGTAACAAATTAAATCATCTGTAGATAATGATAAATAAATAACTTTCAATAACTTCAGAGTATTGCTCTTGTCCCCCAGGCTGGAGTGCAATGGTGCAATCTTGGCTCACTGCAACCTCCACCTCTCAGGTTCAAGCAATTCTCCTGCCTCAGCCTCCTGAGTAGCTGGGATTACAGGTTCCTGCCACCATGCCTGCCTAATTTTTGTATTTTTAGTAGAGATGGGGTTTCACCATGTTGGCCAGGCTGGTCTCGAACTCCTGACCTCAGGTGATCCACCCGCCTCAGCCTCCCAAAGTGCTGGGATTACAGGCGTGAGCCACCACGCCCGGTCAGCTTTGAAAGTTTTATACTTCACTTCTTTCTCTGGTCTAACTATGTGAACTAATATGTCTAATGCTGTTACATTAAAATGGTGAAAGTATAATTACTTATTCTCTAAACATTGGTTAAAATTAATTTGTGAAACTGAGCCAGCTACTTTCTGAGGAATATTCTTCGACAAAATAATCTGTTTATTTTTAACAAAGTAATTTATCTGTTTATATATTTTTTCTCTTCTGGAGTCAATATTATTAAATTATATTTTTCTAGAAAATTATTTATTTTATCTAAGTTTTCAATATATTCATATAAAGTTAAGCAAAATGAACTTTTAACTTCCTGTGTATTTGTGGTTACTTTCTGCTATTTAATTTCTGCATTTGGGTATTTAATCTTTTAAGGAGGATTGTTGGAAGATTATAGACACTAGATCATGCTGATGTGCTGGTGGGAATGATTCAATGTTTTGTTTCTAACAAAACACTTCTGAGAAAGAGACAGTTTTTTCCCACCAAAGCAATGTTCGGTCTTTGAACAGGAAAAAATAATTAAAAGAAGGCAAATGATTAGGGTTCAGGAAAATATAGGAATGAGGGAATTTCCAGAGACCAAAAACAGTATCAGGGAGCTTCAGGAGCTTTGCACAGAAGTGAAATTAGGATCTGTGTTTTCTGTATGGTCTGGAATACTTGAGAGCTGCCTGACTCTTCTCTCTCTCTCTCTCTCTCTCTCTCTTTCTCTTTCTCTCTCTTTCTGTCTTTCTCTTTCTCTCTCTCTATGTGTGTGTGTGTGTATGTCTTCTTATCTGTTCCTCTCCCTCTCTCCCTCTTTTGCTCCCTCCCTTTTAGATGTAAATAAATTTATTAAGCTATTTCTCATGGGCTACGGAAAGGATTGTTTACTGTGAACAGGGAGATGGAGTTCCAATTTACAACAAAATTGAGAAAAATCGTAAGAGGGAACTTGGTGCCACAATCTCTGTAGAGTCCAGAGTCCTTGGTTTCCAATTCTCTTCTAACTATACTTCTGGAACCCATAACACGTATAGGAAAAGGAACAAGTCCAGTAATTACGGAAAGGCAGTTAAGAGCAGGTGGATACAGATGACTTTTATTCTGTCTCAAGTACATAATACATCCTGTGCCCCACCTTGAGGACACAAGCATATGTGTATCCATAAAATGTTTTACTTGCAAACTTAAAAAATTAAGATTAAATATGATGATATGATGCCATGTGCTTTAAATGTTACTTTTTTTGAGATCAAAGACAATAACCCACTAGTTTTGTGTACTTAAGTTCTTAATAGAAATGAGAATCATAAACCCAGCACTGCCTGAATCTACTTTAATCCAAGATAGGTAGACAGGAAAAGATTTTGTTTTGTCAGTGTTTAGGGATGAGAGTACTCTGTGAGTAGGGGCATGGGGAGCCAGCCACCTCCCTTTCCTCCTCCATCATGTGGGATTCCATGCAGCCTGTGTTTGGCTGTTCTGCACCTGCTTAGAATTCAGGTAAGGCTTGGCAAAGTAAGAACAGCTGCACCTCCTTTTCTTGGGGCTTCTGGCCCTCTGCAGTTGTTGGGCAAACAACAGCACACAAACAAAAGGGCTGATGGAGGCAGAGGTGTTTTCCTGTGCACCCTTTGCCCTGCCACCTACATACCTGTCAGAATGGTGACAAACATTATAATGACATGGTGGCAGTGCTCTGGTCGCATAGAGGAGCCAGCCTAGATGTAACTAACAACTCAAGAAAAAAACAAACTGGACTCCCTGAACCAATCACCGAGCACACAGGCTTCCTGATGCAAACCAGGAAATGGCAGCATTTTTTTGTTTGTTTTTAACAGGAAAAGGAAAGGTAAGACTGACAGCAGAAGGTACTAAGGGAACTCATTCTCTATTGAAAAATGTAACTGAAGTAATTTCCCTGGAGGGCGGAGCAAAAAGGGAGGAACAGAGTTGTGAGAGTAATTTATTTTAAATAGCAGAGGGCCATTTGGCAAGATTCTCCTTCCGACTAAATTAAGAAGAGAGTCAGAGCTGTGTGTCTGGGAGTGACGTGGAGAGGATAAGGATGGTGAGGACAAGATTGAGTTTTGAAAGATCTGGCTTCACAGCCTTCCTCTCTGCCTCTCTGCAGTCCCAAGCAGAGCAGGGAATTGGAGCAGCTAGATTCCTAGTGTGATTCTTATTAGTTCTATGATCTCAGGCAAGTTAATTAATTGGCCTCTCTGAGCTTTGGTTTCCTTAAATGCGAAAGGAGGTATTGTCATTTTAAGAAACCTTTATATAAGGCCAGATTCCCAACCCATTTCCTAGGACCTGGTGCTGAGTAGGGGCTTCCATTGTCTTGGCCCTTCCTGCCTCACTGTCCTTCCCAGCCTCACAGGTATCATATGGTATATAAGCATGAACTGGGATCATGCATGCCACTTACCCAATATAGATCTTGCACACAACAGATGCTCAACACATGCTTATTTTTGTCTTTCCTTCTAACCAAGTCCTTTTCATCTTCTTAGCTCAAGAAAACTTCTCAGTCAGCCAGCCAACATTGCTTGCCTAGAGCGATCATTGTCGCCACCTTATATAGTTGTAATTTTACCATATGTAATTCAGCCTCTTACTGAGTTCCAATTTTTAATTATTATAACTAGAACAAAATGAATTTCTTTGTGCGTAAGTCCCTTCTGCATAATTGGTTAGTTCCTTGGGATTAAATCCCAGAAATGGAATTACCATGGAAAAGAGTATGAACATTTTAAATGTTTAAATGCTTCTGACACATCAAATGGACTACAAAGATGCGTTTCACTCATTAAAACCCTGCCTACAATATGAGAATTCCTGTTGCACTGCTCCATCACCATACCAAGTAGTCTCACTAAAAAAGAGCAACTGTCATTTTGATAGGCAAAATATATCATTTGCTTAATTTGCAATGTTTGACTGACTGTGAAGATGACTATATATTGGATAATTTATCTTATCTGTTTTTTTATGCATCTTCTGTTTATATCTTTTGCTCATTTATCAACCATGGTGGTCATATTTCTCTTACTGACTTATAACAGGTAACTAACTTTTTTAAGTGCCTACAGTGTTCACCATCGCGTAGGAGGTCAAGGAGGAGTGGAAAGCATAGGAAAGTCCACAATCTTTGTGGACAACAACCACCCCACTCGGTTCCCAGAAGAAAATCTTTTCTGCTTTTAAACTATTGTATCATGACAAAACTATCAAACAAAACAAGGAAATGATGCCATTTTTAAATTGTATCTACTATTTGCAATTATTTCATCAAGATAGAAAAGTATAATGCCGCGTACATAGTAATCTGTGTCCCTGTGCCAGATATTGACCCGAAGGCACACTATTTCATTTAATCTGCCAAATACCATCTTAAGTTAGGTATTCATCTACCCATTTTATAGGTAAGGAAACCAATGGTCAGAAAGGGAAAGCAACTTTCCTCAATAAATATATTATTTGCCCAAGATTTTATGGCCAATAAGGGGCAGAACCAGAGTTCAGACCCGTGGGCCTGACTGTATAACTTAGCCCCTTTTTGGATTGTAATAGGGTTTTTTTGTACAAGGGCCGGGGGCCAGGACACCAAGTCAGGGCCTGGTTCACAAAAGGCAGCATCTGCAGTATTCACCCACCATCACCACTGCTGCCACCATAGACTTGGAGCAGCTTGTAACCACACGTAAAGGTCACCAGCAGATGAGGAGCGAGGGTCCTGCCTCCCCTGCCTCTGCAGATGGTGCAGAGTTCACCTGCCACTGAAGGACAGGGCAGTGGGGAGGCTGTCCTGGGCCATCATTCACCACACATGTCCTCCTCTGCCAGGGAGTGGAGAAGGGAGGCAGGCTGTGGGGGTTGGTGGTGGATAAAGAGAAGAGTCTGAGATTGTGGAAGTTGTTTCTGCAAATGCTACAGGAAACTGGAGGCCCAAACGCTGCTCTCAGAGTCACAGCTGGAGCAGCAGAACAGAACAGGGTGAATAATTGTCTTTCAAAGTCAGAGTTTCATGGGGATTTTTCTGTGCTGGGGGCTGGTAACTTAGAGGAATCCTGAAAAGCCCTGGCTCCATTTTCCTCTCTCTCAATTCTCAAAGACACTCAAAAAATCAGGAGGTTGACACAATGGAAACCTCAGCTGCCAGCCTGCCCTCCTCACACCAGACTCCTCAGTCTCCCACCAGACCCACATGGAGTGGCTTGACTTGTTCTGCTACTCACCAAGAAGGAGGCTGATTTGGAGCATCCAGATATGAGTGAGGAAGCAGCTGCTGGTTTACAAACTTTGGAAGACAGAACATTTTACAGAAGAATAAAATCATGTGATCATGCCTTACAAAACTAACCACCATAAACTTTCCTGTGTGTTTCTCTCAGTATGTTCTTCTGTGCATTTTCAAGTAAATTTTTTAAAAAGTTATCTATGTAAGGTACTAGTCTCCAAAGTGTGTTATGTGAGATGACTGTGGTATAAGAAGAAAATAGAAAATAAGGCTATTTATATTTTTATTTAATAAGAAAAAAGAAGCCCTTCCTAATATGTAAAAGATTTTCCCTGCACCCTGGTTTGGTCTGTTTGTCAGACAGTCACGTGTGTGAACTACCCCAAGAGAAGAGCGTAAGGCCCCATGGCCAAGGATGAGTGTGTGACACTCACTCCTGGGTCAATCTCAGATGACTGACATCTAGTGAACATGAATATCACTGAACCCACACAGAGTGGTTGAGTTATTTGAAAAGAATTCCCCTGATATTCACAGGCTGAAGATACATAATGCAAATTAACAAGCAAAACGCAGAGCCACCCCTGCTCCCACATGTGGTATCAGCTCTTCATCAGCATATCATCAGGTAAAACAGATGATCCAATTAAATTAGACAAGAAGCCACTGAAATTCAAAATGTTTAAGAAGACCATAGGAAATATGGAGTTGCCTCTACTAGTTAATAATCATCCCAACTCTAAATGCATATCGAGCCTTGAGGTATTATCTAATGTTATGTGAAACCATCATGAACTGCAAGATATTAAAATATTGTTTATTTCATGGATACAAATATATTTGTAACAAGTTTATTTTTTGGTATATACTTTAAAATATACAATTCACAAATCAATTAATGTACATATGGTGGAATTGCCTGCTTAAAATCTTTTATTTTTCATAGCCCTGGCATAAAAAGTTTATAGACCACTGACATAGGCTCTATTTTTTTTGCCTTCCTTGCCTTCTAATGATTTTGAAGGTAAACATCCTATTTTCATTTTCCTAGTGGTTTCCTGTAAATTAGCAAAATATATAACTTGAACTAATTTTTTCTCTAATGATTGCTATGAAAATAATGTTATCTATTTACTTTCCCTGTTAGATGAGAACTGAGCACGTCTCTCTATTGTTTCCTAGTTTTTGTTGATATAATTTGAAGTTTTATGTACAGTTTATAATTATTGGCTTGTTTACTCTGTGTTTTCTTTTTTAGACATTTAGAAATGTTTGCATTACAAATTTGGTTCTCCAGCAGCTTTAGAGGAATGTATGAAAGTGTTACCAATCTCATTTATTTAAGAAAAAGGAAGTTCAGGCTGGGTACAGAGGCTCACTCCTGTAATCCCAACACTTTGGGAAGCTGAGGCAGGCAGATTGCTTGAGACCAGGAGTTCAAGACCAGCCTGGGCAACATAGAGAAACCCTGTCTCCACAATGAAATATAAAAAAAAAAAAATTAGCCTGGCATGGTAGCCTGTGCCTGTAGTCCCAGCTACTCGGAAGGCTGAGGTGGGAATACTGCTTGAGCCCAAGAGTTCGAGGCTGTAGTGAGCAGAGATTATACCACTGCTCCCCAGCCTGGGCAACAGAGCTAGACCCTCAAAAAAAAAAAAAAAGAAGTTAAATGTAAGGATTCTTATGTGCTGAGAGTGAAACTATATCTGGAAAACCTCAGGAAGGACATTTGAATTGATTACATTATTCTTCTATTTTAAAGCAACATTACAACAAAAATCTGTGTCCTTTAGAAATACAATTGGTTGCTAGTAAGAACTGTGAGCCTGTGGCCGAAATGGTAACTCTATGAAGCATCAGGGTTCCAGGCATTATATTCTTTTCTCTTCCTTCATGTGTGACTACTGTTCTCAAAGTCACAACATGGCTGCTGGATCTCTTGCCACTATGTACAAGTTTCAGACACTAGGAAGGAAAAAAGACTGAAAGTGGAAGAGAGTTTTTCCCCGAGTTCCATTAAGTGACTTCTGCTTACATTTCTTTGGTCCTCTCTTTCTTACAAGGGAATCTGGGAAAAGGAAATCTTTACTTAGGCACATTACTACAACCAGACATATAGTTAGGAAAGAAAGGGATGGATAGTGGGTAGGTGGCCAGCAGTTTCAACCATAACACCCTTAAATATCTTTCTTTGAACATGCATATAGTGTTGCTTCTGTTTAGATGTATCCCTAGAAATAAAATTTCAAGATAAAAGTATATTGTACATTTGCATGAATATACTGTCAAATTGCACCTTGAAATGACTGCGTGTGTTTATATTCCCATGGACAGTCTATGAGGGTTCCCATTTTGTCACGGCCCTGCCAATACTGGGTATTGTGACCTCTGGAACAATGGCTGGATATCATTTATCTATGCCTATGTCTTGGCAGATTCAAGCCCCCATCATAATCCTAACCTTGTGGCCTCTCATCAGTTTTACAAAAGCAGTTTAGATTTGGGAAGGGCTATTACCATCCTTGCTTTAAGGTTAAACTATAAACTAAATTCTTCCCAAATTAGCTTGGCCTACGCCTAGGAATGACCAAGGACAGCTTGAAAGTTAGAAGCAAGATGGAGCCAACTATGTCAGATTTCTTTTACTGACATAATTTTGAAAACATGATTTTACCTTTCTTTCCTTAAACAGCTTGCTTCTTGCCTGAATCAGGCATATGGGAATTTCTGACTCCCAGGATTGAGACAGTGCATTGTTTTTTGTTTTTTGGTTTTGTTTTTTTTTTTTTTTTTTGAGACGGAGTCTTACTCTGTCCCCCAGGCTGGAGCACAGTGGCATGATCTCGGCTCACTGCAAGCTCCACCTCCTGGGTTCACGCTATTCTCCTGCCTCAGCCTCCCAAGTAGCTGGGACTACAGGCACCCACCACCATGCCTGGCTAATTTTTTGTATTTTTAGTAGAGACAGTGTTTCACCGTGTTAGCCAGGATGGTCTTGATCTCCTGACCTTGTGATCCGTCCACTTCGGCCTCCCAAAGTGCTGGGATTGCAGGCGTGAGCCACCGCGCCCGGCCAAGACAGTGCATTGTTTTATCTGAATCCATTCCATATGTACTAGGCCTGCTAGGTAATAAAACCTGCGTGGTCACACCTGTAATAACTCCTTGACCCCACTCCACATGCATGAAGATTAGTGGACAATGTGTAGAACAATACCATTTACACACGTGGTCTGGGCTTCTTCTCTGGCTAGAAGTAGGAGGTCTTTATTTCCCCACCCACCTGAAGAACATTGCTTTGCAGAAATCTAACTTTTGGGGCTTAACATGTCTACATTGCCTTCAGATCCCTAAATCAGAACTGATGACTCCCATTCCAACCCAATCACTTGGTCTATTTGAAAAATATTGCACCATTTCTTCATGTTTCTCAAAAAGCTTCACCAAGGCCAATAATTTAGAGGCCCCTGTGGTGAAATCCAGGCCTTTTTACAAGACTTCATTATCAATTCTTCTGCAAATGCTGGGGTCTAGGTAACGATCCCCTCATCTCCTCTGGTGTCTCACTGAATAAACCACTCTAATCCCAACAACTGTGTAGAGGCCTTTCCTTCCTTTTGGTTGATGTGTGGTCAGAAACCCAGCACATGAGTCTCTCTGACTATGGACATTACCAAACACCTGTGAGACCCCCGCCAGGCACTGACTTCACAGAAGAGGAGGGATTTGTGGCTGTAAACCCAGATACGTTTTCTAACTATGGTCATTGTAGACACTTTTTTAGTTTATGTCACTTCGTCATCAGCACTGTGCTTCCTGCAAGTGTCTCCTGTTTGTGGTAACAAGTCCCTTTCAATGTAGTCCTATGACTTTCCTCCTAGTTGTTTCCCCAGCAGAAACAGTCTAGTGTTGAGAAAACTCTGTTCCATCACGTCAAGCAGGTTGGAGGCCCAAGTTAACCCACTGTTGACCACAGACCTCCGTTCCCATTCCAGGGAAGTTTACAGTTTCTCAGGAATTTGTGATTCTGCTGGGTAACACCAATTTCCAGCCTGCAGCTTCATGAATACTTTCCTAGAATTTACTCATTCTGCTATGCTCACATGACAATATTCCAAAGTCAGATACCTGAACATATTTTATTTAACAACTATTAGCTTGATTTATAATTTTATGCAGACATATGATGGTGATTGCATCTCCATGTGTACCCTTTCCCTGGGTTCCACAAATGTTAGAGATGGTCTTGGCAGCAGGAGTAGGTGCACTGCTATTGTAAGCTCCCTGCTTATGCAACTCATTTGTGTTTTCAAGTCCTGCTTGATCCTGCTCTTATATATATGTAACTTCCACTTGATGATGAAATGCTGTTGGACATACCTGATTATAGGGGTGCATGAATTAGAAAATACCCAGTTGAGGGTGGCTCAGGTTGCATAGTCATTTGTTGTGTCTCATGGTCAGTGTATTAGTCCTTGCACTGCTATAAAGAAATACCTGAGACTGGGTAATTTATAAAGAAAAGAGGTTTACTTGGCTCAGGATTCTGCAGGCAGTACAGGAAACATAGTGGCTTTTGCTTCTGGGGAGGCCTCAGGAAACTTACAATCATGGCAGGAGGTGAAGGAGAAGCAGGGATGTCTTACATGGCAGGAGCAGGGCCAAGGGGCAGGGGGAGGTGCTACACACTTTGAAACAACCAGATCTCATAAGCACTCAGTCACCATCATGAGAACAGCACCAAGGGGATAGTGTTAAACCATTTATAAGAAATTTCCCCTGTGATTGAATCACCTCCCTCCAGGCCCCACCTCCAACACTGGTAGTTACAATTTGACATGAGATTTGGACGGGGACACAGATCCAAACCATATCAGTCAGGTATAGCAAACCTAAAGCTATACGAGAAGAGAGTTATTTTCTGAAGATTATGTGGTTCTGCTTAACATTCAATGAACCTCTGTTAGATTTTTATCATTATTGTTGCTATTGTTGTTATCTTAGTCTGCCATACCTCCAACGAGCAATCAGTTGGCTCCAGGTCACATCAAACACATTTGGGTCTGCAGGGCCGTAAGGGCCAATGGCAGAGATGATTACATTGTAGCCTGAATAAGCAGGAGAATCTTCTCTTGCTTTGGGCCCCTTTCAAAGTTGATCATCTTATAGCTAGTGAACGTGCTAATGTTGTACACCAAATTGTGTCGTATATTATCTCCAAGAAGACCTACAAAGCATGACATCTCTTTCTTAATGACAGTGCATTCAAGGTGAAGCAAGATTGCATTTATCTTTGAGGGAATGTGCTGATATTCTCCAAATGACTGGACTCCTAGAAACATTACTAAGGTGTCAGGCCCCCTAACTTTCATGAGATTTATCTTGGTACTTTTGTGCCTCTAGGATATCTGCTGTTAGCTTCTCACTACATCAGATCATCATTATGTAATTCCTATGGTAGGTCAGCATGATGGCAAAGAAGATAGGATATGATAAAGCTCTCTGTTATATCTCTTGCTCTCTGGTCTAATACCTTCATAATCTATTCCCACTGATATTTTCCAGATCTTTGCTAATATAAATTAACAAAAGCTTGCAAGTCTTTTGGTGCGAAAGCCTACTCCTCTGAAGTTTAACTGTCTTATTGACCCAGGGGACATGCAGTGACCTAGTTATAGACCTGGAGGAATAAGGAGTAAGAGGGGTGAGGCATGAAGAAAATTGGTATCTTCTTTCAAGAAAGGAAGACCCTATGTGAGTGAGGTGATTACATATATTACATACTGGTAAGGCAGAACTAGTTTTCCAGATGAGAGTAGGGGCCATGTTTGTAGGTAAGGGAAGTCCTGATCCTCAGGGTCTTATTCTTTCCTAACCAATGTGCTGCCTTTTAACAGAAGAAAATTCAGAAGGCTGAGGATTCAATTTACTTTGAAATCCAGCAACCCACAGGACCAGAATCTGTATCTAATTTTTGACTAGCCAGGCTTTCAGTTCCTGCAGCATCCCCCTATGGAGTGTGGTAAGTGGAATTTTTCTACCTCATTGAGTACAGGAGAGCCAGAGATGGAGGGGAACACAAACTGAAAAAAGTGAAAACAAAAAACGTACATTTCAGTAATTTTTTTAAGCTCAAGTAAACCACTTGAAACTACTCCAAACTTTCCCAAGAAATAAAGCACACATTTGTTACCAGATAGTATACATCATAATTGCTTCTGCTTTTATTTTCCATGGGAGAAGAATAATCTATCTTTTTTTGTGCCACATCCATAGGATGCAAAATGAGAACATGGCAACATTGCAATATAGTGTGAGAAAAGGGAGTGGAGAACATAAAAGAAGCATCTCTCATGAACTGGGGACAAGGAGAGGGATGAGGATAGGGGAACCTGCTCCACATGGCACAAAATGGGAGGAAAGCTGAGGCTTAGAGAGCTCTGCTTAAATTTCCTCACCAATAAGTGCCATAGCTAGAATCAGCCATAGTTTCACTCTTTCTTTCTTCCCCCTTAAGATTGTGACACTAAAATAAAATCATTGCATATGAGGTGCTTAGCAATGGATCTGACACATTGCAGGTGTGATCAACTGCCCCAGGGGGTTGGTAGAGGAAAGAGCCAAGGATAAGGCCCAGGTTCCTGGATGGGGCCTGTGATGGTTAATACAGAGTGTCAACTTGATTGGATTGAAGGATGCAAAGTATTGATCCTGGGTGTGTCTGTGAGAGTATCGCCAAAGGAGATTAGCATTTGAGTCAGTGGGCTGGGAAAGGGAGACCCACCCTTAATATAGGTGGGCACCATCTAATCAGCTGCCAGCACTGCCAGAATAAAAGCAGGCAGAAGAATGTGAAAAGATTAGACTTTCTTAGCCTCCCAGACTACATCTTTCCTCCATGCTGGGTGCTTCCTGCCCTCAAACATCAGACTCCAAGTTCTTCAGCTTTGGGACTTGGACTGGCTTAATTGCTTCTCAGCTTGCAGATGGCCTATTGTGGGATCTTTTGATCCTGTGAGTTAATATACCTTAATAAACTCATATATATCTTCTATTAGTTCTGTCCCTCTAGAGAACCCTAATACAGATTTTGGTACCAGGAGTGGTTCTAGAGGAACAGAATATTAAGGATGGAGTCCTTTCATTGGTTTTGGGGGTTTCTGGAATTGGTTGCTTACTATAATTAGACCCCAAAATGCTAAGGACTCTATTTTCAATAGTATGAAGAACACTGATAGCTCTTTGCATGAACTGTTTGGAGAGTTATGCAAAATAAATGCATTCAACACTCCTGATTCATGCTTGTGCAAGGCAAGGAGTTTAGTGACTCTATACATGATACCTTTGACTATATGTGGAGAACCAAGGAACAAAATGAAGTTGGTTGGTTGCTCCTAAGTTCACGGGACAAAGTGATGAAAGAAAATGATGAACTCAGGGATTCTGATTCCCAGCTTAAAGAGCAGGTACTGAGCCTCAAATCTGCTAAGATTGCCCTGTGTGAGAGTCTTATCTCCTGTAGAGAAAGAGCTGAAATTGTAGAAAAACAGACACAAGCTCTTATCATACGAGTGGCTGGCCTGCAATGAAAGGTGCATGCACAGCCTCGCCAGTTGTCTACTGTTAAAATGAAGGCACTGTTTGGAAAAGAATGGGACCCTGAAACTTGGAATGGGTATACGTGGGAGGACCCTGATGAAGCTGGGGACACTGAGCTTGTAAACTGTGATGAACCTTTTTTTGCCAGAAGAAACAGCTTCCCATCCCCATTAGTGGCAACATTTCCTCTCAAATCCATGCTGCCATCAGCCTTTCCACCTTTGTCTGAGGAGATAAACCCTGAACTGCCTGAGACAACAGTGATGGTCTCCCCTGAGTCAGTTGCCAGGCAAGATAATGTTGATTCTCTTCAGAAGCCACCCCCAACACCCCTGTTTGCTTCTAGACCTATAACTAGACTAAAGCCCTGGCAGGCCCCTAGAGGTGAGGTTCAGAGTGTGATCCATGAGGAGGTGCACTATATTCAAAAAGAACTGCTTGAGTTTTCTAATTTATATAAGCAGAAATCTGGAGAACAGGTATGGGAATGGATATTAAGGGTATGGAATAATGCTGGAAGGAACATAGAGTTGGATCAGGCTGAATGATTGATTTGGGCCCACTAAGTAGAGATTCTGCATTCATGTTGTAACTCAGGGAGTTAAAAAAGGTTCTAATAGTTTATTTGCTTGGTTTACTGAAATATGGATTAAAATATGGCCCACTGTGAGGGAGCTGGAAATGTCTGATCTCCCTTGATTTGATGTACAGGAAGGAATCCAAAGGCTTAGGGAGACTGGGTTGCTGAAGTAGATTAGTCACTTTAGACCTATTCATCCCAGCTGGGAGGATCCAGAAGATATACCCTTGACCAGTGCTTTGCAAAATAGATTTTTGAGGGCAGCACCTGCATCTTTGAAGAGCCCTGTAATTGCTCTTCTCTGTATGCCAGATCTAACAGTAGGAACCACAGTCACTAAACTACAAAATTTAAATACAATGGGAATAATTGGACCCTGAGGTGGCAGGGGCCAAGTGGTGTCAATCAAGCATCAAAGACAAGGGGGTAGGGGTCATAGCTACTGTAATGGAGACCAGAGGAAAAACAGCAATAAGAATAGTCTGACTTGTAGAGCTCTGGCATTGGCTAATTAATTATGGTGTTCCTAGAAGTGAAATTGATAGGAAGCCTACTGCATTCCTACCTAATTTATATAAGCAGAGAACTTCAAGGTCGAGTGGACAAAAGACTAACTTGAATTATAAAAACAGAATCACAGCACCCTCAATTTTCAGACTTGAGCCAGTTTACAGACACAGAACCCCATGAATAAAGGGGAGGTTGGGTCCCCTTGAGGAAGAACTCCACTACACTACTGACAATTTATGCTGTTAATCTTTCTCCCATCCTTCCCCAAGGAGACCTCCAGCCTTTTACCAGGGTAACTGTGCGTTGGGTAAAGGGAAATAATCAGACATTTGGGGGACTACTGGACATTTGCTCTTAGCTGATGTTGATTCTAGGGGACCCAAAACATCACTGTGGTCCTCCAGTTAAAGTAGGGGCTTATGGAGGTCAGGTAATTAATAGAGTTTTAGCTCAGGTCTGACTTACAGTGGGTCCAGTGGGTCCCTGAAATCATCCTGTGGTCATTTCCCTAGTGCCAGAATGCATAATTGGCATAGACACACTTAGCAGCTGGCAGAACCCCCACATTGGCTCCCGGATTGGTAGGGTGAGGGCTATTATGGTGGGAAAAGCCAGATGGAAACCATTAGAGCTAGCTCTACCTAGAAAAACAGTAAATCAAAAACAATATTACATCCCTGCAGGGATTATGGAGATTAGTGCCACCATCAAGGACTTGAAAGACACAGAGGTGGTGATTCCCACCACAACCCTGTTCAACTCTCCTATTTGGCCTGTGCAGAAGACAGATGGATCTTGAAGAATGACAGTGGATTACTGTAAGCTTAACTAAGTGGTGACTCCAATTGCAGCTACTGTACCACATGTGGTTTCAGTGCTTGAGCAAATTAACACATCATCTCCTGGTACCTGGTATGCAGCTATTGACTTGGCAAATGCCTTTTTCTCCATTCCTGTCCATAAGGGCCACCAGACACAATTTGCCTTCAGCCAGCAAGGCCAGCAATATACCTTTACTGTCCTACTTCAGGGGTATATCAACTCTCCAGCTTTGTGTCATAAACTTATTCGGAGAGAGCTTGATTGCTTTTTGCTTCTGTAAGATATCACATTGGTGCATTACATTCATGACATTATGCTGGTTGGATCCAGTGAGCAAAAAGTAGCAAATACACTGGACTTATTGGTGAGATAGTTGCATGCCAGAGGATGGAAAATAAATTCAACTAAAATTCAGGAACCCTCTACCTCAGTAAAATTTCTAGGGGTCCAGTTGTGTGGGGCCTGTCGAGATATTTCTTCTAAGGTGAAGGATAACTTGCTGCATTCAGCCCCTCCTGCAACCAAGAAAGAGGCACAATTCCTAGTGGGCCTATTTGGATTTTGGAGGCAACACATTCCTCATTTGAGTGTGTTATTCTGGCTCATTTATTGAGTGACCTGAAAGGCTGCCAGCTTTGAGTGGGATCCAGAACAGTAGAAGGCTCTGCAACAGGTCCAGGTTGCTGTGCAAGCTGCTCTGCCCCTTGGACCATATGACCCAGAAGATCCAATGGTGCTTGAGGTGTCCGTGGCAGATAGGGATGCTGTTTGGAGTCTCTGGCAGGATCCCTGAAGGTGAATCACAGCAGAGGCCTCTAGGATTTTGAGGTAAGGCCTTGCCATCTTTGGCAGATGACTACTCTCCTTTTGAGAGACAGCTCTTGGTCTGTTGCGGGGCTTTGATGGAAACTAAACATTTGACTATGGGTCATCAAGACATCATGCTACCTGAACCACCTATCTTGAACTGGATGCTTTCTGACACATGTAGCCATAAAGTGGGTCATGCACAGCAGCATTCCATCATCAAATGGAAGTGGTATATACGTGATTGGGCTGAAGGAGGTCCTGAAGGCACAAGTAAGTTACATAAGGAAGTGGCTCAAATGCCATGGTCACTCCTGCCACCCTGTCTTCTCTCCTCCAGCCTGCACCAATGGCCTCAAGGGGAGTTCACTATGATCAACTGACAGAGAAAGAGAAGACTAGGGCCTGATTCACAGATGGTTCTGCACAATATGCAGGCACCACCCGAAAGTGGACAGCTGCAGCACTACAGCCCTGCTTTCTAGGACATCCCTGAAAGACAGTGGTGAAGGGAAATCTTTCCAGTGGGCAAAACTTCAAGCAGTGCACTCTGCGTGGAAGGAGAAATGGCCAGATGTGCATGGGCTGTAGCCAATGGTTTGGCTGGATGGTTAGAGAGTTGGAAGAAGCGTGATTGGAAAATTGGTGACAAAGAAATGTGGGGAAAGGGTATATGGATGGACCTCTCTGGGTGGTCAAAAACTTGAAGATATTTGTATTCCATGTGAGTGTTCACCAAAGGGTGACCTAAGCAGAGGAGGACTGTAATAATCAAGTGGATAGCATGACTTGTTCTATGGACACCACTCAGGGAAAGCCCCAGCCACCTCTGTCATCATCCAATGGGCCCATGAACAAAGTGATCATGGTGGCAGGGATGGAGGTCATGCATGGGCTCAGCAACATGGACTTCCATTCACCAAGGCTTACCTGGCTACAGCCACTGCTGAGTACCCAATTTACCAACATCGGAGACCAACACGGAGCCCTCCATATGGCACCATTACTCAGGGTGATCAGCTAGCTACCTGGTGGAAGGTTGATTATATTGGACCTCTTCCATCATGGAAAGGGTAAATGTTTGTTTTCACTGGAATAGGCACTTATTCTGGATATGTGTTTGCCTATCCTGCATGCAATGCTTCTCCCAAGACTGCCATCCATGGACTGACGGAACGCCTTATCCATCATCACGGTATTCCACACAGCATTGCCTCTGTGGCACTTATTTTACAGCTAAAGAAGTGCAGCAGTGGGCTCATGCTCATGGAATTCACTGGTCCTGCCATGTTTCTTATCATCCTGAAGCAGCTGGATTAATAGAACGGTGGAATGGCCTTTTGAAGTCACAATTACAATGCCAACTGGGGGACAATACTTTGCAGGGCCGGAGCAAAGTTCTCCAGAAGGGTGTGTATGCTCTGAGTTAGCATCCAATATATGGTATTGTTTCTCCCATAGCCAGGATTCACGGGTCCAGGAATGAAGGGGTGGAAGTGGAAGTGGCACCATTCACCATCACCCCTAGTGACCCACTAGCAAAATTTTTGCTTCCCATTCCCATGACAGTACTTTCTGCTGGCCAAGAGGGAGGAATGGTGCCACCAGGAGACACAACAATGATTCCATTAAACTGGAAGATTGCCACCTGGACACTTTAGGCTCCTCTTACCTTTAAGTCAACAGGCTAAGAAGGGAGTTATAGTGTTGGCCAGAGTGATTGACCAGACTATCAAGATGAAATCAGTCTACTACTCCACAATGGAGGTAAGAAAGAGTATGCATGGAATACAGGAGATCCCTTGGGGTGTCTCTTAGTATTACCATGCCCTGTGATTAAGGTCAATGGGAAACTACAACAGCCCAATCCAGGCAGGACTACAAATCATCCAGACCCTTTGGGAATAAAGGTTTGGTTCACTCCATCAAAAACAAACAAACAAACACCCAAAAAAACAAAACCACGACCTGCTGAGGTGCAGGCTGAAGACAAAGGGAATACAGAATAGATGGTAGAAAAAGGTAGTCATCAATATCAGCTATGACCACGTGAGTAGTTGCAGAAATGAGGGCTGTAATTGTCATGAGTATTTCCTCCTTCTTTTATTAAAAACATGTTTGCACATGTATACACTTGTACTAAGAAAATATCTTCATTTTATTTCCTTTCCTTTTTATCATGTGACATAAGATTTATAAATTTCATGTCAGCATTTTAAGTGTTAACTTTATGTAATAGCATTTTGGTTGGGGATTGGTGCATTTCTGGTTTACGAAGGATAGTTGTACATGTAAGGCGTAATTTTGAACTTATTGTCTCTGAAGATTATGTATGATGTCAGGAGATGTGTATGGGTTCAGGTTGACAAAGGGTGGACTTGGGATGGTTAATACTAAGTGTCAAGTTGGTTGGATTGGAGGAGGTAAAGTATTGATCCTGGGTGAGTCTGCAAGGGTGTTGCCAAAGGAGACTAACATTTGAGTCAGTGGGCTGGGAAAGGCAGACTCACCCTTAATATGTGTGGCACAATCTAATCAGCTGCCAATGCAGCCAGAATAAAAGCAGGAAGGACGTGAAAAGGCTAGACTTTCTTACCCTCCCAGCCTACATCTTTCTCCCATGCTGGATACTTCCTGCCCTTGAACATCAGACTCCAAGTTCTTCAGCTTTGGGACTCGGACTGGCTTCATTGCTCCTCAGTTTGCAGACGGCCTATTGTGGGACCTTGTGATCATGTGAGTTAATACTCTGGAATAGACCCCCCTTTATCTGTCTATCTATTTTATTACTTCTGTCCCTCTAGAAAATCTTGAGTAATACAGGGCCATTGCCTTAAAATGGAATCACAGAAATAGACTAGAAGATGAAGAAAAATGCAACATTGGACACATTGAGTTGGAGGTGCCAGTGGAGACGTCTAGTAGAGAGCTGAATGCAGGGTCTGACACTAAGCAGAGGGTGATGGGTGGAGACACAGACTTGGGCATTAGCAGCATGGGAATGATTATTGAAGCCAGGAAAGTAGATGGCCTAGTAAGAACATAAAGGCTGGGCACAGCTTACAACTGCAACCACAGCACTTTGGGACACTGATGTAGGAGGATTATTTGAGCCCAGGAGTTTGAGACCAGCCTGGGCAACATAGCAAGACCATGTCTCTATAAAATTAAAAATTAAAAAATGGTCCAAGCTTGGTGGCACACACCTATAGTCCCAGCAACTCAGGAGGCTGAGGCAGGAGGATTGCTTGAGCCTGGGAGTTTGAGACTGCAGTAAGCTATGATCACACCACTGCACTTCAGCCTGAATGGCAGAACAAGGCCCTCTGTCTGACAGAGAAAGAAATGGGCTTATGACAAGATCCTTAGAAGCACCTTCAGGGGAAGGGTGAAGGTAGAGAAAGAGGAGGCAGCAGAAGAGCCTGAGGAGAACAGCAGGAGGAAGGGGATCCAGCAGAGAGTGATGTCAGGGAAACCGAGAAAGAGTTCTCAAGAAGAAAAAAAAGAAAGGGGTCAACAGTGCCAAATGTTGGGTGGTTTCTGGTTGCCTGGTGGCATTCTGAGCAGTGCTGGTGGAGGAAGGCCAAGGAGTAAGTGTCTTGGAGCAAGTGTAGAGGCATTGCTGTGACGTGGAAGATGAAGAAAAAGGATGATATTTGGGGAGTGAGGTTATGGAGATGCTGCAACCGCCTAAGGGGTATTTCCTGCCCACTGCATAAAGATAGACCACAGCATTGTAGTAAATAAAAAAAGTTTAATAGATGCAAGGCCAGCCATGCCATGTGAGAGATGGAGTTTGTACTCAAATCATCTTGTTCAAAGCTCAAAAGTTAGGGAATTTTCAAAGGCAGTTTGGGTAAAGGAGTAGGGTAATAGGTGCTTGCTGCTGATTGGTTGGGACAAAGATGAAATCATAGGGGGTCAAAACTGTCCTCCTGAGGGCTGAATTGCTTATGGGTGGGGCTACAGGAGCAGGATTGGTGGTCCAGATGGAACCATGGGTGTCAGACATGCAAAAAACCTGGAAAGATATCTCAAAAGATCAATCTACAATACTGGTGTTATTTGCAGGAATAATTGGAAAAGCTGCATATCTTATAACCTCTGGAGTCATTTATGTCTGCACCTTAGCAGGACTCAAGGTCCTCTCCTCCCCTCAGCCTCATGGCATCCCATTAGCTTTACAATAGCAGTTGAGTTGAGTGTTGGGCAAGGCCTATTATCATTCCAAGCTTGTCTAACCTGTGGCCCACAAGCCACATTGAATACAGCCCAACACAATTTTGTAAACTTTCTTAAAACGTTATGAGTATTTATTTTTAGCTCCTCAGCTATTGTTAGTGTTAGTGTATTTTGTGTATGGCCCAGGATAATTCTTCCAATGTGGCCAAGGGAAGCCAAAAGATTGGAAACCCCTGACTGTAGCCAAAATGTCTTCAATAGTTAAGGGAAAGGCAAGTTTTGCAGGAGAGTAGAGGGGAGAGTTAGTTCACCTTACTGTTATGATTTTCCCAGTGATACAATTTTTTGCAAAGGTGGTTTAATGTTCTGCTAAAAATATGGAGAGGTTTGGGAGAATGTGAGAAGGATTCAGCAGAATGATGAAAATGTGGGTTCTGGATTCAAACTACCTGGATTTAAATCCTGGTTCTGATATTTCCCAGCTGTGTGAACTTGAGCAAATGACTTAGTGTTCTTATGTCTCTTGTTTCTATTTTCTAACTGGGGATAATGATACCTATTTTATACAGTGTTTATGAGGATTAAATGAGTTAAAACCTGCAGAATGCTTAGAAGAGTCTGGCACATAGGGAGCATTCAATAAGCACTATTATTAATTTATATTATCTTTCAATAGCTGTCATGCACATAAAATTGCTGAGTGGTGTTAAAGTTTGCTTGAGACTAGGCTGCGTGAATTTATAATGGTGTCACCTGAGATGTTGATGATTGTGTCAGGCAGCATGAGTGTTGTGCAGAGATGGACACTTGGATCAACCCCAGGTTTATAATTTGCCAGGAGCTTCCAAACCCTTAGAATTTTCTGAGGAATAGGAATGTCTTTATTATTCACACGAACCCCTTTTGACCGTATCTGAGTGTACACTAATGCGTTGACTCTTGGCAGGTCCCTACAGAACTTCAGGATAGTGACTGGTTGCTTGAGAAACCATGCATGTGATTAGAGGGTTGGCAATTTTAACTCTACCCCTATGCCAACCTCTGGGGAGAAGACAGGGACTAGAGATTAAGCTCTGTTTGTTAGCAGTGGCAAATCTGTACAGGTGTGCAGCAACCTCAGTTCTTGCCTCCTCAGAAGAAAGAATCTGACCACAGGGCACAAGGCAGAGTGTGTGACCAAGGCAAGTTTTAGAGCAGGAGGAAAAATTGCTAAAAACTTTAGAGCAGAATGAAAGAAAGTAAAGTACATTTGGAAAGGGTCCAAGCAGGTGACTTGAGAGATCCAAATGCCCAGTTTGACCTCTGACTTGGAGTTTTATACATTGGCATGCTTCTGGGGTCTTGTGTTCCTTCTCCCCTGATTCTTCTCTTGGGGTGGGCTCTCTACATGCCCACTAGCCTGTCAGCACTTGGGAGGGGTCGCATGCACAGTGTGTTTACTGGAGGTGTACACATGCTCACTTGAGGAATTCTTCCCTTCCAGGTTGAATGTTCCTAGAAGGTCATATACCAGCCAAACTCCACCATTTTGCCTCTTACTGCATATGCTTGAGCCCACTCACCCAACTCCTGTGATCTTAATGGGAAGCTGCTTATCACCAATTATAGGTTTTTCCTATCTATTGGGATACTGCCTTTCTCTGGTGCCAGTTGTGACCAATTATTATTTTAGAGAGTCAATGTAACAGCTGCCTCACCGTCACATGATGGTCACCTAACATTCCTGGTTAGCGGAATCCTCTCCTGCCCTGCTCCTGTCTGCCTGACTACCTACTGTAACATCATGAGTACTCGTGTGCAGGTAGGTTCTTTTCCACAGGAGCCACATTTGGAAACCCTTGAGGAGGTGCTAGAATCTACATGCCCAGGAAGCTGCTGTTCCCTGGGGCCTGCATTCAATGAACACTTTTATCATTCAATAAAGATCTGATTAAAATCCAGGCATGGTGGCTCACAACTCAAATGCCAGCACTTTGGGAGGCTTAGGAGAGCAGATTGCTTGAGCCCAGGAGTTTGAGACCAGCCTGGGAAATTTGATAAAATCCCATCTCTACACAAAAATATAAAAATTATCTGAGCATAGTAGTTCATACCTGTAGTCCCAGCTATGCAGGAGGCTGAGATGGAAGGACAGCTTGAGTCCAGGAGGCAGAGGTTGCAGTGAGCTGAGATCAAGCCACTATACTCCAGCCTGAGTGACAAAGTGAGACTCTGTCTCAAGAAAAGAAAAAAAAAAAAAGTAAAGATCTGCTTGCTTAATGAATGGCTTGCTTAATGGTTTCAAGATGAGAAGGTGCATTCCCTTTTGGGAGGGTGCCACTTTTGTTGAAGAAGGTAAAAACAAATCAGCTCAGTGGTGTCTATAGTGGGTGCCATGCTGGATGGCATGAATGTAGAACAGTATGTGCAGTTTGCCACTATAAACCAAAATTTTTTGTATTTTTAGTAGAGACGGGGGTTTCACTGTGTTAGCCAGGATGGTCTCGATCTCCTGGCCTCATGATCCGCCCACCTCAGCCTCCCGAAGTGCTAGGATTACGGGCGTGAGCCACCGCACCTGGCCAAGAGTTTTAACTATAAGGCTGCTGAATGAGGAGATAGGAGCAAACCTCAAATACACCTCCCTGAGGAGTTCGGGGATAGGAATTTTAAGGGGATTGGAATGGGCCATGGCATGAAGATCATTGATTGCTCTAAGAATGCAAGACAAAATCGTGGGATGGGGAAATGAAAAAACTGCATTCTCATGCCAATTTAATGTCCCTGCGGGATTCCTAAAACTGGTTTGTGTCAGCTGGAATTCAGGATCTGGAAAACATCTTAAACAATTCTTAAAGGAAAGCCTTATGATTCTAACAACAGTGATCCTATCTATAGGAAAAGTGACGATGCAAATGGTCCGTATCTAGAGCTACATGACTTTCAGTTACAAGGAAGTGGGCCAAAGTACACCTGATTAATGTCATTCTTATTAACCCTGTGAAGATGGTTTCATTGACAGCTGTGAGCACCCTGCCCCTTATCATAGATGTGTACTTGAGTGAGTTATTTAATCTCTCTGGATATCTAGGATGCTGTATCACCTGGAAGGTGCATGTAATGCTTAGACAACAAGGTTATTTTGAGAATTGATTTAATGTGTGTTGTGGATTAATCTAAGTAATGCATATAAAGCCACAAGATGTAGCAAATATTCAGTAATTACATTCTTCATGTAACGCAGTACTCTTCTGGCATTCGTTTTGGTTTTGGTTTCAAATAAAATAGACATGACTACCCATCATATGTGACAGAGATGTCCAGAGCCTTTCCCAGAACTTCTCTGAACTCCAGAGATTTAGATTCTCAGGATCACTAAGTCCTGCAAACCTATTCTTCCTAGACTCTATCACATCTTAATCCACATTTCTCTCCTATCTGGCATATCCCCCTCTACCCCCCACCACACACATACTCTGCTGCTGCAGATACAGATCTGTCTTCCTTTAATTCCCCCAAAACATTACCAGCAAGCACTGTTAGTGGGTGGCAGAAATCCCAGTTACCCGGAGTTAGCGGTGGTAGCAACTTCAGTACTTGCCTCCTCAGGAGAAAGAATTTGACGGAGTGGCATAAAGAGACTGAGGCAAGTTTCAGAGTAGGAGTGAAGTTTATTGAAAAAGGCTTTAGAACAGAAAAGAAAGCAAAATTCACTTGGAAGAGACCCAAGTGGGCACCTGAAGTTCCAAGAAAGAAAAAGGGAGCAAAAAGGGGCCTTTAACCTCCATCCTGGGACTTTATAGGCTTGCCTCTTTCTCCTAGGGTGGGCTTTCTGCACGGGCAGTGCTCTCCTTGCTCTTTGGAACTGACACACGCAGTGTGTTTAGGAAGCTATATGCATGTACGTCTGAGGCTTTCTTCCCTTTTTTTTGGTGGAGTGTACCTGGAATATCATCCTTCCCTCATTGTCTCTTAACAAACATGCCCACGAAGTTGCTGTTCCCTGGGGCCTGCATTCAATGAACACTTTGGGATATTGGGGAGTTAACACTTCCCACAAAGAGCTTTGTTCCTTGGCCCACAGCTTGTTACGTAGGCAACTGACTGTTGAAGTTTACGGAAAACCAGAAAAGAAATTCAACTCATTAATTAGGGCAGGTGTCAGAAGCATTTGAACAAGAGCAATTCCATCTTGAATAGGGGCTGGGTAAAATAAGGCTAAGACCTGCTGAGCTGTGTTCCCAGTAGGTTAGGCATTCTAAATCACAGGATGACACTGGAGGTCAGCACAAGATGCAGGTAATAAAGACCTTGCTGATAAAGCAGACTGCAGTAAAGAAGTCAGCTAAAACCCATCAAAATCATGACAGTGATAAGAGTGACCTCTGTTTGTCCTCACTGCTACACTCCCACCAGGACCATGATAGTTTACAAATGCCATGGCAACATCAGGAGGTTATCTTATATGGTCTAAAAATGGGAGGCATGAATAATCTACCCTTGTTTAGCATACAATTATAAAAATGGGCAACCATCAGCACTCGTGGCTGCTCTGCCTATGGAGGAGCCCTTCTTTATTCTTTTACTTTCTTAATGAACATGCTTTCATTTTACTCTATGGATTCACTTCAAATTCTTTCTTGTGCGAGATCCAAGAACCCTCTCTTGGGGTCTGGATCTGGAACCCTTTTATGGTAACACAGAGACAAAGGAAAGCCAAAAAAAAAATAAAAAAATAAAAAAGAGGCCTAGCCCAGCCTTGCTGTAAGAATGTGACTTTTATGTCTGACCACAGGCTGACACTGGTGACCAGGGTTTCCTGGGGCAGAGCTGTGAATCCAGGTATATTGGTCCATTTTCATACTGCTATGAAGAACTTCCCAAGACAGGATAATTTATAAAGGAAAGATGTTTAATTGACTCACAGTTCCACATGGCTGGGGAGGCCTCAGGAAACTTACATTTATGACCAAAGGCAAGGTGAAGCAGGCACCTTCTTCACAAGGAGGCAGGATGGAGAAGGATTGAAGGAGAAATTCTTCAAACAGTTATAAAACCATCAGATCTTGTGAGAACTTATTCACTATCAAGAGAACAGCATAGGGGAAACCACCCCACCCCCAAGAAACCTCCACCTGGTTTCTCCCTTGACACATGGAGATTATAGGATTTACGGGGATTAGAATTCAAGATGAGATTTTGGGTGCGGAAACAGCTGGACTATATCACCAGGAAAGCTGGCAAATTGGGGCAAGTGTGTGTGAGAACACCACCTGGCTGCCCAGAAAGAGGGGGCTGTTCAGTGCAGTGCCAGGAACATCATAGAGTGAGGTTGTTTCCACATCTATTCTATAGTTACCTACAAAGTATGTACTGCAGGTGCTGGAATAAGCAGAAAGAGCTTTCTTTAAAATGGTGGGCTGTCACCACAGAACTAACTTACTAGTCAGAGGTCAAACAAGAATTAACCTGTGTAAGCCAAATTAAAATTCTAAGCCCCCAAAAGACTGAATAGACCCCCCATACCTTTCAGCCAAGACGATTCCAAAAAAAACAAAAAACAAAAACCCTGAAAAACTAGGTTAGGGCATAATTGGAAGCAGGGGTCAGATATGCTTTATTGTACTTCTCTCCCTTGGGAATTCAGGCACAACTAACAGGCATTAATATTAAAACAGATATCTTAAGAGTGACAAAACTGACTCTTTGTACAAATAAAAACCATCAGAAAATGACAGCAGGGCTTGAAATAAATAAAAATATTTTACCATTTCTTTTATGTTTTTTGAAATGGCCCTGCAAAGCTGTTCCTTGTGAGGGAAATTTACATTATGTAGAGAATGCCTTCCCTTTCCAGGTGTTTTGCTGGTCCTGATGAGATAAGCTGAGAGTCTGTCACCTTTTAAAGGTCGGAACAGGAACATTTGCCATCTATTGCCTCTAAGAGGGGCCACCTACGAGACTTCCTCAATATAATAAGAACTTTGGTCTCCACAACTTCTTTTCTTAAAAAGTATCTACTCCTTTCTATTGTTTTCAGGTTTTCAGATAATAATTTAATTCTTTCAACCAATTGTCAATCAGAAAATCTTTGACTCCACCTATGGCCTGTAAGCCCTTGCTTTGAGTTGTCCCACCTTTCTGGACCAAACCAATGTCTACCTCACATATATTGATGTCGACCTGTAACTTCTGTTCCCCTAAAATGTGTAAAATCAAGCTATAATCCAAACACCTTGGGCATTGTTTTCAGGAGTTCCTGAGGCTGTGTCATGGGTCATGGTCTTCACATTTGGCTTAGAATAGAATTGGGCTTTTTTTTTTTTTTTGTCAACAACTGCTAGTTTCATCCTGGAAGAATGTGTAAGGACTCCAATGCTCAAGGTTTTCTTTTTTTCTTACCTTGTGCCCCTCTGCTGTTTCCTCTGCAGCTGAACAAGTGGCAGGCAGCCTGCTTTAAGGCCCTGCACTAAGGACCAGCCCCTCTGCTTGGCTTCCCAGCTCTAGGGATTTATCAGCCTCCTCCTCAGTGAGTGGTGAGGTCCCTGGAAAGAGAGATCATTTGGGTGGGGGTGGGCTAGCTGGGCCCTGACTACCAGGTGTGTGGCAGGCCAGGTCTCACTAATGCAGGCCTCCATAACAACTACTTCAGCACTGACTGAGTGGTTAAGTTAACTATTAAAAGCTGAAAGAGTCAGTGCCCTTATACAAAGGCTGCAATGTAACAAAACCCCACCAAGTGTTTTACCTAGGCCTTTCCTGGGCCTTGAAGCATGACAAAATAATAAAGGAATTCTTAATGAACCTGTTTAGGATTAAACAAGTTTCATTGAGGGTCTGAAGAAACTTCCCAGGTCTCCACAAACAAGCTTATTGGGGGTCTCAAGGAACTCCCCAAACCTCCTTGATTTAGCAGGTGACAAAATAAGGGTAATAACTCCAGCACCTGGACCCATTTAGATTAAGCAAATTTACTAAGTCTCCAGAGAAGGGTCTTCAGCACTCAGATTTTAGTTATAGATTAGAAGAAGTTAATCACTTATGTTTTTAGATGAATGCACACTTTCACATAGACATATAGCTTAGAAGGTATATAAGCTCTGGAAAACTGTAATTTTGAGTTGGTCTGGGGATAATTTTCAGATCTTCTCCTTGAACCCAGTTACAGAAACAAACACCATCCTTTCCCAATTGACCTTCATCTCATTATCGGGCCACAAGAATAAGTAGACCAACCCTTGGTTTGGTCTGGGAAACAATTTGGCAAGGCAGCCAGTAGCCACTGGGATGGTGCTGCATTCAGTGGCTAGCAGCCTGCAAAGAGACAGTCTTCAGGAGCATCCCAGCAGCTGCCAGGTAAGATTTTTCCGAGGACCCTCTTGAGGGCTACCTTGTCCATGAAACTGCACATCCGCTTCACTACTGGGAAAGAAAGGAAATCAGGAGCACTCAAAGGTTGATTTAACTGGATTGTATGCTGGGAGCCTATTGTTTTTCTATCTGGGCTTGTTAAGCCATTTGCCTGGTACCACTAGGGAAGCAATAGGGCTCACTCATACACCCACCTTGCATTTTGGTTAAAATCAGGTTTTAAGTTGGTTTTGAGTCTGCTCTGCCTGAGTGCACACAACCTTGTGTTTATCTGAAATCTGTCTTCACTCATTTGTGTATCTCTCTTGTCCCTTTTGATACCATGTAAGCTTAAAAATGGAAGATATTGGGTCTATTCCTGCTGGGAGCCCTCTGGGAAGGAAAAAGACTTTTTTAGGAGCTCAATGGTTAAGAGTCAGCTTAATTAAAAGCTGTCATCCAAAATGTGTGTATGTGTGCTTGTATTTAAAAGGCCTTCATGTTTTGTTTCTGTTTTTTTCTCTTCTAGGACCTTGTCTTTTTTTTTTTGAGCAGAAGTTTTTTCTTCTTAGTTGACTGAATTCTGTTTTGTTCATTAATAGCTATTGCAACAGAAGGTACTCCTGGGTTTTTAAGAAAAAGTGTAGTTTAGACACTTAGAAATGTCTTTGTTTGGGGAAAAAAATTTTTAAGTGCACTGTAAAAGCATCACATGATCCAGCCTCATAATAATTTTCCCATCTTGAAAACCTAAGGTTTTGCTATTTGATTTTTCACCTAAGAGTTTTTTTTTTCAATATGCAGATTTAGGGCTACTTATCTGACAACTGCCAGGGTAATAAACCAGGTTATCAAGAGTTTGCAAATCTAAGATAGGAAAAAATGAGATATTATGAATCTATAAGATGTACTGTTATTGACATGCTTAATACATCTATGTATTTATGTGTTGTGTACACAGTGTTTTACTACTGAAAATATATAAAAGAACTCTAATTAATTGGCTTAAGAAAATTAAAAGTTCTTAAGTGCTTTAACAGAAAAAAGGAGACTATTCAAATGCTTTTTCGTGTTTACGTGACTCAAGTAAAATCTTTGATAAATAAGTGAGCCTTAAAAATATTGGTAAAGTAACATTAGAAATGCCTGAAGATTTGCCAGGATACATTTTTCTTTGCATTTATTGATCAAGCAATTTCATGCTTATCACTGACAGATACTATAAGGTGTCAAAATTTGGCATAGAGTATACAAAACTTAAAACTCAGACCAAAAGAGAATGATCTTTGCTTGTGTAATTTTTAGTAAATAAAACACCAATATGGTTTAGTGAAGATAGTGAAAGGTGACAGCATGCTGGCAGTCCTCACAGCCCTCACTCGCTCTCGGCGCCTCCTCTGCCTGGGCTCCCACTTTGGCGGCGCTTGAGGAGCCCCTCAGCCCGCCGCTGCACTGTGGGAGCCCCTTTCTGGGCTGGCCAAGGCCGGAGCCGGCTCCCTCAGCTTGCAGGGAGGTGTGGAGGGAGAGGCGCGAGCGGCAACCGGGGCTGCACGGGGCGCTTGCGGGCCAGCTGGATTTCCGGGTGGGCGTGGGCTTGGCGAGCCCCGCACTCGGAGCGGCGGCTGGCCCTGCCGCCCTGGGCAATGAGGAGCTTAGCACCCGGGCCAGCGGCTGCGGAGGGTGTGCTGGGTCCCCCAGCAGTGCCGGCCCACAGCCGCTGCGCTCAATTTCTCGCCGGGCCTTAGCTGCCTTCCCGCGGGGCAGGGCTGGGGACCTGAAGCCGGCCATGCCTGAGCCTCCCCCCACTCCGTGGGCTCCTGTGCAGCCCCAGCCTCCCAGATGAGTGCAGCCCCCTGCTCCATGGCGCCCAGTCCCATCAACCACCCAAGGGCTGAGGAGTGTGGGCGCATGGCGCGGGACTGGCAGGCAGCTCCACCTGTAGCCCCCGTGGGAGATCCACTGGGTGAAGCCAGCTGGGCTCCTGACTGGTCGGGACTTGGAGAACCTTTATGTCTAGCTAGGGGATTGTAAATACACCAATTGGCACTCTGTATCTAGCTCAAGGTTTGTAAACACACCAATCAGCACCCTGTGTCTAGCTCAGGGTTTGTGAATGCACCAATCGACACTCTGTATCTAGCTACTCTGGTGGGGACTTGGAGAACCTTTGTGTCTACACTCTGTATCTAGCTAATCTAGTGGGGACTTGGAGAACCTTTGTGTCTAGCTCAGGGATTGTAAACGCATCAATCAGCACCCTGTCAAAACAGACCCCTGGGCTCTCTGTAAAATGGACCAATCAGCACGATGTGGGTGTGGCCAGATAAGAGAATAAAAGCAGGCTGCGCGAGCCAGCAGTGGTAACCTGGTAGGGTTCCCTTCCACGGTGCGGAAGGTTTGTTCTGTTGCTCTTTGGGTCCACACTGCCTTTATAAAGTGTAATACTCACCGCGAAGGTCTGCAGCTTCACTCGTGAAGCCAGCGAGACCACAAACCCACCAGGAGGAAGGAGCAACTCCAGACGCGCCGCCTTAAGAGCTGTAACACTCACCGCCAAGGTCCTCAGCTTCACTCCTGAGCCAGCAAGACCATGAACCCACCAGAAGGAAGAAACTCCGAACACATCCGAACATCAGAAGGAACAAACTTAAGACACGCCACTTTTAAGAGCTGTAATACTCACCGCAAGGGTCCGCGGCTTCATTCTTGAAGTCAGTGAGACCAAGAACCCACCAATTCCGGACACAATAGCTACATCTCGAATTATTTAGCAAAATACCATAACTTCTAGTCTTGTGGCTTTAGGCAGTCTAGTTCACAGGGGTGAAGGAGGTTTGTTTTGTTATCATCTTTGTTTCAAAGCTAAACTATAAACTACCTTAATAAGAATAGCTTGGAGGTCAGAAGCAAGAAGTCTTTTTCACTGTCTCAGTAATACTTTTGCAATGGCAGTTTTATAACATTAAATAACAACTATCACAGTTTTCCTGAATAATCTAGGTAAACAAATAATTAGGTAAATGTAATGGGATAAATACTTATAGACAAACTTGTCATAATCTGAAATCTAAAGTTACATTAAGTTAAACAATAGATATTATTTGGGTATTTTCCAATAAAAATATAGGAAAACATTCTTTATAAAAACTATCCTTTTAAAGGGTAAATACTTTTTGTCGAATTCAAAGCTTATTTAGTTATACATAAAACAAGGTAAAGGGAACCAGAAAATATGAGAGATATAAAGTTATAAAAACAGTTATTTTTGGTAAAAAGCTTGAAGAAAAATGACTTTACATAAAAGAGAATCTTGTATGGGAAATTTAGTCCTAGAATAAAATGACTGGTTGTTTTAGAAAGAGGTATGGTTAGAAAGAGGGATGAAAGTCCTGAAAGAATTTATGAAAGGGAATTTATACAAAAACATTGTACCATTTAAAGGTAATTAGGCCTCCTAAATGCTTCATAAAAGGCAACTATGACTCTTAACTGTACAACTTGTCTGCTTTACAGCTAGGTAAGGCCTGGGACACATGGAGTTAGATGCTAGAAAAAGTCAAACCTTATCTGCACTTCTGTCTAGGTCCTAGGCCCCACACCTGTTACATAATTAAAATCCCAAACTTACCAAAGTTTTCACTAGAAGTAAAATTTGCTAAGAGCTAACAGTGTAACATGTATTTGAGACTACTGAAGAGACAATTTTACATGCAAGTTGTGTAAAAAAATATACTTTTGGTAAAAAAAAGATTATAATAATGCGTGAGAATGTCGATTTTTTTGTCTAAAAGATTAAAGGATTGTTTTAAATAAAATAAAGCTGAAGGTTTAAGCAAGTTGTGGAAGGTTTATGAGAAAATTAATTGTAAAATAAATTGTGTGTGAACATATTGGCTAAATTTAAAGGGATATTACCCAGCTTTTCTGTAAATTGAACACTGAAATAAAAGCACAACAGGTTTCTCTTAGAACACTAAACTCCTCTTCAACAAAAATAGTAAAAGATTATAAAAGGTTTATGAGAATCTTACCTTATGATCAAACATTAAAATTGGGTAGATATGTCTATAAGGTTTTATTAAGAATTGGGTTTAACATTAATAGTACACTAATGTAAAGGTGAATTTTCACTTATGTGGTACAAAAATCATACAAAAAGCATTGTCAAATATAAAATGGTGTTTGGCTTACTTTGGGTTATATTTGTATAAATATGTTACTGGTATGTGTACCAAAGTTATGGGAAACTCCTATAATTCTGATATCTCAGTGTACATTATCAGTAATAATTATAATTTTTATGTTAAATTATTGTGTGTCACAGAGGTAACAGATTGTCAACTGTGTCTTTGACTATGGCCACCCTAAGACTTTTTGTCACCCATCAACAATTGTTGTCTTGTTTTGGTCCTCTTTAGAAGCTGGTTTTATAATCAACTATAAAGCTCTAACAGGTGCTCTTGAATGCAGGTTTCTTATCACTTTGGAGATTGTGACATCAGAATAGAGGAAAAATGTTCAGGACCCTTGGAGAGATAAAATGTTCATTAATATGAAGCAGGACAGGAATTAACTGCATGAGCTGAACGAATGGGAGACTGAAATAATCTTTTTGACTTTTTGCTTAAAACGTTGCTGTTTTGCTTTTAGAGTAAAAAAACCTTTTACACTCTTGACAGCTTTTAACAATTATGTAAAGTGGACCCTTAGGAACAATATTTGGAGCTTTTTTTTATCTCTACTTGATTTCTCCAGAATTTGTAAACTATTATGAATATGCTTAACTTATGGCAATATAGTTACTTGCATAAGTGCCATAAGAACCTGTTTACATTTATAACAGGACACAATTGGAAAAACGGGTTATTTTTACCAAGGCTTTGACGGGAATGATGTGCTTTTCTTTAAGGAATCAAACTGGACTTATAGAGCCAATAAAAGCCCATTGGGAAAGCCTCATACCTTGTCTACACAGTCCATGTACAAGGTTCCTGATTTGTGTAAGTAAAGAATGTCACTTTCTGACAGGCCAGGAGCCCCAAGTTATCTTAGAATTTCAAGAGGAGAGGAATTCACCCAACTCATAGATATTTGATGGTACAAATCCATGGCTAGGCTTGGCCTTAAAAGGTCTCATCTTAGATTCCTTCCATGGAACAAAGTTCCATCAAAGCCAATTTAAAAGGCTTATGTGAAAAATAATTATTCTTGCTGCACTTTACTCAAACAATCTGACCAATTATAATAAAGCAAATCAGGCCTACCATAATTTGTCTTTAGTAACAATTGGAAATTTGAGAGTAAAATAATGTTTCAAAAACTATAGTACACTAACCTTTGTTAGATTCTCATCTTGCCTAATGTTTTCTCAATTTTTATTATTTTGTGCAGTTTGGATTAAATTCTAATTTTCCTGGCTACAAATCTCCAAAAAGTGCTTTCAGTTTTTGTCTTTTTCTTTTTTTTTTTGTTCCCATTTTTCCTAATTGGAAATCACTGCAGCCTAAGCTGTGCCTTCTTAAAGCCCTGAAAACTGAAGACTAGATAACTTAAACTTCAGAAGAAAACAGCAGCAATCTACTTATATGTGTTGCTGTTGCATACTGTTATGTTTCAGCAGATGCTGCTCCTAAGCCCCCAAAATAGAGAGTACAACTGGCAACAAATTGACCTTTTCCACTCCAATGCTGCATTCGGTGCCCCATAACAATTACCCCCTCTCAGCAGGAAGTAGCTAGAAACATTATGATGCCCCATCTCCCTATGATTCTTATGATAAATAAATATACAAGCATGATAGAAATCATGCGCAAATTGACAGTGGAGATTATGGCAGGCCAGGTCTCCCTAATGTAGGCCTCCATAACAACTGTTTTAGTACTGACTGGTTAAGTTAATTATTAAAAGCTGAAAGAGTCAGTGCCCTTATACAAAGACTGGAATGTAACAAAAGGTCACCAAGAGTTTTGCCTAGGCCTTTCCTGGGCCTTGAAGCCTGACAAGATAATGAAGGAATTCTTAACAGGACCCATTTAGGATTAAACAGGTTTCATCTGAAGAAAGTCCCCAGGCCTCTACAAACAAGTTTATTGGGGGTCTGAAGAAACTCCTCAAAGCTCCATGTCTTAGCAGGAGATGAAGTAAGTGTAATCACTCCACATCTGCTTCCATTTAGATTAAGAAAATTTACTGAGGCTCCAGAGGAAGGTCTTCAGGACTCAGATCTTAGTTATAGATTAGAAGAAGTCAATCACTTATGTCTTTAAATGAATGGACATTTACATGTAGACATGTAGTTCAGAAGGTATATAAGCTCTGGAAAACTTTGTAATTTTGAGTTGGTCTGGGGATAATTTCCAGACCTTCTGCCTGTACCGGGTTACAGAAATAAACATCCTCCTTTCCCAGTCCATCTGCATCTCATTATTTGGCTGTGAGAATAAGCAGCCTGACCCTCAGTTTGGTCTTGGGGCAGGTGTGCTGTTCAGGTTCTGATGTCTTTGGAGAACGAAAAGACAAGGGCACTCCTTTATGATGTACAAATGCAGCATATTTGGTTGGAAATGGCCCTTTGGTGGTGAGGAGGCTGGGAATCCTGAGCCAGGGCAGTCTTGGCTGCATTAAGGGCACATTTACCAGGGAGGTGAGGCCACCTTTGCTTCATTGGCAGGAAAGGTAAGAGAGCCTGCAGTGTCCCTGCATCTGCTGCAGGGAGCTGGAGAAGAAAGTTGCTGCCATTATGAGTTCTATGAGTTCTAGACAGACATAGGGAAAGTAGATACAGCATGAGGAAAAGGAGTTTAGGTGTCATTGATGAGTTAAGAGGAAACTAGTTTGTTTTACAGTGTGATGATAGGAAGGCAATGTTAGAAAAATGGATAAAATTTTACGTTATGTGATATGGTTTTGCTGTGTCCCTACCCATATGTCATCATGAGAGGGACCCATTGGGAGGTAATGGAATCATGGGGGTGGTTACCCCCATGCTGTTCTTATGATAGTGAGTGAGTTCTCACAAGATCTGATGGTTTTATCAGGGGCTTTTTTCCACTTTGCTCAGCACTTCTCCTTCTTTCCTCCTTGTGAAGTAGGTGCCTTTCTTTCCCATCACCTTTTGTCATGATTGTAAGTTTCCTGAGGCTTTCCCAGCTATGCAAAACTGTGAGTCAACTAAACCTCTTTTCTTTATAAATTACTCAGTCTCAGGTACTTCTTCATAGCAGTATGAGAAAAAACTAATATAGTCAGTTGGCATTGAGGGAATGTGGCACTGCTATAAGGATACGGAAAAATGTGGAAGTGACTTTGGTACTGGATAACAGGCAGAGGTTGGAACAGTTTGGGAGGCTCAGAAGAAGATGGAAAAATGGGGAAAAGTTTGGAACTTCCTAAAGACTTGTTGAATGGCTTTGACCAAAATGCTGATAGTGATATGGACAATAAAGTCCAGGTTGAAGTGGTCTCAGATGGAGATGAGGAACTTGTTGGGAACTGGAATAAAGGTCACTTTTGCAATGCTTTAGCAGAGACTGGTGGCATTTTGCCCCTCCCCAGAGATCTTTGAAACTTTGAATTTGAGAGAGATGATTTATGGTATCTCCCAGAAGAAATTTTTTAGGTGGCAAAGTCTTCAACGGGAAGCATGGCATAAAAATTTGAAAAATTTGCAGTCTGGTGATATGACAGAAAAGAAAAATCCATTTTCTAAGGAGAAACTCAAGCCAACTGCAGAAATTTGCATAAGTAATAAAGAGCTAAATGTTAATCACCAAAACAATGAGGAAAATGCCTCCAGGGCATGTCAGAGGCCTTCAAGGCAGACCCTCCCATCACAAACATGGAGACCTAGGAGAAAAAAGTTTCCTGGGCCAAGCCCTGGGCACCCCTGCTCTGCGCAGCCTTGGAATATGGTGCCCTGCATCCCAGCCACTCCAGCTGTGGCTAAAAAGGGCCAGGGTACAGCTCAGACCCTTGTTTCAGAGGGCACAAGCCCCAAGCCTTGGTAGCTTCAACGTGGTGTTGCACCTGCAAGTGTACAGAAGACAAGAATTGAGTTTTGGGAACCTCCACCTAGATTTCACAGGATGTATGAAAATGCCTGGATGTTCAGGCAGAAGTCTGCTGCAGGGTTTCAGACCTCATGAAGAACCTCTGCTAGGGCAGTGCAAAAGAGAAATGTGGGGTTGGAGCCCCCACACAGAGTCACCACTGGAGCAGTGCCTAGTGGAGCTGTGAGAAGACAGCCCCCATCCTACAGACCCCATAATGGTAGATCCACCGACAACTTGAGCTGAGTGCCTGGAAAAGCCACAGACACTCAATGCCAGCTGTGAAAGGAAGTGAGAGTGAGATTGTACCCTGCAAAGCTACACGAATGGAGCTACCCAAGGCTGCAAGAGCTCACCTCTTGCATCAGTGTGACCTGGATAGGAGACATGGAGTTAAAGGAGATCATTTTTGAACTTTATTGTTTAATGACTGCCCTATTGGATTTTGAACTTCCATGTGGCCCGTAGCCCCTTTGTTTTGGCCTATTTCTCCAATTTGAAATGGGTGTATTTACCCGATGCCTGTACCCACTTTGTATTTAGGAAGTAACTACTTCTTTTTGACTTTACAGGCTCACAGGCACAAGGGACTTGCCTTGTATCAGATGAAACTTTGGACTTGGACTTTTGGGTTGATGCTGGAATGAGCTAAGACTTTCCAGGACTATTGAAAAGGCATGACTGTGTTTTGAAATGTGAGGACATGAGAATTGAGAGAAGCCAGAGGCAGAATTATATGGTTTGGCTGTGACCCCACCCAAACGTCATCTTGAATTGGAGTTTCCATAATCCCCACATGTCATAGGAGAAACCTGGTGGAAGGTAATTGAATGATGGGGGCAGTTATGCCCATGCTGTTCTTGTGATAGTGAATGAGTTTTCACAAGATCTGATGGTTCTATTAGGAGCTTTTTCCCCTTTCCTCAGCACTTCTTTTTTCTGCTGCCTTGTGAGGAAGGTGCCTTCCTTCCCCATCACCTTCTGCCATGATTGTAAGTTTCCTGAGGCTTTCCCAGCCATGTGGAACTGTGAGTCAATTAAACTTCTTTTCCTTATAAATTACACACTTTTGGGTATTTCTTTGTAGCAGAGTAAGAACCAACTGGATACATTATATGTAAAAGTTTTTAACTTTATATTATTTAAATACATTTTTAACTCCACCTTTATTACTACCACAAACTGCCTGGCTTGTTTTTCCTTCCTCTTCAGGATTAGCATTTCTGTAGATCAGAGAGCTCTTGCAGCCTTGCTTAGAGAGGTGTCCTATTACTGGTGAATTGCTTTAAGCCTCTAAAGAATTGCTAGTTTCTGTGCCAACAAATATGTTTTAAAGCTTGGCAGAAGATAGAAAGGTTTATTGTGTCTTGGAAAATTGACAAACCACAGAAAGATGAAATAAAGTCTCATCAAATTTTCTGGGTCATTGTGCCCAGATTTATGGTCATGCATTATTTTGACTGTTTCAGTGTGGATGTTTGGGAATGAGATTAACATTTAAATCAATAGACTGAATAGAGCAGATTGTCCTTCATAATGTTGGGAGGCCTCATTCAGTCAACTGAAGCCCTTGATAGAACAAAAGGCTGACCACCCTGAGCAAGAAAACTTCCCTAGGAGATTGCCTTCAGACTTTATCTGCAACACTGCCCCTTCCTGGTTTTCTAGCACTCTGCCTTTAGACTCAAACTTCAAGTATTTCCTGATTCTCCAGCCTCATGGCCTCCCATAACATATTTTGAATTCACCAAGCCTCCACAGTCACATGAGCCAATTCTGAAAATGTGGTTTGTGTGTGTGTGTGTGTGTATACTATCGGTTCTGTTTCTCTAGAAAACCTGACTACCAATACAAGGATTTCTTAAAATCTAGGAATGGGTCACTGGAAGGAAATTCACCAGGAGTCCTACTTCCTCCTGCACTTCTAACACCCCTACCAAGTGGCTGTGCCTGTGTATATATATATGCTTCACCACTGACAGGAATCTCACTGTGTCCCAAAGCTTCTATTCCTTTTTTGGATGACTCAAACTATAGAAAGCTCTTTTAATATAATGAGTCCAAACCTGCCATCCTGTATCTTCCTCAACTGATATTAGTTTTTATCTGGAGGTCAATCCTTACGAATATGACTCCTCATTTATGCAATGGCTATTCAGAGCCGAGTAGAGGTAAGTACCTGATTTGTCTCCTTCTGCAGTTTTTTGGCACATGTACCAACTATGGTGTCTCTGGATCTCCCCACCTCTTATGGTCTTGGGGGCTGGGAAGGTTGGATATTTCTGGAGATGGTGAGCAACAACACACTGCACCCCCAATCTCCTGGGAAAGAAGTGTCCTCAGAACTGGGCACACTCATATTTTGGCATTATGTTAAGCCCAACAGACTCCTCCAAAATCTGAGGTGACAGTTTTCTGGTCCTTGAAGTTTCTGACCACACAGATAAGGCTGGCATTGAGCTGCATCAACTCAGGCAGGCTCACAGTCAGGGTCCAGGGGTTGGCGGCTGATCTCGATATCCCACTCTGCTCCAGCTTCTTGGGGAGGCCCTTGCTCTCCCAGGTCACATTCAAATCCTTTGCGGTCCCTAGGGCCTTGCCCTCCATGGTGATGTTGCACCAGTCTGCTGTGATGGTTGGTGACTCAGCCAGGGTTGGGGAAAAAAGGGAACAAAATTATTATTGCATTTGAAGAGTACGTTCTTTGTCTATGATCTCAATAGTTTCAGAGCACCCTGCTAGGCAGACAGGGCATTTTGCAGCCAAAGAAACTGAAGCTTGGAGAAGTGAAACAGTTACACAAAGTCAAATACTGTGGAAGCCCCAGATTTAGAGAAGGACACATAGCCAAGCCTCTCAGCTCTCCCATTATCTGTACACTTTGCCCAAACCACACAGCTGGACTTATTTTCATTTGTTCTTCACACTTATCCTCAAATACTTCACAAACCCTGAAGCACTTGGAGGGTACAATGAACCCTCTTGGGGAATAATTTCCACGTGCAAAATCTGCAAAGCCATTTCTGGAAACTAGTTATAAGACTCGTAAGCTCTCATTTATACTGGTAGCATAAACAGTTAAGATTTGAAAATAAGAGGAAGATAATTCATTTGGAGAAAGCTATGCCATGAATCCCCTCCCACCCACGGTGCCTGTCCCTCATCTCAAGCCTGGTGAGAGGGGTGTCAGTGAGACCATTCAGAGAGTTTGATGCATGTGCATTTGAGTCCTCAATAGGGATGCAAGTTTCCCCACTGGCAGTCCTGACTCTGCAGCCATAGGCTGTTTCAGCAGCAACTCCCTCTTTGAGTTTCCCAGGTATGAGTCAGGTACCTGTCCAGTGCATCCCCAAGCTGCATCAAAGAACCAGGGACCAAATAGAAAAAAAAATGGCCACCCTGATTGCATTACCTGTGAGAAGGTAGGTGGCAGATCCTCAGCATACGGAGGGAGGGAGCTCCAAGAAACCTTTGAAAATGCTACATGACAGAAGGGGTAAACCTAAATTTTATCAAGCCTAGAGCACCAACTGCTTGTTGACCGCAATAGGGCTAGTCAACAGAGGGTTTTCTTGTTACCTCCTCCAAGAGTTGCATCCACTTTACATGAAGTCTTTTCAAGCATTCTAATTTTCATCCATGGTCAGAAGACCCAGACATTGTCTTCTCCACTGCCTAACTATTTTACACACTCATGTGCCTATGTTTAGGTCCTCACCCAATTGTGCCAAGAGACCCATGCCCTTTTGTCAATTCTTATCATGAGTAAATTGAGGGAACCTCAGTCACCTTAGGCATTTGGTGGACTGGCTTCTCATAGTCATCTTTGCCCTCCGACTTTCAAAATTTCCACACAGTAGGGTCAATAAACAGATTAGCTTAACACCCGTCAATATTGGAGAACTTGCAGTAATTTCCATCTTCCTAGATAGAGTACCTCCACCTGCCACAACTCTCCTTTCATGTCTGTGGACTAGACTGCCTAAGGCCACAAGATTAGAAGCTAGGGTATTTTACTAAATAGTTTAAGATGTAGCTATTTTCATTAAACCAATATTAATGTTTTATTTATTAAAAAATTACACATGCAAAGATTATTTTTTGGGCTGAGTTATAGTTTTGTAGCCTTTTTGCCAAATTTTGACACCTTATAGTATTTGGCAGAGATAAGTATGAAATTGCTTGATTAAAAATGCAAACAAAAATGCATGCTGGCAACTTTTAAGACATTTCTAATTTTACTATACCAGTAAGTTTAAAAAATTAAAGTCACGTGAACTGAATGATCACAGCTTTTACCTTTTCCTTAAAATTTTTTGATTTAAGTGTATTGTTCTTAGGCCTATTAATTAAATCATTTTAAGTAGATATTGCATACCTAACACATATATAGCCACACAGACAACCAGAAGAAGATTCGGTAGTTATAAGATCTTTCTTTTGCTAATTTCCCAATTGGATTTTGGCCTTTGGGTGAGGCCCTTTAAGAACGGGGCCAGGAAAACAGTTTTTAGGGCCAAACAAGTACAGCTGGAAGACAAAGACAAATTTTGAGAGGTACTTATTTACCTTTAATTCCAGGGGTTCCATAAGGAAAACAGATTTTTTCCCAAATGGGATTTGTGGTGACTTTTCTGTTTTCCCAAGAAGTCCCAGGCCACCAGAAGTCATTTTAGGGTTTTTTATACATGCAAAATAGTGGCAAGACAGAGTGGAGAAAAGTAATTCAGTTAACTGGGAAAAAACCTTTTCCAGGAAAACAAGATTGGTGAAGAGAAAAACATAAAGGCCTTTGAATATACTTACAACTTTGATCTGCGACAAATCAGACATGGAGAAAGGGACATGAACGCAAGCAATGTATTCAGCCCCAGCCACTTCCTGGAAAGGAAGAATGAGTTAAAAGGAGTTTTGGAGGAGAGAGAGACCTGGGGAGGGTTTTTATTAAGAAAGATTTTATGAGAGCTGGAAGCTTGACACAGTGAGGGATGGGATTTAAGGTAGAAGTAGAAGAAAGCCTGAACATAGAGAACCTCTTGCCATTTGCCATTCCTGGTTATAAAGTTGTCAAGGTTCCTGAGAATTTGCAAGTTAAAGGTGCCATTTTTGGGCCATCGGCTGTCATTATCTAATGTGTATTGGGGTTGGGCTGTGTTGTAATAAAAGACTAAATGCTTAAGCCAAGTTTGGTGAGGTTGTGAAGGAGACAGCACAGTGGAGAGGGTATAGGAATGTGGGATTGTTTGGCACCCATGTGGACTTGTGAGAAGAAGCTGAGGGTGTCTCTTTTTGTTTTAGGCATCCCCAGACAAAAGACAGAGACTCGAAATCCTTTCTCTAAAGAGGACAGTCAAGCTGAGAAGAAATTGGGTGTCCCCCCAGATTTCCTCTAGCTTAGTCCCACTGGTCCTTCAAGGACTGGGACAGCAGATCTGACTTTCCCAGGTACTGAGATAAAGCCAGGGGAGGGCAGATCTTATTATTCAGCTGGATTAATGTCTGATGTTGGGTGTTCTGGTTAGAATCGGCAAAGGGTCCTTCAGGCTGGAGCTGCACAAGGAAGAGAGAAAGAGAGAAAGAAGGAGAAGGGAAGATAAGGAGGAGGAGGGGAGAGAGTGAAATACCCATTGTGGGTGGTTAGAGGTGGATTCCTGAGATTTGAGGGTTTAGAGAACTCGCTGGGGAGTAGCCCCGGCCAGAGCCTCACAGTCCCCTTTAGATTAGTTGTCCTCCTCACCCAAATTGCTTGAAAAGTGAAGTGAGAGAAAAGATGAGGCAGATGGCCAGAGACCCTCAGGATCCAGGACTTAACTTAGGATGAGCTGCCATTGCCTATTGCTTCCTGGGTTGCAAGAGAGCCTCTGCCATCAGCACCCGTCCCAGGTTTCAGCACCAAATGTAAGACTTAAAGAAAGAGGAAAGAAACACAAAATGCAGCTGACAGTTAAAGACAGGTTTACTTTAGATAAAACATGAGAGGGGTGTCTGGCTGATTTTTGGTTTTGAGTGCTTTTGTTTTTTTACAGACTAAGAGTATATATTGGTTTTAGGGTGAAGGGGCTTATTGCAAGCTTGGAATGTTTTTGTGTGAGGGAGAAGTTTTATAGAGGGGTTGGAATGTCTCTGGAAGGAGGGGAGGTTATTTTGGGGCAGACATCTTTCCAGCAGGAGTGGGGTTATTTGGGGACTGACATCTTCCTGGCCAGAGTGGGGTTATCTTGGGACTAGCATGTCTCTGGTTGAGGAAGAGTTTGAAATGTTTTTGGTTGGAGATGTTATTTGTTGTTTATGATCATGTTGATCTTAGCCATTAGACTGATGCCCTTTGGATTTAGGCAGTTTTTGTTTAAGGTGAATTTTAAAATGAGGTGCTTGTTCATGATGGTGATGCTCCTGCTTTGTCACCTTTATCCCAAGTGAATAGCAATACAGATATAATAAGCAAATGATATAGTAAACAAATGATACAGTAAGCAAATGATATAATAAGCAAATTGCAATGAGAAGGGGAAAAGGGAAAAGATATCTACATATTTACATTCAACAGATTATGGAGGATTCATCACCAGACTGGAAAGCAACAGCCTGGGCTCCAGAGTTGGACACTACACTCACCAGACTATGGAGGATTCATTATCAGCCCAAAAAGCAGCAGCCTGGGCTCCAGAGTTGACCACTACACTCACCAGACTATGGAAGATTCATCACCAGACTGGGAAGCAACAGCCTGGGCTCCAGAGTCGGTCACTCATCCGTGCACAGACAAGGAGAGGGCTCATGAAGCTTTGACACAGCCTGGGACCCTAGCTCTTCTTGTAACGAGTTGTTCGGCATGAGGCCCAGTCATGAGGGCCCTTTGCGACTGGGATCAAGGAACACAAAAAGGTCAACTTGTTTTTGTGATTGTCTGTTGTTTTTCAATAACTAAGGTATAGGAATAGATTGAAATAGAGATTCCTCTGAAACAGTGCTGAATGAATGCATCAAGGGGCTCATACAACCTGTTCTGGAACTTGATGACTTTTGTTTGTGTCCATGTTCAATTGAGTTCAAATTTAGTATTTAACTTTTCCTCCACATTTGGCCTCAATTTGATACTCAATTGTAGGAAAATACCCTTACAGATACATGGGAAGGCATAGTTGTTATAGATTACAGATACAGGGCAAGCACAGGAGGATTAAAGACATAATTAATAAAAAACTATACCTACCACGGCCAATGCCAATGCCAGTTAGACAGCCAGTCCAAGATGGGGTGCTGATGGTTAGATTCTAACTGTTTTACTTGTTTTTGCATATCTTGGGCAAGGACAGTAATATTGTGAGAATCATCAGGAATATACACACAACATTCAGTATGCAGTAAGGTGCAAACCCCTCCTTGGGCTGTGGTAAGCATAGGTAATGCCATTCAATTTTGTAACACAACAGTATGAAGCTGAGCAAATTCATCCAATAAAAACATAAGCCCAGTGCTACTATCATTAAGAGCTTTTTCTACATGTAAGCTTAATATTTTAATTTGTTGTTGTAGCAGGATTATACCAGTGGCAGGGGAGAATACTGTGATAGGGTACCACCACCAGGGAGTCCAGTGCATTTGTAACCAGCGAGGTTTGTAAGCATCTAGATTACTGGGGAGGGGGATATTATCCTGGACCGTGAATGCAATTAATGGCCACCCCTAAGTGCATGTCTCCATCCAATGTCGGGGCAGGTATCACCACCCATAGGATCCGCATACCCAGAGGGCCCCCAGGAGACAGCAATGGTTTTACTGTAATTATAGTGTATATGGTGTTACTAAAGTAGGAAAGAGATTGTGTTTCACTGGGGGAGAAATTGACAATTGACAATTGTCTGGTGGGAGAAACCCCAGAGTGGCATTGGAGGAGCCATTTAAGGCCTCCAAACAAAGTGGGGCTATATGGAGTCCAGCTACCAGCACAGCAGGCTCCCAGTATAAGCCTTTCCAGGCATATTGGGCAGCATAACAAAGCTTTTGATGCAAGGCATCAAAAGGGTGGAGTTCACCTTTCACCTGACTTGGGCAAAGATAGATTGCTTGGTTTGGTCAAAGGATGTCCGGGTTGGATTGCAAGTGTTGTTTTTGTGGCCCCATTGGTAGTGACATAGCCATTCGGAAATGTTGGCAGGGATGACTCTCCAGGGTAGTCCATTTCCTGCAGCCTCTCGCAATTCAACTCTTAGCCAGCAGTGGTTACTCAGTTGATGAACTCGTTTTCGTCCTCAGACATGACTCTCTAGGTAGTCATTACTAGCAGACAGGTTATTCTCTGTAGTAACAAAAACAGAGAGAAACATGATTTTTTTTTCCTTCTTCTTTAGAAAATTGTATTACCTCTTCATTTTCTGCCCCCATAGCTATAAGATCACCAGCCCTAGGGGGCGGGATCTGTTGGGTGCTTTACCCATACTTTGGCCCCAGGACTTAAATGTCCACTTAAGTCCCAGGACTTAAGCCCACTCCGGTGGACCCAAATCTCCAGTTGTATATGTTGTTTCTATTGGGGCAGAAATTTCCTCTGGGGTAAACTGCTGACAGGGTGCTACCAGTAGCTGGGCAATCTGCATGTGCAGCTTTATGGCAAAAGAATCTGAGGTAGTATTGTATGATTTTTAACTCTCCCCAGTAATCACTATCAATTATACCATCATACACTGTAATGCCTCTCACTGCAAGGCTTGAACGTGTTGTAATCCATTCATCCGCATTCAAGTTTGCAGTTGTGGTGGCAATTTTGGCCTGTTGATCTGCCTGTGATTAAACAGTCTTCTAAGAGAAAGCAGAGATGCATGAGCATCAATATGGAAAACAGTGATAATGGTGGTGTGCCCCAGGATTTAGATATCTTCCTAGTATTCCTAGTATTGTTTTCCCCAAACCTCTTTATTCCCAGTTAATCATTTGTTTTGTTTACTGCCAATCCAGGCAGTAAGACCATTTGCTACTGACCAAGAGTTGGTATACAAGTGAAAAATCCCTCTGGCCTCCTCCTGAATAGCTCAGAGGATGGCTACCAATTCAGCCAGCTGGTTGCTCCCACCCCTTTCTTCATCAGAAATGCGTATTTTTTTTAACAGGATTATAAGCCATGGCCTTCTAGCATTGGGTCCCACCAACATATTTGGTGGATCCATCAATAAACCAAAAATGTTTCTGATCCTTTGGGCTTAGTTCTTTAAAGTATTTTTCCCATTGGATGGGGAAAGATCCCCATCTGCAGGACTTGCTCAGTGGTTTCCTGAGTTGGCAAATTTTGTAAAAACAATACCCCCTTTGGTCCTGGCTTAGCCCTATCTTGTATATACCATTTCCGTTTTATAAAGCTACTTTTTTGAGCGTGCCCTGTTCAATGGGTTTTGGGGGAGCTCATGACCCAAGTCATAATAAGAATTTCAGGCCTCATAAAGACATCATGGTTGAAGCAGAGGTGCTCTGTTTCCAGCAAAGCCCAACAGCAAGCTAACAGTTGCTTTTCAGAAGGGTTATAAGCTTTGCCGGCCTCTGGCAGCTTCCAGATCCAAAACCCCAAGGCACCCTCTTCCCATCTTGTTTTTGCCAAGGGCTCCAATCAGCGTGTTGATCTAGGACAGTTACTTGCAGTTACGGCCCATCCTGTAAGGGCCATAGATCCAGGGCCAGTTGCACCGCTTGTTTAGCTTGTTCAAAGCCATGTTCTCTTTCTTTCCCCAGTGAAAGCCATAGTGTTTTCTATAGAGTGACTGCATGAAGAGCTTGTAAAATGTTACTCAAGTGGGAAATATGATGTCTCCAGAATCCAAACAAGCCAATAAATTTTGGGCCTCCTTTTTAGTGGTAGGTGTTGCAAATCTAGTATTTTAGCCTTAGTCTTTGGTAAAATTGACTGTTTCCCTGCATTCCATAGGATGCCAAGGAACTTTACAGTTTGTGCAGGTCCTTGAATTTTACTAGGGTTAATTTCCCATTCTTGAGATAGGAGCTGGGTTTTTATCTGCTCCAAGTCCCGGCTAACTAATTCTTCAGTTTTACCCTGACCTGGCAACTCGGACAGCTGCTTTTTTTCAGCAATAAGCTGATAGCTTTGAGGCTGATGAGTCAAGACATAGGTCTGGCATTGGGTCAGGACCAGTCTGCAAGTCAGATTAGCATTTTCCTTTTCCAGCTTACATTTCTCTTGTAGCAACCAGTCCCTACCTTGATATATTAACTTATAAGGAGTAAGCAAGCCCCATCCCCACCAGGAAATTCCCTCAGTGTCCCCTTTACCAACTGGGATTCCCTGCAGTGCCTCATGCACAGCCAGTGGTTTATAATGCACTAATTTAGATTCCCAGTTTTCACAAAGGCCAGTTCCCCTGGACCATATAATCGCCCAGAGGGGAGAACTAGGGGAGTTCCCATCCGGGATATGGGAAGTCCTTGAGCCTCCAGCTCTGTTCTTTCGGCTAAAAAATGACATACTTTTATTTTTGAATCCTGTTCATGACACCAAAAAATGTTCTGTGCAGGAAACATGCAAAGGGGAAAGAAAAGACACACACAATACCTTTAAGGGTAAACAGCCTTTATCCCAAGTATATGGCAATACGGATTTAATAAGCAAATGATATAATAAGATAATTGCAATGGGAAGGGAAGAAGGAAAAAGATATAAATATATATTCACCAGATTATAGAGGAATCATCACCAGATGGGGAAGCAATAGCCTGGGCTCCAGAGTCAGCCACCCATCTGTGCACAGAACAAGGAGAGGTTTCATGAAGCTTTGGTGTGGCCTGGGACCCTAGGTCTTTTTGTAAGTTGTTCGGCATGAGGCCCAGTCATGAGGGCCCCTTGAGACTGGGCTCAAGGAACACAAAAAGGTCAACTTGGTTTTGTAATTGTCTGTTGTTTTTCAATAACTAACATATAGGAATAGATTGAAATAGAGATTCCTCTGGAACAGTGCTGGATGAATGCATCAAGGGGCTTACACACCTGTTGGTGACCATTGTTTGTGTCCACTTTCAATTGTGTATTTAACTTTTCCTCCACAGCATGTAGGAAAGGGGAAAATGCCAAAGATCATCTTCCAGCCTAACAAAAAAATTTACAAGTAACCTATACGTTTCAGAAACCAATGAGGTTCATTTAAATATTATTAGTAGGTTAAAAGTTATTCAGTAAGAAAGCTAGCCAGGGTACAGATGATTTTGTATAGATTAAAGGGTATTATAACAGGACATAGCAACAGCACTGAAACCCAAGTGTCTTGTGCATTACTGTCCTGAATTCCTGGCTTCTCTGTCAAAAATGACAGCCTGGACTCCACTCATCACACCACCCTAAGCAGCAGGACGGGGAATCAAATAAGGGCAGCCTCTTCCTTTCAGGACATGTCCCAGGGGCATCTCAAAACACTTCCACTAACAATGCATCCGTTCCTGGATTTCTATGAGTTTTTTTCTAAGTGGAAATTTAGTTGTATTGATGTAGTTTGGACATTTTGTCCCCTCATGTTGAAATGTGACCTGCAATGTTGGAGGTGGGCCTAGTAGAAGGTGTTTGGGTCATGGGGGTGGATTCCTCATGAATGGCTTGGTGTCCTTCTTGCAGTAATGAGTGAGTTCTTGCTCTGAGGTCATGTGAGATCTGCTTGTTTAACAGTGTGGCGTCTCCCTCACCCGTCTTGCTCCCTCTCTCACCATGTAACATTCTAGCTCCTCTTTACCTTCCACCATGATTGGAAGCTTCCTGAGGCTTCACCAGGAGCAGATGCCACTGCCATGCTTCTGTACAGCCTGCAGAATTATGAGCCATAAATAAAGCTCTTTTCTTTATAAATTAACCAGCCTCAGGTATTATTCCTTTCTAACAATGACAATGAACCACACAAACACTTTAGTTATAACGAGATAATATGCGACTCATCTCTTTAAACCTGCTTGCTAATTAATGTACTGGGGTTCACAAATAGGTCTTTCCAATGTTAAACCATTCTTTGATTCCAAGGATGAATCCAATTTGGTTTGGGGGCTGGTTTTTGTTTTTGTTTTTTTGGTTTTTTTTAAATATCTAAACATTACTAGACTTGGTTTCTTAGTATTTTGTTTACCATTGTTATCTCTATGTTCATAAGTGAGATTGAACTATCATTTTCCTTTCTCTTCCTTTCCTGTTGTACTGGATTTTGTAGCAATTTTAAACAAACTTCATCAAATGCATTGCAGAATATTCCTTCTTTCTCATTCTTCTTAATAGTTTGTATGAGATTTGGTTTATCTGTTGCTTGAACGTTGGTGGGAGTGAGTATGACCGACTCTCTCACCTCCTTCTACTCTGAAAATCTCACCTTCTCAGTGAGGCCTCCTTGGTTTCTGTTTCAAAGAGCAATGTGCCAGTCCTCCCCTCACTCCCAGAATTCCTGATCCTCCTTACCTTGCTCTAATTTTATTTTTTCCATAACGACTCACACTTTTTACATACTGTATATTTTTATTACATGAAATTTTATCTATCTGTCACCTCCTCAACTAGAATATATATTCTAGGAGAGCAGGTGCTCTCTGTTGTGAGCACTGATGTATCCCAAAATCCTAGAAGGATATCAAATGCAGGTGTATCTGTAGGATAGTTTACACTACTTGCTATAACAACCACCCTGGAATCTTGGAATTTTAGAAAATAAGAATTTATTTCCTAATTACATCATTTCTGTTACATTGAGCAGCTCTCCCTGGCAGTTTACGTTCAAGCAGTGACTTGGCACACAGGCTCCTTCCATTACCTGACAATACCACACAGGAGTCCTTTGCTTGAAGCCACTGGGACAAGGAAAGTCAGGCATTTCTTTTGTGTCTGACCCTGGATCTTAAGAAACCACATTCCATTGATCAAAATTCAATCACATAGTTCACCAAACTGCAGAAGAGTCTGGAGAGAATGTAATCTTCCAATGTGGCCAGGAAAATACAAAGGAAATCATTTGATGAACATTACCTCTACCCTCATAGATGTTCAAGTAAAAACTGCTGAGTGAATTGAATTAATTTACTTCTGTAACTGTTTGGGTCTGCTTTGGTCTTGTTCTTCCTCAGGTAGACGTGTAATTTGTAATTTTTAAAATAATAGTACTTTGTGGTTATATTTCTTCTTGGGACTGTATTAGTAGGTTATATTTTTCTAGAAAATTATTCACTAAACTGTTCAAGTATATTACCCTGAGTTATTTATAGTATTAGCATTCTTTTTGTAATCTCTGCTGCCTGTATTGCTGTGTTCTGTTTTTTATTTCTAAATTGTATTTCAGTGGGGTGTTAAAGTTCCCCACTATTACTGTATGGGAGTCTAAGTCTCTTTGACAGTCTCTAGGAACTTGTTTTATGAATCTGGGTGCTCCTGTATTGGGTGCCTATATTTTTAGGATAGTTAGTTCTTCTTGTTGCATTGATTCCTTTACCATTATGTAATACCCTTCTTCTTTTTTTTTTTCTTATCTTTCTTGGCTAAAAGTCTGTTTTATCAGAGACTAGGATTGCAACCCCTGCCTTTTTTGTTGTTGTTGTTTTCCATTTGCTTGGCAAGTATTTCTCCATCACGTTACTTTGAACCTATGTGTGTCACATGGGTCTCCTAAATACAGCACACCAATGAGTCTTGACTCTTTATCCAATTTGCCTGTCTGTGTCTTTTAATTGGGCATTTAGCACTGGGGCATTTGGCCCACTTACATTTAAGGTTAATATTGTTATGTGTGAATTTGACCCTGTCATCATGGTGCTAGCTGGTTATTTTGCACATTAGTTGAGCCAGTTTCTTCATAGTGTCATTGGTCTTTATATTTTGGTGTGTTTTTGCAGTAGCTGGTACTGGTTTTTCCTTTCCATATTTACTGCTTCCTTCAGGAGCTCTTGTAAGGCAGGCCTGGTGGTGGCAAAATCCCTCAGCATTTGCTTGTCTGTTAAGGATTTTATTTCTCCTTTGCTTATGAAGCTTAGTTTGGCGGATATGAAATTCTGGGGTGAAAATTTTTTTCTTTAAGAGTGTTGAATATTGGCCCCCACTCTCTTCTGGCTTGTAGGGTTTCTGCAGAGAGATTGCTGTTAGTCTGATGGGGTTCATTTGCAGATAACCTACCTTTCTCTCTGGCTGCGCTTAACATTTTTTTCCTTTGTTTCAACCAGTCTGGTGATTATGTGTCTTGGGGCTTCTCTTCTCAAGAAATATCTTCGTTGTGTTCTCTATATTTTCTGAATTTGAATGTTGGTCTGTATTGCTAGGTTGGGGAAGTGCACCTGCATGATATCCTGAAGTGTGTTGTCCAACTTGGTTCCATTCTCCCTGTCACTTTCAGGTACACCAGTCCATCGTAGGTTTGGCCTTTTCACATAGTCCCATATTTCTTGGAGGCCCTGTTCATTCCTTTTTATTCTTTTTTCTCTAATCTTGTCTTCCCACCTTATTTCAGTTAGTTGATCTTCAATCTCTGATATCCTTTCTTTTGCTTGATTGATTCAGCTTTTGATACTTGTGTATGTTTCATGAAGTTCACGTGCTGTGTTTTTCAGCCCCATCAGGTCATTTATGTTCTTCTCTAAACTGGTTATTCTATTTAGCAGTTCCTGTAACCTTTTATCAAAGTTCTTAGCTTCCTTAAATTGAGTGAGAACATGCTCCTTTAGCTCAGAGGAGTTTGTTATTACCCACCTTCTAAAGCCTACTCCTGTTAATTTGTCAAACTCATTCTCCATTCAGTTTAGTGCCTTTGCTGGAGAGGAGTTACAATCATTTGGAGGAGAAGAGGCATTCTGGTTTTTGGAATTTTTAGCCTTTTTTTGCTGATTTTTCCTCATCTTTGTGGATTTATCTAACTTTGATCTTTGAGGCTGATGACCTTTAGAGGGGGGTTTTTTGGGGGTTGCTTTTAGTTGATGTTGATGTTGATGTTATTGCTTTCTGTTTGTTAGTTTTTCTTCTAACAGTCAGGCCCCTCTTCTGCAGGTCTGCTGGAATTTGCTGGAGGTCTACTCCAGACCCTGTTTGCCTGAAGTGGAGGTTGCAGAAAAGCAAAGATTGCTGCCTGCTCCTTCCTCTGGAAGCTTTGTTCCAGAGGTGCACCCACGTGATGCTAGCTGGCACTCTCCTGTATGAAGTGTCTGTTGACCCCTGCTGAGGGGTGTCTCCCAGTCAGGAGGCACCCGGGTCAGGGACCTACTTGAGGTGGCAGTGTGTCCCTTAGCAGAGCTTGAGCGCTGTGCTGGGAGATCCGTGGCTCTCTTCAGAGCCAGCAGGTAGAGACATTTAGGTCTGCTAAAGCTTCACCTACAGCAGCTCCTTCCCCTAGTGTCTCTGTGCAATGGAGATGGGAGTTTTATCTATAAGCCCCTGACTAGGGCTGCTGTCTTTCTTCCAGAGATGTCCTGCCCAGTGAGGAGGAATCTAGAGAGGCAGTCTAGCCACAGCCACTTTGCTGCACTGTGGTGAGTTCCACCCAGTCCGAATTTCTCAGTCTCCTTAATGCTGTCAGGGGAAAACTGCCTACTCAAGCCACAGTAATGGCGGACGCCCCTCCCCTCACCAAACTCGATCATCCCAGTTTGACTTTAGACTGCTGTGCTGCCAGTGAGAATTTCAAGTCAGTGGTTCTTAGCTTGCTGGGCTCCATGGGAGTGGGACCCACTGAGCAAGACCACTTGGCTCCCTGGCTTCAGCCCCCTTTCCAGGGGAGTGAACAGTCCTGTCTCGCTGGGATTCCAGGCACTGCTGGGGTATGAGAAAAAAAACTCCTGCAGCTAGCATGGTGACTGTCCAAACAGCCGCCCAATATCGTGCTTGAAATCCAGAGCCCTGGTGATGTAGGCACATGAGGATATCTCTTGGTCTGCGGGTTGCAAAAACCATGGGAAAAGCATACTGTTTGGGCCAGATAGCACAGTCCCTCACACCTTCCCTTGGCTGGGGGAGGGAGGGCCCTGGCCCCTTGCACTTCCATGGTGAGGCAACACCCCACCATGCTTCTGCTCACCTCCATGGGCAGCAGTCGTTGTCCATCCAGTCCCAATGAGATGAACTGAGTACCTCAGTTGCAAATGCAGAAATCACCTGCCTTCTGCATTGGTCTCACTGGAAGCTGTAGACCAATGCTTTTCCTATTCAGCCATCTTGCCAGATGCCCAATGTTGTTCCTTTTCATGGCTGCATAGTATTCCATGGTGTATATGTACCACAGTTTCTTTATCCAGTCTATCACTGATGGGCATTTGTGTAGATTCCATGTCTTTGTTATTGTGAATAGTGCTGCAATAAACATATGCATGCATGTATCTTTATAATAGAATGATTTATATTCCTTTGGGTATATACCCAGTAATGTGATTGCTGGGTGAAATGGTACTTCCTGTTCTATGTCTTTGAGGAATTGCCACACTGTCTTCCACAATGGTCGAACTAATTTACATTCCCATCAAAAGTGTAAAAGCATCCCTGTTTCTCTGCAACCTTGCCAGCATCTGTTTTTTCTTGACTTTTTAATGATCACCATTCTGACTGGTCTGAGACAATATCTCATTGTCGTTTTGATCTGCATTTCCCTAATGATCAACAATGTTGAGCTTTTTTTCATATGTTTGTTGGCCACGTGTGTGTTTTTTTAAGAAGTGACTGTTCATACACTTTTCCCACTTTTTAATGGGGTTGCTTTTTTTCTTATAAATTTGCTTAAGTTCCTTATAGATTCTGGATATTAGACCTTTGTCAGATGGATAGATTGCAAAAATTTTCTCCCAGTTCGTAGGTTGTGTGTTCTCTCTGATGATAGTTTCATTTGCTGTGCAGAAGCTCTTTAGTTAAATTAGATCCCATTTGTCAATTTTTGCTTCGTTGAGGCCTTCTTTGCATATTTGTCATTGAAGGGCAGCTGGATAAAATGCACCCTGCCTCACTTCCTGGTGATAAGTGGTGCTGAGGGAGGTAGAGCAGGAAGGAAGGAGAAAGAGCGGGGAACCAGGAGGAGGATGCAGTTTGAAATGGGGAAGGAGGGCCAAGGTAGACTCAACTGAGTAGAGAGCATTCCTGCAAAGACCTGAAATAGGACAGGAAATGAGACAGGCAAACACCTGGAGGAAGAGAATTCTAGGCACAATCAAAGGCCTTGAGGCAGGAGCATGCCTGGTCTGTTGAAGGAAATAGAAAAAACCCCAGTGTCTTAGAGTAGATTGAGGAAAGAGGGGAGCATGGGCTATGAGGTCAGACGGTGCAGGGCCTTGCAGGTAAAGTGGGAGCCACGGGAAAGTTCTGAGCTGAGGAATAATGTGACGGAACTGATGTTTTGTAAAGATCATTTGCCGCTATTTTGAAACTAAACATTAGGAGGCTAAAAATAGGCACAGGGATACTGTGGGTCTACTGTAATAATCCAGGTGAGAGATGGAGGTCATATGGTTAAGTGGCAAACAGTTATACCATAAAAATATACATTGAATAACAAGATATTGTTCACTGACTGATTGTAGGGTGTGAGAAAAAGAACAAAGTCAAGGATGGCACCAAGATTTTGTGGCTGCCACAAATGGAGTAATCGATGTGACATTTATTAGAATAGGAAGACTGTGTGGGAAGCATATTTGGGTTGTTTGAAAGTAAAGCTGGAGATTCCTGTTATACATCCTACTGGAGCTGTCAAGTAAGGAGTTAGATATTCACAATGTGGCATCCATAGGAGGGATCTGGCTGTAAATTTCAGAGTAGCAAATGTATTTAAAACCTTGAGACAGTATGACAACTTTATTAGAAAACTAATAAGTTTTCTGTTTTCATCTTAATAAATCGGCACTAACTTAGGCAGGCAGAACAGAACAAATTTATTATCTTACCACACTGGAGGTCAGAAGTCTGGAACAAGCCTATTTGGAATACAATCAATGTGTCACTAGGCTATGTTCCTTTCTGGAGATTCCTGGGGAGAATCTATTTCCTGCTCATCCTGGCTATTGCCAGAATTTATCTCTTTGAGCTTATAAGACTGAGATCCTCATTTTCCTGCTGGCTGTAAACTGAGATCCTTTCTTAGCTTCTAGAGCTTACCACATTTCCTTGGCTTGAGGGCCCCTTACTCCATCTTCAAGGCCACCAACAGTGGGACAAGTCCTCACCTTATATGTCCCTGGCCTACTTTTATTTCTCTTCTTCTTCCACCTTTTAGGACTCATGTGATTATACTGAGCCCACCCAGATAATCTAAGATAATCTACATCTCAAGGCTCTTCAACTTGATCACATCTGCGAAGTTCTCTTTGCCGTGTAAGGTAATATTGTCATATGGTTCAGGGATTACTGCATAGCTACAATCTCAGAAAGAAAATGAAAGTGGGTAATGAAGACAGATCACCTGGGGATATTCCTGAATAGAGATGTTAGAGAGATAAGACAGAAACTGGTAAAGGAAACAAAGGAGCAGCCCCTAAGTAGGAGGAAAAGAATGGTGAGTGTTGATTGCAAGGTGAAGACAGTCTCAAGGAAGGATATGTTAATTGCTGCTGAGACATCGACAAAGATGGGGACTGAACATTGACCACTGGATTTAGCAACATGGAGTTTCCTGCTGACCTGGACCTGAGCAGTTTCAATGGAGTGGTGGGGGCAATGCATGACAGAAGAGAATTCAAGACAGATTAAAAAAAAAAAAAAGTTATACCAATGGTTAATGTGCACATGAAAACACATGAAAAGATGTTCAACAATATTAGTATTTGGGATTTTCATTTCATTTGGGAAATGAAAATAAAAAGCACAATGTGTTACCACTTCACACACACTCAGAAGGCAATAATCAAAGAAATGGACAATAACAAGAGTTGGGCAGGATTTGAAGATACCCTCACACATCGCTGGTGAAATGTAAAATGGCATAGGTGAAGGTGAAAAAAACTGAAATAATGAGAGGAAGATGGAATACAAGACACTTTATGACTTTGTTCCAATGGAACAAACTGGCTGGTTGGGCATCTGGAATAAATAAGAAGGAGTCAAATATGAGCAAAATTATGGTTCATTTTGGATGCAAATCATGACTCCATCACTTACACTGAAGAGAAATTGCATGACTTCTCTGGATTTTAGTTTCACCATGTGCACAGTGATGGAGGTTTATGCCTTACAGAATTGTAGAAACTTTAAATGAGAGACTCATGTAAAACCTACTGAATGACATTATGAACAAAAATTTCATCAGCTGAAGGTTATTCGAGGATGTGGATGATGCTATCTCTGACATGGACCATGGATGGGGGGAGCCTTAGATAAAGACCACTCTGAATGTCTCGTCTGCATTTGAGTGTAATGTCCCTTATGCCATGTCTTCTACCCAATCAGGGCCCTACTGCCACTTAAGGGGTAATTTCTCTTTCAATCGTTAGTTGTTCCAGCACCAAGGAGCTCAGCCTGAGTTGAGGCACCTCAGTCAGGAGGCCAGGATCCTTGGGAGATTGACAACAGGAGGATACTCACATCTGAATACTCCAGGATTCCAAGGGTGTCTTAGTCTATTTGGCTACTATAACAAGATACCTTAGATGTGTAAATCACTGAGCGATTTGTATGTAATAGAAATATGTTTCTCACAGTCTGGAGGCTAAGTCTAATATAAAGTCACCATAGATTCAGCATCTGGTAAGGCAGATTCAGGGTCTCTTCAGCTCACCTTCAGCTCCATAGATGGCATCTTATTGTGTCATCATCACATGGCAGAGGGGGAAACACTGCACTCAGTGGTGAAAGGGGAGAACAGTATGTCCTCGCATGATGGAAGGTGGGAACACAGTGCCCTTACATGGCGGAAGGTGGGAACACCATGTCCTCACATTATGGAAGCGGGCAACACTGTGTCCTCACATGGTAGAAGGGGCAATACCATTTCCTCACACAATAGAAGGCAGGAACACTGTGTCCTCACATGGTGGAAGGGGCGATACCATGTCCTCACATGGTGGAAGGCAGGAACACCATGTCCTCATATGGTAGAAGGAGAAACACCATGTCCTCACCTGGTAGAAGCAGGGAATGCCGTGTCCTCACATGGTGGTGGCAAAAACACCTTGTCCTCACATGGTGGAAGGAGGAACACCATGTTGTCACATGGTAAAAGTGGGGAACACTGTGTCTTCACATGATGGAAGGGGGAAAACTGTGTACTCACATAGCAGAAGGAGGAACACTGTGTCCTCACGTGACAGAAGAGGGGACCATTGTGTCCTGACATGATGGAAGGGGGAACACCATGTCCTCAGATGGTGGAAGGAGGAACACTGTGCTCTCACATGTTTGAAGGGGTACAAGAGCAAAAGGGGTGACACTGTCCTCAAACCATTTTATAAGAGTACTAATCTCATTCGTGGAGCCTAATTATTTCCCCAAGCCCACTCTTCATGCTTTTGCATTGAGGATTAAGTTCCAACATGAAACGTCAAAACCATAGCAAGGGTCTTCTAAGTCACTATTTCATGAAGAAGAAAAAAAGGGGGCTTTGGAATCATCAGTGTTGGATCTAAGCCTTTGCCCCATCTCCGTGGTCTGGGTCTTGGCCAGCCTGCCCAGACCACGCAGTTGGGTGGTGTCAGAGCTTTGTCCGTTGGTGCCATCCAATCACTCCACGCAGCCTTCTCAATTTTTTAATACTTATCATTTAATACACTTTATTTTAGAGCAGTTTTAGGTATACAGAAAAATTGCACCGAAAGTACAGAGCTCACCACCATCTACTTCTAATGCTGGTGACCAATACCAACCCTAGTGGATTCTTATAAGAATTAAAAGAAACAATATTTGCAAAGTGCCTGGGACAAAAACTGGTTCAAAACAGCCTCAAAAGCCCTGTTCTTCTTCTTTTTTTATTTTATTTGTTTGTTTTGTTTGTTGGTTTTTGTTTTTTTTTTTTGTTTTTTTTTGTTTTTTTTTTGCTGCCGCTGGTACTGTGGGAAGGTAGGCTGCTGATCACATCTTACGCTGCCCCAGGTCTAATGGACACTGATACGCAGTCATGGCCAGTCACCTGGGAAGCCAGTGAGAAGATTTGCACACCCTCAGCTTTCTGTGCACCCTAAATGGGAAGAGGGTAGAAATGAAGCCCTACTGTGAATACTCTTTGTCTTCTCTCACCCATCCACCATCCTAAGCAATACTTAGGATCCTAAGCAAGTACTTAGGATTATTACCTAGTGCTCAATCTCTTAACAGGGACTCTTTTCAGACCTTTGTTTTCTGTGGTTGACGTGAGTGAAACCACGAACCCAAGGATCTAGGCCACTAGACATGCTGCAGCACCTCGTGGTACTAGAGTTAGCCCATCTCTGCATAAAAGCTGGGATTCAAACAGGAGGCAGAGGTTGCAAGAAGGTGAGGACTCCTCAGGAGGGAAGAACCACCCATATACCATGGTGGAAGCATGGCCAGGTTTACAATAAGAAGCTGATAAGGGAGTAAGGAAGTCTCCAACTAGGACTTCAGGACATGTATAGTCGAGGAAGTTCATTGTGTCCACCCCTGTTTCCAGGTAGAGCCACACCAGAGAGTCTATCAGCAGCTCCTGTGCTGCATCTCCCTCTGCTGAGCAGAAGGATGGGAGATGGGAGAAAGGTGGTCCAGAACCTTTACACCAAGAGGTGCTTGTCTTCTTGATCCTGTCCTCCCACAGTCCCACACCCTCTTGAGAGAGCCCAGGTTGGTACTGCAGGAAGACTCATGACCAACCCAGGGCAAACTGTGGCAGGGACCATACATAGTGCCCAAGGTGTTCTGGAAAGTCATATATGGGAGATGTCATTTTTAAACCTTTAGGATTCATAAAGCTCATAGAACAGGCACCTTGGGAAGGGCTTTGAGCAGCACGCTAGAATTTCAGCAGGTGGGAGTGAGGGTGAGGAGCACAGAGAGAAAACTAATTTCAGGCAGAGGGATGCAAGTGAGCAGAGAAGTGGTTGACCTAGGGTTTGGGCCAGCATGGCTGAGGGAGACTGAGGGTCAGAATAAGAAGAGGCTGGAGAGGGCTGGGTTAGATCTTCTCAATAGCTTCACCCATCAGAGCCCAAGTAGCCCTCACCAAGGGGGCATGGAAGGATACTTCACATCTGTTCGTACAACCAAGTGCGCTATCCTAGGAGAAGGGAAGAGCTGAGGCTGTTTTCTAAGACAATCCCCACCTGTGGCCTCTTAGGGTCACTCCCTGAGACACAGAGGTTGGGAAGGTTTTGAGATGATAGACATTTCTATTTCCACTCTACAGGAATTTGAGTTTGAATCCACAGGCTGAGGCTGAAAATTAGGCTCAGATTAGCACAGGTGATGAGAAAGGTGGCTTTGGTTCAGTTGTATAATGTGCACTAGACAGTCCTCCCAACATGCACGCACACACACACACACACACACACACTGCCTGATACCCCCAAGAGACCCCTACACAAAATCTGCAAAAGATGCCATGGCCTGTTCCTTTGCGGGTTTCTATCCACCCATGCTGTCCTCAAACTCAGCATCCGGAAAACAGATCCTATCTCCCTCCTCTGCAGCATAGTCAACACTTCTGCACTGTTCCCATGTCTGCCTTGTGTCCTCAGAAGTATACACACCAGTGACATGGCAGAGGTGGTCGGAATTCACCACCTGCTCAATCAGACAGGCTCCTCTTGGGAAGGCTTCTGGAGGAGAGGGGTCAGGAGACATCTCAGTGATGGAGAACAGCCCCTGCCCAAGTGTAAGGACAGCTTGGGGAGGTGTCACAGAGTACAACCAGGCCATGTGTACCCTGTAGAAATGTGGCTATGAGGTTAGAGAAACACAGACAAGGGGAAGCGGGAACTGAACCAGAGCTGGGAAAGGCGGGGGTCTGCAGGATTTAGACTCAGAGTGTAGGTGTCCTGGGAGTGCCAGATCCTCCTGCTTCCTCCAATCAGATGATCTTCATGGTCTGGTCTGGATAACAGACCTCACTGTAGAGAGGAGTGACAGACTCCTCTTTTTTTTCAGATATTGTTCACCGATGCCCTGGAATACAAGACAGAGGGCTGTTGGATCAGCTGAGGGATAAAAAGGATGTGGAGGGACCCACAGAGCCAATACCCATTGACAGGCACTGCTCATGAATTCTTCTAAAGTGCCCAGCACTACATCACACCCAGATGTCAATTTTCTTAGTAAATACTGTTGATTGTCCAGATATAGATAAACAGGAAGTTGGGCCAGAAATGGCAGGTCCCAAAATTGGAAGCCCAAGGCTGGGCAGAACTCCCACCCTGGGAGTTCCCAGGGTGGCCAGTGTCCCAGTTACTCACCTTGTCCTTGCCCTTCTGTGACACTTGCTGGCTGAGCGTTTGAAAGAGGATGCCACCATCATTGACCCCTTGGTTCTCCTGCAATCCTCCACCTGAGACAAAATCAAAGCTTGAATCCGTGTCTTGAAATCGTGTATGCCTCCCCACTGCCATGAACCCCAAGGCCAAGACCACACCCATCATCCCCTCTGCAGAGTCCACTCCCTGGGAGCAAAATTCAGAGAAATAGAGCTGAGGTTCTAGTGAGGGAGGGAGGTGTCTGGGCACGTCAGGAGAAATGCAACTTGCACCTTTTTCTTTCCATCTTCTTCTTCTTCTTCTTCAAAAGGTAGAGCCCAGCTCCCAGTACCAACAGCACACCCACAACAGCCCCTAGGATGCCTGGCAGCAGTCTAGCCATGTCCTGTTTGTGTGAACCTGTTCCTGTCACATGGGGAGAGTGGAAAATGTTAAGACAGGAGATAATTTGAGATACAAACTACCAGAGGAGAGACAGAGAGAGAAAGCAGGTGGAGCAGTGGGAAGGAGCCTGGTGCAGAAGCTACAGAGGGAGGAGCATGGCAGGTCCATTCATTCAACCGGTTAGGAGCTGCTGCTTGGTACCAGGGATGCGGAGATGCACAAGACAATGTCCGCAGCAGCCCAGCACCCATGAGGGAAGACAGAAAATTCCAACTGCCAGACAGAGGGATCGTAGCTGTGATACAGGTTTCCACCTTGTACAAGGTCTTCAGGGAGGGCCTCCCAGAGGAAGTGCTGGCTAAACTGAGGCTTGAGGGGCTAATAGGAATTTCTCAGATATTCAGCCTGGGGCATTCCAGGAAGGAAGAACACCAAGTTCAGGAAATGGCTGTGTCAAAACACCAGCCCTGGGAGTTGCCGGCACCCCACTGCAGCAGGAGAGGGACAGGGCAGGGAGGAGCTGTGGCAAGGAGAGTCAGACGGAGGCAGGAGTCTGTGCCCGGAGGGCCTTGTGGTCATGCTCAGTGCTGAACACTCCAGGATGGGGGTGAGGGAGGAGGTGGCAGGCGGTTTAATGTGATGCTGACACATCAGATCCCCCAGTGGCTCTTGGAGGGAGGGTTGGAGAGGACAAGCCTGCATACACGGTATCAGGTCATATATTCATTCAGTGAACACTGATTGTGAGCAAATGTTGCCAGGAGCTTTGCTTGGCACAGGGATTCAAAGGAAAATATCAAGATGTTTGCAGTCTACTGGGCAGACAGTGACATAAACACGTCATTACTACTCACTGTTTGGGCCACGGACATCTCCCTAAGGAGGTGGGCCTGAGTGCAGAAGCAGATACATCATTTTCAGGGCACTGTGCAATGCAAATTTAAAATCCCTTGATTAAAAATTAAAAACTTGCAGGCAGCAATGGCAGTGTTTTAACCCATTGTAGAATGCTGCTGACTGAAGAACCCTGTGTGACTGCATGTGTCTTGTGCCCATAAAGCTGGCCATGGCCGAAAGGAGTACATGGAAAGGAATAAAAAGGGAAATGTTGGACACTAGGTGTGGGAGGGCTGATGGAGTAAGAAACAGCATGTTCAGAATCTGAGAAGCTTACAAGAAGCAGAACATATGTTCGGAAATAAAAGCAAGCAGTTTGGTGCAAAGTGCACAGGTGAGGCCAGAAACATGGGCAGAGAAGAATCTGAGACCTGAATTCCATGGGGGAGTAACTGGAGGCCAGATCCCACAGATGACACAGACAACCACCCAATCTTACCCACTTTTCCCAAAGCCCACTCTGGATGTTCAGTGGAGGATGGATGGGGTGGGACAGCTCCCGGAAGGCTGCTGTCTGAACCGGCAGGGACATGGTGGGGGTGTGAAGAGGAGGGTATGGATGGGAGAGATGATTAAAGGCAGAACGAAGGTGTATGTGACTCCCACACTGCTGTGTGTGGTGAGCAGGTAGAAGGTGGTGCTAATGCTCATGGTGGAGAAGAGACCCCAGAACCATTAGACCCCAGTGCTACCTGAGCTTGGGCAGCCTCTCCTATCCTGCAGGCTACACTCACCACTCACCTTGGGCACAGACTTTCCCAAGGTCTAAAGTAGCAGCTTTCTGATCCACCTGGTTGCTGACCACGTAGTTGAGATTGCTGTTCGGCTGGCTCAGGGGCAGGCTCCCAGGCAGGGTCCAGGGGTTGGGGGCTGGTCCTGGTGTTTCTCTCTGCTCCAGCTCTCCAAGGAGGCCCTTGCTTTCCCAAGTCATATTCAGGTCCTCTGTGGCCCCTGGAACTCTACACTCCAGGGTGATGTTACACAAGCCTGGTGTGATAGACAGTGACTTTGCCAGGAACTCAGGGTGAGGCACAGGCTCTGGGGCAGAAGGGGACAAAAGAGGGGAATCTCACATGTGTGGAGAACATTGCACATCACACTTTCTCATCATTTTCCCATTGCAGCCACAGCAAGCAAGTGGGTGTGTTCTATGGATGAAACACAATTTGCCCAAAGCTAAATACTGAGCAAATGAAATAAGAAGGGAAGCCACTGAGTTTAGCTCCATGTTGGTTCTCTAGATTCAACATGTCTTAAAACCGTCCCAAAGAAAATAAAGGCAAGAGTCTCACTTCCCAAGGCACAGAATTTTCAGGAAATTGAGGTCTTTTCAAGAAGGAGAAGGAGTCTCGGGAAGATGGGCTTGTACTGGCCCAGTGTCCTTTCCCTGAATCTCCAGCTGAGGCTATGCCTGTGACTGCACAGCCTTTATGGGGCAGGATGTCAGGTCAGCTCTGGGAGGCCAGAGAAAGGCTCATGCTCCCAAAAGTAGACACATCTGTGGGAGATGCAGTGATAGTGACTGGGAACAATGACTCTGAGTGTGCTTAGAAAGTGCCACTGAACCTGTGGTGCAGACAAAAGAGAAAAATCAGATTCACAGGCCAGCCTGAGAAATCACGTGGCACCTAAAGCTCAAAAGCCACTCTCTCCATGGCAGGATACTTCCCCATGCAGAAAGGAACTTTAGGGAAAGAAAGAGTTGGCTAAATGAGGTTTCTAAGATGTGTTGTGGTGTAAACTTTCTCCTACACATATGGAGTCTTTGAGATGTGGATTTATGGCAGCTTGTGTGACTGAGTCTGGCCTCAGGCTGGGGCTGGGTGAGAGGAGAGGGGACTGAGAGGACTCCATTCACAAGGATTCCCAACTGTGGTAGGCAGAACAGTGGCCTCCAAAATGTCCAGGACCCATCCTGGTAACCTGGGAATAGGTTAGGCTGTGAGGCAAGGGGAATTAAGGTCACAGATGAAATTAAGTTTGCTAATCAGCTGACCTTAAAATAGGGAGATGATTCTGACACTTCTAATGGAACACTAACATCAGTGTTCTATTAGGAGATACAGGATGATGGTCACGAGCCATGGGATGCCAGCACCCACTAGCAGGTGAAAAACGCAAAAGAATGGGCTCTTCCCTGGAGCACCCAGAAAGAATACAGCCCTGCCACCACCTTCATTTTAGCTCACAGAGACTTGTGTCAGGCCTCTGGCTTACAGCACAGTAAGATGATAAATTTGTGTTGCTTTCAGCCAATAATTTTTGGCAATCTGTTCCATCCGCAATAAAAAACTACTAAACAAATTAAGTAACATTAATCATATATAGGACAGTTAATGTTATTGGAAAAATTGCTATTTTGATGAATTTCCATTTCCTCTCCCAAAACACTGAAAGAGCTTCATTCCCTGGTGTGAATCTCAGCTCTGCTCTCTATCTCTGGGGACCTCATGTGCCTTATTTTTAGTGAAGAAAATGGAGTCTGAAGGCCGGTGTCTGAATGGAACCTTGCATGAGGCCTATGTGACACTCTAGAGAGAGAAAAAGCAGGTAAGCCAGAGGATGGGGGAAGGACGGGTGTCACTCACGATAGACAGTGAGGTAGAAAACCTGGAAAATCCCCTCTCCCTTAGTAGAGGTGATGACGGCAAAGTACTGCCCACTGTCCTCAGGGGCCAGGTTCTCAATCCTCAGGGATGATATGTTGGGTACATGGACCCTCTGCTTGAACTTGTCCTCCAGGCTTCACCAGGTTGGAGAGTTGGCCCCCCTGTGGACTCGCAGCAACCATGTATGATTTGACAGAGTACCCAAAGCCCATAGAACCTCCTCCAACTACTCTGAGCCTCTCAATCACATTAAACAAGACAGAACCTCCTCGGATGCCCTTCAGATGAATGCAGGTTCCAGAATCCTTCACTGCAGAGCCATGCACTCCAGAAGTGTTGGCTGCAGTGCTGCAAACACCTAGGGCATGGAAACAGGAAACATGAGTATTTCCTTATCAAGAACAAATAAGAAAACCACAGAACTTTGGGTCAGAGTCACAGAAGTCCATCCAAAATCCTCCCTTCATTCTGGGAGGGCTGCCTAGCATAATGGACTTGAATCAAGTCTGGAATCAAGTCCTGGTTCTAGTGGAGTGTGATCTAGAGCAGGTTGCTGAACCCCTCGATCTTCAATTTTCTTACCTGCCCCATAATGACAGTAAGGATCAAATGAGCTCCTAGATCAAAAGCACCTAGCACATTTTCTGGCATATGCTAGGTACATAACTGCAGGAGGCAGCTTCTAACGTGGCTCCCAATGATGCCTCCCCACTGTGCAAGGCCCCTGTGTAATGCCCTCCCCTGGAGTATGGGTTGCATTGATTACTTGCAAACGCAGCGAAAGTGATGGAGTGTCCCTTCTGTCTGGCTCACACCCTCTGTCTCCATCAGTCTCTCCTGTTCAGGCTGATGAAGCCTGCTACCACGTTGTGAGCTGCTCTGTGGAGAGGGCCACATGGCAGGGAGCTGAGGGCAGCCTCGGGTAAAACCTTCATTCCAGTCTCTGTGACCCTGAGCCACAGGACCCAGCTGAACCACACCTGGATTCTGACCTCCATAAACTGTGAAACAATGCCCAGTGTTGTGTTAAGGAAGTAAGTTCTAGGGTAAAAACTCACACAACAATACATAACTCAGGCAAAGATGAAGGTTGCTTTCCCTTGCCTTTCCTTCTAGGAAGGGAATTAGTCAAGATAGGATAGGACAGGATAGGATGGAAGTGAATTAGGCAGGTTGTCCTGTGGCAACAGTTACAAAAGTCAGGGACTTAGAACAAGGGGAGTTTGTTTATTACTCACACTACATGTCGCACAAGGGATAGTGAGGGAAGGGTCATGTCACCCATGGATGGAGGCTCCACACCTTGTAGCAGCTCCATATGGAACCCACACCCTCCTCACAGCATCCTCAGCCCCCACGGTAGGGAAGGGAGGAGACAAGAGAGGCACCCATGGGGCATTCACTGCACTGTCCAGAAGTGATGTAATCTTTGCCCATATTTTCTGGACAGAACTAGCCAGGAGACCCTGCTAACTTCCAGGGGCTGAAAGTGTGGGGGAGCAGACGGACTGTTTGGTTGTGCTGTGTCCCTGCCACCAAGAAAGCACTTCCCAACGCAGTGCTCATGAGGACCCTGGTCAGTCTCCCTCAGTCACTGTCTCCCACAGAGCCCTGACCAGTGGCCACAGCCACCTCAGCTCTGCCTCCTCCTGAGCCCTTCCTTGCCCACCAGGCACAGCCACAATGAACCCAGAGACCTCTGTCCTTCCTGGGGACCAGGGTGGGACCAATCTTGACCTGGGGAAACTGCCACAGAACACCCTTGATCTTGAAGGAAGAACTGTCTCCTCCTTAAAGCAGCTCAGGTCCACCTGGGTTTGCTGCTGAGTTGCAGGGTGCCCAGTGCTCTCTCTAATGTGTAAATTTCTCCCCATTTCCTGCCAGTACCTTGCTGCTGTCTGGTTCTCACTGGAAGCAGAGAATAGCTAAAGCCAATCCTCAGATGTGGAAGTGTTTCAAATATTTCTGTTTCCAGTTATTCACTAACTCAGTTCACCAGGCCCCTCATCTGGGCCAGAGCTTCACCCCCTCCCTTCAGCTCCCTCAAGGGACTAGGCCCCACCCCAGGCTCAGCACCCCTTAGCACCAGGGCTACAGGCCTTCAGGATCAACATCAGAGGGTTAGTGGGTTTGTCAGTCCATTACTGCATTGCTGTAAAGAAATACCTAAGGTTAGGTAATTTATAAAGAAAAGATATTGAAATGGCTCTGGGCTCTGCAGGCTGTACAGGAAGTGGAGAGCCAGCATGTGCTCCTGGTGGGAGCCTCAGGAATCTCACAGTTATCGTTGAAGGCAAAGGGGAGCCAGTGTGTCACATGACCAGAGCAAACGTAAGAGACAGGGGGAGGTGCCACACACTTTTAAACAATCAGATCTCCTGTGAACTAACTGAGCAAGAACACACCTAACACCAAGGGAATCACGCTAAACCATTTACGAGGGACCTGCCCCCATGATCGAATCACCTTTCACCAGCTCCCCCGTCAACAATGGAAATCACATTTCCACATGAGATTTGGAGGGGACAAACATCCAAACCTTGTCAGTGGGCCAGTGCCCTGTCCAGTTCTGCCTAGGACCATACAGGAGAGGCAGCAAATATTCAGCCACCAGCCTCCTCCTATCACCTCCAGCTCCTCCACGGTCCTCCTCCCACATCTCACACTCCTCTGACACCCAGTTCAAGAGGGGGCCTATGCTCTCCCACAGAGCATCCTGGGGCGCAGCACAGACACCTGACCCGGCCCACAAAAGTTGCTGAGGAGAGCCAGATGAGGCTGTGCTGCCAAAGCCCTCTAAACAAGCCAGGGCACAAAGGCCACAGTCCAACAGGTCCCCAGACACGGTGCCCACTTGTCAGTAGCAGAAAGGGTAGAAGTGCAGTCTTTCCTTCTCCCAGCTCCAACCTCTTCCTTTATGTACCCACGAGATGCTGAGTATTTCAGGGTTCTTTGAGTCTCAACGAGGAGGAGTCCAGCCTAGCCTGTCCTGGAGTAATGTGCTGGCTGGGGAATGGAGACCAGTGATACCCACTAAGTAGAGGCTGCTCCTGGTGGATCTTGCCACATGGACAGAAGCCAGACAAATTTCCACTTTTCCAATTGCAGTGAGTGCTAGGACACTGCTGTGATTGGCAATTGCACCTTCTCTGAATCAGGCTGCCTGTTCACAAGTCCACGCTAAGCGAGGGTGACTGTCAACCAAAGTGGCCTAGCCCATCCAAGTTAAAGCCATTCACAGTGCTCGATTGCCCCAAGGAGGAGGGGATGAGAGAGAGACTGTGGTGAGACAGCCAAGGTTTGGGGTAGCCATTGCCACTAGATCCTGAACCCCCATTATGGGAGTAGATGCACCTCTGTGGCCAGGTGCAGGCAGAGGGCCGGAGAGCAAGCAGGTGAACTGAACTTGCTCAAGACCTTCATTAACTCTCCCTTGGGTAGGAAGATGACCATCCAAGGATCAAATATTTCTGAAGGGAGGTGTTGGCCATGATGTTGAAGCTTCTGGGGAAAGGCCATCTGGCCGTCCATGTCCCAAGGTCTGTCCCTGATAGTGGGAAGTGGCCCAAAGAGGCCGAAGATGCAGGGACTATGGGAGACAGCCACTTTCACCTCACACACACGGCCTCTTTCCAGGACAGCCACCTCACAGACCCAGAACCTTGAGCCACCTGACCTCCCCAACAATGAGCTCCCACACTGCACCCAGCATCTCTACAGTGACATCGCCACCCCCATACTCCCCACAGGAAGGTACCCCACAGGAAGTGTCTTAAAATCCTAAAGGTCTAGTTTCTCTTTCCCCAAAATGTGACCTGCTCATACTGTACTTTCATCGCCAAGGGAGAACACTTGGGGAAATGTTTTGAAAGGCTTCTTTGAGGGTAATTTTTTGTTTGGTCATTTATCTAAAGATTCATCTGTCTATATTTATAAACAAAGAAGAAAAACAAATTTAGATTCCAGCTGGGCAGCCCAGGATACACGGAAGGTGATGCTGCAGACATATTTATTAGACTCTGGTGTCCCCTGGTCTGGAGAGCATGTCCTTGAGGGAGAGGTACAGGGACTGCAGGGGTTGAATTGTATCCCCCAGAAAAGATACATTGAAGTCCTAAACCCAGCACCTCAGAAGACAACCTGATTTGGAAATCGGATCTTTGCAGATATAGTCCAATTAAGATGAGGTCACGAGGATGGTCTCTAATTTAATATGACTGATGTCCTTATAAAAAGAGGGAATCTGGACACAGACACTGAAATGCAGAGAGGGAAGACAATGGGAAGAAACATGGAGAGAAGGCGCGTGTAGATGGAGGACTGGACTGATGCAGCTACAAGACAAGGAACACCACCGATTGCCAGCAAACACCAGAAGCTAAGAAGGGGCAAGGACAGGTTTCTCTTGTTATGGAGTGAATATTTATGTTACCCCCAAATTCATATGTTGAAGCCTTGACAGCCAGTGTGACTGTATTTGGAGACGAGGCCTCTAGTGAAGTAAGATTTAATGAGTTCCTAAGGGTGGGGCCACGACCCAGCAATGTTAGAGACCTTACAAGAAGAGACGTCAAAGAGGAAGGGAGTTTTCTCCATGCATGTGTTCTGAGAAAGGCCATGTGAGGACATAGAAGACAGCCTTCTGCAAAACTGGAAGAGAGGCCTCACCAGAAATTTAACTGGCCACAGCCCTGATCTTGAATTTCCAGCCTCTAGAGCTAGGAGAAAATAAAGTTCTGTTGTTTAAGCCATCCAGTTTATAATATTTTGTTATGGTATCCATAGCTGACCAATATACCCCGGCAGATTTTAAAGGTAGTGTGGCCCTGTCAACACCTTGATTTAGGGCTTCTACTCTCCAGAACTGTGTGACAATAAATTTGCATTGTTTCAGCCACTCGGTTCTTGTTATCTGGCAGTCCTAGGAATCTAATGCAGGAACTCAGGAAAGGTGCTGATATAGTTTAGCTATTTGTTCCCTCTAAATCGCATGTTGAAATTAGACCCCCAGTGTTGGAGGTGGGCCCTCGTGGGAGGTGTTTGGGTCATGGGGGTGGATCCCTAATTAATCTCTCGGTGCCATCCTTGTGGTAACAAGTGAGTTCTTGCTCTATTTGTTCCCGGGAGAACTCATTGTGAAAAACAGCCTGGCAGTTCCCTCCTCTCTCTCTTGCTCCCTCTCTTGCCATGTGATGTCTGCTGCCCTTCACCTTCCACCATAAGTGGAAGCTTCCTGAGCCCCTCACCAGAAGGAGATGCTGATGCCATGCTTCTTGTACAGCCTGAAGATGCATAAGTCAAATAAACCTCTTCTCTCTATAAATTACCCAGCCTCAGTTATTCCTTCATAGCAACACAAATGAACTGAGACAGGTGGCACCCAAGGATTACATGTTGACCCTTTCAGGGATTCCTGGAGAGTCAGGCCTGGGCCTTTGGCCAGCAAATCACATGAGGCACAAGCTCTGGAATCAGGCAGACCCTGATTCAATCCCAGATCCACCATATTTACTGGCTGAGTGATCTTTAGCAAATTGTTAAACTATCTAGCCCTTGAGTTCCCACAGATGAACAATAGAGATAAAAATTGCAAGTATTCATTGTCTGCTACAAGCATTAATACAGATGATACATTTTTTAAAAAGCACTCAACAGTAGTGTTTAGTTGCTATGATTGTTACTATTATCAGGGCCCAACTGCCATGGATTGCCACAGTTACTGTAGGTGGATTTCTCTCTTTGCTTTCCCTGTCTGGGAAACAGGTTCCCCATCTTCCATGAATGTCATTCCCAATCCCTAATCTCAGCAGCTCCTTCAGATACTGAATTTCTGATGATTCGCAGGACACTTCAAGGTTGGAGGTTACAGATTATTATCCCCATGAAAATGCTGAAGAGATTGCATTTTAGCAATACCAAGAGGTTTTTTAATTTTTGGATTTTAATCAGATTAAACATTCATTTTTTTTTATTTTAAAGGAGGGGGAAATTAAGGAGATTGAAAATGAAGTCTTTCTCCTATCTCTGACTCCCATTGCCTGGTTCTGGTTCCTAGAGGCAGGCACTATTATCAGTGTCTTGTGTTACCATGCAGAGATAGTTTATGCACTTACATGCACATATGTGAATCTCCACATACACAAAACATGCTATGTGACTGTCCTGTTCTTTGCCTTTTCTCAAAGCAGCAATTGTTGGAGCCCACTCAGGATCTCTACAAGTAGATGTGTCCCATGTCCTGTCTGCATACTGTTCCTTGTGGGGCTCTAACACTCCTCTGCTACTGATATTTAAGTTGCCGCTTGACACAACAAACAATGTTGCAATGAATATCCTTATATTTGTTTCTTTGCACATGTTGGTGTGTATATATTAGGGAAAATCATTAGGGTGGATCTAATGGATCAAGGCAAACATACCTAAACTATTGATTCATATTATTACCTCCAAAGAGTGTTCTTATCTATATTCCTACCAATAATATTTAGGTTTCTCACCAATACGTAATGATCAAACTTTTTGCCCTTTGTCAGGTTGATAGGGGAAAATATCTCCTTATTGTTTTAATGAGCATTTCTTCTATAAATGATATTCATCATTGTCATTTTAGATTACTAAGTCATTCTTATTGCCTTTTTTGTGAACTATGAACTATTAGCTAATGTGCTTTATCCATTGGGGTTTTTTTCTGTTAGCTTATAGGAGTTACACATATTTTAAGAAAATTAGCTTTTTTTCTAACATAACACAATTTTTTTTAGTTTATTTTTCAAATTTACCTACAGACTATTTGCAATGCCAAAATATTATTTGCGTAAAGTCCGATGTATCCATTTATATGGCTTATTCTTTTTGTATCTTGCTTTAAAAGATAGCCCCCAATTCAAAAGTAGGTTTTTAACTCTTTCTTGTTTTCTTTAAGTACATATATGGTTTTAAATTTTATGTTTACTCTTAGATACAACTGAAATTTATTTTGGAGTCAACTAGGTGATGTAGTTGGCTGGTGTCACCAGTCTGTGACGTGACTCTGGTTTCACAGAGTGGTGAAAAGTTTGGACTTTAGAGCCGGTGAGAATTAAGTCCAGGTCCTCTATTTTCTGGCTGTGTGAACTAGAGCAGTTATTTAACCTCTCTGACTTTAGCTCTCTCATATGTGTTACGAAAACAATGAAAATGCCTACCTCATTGAAATCTTCTTTGGGTTTAAACAGAGAAAATGTTGCAGTACAGTATTCAGTAATTTTCGTATTAACATTAGCTACTCTCTATGTCAGGATGAGTATTACTTCACGAAGCCCACCTGGAATCAGAACCAGATGTTCCCAGCTTCCAGGCTGGTATCCATTCCTCCTCAGCAGCCGCCCCTCTCAGGGGGTCCCCTCCTGGGTCTAAGGATGAGTTTCAGAGGGTTAAATCTTTCTGAGTTAAATCCCATACGTGGCTGCAGAGTGTCAAGCTCCACTCAAGACCTTCTTGTTTACCAAAGCCTGGAATTTAAAAGGAAGTTCATTGCTGTGTCCACACACAGCCGCCATCAATTCCCATATTACCAAGGAGCTAAGAATATCTTTGTAGTGAGGAGAGTGGTAAAGATGGGTGGAAGGTCTGGGTGCAATAGCTCACACCACCCGTAATCCCAACACTTTGGGAGCCACAGGCCAGGGGATGCCTTAAGGCCAGAAGTTCAAGATCAGCCTGGGAAACAGTGAGACCCCATTTCTACAAACAATAAAAAAAATTTGAAGAAAAGAGAGATTACTTTTAATTTCATGTGTGAGCTAAAAAAATTATATTAATTGTATTTGGTTTATCCATTTTCCCCTTTCTTTAGTAGGTTGTTTATAACATAAAAGTGTTATATGTTACATTGAAAATTATACAGGGTGCAGAGCTGCTTCAAGTAAAAGTTCAAAATATGGCTTATCCCAAAGGAAAATACTTTAAATAGTGTGTATCCTCCAGACAGTCATCTGTGTACCCACAAATACCACAGACCCTGTGATCACAGGGCATCTATTGGTAAATTCATTTCAGCATTCCTGCTGGCCTACAGAAGTATCTTTGATGCTCCCTTTGAATGGGTTATAACATCCTACTAGGCCCCTCATTAATTAATGAGTAAGCATCCCATTCATCCCTTTCAGAGTTAATTGCATGGTTAAATATACAATTTTTGGCAAAACAATAGACAAAAACCATGAGTGCTCTGTCAAATGTAGGGCTCAAAAGCACAGTCCTCTTTTCTGACTGGGGGAAATAAGACAAATGGACTAGCTAGAGAAACAACATTTCAGACTCCACAGGGGGACCTTCCTAAGGCATTTGCATGGATAATTCTGATCAAAATAATGTTTGTCTCTCCCCTTGCCAGCACTGAAAGAGGGATCATTGAGAAATAAGCGAGTCTTTTCTGTGAAGCAGATAGGAAAAGGTCTGGTTGAGGCTTTTATTAGCAGCTTCTAAATGCCACAGTTGCACAAGGCCTTTCTGATTGCAGTATGCAGACCACATTTCCATACACTGTGGGAAGGGAGTGGATGTCTAATATGGTTTGGATTTGGGTTCCCATCCAAATCTCATGTCAAAATATAATTCCCAGTGTTGGAGAAGGGGGTCTCGTGTGAGGGGATTTGATCATGGGGGCGGACTTCCCACTTGCTGTTTCCATGATAGTGAGTTCTCACAGGATCTGGCGGTTTAAAAGTGTGTGGCACCTCCCCTGCTATCTCTTCCTCCATCTTTGGCCATGTAAGAAGTGCCTGCTTCCCCTTTGCCTTCTGATATGATTTAAGTTTCCTGAGGCCTCCCCAGCCATGCTGCCTGTACAGACTGCAGAACTGAAAGTCAGTTAAACCTTTTTACTTTATAAACTACCCAGTCTCAGGTAGTTCTTTATAGCAGTTAGAGAACAGCCTATATACAATGTCTTTCAGCAGGTGGCCTGAGGGCAATGGCCCCTGAGATCCCTCTTAGGAGCAGAGGCAGAGAAAGCAGAGGGTCAGGTGGAGGAGGCTGAGAGAGGAAGGGTCCCTTCCTCCCTCAAGGGCTGAGGAAGTGGCCACAGGGACACCCAGAGTCTTCTCTCTGAAGAAGCCTGAAACAGGCTCACTGGCTGTCAGTGCCTGTCAGACCACAGGATAGGACAGGACAGGATGGGGAGACAGAGCAGAGACCTTGGTAGAGCCACGGGAGTCACCAACTCCCAGAGCCTCACTGCTGAGGGGGACTGGGGTGATTCTGCCCAAGCTCCTGCTTTAACAGAGGAGGGACTCTCTAGGGGGTAGACTTGTCCTGGGTCACAGAGGGCAGAGCCAGACCTGGAGCCTACTTTACCCCCCAGCCCAAGGCCTCCCCTGCAGGATACTGCCCGTGAGCTCCTCCACCTTCACCTGCCCTCCCTAGACTAGCTCAGCTGCACTGTCGTCTGAGCCCCGCAGGACTGAGAAGCTGCCGCGGCCTCCACCTCAATTGCCCTCTTCTGAAAAGGGGAAGCAGGTACTTTCAGTGGCAGTGCAGAGCAGGGACTTCTGGCTAACAGAGGGTTAAACTGCCAGCCTGGACAAGCTCACTTCCTGGATGAGGGAACCAGGGAGAAAGGAGGCTCCGCCCTCAGGCTGTTAGGAAGGATCTGCCCCAGAAGTTGGATGGTGAGCACAGCCAGGAGGAAGATGAGGGAAGACTCAGAGAGGGAAGGAAGGCAGCAGGAGTTCTTGGATCTACAGAGATGCTAATCCTGAAGAAGAGAGAACAAGACAGGGAGTGGTTGGTCATTTACAAGGTGGAGCTAAACATTCATTTAAATTGTATACAATTTCAAGCTCTGTAAACAACATAAAAGATTGCTCATTTGTCTGACATAGCCCCCATCAGCACACTCACAAACCAACCATTCATGTTTGATGTCCAAACCTCACTTCTTGGTGCCATCTCCATTGTCTCGTGTCTGCGTCTGGAGCCCCTAATGCAGAGACCCTTTCTCTTCCAGCTCCCTGCTGGCAGACACGGAGTGGGCATTCAGTAAGTGCTGTTATTGTTATGGTCAGGGGGTCCCCCCAAGTTGAGGACCACCCTCACCTGCAGCTACCTCTGTCCCTGGGAAATTATATGTGAGCTGAGCCACCCTCAGGCTCTTTCCTTCCCTTCCACACTTCCCCATCTAAACACATGTTCAGGAAGGGTGTAAGAGTTTAGGGATGATCAGGACAAATATCTCATCCCCACCTTCATCATCACTGCTTCACCACCCATCCCTCTCCCTAGGTCAAGGGTGAACTAGAACAGGGATAATCCAGAAACCACAGAAAAAAATGCCTCCAACTCTGGAGCTTCAGGATTCCTAAGAGGAAACAGAGCAATTTCACAGTGATATTCCTTCCACAAACAGCCTCTGACCAAACTTCACTGCAAGGGAGCTTGTCTCATTCAGTACCACAAGGTAAGGACTGATGGAACAACCAATTTCAATTTCATTCCTTCCCAGTGGTTCCCTGAGGGAATCACTTTCTTTGTCTGAACACAGATCTACCCGCAAAATGAGAAATTCTAAGTTGTTTCCTTCTTTCTCTCTCTCTCTCTTTACTTCTTCCTTCCCCTTCTCCCATCCTTCATTTCTTCCTTCCTTCCTTCTTTTTCTTTGTTTAGTAATCTTCTAACCCCAGGGCCTATAAAGAAAACTCTACACAGTTAGACATATTTCCAGATAACCAACGTTGCAGAAGTGGAGAAAGCCTACGTTTTGCTGGTGACAGAACTGGCATCTAACTTCTTGCTATTGCAAAGCTCATTGTTCCTTCAAGAACTCCTGTTTTATAAGTGCTCTCTAATCATTAGATTTGGCCGTGTAAGTTAGTTCAGCTAGTGGCTGGGATATAAAAGCAAAAATCATAGCAAAGCTTTCATCAAAATTCATATGCACTAGATATTATTATTTTCTCATTTTAAAATTTAATGTTATTATAAATGCAAACATATAGTTGTTCATAAAATAGCAAATGTGACATACAGCCTAGATTTGGACAGTCTTTCTTTCAGTTCACTTTTTGCTTAACATTCTGTGTTCCCTACTTTCTCCCTCTCCATGTTTTCCTTCCCAATTTTATGCCCTCCTGTAGCCCATGTTAGCAATCTACTGATTCCTTCCACATTTTTAACATAGTCTTAGAAACATATGGGTGTATAAACACTTAAAGTTTGGTGGCTGCGTTTCCTTTTATAAAATGAAGACTGTATTGTATTCAGGTTCCTGAATCTTGCTGATGGAAATCTAGGCATCTGACTTCATGGAAGTTGAACATTCCTTCCAGATAACCGGAACATTTGTTTTTGTAAGCTTCTATAATATGCCATGGAACAGATACTTCTCAGCTTGTTCACATGTTCCTGAATTGATGGGCCCCTCCTGTTTCTTTCCAGGGTTTTTCCTAGAACAGTGCTGTGATAAACATGGTTTCATCCAAGGGCTGAGCAGCATTTCCGAGGGGAGGAAAAGGCAACTCACGGGGATGTGAAGGGTGCCCACTATAGACACATTTTACCCAAATATAAGTTCTTTTTAATGTTTAAAATGAACACTAATCAAACTACAAAAACAATTTTAAGATTGAGACTTTCAAGGGACCTCTCCTTTCTGATGATTTGCTTAGAGCTCAGCCCTGAGCCCAGACAGTGGGTAAAGTTTCCCTCAATACAGCCAAGGCAGCCCTGGCTCAGGGTTCCCAGCCTCTTCACCACCAAAAAACTTTTCATTCTTTCCATATTGGGACTCCAACCAAATATGTTGCAGTTGTTAATGATAACAGAGTGTTTTTCTCTTTTTGTTGCCCAAAGACATCAGAACCTGAACAGCCCACCCAGTGGTCAGGGCCAACCTAGCCCAGCCCTCTCCAACTGCCCTCCCTTCCCAGGGACCCTGCCACTCCCTGAGGAGGAGGCTGATGAATACCAGGAGCACAGTCGCCCAGCAGAAGAACCGGTTCTTGGAGCAGGGCCCCATGGCAGGCTGCTTGATGGCCTGTTCAGCTGCAGTGGAAACAGCAGAGGGGGACGACGTAAGAAAAGAGGACGAGCTTGATCATGGAGCCCTTCACACTCTTTCCACTTCAAGGGCAGGGCCAGCAAGTTACTACTGGGGAGACAGCCCACGAGTCTAGAGAAGGCCATTCAGCTCTTTCATCCTCTCCCAGCCCTTACAGTACCACACATGGTCGATAAGTAATTGCAGAAGAGATAAAGGTACAACCTCATTCTGTGATGTTCCTGGCAGTGTATTAGACAGGCCCCCTTCTCTCGGGCACAGCCAGCTTGGTGTTCCCTCCCACACCCTCCCCTGACACTCACCTGCTTCCCTGGGTTCACAGCTCTGCCCCAGGTGGCCGTGGTCACCAGTGTCAGCCTATGGTCAGGCACAGAAGTCACCCTCTTACAGCAAGGCTGGGCTATGCCCTTCCTGAACTTGATGACTTTACTTTGTCCCTACCTCATATAATAACTTAAATTTCTTTTATCCATTTTCCAAAAACTTCAATTCTCAGTTGCCTAAGTAAGAAGCTGTAAGCAAAAGAACAAATCTCCTGTGGAGAGTGTTAACTCCCCACATCTCCAATGCAAACATCAGCATTTACTTGTTGCAGGCGGCTGTGTGGTTTCTCCACTCCCACTAGTGGTCATCACCTCCCTATACACTCAGGGTAAGGAGAACCCCCTACAGAAGCTGACAGGCTCTTGGCTGCATCACAACTAAGTTTCCCTTTCAGCCTGTGTCAGCTCTGCTCCTGGTATTTCAAAGGGGTGGGGCAGAGAAGTTCACACTCCCTCTGCCACAGCCTCAGCAGCCTGAAACTCACCACCACCTGCTGAGCTTCAGGTCATGTCCTCTTCTCTCCAGACCTGGATACTCCAGGACATTTAAGAACTCCCCTTCCCATTAGCCTGAGGGAGGAGCACCATCTTCTTAACCCCAAGGCACCGCCTCCTTCTCCTCAAGTAGTCTCCCCTGATGGCTGCCCAGGCAGAACACCCCCAAGGCTGGAGCTGCAGGCCTGACCCCAAGACCACCTCAAGGTAGTCAGGTTCCTGGGTATTAAACCTATTTAATCGATGTGAAACCCAAACCTCAGAGGTGTTAGGTGACCTGTGAAAGTTCATACAGCTAATTAAGCACAGGGTCTGGACTCCTGACCACAAGCTCAGGACTCATCATTGACATCTCAGCCACTCTCCCATCCCACTGTGTGGCCCCAAGCACGTCACCTTGAGTGCACTCTGCTCTCAACCAGAACTGCTCCACAGATTCCCAGCAGAGAAGATATTCAACATTGGCTTGATTCTCACTACTCCACCTGGTAGTGGGGAAGTTATTGCAAAAAGGCAGTACACAAGTTCCAGAGTTAAGCAATCCTTCTTATGTGGAATCAAAATCTGGGCAGCTTATCCACTGGTCACCCTCAGGGCAATGGGGATGAAACCTCATATCCACCCCCATGCCTACAGCTCTCCAAAATGAACTTCTTTTAAGGGAGGAAACCACCCCTCATATTGTCTTATGCCCAATTTCTGCCTCCAAAGAAAGAAAAAGTAAAAACTAAAAGGCAGAAATGAAATCCACAAGCAGACAGCCTGGTGCCACACCCTGGGCCTGGTAGTTAAAGATTGACCCCTGACCTAATCAATTATGTTATCTATAGATTACAGACATTGTATAGAAAAGCACTGTGAAAATCTCCATCCTGTTTTGTTCCAATATATCTAATTACCGGTGCATGCAGCCCCCAGACACGTATCCCCTGCTTGCTCAATCGATCACAACCCTCTCACACACACCCCCTTAGGGTTATGAGCCCTTAAAAAGGACAGGAATTGCTCACTTGGGGAGCTCGGCTCTTGAGACAGGAATCTTGCTGATGCCCCCGGCCAAATAAACCCCTTCCTTCTTTAACTCTCTGTCTGAGGAGTTTTGTCTGCGGCTCGTCCTGCTACATTTTGAGAAGTGCTTCACTATGAACACTATTTGTAAGGAAGGGGAATGCAAAAGAAGAGCCTTCAGAGAGGAAACCAGCCCTATAGCTGGAAGCCAGGAACCCTGGAGAGAGTCAGCAAATGAACATTCCATGCTGGCAAAACACCAGGGACATTTTGAAAATCCAGACCCATTTTACCACATACATGTAAGGGCCTAGTATCAAGAAAATATAAACAACATTTATATCTCAACAGTAAAAAGACAAATAATTTAATTTGTTTAATGACAAAGGGTTTGAGTAGACATCAAAAGACTTATACAAATGGCCAATAAAATAATAAGAAGATATGCCGCAGCATTAGTCATTAGAGATAAACTAGTTAGTAGAAGAATTTCTAGAAAGACATGAACTATGGAAACAGACTCAAGAAGAAATAGAAAATTTAGATAAACCTATAACAATTAAGAGAATGAATTAGTAATCAAAACACTCCCACAAAGCAAAAACAGAATGGCTTTACTGTGGTACTATATCAAATATCTAATTAAAAATTAATACCAATCCTTCACAAATTCTTCCAGGAAATAGAATAGAAAGTGATATTTGTAACTCATTCTATAAAGCTAGAATTATACTGACACAAAACCAAAGACATAAAAAATAAATGATAGACCAATATCTCTTATGACTATACATGCAAAATTCCTCAAAAAATACTATGTTGGTGAAAATACTATGTTTTTATATGTTGGTGAAACTGATTTCACCAACATATAAAAAGGATTATACAACACAACCAAGTGGGATTTATCCCAACCATACATAATGATTCCACATGCAAAAATCAATCAATTTAATAGAAGATAAGAATAAATAAAAGGGAGGGGGAAATATATGATTACTACAGTAAAGGCAAAAAAGTGTTTGACAAAATTCAACACCTTTTCATGAAGAAAAACAACTGAGTAAGTAGGAAGTAAGAAGAATTTCTTCAACCTGATAAAGGACATTTATGTAAAATGTGCAGGTAACATCATACATAATGATGAATAATGGAAAGCTTTCCCCTTAAATTCAAAACAAGACAAGGGTGTGTGTTTGCAACATTTGTATTCAAAATTGTGCTGTAGGTTCTAGCCAGAACAATTAATTAAGAAAAACAGTTAGAAGGTGCCCAGATTTGAAAGGAAGAATTAAAATTATCTCTATTTAAAATGACATGATCTCATATATAGAAAATTCAAAAGCATTTACAAGAAACCATTAGAGCTCATAAACAAGTTCATCATGGTTACAAAATGCAAGATAAACATGTAAAAAACCTGTTATAGTTTTATATACTGGTAATGAGTAATCAAAAGATAAATTAAGAAACAAATTCATTACAATAGAATCAAAAAGAAAAAGTGCTTAGGAATAAATTAACAAGAGAAATGCAAGAAAAGTGAACCCAAAAATGCAGAATATTGTTAAAATAAATTAAAGAACACTTAAATAAATGGAAAAACATGCTATGCTTATGAATGACAAGATTTAATAATGTTAAAATGGCAATATTTCCCAAACTCATCGACAAACTCATTGCAATCCCTACCAAAGTCCAGCTGGATTTTTTGCAGGAATTGACAAACGAGTCCTGAAATTACTATGGTAGTGTCAAGGAATACCCAAAAATTTTGAAAAATAGAAACAAATACGGATGACTCACCCTTCACAGATTCAAAACTTACTACAACACTGAAGTAATGAAGACAACGTAGTACTGGCATAATGATAGATACCTGGAATAAAATGGAAAGTTTGGTAATACACCCACACATCAATAATCAATTAATTCTCAACAAGGATGCTAAGACAATTTAATGGAGAAAAGAATAGTGTTGAATAGTGTTGTCAAAGAATGGTGCTGAGAAACCTGAATATATACATGTGAAAGAATGAAGTTAAGCTTTTGGCTCAGACCATTATCAAAAATTAACTCAAAATGCATTAAAGACTTAGTTATAAGAGCTAAAACTAAGAGCTACCTCTTCAAGGTAGGTAAAAATATTCATTTATTAGACAATGGTCTCTGAAGTAAGACACCTAAAACACAAATAATTAAAGAAAAAAACAGATAAGTTAAACTTCAAAGAAATGAAAAAAGATCTTTCTATTTTAATATAGGCATTTATAGCTATAAATTTGCCTCTATTTAATGCTTTCAACACATCACATTAAGTTTTGGTATGTTGTGTTTTTAGGATTTTTTATCTTAAACTATTTTCTAATTCCATTGTGATGTAATCTTTGACACTTTGGTTGCTAAAGAGTGCATTTTTATATTTCCCAGATTTGTGATTTTTCCAAATTTCCTGCTGCTGTTGATTTCTAATTTCATTCTGTTGGCTTTGGAAAGCATACTCTGTGTAACTTCATGCTTATTAAGTTAATTGAAGCTTGTTTTATGACCTAATATATTGTCTTTTCCACAGTATATGTCATAAACACTTGAGAAGAATTTGTAATCTGCTCAATAGTTAGAAGAAGTTCAATAGATGGGTGTTAGATCTAATTGGTTTTTGGTATTCTATTGTCTTCTATTTACTTGATGAACAACTGTCTAGATTTTCTATTATTAAAATTATAATATTAAAGTCTCCAACTAATATTGTTGAATTGCCTATTTGTACTTTCAATTATGTCCATTTTTGCTTCATACTTTAGGGCTCTGTCGTTACATGCATATATGTCTATAATTTTTATATCTTCTTAATGGATTGATCCTATCATTATTATTATTATTATTATTATTATTATTATTTTAGAGATGAAGTTTCACTCTGTTGTCCAAGCTGGAGTGCAGTGACACCATCTCAGCTCACTGTAACCTCCACCTCCTGGGTTCAAGCAATTCTCCTGCCTTAGCCTCCCAAGTAGCTGGGATTACAGGCACACGCCACCATGCCCAGCTACTTTTTGTATTTTTAGTAGAGACGGGGTTTCACTCTGTTGGCCAGGCTGGTCTCTAACTTCTGACCTCATGATCTGCCTGCCTCAGCCTCCCAAAGTGCTGGGATTACAGGCATGAGCCACCACATCCGGCCTGATCCTGTTATTATTATAAAATATACTTCTTTGTCTCTAATAACCATTTTTATCACATTCTTTTTTGCATAATGCTATTAAAGCCACTCCAGCTCTCTTGATTATTGCTTTATGGCATATCTTTTCCATCCTCTTATTTCCATCTATCTGTATCTCAGTAGCCATCATATAAATAGATCTTTTTATTTTATCTATTCTAACAACCTATTGACCTTTATTGGAATGTTTAATTCATTTACCTTTTATGTTACTATTGATAAGATTTACGTCCACCATTTTCCTGTTGTCTGTATATCTTATGTATCTTTTGTTTCTTTATTCCTCCCTTTCTACCTTCTTTGTGTTGAATAATTATTTTCCATGTTATCATTTTAATCTCCTTGTCTTCTTTTTCTATATTTTGTAGTTGTTTTCTACAAGGTTCTCATGATGATTCATTTGACATATTAATTTATAAACATCTAGATTGTATTAATTCCAACTTAATATAAGCATTAATAGTATTGTAGTATATAACATTTATATAGAAGGATTTAATTAAGTGTGCTGAATTTAAGAACAATATATCAAAAAGTATAATACATTACTTACAACCAAATAGAAATGTAATTGAAGGAAAAATATACGTAATTCATAAGAATAGAATGGTTTATTTGTAAATATCATAAAAGTTAATCTTAACTGCAACCTGTCTCTCACTCTGCCTCCCCTGAACCACTCTAGAGGTTGGCAGTCATTTAATCACACTCACATATTTTAGGATAGACAGGTGTTCAAGCCTTCTTTACTTCTCTCTTGTATCCAGGTCACAATTTCTCCATAAAATGTCCAATACCCAGTCCTTTGAGGGTATATCTGACTATTATCACACTCTACACCTCTTCATTACCGTCATCTATCTACCAACATCCTGGTCACTTCTCATCCAATACAAGCTCAGGGCCAGGTGTGGTGGCTCATGCCTGTAATCCCAAAACTTTGGGAGGTCAAGGTGGGAGAATTGCTTGAGCCCAGAAGTTTGAGACCAGCCTGGGAAACAGGGCAAAACCTCGTCTCTACAAAAAACAAAGAAACTAACAAACAAACAAACAAACAAAAAAAGTGAAAATTAGCCAGGCGTGGTGGCAAGAGTATCTGCCTGGTAATGCAGAGAATTCTTCCAGATGTTATCCAATATCACTAAGGCAGTACTTTTACAAACTACAGGGTTACTAAGCTTGGGGTGTCCCCTAATGTAGATAAAGTTGCAGTAACCAAAAATTTAGATCGCAACACCCATGTCTTCTTGAATACCTTAAAATCCTTCCCAAGAAGAATGGGTATAAACAAGCCCAGACTGTGAAGACCACAATAAATACCTAACTCTACAATGCCCAAACACTGATGAACATCCACAAGCATCAAGACCATTCAGGAAAACATGACCTCACCAAATGAACTAAATAATGCACCAAGGGCAAATCCCAGAGAGGCAGATATGTGACCTGACAGAGAATTCAAAAATAGTTCTTTTGAGGAAACTGAAAGAAACTCAAGATAACACAGAGGGAATTTAGATTCCTATGGATAAATTTAACAAAGAAATTGAAATAATTATAAAGAATCAAGTATAAATTCTAGAGTTGAAAAATGCAATTGGCATACTGAAGAATGCATCAAAGACTCTTAATAGCAGAATCGATTAAACAAAAGAAAGAAGTAGGAAGTAGTGAGCTCAATGGTAGGCTATTTAAAAACACGCAGTCAGAGGAGACAAAAGAAAAAAGAATAAAAAAGAATGAAGCATGCCTAAAAGATCTAGAAAACAGCCTCAAAAGGGCAAATCTAGGAGTTATTGGCCTTAAAGAGTAGGTAGAGACAGAGATAGGGGTAGAAAATATTTTCAAAGGGATAATAACAGAGAATTTCTGAAACCTAGAAAAAGGTATCAATATTCAAGTACAAGAAAGTTAAAGAACACCAAGCAGATTTTACACACAAAAAAAGAAGTCCTTCAAAAAGAACTTCTTCAAACATGAAGAAGATATAATGATTTTCCCAGAGGAACAAAAGCTGAAGGATTTCACCAACACCAGACCAGTCTTACAAGAAATGCTAAAGGGAATTCTTCAATCTGAAAGAAAAGGACATTAGTGAGCAATGAGAAATCATCTACAGGTACAAAACTCATGCATGGTAGTAAGTTCCTAGAAAAACACAGAATATTATAATGCTGTAATTGTGGTATGTAAACTACTCATATCTTAAGTTAAAAGACAAAAAGATGAACTGATCAAAAATAATAACTATAACATTTCAAGACATAGACATTACAATAAGATATAAATAGAAACAACAAAAAGTTAAAAAGCAAGGAGATGAAGTTAAAATACAGAGTTTTCTTAGTTTTCTTTTTGCTTGTTTTTTTGTTTATGCAATTAGTGTTATTGGTTTAAAATAATGGGCTATAAAATATTATTTAGTACCTCATAGTACCTTAAATCTAAAAACATAAAATGGCTACACACAAAAAAAAGCCAGAAACAAAAATATACTGCTAGAGAAGATCACTTTTACTAAAAGAAGGAGAGAAAGGAGAAAACAAGAACAAGAAGACCAGAAAACAAATAACAAAAAGGCAGCAGTAAGCCCTTACTTACCAAATAATGGCATTGAATGTAAATGAACTAAACTCTCCAATCAAAAGACATAGAGTGGCTGAATGGGTATTAAAAAAAAAAAAGACCCAATGATCTGTTGCCTACAAGAAAAATGCTTCAGCTGTAAAGACACATAGACTGAAAATAAAGAGATGGGCCAAGTGCTGTGGTAGCTCACACCTGTAATTCCAGCAGTTTAGGAGGCCAAGGCAGACAGATAACTTGAGGCCAGGAGTTGGAGACCAACCTGGCCAACATGGAAAAACCCCATCTCTATTAAAAATATAAAAATTAGCCAGGAGTGGTGGCACATGCCTATAATTCCAGATACTCTGAAGGATGAGGCATGAGAAGTGATTGAACCCAGGAGGTAGAGGTTTCAATGAGCTGAGATGCTGTGACTGCACTCTAGCCTGGAACACAGAGAGAGACTCTGTGTCAAAAACAAAACAAAACAAAACAAAAGACGAAGAGGGTCATTATATAATGATAAAGGAATCAATTCAAAAAACAGCACACAACAATTGTAAGTACGTATACACCCAACACAAGAGCACCCCAGATATAGAAAACAAATATATTACAGTTAAAGAGAGAGAAAGACCCCAGTCCATGGGAGGTGCTTTTTAAATGTTCTCCACTCCCTCTCATCACACTATATTGCAATGTGCCATGTTTCCTTTCTGTATTATATGGACTTGGCACAAAAAACGACGGATTATTCTTCTCCCGTAGGGAATAGATGCAGAAGCAATTATCATGTATACTATCTGGTAATAAATGTGTGCTTTACTTCATGGAAAAGGTTGGAGTAGTTTCAACTGGTTTACTCAGGCTTAAGAAAAATTACCGAAATACATACTTTTTGTTATCACTTTTTCAGTTCTTTTTCCCTCCATCTCTGGTCCTCCTGTGCACACTGAGGTAGTGAGGTAGGAAAGTCTCACTGATATAGTTTTGCTCTGTGTCCCTACTCAAAATCTATCTTGAATTGTAATCCCCGTAATCCCTGTGTGTCAAGGGTAGGACCAGGTGGAGGTAATTGAATCATAGAGGCAGTTTCCTCCATGTTTTTCTTGTAATAGTAATGAGTCTCATGAGATCTGATGGTTTTATAAGCATCTGGCATTTCCCCTGCTTGCACTCACTCCATCCTACCACCCTGTAAAGAAGGTGCCTGCTTCTCCTTTGATTTCTGCTGTGATTATAAGTTTACTGAGGCCTCTTCAGCAATGTGGAGCTGTAAGTCAATTAAACCTATTGCCTTTATAAATTACCCAGTCTCGGGTATTTCTTCATAGCAGTGTGAAGACAGACTAATAAACTCACTCAACAGAGTTCCAAGGGGGAGGCTGCAGGAGCTGAAAGTCTGGCCAGGCTGCTCCCTCAGAGAACTAATTAGAGGAAAGTGGACTAGATCACCAAGCCCAGAGGACATCACAGACAGAAGAGTGGTCCTATGTCAGGCAGAACTCAGGTTGTGGAAGGAGGCAAATATGAAAGTGATGGCTAAGAGGGGAAGCCTGTGTGTGGCCAACAAGATCCGATGCCTCCCTGAGATAGACCCAGATTTGCAGTGAAGTCAATGACTGAGCACCATCTTGAATCCACTGGGTTTTTTCCTGAAAACCAGGGCAGAACACAGCCAAGACAGTAGGTGTGGGTGCAGGTGGGAATGGTTAGCAAGGGAGGGAAAGGAAGTGGATGACAATGAGACAGTAAAGATGGACATTTACAGAAGGATGGTGGACATCATTCTGTAAAACTCCAGAGAGGGGTGAAATCAAGCTCAAGTGTATTTCTGAGGACAAATTGGCAAATGTCCTGAAAGGGCTCATGCAACACCCATTACAATCCTGACCTAGGATGCTGTATTAGTCCATTCTCATACTGCTACAAAGAAATACCTGAGACTGGGTAATTAATACGGTGAAGAGGTTTAATTAGCTCACGGTTTCACAGGCTCTACAGGAAGCATGGATGTGAAGACCTCAGGAAACTTACAATCAACACAGAAGGCGAAGGGGAAGCAGGCACACCATACATGGCCAGAGCAAAGGAAGAGGGAGGGTGGGGAGGTGCTACACACATTTTAAAAACCAGATCTCACAATAACTCACTCACAATACCCAGAACAGCACTAAAAGGAAAATCTGCCCCCAGAATCCAATTGCCTCCCAACAGACCCCCCCCACCAACATGCAAGATTACAATTTGACAGGAGATTTTGGCGAGGACGCAGACTCAAACCATACCAGATGCCTTCCAGTACGGCAGAGGATAAACAGCTCAAAACTACATTTTCCAGATGTATTTCAACTGAGTCATTTCCCATACCCGGGACTTTCACTGAAACTGAGTAACATGGGGGTTGAGGCAAGGTGCAGGATATGTCTTTTTGGTCATGGAATGCAGGCAGTAATGGCATGATCACGACCAGCGGCTGCTGACCTTGCAGTTTCCTGTCTTTGGCACAGGCAGCAGCTCTCTCCACAGCCCAATTCTGCAGTGTGGCTCTGGAAGGCATTTCTGGGATCTTTGGCTACCAAATGTTCTGTGATGAGCAGTTATGGCAAACCTACCCCCAAAGGCCCAGGGAGCTGAGAGGTTGAAGAAAGAGGCTGACAAATCCGGTTTCTAAAACAACAACAACAAATCATTTAATAGGGAGTTACAAACAGAAGTGATATCTCAGGCAGCTGCAAGATGGTGGATTCCTGCACCCGCTTTCCAGTAAGGTACTTTCTATACCAAGCTTTTTGGTAAGATAGACATCTTCATGAAGGGTTATTTATGCTCTAGACATTGTTTATTTATGAGGGGTTGTTTCTGCTTTGGAGAGTGTGCAAAGACCTTGCTGCAGATGCAGGAGTCAAACATCAATCATCCTAATGGTTTTGCTTCAAGATGGCATCATTCTTGCCATGTAACAGGCTAGTTTTCTGCAACAAAAAATCATAAAATATATCCTTTAGTACACCTTTTTGTTTGTAGAGTAGCTACAATGCGGTTGTCCTAACAGAAAACTTTCACTAATGCAAAGTGATATAAAATTAGTTGCTGGCAATAGACTGTAAAGGAAAATGCAAATGAAATTCTCTATCTGACCTGGGTGGATTAGAAGAATTTTATATTTTAATTTAATTGATTTAAAAGTCATATTGTATAATAAAAGGAATCTGAGGCAGTTACAAATATTACTATTGTATTATGTCACAGTGATAGTATATAGCACTCAGTTGTAAACATTTACTTAAACTATCACCTATTGTCACCTGGAACAAAATGCCTGTTAAAGATAAGATGCTGACAGATTGAAGTGGTTACTGTGATTAAAAATTATGGGGAGAAGGCATAGTGAATATGAGATATATAGGGTAGCCTGGATCCTTCTAATTCTGCTGAAGACAAGTTCAAGTTTAAAAATTTTCAGTTTAAGAAATGTTTTTAAAACCAGGGATTTTCTATGCTCATCATAAAATAATTTCTTATTTTCTATAGTCAAAAATTAGATATTATGGTCCTGTGGGTTGTTGGATTTCAAAGTAGGTTGAATTTTCAGCCTTCTTAATTTTATTGTGTTAAAAGGAATCACGTTGATTAGGAAAAAATAGGACCATGGAACCAGCCAAAATGGCCAAATAGCAACAGCTCTGCTCTGCGGATCCCACTGAGAATGATGAAAATGGTGAGTGAATTCTGCATCTTCAGTAGAGGTCCCAAGGTTCTTTCATTGGGAATGACTAAGCAGTTGATGTGACTATGAAGAGTGAGGAAACTCAGGGTGGAGCGACGGCCAACCTGGGAGCTGCACGGGGAAAAGGGAGCTCCCTTCCGCAGCCAAGAGAAGTGGTGAGGGATTGTACTACACCTCCCTGAAAACCATGCTTTTCCCATAGATCCTTGCAAGGACATCAAGAGGTCCCCTTATGTGCCCACTCCACTAGGGCCTTGGGTCCCAAGCACAGAGCTGTGCAGATTCACAGTGGCTGCTCAGGTGGGTGGTCACTCAAGCCAGCACTGAGACACAGGAGTGTTTGTGTACTTCAGCTCTGGGAACTCTGGTGAGGCAGGAGATCCATTCACTCCCATTGGAATGGGGCTAATGTTAGGTAGCCAAGCAGCCTCACTCCCATGGGACCCCTCAAACCACAACCTACGGGCTTGGAACCCCTACTGGCCAGGGCAGCAGTCTGAAGACTGCCTAAGAAGACTGAGTTCCCAAAAGGAAGGGGTGGCCACCACCACTGCAGCTCCAGTAGGCCATTTTCCCCTGCAACTTGCCAGTGAGACTGGGTGGTTTGGACCGGGAGCAATTCCTCACAGCGCAGCACAGCGGCTGGGTCAGATGGTGGCCAGGCTGTTTCTTTAAGCAGGACCCTGATCCACACTTCCTCACAGGGAAGAGCCTCACTGTGGGAATTTCAGCATACCCAGCCAGGGGTTTATAGACAGAACTCCGATCTCTCTGAGAGGAGCCACTAAAAGCGGGGGCTGCAATATTGTGGATCAGCAGTCTAAGTCTTTTCTGCCTGCTGGCTCTGGAGAGTCACGGCAGCCCAGACACGGGGGGTTTCCCCCAGCGCACACACCCACTCTGCCAAGGGGCAGCCAGACTGCTTATTTAAGTGGTCCCTGATCCCACTCCTCCTGACTGGGTGAGACCTCCCAACAGGAGTCTCCAGACACCTCATACAGGAGCATTCCAGCCAGCATCAGGTCTGTGCCCCTCTCTGACAGAGCCCCCAGAGGAAGGAACAGGCTGCCATCTTTGCTGGTCTGCAGCCTCTTTTGGTGATACTTCCAGGGGTGGGAGGAACCCAAATTAATAGGGTCTGGAGTGGACCCCCAACAAATCACAGCAGCCCTATGAAAGAGGAGCCTGACTGCTAAAGGAAAAACAAACAGAATGCAACAGCAACAACAACATCAATGAAAAAGACTCCACAAAAACCCCATCCAAAGGTCAGCAGCCTCAAAGATCAAAGGTAAATAAACCCATGAAGATGAGAAAGAATCAATGGAATAAGGCTGAAAACTCAAAAAGCCAGAGTGCCTCTTCTTCTGCAGATGATCACAACATGTCTCCAGCAAGAACACAGGACTGGGCTGCAGCTGAGATGGATGAATTGACAGAAGTAGGTTTCAGAAAATGGGTAATAACAAACTTTGCAGAGCAAAGAAATAAAGAACCAGTATAAAACACTACAGGTGCTGTTAACCAGAGTAGCCAATTTAGAGAGGAACATAAATAACTTCATTGAGCTGAAAAACACAACACAAAAACTTCATAATGTAAACACAAGTACCAATACCTGAATAGACCAAGTGGAAGAAAGGATATCAGAGCTTGAAGACTATTGCTGACACAAGACAAGCAGACAAAATTAGAGAAAAAAGAATAAAAAGGAATGAACAAAACCTCCAAGAACTATGGGATTATGTTAAAAGATCAAGTGTATAACTGATAGGGATAGTCATGACATGAAATCAGAGCTGACACAAACAAATGGAAAATCACTCCATGCTCATGGATAGGAAGAATCAATATCATGAAAATGGCCATACTGCCCAAAGTAATTTATAGATTCAATGCTATTCCCATTAAAATACCATCCATATTCTTCACAGATTTAGAACAAATACTTTTAAAATTTATATGAAACAAAAAAAGAGCTCATATAGCTGAGACAATCCTAAGCAAAAGAAACAAAGCTGGGGCATCATGCTACCACACTTCAAACTATACTACAAGGCTACAATAACCAAAATAGCATGGTACTGGTACAAAAACAGACACATAGACCAATGGAACAGAATAGACAACTCAGAAATAAATCCATACATCTACAACCATCTGGTTTTTGACAAACCTGACAAAAACAAGCAATAGGGAAAGGATTTAGTATTTAATAAATGGTGCTGGGAGAACTGGCTAGCAGTTTGCAGAAAATTGAAACTGGACCCCTTCCTTACACCTTATACAAAAATTAACTCAAGATGGATTAAAGACTTAAGTATAAAACCCAAAAGTATAAAAACTCTAGAAGAAAATCTAGGCAATACCATTCAGAACACAGGCATTGGCAAAGATTTTATGACAAAATCACCAAAAGCAATTGCAACAAAAGCAAAAATTGACAAATGGGATCTAATTAAACTAAAGGGCTTCTGCACAACAAAAGAAACTATCATCAGAGTGAACAGGCAACCTACAGAGTGGGAGAAAATTTTTGCAATCTATCCATCTGACAAAGGGCTAATATTCAGAATCTACAAGGAACTTAAACAAATTTGCAAGAAAAAAAAACCCCATTAAAAAGTGGACAAAATACATGAACAGACATTTCTCAAAAGAAGACATTTATGCAGCCAACAAACAAATGAAAAAAAAAAGCTCAATGATACTTACCATTAGAGAAATGCAAATCAAAACCACAGTGAGATACCATCTCACGCCAGTCAGAATGGCAATTATTAAAAACTCAAGAAACAACAGAGGCTGGTGAGGTCACAGAGAAATAGGAAGGCTTTTACACAGATGGTAGGAATGTATATTAGTTCAACCATTGTGGAAGATGGTGTGATAATTTCTCAAAGATCTAGAACCAGAAATATACTATTTTACCCAGCAATCCCATTACTGGGTATATACCCAAAGGAATATAAATCATTCTATCACAAAGATACATTCACGTGTATGTTCATTGCAACACTATTCACAATAGAAGGACATGGAATCAACTCAAATGCCCATCAATGATAGACTGGATAAAGAAAATGTGTTACATATCCACCATGGAATACTATGTGTCATAAAAAGGAATGAGATCTTGTCCTTTGCAGGGACATGGAAGGAGCTGGAAGCCATTATCCTCAGCAAACTAACACAGAAACCGAAAACCAAACACTGCATGTTCTCACTTATAAGTGGGAGCTGAACAATGAGAACACATGGACACAGAGAGGGGAACAACACACACTGGGGCCTATCGGGGGGGGGATGCAGGGAGGAAGAGCATTAGGAAAAATAGCTAATGCATATAGGGCTTAATACCTAGGTGATGAGATGTTAGGTGCAGCAAACCACCATAGCACACGTTCACCTACGTAACTAACCTGTACATCCTGCACATGTGCCCTGGAACTTAAAATAAATTAAAAAAAAAAAAAGTATATATCCATTTTATTTTGTGAAAAGCTTTATCAAAAATAAAATGTCAAGTATTAACATCTCCCTTTCTGCATCTGTGAATATACCATATAGTTTTGCATTTTTTTATTTATTAGTAATACATTAATAGATTTCCTTTCCTTTCCTTTCCTTCAAACCTTTCCTGCATTATTGGGATAAACCTCAGTTGATGTATTATTCTTCTAATGTGCTATTGTTGGATAATATTTTTATTTGTGATTTTTGCATCATTATTCATAAATGACATTCTCCTGTAGTTTGTATGCTTTACTTTGTCAGTTTGGTGTTTGTGTTATGCTTATTAAGGATTTGTTTACTGAGGATGTATTTTATCTTTACTTCTTTTAATAATTTAATAAAATATTTTTAAGTAAAAAATGTTCTTTTAAAAAAGTTTTATTACTGTTTATTTAAATTATTTTTATTATGATGTTACTTAAAGACATACAAACATAAAACTATGTATAAATGTCTTGTGCTTATAGCTTTTATATTATAAATGAAAAATGTATATAATATAAATAAAAACAGTAAAACAAAGAAACAATGGTTATTAAACTAATATTCAAACCTACAAATGTAAGCTAATGTGATGGGTGTTTTTGTTTTGCTGAAACTAAATAACTGATGTTGGGATTGAGAGGAAAACAGGCTTCGTATCAGGTTCTGTAACCTTTAAAAAAACCTTTAATACAAAGAATGGTAATTCATATACATTTATTGTACAATACTTGATTAATTTAAAGTCTTTGTTTACTAGTTCAAGATAGTTAACCTTATTCTTAATCAAAAGGTTTCCAGGTAACAACTAATAGATCTGTGAAATTGTTTTCTTCACCTGAAAAAAATTAACATTTCAGCATAATTGAAATTTCCACTCAATGCATATTATCCAGTTATTATTAGAATCACAGAACAAAAAACTTATACCCTGGGTGTTTGCTACCATAATGAGCATTTACTGCAGTATTGCTAATGAACAATTGCAAGTGGTTACCACAAAAATAGAATCCCATACCTCTGCTTGAAAGTCAGATATATCCCTGACAGCTATGGAGCAAGGACTTTTGGGTTTGACACGCCTGTTTTAGAGGCACTATGGGGCAGAAGTGAGCCAATTTGCCAGGTGCCAATTCAGTGAACGATCAAGTCATCAATATTATCAAAGCCATCCATTTTTCAGAATCTTCTTTCTTTTAACTATGAATAAGGCTTAAAGCATATTGTATAGGATGGTTTAAACAGCTTTTAAACATTTCTGGTCATTTTAGTTAACAAGTTTTCATCATTTCTTCTTAAGAGTGCCAATGTTTAATTCTTCTCTACCCAATTCCCTGCTAAGAGATAGAAAGACAAGTCAGTTCCTAAGAATCTAGAGTTGCTGATTCCTGAAAGTGGGGGATTAAGGGACAGAGAGAGATGGAGACTGACAGGGGGAGGAGAGGCAGACGACTTCCAGGGAAGAAATCTGAAGCCAGAACCTTTTCTTCCTAAAGGCCTTATAACCTATCTGATTCAAATCATTCCAAGCTTTATAAAAAACGGATAGAAATACATATTTTATGAATTTAGCCAATTCAGCAAATTGGTCATTCAGTGATTTGCTCACTCATGAAATGGACTCTCTAGTAAACTGTCTTTCAGCAAATTGGTTTTAGATGAGTTGACCTTTGGGCAAATTGATGTGAGCCTTACAGCTTAATGGATAAGAAATTTGGCTTTGGGGCCAAGCTGTCTGTGTTACAATCCTAACTCTACTTTCTGGCTGTGCAGGGTCTTGAACAGGGACTTAGCCTCCCTGTGCCTTTATCCATGAAAATGGGAGTAACTAGAATGCTTTCCCGCATAGAGTTGTTGAACAAGACTATTAGTTAATACACTGACAGCACTTAGAGTGGTGCTGGCATTTGCAAGTGCTCAAAGCAGTCCTGAGTAAACTTATTCTTCTCTTTTTTGTTTTTTTGTTGTTGTTGTTTTTAGAGATGGAGTCTTGCTCTGTTGCCCAGGCTGGAGTGCAGTGGTACGATCTTGGCTCACTGCAACCTCCACCTCCCAGGTTCTAGCAATTCTCCTGGCTCATCCTCCCGAGCAGCTGGAATTACAGGCACATACCGCCATGCCCACCTAATTTTTGTATTTTAGTAGAGACGGGGTTTTGCCACGTTGCCCAGGCTGGTCTCCAACTCCTGAGCTCAGTCAGTCCACCCGCCTCGGCCTCCCAAAGTGCTGGGATTACAGGCATGAGGCACCACGCCGGGCCAAACTTTTTCTTACATATGGTTGGCCAGACTAGTGTCACATGCCCACCTCCTCCCTGATACCATCTCTTCTTGACATCTGAACCGTAAGGGTTCTCTCAGTAAGAAGGGGAATGGCTTCGGGGGAAGAAATTGATGGCATTGATTACTGTATTTTCTCCTCTCCATACCTTTGATCTCCTTTTTGGGGACACTAGTTACCCATATATTTGATCTCCCTCATCAGTCGATAGTGTTAAAAGCAACAGAAAATGGACTAAGACACCCTCCTTCGTCTTGTCAGGATGTTGCTCTTAACAGAATACCTGAAACTCGGTAATTTATAGAGAAGAAAAATTTATTATCTTACAGTTATGGGGGCTTGAAAGTCCAAGGTCAAGGGGGCACATCAGGTGAGAGCCTTCTTGCTGGTGGGGATTCTGTATCATATCCTGAGGTGGCGCAGGCCATCACATGGCGATTCTTGCTGCAGCAGCATCACCTGGCAAAAGACTTTCTATGAGGGTAAAGGCAGGAAGGACTTTCAGTTATGAAGCTGGGAGGGTGCTGGGGCTTCAGAAACGCTAGGGAGGAAGGGGAGCCTTAGTCTAAGGGGCCTGAGTGTGAGTGTACTAGTGTACTTGCTCAGGTCTCTCTTCCTCTCGTAAAGCCATCAGTTCCACTCCCATGATCATCCATTAATCCATTAACCCATCATAAAAGAAAAACTTTAGACAAATTACATTTAACAGAATTTAACTGAGCAAAGAACCATTGAGAATTAGGTAGCCTCCAGAACCAGAATAAGTTCAGAGCAACTCCTGGGCTGCCAGATGGTCAGATAAGATTTATGGACCAAAAAAAGGAAAGCAACAGACAGAGAGTGGAAGTGAGGTACAGAAACAGCTTCACTGGCTAAGCTATAACCTATCCTATTCAAACAAACAGGTTAATGCCTACTTGTATGAACACAGTTTGAGGAGTTGACGTCTGTGATGGGCTGAAACTCTGTGATTGATACAAGAGTAGATTATAGTTTGTTTAAACATCCAGCTAGGTCACATTTCACTATGTGTGGAGAAACCTTTAGGATGAACCTAAAATATGTAAGGAGGCAGTTTTAAGCGAAACTTACTTTAACACCCATTAACCCATTCATGAGGACTCTGAACTCATGACCAAACCACATACTAACACCCATTAGCCTATTCATGAGGGCTCTGCCTCCTACTGACCACCTACTGACACCCATTAACCTATTCATGAGGGCTCTGCTCTCATGACCCAACCCAACCTATTGAAAGTTTTCACCTTTCAATACTGCCACATTGGAGATTAAGTTTCAGCACATGACATTTGTGGGACAATTCAAACCATAGATAGGGTGAGGAGGAAATTTGGCCCCACCCTCCCCACTGGTTTCTGCCTCTGAATGTGGCTGAGAATATGGTGCTCAGAACTGTGAGAGCCCAGGAACAGAAAACCAAACAATGCACATTCTCACTTATGAGTGGGGAGTTGAACAATGAAAACACATGGACACAGGGAGGGGAACGACACACACCAGGGCTTGTTGGGGGGTGTGGGGTGAGGGGAGGGGGAGCATCAGGACAAATAGCTAATGCATGCTGGGCTTAAAACCTTAAGGACGGGTTGATAGGTGCCGCAAACCACCATGGCACATGTATACTTATGTAACAAACCTGCACGTTCTGCACATGGATCCAGTAACTTAAACTAAAATTAAAAAAAAAAAAAACCTGTGATAGCCCTCTTAGAGCAGAGGTTAAGAAGAGGCAGAGGCTGACCGGGGCCCTGGAATCCCTGAGTGCTGATCCAAACTCAGCCATAGCTGGTCTCAGTGCTTAGACGTTATCACAGGAGCAGCATGAGTAACTTTATGATTGTGGGAAAAAGTGTGTCGGTGGGAGGAAGGGAGTGGTCTTGGAGTTTGTTTGTATTTGCTAAATTATAGAGTGCAGAGAAGGAGTAGTTGGAGATTAAGTTGGACATGTAAATGGACATGTAAAGTTAAGTTGAGCATGTAAATCACAATTGAAATTAGGCTTTGGACTTCTTGTTCAAGATATTCATGAACCAAGTACATGCATATGCCTCCCATCATTCCCTAAGCTTCTTAAAAATAATATAGTACATTTATGTTGCTTTAGTCTCTAAATCACAACATGAAGGTGAGACTGGTTGGCAGCTAATGAGCAGACCAGAGAGGCCTGGAATCTCAGAGAGAGATGGAAGAGGTGGCTTAGAAAGATAGTGCCAGACTCTGGACCAACCACATCAGAATCTCTGGGGTGGCTGCCAGGGAACAGTTTTCCTTTAAGGACCCAGGGGAGCCCAGTGTGCTCAATGCACAGCTAAGTTTGAGAATCACTGACTTAGAATACACAAATAGGGGCCCAGCAGGGATTGAAGCTGTCCGCCCAGAGGAACCCGCAGGGATTCTGAGCTCAGAGAGGCCAGGTGGGATGCAGGGTTGGGTGAGAAGTGGGGCTGAGGCAGGGAGCTTTGTGGGAGGTCCATGTATGATACAGTCAACCCCCACCCACCACCAGCTCCAGACACCAACCTTCCAGAAGCCAGGCATTTCCTCCTCTGACACCAACAACGGAGGGCTCTTCAAACACAAAAAGGAAAAATCCCTGAATGTATGGTCTGGAGAGAACTCAGGCAGCTGGTGTGGGCAGTGGAGTCTCAGGAAAGCCCCCCTCGTTGTTTAAATTTTTTTCTTCTTAATTATTATGGGTACATAATAGGTGTATCTATTTATGAGGTACATGGGATGTTTTGATACAGGCATACAATGTGTAATAATTACATTCCTGTAACTGGGACATCCATCTCTTGTACACTGTTAGTGGAAATGTAAATTAGTACAGTCACTATGGAGAACAGTATGGAGATTCCTCTGATGGAGGAAGATTCCACTGATGGAGAGATGGCTCGGGCCTGTGGTAGGGCCAGCTTCTGCCCAACGTCACTGTGTTGGTGACATTTGCACCCCAACCACAGCAGACTGCTGCCTTTCTGCAGGACTTCCTTTATCTCAAGAGTTCCCTCTCGGTTCTTGGTTTCTTTCATCCATCAGAGGAGGACCGACCACATCACCTACTCCAACCTCCAAACCCACCAAGGACTCAAGCCACAGCTATTCCACCCACCAGGGAAGTTTGTGGTCTCTGCAGATCCCACCTGCAACCCCAGAACGTGCCCACAGACCTTTGAGCCCCCTCTCGATGGGGCACAGAGGGGAGGGAGAGCCCAGCAGGAGCTGTTCATTGGGAAAACAACTCCTCATTTACAGGGGTTAGCCCCATCCCTTATGGACCACAGAAGGATGCCCTGTCAGCCTCCAGCCTTCCCACCTGCATAAGAGCCTTCCCTGCCATCCCCTGTCAAATGTCTGCTGTCCCTTCCACATGCAGCTCACATGGCCCTGGGGAGCCATCCCCGACCTGTCCCAGGTGAATTAGGTGCTCTGGGCCCTACCAGCACTCTTAGCTGTTATCCATGAATACCCTGAGGTTCTCATGTATGCTCTGGAACAAGACAGCAGCTTCCAGCTAAGCTACAGGCAGCAGCCTGGACTGCTTGTCATGCAGCACATATTTACTGAGCACACCTGAGCCTGGCACTGGAGGAGACTTCCCTTCCTGTCCAGTCACCATCTGCTGCTGTCACTGAGCTCCTAGGTGGCTTCACAGAGAGCACAGCCTCACCCAGCACCTCCCCTTCCGACAGACACCTCAGCCCACAAGTGGCCCAAGCTACGTGTTCTGTGGAAAAATGAAGGAGAGCTCCTCTCCTTTAGTTGTCTTCAGGCGGCCCTGAGCAGTCAGGTGTGCGCTGTTGTTCCATAGCTGACAGCGCAGCCCACCCTGGCTGTGTGGTGCCCACCTCCTTAGGAGCCTGCAGGGCTCCAGCTCAGGGCTGGGCCCAAGACACACTCCAGCGTCAGCCATCTTGCTTGCTGGGGAGGCACCTCAGGTACAGGTTGAACTTCTGAAATGCAGTTTTTTACCCTCAGCAAAGAAAAATGAGAGAAAAAAGTAACAGTTTAAATTGTGTAGCAATTCTACCCCACTAGAATCAACTTCGCTCAAATACCTAAAGCCTTGGCGTGAATATGAGTTGGAATTTGTAAATCCATGGTTCCCTTGGTCCATCTCTCTGTTCCCACCCACCTTTCTGGGTGCCCATGGTTTGCTGGTATCTGATTAAAGGCCAGCTCTCAAGGAGCGAAGAGCCCTGGTTTCAAGCACTTGGCAATTTCTGTGGTGTAAATACCCCACTTTGGCTGATTTCAAGCTACCAACATCATGACTGTGAATATAGATTTGGGAGGAGATGAACAAAACCAGCTCACAAGTGGTTTCCAGCTGGCTCCAGCACACACTGTCCACGAGTGCATCTAATGTTTAAATGTGAAGGGCACATTTTTCACATAGCATGGCCCCTAAACATCAGCCAACTGTTTCATCAGGAAGAAAATGCAGGCTCTTCTAAAGCAGGAAAAACTCTAAGGGATTCACAAGAGTAATTGTATTTATTTTTCTATTTTTAAAATGTTATTTTCTATTTAATTGACAAAATCATGTATATTTTTGTACACAACATGTTTTTAAATACGTGAACATTGTAGATGGCTACATCTAACTAATTAACTTATACATTAATTACCTCACATACTTATCGTGTGTGTGTGTTTGTGTGTGTGTGTGTGAGAGAGATGAGAAGACTTAAAATCTACTTTCTTGTAAATTTCCAAGAATACAGTGTGTTACTATTAGCCATGGTCACCATGTTTTACAATAGATCTCTTGGACTTACTATTCTTCTCTAACTGAAATTTTGTATCCTTCGTCCAACATCTCCTCCCACTGTGCCCTTACCTCTGGAAATCACCATTCTACTTTCTACTTCTATGACTTCAACTTTTTAGCTTTCATATGTAAGTGTGGTCATGAGATATTTTTCTTTCCATGCTGGCTTATTTCGCTTAACGTAATGTCCTTTAAGTTCATCCGTGTTGTCATAAATGATTGAATTTCCTTCTTTCTAATGGCTAAATTGTATTCCACAGTGTATAGATACTACATTTTCTTTATCCGTCCATTATTTGATGCACACTTAGGTTGATTCCGTATCTCAGCTATTGGGAATAGTGCTGTAATAAACACGGAAGTGCAGCTATCTCTTCAACATACTGATTTCACTTCCTTTGGTTATATACCCAGAAGCAGGATTGCTGGATCATACGGTAGTTCTGTTTTTAATTTTTTGAGGACCCTCCATGCTATTTTCCCTAATGACTGTACTAATTTCCATCCCCACCAAGAGTGTACTTGGGTTCTGTTCTTCCACATCCTCACCAACACTTGCTGTCTTTCATCTTTTTGATAATAGCCATTCTAAGAGGTGTCGGGTGATAGCTCACTGGTGTTGATTTGCATTTCCCTGATGATTAGTGACTTTGAGCATTTTTTCATATACTCGTTGGCCATTCATATGTCTTCTGAGAAATGTCTATTCGGATCCTTTGCCTACTTTTTAATCAGATTCTTTGTTTTCTTATTGTTGGGTTGTTTGAACTCCTTATATATTTTGGATAGTAATCCCTTATCAGATGCGTGGTTTGCAAATATTTTCTCCCATTCCATAGATTGTTTCTTCACTCTGTTAATTGTTTCCTTGGCTGGGCGGAGCCTTTTAGTTTAACGTAAGCCTATTTATTTCTTTTTGCTTTTGTTTTCTTCTGGTAGTTTTATAATTTCAGGTCTTATATTTAAGTCTTTAATTGATTTTGAGTTGATTTTTGCACATGGAGTGAGATGAAGGTCCATTTTCACCCTTCTGCATGTGGAAATCCAGTTGTCCCAACACCAGAGTAATTTTAACTGTACTTAACTTCCACTTTAAAACTTAATTCTTCCCTCCAGTAACCGAAGGAAAGGCATGGTTACTTCTCCTCCACCCTTCTTCACTAGGCCGTCCAAGCCCAGGCTGAAGGGAGTTCCCCCATCTACCTCCCCACCAGACTAAAATTTGAGGGCACAAAATGACTTTATTTTTGGGAGCCCAGCATGCTTGGAGGCAGAACTTGGGATCCAGCGGGACACTGATTCCATCCCTGCTTCTACCGCTAAGCTCTGTCATCCAGCACATCCTCAATGGCCTCATCTGGAAAATGGGATAATACCTCCTCTGCAGGGTTGCTGGGAGGACTAAATAGATAGAAGAAAGCCCCACACACAGCACAACACACAACAGGGCAACTCCGACTGCCTCCCCTCCCCCATTCTTCCCCAGAGAAACAGGGCTGAGCCATAGTCGGGCAATGTCGCCACTTAGTGGCTGTGCTCAGAATTGCCCAAAAGACCAACAGTTTCCGGATTTGAGGAAAACCGGGAAAGCACTTAGAGAAGAGGTGCTGGGATTCTGAGATGCCATTTGGCATTATGGAAAGTGACTGGGCACTAGCATCCGGAAAATGAGGTTCAAGTCCCAGCCTTGCCAAATATTAGCTGTTTGATCCTAATCAAGTTGTGTAACTTCTCTAAGCATCAGTTTCCTGTTGTGTAAAATGGAGACAAGAATTGTCATCTCATTAGATGAATGCTGGGTAAGCATTTGTTGCCCTTATCTTGCTCCTGACCCTCTTTTACTCCCTCTCCCCATCCTGATAAACATCACCTACCTGGTTCCTGACCCCCTCAGTAGTTCCCTTGGCCACATCTTTTCGACTTTATTTTTCAGATGTAGAACCTAATTTCCCCCTAAACCCTTTACCCCTCATGGGGAGAACCTCAAAGTCTACAGTTTTAACCTCAGTATCTTAGGTTTAAAAACTCTAAATTCTTATACTATGTAGTAACAGACTCCTGGTGATACATTCATGGTGACAAAATTATGTGGACAATGATTCATAAAGCAGAAAGCAAGTTACTCATTTATAATAGAAAAGATACTCCTGTCTGGGGATGGGTACCAAGTCAGCAAACCAAGATACTCCCTATTAATAGGGGAGTATCTTCCAGATAACAAGGGATATTACTGGACACAGACTCCGAGATGGTCAGGGTGAGGGACTTTACTCCCACATTCAGGAACACCCCGAGACCCCGTAACCCCGGCTGGAAACACCTCCCTGGTGGGCTGATGCCTGTGACCCTGCCCCGAGGACACATGCCCACCAGCCTCGCTTCTGCGCTGACCAGCGCCTTCCAAGTATTGAGCCCTCCCTAGATGGGCCGAGCCTTAGTCTGCTGGTCTGGGAAAGCCCGGGCTTTAGAACTGCACAGAACTGGGTCTGAATCTCATCTTCCACTTATTATCTGGGTGACCCGGGACAGATTGCTGAACTTGCCTGAGCCTATGAGCTCATCACAATGGTGCACAAGCACCCACTTCAGGGAGTGTCTGCGTTGAGTAAGTGAGGCCCTGTGCGTGCCCAGTGAGGTCCCTGGCATATGCTCAGCCAATGCTCCTATTTCATTCTGAACCCTGCATCTGGGAGATCTTTCCTCCATTCCGAAGGTGCTGGCTTTACCACCAGGCGAGAGTCATGGCTCTGTATTTTCCAATTTTTCTTTCAAAGTAAAACTATTAGACAGGCTTGGTGGCCCACACCTGTAATCCCAACACTCTGGGAGGCAGAGGTGGGAGGATGGCTTGAGCCCAGGATTTTGAAACCAGCATAGGCAACACAATGAGACCTCGTCTCTACCAAAAAAAAAAAAAAAACCTAAAAATTATCTGGGCGAGGTGGTGCACACCTGTGGTCCTAGTTACTTGGTAGGCTGAGGTGAGAGGATTGCTTGAGCCAGGGAGGTCAAGGCTACAGGAAGCACTGATAGCACCACTGCACTCCAGTCACGGCAATAGAGGGAGAACCTGTCTCAAAAAAAAAAAAGAAAAGAAAATCTCCTTGAGGACAGCAAACACCTGAGGATAGATACACACTAATTCTTTTAGTCAACTTATTTCTGCATTTTAAAGTATGAACCACTGAAACCCATTTACAATGAAAGAAAATTTTTAAAGTGTATATTTATAACACTTCCCTCCACACCCCCAGTAGATTCTTCACTCATCAGAAAGAAATGTCATTAAACCTAAGCAAATGGATAAGCTGAATAGATTACGTATTTGTTTTCAAAGGACTAGAAAGAACAGGTTATGAAAAAGGCAATTATTTCAAATGAACATTAGGAAACCATGGGGAACTGTATAAATGTGTGCCTAGGGTCGCAGTCTCTGGGGTAGAGTTAAGTGTGTGGCATGATCCCAAGAGCCTCACCAACCAAAATACCAATCAGAGATAAGAAAAGGCTAAAAATGAGGCAGAAGCCCTCGCTCCTGTCTGGGATTTGGTTAGAGAGTGTAGCCCTTTTCTTGCCAGGACCCTCACTCGACACCAGCTCCATCAAGGAGTGGATGTTTTCTCCCCCACTCACCTTCAGAGACCTTTACACTCTGCAAATGATGTTGGCTGCTGTTGCCAAAGTCCTCAAAACCTCCCTACATGGAAGAATTTCTCCTGTGCAGAGATGGCTGTCCTCGGGGCTGAACACTTCCATCTACTGAGATCTGCCGTGAGTCTCCTCATGACCTGGAGGGAGATCTGGCCTCTGCCCATCACACCTATGTAACTACTCTGCTCTCTGCCCATCCTTTCCCCTGGACCTTCTGGTCAGGGAATGTGCAGAGGGAAGGAGGGAAGTCCACTGTCCCCATTCCCTGTAGGGTGGGCAGATGCAGGAGGGCCCATTTATTAGAATCTAACCATGCAAAGAACATCCCCACTCCCACCCAGAAAAAATGTCTACTACTAATTGATTGGCCTGGGTGTCCCTATCCTTAGGGCTTTGAAATAGGTTTTATCCCTTTGGAAAGCTGTCCTCACCAAAGGACAAAATCTGCTCTTCTAACAAATTTATTTGCAGGCTTCTGAATAATCTCTGGGGGCCCTGGGCATCTGCTCTACGTGTTTACATCTGGCTGTGTGCTCCCTGAATATTTCATTCAGTTAACAGTCATTTAGTGCCTACTATGTACAAGGCAATGAGGCTAAGCACTTGATATGCATTATCTCAATTCCCAAAATAACTCTTTGTGGTGGGTATAATCAATGTATTCACTTTATAGATGAGAAAACAAGGTTTAGAGGATCAAAGGGACTTAATCCAGATCCAAGGCTGGTAAATACTGGAGCAAAAATTCAAACTCAGATCAGTCTGGCCCCGTATCATTTTTTCTATACTTCCAATACAGTGTTTAAAAAGAAAACAACTTAGCTTGGACATAATTTACATACCATATATTTCCCCATTTAAAGTGTACATTTCAATACTTTTTAATATATTCACAAGTTTGTGCAGCCATCAAAACAGTCCATTTTAGAACTTTTTTTTTTTTTTTTTTGAGATGGAGTCTTGCTCTGTTGCCCAGGCTGGAGTGGAGTGGTGCGATCTTGGCTCACTGCAACCTCCGCCTCCCCAGTTCAAGTGATTCTCCTGCCTCAGCCTCCTGAGTAGCTGGGATTACAGGCACACACCACAATGCCCGGCTACTTCTTTTAATTATTATTTTTAGTAGAGATGGGGTTTCAGCATGTCTGTCAGGCTGGTCTCAAACTCCTGACTTCGTGATCCACCTGCCTCAGTCTCCCAAAGTGCTGGAATTACAGGCACGAGCCACCGTGCCAGGCCAGGACATTATTACCTCAAAAAAAGTTTGTATCCTTCAGCCATCCACCCATTTTCTCCTATTCCCCATCTTTCCTCAGCCCTAATCTAATTTCTGTCGCTATAGAGTTTCCTATTCTGGACTTTCATAGGAGTGGAATCAAATAGATGTGGTCTTTTGTGACTGGCTTCTTTAATTCAGCACAAGATTTCAAGGTTCATCAGTGTTGTGTTATAGTTCAGTTCTAATATCGCATTATATGGATATACAATTTTTTACTTATCTATTCATTCATCCACTGAGTTGTTTCCACCATTTGGCTATTATGAACAATGCTGCTATAAACACTCATGTGCAAGTTTCTGTGTGAACATGTGTTTTCATTTCTCTTGGGTATATGCCTAGAAGTGGAACTGCTGGATTATACGGTAAAATTCTATGTTCAATCATATGAGAAACTGACAGACTGCCTTCTAACACAGCTGCACTTCGCCATCAATGTATGAGGGCTTCAATTCCTCCACATCTTTGCCAGCACTTGTCGTTATGAACTTTTTGATTCTAGCTATCCTGATGGATGTAAAGTGGTATCTCAAGGTTTTGGTTTGCATTTTCCTGATGACTAATGCTGTCAAGCACCTTTTCATGTGTGTATTGGCCATTTGTATATCTTCTTTGGGGAAATGCCTATTAGATCATTTGCCTATTTGTAAATTAGGTTATTTGTCTGTTTATTCTTCAGTTGTGAAAGTTATTCATATATCCTGGATAAAAATACCTTATCACATATACAAATGCAAATAATTTCTCCCACCTGTGGATTATCTTTTTATTTCGTTTTAAAAACTATTTCAGGCAGGGCGCAGTGGCCCACACCCTTAATCCCAGCACTCTGGGAGGCCGAGGCAGGCGGATCTCCTGAGGTCGGGAGGTCAAGGCCAGCCTGACCAACATGGAGAAACCCCATCTCTACTAAAAATACAGAATCAGCCGGGCATTGTGGCACATGCCTGTAATCCCAGCTACTCAGGAGGCTGAGGCAGGAGACTTGCTTGAACCCGGGAGGCCAAGGTTCTAATCAGCCAAGATCACGCCATTGCACTCTAGCATGAGCAACAAGAACGAAATTCCATTTCAAAAAAAAAAAAATATATATATATATATATACATATATATATTTCAGTATTTTATTTTATTTTTACATTTTCTTCCTGTAAAAAAATAATTCAAACCTAGGGGTCTTCAAGGCTCAAGGGCAATATAGACCCTGGTGGGGACTGACCCCCGCTGCCAGAAAAGGATTTGATCAGAGTCTTCTTAGAGAGATCTTCGGTTTTTCACAGTTCCAGGATGGGGCAAGAGGTGGTAGTTTCAATCCACATTCCCAGATGGGCTCATCTGATGATGAGAAAACAGCCCTTCATGGAGCGTATGTATGCAGAGAGAACCACATGTTAAAAGCAACAGGCACACATAACTTTTAATTACAAATAATAAATGGTTCAGAAGCAAAACACTGCAGATCAGATGTAGCATGAAAGAGCTGGGAACTGGGAGGAAATGGACGTGACATTCCAGGCAGAGGGAGTGGTGTGTGAGAAGGTCTGAGATAGGAGGGAGCAAGTGTGATTCAGGGGCTGATGGCTTCTATTGAGGTCCAGTTTACATCCAGTACAATTCATCAGTTTAAAGTATATTAACAAAGTTTCCTTGTGTTTCTTAGAGAAAAATTTTAACTTTTCTACAACTGCATATTAGATTCATGTACTGTTTTTCTTCTTACATGGGAATGGGGGACTGTCTGGCCTGGTCTGTCATTTTTCTGATGATATCATGAGTCAAACCATGTCTCCCCTTTCTGTTTGCATCTTCCCCCTGGAACTTAAGTTGAGAGAGACACATGTTGATGTTCTCTGCTTATCTACTGTGTAGACACAGGTGGGTTTAGAGGCTGGACTGTGGGTAGCTATCTTCTGAAAGCTTAGTTTCTATGGTCTTTCTCTGAATTTGTTGAAAACATTTGCACTTCAGGTCAGTGTCCTGGGCTTATGCAGTGTTTTCCAGTGATGGTAGTGCCCCATTAATGTTCATATCTGTGAGTGTGTATTTTAGTTTCTGCAAGGCCCACCAACTTGGTAACCAGTATCATTTGTGTTACTATCTCTGGGAGCAGAGCCTAAAGAAAACAGCAGGCGGCTGGGCGTGGTGGCTCACGCCTGTAATCCCCATACTTTGGGAGGCCAAGGTGGGTGGATCATGAGGTCAGGAGTTCGAGACCAGCCTGGTCAGCATGGTGAAACAACATCTCTACTGAGAAACAGAAAATTAGCCAGGCATGGTGGTACACACCTGTAATCCCAGCTACTCAGGAGGCTGAGGCAGAAGAATCAATTGAACCCAGGAGGCGGAGGTTGCAGTGAGCTGAGATCATGTCACTGCACTCCAGCCTGGGAAATAGAACAAGACTCTGTCAAAAAAAAAAGAAAGAGAGAAAGAGAGAGAGAAAGAAAGAAAGAGAGAGAGAGAAAGAAAGAAAGAGAGAGAGAAAACAACATGCTCATTGCAAACCCTTCTGGGAGAATTTCTTGAGTAAGGATGAAGAGCTTTGCAGAAGCTACAAAGTTTGTTTCCTGAAACAAAAGGCAGAGCAGGGTATCTTGGCTGTTGTAAGGCTGAGATTTGAGTTCACTTGGAATCAAGCCATTCTTCACTCTTGAGATGCTTACTCAATGCAGATCAGCTCCCACTGCAGATATTAGAGAGACCAGTAATTACAATGGAATATTTGGAAATTTTTCTAACAGATGCCTAGCCACATCCTCACATTTCTTGGTGTGTGTAGCACCACTGTGGGAAAGAGCTGGTAACTTGGGTGAATTAATGGGACTCTTCTCCTTATATGTTAATTTGCAGAGGCTAGGGAGGGATGGAACCCACACATGGATTCCCAGCTTCCCAGTTGTGCTCCCAGGATATGATGCTGTTCTGCTTAAGACTCCTTTCAGAGTTCGCGCCTGAAGGTCCAGACCTGTGATGGCTGAGCTGAGCTGAGCAGGGCAGGGCAGGGTGGGTAACCCACGTATTTGGCCTCATAGTTGAAACCCAGTGTCAGCAGCCGATGGTTCTGGGGTATGTTGCCTCTGATGACAAAGCTGGTGGAGGCACGTGTGTTGGGGCCTTGAGACCACAGAGACCTACAGGGCAGGGGTGAAGCAGCTGCACTGCTTGACCCAAGTTGCACCTGGTGGCAGTGTCAGGAAGGATGGAGCAGACCTGGTAGTTTCTGCTCCCCAAGGTCTGGCTAGCTCTCATTCACTGAAGGACACAAAGAAAATATTACTAGCTACTGCAATAGTTTGTATTTACATATAACTCTTTTAGGGAAATATTTCAAATGTAATTAGCATTATAATGAATCAATACAGCAAGGGATTGAAATATTTGAAACATTTTTGAAATATTTCAAAGGTAATTAGCATTATAATGAATCAGTACAGCAAGGGATTGCGTAAAATGGGGTATAATTGAATTGAATTGTTGGAGTTGTATTCTTCAATCTATTGGCACCTGAAAAGGATGGGTTGATGATTTTTAAAATAGCTAGTTTTTAAGTAAAAGTTTTTAAAATGACTCAAATGTTGGTCCATCATATGGGTAGTAAATAGACTTAAGTCCATGACCAGTAGACCAAAAAAATATGAATGCACATTAGTGATGTTAAAAAGTCCAAATCACCCATTTAGTTCCAGTAGAATAACATTACCTAGCACATTAAATTAACTTGAATGTTATTGCTTTGTTTCTATTTCTATACTTTTAATTTTATTGTTTTGAGATAAGCATACGGTGTCTAGATTTTGTTTGTATGCCTTTGAGTAATGTGATAATAAAACAATTTAAGTCAAAATTGGGATTCAAAGGGCATGTTTGACTTTTAACAGGGGACTCATTCTCAGCCCCACACTAGTGTCTGCCACGCATAGTGTCAGTGACACCTAGTGGTTCAAGCAAGAACTGCAACTTCATTGAATGGTGGACGATTTCAATGACAAACAGGTTCTCCCTTAGATAAGCCTCTGGATTCCTCTGATGCGGTGTTGAAATGAGGGCCTACCAGTCCCTGGTGTCTCCCATATTGGCCTGTTCCACGCTGTAGCTCTTCAGCTATTTGAAGCGACTTTATGGAGGAGGGAATGACACTTTGTATACTAGGAACAAAATGTAGATACAAATGATGACTTTTAGAAGGAGAAAGTTTTCAGGAAGGCATTTCTAACAGTTAGAGTGGTTCAACAATGTACAGCACGAGAGCCACTAAGCCATGATTTTAGGATCACTTGGCAGCCTACTAGGCTCACTCACTAGCTAAGCCATCTACAATACACCAACCTCAGAGAATACACAATGCAATGTTTTTGTATTTGTAAATTTATGAATTGCTACATGCTACAGAACTTCAGGCAATTTATGAAAGGTCAAATCCACTGATTACAGAATTCTAAAGGTCATGATGGTCTTTCCAATGCTCTGTCCTCAGCAGCCTGTGCCTGACCCATTCCCATTACCATGCCTGCTTTCCCACCCAAGCTCAAGGCCATCCTGGAAAATGTTGCTTGCAGCATCATAGAGGCACCAACACCTCTGAACTCTCATAATTGTCTTTCTGAATCCTGGGATTGGGGACAGGGAGAGGAAGAGGGTAGAAGTGAAAATAAACCGAGCTTGCAGCACCTTCAGCACTAATCATGAGGTCTGCTGCTTTCTAACTGCTTCCCCACAGTTGTTTGGTGCCTATGGCCTCAGAATCATGTAGATCCTCTTTTAAGATTATAGTTCCTATCAACTGTTCTATAAATAACAACTTGAAATGTTATGTTTTCCCTTTGAGATATTCCCTCAGGTCTTGCATACTGATTAAACTACTGACTCAGTGGGTCTGAATGATCCCAGGAGCAGCTGACTCACCAAAATATGCAGTTTCCAATTGCTGATTATTTCTTCCCCCTTACCCCAACCAATCAACAACCCCAATTTTCTGGCATCTCACCCTCCACGATATCCTTAAAAACCCCAGCCCAGAACTTCTCAGGGAGATGGATTTGAGGATCTTCTTCTATCTTCTCACTCAGTGCCCTGTGATCACTAAACTCTTTCTCTGCTGCAAACCCTGCTGACCTAGTGTAAGTGGTCTGTTACTGCACAGCGGTCATAGAAACCTATTGGCCCTATAACAGTAGGTACCATTAATATATTCATATTTCCATTTTAGAAAGATGTGAAACTACTTTTCATAAGTTGTCCAGGCACACCCAGTTAGAAAGTGACAGAGCTGGGCGTCTGTCTGCAGACCTTGCACACTCAACTTCTGTTCTTGGAATGTGTCTCCATATGGTGGTCACTGTTAAGACCCACAAATCTGTCATCATTCCTAGGCCACATGAAGCCCTTCCAATCTTTGCAGGATTTTAGACCCACCTGTGTCTCCGGACGGACCATCCCTGCCTCCAAATGGAATGCCTGGAATTTCATTCATTTGTGCTCTGCCATGTTGCCAGAGTTTCCCCAAATGGGGCCAAATGTCAGCATGCTCTCAGGAAAAGGATGCAGTGTCACAAAGAAACTCCTGTCAAGTTTAGGCAGGTCACACAAGAGCAGGAAATCAAACATGAAGAGGATGGTCAGGGCCCCCAGTACAACATGCCCAGAGAACAGAACCTGCCACAAACAGCTCAGGTCCAGGGCCTATGGCATGGAGACCACGAAGCCAGGCACCTGATTCTAAGGAAAGGCCTCGAATCATGGCTGAGAATCAAAATGCAGAAACCATATGCATCTGATCTTTCCCAAATCTGGGAAGACTGGAGTCCAGAGGCCTCATGATCCCCTTAATTTATTAGGCTACCTCCTTCATTTAATGAGAACTGTCTTGTTAACCCCATTCTCAGGTCTGTAGAACCATGAGAGTTTTTGTTTTTAAATATCTTGTTTGAACACAAGTTCTTCTTATCTCAGGATCCCCATAAATCTCCTCTTTGTAAATAGGACTTTGGTCACCATCATACTTGGGATGAATATCTCATAATCTCTTAACTGCATTTTACCCATGACCTTACTAATTTTATCCCATTTGCTTGAAACAACTTTTTGTTGCCATCACTTTTCTTCCTGGCCTCTGTGGATTTTTCCTGAAGGCATCACAGTTGAAAGGCTTCACCCTTCTGAGGATGTTTGTGGATGCTGACCCTGTGTTCTCATTGAGTTTGCTCTGTGGATCGAACTCCTGAGCCTCCAACTGCAGATATTATGACACGTTAAGTACAAGGCCACCTTTGACTCTTTCATCGTCATGAAGGTGCAATTCTTTCCCTACCTGTTTGCAATTTGGAGCACATCTATTCTTTTCCCTAAGGCAGTGACTCTCAAACTCTAGGAAGCAACAGGATCACCTGAAACGCCCGTTGAACCATAGATTGCTGGGCCCCACCCATAGAGAAGAAGAAAACAGAGAGGAGGAGGGGATAGGAGGAGAGGGGAGAAGAGAAAAGAAATGACTAGAGTTATTGCATGTCATAGGGTCAGTGGTGAAATATGTATTTATTGTCTGTCAGTGGCAAAAGCTTTCAGGACTTCTGTCACCTCTCTGCTAAGAGTTCCTCCAGCCTCTGCTTGGTTAATTCCAGGGAAGGAGAAACCCACTGCTTCCCAGGATAGCACCTTAAGCCTTGGGGAGCTGAAACAAGTCACACGCCATGTGGGGGCAGGAGTGACAACCAGGAAGTCAGAGTTATCTCTGACCACAACTCCTTCTCTTATTTCCCTTGGTTGTGAACCTCTTTTTCTACCATGATCTCTGGCAGCCACTGGTATGTTTGCTGTCCCCATAGTTTTGTCTTGTAAGAGTGTCATCAACATGGAATCACACAGTTTGCAGTCTTTTGAGAATAGCTTCTTTTGCTTGGAATAATGCATTTGAGAGTCATCCATGTGAGAGAGGCAGGTGGCAGGGGGCTCCCCAGAAATACTCTAACCAGCCTGCACACTGGGGTGGAGCCACAGAAATTTGCACTCTTTGCAGTGGGGAGGACTCGGGCCTCTCCTCTTCCTGTGTGGAACCTGGGATTTGAAAAGTGGGAGGGAAATGCTCCAGCAGGGACTCTCACCTTCCAAGAGTTCTTCCTTGCCCCTTCCTTTTCACCCACCACAACCCTGTCTTACTCACCATTTAAATTGTCTGCAAGCCTGAATTTTCATGGCTGTGGGAGAAAGAACCTTGTTTTTAGCTGAACTAAGGAAAAGTTCTGCAACATTTTTGGCACCCAACGTTTGGCTAGAGAAGCAGTGAATGAAATGGGGACTCAAAACCTCTCGCTGTTGCTCCTAAGCCTTTTCATCCTCAGACTCCTGAGAGTAGATAAAACCATGCCCCCAACCCCCTTAGCTCCTGGGACTTTTAGTAGCATTTTCCTTCCTTTTTCAGGACCCACTGGTGAGCAGCAGCTCCCCACTGCTCTCCCCTCCCTGCCAGGGCTGGGATGCATGGCCCAAGGGTCTCACAGAGCCAGCTGGCTGGCATTTTCCACCACAAGCCACTGGAGCCTTCTCCTTCTCTGGTCAAGGGGTTCAGCTCCATTGGACAGTAATTAAGCTTTTCTCTTGGTAGAGGAACCCCTTGCCTAAGAATAAGAGATTCTTCCCCAGGCATTTTTAAACTATTCTCTTTTTTACCCTCTTCTCTACCCTGTCAGCAGTTAAGTTTTAAGCAAGATTTTTGTTTTTGTTTTTTGGGTTTTTTTTAGAAGACGTTTTACTAGGCCAAGCCCCACAACTATCACTGTTTGTACTCTCCATAAAGTTTTTCATTGTGAAAAAGAATCTCGTAGGGACTGGGTTTTCTTCTGCCTGTCTGTGTGTGTTATTATGTGTAATGTCTGTAAAAAGAGCTCTAATTAATTTGGCCTAAAGAAAGACCAGTACTTGAATCAAGTATTTTTTTAACGGAAGTTAAAAAGCTGCACTACACTCAAATCGTAGCAAGGATAACTATAGCCACCAGTTATCTAGGTGTGTCACAAGCCATCTTTTTCTCTTCCTTGTTGGAGAAGGACTCAGTTCCAGAGTCTCACTTTAACATTCGGCTTATGAGAAGGAGTCCATGCAAGCCCCTGAGACATATTTTTGTCCCAAACTCAATTCCAGGCTTCGGGTCAATGTTCTAAGAAAGAGAACTGGATCTAAGGGATCCAGAGGCAGGCAACTACAAGGCCAAAAGGCAGAGCACAGATGAGTGTGGCTGATTCCTGCCAATTAAGCCAACCCCAAGCTTCCTATTTCATGGATAAAGGCCACATTAATATCCACAGCATAAATGAGATCTAGGGAACTCCAAGGCTACCTACAGCAGGGGAGACAGGGCATACGTGGGTAAGAGTGGATGATCCCCACCCCTAAGAGCCCCCTGCTTCATGGGTGCAAGGCTCTTTTGCACTCATGGCAGGACCTTCCAAGGTCACTGGAACTCAGGGACGCAAGCACGGAAGAGGAAGGAGGATGCTCTTCCTTCTCTCCGTCACATGCCCCAGGTATCTGCTAGGAAGAGAAGTGAACCAGGGATGTCTGCTCCCCTCTTTCTAGATGGGTAGCCATTCATCTTCAGTCTGTACCCCTTCCGAATGCATCCTGAACCTCTGGGACTCCTTTAACAGGTGCCTCTTTTTTTCCTTTCTCCTTCTCTGTCCTCTCTTCACTAATAGGTAATTGTGTCTCTGTACTACAAGACACTCCCTTCAGATGCATCCTACAAACTGGAAAGAGTTAATTTCCCAAACCTTAAAATGGCTGCCATAGGATTGGGCTCAGGGGAAGAGAACCCAGAAGCCCAACATGCTGGCAAAAGGGTAAAGTATTTTAACCAGTTGGGCTTTTGGCCTCCCTCTTCCTGTGCAAACTGGTAAAAGGCCTCAGAATTTTTGAGCTGTCCTTAACCCTCCCCTTGTTTCATTTGGATACATGTTTTCTAATAACATAGTTTGTCTCTTCTTGCCTTCAGGCCATCAAACTCCAAATAGTCATGCAGCTGGAGCCTCTGACAATGTCCCCTTCTGCTGGGAAACCTTAAATAGACCTTTGAGGGAGCTCGGACTGTTGTTTCCCCAAAACAGCATCCTATGTCAGCAGGAAGCAGTTAAGCTGGGTCTTCATCCTTATGCTTAATCTAACAAAAGTTTGATGTACTTCTTTAGAAAGGGGAATGAGACAGCCAGGTGGGAGGGGGATACCCGGAAAAACTCCAACCAGCCTGCACAATGGGGTGGAGCCACAGAAGTTCACACCCTTTGTGGGGAGGAGTCAGGCCCCTCTTCTTCCTGTGTGGAACCTGGGATTTGAAGGTTGGGAAGGAAGCGCTCCAGCAGGGACTCTGTCCTTCCAAGAGTTCCTGTTTGCCCCTTTTCTTCCTTTTAATTCAGTAAAAACCTGTCTTACCATTTAAATTGTCTGTGAGCCTGAATTTTCATGGCCATGGGACAAAGAACCCCATTTTTAGCTGAACTAATGAAAAGTCCTGCAACACCTGTCTTATTTTTCTGGAGTTTGTTCTCTTTTTTAATTGCTGAGAAGGATTCCATTGTATGGAATTTGTCCAATTTGTTTATCCATTTCCCTATTAAGGGATATTTGGGTTGTTTCCAGTTTTGGGTGACTATAAACAAAACTGCTAAAAATGTACATGTATAGGTTCTTCTGTAAATCTCAGTTTTCATTTCATTTGGGTAAAACCTAGGGGGGAATTTCTGGGTTGTACAGCAAGTGTATGCTTAACTTTATAGGAAATTGCCAAACTGAGAAGCAGTTTCTAAAATGTTTATGAATATTTTAGTCTTCAGAAATGCTTGGGGTGGGTACTGTTATTATCCCACTCCCAGGTGCTCAGTTCACCTGGGCTAAGCAGCTTGCTGCAGTCACAAAGTTGGCACGTGGTGGATCTAGGGAAGGTGGGCTCAGACACTCTCGCTTGATGCAAGTACTGCTCTCTGCTTCAGTTTCTGTTTTCTCATGACTGGCTTCCTTTGCTTTCTCACAGTCTCTGCCCTCCTAATGCAGGTTGGCCCGGCCCAGCCTTCTGTGAACCGCCTCCATCGGGACATTTTCCCTGTGGTGATGCCATCTGGAGCTGCCCATGCCCTGAGAACTGCAGCTGTGTGCCGAATGCCAGCTCTGCTGCTGGCAAGCCACTGGCCTCCAGCTGCTGCCTCCTTTTGCCCCGTTCCCTGTCAGGGCCCCAAAGAGACAGGGCAGTCAGCTCTCCTGGCTACTCTGGTTCCAGCCTGGCACAGCCAGGGGACCTAGTGACACCTATTGGCCATTAGTTAGAACTGTGGCTGCACTTGAGTTCAGTGTGCAACAAGAAGGCTCTGATGGGGCTCAATGTTAAAAAGGTGAGCACATATCCTTTACCCACGTTTAAAACTTCAAACAGCTGGTTCAGACATGCAATAAAAAGTAAAGTTTCTCCTCCCTATAGCTCGCGTTTACTCCTGTGATAAACATTTTCTGTTTTTAGTTATCTGGTCAGCACACGAATATAAGTAACTTGATAATACATGTAAATTCTTGATTTATCCACTTTAGATAGTGTATTAGTCTGTCCTCCCTTGCCATAATGACATACCCAAGACTGAGTAATTTATAAAGAAAAGAGGTTTAATCAGCTCATGGTTCCACAGGCTGCACCGGAAGCATGATGCAGGCATCTGCTCATCTTCTGGGGAGGCCTCTGGAAACTTACCATCGTGATTGAAGGCAAAGGGGAAGCAGCCTCATCACACGGTCATAGCGGGAGCAAGAGAGAGAGGGAGAGTGCAGGGGTAGGGGCCACACACTTGTAAACAACCAGATCTCACAGTAACTCACTATTGTGAGGACATTACCAAGGGGGATGGTGGATGGTGCTAAACCATTCATGAGAAATCTGCCCCAGAGATCCAATCACCTCCCACTGGGCCCCACCTCCGACACTGGGGATTACATTTTAAAATGAGATTTGGGCAGGAGCACACATCCAGACTATACTAGATGGTGTCTATTACCTACATTGTAGGAAAGATAAAGAATTTAGGGCATTATATGACTTTTCATTCTTCCTGTCCCCTTTACTTCATCATTTTAATCTGTAACATTACTAGATTTTTTAGTGGTTAGATTTATGCTTTAAAATAATGTATATAAATCTCAGTTTCTTGATGTATTAATATTAGAAAGAGTCTCTATTGATTCTGCACTACACGAAAAAAGGAAATTAGTGCACATAGACTTTGCTGTGCTCTCCACCTCCAGATTTCTGTGAGCCATAATATCACTTCTGGGTTGCACATGTTTATAGAATTTGAATACTGAAGTAGACATAATTACGTGTTCCGTGCTTGAAGTTGATTCTAAAAATTGAAAACCCTTAAACAGTATTTAAGGCATTATGATGATGTAAACACGATTCACTGCAGAACCAAGTACTGTGACTAGGCCCACGGAAAAGGAAATAAAATACTACATAATTAAACCTTGAGCACTCAAAGGAGAATGTTCTATGAATGAAGGTCTCTTTTCTCCACTCCATTAGTTATCCACAGTTACCCACGCTTCAGTTGCATCAAATTTGAACCACGACTTTCTTAGACTGTCTTGTTTTCCCTGGGTTTCTAATTGTCATTCTATTTGCTGTAAGTTTTATTGAGGAATAACATAGCTCATCTGATTGTTTAGAATTGACTAAGACCTGCTTAGAATCTTTATTCTGTATTCTTACTTCTATAATTTCTGGAGTGGAAGTGACTTCCTCTGGTGGAAGTGGCACAATCTTCACCGAGTCCTCTGACTTTTTGGATGTGTCGTTTTCTGGGGCTGCTGTGTAGCTGTCAGCTTGGATTTTTTTCTGGCACACCTGAGTCCTACATTCTCATGGATCTTGTGACATTTTCTTTCTTGGATTTTATTTTTTTTGCTAAAGTTTAGATTTGCTGGAACATGTGATACGTCAGTATAACATGGTGGTTAAAAGTGGGCTTCCCGAGTTTGAAACCTTGCTTCGTATTAATCCTGTGGCCTTGGATAACTGGATCTCAGCACTGTGGCATCTTCATCTGTAAAACGGGCACAATACAGCTCTCTTATAAGTTATTTTGAGATGGAGTGAGACAATGTGTGTAGTACTGTTAGGACAATGACCAATAAATGATAAATCTAATATTTTCATAGATTTTGCAAGGGGGAGGAGTACAGGGATGTGCTCATTTGGCCATCCTGAATTGGCAGACAAGACATATTTCTGAAGTAGTGAAGAAGGCCCACCTCATCACTGTGCACACATTTTATGCTCTCATGCCATCCTCAATGCCAATGACTGACATGTACGTCTCCAGAGCTCCCTCCTGAATCCAGCCTTCCATCGCTGACTGTCTCTTTGACATCTCCACCTGCATGTCCAATGCACATCTCAAGTGCAACTTGCTCAAAACCAAACTCCTGATCTTCTCCCCTAACTTGTTCCACTTACAGTGTTCTCCACCTTAGGATGCAGCTGCCATCCTTCTAGAATCTCAGGCCAAATATTTTGAAATCATGTTGATTCTTTTCTTTCTCTTGAATCTTCATTTCATCCATCAGAAAATTCTGGATACTTTAGCTTCAAGATATGCCCAGTATTCCATCACTTCTGACCCCACCACCTTCACCCTCATCTCAACTGTCACAGTCTCTCACCTGGATCGTGTAGTGGTCTCCTAACTGGCCCCCCTGCCTCCACGTGGCTCTCTGCTGTCTAGCCCCAAACTTGTTGGGTGTGATCCTATTTTATGCCCTCTTCTTGGGGCACTTCGCCCTCTGACACCTGTAGGCTGTCCAAATGGCCATGGAACTTTTCATATCTTTGTTCAGATCACCTTCTCCGTGAGGACTTCCTCAACCACTCTCTTTATTGTTGCAACCTCCCTGGGGCATCCTAATCCCCCTAATTGGCTGTATTTCTTCTTTTTCACAGCACATGCTACCTTCTAAATTCTGACATAAGTTACATATTTATCATGTTTACTGTTCACTGTTTGTTTCCCCTGCTAGAATGTTGGCTCCTTGAGGGCACAATTTTTTTTATTTGCCTTGTTTACCAGTGTATTCCAAGTACTTAGTACAGCAAGCACCTGGCTCAGTTGTAGGTACAGAATATGAATACATATGAATAAGAATTCTCAGTTGTAGGCAAAACTGAGGATGTGCATAGTGGCAAGGTGGGTCTTCTTGATGACTTCTCAACAATTCTCAGTTGTAGGCACTGAATATGAATTCATACTAAATAAGAACACATACTCAGTGAAGGAATTTGCAAATGATAGTGAGGAGAGTGGAGAAGCTCCCACACTGCCTTGCCCCACGGTTTAGCTATTGAAGGTGACACCTGAAGGAGGCAGTTTGGCTAATAAGTACAGGGGGAAGACTCTCCTTAAGGGTAAGAGTGACAGGGAGGTCACTTTCAGAGTGCAAGAAGGGTGACAGGAAACATGAGCATGAGCAGGGCCTGAGGGTCTCAAGAGTCCCTTCCAGCTCTAACTTTCGGTGATTTCAGGCCAGGTGAGGTGCTGAGCTCCCTGGCCCCAGAGGCATTCCAGCATAGGCTGGCTGATGTCTCAGCAGGGATGCTGTGGAGGGCCCAAGCATGAGAAAAGTACAAGAAGTTGATTCCCTTCAAGGTCTTCTCTAATAATAAGACATGAAAATTAAACAACTCACCCCTCCCTGACCACTCCCACACCCCAAATCCTGAGGCCTGGAGTCCCTGGGCCAGCTGGGGAGGGTCCTCCTGTGCCATTCTCTGACCCTCCCTATGCACCTGTTACCTCATGGCTATGGCCACAGCACCTCCTCCTCCTTCCCTTCCCATGCAGAGCTCATTCTATTTTTGGTGAGGCCAGGTGACAGTGGTCTTGACAGAGAGCACAGCCTGGTCAGATGGAAGGAAGGCAAGTGAGGGGCACCTGCCTCTCAGCCTTACTCTCCCATGTCTTCTGCCATGTAATCCCTGAAATGCTGAATTTATGTATTCTCACACCTCCCATTCCTCTCACATTAAAAAGAATACCAGGTTATTTTCCATCATTTTCTTCTGAAGTATGCTTTTGCAATTCAGCAGCTGCTCCACTGTAATGATGGGGGAGGGACCAACAAAGGCAAACAGAAAGCAATGCAAACTTTGTAACAAACACAGGCACCTCCCCACCTGCTTCCATGAACACCTGTATGGTGTTTACTCAAACCTTACCTCCTTCCATACGTAATCCAGTCAAGTAGCTGTTATTTCTTTTCCAGTTTTACAGACAAGATAACCAGAGCTCAGAGAGGCTAAACAGCAATGGGTAGTGGCCTGTACAGGAGCCAGGCCTTCTGGCTCCAAGTCTGGTGCACTCTTTTCCTGCTTCACAGTTGCCTCTCCCCAAATAGGACTCTGTGGCCCATGATACTCACTGAGGACATTTGGTGAAGTGACTAAGCGTGGACTCCGGGGATGCACAGTCCTAGCTCTGACTTACTGTTGTGTGGCCTTAGGCTAAACTAATTTATTTATGTTTCAGTTTCCTCATCTGTAAAATATGGACAGTAATGGATATGTATTGCATAAGCCTGTTGTGCACGCTAAGTAAGATGATTTTGCAAAAAGCTTAACATAAGATCTGACACATTAATTCTTTAATAAGTAGTAGCAGTTTCCCATTTTTATTAAAAGAAAAATTATTGTAGGACTGGTTTGCTTTATTATACTTGGCCTAATTATTTGTATAAAGTGTAGCAAGAATAATTATTTTTACATAGGCCTTTTAAATTGGCTTTGATGGAACTTCGTTCCATAAAAGGAATCTGATATAGGACATTTTTAAAGCCAAGCCCAGCCATGGATTTATACCATCAATACCTATGAGTTGGGTGAATTCTTCTCCTCTTGAGGTTCCAAGATAACTTGGGGTTCGCAGCCTGTCAGAAAGTGACATTCATTACTTACCACAGATCAGAAACCCTGTACAGGGACTGTGTACACAAAATATGAGGCCTGTTTCCCAAGGGCTTTATTGGCTTCATAAGTCAAGTTTAATTCCTTAAAGGAAAGCATACCATCCCAGTAAAAGCCTTGGTAAAAATAACCAGTTTTTCTAATTGTGTCCTGTTACAAAAAAAACAGATTCTTATTGCACTTATGCAAATAACTATATTGCCACAACTTAAGAATACTCACAGATAGTTTCCAAATTCTGGAGAAAATCAGGCAGAGAGAAACAAGTATGCTTCAAATTTTGTTCAAAGGAGTATACTAAATTGTTAAAAGCTGTCAATAGCTCAAAAGAAAAGTTTATTTGACTCTGAGAAGCAAAATAAAGGATTAGTTATATTTTGAGCAAAAAGTCAAAAAGATGACTCCTGTCTCCTGTTAGCTCAGTTCATGCAGTTAATTCCTGCCCCACTTGATGTTGATGAACATTTTTAGCTCGTCAAGAGTCCTGAACATTTTTCCTCTCTTCTGCTGTCACAATCTCCAAAGTTATCAGAAACCTGCATTCAACAGCACCTGTTAGAGTTTTATAGCTGCTTATAAAACCACCTTCTAAAGAGGTACAAAACAAGAAAACATTTGTTTATGGATGACAAAAAGCTTTAGGAAGTAGCCATAGTTAAAGACATAATTGACAAGGAAATCTGTTACCTCTGTGGCACACAATAATTTAACATAACAATTATAATTATTACTGACAACAAACACTAAAATATCTGAGAATCACAGGAGTTTCCCATAATTTTGGAACACATACCAATAACATATTTATACAAATATAGCCCAAAGAAAGCCAAACACAATTTCGTATTTGACAATGCTTCCTGTATGATTTTTATACCAAATAAGCCAAATTTTACCTTTACATTAGTGTGCTATTGATGTTAAACCCAATTCTTAATAAAACCTTATAGACATATTTACCCAATTTTAATGTTTGACCATAAGGCAAGATTTTTATAGACTTTGTATAATCCTTTACAATTTTTGTTAAAGAGCAGGTTAGTGCTGTAAGAGAAACCCATTGTGGTTTAGTTTAATGCTTAATTTACAGAAAAACTGGATGATACCCCTTTAACTTTAGCCAATATGTTTACACACAGAAGTTCCTTTACAATCAACCTTCTACAACTTGCCTCAACCTTAATTTTTATTTTATCTAACTTAAAAAAAATCCCTTAATCTTTTAATCTAGGCAAAAATCCACATCCTCATGCCTCCTTATAATCTTTTTACCATAAGTATATTTTATCTCAGCAGGAAGGAACCCAGTACTTCCCATTTTCAAGTTTACATGATATCAAAGGGAATAAGACAGATATACAAATAAGTGGAGACAAATTTTGGACAACACAAGGGGGAGTGCACTCAGGCAAAACTGACTCAAAACCAACTCAAAATCTGATCTCAACCAAAATGCAAAGCTGGTGTATAAGTAAGCCCTATTGCTTCCCTTGGTGGTACCGGACAAATGACTTAACAAGCCCAGATAGGAAAACAATAGGCTCCTGGCATATGATCTGGTTAACTCACCCTTTGAGCACCTCTGCTCCTGATCTTCATTATTGCCCAGTAGTGAAGGGGACATGCAGATTTGCACATGGAACAGCCCTCGGGAGGATCCCCAGGGGAAACCTTACCCGACAGCTGCCGAAATCCTCCCCGAGACTGTCTTGTCACAAGCTGCCAGCCACTGAATGCAGCACCTTCCTTATCTCCTGGCTGGCTTGCCAAATTTTGTTCCTGGACCAAATTGAAAGTCAGGCTGCTATTTCTTGTGGCCCAATAATGAGATGCAGATGAACTCCAGAAGACCTTCTTCGGGAGCCTTAGTAAGCTTACTTAATCTAAATGGGTCCAGGTGCTGGGGTGATTATCCTTGTCTTGTGATTACCCTTGTCTTGTCTCCTGCTAAATCACAGAGGTTTGGGGAGTTCCTTCAGACCCCCAATAAAACTTGTTTACTCTTAAATGGGTCCCGTTAAGAATTCCTTTTTATTTTGTCATGCTTTAAGGCCCAAGAAAGGCCTAGGCAAAACTCTTGATGGATTTTTGTGATATTCCAACCTTTGTGTAAGGGTACTGGCTTTTCTAGCTTCTAATATTTAACTTAACCACTCACTCAGTGCTAAAACAGTTGTGATAGAGGCCTGTGTTAGTGAGATCTGGCCTGCCACAAGACATCAAAGAGGAGAGTGGACTTTGAGGAGTGACAAAAGACAAAACAGAGAGGAAGTGGGCATAATCTTGGACTAGCTTTCTTTTAACCGCAAATGTGAAGGAAGCCGAGCCTCTCTTCTCTTTGATGAGACCTAAAAGTAACAGCTCAGAGTTCTGAACCAACTGAAATAACCCAAAAAATGTTGTGGAGCTGAGAGACCACCTTCATGATTGTGACGGTTAAGTTTATGTGTCAACTTGACTGGGCAACAGAGTGTCCAGACATTTGATCAAACATGATTCTGAGTGTTTTGTGAGGGTCTCTCTGGGTGAGATTAACATGTGAATAATTAGACTAAATAGAGCAGATTGCCCTCCCTAATGTGGGTGGGCCCATCCAGTTTGAACTTACAGTTCAAAGATTAAATTCCCAAGGAAAATAAAGTAAAATAGTTCAAGCTAAAATCTTCAGTCATTGCCCTCGATGTCTTGTCTGGCTCTGTCCTAGCCAGGGAGTCCCTCACTACCTGGGCCAAGTAGAGGTTCTTTCCACCCTTGTAATGGGAGAGAATGGCTTTCAGGGCTGAGTGAAGTTCTATCAGGAGCTAGGGACCCCATAAATTCAACTCAAAGTATCTCGTGTGCTCCATTTTCCTTCACACAATATTTTATTTTTAACAAGTCTAAATCTCAGAAAACTTTAAAGAAAGACTAGTACAATCAACACCAGCCTGCCCTTTTCTGCATTCACCAATTGTTAACATTTTTTGGGTCACATTTACTTTATCTTGCCCTCTCCCTGCACACGCACACTTACACACACATTTTTTTTCTTATTTTTAATGAACCATTTTAAGGTATTTCACGTATTTCAAAAGCATTTTGAAAGTAATATTGAATTATTGATTTGACAATAATACTTGGTCCGTGTTCAGTTTTCCCTAATTGTTGCCAAAATTTATCCTGTGGGTCTTAGAAAACATCCAGAATCCAGTCAAGCTTCCTATACGGTTGTCAGGTCTCGTTAGTCTCCCTGAGTCCCACTGCCCTTTTGTTTCCATCTTTCAGGACACTTAACAGTTTTGAAAAGCCTCAGTCGGAAGGGTCCATGTTCTGGATTTGTTTCTCTCCTCTTGCAGTTTCTGGGTAAGCTTTTTTGACAAAAGTACTTCACGGGTGAGATTCTATGTCCCACTGCATCACATCAGAAAGCACAGGCTGCAGGTCTCCAACTACCTAGTGATGCTACATTTGATCAATTGATTAAGAGTGATCCTGCCAGAGCTCTCCATTGTAAAGGTACATTTCCCTTTTAATTAATTAGAACCAGGGTAATGATGCATTGAGACCATGAGGATCTCCTGTTGCCCAGTAACCTCTTACCCTCTGGTTTTAACATCCATTGGTAATCCTGGATCAATTATTACTATGGGATTGCAGAGTGATGATTTTCCAACATCAGCATTCATTCTATATTGGTCATCTGTTGTCTTCTGTGAAAAGGAGATTTCCCCTGCTCCTTTGTTTTGAGAATAATTATTTCATAAATTATTTTAAATTTTAATGTATTATAGCTGGTTACTACCAATATTTAATTTTTTTTAATTTTAGTTATTTTTTAACTATATTAAGTAAAATCAAATTCTTTTTATGCTCAAATTATCCCAAGTTTAACCAATAGGTATTGTGTCTTACTATTTAAAATATTCTAGAGATTTAATAGGTCACACAGACCATGTCAGCACTGACCATAGACCCCCTGACTTTAGAAAACAACCTAATTCGAAGCTCCTAAAACAGTTATCTCAATAAAATCAAGTTCAAAGAACTCAATCCTTAGCGCTGCCAAAGAGACCTGGGTCTGAATCATGGAGGGTCAACAGAAAATCTCTTTTTAATATTAGTCTCACCAGAAAGACATTGATCTACTAACATTTGTCTGGAGACTATGACCTTTAACTTCAACTCGTGGTGGAATTTGTTCTGCCACTGTGAAGTTATCATTCTGGGATGGTGGGGGTATGGTTCTTTCCCAGTGAGAAATTTTTGATTTCCTCATTTCAGCCTGGTGCTTCTACCTTCTCAGAGCTGCATTGGGTATGAGCTTCATTTGGTTATGTGACCTCCAGAATAGACTGTGAGCAGATTTTGTTTTTCTTTAATCCTGAGCCTACCCTTGCTGCTGTCCCCTCTTGACTTTCAACTTGGCTGAAGAAAGCGTCTTTGGTGGGAATATGTTTTCCTTGTTCCACCTTGACACTAGTTGTCTATCGGTTGTGAAGACAAATGCCTTGGCCTTGTGCTCTGCAGTACAGGCTCCTGTCTCAGGTGTCTGGTTTCCTTGTTGAGAGGCTCAGCTATGGTTGGGGCAGCAGACCCCGCCCTGTCTATCTGGGAAAGGCCCTGACACTTGGAAGCATGAAAAGCCATGTGGCACACATAGAACTCAGCTGCCTTGCACTGAAGTAAAGAATATTGCTCTGGCTCCCACTATGTCCGTGGATTTAACGAAAAAAGTGATTTTTATGGTTGAGTCTTTGCTACAGCTACAACTGCTCAAGAAAGCTATGTCAGTTCAAGGAAAAGTGGGTGCCTTTTCAAGGCTCCTGGCTTTGCTGAGGCCCTCACTATGCCCTCCCAAGTGCCAAAGCCTTTGACTGCCACCCTTGCTGAGGCTGCATGTCTGGCATCTGACTGCCAGGCCTCAAGTGACAGCCATTTGGCTGAAAGTCTCTGTGGCTTGAGGCCTATGGAACCTACTGTCTTAATTCTGGTTCCCTAGAAAATAGCTTGAAGCAGAGGCCATGTGCTTGATGGGTGAGTCTAATCCCGGGAAACAGGGATGAGAGAGAATGGGAGAGAGGCTAGGAATGAAGGAGAACACATATAAGGGTGTGTGTTCCCAACTTGGCCAAAGCTTTGCAACAAGTCGATTGCTTGATCTCCCAGGATGTCCTCATATGAAGCTTTTGCATCTCTGAACAGCATTTGTGGGAGTAGGGAAGCGGGGAGGAGAAAGGGAGAAGATTTTATCCACTGGCTCCAATATTTCATTTTCAAGGTCAACTTCCTTGCACATTTGCATCTCAGCCTGGTAGGGGAGCCCCAGAGTGAAAGTGTGAGGTGCACAGTTTGCATGAGAGAGGTGTTTTTATGTCATACCCCCACATGCCAGGAGGAATTGTTAACCCTGACTGGCAGATACAGCATCTTAAGTCTAAAACCACAAGCAGCAGCCATGGCTATGGCAACTCAAACAAGAAGAGTCCAGCACACCAGCTCAGCATTACTTAATGGTCAGTATGTACATTTCCAGCCCTATAGCTCTGGGACAAAGCCTTGTCCAAGTTTTAGCTACCTGCCACAAAACACTGCAGTCTAACTTAGAGCTCCTCTTCCAGGTTCAGTAGCCAAAAGCCAACTCAGCTCCCAGCAAAATGATGGCTCCAAATAAATTGCTTTAAAGAGCCATGGTAAAAACCCAGGCAAGCACCACCAAAGTGTAAAGCCATCTGCTTGGGTTGTGGTAGGAACTCTCATCCTTATTGTGCTTTCTGATTCCCTGAATATGTCTCTATTCTATCTCTCAAGGTTTGAAACCTTGTTTACTAGATATTGCGGCTGGAGTTACATACCTAAAACCACAGGCACCTCTCTGTAGAGGCATGTCCTTTTAAAACTTAGGGCAGAGGAATACATAAGCTCCTGTGGACTGCTCCAGGCCATGAAAAGAAAGACAAAGGGCCTGGTCCCTATGCCTACCCATGCTCTCCTTCTAGACTCACCAGGGAGCTAAGTAGCTGCTCCTTCTTGGGGGATTGAGGGAGGAGGGAGAGCAGAGAGAAGCCAGAAGTATTGTGCAAATGGATTCCTTCCACATGGGGGGAAATGACAGGACTGAGGAGGAGGTGCTCCCTTCTAACATCCCCAAACTCCAAGGCACTGGTTTTGAGATCTCCTAAATGCTCTCTCACACAGCTCTGCTGAGGGGCCAATTCAGAGCCACTGGGGGGGCCTGTGAATTCCTGAGCTAGCAAATTTTCCCTAGTGGTGAAGGAGTCTTCTATTCTCTAAGCGATTATCTAGGAGTCCTGTCTTCCCCTAGCTGGGTCAGGAAGGGAGGTACAATGCCCAGGGCCCCTCACTGGATCTCCATCTACTCCCCTGTCATCTCCTTAATGAACTCTAGACTTCAGCTGATGAGGGTGCATGAGGATCATGAAGCGCTGAAGGGTGAGTGAGGCTACTTTTTAGTCAATAGCATGGGATGTCATTAGAAGCTCCTCTTTAGAACATAAGAGTACTGTCAGCTGTGGAGCTCTGCTTTAGGGCTATAAGTACTTGGCATGGTTTGGATGTTTGACTTCTCAAAATCTCATGTTGAAATGTAATTCCTGGCTGGGTGCTGTGGCTTATGCTTGTAATCTCAGCATTTTGGGAGGCTGAGGTGGAATGATCACTTGATGCCAGGATTTTGAGAACAGCCTGGGCAACATAGCAAGACCTCATATCTGCAAAAAAATTTTAAAAATTAGCCGGGTATGGTGGCATGTGCCTGTAGTTCCAGCTACTCAGGAGGCTGCCGCAGGAGGACTGCTTGAACCCGGGAGGTTGAGGCTTCAGTGAGCTGTGATCATGCCACTGCACTCCAACTCGGCAACAGAGCAAGACTGATATGGTTTGGCTGTGTCCCCACCCAAATCTTATCTTGAATTGTAACTCCCACAGTTCCCACGTGTCGTGGGAAGAACCTGGTGGGAGGTAATTGAATCATGGGGGCAGGTCTTTCCCATGCTGCTCTCATGATAGGGAATAAGTCTCAAGAGATCCAATGGTTTTCAAAATAGGAGTCTCCTTGTACATGCTGTCTCTTCTCTTTGCCTGCAGCCATTCATGTAAGATATGAATTGCTGCTCCTTGCTTTCTGCCATGATTGTGAGGCCTCCCCAGCCATGTGGAACCATAAGTCCATTAAACCTCTTTCTTTTGTAAATTGCCCAGTTTTGGGTATGTCTTTATCAGCAGCATGAGAATGAACTAATATAGTAAATTGGTACCAGTAAAGTGGGGTACTGCTGAAAAGATACCTGAAAATGTGGAAATGACTTTGGAACTGGGCAACAGGCAGAGGTTGTAACAGTTTGGAGGGCCCAAAAGAAGACAGGAAATGTGGGAAAGTCAAACTTCCTAGAGACTTGTTGAATGGCTTTGACCAAAATGCTGGTAGTAATATGAACAACGAAATTCAGGCTGAAATGGTCTCAGATGGAGATGAGGAACTTGTTGGGAACTGGAGTAAAGGTGACTCTTGCTATGTTTTAGCAAAAAGACTGGCAGCATTTTGCCCATGCCCTAGAGATTTGTGGAACTTTGAACTTGAGAGAGATGATTTAGGGTATCTGGCAGGAGAAATTTCTAAGCAGCAAAGCATTCAAGAGGTGACTTGGGTGCTGTTAAAGGCATTCAATTTTAAAAGGGAAACAGAGCATAAAAGTTTGAAAAATTTGCAGCCCGACAATGCAATAGAAAAGAAAATCCCATTTTCTGAGGAGAAATCCAAGCTGGCTGCAGAAATTTGTGTAAGTGATGAGGAGCTAAATGTTAATCCCAAGACAAAGGAGAAAATGTCTCCAGAGCATGTCAGAGGTCTTCATGGAAGCCCCTCCCATCACAGACCCAGAGGCCTAGGAGGAAAAAGTGGTTTTGTGGGACAGGCCCAGGGTCTCTGTGCTGTGTGCAGCCTAGGGACTTGGTGTTCTGCATCCCAGCCACTCCAGCCATGGCTGAAAGGGACCAATGTAAAGCTTGGGCAGTGGCTTCAGAGGGTGCAAGCTTCAAGCCTTGGCAGCTTCCATGTGGTGTTGAGCCTGCCAGTACACAGAAGTCAGGAACTGATGTTTGGGAACCTCCACCTAGATTTCAGAGGATGTATGGAAATGCCTAAATGTCCAGGCAGAATTTTGCTGCAGGGGTGAGTCTCTCATGGAGAACCACTTCTAGGGCAGTGCAAAAGGGAAATGTAGGGTCAGAGCCCCCACAAAGAGTTCCTACTGGGGCACTGCCTAGTGGAGCTATGAGAAGAGGGCCACCATCATCCAGACCACACAATGGTAGATCCACCAACAGCTTGCACTGTGTGCCTGGAAAAGCCACAGACACTCAATGCCAGCCCATGAAAGCAGCCAAGACAGAGCCTGTACCCTACAAAGCCACAGGGGCAGAGCTGCCCCAGACCATGGGAACCCACATCTTGCAATAGCATGACCTGGATATGAGACATGGAGTCAAAGGAGATCATTTTAGAGCTTTAAGATTTGACTGCCCCACTGGATTTCAGGCTTGCATGGGGCCTGTAGCCCCCTTTTTTTGGTGAATTTCTCCCATTGGGAATGGCTGTATTTACCCAGTAACTGTACCTCCATTGTATCTAGGAAGTAACTAACTTGCTTTTGATTTACAGGCTAATAGGCAGAAGTGACTTGCCTTGTCTCAGATGAGACTTTGGACTGTGGACTTCTGAGTTAATGCTGAAATGAATTGAGACTTTGGGGAACTGTTGGGAAAGCATGATTGGTTTTGATGTGTGAGGACATGAGATTTTGGAGGGTCCAGGATCAGAATGATATGGTTCGGCTCTGTCCCCACCCAAATCTCATCTGGCATTGTAACTCCCATAATTCCCATGTGTTGTGGGAGGAAACTGGTGGGAGATATTGAATCATGGGGCTGGGGCTTTCCCATGCTGTTCTCATGATAATGAATAAGTCTCATGAGATCTGATAGTTGATAATGAATAAGTCTCATGAGATCTGATTTTAAAAATGGAAGTTTTCCTGCACAAGCTCTCTTCTCCTTCCCTGCTGCCATACATGTAAGACATTACTTGCTTCTCCCTGCGTTCTGCCATGATTGTGAGGCCTCCCAGCCATGTGGAACTGTAAGTCCATTAAACTTCTTTATTTTGTAAATTGCCCAGTTTCACATGTCTTTATCAGCAGCAAGAAAATGGACTTATAAAGAGACCCTGCCTGAAAGGAAAAGAAAGAAAGAGAGAAAGAAAGAGAAAGAGAAAGAAAGAGGAAAGAAAGAAAGAGAAAGAAAAAAAGAAGAAAGAAAGAAAGAAAGAAAGAAAGAAAGAAAGAAAGAAAGAAAGAAAGAAAGAAAGAAAGAAAGAAAGAAAAAGAAAGAAAAGAAATGTGATTTCCAGTGTTAGAGGTAAGGCCTGGTGGGGTGATTAGATCATGGAGGCAGATCTCTCATAGGTCATTTAGCACCATCATCATCCCCTTGGTGATAATTGAGTTCTCATTCAGTTATTTCACATGAGATCTTGTTGTTTAAAACAGTCTGGGACCTCCCCTCCTCTCTCTTGCTCCTGCTCTTGCCATGTGATACTACCTGCTCTCCCTTTGCCTTCTGCTCTGACTGGAAATTTCCTGAGGCCCTTACCAAGAATGGATGCTGAAGCCATGCTTGTGTGGCCTGCAGAATTATGAGCAAATTAAACCTATTTGCTTTATAAATTACACAGCCTCCAGTATTTCTTTATAGTGCTATAAAGATACCTGAAGATGTGGAAGTGGCTTTAAAACTGGCTAACAGGCTGCATTCATTCATTTTAACACTGCTATAAAGAATTCAACCTGAGACTGGGTAATTACAAAGGAAAGAGGTTTAATTGACTCACAGTTCTGCAGACTTAAAAGGAAGCATGGCTAGGAGGTCTCAAGAAACTTACAACCATGGTGAAAGGCAAAGGGGAAGCAATCGTGTCTTACATAGCAACAGGTGAGAGAGAGGAGAGAAAGAGAGAGAGAAAGAAGGAGGAACTGCCAAACACTTATAAAACCATCAGATTTTGTGAGACTCACTCCCTATCACAAGAACAGCATTAGGGAAATTGCCCCCATAATCCAATCACCTTCCACAAGGTTTCTCCAATGAAACATGGGGATTATAACTTAAGATGAGATGTGGATGGGGACACAGAGGCAAACCATATCACAGGCAGTGTTGGAACAGTTTGGAGGGCTCAGAAGAAGACAGGAAGATGAGGTAAGATTTGGAACTTCAGACTGGCTAAATGGTTGTGATAAAAATGCTGATAGAAATATGGACAATAGCAGTGGCTGGCAAATGGCCAAATAGGAACAGCTTCAGTCTGCAGCTCCCAGCGAGATTAATGCAGAAGGCGGGTGATTTCTGCATTTCCAACTGAGGTACCCGGCTCATTTCATTGGGACTGGTGAGCCAGTGGATGCAGCCCATGGAGGGTGAGCTGAAGCAGGGTGGGGTGTTGCCTCACCCTGGAAGCACAAGGGGTTGGGGAACTCCCTCCCCTAGCCAAGGGAGGCTGTGAGGATCTGTGCTGTGAGGAAAGGTGCATTCTGGCCCATATACTATGCTTTTCCCATGGTCTTTGCCACCACAGACCAGGAGATTCCCTCAGTTTCCTACACCACCCAGGCCCAGGGTCTCAAGCAAAAAATTGGGCACTGTTTGGGCACACCCAAGCTAGCTGCAGTTTTTTTTCATACCCCAGTGGCACCCAGAGTGACAGTGTGAAAGAACCTTTCACTCCCCTTGAAAAAGGGATGAAACCAGGAAGCAAAGTGGTCTAGCTCAGCAGATGCCAGCCCCAAGGAGCCCACTGACTTGTGGGCTAAGTTCCACTGACTTGAAATTCTTGCTGCCAGCACAGCAGTCTGAAGTCAACCTGGGACACTGGGGCTTGGTCAGGGGAAGGGCATCCACCATCACTGAGGCTTGAGTAGGTGGTTTTCCTCTCACAATGTAAACAAAGCTGCTGGGAAGTTCGAATCGGGAGGACCCCACTGCAACTTGGCAAAGTTGTTGTAGCCAGACTGCCTCCCTAGAGTCCTCCTCTCCAGGCAGGGCATTTATGGAAGAAAGGCAGCAGCCCCAGTCAGGAACTTACAGATAAAACTTCCATCTCCTTAGGACAGAGCACCCAGAGGAAGGGGCGTCTGTGAGCACAGCTTCAGCAGACTTTAACATTCCTGCCTGCCACCTCTGAAGAGAGCAGCAGATCTCCCAGCAGACCACTTGAGCTCTGCTAAGGGACAGACTGCCTCCTCAAGTTGGTCCCTGACCTCCATGCCTCCTGTTGGGGAGACACCTGCCAGCAGGGGTCAACAGACACCTCATACAGGAGAGCTGCAGCTGGCATCTTGTGGGTGCCTCTCTGGGGTGAAGCTTCCAGAGGAAGTAATAGGCAGCAAGCTTTGCTGTTCTGCAGCCTCTGCTGGTAATACCCAGGAAAACAGCATCTGGAATGGACCTCCAGCAAACTCCAGTGGACCTGCAGCAGAGGGGCCTGAGTGTTAGAAGGAAAACTAACAAACAGAAAGGAATAGCATCAACATCAACAAAAAGGACATCCACACAGAAACCCCTTCCGAAGGTCACCAACATCAAAGCCCAAGGCAGATAAATCCATGAAGATGAGGAAAAACCAGCACAAAAAGGCTGAAAATTCCAAAACCCAGAAGCCTCTTCTCCAAAGGATCACAACTCCTCACCAGCAAGGGAACAAAACTGGACCCAGAATGAGTTTGACAAACTGACAGAAGTAGGCGTCAGAACGTGGGTAATGACAAACTCCTCCAAGCTAAAGGAGCACATGCTAACCCAAAGCAAGGAAGCCAAGAACCTTGAAAAAAGGTTAGATGAATTGCTAACTAGTATAACTAGTTTATAGAAGAACATAAATGACCTGATGGAGCTGAAAAACACAGCACAAGAACTTAGTGAAGCATACACAAGTATCAGTAGCCGAATTGATGAAGCAGAAGAAAGGATATCAGAGATTGAAGATCAACTTAATGAAATAAAGCAGGAAGACAAGATTAGAGAAAAAAGAATGAAAAGGAATGAACAAAGCCTTCAGATAATATGGAACTACGTGAAAAGACCAAACCTACATTTGATTGATATACCTAAAAGTGATGGAGAGAATGGAACCACGTTGTAAAACACTCTTCAGGATATTATCCAGGAGAATTTTGCCAACCTAGAAAGACAGGCCAACATTCAAATTCAGGAAATACAGAGAACAACACAAAGATACTATTTGAGAAGAGCAACCCCAAGACACAAAATTGTCAGATTCACCAAGGGTAAAATGGAGGAAAAAATGTTAAGGGCAGCCAGAGAGGAACGTTGGGTTACCCACAAAGGGAAGCCCATCAGACTAACAGTAGATCTCTCTGCAGAAAGACTACAAGCCAGAAGAGAGTGGGGGCCAATATTCAACATTCTTAAGGAAAAGAATTTTCAACCCAGAATTGCATATCCAGCCAAACAAAGTTTCATAAGCAAAGGAGAAAGAAAATCCTTTACAGACAAGCAAATGCTGAGAGATTTTTGTCACCACCAGGCCTGCCTTACAAGAGCTCCTGAAGGAAGCACTAAATATGGAAAGGAAAAACTGGCACCAGCCACTGCAAAAACATACCAAATGGTAAAGGCCATTGACTCAATGAAGAAACTAATTGGATAAAGAGTCAAGACCCATCAGTGTGGTGTATTCAGGAGACCCATCTCATGTGCAAAGACACACACAGCCTCAAAATAAAGGGATGGAGGAACGTTTACCAAGCAAAAGGAAGGTAACAAAAAGCAGGGGTTGCAATCCTGGTCTCTGATAAAACAGTCTTTAAACCAACAAAGATCAAAAGAGACAAAGAAGGCCATTACATAATGGTATATGGATCAATTCAACAAGAAGAGCTAACTCTCGTAAATATATATGCACCCAATACAGGAGCACCAGATTCATAAGCCAAGTTCTTAGAGACCTACAAAGAGACTTAGACTCCCACACAATAATAGTGGGAGACTTTAACACCCCACTGTCAATATTAGACAGATCAATGAGACAGAAAATTAACAAGCATATTCAGGATTTGAATTCAGCTCTGGAGCAGGCAGACCTAATAGACATCTACAGAACTCTCTGCCTCAAGTCAACAGAATATACATTCTTCTCAGCAACATATAGCACTTATTCTAAAATCGACCACATAATAGGAAGTAAAACGCTCCTCAGCAAATGAAAAAGAATGGAAATCATAGCAAACAGTCTCTCAGAAACAGTGCAATCAAATTAGAACTCAAGATTTAGAAACTCACTCAAACCACACAACTACATGGAAGATGAACAATGTGCTCCTGAATGACCACTGGGTAAATAACGAAATTAAGGCAAAAAAAGTAAGTTCTTTGAAACCAATGAGAACAAAGACACAATGTACCAGAATCTCTGGGACACAGCTAAGGCAGTGTGTAGAGGGAAATTTATAGCACTAAATGCCCACAGGAAAAAGCAGGAAAGATCTAAAATCGTCACCCTAACATCACAATTAAAAGAACTAGAGAAGCGAGATCCAGACATTTGAGGGAGGAGCCAAGACGGCCGAATAGGAACAGCTTCGGTCTACAGCTCCCAGCGTGAGCGACACAGAAGATGGGTGATTTCTGCATTTCCATCTGAGGAACGCAGTTCCTCACCAGCAACGGAACAAAGCTGGACAGAGAATGACTTTGACGAGCTGAGAGAAGGCTTCTGACGATCAAATTATTCTGAGCTACGGGAGGACATTCAAACCAAAGGCAAAGAAGTTGAAAACTTTGAAAAACATTTAGAAGAATGTATAACTAGAATAACCAATACAGAGAAGTGCTTAAAGGAGTTGATGGAGCTGAAAACCAAGGCTCAAGAACTACGTGAAGAATGCAGAAGCCTCAGGAGCCGATGCGATGAACTGGAAGAAAGGGTATCAGTGATGGAAGATGAGATGAATGAAATGAAGCAAGAAGGGAAGTTTAGAGAAAAAAGAATAAAAAGAAACGAGCAAAGCCTCCAAGAAATATGGGACTATGTGAAAAGACCAAATCTATGTCTGATTGGTGTACCTGAAAGTGACGGGAGAATGGAAACAAGTTGGAAAACACTCTGCAGGATATTATCCAGGAGAACTTCCCCAATCTAGCAAGGCAGGCTAATATTCAGATTCAGGAAATACAGAGAACGCCACAAAGATACTTCTCGAGAAGAGCAACTCCAAGACACATAATTGTCAGATTCACCAAAGTTGAAATGAAGGAAAAAATGTTAAGGGCAGCCAGAGAGAAAGGTCGAGTTACCCTCAAAGGGAAGCCCATCAGACTAACAGCGGATCTCTTGGGAGAAACTCTGCAAGCCAGAAGAGAGTGGGGGCCAATATTCAACATTCTTAAAGAAAAGAATTTTCAATCCAGAATTTCATATCCAGCCAAACTAAGCTTCATAAGTGAAGGAGAAATAAAATACCTTACAGACAAGCAAATGCTGAGAGATTTTGTCACCACCAGGCCTGCCCTGAAAGAGCTCCTGAAGGAAGCGCTAAACATGGAAAGGAACAACCGGTACCAGCCACTGCAAAATCATGCCAAAATGTAAAGACCATCGAGACTAGGAAGAAACTGCATCAACTAACGAGCAAAATAACCAGCTAACATCATAATGACAGGATCAAATTCACACATAACAATATTAACTTTAAATGTAAATGGACTAAATGCTCCAATTAAAAGACACAGACTGGCAAATTGGATAAAGAGTCAAGACCCATCAGTGCGCTGTATTCAGGAAACCCATCTCACGTGCAGAGACACACATAGGCTCAAAATAAAAGGATGGAGGAAGATCTACCAAGAAAATGGAAAACAAAAAAGGCAGGGGTTGCAATCCTAGTCTCTGATAAAACAGACTTTAAACCAACAAAGATCAAAAGAGACAAAGAAGGCCATTACATAATGGTAAAGGGATCAATTAAACAAAAAGAGCTAACTATCCTAAATATATATGCACCCAATACAAGAGCACCCAGATTCATAAAGCAAGTCCTTAGGGACCTACCAAGAGACTTAGACTCCCACACATTAATAATGGGAGACTTTAACACCCCACTGTCAACATTAGACAGATCAATGAGACAGAAAGTTAACAAGGATATCCAGGAACTGAACTCAGCTCTGCACCAAGCGGACCTAATAGACATCTACAGAACTCTCCACCCCAAATCAACAGAATATACATTTTTTTCAGCACCACACCACACCTATTCCAAAATTGACCACATACTTGGAAGTAAAGCACTCCTCAGCAAATGTAAAAAGAAAGTAATTATAACAAACTATCTCTCAGACCACAGTGCAATCAAACTAGAACTCAGGATTAAGAATCTCACTCAAAACCGCTCAACTACATGGAAACTGAACAACCTGCTCCTGAATGACTACTGGGTACATAACGAAATGAAGGCAGAAATAAAGATGTTCTTTGAAACCAACGAGAACAAAGACACAACATACCAGAATCTCTGGGACCCATTCAAAGCAGTGTGTAGAGGGAAATTTATAGCACTAAATGCCCACAAGAGAAAGCAGGAAAGATTCAAAATTGACACCCTAACATCACAATTAAAAGAACTAGAAAAGCAAGAGCAAACACATTCAAAAGCTAGCAGAAGGCAAGAAATAACTAAAATCAGAGCAGAACTGAAGGAAGTAGAGATACAAAAAACCCTTCAAAAAATCAATGAATCCAGGAGCTGGTTTTTTGAAAGGATCAACAAAATCGATAGACCGCTAGCAAGACTAATAAAGAAAAAAAGAGAGAAGAATCAAATAGACACAATAAAAAATGATAAAGGGGATATCACCACCAATCCCACAGAAATATAAACTACCATCAGAGAATACTACAAACACCTCTACGCAAATAAACTAGAAAATCTAGAAGAAATGGATAAATTCCTCAACACATACACTTTCCCAAGACTAAACCAGGAAGAAGTTGAATCTCTGAATAGACCAATAACAGGATCTGAAATTGTGGCAATAATCAATAGCTTACCAACCAAAAAGAGTCCAGGACCAGATGCATTCACAGCCAAATTCTACCAGAGGTAAAAGGAGGAACTGGTACCATTCCTTCTGAAAATATTCCAATCAACAGAAAAAGAGAGAATCCTCCCTAACTCATTTTATGAGGCCAGCATCATCCTGATGCCAAAGCCAGGCAGAGACACAACCAAAAAAGAGAATTTTAGACCAATATCCTTGATGAACATTGATGCAAAAATCCTCAATAAAATATTGGCAAACCAAATCCAGCAGCACATCAAAAAGCTTATCCACCATGATCAAGTAGGCTTCATCCCTGGGATGCAAGGCTGGTTCAATATACGCAAATCAATAAATGTAATCCAGTATATAAACAGAACCAAAGACAAAAACCACATGATTATCTCAATAGATGCAGAAAAGGCTTTTGACAAAACTCCACAACCCTTCATGCTAAAAACTCTCAATAAATTAGGTATTGATGGGACGTATTTCAAAACAATAAGAGCTATTTATGACAAACCCACAGCCAATATCATACTGAATGGGCAAAAACTGGAAGTATTACTTTGAAAACTGGCACAAGACAGGGATGCCCTCTCTCACCACTCCTATTCAACATAGTGTTGGAAGTTCTGGCCAGGGCAATCAGGCAGGAGAAGGAAATAAAGGGTATTCAATTAGGAAAAGAGGAAGTCAAATTGTCCCTGTTTGCAGATGACATGATTGTATATCTAGAAAACCCCATTGTTTCAGCCCCAAATCTCCTTAAGCTGATAAGCAACTTCAGCAAAGTTTCAGGATACAAAATCAATGTACAAAAATCACAAGCATTCTTATACACCAACAACAGACAAACAGAGAGCCAAATCATGAGTGAACTCCCATTCACAATTGCTTCAAAGAGAATAAAATACCTAGGAATCCAACTTACAAGGGATGTGAAGGACCTCTTCAAGGAGAACTACAAACCACTGCTCAAGGAAATAAAAGAGGATACAAACAAATGGAAGAACATTCCATGCTCATGGGTAGGAAGAATCAATATTGTGAAAATGGCCATATTGCCCAAGGTAATTTATAGATTCAATGCCATCCCCATCAAGCTACCAATGACTTTCTTTACAGAATTAGAAAAAAACTACTTTAAAGTTCATATGGAACCAAAAAAGAGCCCGCATCACCAAGTCAATCCTAAGCCAAAAGAACAAAGCTGGAGGCATCACACTACCTGACTTCAAACTATACTACAAGGCTACAGTAACCAAAACAGCATGGTACTCGTACCAAAACAGAGATATAGACCAATGGAACAGAACAGAGCCCTCAGAAGTAATGCCGCATATCTACAACTATCTGATCTTTGACAAACCTGACAAAAACAAGAAATGGGGAAAGGATTCCCTATTTAATAAATGGTGCTGGGAAAACTGGCTAGCCATCTATAGAAAGCTGAAACTGGATCCCTTCCTTACACCTTATACAAAAATCAATTCAAGATGGATTAAAGACTTAAACGTTAGACCTAAAACCATAAAAACCCTAGAAGAAAACCCAGGCATTACCATTCAGGACATAGGCATGGGCGAGGACTTCATCTCTAAAACACCAAAAGCAATGGCAACAAAAGCCAAAATTGACAAATGGGATCTAATTAAACTAAAGAGCTTCTGCACAGCAAAAGAAACCACCATCAGAGTGAACAGGCAACCTACAAAATGGGAGAAAATTTTCGCAACCTGCTCACCTGACAAAGGGCTAATATCCAGAATCTACAATGAACTCCAACAAATTTACAAGAAAAAAACAAACAACCCCTTCAAAAAGTGGGTGAAGGACATGAACAGACACTTCTCAAAAGAAGACATTTATGCAGCCAAAAAACACATGAAAAAATGCTCGCCATCACTGGCCATCAGAGAAATGCAAATCAAAACCACAATGAGATACCATCTCACACCAGTTAGAATGGCGATCATTAAAAAGTCAGGAAAAAACAGGTGCTGGAGAGGATGTGGAGAAATAGGAACACTTTTACGCTGTTGGTGGGACTGTAAACTAGTTCAACCATTGTGGAAGTCAGTGTGGTGATTCCTCAGGGATCTAGAACTACAAATACAATTTGACCCAGCCATCCCATTACTGGGTATATACCCAAAGGACTATAAATCATGCTGCTATAAAGACACATGCACAGGTATGTTTATTGCAGCATTATTCACAATAGCAAAGACTTGGAACCAACCCAAATGTCCAACAATGATAGACTGGATTAAGAAAATGTGGCACATATACACCATGGAATACTATGCAGCCATAAAAAAATGATGAGTTCATGTCCTTTGTAGGGACATGGATGAAATTGGAAATCATCATTCTCAGTAAACTATCGCAAGAACAAAAAACCAAACACCGCATATTCTCACTCATAGGTGGGAATTGAACAATGAGAACACATGGACACAGGAAGGGGAACATCACACTCTGAGGACTGTTGTTGGGTGGGGGGAGGGGGGAGGCATAGCATTGGGAGGTATACCTAATGCTAGATGATGAGTTAGTGGGTGCAGCGCACCAGCATGGCACGTGTATACATATGTAACTAACCAGCACATTGTGCACATGTACCCTACAACTTAAAGTATAATAATAATAATAATAATAATAATAATAATAAAGAAAAAGATCCAGCAAGCTGCATTCCACAAAAAAAAAAAAAAAAAAAAAAACTAGAGAAGCAAGAGCAAACAAATTCAAAAGCTGGCAGAAGACAAGAAATAGCTAAGATCAGAGCAGAACTGAAGGAGATTCAGACATGAAAAACCCTTCAAAAAGTCAATGAATCCAGGAGCTGGTTTTTTGAAAGGATTAACAAAATAGACTGTAGCCACACTAATAAAGAAGAAAAGAAGAATCAAATAGATGCAATAAAAATGATAAAGGGGATATCACCACCAATCCCACAGAAATACAAACTACCATCAGAGAATACTATAAACACCTCTGCACAAATAAACTAGAAGATCTAGAAGAAATGAATAAATTCCTGGACACATACACCCTCCCAAGTCTAAACCAGAAAGAAGTCGAATCCCTGAATAGGCCATTAACAAGTTCTGAAATTGAGGCAGTAATAAATAGCCTACCAACCAAAAAAAAAAAAAGCCCAATACCAGACGGATTCACAGCCGAATTCTATCAGAGGTACAAAGAGAAGCTGTTACCATTCCTTCTGAAACTTTTCCAAACAATAGAAAAAGAGGGATGCCTCCCTAACTCATTTTATGAGGCCAGCATCATCGTGATACCAAAACCTGGCAGAGACGCAACAAAAAAAGAAAATTTCAGGCCAATATCCCTGATGAACATCGATGCAAAAATCCTCAATAAAGTACTGGCAAGTTGAGTCCAGCAGCACATCAAAAAGCTTATCCACCACAATCAAGTTGGCTTCATCCCTCGGATGCAAGACTGGTTAAGCATATGCAAATCAATAAACGTAATCCATCACCTAACAGAACCAATGACAAAACCACAGGATTATCTCAATAGATGCAGAATAAGACCTTCGATAAAATTCAACACCCCTTCATGCTAAAAACTCTCAATAAACTAGGTATTGATAGAATGTATCTCAAAATAATAAGAGCTATTTAACACAAACCCACAGCCAATATCGTCCTGAACAGGCAAAAACTGGAAGCATTCTCTTTGAAAACCAGCACAAGACAAGGATGTCCTCTCTCGCCACTCCTATTCAACACAGTATTGGAAGTTCTGGCCAGGGCAATCAGGCAAGAGAAAGAAATAAAGGGTATTCAAATAGAGAGGAAGTAAAATTGTCTCTCTTTGCAGATGACATGATTGCATATGTAGAAAACCCCATTGTCTCAGCCTAACATCTCCTTAAGCCGATAAGCAACTTCAGCAAAGACTCAGGATACAAAATCCATGTGCAAAAATCACAAGAATTCCTGTACACCAATAATAGACAGACAGCCAAATCATGAGTGAACTCCCATTCACAATTGCTACAAAGAGAATAAAATATCTAGGAATCCAACTCACAAGGGTTGTGAAGGACCTCTTCAAGGAGAACTACAAACCACTTCTCAAGGAAATAAGAGAGGTCACAAACAAATGGAGAAACATTCCATGCTCATAGATAGGAAGAATCAATATCATGAAAATGGCCATACTGCCCAAAGTAATTTAGAGATTCAATACTATTCTCATCAAGCTACCATTTACTTTCTTCACAGATTTAGAAAAAAACTACTTTAAATTTCATATGAAACTGAAAAAGAGCTCATATAGCCAAGACAATCTTAAGCAAAAAGAACAAAGCTGAAGGCATCACACTACCTGACTTCAAACTACACTGCAAGGCTACAGTAACCAAAACAGCATGGTACTGGTATCAAACAGATATATAGACCAATGGAAGAGAGCCCTCATTAATAATGCCATACATCTACAACCATGTGACCTTTGACAAACCTGACAAAAACAAGCAATGGGGAAAGGATTCCCTATTCAATAAATAGTGCTGAGAAACCCAGCTAGCCATATGCCAAAAACTGAAACTGGACCCTTTCCTTACACCTTACATAAAAATTAACTCAAGATGAATTAAAGACTTAAATGTAAGACATAAAACCATAAAAACCCTAGAAGAAAACCCAGGCAATACCATTCAGGACATAGGCATGGGCAAAGACTTTATGACTAAAACACCAAAAGCAATGGCAACAAAAGCCAAAATTGACAAATGGGATCTAATTAAACTCAAGAGCTTCCACACAACAAAAGAAACAATCATCACAGTGAACAGGCAACCTAAAGAATGGGAAAAAAAATTGCAACCTATCCATCTGACAAGGGGCTAATATCCAGAGTCTATAAGGAACTTAAACAAATTTACAAGAAAAAAACGAACAACCCCATCAAAAAGTGGGCAAAGTACATGAACAGACACTTCTCAAAAGAAGACATTTATGCAGCCAACAAACATATGAAAAGAAGCTCATCATCACTGGTCATTAGAGAAATGCAAATCAAAACTGCAATGAGATACCATCTCACACCAGTTAGAATGGTGATCATTATAAAGTCTGGAAACAACAGATAGTGGAGAGGATAGGAATGCTTTTACACTTTTTACACTGCTGGTGGGATTGTAAATTAGTTCAACCATTGTGGAAGACAGTGTGGCAATTCCTCAAGGATCTAGAACCAGAAATACCATTTCACCCAGCAATCCCATTACTGGGTATATACTCAAAGGATTATAAGTTGTTCTACTATAAAGACAAAGGCACACATATGTATATTGCAGCACTATTCACAATAGCAAAGACTTGAAACCAACCCAAATGCCCATCTATGATAGACTGGATAAAGAAAATGTGACACATATACACCATGGAATACAGCCACGAAAAAGGATGAGTTCATGTCCTTCGCAGGGACATAGATGAAACTGGGAACCATGATTCTCAGCAAACTAACACAGGAACAGAAAACCAAACACCGCATGTTCTCACTCATAAGTGGGAGTTGAACAATGAGAGCACATGGACACAGGGAGGGGAATATCACACAGCGGGGCCTGTCAGTGGGTTGGGGGCTAGGGGAAGGATAGCATTAGGAGAAATACCTAAGGTAGATGACAGGTTGATGAGTGCAGCAAACCACCATTGCACGTGTATATCTATGTAACAAAACTGCACGTTCTGCACATGTATCCCAGAACTTTAATTTTTAAAAATGTGTGGAATGAAGCTGAAGCAGTGCTTAAAGGGAAATTAGTAGAATTAAAGGCTTACATTAGAAAATAAGAAATATCGCATTTGAAATTTAAATTTGCACATTCAGAATAGAGAGAAAAATAAAAGAAACCCAAATAAAGTTGAGGGAAGGAAATAGAAAGATAAGAGTAGAAATGAATGATACAATAAAGATGCCCAATCTCACCACTTATTTTTAACATTGTACTTCAAGTTCTACTAAGTGCATTACAGCAAGAAAAAGAGACAAAGTTATACAGATTAGAAAGTGGTGGCATGCACTTGCAATCCCAGCTACTTGGGAGGCTGAGGCAGGAGAATCGCTTGAACCCGGGAGGCAGTGGTTACAGTGAGCCGAGATCACACCCTCACACCTCCAGCCTGGGCAACAGAGCAAGACTCCATCTCAAAAAAAAAAAGGAAAGTGGAGAAAATCCTATTGTTATCTGAAGATAACATGCTTGTCTACACAGAAAACTTTCTAGAAATAACAAATGAGTTTAGCAAAATGTACTAGGCCATTCTTGCATTAATATAAAAAGAACTTGAGACTCAGTAAGTTATAAAGAAAAGAAGTTTAATTGGCTCATGGTTTTGCAAGCTTTACAGGAAGCATGGTGCTAGCATCTGCTTCTGCTGTGGCCACAGGAAGCTTACAATTATAGTGTAAGCTGACAGAGAACCAATATGTCACACGGCTAAAACAGGAGCAAGAGAGAGAGAGGGGGGAGGTCCCAGACTCTTAAACAACCAGATCTCGTGTGAACTGAGTGAGAACTCACTTATCACCAAGGAAATGGTGATAAACCATTCATGAGGGATCCACCCCCATGATGGGATCACTTTCCAAGAGGCCTCACCTCTAACATTTGCAAAAGTTTGGATTCTCAGATTTAGGAGTCCATTCGAGGTTCTTAAAGGAGTGTGCAGAGAGGAGGATAATCTCTCTAGGCCTATATAATGGATTAGAGGGGAGGACAGGACTGTGGTGGCATGTAGCCCTGTTAAGCTTTGTAGCAATGATCATGGACTTGTGTACTCACTTCCAATCTCATCTGTCCCCCTTACCATTCGGTATAAATTGAAAATAGGAACCACTTTTTCAACCAAGTTGGGGACACTTTCTCCACAGATTATTTGGAAAATAATTAATAATAATAGTAATATCTACTATAGTTACTGTATCTCAGTGTCCCCTGGAAAGAAAAATACCTGCTTCCTGCCCACCAGCAAGGCTGAACTTCTGGAACCCTGTGGGAGAAGGAGCCGAGTTCAGAATATGTACTTGAACAATTTTGGGAGACCATGCGGCTCCCTAACCCATCCAGAAGGTGACTGGAAGGTGACTGTGTCCTCGGGTACTTAGAATCCTTGTTTAACAATCTTCATGGTTTGGGATGATCTCAGTTATAATTAACACACACTGGCATGGCTGGAAGCTGGTGTGTTGGGTTGTGTATTTGTATGCATGTATTTGTGGTGTATGTATGCATGTCCTTTGCAGAGGCTGGGAATAAGGGATGATAAATTTGCCTGGTTCCCTTTGATCTTTGGGAATCTGACTGCTGTAGGTGGAACTGCAAGCTAAGCTGGGGAGACTGAAGGGAAGAAACAAAAGAGACAAATTTTTTTCTTGTTTCCATTAAAAATTGAGCAAATGGAAGGTTGTCTGGTTTGCATGAGGAATAGAGGTGGTAGGTGGAGAAAGATGAGAGAGAAAATTTGTTGTGAAGAAGGTAATTTTCAATACTTTCATAGGCCCAGTTAAATTATCTAAAACTATTCCAGTCTTTCCCATGAGAGAAATATCAGTTTATTGCCAGATAGCACACAGAATGATAGCTTCTGCTTTCATTTTCTGTAAGAATATAATGCAACTTTCTTTTCTCCAAGTTCCATATAATAAAAAAAGGAACCTGGCGCGTTGCAAAATAGTGTGATGAAGGACAAGTGAAGGACATCAAAAGGGCCCATAAACTGGTCTGAGGCCAGGGAGATGGGTGAGGAAGAAGATGCCACAAAGTGTGGGGAAGCTGAGATAATGTGTTATGGCTTGGGGAGCTCTGCTACAATGTCCTCACCAGTAGGTACTAGAAACATCTAAAGTTTAATTATTTATTTCCTTTCTCTTAAGACTGTGACAATAAAATAAAACTATTGCAAGTGAGGTGCTTAGCAATGGATCTAACACATTGTAGGTCCTCAATCAACTGCCAAGGGATGGTCAGGGGAGGAAGGAGCCCAAGATAATACCCAGGTCCCTGGATGGGACAATGACCTGAGAATGAAAACACAGAAATAGACTAGAAGGTAAAGATAAACACAGCAGTGAACACACTGACCTTGAGGTGTCAATGGAGACATCTAGTAAAGAGCTGAATGCAGGGTCTGATGCTGAGCAGAGGGTAGGGGGTGGAGATACAGATGTGGGCATTAGCAGCATGGGAATGATCACTGAAGGCAGGGAAGTAGATGCACTAGTGAGAACATAAAATATGAGATGAAAATCGGCTCATGACAAGACCCAGTGCTTGAGGGGAGAATGGAGGTGCAGAAAGAGGAGGCAGCAAAGGAGCCTGAGAACGGTGGAGGGCAGGATCCAGGAGAGAGTGATATCAGGGAAACCAAGGAAGAGAGTTCTCAGAAAGAGAAAGAGGTCAACAGTGCCAAATGCTAGGCGGTTCCTGGTCACCTGGTGGAGTTCTCAGGGGTACTTGCTGGTGAAGGAAGTCCGAGGAGTGAGTGTCTTGGAGCAAGTGTAGAAGTGCAGCTGTGACATGGAAGATGAAGAAACAGCAGATAGTTGCAGGGTGAGGTTAAGGGGATGCTGAGAGGGGAGAGTCCTGAGAACGTTTAAGGGCTGCAGCAAAGGAGTGAGCAGGGTCCATGGAACACACCAAAGAAAGGGGAACTGCATCAGAGATCAGTGTTCCTGAAACAGTGGGAGGAAAAGGGACTTGAACCACAGGAAAAGGCACTCACTTTAGACAACAGGAGCACACTGCTTTGTGTGGGGACAGGAGAGAGTTAGGACAGATGAATATAAGGGCAGGTCAGTGAGAAATGTGCTGGTAGGAACTTGAAGTCATCACTTTCTCCCATTTATTTGTCTCCAAAAAAAATAGGAGGTTCTGTCATTTGCCATGAGTAATAAGGTAGGATGATGTCTTAGTCTGCTCAGGCTGCCATGACAGAACACCATAGACTGAATAGGTTAAACAACAGAAATTTATTTTCTCACAATACCGGAGGTTGGACATCCAAGATCAGGGAGCCAGCATGGTTGGGTTCTGGTGAGGGCTCTCTTTTCGTCTTGCAGATAGCTGCCTTCTCACCGTGTGCTCACAAGATGGCTAGAGAGTGATGGGGGTGGGCGGGTGGGGAGAGAGAGAGAGATAAGGGGTGCAGGAGAGAGAGAGACAGACATATCTTCATATTGTCTTCTTTTAATAGGTCATGAATTCCATCACTAAAGCCCCACCCTCATGACCTCATCTAACCTAACTACTTCCCAAAGGCTTGCTCTCCAAACACCATTGCACTGGGCTTTAGGGATCCAACATAAGAATTCTGGGGGACACAATTCAGTCTATAGGAAGTTTGGGAGACTGTGAGAAGCAGTCAGCAGAATGATGACAAAGTGGGCTTTAGATCCAAACTACTTAGATTTGAATCCTGGTTCTGATAGTTTCCAGCTGTGTGGACTTATGCAAATGACTTAGTCTTTCTGTCTCCTTATTCTAATCTGTAAATTGGGATAATACCTATCTCTCAGAGTGTTTATGAGGTTTAAATGAATTAAAACACAGAGAATTCTTAGAAGAGTCATGGCACATAGGAAGCAATCAAAAAGAGCTAGCTATTATTAATTTATATTACCTTTGCAGTCATGCAATTAACTGATTGTTGACTGGTGTTAATGACTGATTGAGGCCAGGTATTTTGAATTTATAGTAGTGTCAGACAGGAGGTTTGCAATTCTGTTAGGTAGTATGAGTGTTGTACAGAGGTTGGATCAATCCAAGGTTCATGATTTGCTAAGAAGGTGAGACCTAGTGATAGCAATACAAAGGTATTTAGGAGCCTGGCTGGAGTGTTTGATGTGCTCATGCATGAGATTTTAGAAGGGTAGTGAAAGAGGTGTAATAGATGTGGTGAGCAGGTTCTCAATGGAGTTCCTCTATCTCAGAGGCAGGAAAGTGAAGCTCACATTTACCACACTCCCTGGTAGCTGGGATTCTGAGTGTGATTTAAGTTTTATGGTCAGAGGTGGGCTTGGAGGTTGAAAGTGAGGCAGTAGCTAATCCTTTTCTTTTTCTGCTGTTTCTGTGTTAAGGACAGTGATGACATCACTGGATTTTCTGCAGTAGCAGAGGCCCCTGAGTGTCTCACTATACCTGTGAAAATGGGACACAATGTTTAAGGTTTCACTCTGTTGCCCAGGCTGGAGTGCAGTGGCGTGGTCATGGCTCACTGCAACCTCAACCTCCTTGGCTCAAGTGATCCTCCCACCTTAGCCTCCTGAATAGCTGGGACTACCGGCACACACCACCATGTCTGGCCAATTTTTGAATTTTTATTTATAGACACGAGGTTTTGTCATGTTGCCCAGGCTGTTCTCAAACTACTGGACTCAAGCAATCCTCCCACCTCAACCTCCCAAGATGTTGGGATTATAGATATGAACCACATGCCTGGCCCTGAGCTTGTCTTGGATGAGAAATGACCAGGAGGTTGGTACATAGATGACTGTAAGGAGGAGGTATACAGTGTGACATAGTCAGATATATCCTCAGAGGACTGGGTATTGAACATTTTGTGGAGAAACTGTGAACTGAATACAAGACGAGTAAAGAAAGCTTGACTACCTATCTATCCTAAGATATGTGAGTGTGATTACATGATTGCCAACTACTTGAGAGGTTCAGGGGAGGCAGAGGGAGACAGGTTTCAGTTAGGGCTAACCTTTATGAAATTAATAAAGTAATGATTTTACTCTTGTGAATTATATATATTTTTCCTTCAATTACACTTCCATTCAACTGTAAGTAATGTATTATGTATTTTGATATATTGATCTTAAATTCAGCACACTTAATGAAATCATTCTATATAAATGTTATATAGTATAATACTATTAATGTTTATATTAAGTTGGTATTAGTACTGTGAACCCCGAAAATTCGAGATGGGTCTCAGTGAATTTATAAAGTTTATTTGTCAAGGTTGAGGAGCGCACTCATGACACAGCCTCAGGAAATCCTGACCACATGTTCCCAAGATAGTTGGGGCACCACTTGGTTTTATACATTTTAGGGAGACATGAGACATCAATCAATATATGTAAGAACTACATTGGTTCTGTCCAGAAAGGCAGGGACCACTGAAAGCAAGTCCCCACCCCCTGCCCAGGGGCTTCCAGGCCAGAGGTATGTGGGAGACAAATGGTTGCATTCTTTTGAGTTTCTGATAAGCCTTTTCAAAGGAGGCAAACAGAATATCCATCTATCTCAGTGAGAAGAGGGATGACTGAATAGAATGGGAGACAGATTTGCCCTGAACAATATTCAGCCTGAATTTCCCTTTCAGCTTAGTGATTTTGGGGACCCAAGATGTTTTCCTTTCACATTTCTCCCCTTTTCTTTTAGAAGATATTTTGGAGAAAGCATTTTAGAAAAAAAATGAGTCTCTGGTCACAGGTTTCATCTAATCTCTCATGGCTAGGACGGTTTATTCCTAGATGGGTAGGTCCCAAAAGCTCATTTTTAGCAGGTTGCGAAGTCTCATGTCCTATGAATAGAAAATAGGGAGGAGGAAAGGAGAAAAAACAACAACAAACAAAAGAACAATCTTGTAAAAATCGATATAACGCCACATTATTTTGAAGTCCATACATTAGTAGGCAGGTATGAAAGTGGCTTATATATGTAAATAGGTTACTGTTACTTTCTTCTGAGGTTTAAGTTGTCTGACTTCAGTTTGCGAGACTTTAAGAAAGCACAGCTTAGTTTTCAGGGACTCCAAATTAGGAAAAATATGGGGGAGGAGGAAGAAAATATTGAATTTTGAAGACTTGTAGCCAAGAAAAATTACAATTTGGTCCAAACTGTAGAAAATAATAAAAACTGAAAAAACATGAGGCAAGGCTAGAATCTAACAACAGGTGTACTATAGTTCTTGAAACATAATTTTTCTCTCTCCAGTTTCACATTTTTGCTAAAGACAAATCATGGTACTACTGGTTTTGCTTTATTACACTTGGCCAAATTATTTGTACACAGTGCAGCAAGAATAATTTTTTTACATAAGTTTTAAATTGGCTTTGATGGAACTTTGTTCCATAGTAGGAGTCTCAGGTAAGACTTTTTTAAAAGCTGAGCCCAGCCATGGATTTGTGCCATCAAATACCCATGAGTTTGGTGAATTTCCTCTCCTCTTGATGGTTCCAAGATAAACCTGGGTCTTCTGGGACTGTCAGAAAGTGACATTCTTTACTTACCACAGGTCAGAAACAGGAACTGTGTACACAAAATAAGACAACAGTTTTCCAAAGTCTTTGTTAGCTCCATAAATCAAGTTTGATTCCTTAAGGGAAATCACACCATTCCAGTCAAAGCCTTGGTAAAATAACCAGTTTCTCCAATTGTGTCCTGTTACAAATGAAAACAGATTCTTATTGCACTTATGCAAATAACTGTATTGCCATAAGAATATTGACAAATAGCTTTCAAAGTCTGGAGAAATCAGGTAGAGAGAAACAAATATGCTCCAAATTTTGTTCATAGGAGTATACTAAATTGTTAAAAGCTGTCAACAGCTCAAAAGAACACTTCCAAGACTCTGAAAAACAAAACAAAGGATCAGCAAACATTTTAAGCAAAAAGTCAAAAAGATTAGTTCAGTCCATGCAGTTAATAACTGTTCTGCTTGATACTCATGAACATATTAGCTCCCCAAGAATTGTGAAAGTTTTTCTTCTATTCTGATGTTACTACCTCCAAAGTTATCATAAACCTACATTCAAGAGCACCTGTTAGAGTTTTATAGCTGATTATAAAATCACCTTCTAAAGAGGACCAAAACAAGATAACAATTGGCTGTGGATGACAAAGGTTTTAGGACAGCCATAGTCAAAGACACAATTGAGAAGGAAATTTGTTACCTCTGTGGCACACAATAATTTTAGCATAACAATTATGATTACTGATAATGTATGCTAAGTTATACCAGAATTATAGAAACACATACCAATAACATATTTATACAAATACAGCTCCCTATAAAACCAAACACCATTTCATATTTGAAAATTCTTTCTGTGTTATTTTTGTACCAAATAAGCTAAATTGTGTCATTTTTGGACTTTAGGAAAACTAATATCTTAAAGGATTAATTAGGTCAGAAAAAGAAATAATTTTTTATTTGATTTTGGAAAGCTTGTCCAATATCAAAGGTTTAAAAACACTTGATATCACAAAATAGAATCACAAGGCATTGTAAAATAAGTCATTCCTTTAACCAAACTGATAACTCAAGGATTTCAAGAAAAAAAAGGCAAAAGCTGGCCTTCTTTGAAAGAGGAGATTTAATTTCCAAACAGTAAGCCCTAATGAAAACAGGATGAAACCAATTAATTTTTTTTTCAAAATTTTATAAACTATCTATAAAATTTCAATCTTGACCATAAGATATACCTCCCATAACCCTTCTATAACATTTATAACCTGTATTAAGGAATCAGTTAATTCTTCAAGAAAACCTTGTTAATCTGACACAGGGGTCCATATGCTGGTCTTGCATCAGTGTGCCTTTGACATTAATGATTAATTTATAAAAGAAACTGAACTTATTTAATCTCTTAAAATGGGCCCTACAATCTCACACACCCATCTCTTCTGACATAGTCCTTGGGCCTTGAGCAGTTGAATGGCTTTAATTTCTGGCCCTCTGCCTTAGGAATGTAGTTTATTTATATTGGCATCTTCTCCAGGACCTGAAGATGAGGCTTGAATTGCTGTTAGTGTTTAAGATTTAACAATATTTGGTGTAATTTTTAGACCCAGGAGTCAAAGCCCTGTAACTCAATGTCACAAAGACTTTAAAAGCACATTCAGGAAGATACATGGATGTAATATCCTTAATTTAAATAAAAAAGGTTATCTCAGTTTCTTTTTCCTAAGCAAACCAAAACTTAATAATAATATGACAACTTGATCATATAATTTTTTTATATATAAATCCTCTTATGGTGCCTTACATCAACTGTTCAAGACATGTTTGGACTTTCTGGTTTGTCCTGAACATCCCTCTTTCTTAAACAATCAGCCATTTTATTTTAGGACTAAATTTACCATACAAAATTATTTTTTATATAAAATTACTTCTCTTTAAGCTTTCTTACCACACACAAAAAAAATCTTTATTTTTATAACTTTCTTTATGTCTCTTTTATTTCCTGATTCCTTTTACCTTGTTTTATACATAACCTTTAAATAAGCTTTGAATTAGACAAAACTTGTTCACCTTTTTTAAAAAATGACACACTTGTTTTCAGCAAGAACATCTTCCTATACTGTATATTTATCAGAAAATACTCAAATAATGAAATACCTATTATTTAATTTAATATAACCTTAACCTTAGATTCTAAATTATGACAAGTTTGTGTACAAGTATTTATCCCATTACATTTACCTAATTATTTTATTTTAAATATTTACCAAGATTATTTATGAAAACTGTAATAGTCATGATTTAAAGTTATGAAACCACCATGGCAAAATTATAACTGAGACAGTGAAAAAGATTTGACCTAACTGACTCCATCTTGCTTCTAATCTCCATGCTGTCCTTGTTTATTCCTGAACTTTGGGAGGAACTTAGTTTATAGTTTAGCTTTGAAACAAAGATGATAACAGTCCTTTCCCAAAACAAACTTCCTTCCTTCATGCAGACTAAACTGCATAAAGCCACAAGATTAGAAGTTATGGTACTCTTACTAAATTCAAGATGCAGCTGTTTTTATTAAATCAATATCAATGTCTTACTTATTAAAAATTATTCAAGCAAAGATCATTCTGTTTTGGGCTGGGTCATATCTTTTTCACTGTCTCAGTTATAATTTTACAATGGTGGTTTCATAACTTTAAATCATGATAATTACAGTTTTCATAAATAATCCAGGTAAACATTTAAAATAAAATAATTAGGTAAATGTAATGGGATAAATACTTGTAAACAAACTTGTCATAATTTATAATCTAAGGTTATATTAAATTAAATAACAGGTATTCATAGTTTTGCAACCCCTATGCCAAATTTTGACACCTTATAGTACTTGGCAGGGATAAGTATGAAATTACTTGATTACTAAATGCAAAACAAAAATGTATGCTGGAAATTCTTAAGACATTTCTAATATTACTTTGTCAATAATTTAAAAGCTAGCTTACTGATTAAATATTTTACTTAAGTTGCATAAACTTGAAAATGCATTTGACTACTCTTTTTTCCTGATAAAGTATTTGATTTAAGTGCTTTTGTTTTCCTTTAAGCCAATTAATTAGATCTCCTTTATATATTTTTAGTAGTGAAACAATGTGTACACAACACAAATAAATAGATGTATTAGGCATGCTGATGGAAGTACATTTTATAGATTTATAAAGACCCCTTTTTTTCTATCTTAGACTTTCAGATTCTTGATAACCTATTTTACAATCCTAGGCAGTTGTCAGCTAAATCGCTTAAATTTGCATATTAAAGGAAACAACTCAGGTGAAAATCAAATAGCAAAATTTACATCATAAGTTACAGAAAGAAAAAGTATGATGGTGCTAGAGAGAGACACTTTTATTTTTCTTTGAGCCAAATCATACATAAAATTATAGAAACTTATCAAAGAACTGTATAAGTAGACAAATAAACTACATTCTTTCTTAAAAACCTGAGTAGCCTCTGTTGCAATAACTATTTTGGTCAAAAAATCAGATGAAAAGAGAATTCAGTCAATTGAGAAAAAAAAAGTTTTGCTCAAAATAAAAAAGACAAGGTCTTAGGAAAGTAAAACAAAAAGAAAAACATGAAGGCCTTTTAAATACAAACATGAACACATACATACGTACACACACATCTTGGATGTTGGCATTTTAAGTAAGCTGACTTTTAGCCACTGAGCTCCTTTAAAAGAAATCTTTTAAAATCTCATCACCATATTCCAGCTATAACAAAATGCTGCTATTTCAGCAGTACAGCCATTGCTCTTTCAATTTGTTCTGGCTGGCAAAAAGGTGGCCTTGTTATGTAACTAAAGCCTCTTTCATAATCAAAGCCCACCTTTTGTGTGTATGTGTGGATCGGGGAGTAATTAGCCATTTCAGAGGCCTTGTTTCTCATAATTTAGAATTTGCCTTTGCATTTGACCAAGTCAGGATGTGTGTCAGACCCCAAATGTGCTGCTTGCAGACCTAGCTTTTCAGGACTGTTACCCCCTGAAACGTTTCGGTCTACCCATGTTGTGGTTACCTGGTACAGTGTGTCAGGGGCTCAAGGTGCAGAAGGAGTCAGCTCCTTATATGCACCTGCCAGCTGAGATAAGACCCTAAATATTTTCTTCTGAGGGGAAAACCTATTTAGACCCGCTGCACAGCTTTCGGAGCATTCCCCCCAGACACCCTCGCGTGATTCTCAGTTGCCTTGAGAATTCCCTGAAAGGCTGAGGGGAGCAAGGTGCTCTTATTTCTTCAGAGTGGAAGATTCCACACTCATGAGCTAGAGGGTTTGGAACTGGTCAAATCTAATAAGGGAAAGGACCAAAACACACAAACCCCAAGAAGACAGAAACAAACAATAAAACATTTAAGCAAAACTAACTGATTACACAAATTGTGTGATTTCTGAGTGCTTTAACTGTAAGCATAAGTTAACACCAGCTGGTTGTTAATGCTAACTTTAGTCATTTAAAAGGAATTTACAAGACAGAATCAAAAGCCAGTTTCTTACCAGGTGATGGGTCTCAGGCTGTAGACTGCTCTCTACCATTCTAGAAGCGGGGTAAAAAAAACAAACAAAGAAACAAAAAACAATTAAAAAAAACCCTTCATCTTCCCTATTGGAAGTGAGCTCAAACTCCATAAAAAGGTTACCTGACTTCCATGGTAATGGAAGCAGGAAAAACTCGCCTTCCTTGTGTTGAAAGTAAAACTCAAAAAAAAAAAAAGAATTGCACAGCAAAATCAACTTTAGATCTCGACCAAATTTTGGGAGTTCAGGGATTCTCTGGAGGGGGTGCTTTCCGACCTCAGCAAATTGTCCTATTTTTTTGAGCCATAAATAAATCTCCTATTGGTTACTACCAAGCACCGATAGGAGATTTGTCAAAGGTCAGGGGCATCTCACTCAGAATCCCTCTGTGGTTACCAAAGGATGAACCCCCAAAATTTGAGACAGGTCTCACTTAATTTATAAAGTTTCTTTTGCCAAGGTTAAGGATGCATGCCCATGATACAGCCTCAGGAAGTCCTGAGGACATGTGCCCAATGTGGTCAGGGCACAGCTTGGTTTTATACATTTCAGGGAGACATGAGATATAAATCAATATATGTAAGAAGTACATTGATTTCATCCAGAAATACAGGGACAACTCAAAGCAAGCCCCCTCCCCCCGAGGGCTTTCAGGTCACAGGCAGCTGAGGGACAAATGGTTGCATTCTTCTGAGTTTCTGATAAGACTTTCCAAAGGAGGCAATCAGGATATGTATCTATCTTGGTGAACAGAGGGATGACTCAACAGAATGGGAGGCAGGTTTTCCCTGAGCAGTTTTCAGCTTAAATTGCCCTTTTAGCTTAGTGATGTTGGGAACCCAAGATATTTTCCTTTCACAGTACAATCTAGATGTTTATAAATTAACATGTCAATTGAATCCCCAGTACAACCTCATAGAAAACAACAGGAAAATATAATAAAAGAAGACCAAGAAATGAAAATGATAGCATGGAAAATAATCATTGAACACAAAGAAAGTAGCAAGGGAGGAATTAAAAAATACATAAGATATACAGACAAGAAAATGGTGAATGTAAATCTGATCAATAGTTACAAAAGGTAAGTGAATTAAATTTTCAATAAAGGCAGATAGATTGTTAGAATAAATAAAATAGAGATCCATTTATATGATACCTACTGAGATACAAACAGATGGAAATAAGAGGATAGAAAAAATATGCCATTAAGTAGTATCCAGGATAGCTGGAGTGGCTTTACTACTATTATGCAAAAAAGACTGTGATAAAAATGGTTACTAGAGACAAAGAAGTATATCATATAATGACAATAGGGTCAATCCATCAAGAAGACATAATAATTATAGACATATATGCACCTAACAACAGAGCACTGCAGTATGAGGCAAAAACGGACAGAATTGAAAGTACAAATAAACAATTCAACATAACAGTTGGAGATTTCAGTGTTCCAATTTCAATAATAAACAGAAAATCTAGACAAATGCTCATTAAGGAAACAGAAGACAATTGAACACTATAAACTAGACCTAAACACATCTATTGAACTTCTTCTAACTATTGAGCAGATTATACATTCTTCTCAAATGTACATGAAATATACTTTGGAAAAGACAATATATTCAGTCATAAAACAAGCTTCAATTCACTTAAAAAGCATAAAATTATACAAAGTATGTTTTCCAAAGCCAATAGAATGGAATTAGAAATCAACAGCAGCAGGAAATTCAGAAAAATCACAGATCTGGGAAATATAAAAATGCACTCTTCAGCAACCAAAGAGTCAAAGAATAAATCACAATGGAATCAGAAAATACTTTAAAGTGAAAAATCCTAAAAGCACAACATACCAAAACTTATGAGATGTGTTGAAAGCATTACCTAGAGGAAAATTTATAGCCAAAAATGCATATATTAAAAGGAAAGATCTCAAATCAGTAATCTAACCTTGATCCTAGCTAAACTAGAAAAAGAACAACAAATAAAACACGAAGTAAATTGATGGAAGAAAATAAGAAAAATCAAATATTCAGTTGTATGGTTATACCATGTTTTCTTTATCTGTATATTAGTTGATGAACAATTTCAGTTATTTTTCTGTTCTTGGCTATTACAAATAATGCCATGTTTTGTGTGAACACGTTTACAATTTTTTTAGATGCTTTACCTAGGAGTGGAAATTCTGGGTCATATGGTAGCTCTATTACTATCATTTTGAGAAACATTCAAACTGTTTTCCAATGTGGCTGAATCATTTTACATTCCCTCCAGCAATAAGTGATGGTTTTATTTTATAACCTTGTTGTTACCCAATGTGTTTTACTATAATGATCCTAGTGGGAATGAAGTAGTATCTCATTTTGGATTTGATTTGTATTTCTCCAATGACTAATGATCTGGTGTATCTTTCTATTACTTTATTGGCCATTTTTATAAGTCCTTTGATGTCTACTCAACTCCTTTGTCATTAAACACATTGAATTATTTGTCTTTCTACTGGAGGTATAAGTGTTCTTGATAGTTTCCAGATACTAGATTCTTACCAGGTATATGGTAAAATGGACAAATATTTCATCCCATTCTCTGGCTCATCATTGGCTTTCTTGATAGTGTTCTTTTATGCACAAACGTTTTTAATTTTGTTGAAGTTTAACTTATCTGTTTTTTCTTTGGTTGTTTGAGGTGTCATATTTCAGAGACCATTGACTAAGAAATGAATACGTTCACCTACCTTAAAGAGGTAGCTCTCAGTTTTAGCTTGAATAACTCAGTGTTTAATGCATTTTGAGTCAATTTTTGTTTATGGTTCTGGGATAAAGGCTCAGCCTCATTCTTTCACATGTATGGATCCATTTTTCCCAGCACCATGCATTGAAAACACTATTCAACACTATTTTTCCCCATTTAATTGTCTGGGCATCCTTGTTGAAAACAAATTTATAGTTGATGTGTGGGTTCATTACCAAACTTTCAATTTTATTCCAGTGATTTTCATCATGTCAGTACTACACTGCTTGATTCAGCATTGTAGTAAGATTTGAAACTGTAAAGTGTGAGTCTTCCATTTTTATTCCTCTTTTTCAAAATTTTTGGCTATTCATATGGCATTTCTCTAGTAATTTCTGGACTACTTTGTCAATTCCTACAAAAAAATTCACCTGGACTTTGATAGGGATTGCATTGAATTGGTAGATGAATTGGGGAAATATTATCATCTTAGCAATATTAAATCTCCTCATTCATAAGCACGTCATGATTTTTCATTTATTTCAATCCTCTTTTATTTCAACAATATTTTGCATTTATCAGTGGACTTGTCTTGCACTTCTCTTGTTAATTTACTCCTAAGCACTTTTTCTTTTTGATCTTATTGTAATGGAATTGTTTTTTAAATCATCTTTTGATTGCTCATTGCTAATATAGAATACTATAACTAATTTTTGCAAATTTATCTTGCATTTTACAACCATACTGAATTTTTTATTAGCTCTAATAGTTTCTTTTGAATTTCTTCGAATTTTCTATGTATAAGACCATGTCGTTTTAAATATAGTTTTAAATATCTTTTTTAATCTAAGCACCTTCTAGTTGTTGTCTTTTTTATTATTATTATACTTTAAGTTTTAGGGTACATGTGCACAACGTGCAGGTTTTTTACATAGGTATACATGTGCCATGCTGGTTTGTTGCACCCATAAACTCATCATTTACATTAGGTATTTCCCCTAATGCTACCCCTCCCCTAGCCCCCAACCCCTAACAAGCCCTGGTGTGTGATGTTCCCCTCCCTGTATCCATGTGTTCTCCTGATTCAACTCCCACTTGTGACTGAGAATATGTGGAGTTTGGTTTTCTGTCCTTGTGATAGTTTGCTGAGAATGATGGTTTCCGGCTGCATCCATGTCCCTGCAAAGGACATGAACTCATCCTTTTTTATGGCTGCATAGTATTCCATGGTGTACATGTGCCACATTTCCCTTATCCAGTCTATTATTGATGGACATTTGAGTTGGTTCCAAGCATTTATTATTGTGAATAGTGCCAAATAAACATACCTGTGCATGTGTCTTTATACTAGCATGATTTATAATCCTTTGGGTATATACCCAGTAATGGGATCACTGGATCAAATGGTATTTCTAGGTCTAGATCCTTGAGGAATCACCACACTGTCTTCCACAATGGTTGAACTAATTTACACTCCCACCAACAGTGTAAAAGCATTCCTATTTCTCCACATCCTCTCCAGCATCTGTTGTTTCCAGACTTTATAATGATCACCATTCTAACTGGTGTGAGATGGTATCTCATTGTGGTTTTAATTTGCATTTCTCTGATGACCAGTGATGATGAGCATTTTTTCATTTGTCCGCCTGCTGCATAAATGTCTTCTATTGAGAAGTGTCTGTTCATGTCCTTTGCCCACTTTTTGATGAGGTTGTTTGTTTTTTACTTGTGAATTTTTTTAAGTTCCTTGTAGATTCTGAATGTTAGCCCTTTGTCAGATGGATAGATTGCAAAAATTTTTTCCCATTCTGTAGGTTGCATGTTCACTCTGATGATAGTTTCTTTTGCTGTGCAGAAGCTCCTTAGTTTAATTAGATCCCATTTGTCAATTCTGGCTTTCGTTGCCATTGCTTTTGGTGTTTTAGTCATAAAGTCTTTGCTCATGCCTATGTCCTGAATGGTATTGCCTAAGTTTTCTTCTAAGGTTTTTATGGTTTTAGGTCTTACTTTTAAGTCTTTAATCTATCTTGAGTTAATTTTTGTAAAAGGTGTAAGGAAGGGATCCAGTTTCAGCTTGCTACATACAGCTAGCTGGCTTTCCCAGCACCATTTATTAAATAGGGAATCCTTTCCCCATTTTCTGTTTTTGTCAGCTTTGTCAAAGATCAGATGGTTATAGATGTGTGGTGTTATTTCTGAGGCCTCTGTTCTTTTCTATTGGTCTATATATCTGTTTGGTACCACTACCATGCTGTTTTGGTTATGGTAGCCTTGTAGTATAGTTTGAAGTCAGGTAGTGTGATGCCTCCAGCTTTGTTCTTTTTGTTTAGCATTGTCTTGGCTATGTGGGCTCTTTTTTTGGTTCCATATGAAATTTAAAGTAATTGTTTCCAGTTCTGTGAAGAAAGTCATTGGTAGCTTGATGGGGATAGCATTGAATCTATAAATTACTTTGGGCACTATGGCCATTTTCATGATATTGATTCTTCCTATCCATGAGCATGGAATGTTTTTCCATTTGTTTGTGTCCTCTCTTATTTCCTTGAGCAGTGATTTGTAGTTCTCCTTGAAGAGGTCCTTCACATCCCTTGAAAGTTGGATTGCTAGGTATTTTATTCTCTTTGTAGCAATTGTGAATGGGAGTTCACTCATGATCTGGCTCTCTGTTTGTCTGTTATTGGTGTATAGCAATGCTTGTGATTTTTGCACATTGATTTTGTATCCTGAGACTTTGCTGAAGTTGCAGTTGCTTATCAGCTTAAGGAGATTTGGGGCTGAAATGATGGGGTTTTTTAAATATACAATCATGTCATCTGCAAACAGGGACAATTTGACTTCCTCTTTTCCTAATTGAATACCCTTTATTTCTTCCTCTTGCCTGATTGCCCTGGCCAGAACTTACCATACTATGTTGAATAGGAGTGGTGAGAGAGGGCATCCTTGTCTTGTGCTAGTTTTCAAAGAGAATGCTTCCAGTTTTTGCCCATTCAGTATGATATTGGCTGTGGGTTTGTCATAAATAGCTCTTATTGTTTTAATGTATTGTTGCAGGAAGTCAGGGACCCCTGAATGGAGGGACCTGCTGAAGCCGTGACAGAAGAACATAAATTGTGAAGATTTCATGGACATTTATTAGTTCCCCAAATTAATACTTTTATAATTTCTTACACCTGTCTTTACTGCAATCTCTGAACATAAATTGTGAAGATTTCATGGACATGTATCACTTCCCTAATCAATACTCTTGTGATTTCATATGCCTATCTTTACTTTAATCTCTTAATCCCATCATCTTTGTAAGCTGAGGATGTATGTCACCTCAGGACCCTGTGATGATTGCATTAACTGCACAAATTGTTCATAAAGCATGTGTGTTTAAACAATTTGAAATCTGGGCACCTTGAGAAAAGAACAGGATAACAGCGATGATCAGGGAACAAGAGAGATAACCATTAGGTCTGACTGCCTGGGAGCCAAGCGGAACAGAGCCATATTTCTCTTCTTAGAAAAGCAAATAGGAGAAATATCGCTGAATTCTTTTTCTCAGCAAGGAACAGCCCTGAGAAAGAGAATGTGTTCCTAGGGGGAGATCTCTAAAATGGCTGCTCTAGGAATGTCTGTCTTATACTATTGCAGATAAGGAATGAAATAAGCACTGGTCTCTTGTAGCGCTCCCAGGCCTATTAGGATGAGGAAATTCCTGACGAGTAAATTTTAGTCAGACCGGTCATCTGCTCTCAAACCCTGTCTCCTGATAAGATGTTATCAATGACAGTGCATGCCCAGTGGGACATGAAACTTCAATAGCAATTTTAATTTCACCCCTGTCCTGTGATCTCACTCTGCCCCCATTTGCCTTGTGATATTTTATTGCCTTGTGAAGCATGTGATCTCTGTGACCCACACCCTATTCGTACACTCCCTCCCCTTTGAAAATCACTAATAAAAACTTGCTGGTTTTGTGGCTTAGGGGGCATCACAGAACCTGCCAATATGTGATGTCTCCCCCAGACACCCAGCTTTTAAATTTCTCTCTTTTGTACTCTTTCCCTTTATTTCTCAGACCGACTGACACTTAGGGAAAATAGAAAACCTATGTTGAAATATCAGGGGCTGGTTTCCCCAATAATGTGTGTTCTATCAATACCTAGTTTATTGAGAGTTTTTATCATGAAGGGCTGTTGAATTTTATTGAAGGCCTTTTTTGCATCTATTGAGATAATCGTGGTTTTTGTCATTGGTTCTGTTTATGTAATGGATTACATTTATTGATTTGCATAAGTTGAACCAGCCTTTCATCCCAGGGATGAAGCCAACTTGATCATGGTGGATACACTTTTTGATGTGCTGCTGGATTCATTTTGCCAGAATTTTATTGAGGATTTTCACATCGATGTTCATCAGGGTTATTTGCCTAAAATTTTGTTTTTTTGTTATGTCTCTGCTAGGCTTTGGTATCAGGATGATCCTGGCCTCATAAAATGAGTTAGAGAAGATTTCCTCTTTTTCTATTTATTGGAATAGTTTCAGAAGAAATGGTACCAGCTCCTCTTTGTACTGCTGGTAGAATTCAGCTATGAATCCATATGGTCCTGGACTTTTTTCGGTTGGTAGGCTATTAATTTTTGCCTCAATTTCAGAACATGTTACTGGTCTATTGTGAGATTCAACTTCTTCTTGGTTTAGTCTTGGGAGGGTATGTGCGTCCAGGAATTTATCCATTTCTTCTAGATTTTCTAATTTATTTGCATAGAGATGTTTATAGTATTCTCTGATGGTAGTTTGTATTTCTGTTGGATTAGTGGTGATATTCCCTTTATCATTTTTTATTGCATCTATTTGATTCTTCTCTCTTTTCTTCTTTGTTAGTCTTGCTAGCGGTGTATCCGTTTTGTTGATCTTTTCAAAAAACTGGCTCCTGGATTACTTGATTTTCTTTCAAGGGTTTTTCATGTCTCTATCTCCTTCAGTTCTGCTCTGATCTTAGTTATTTCTTGTCTTCTGCAAGCTTTTGAATGTGTTTGCTCTTGCTTCTCTAGTTCTTTTAATTTTGATGTTAGGGTGACGATTTTAGATCTTTCCTGCTTTCTCCTGTGGGCATTTAGTGCTATAAATTTGCCTCTACACACTGCTTTAAATGTTTCCCAGATATTTGGTACATTGTGTCTTTGTTCTCATTGGTTTCAAAGAACATCTTTATTTCTGCCTTCAGTTTGTTATTTACCCAATAGTCATTCAGGAGCAGGTTGTTCAGTTTTCATGTAGCTGTGCAGTTTTGAGTGAATTTCTTAATCCTGAGGTCTAATTTGATTGCCTTGTGGCTTGAGAGACAGTTTGTTGTGATTTCTGTTCTTTTACATTTTCTGCAGAGTGTTATACTTCCAATTATGTGATCAATTTTAGAATAAGTGTGATGTGGTGCTGAGAAGAATGTATATTCTGTTGATTTGGGGTGGAGAGTTCTGTAGATTTCTATTAAGTCCGCTTGCTGCAGAGCTGAGTTCAAGTCCTGCATATCCTTGTTAATTTTCTGTCTCATTGATCTGTCTAGTATTGACAGTGGGATGTTAAATTCTCCCACTATTATTTTGTGGGAGTCTAAGTCTCTTTGTAGGTCTCTAAGAACTTGGCTTATGAATCTGCGTGCTCCTGTATTGGGTGCATACATAATATATATTTAGGATAGTTAACTCTTCTTGTTGAATTGATCATTTTACCATTATGTAATGCCCTTCTTTGTCTCTTTTGATCTTTGTTGGTTTAAAGACTGTTTTATCAGAGACTAGGATTGCAACTCTTGCTTTTTTTTTTTTTTTTTGCTTTCCATTTGCTTGGTAGATCTTCCCCCATCCCTTTATTTTGAATTTATGTGTGTCTCTGCATGTGAGATGGGTCTCCTGAATACAGCACAACAATGGGTCTTGACTCTTTATCCAGTTTGCCAGTCTGCATCTTTTAATTGGGTTATTTAGCCCATTTACATTTAAGGTTAATATTGTTATGTGTGAAATTGATCATGTCATTATGATTCTACCTGGTTATTTCATCTCTTAATTGATGCAGTTTCTTCATAGTGTCGACGGTCTTTACAATTTGGCATGTTTTTGCAGTGGCTGGTACCAGTTATTCCTTTCCATGTTTACTGCTTCCTTCAGGAGCTCTTGTAAGGCAGGCCTGGTGGTGATAAAATCTCTCAGCATTTGCTCATCTATAAAGGATTTTATTTCTCCTTCACTTATAACACTTAGTTTGGCTGGATATACAATTCTTGGTTGAAAATTCTTCTCTTTAAGAATGTTGAATATTGGCCCCTGCTGTCTTCTGACTTTTAGGGTTTCTGCTGAGAGATCTGCTGTTAGTCTGATGCGCTTCCCTTCATGGGTAACCCAACCTTTCTCTCTGGCTGCCCTTAACATTTTCTCCTTCATTTCAACCTTGACAAATCTGACAATTATGTGCCTTGGGGCTGCTGTTCTCAAGGAGGGTCTTTGTGGTGTTCTCTGTATTTCCTGAATTTGAATGTTTGCCTGCCTTGCTAGGTTGGGGAAGCTCTCCTGGATCATATCCTGAAGAGTGTTTTCTAACTTGGTTCCATCCTCCCCATCACTTTCAGGTACACCAATCAAATGTATATTTGGTCTTTTCACATAGTCCCATATTTCTTGGAGGCTTTGTTTGTTTCTCTTCATTCTTTTTTCTCTAATCTTGTCTTTATGCTTTATTTCATTAATTTGATCTTCAATCACTGATATCATTTCTTCTGTTTGATCAAATCAGCTATTGAAGCTTGCGTATGCTTCAAGGGGTTCTTGTACTGTGCTTTTCAGCTCCATCAGGTCATTTAAGTTCTTCTCTACACTGATTATTCTATTTAGCCATTCATCTAACCTTTTTTTAAGGTTTTTAGCTTCCTTGCAATGGGTTAGAATGTGCTCTTTTAGCTCGGAAAAGTTTGTTATTACCGACCTTCTGTAGCCTATTTCTGTCAGCTCATCAAACTCATTCTGCTTCCAGTTTTGTTCCCTTGCTGGTGAGGAGTTGTGATCCTTTGGAGGAGAAGCGGCATTCTGGTTTTTGGAATTTTCAGCCTTTCTGCTCTGGTTTCTCCCCATCTTTGTGGTTTTATCTACCTTTTGGTCTTTGATGTTGGTGGCCTACAGATGGGGTTTTGGTGTGGATGTCCTTTTTGTTGATGTTGATGCTTTTCCTTTCTGCTTGTTAGTTTTCCTTCTAACAGTCAGGCCCATCAGCTGCAGGTCTGTTGGAGTTTGCTGGAGGTCCTCTCCAGACCCTGTTTGCCTGGGTATTACCAGCAGAGGCTGCAAAACAGCAAATATTGCTGCCTGATCCTTCTTCTTTAAAATTCTTCCCAGAGGGGCACCTGCCTACATGAGGTGTCTGTCAGCCCCTACTGGGAGGTGCCTCCCAGTCAGGCTACACGGGGGTCAGGGACCCACTTGAGGAGGCAGCCTGTCTGTTATTGGAGCTTGAATGTCATGCTGGGAGAACCACTGCTCTCTTCAGAGCTGTCAGGCAGGGATGTTTAAGTCTGAAGAAGCTTTCTGCTGCCTTTTGTTCAGATATGCCCTGCACACAGAGGTGGAATCTAGAGAGGCAGTAGGCCTTGTTGAGCTGCGGTGGGCTCCACCCAGTTTTAGCTTCCCTGTGGCTTTGTTTACACAGTGAGCATAAAACCACCTGCTCAAGCCTCAGCAATGGCAGACACTCTTCCCCCCACCAAGCTCCAGCATCCCAGGTCAATCTCAGACTACTGCACTAGCAGCAAACAAGGGTCCGTGGATGTGGGACCCACCAAGCCAGGCATGGGGGAATCTCCTGGTCTGCCAGTTGTGAAGACTGTGGGAAAAGCACAATATTTGAGCAGGAGTGTATAGTTCCTCTAGGTACCATCTCTCATGGCTTCCCTTGGCTAGGAAAGGAAAATCCTCCAACCCCTTGCACTTCCCTGGTGAGGCAATATCCCACCCTGCTTCAGCTCACCCTCCATGGGATGCACCCACTGTCCAACCAGTCCCAGTGAGATGTACCAGGTACCTCAGTTGGAAATGAAGAAATCACCCATCTTCTGTGTCAGTCTCGCTGGGAGCTGCAGACTGGAGCTGTTCCTATACAGCCATCTTGGAAGCGACCCCCAATTGTCTTCTTACTTAATTGTTATGGTTAGAACCCACAATACAATGTTGAATGTCAATGTCACAAGCACATTCCCTTGTATTGTCTTTGGATTTAGGGGGGAAACTTTTCATTTTTCACTATTACATATGATGTAAGTTGCATGTTTTTCATAAATATCCTTTATTAGGTTGAGGGAATTCTCCTCAATTCCTACTTAGTCCATGGTTTTTCTTCATGAAAAGGTGCTGGATTTTGTCAAATACTTTTTTGCCTCTGCTGAAGGGATCATCCATTTCCCAATTTTTATCTACTCATATCTTCTATTAAGTTGATTAATTTTTGTATGTTGAACCATTCTGTATGCTTGAGATAAATCCCACTTGGTTGTGTTGTATAATCCTTTTTATATATTGGTGGATTTAGTTTGCTAGTATTTTGTTGAGAATTTTTGCATGTAAGAGATATTGGCTTTTGTTTACTTTTGATATCTTTGTGTGGTTGTGGTATCAGTGTAATTCTAGCTTGATAGAATGCGTTGCAAATATCACTTTCTTTTCTATTTTCTGCAAGAATTTGTGAAGGATTGGTCGTTTTTAATTATACATTTGGTGTAGTACCACAGTAAAGCCATTCTGTTTTTACTTTGTGGGAGTATTTTGATGACTAAGTCATTCTCTTAATTGTTACAGGTTTATCTAAATTTTTATTTCTTCTTGAGTCAGTTTTCATAGTTCATGTATTTCTAGAAATTTTTCTACTAACAACTTTATCTAATTTTTGTCATACAATTATTGTTAGTATCCCTTCATGATATTTTTTTTATTTCTGGGAAATATAATTACTACCTTTATTTATAGATTCCTTATTGGTTTAATATTCATTTAATGTCAATGATATACAAAAACTTTGATTCTACATTGCTGTGTTCTCCTATCCTCGTACTGTTATTCTTATCCAAATTACATCTTTTACCTCATGTACCCTTTAGCACACTTATATTTTTTATGTTAGGTAAGTTTATTTGAGGTGAGTTAAGAGAAAAAGCTATTATAAATAAAAAACACTCATATTGCTGTTTATATTTATCTATTTAATTACCCTTACTAGTGCTCATTATTTGTTCATATAGCTTTTATTGACTTTCTAGTGTCTTTCAGTTCAGATTGAATGACTCCCTTTGCATTTGTTATATCGCAAGTCTGCTAGTGACAAGTCTCCATTTTTGTTTCTGTGGGCATGTCTTAACTTCTCCTTGATTTGTGAAGCATAGTTTTGAAGGACAGCAAATTCTTAGTTGTAAGATTTTTTCTGAACACTTTGCATATGTCATTACAGTGCCCGTTGGCATTCTTGGAATTAGCTGTCAGTGTTATTGGGGATCCCTTGAATATGCAGCCTCACTTTTCTATTTCAGCTTTGAAGATTCTCTGTTTGACTTTGGCTTTTGATCATCTCATTTTGATATGTCTAGGTTTGGATGTTTTTGAATTAATCTTACTTTGGGTTCATTGAACTTTTTGATTGGGTAGTTTAGTGTCTCTCTGTAAAATAAAATTTGAGAGCAGAATATAGAGTAGGGGATGTCCCACTCATATCCTCCCACAGCAACAAGAATTTGAGAGCCTTCCACAGACCAAAGTACAGTTGTGAGCGTATTGGACTCCAGGTCAAAGGCAGCAAAACCTTAGGAGAGCCCAAGACTGAAGAGAGCTGTTTTGAGAGGGTGTTTTCACAACCAGGTAGCAGGCTCACTGTACATGTTCCTGGATACAGACCTGGAAACAACACTTTGCCCCAGTAAATCTGGATATAGCTCTCTTTGGCTTTGGTCCTGCCACCAGAACAATCTGCCAAGGGACCTGAGAGGAGTCATAACCACCCCTGCCTTGGGCGACAGGCCTGTTGACTTTGATCTTGACAGAGAACCCTGAAGCAAGGCACTTGGCATCAGCCCCTTCTGTCCTCATTTCCACCGTGACTATTGATTTCATTCTGAAACACAACTTATTCTCACCCAGTTGTGGGCAGAGAGTATTCCTAGCCACCCAGGAGCCCACTGGGAGATATGTCTGTCTGTGCTCATGTTGGTACATCTTCTAACTTTGGACTGATTGCAGATTCTGAAGCAGCCCTGCTTTAGCCCTGCTCAGTCATGGTCCAGGGGCAGTCTTTCCCTACCATGAACATGGTAGGAGGCATACCCGTCTAATCCTCCAGAGACCTGCTTGCAAATTGTGAACCCTGAAGCAGCCCTGTGACTCAGTTCCACCACTCTCAGTAACAGTACAAGGACAGTCTTGTCAATCCAGGGACCCATCCAGTGATCCAGTAGGAGCACTCCAGGGACTCAGAAAGAGCTACTGTCATCACACTCATGAAAACAGAACCACCATCTGCAGGCCCAACTGTGGAACCTTGAAACAGTGTAGCCCTAATGAACAAGATTTTAGACAAAGTCCAATGCACTCAAGGACCAGACAGAATCTACAGCCACTTGAGCTGCTGATAACAGTTCCACCAACGACGGACCATATTTGGACCCAGCTAAAGCCACATAACATGTCTCCAACCCCATTGAACTTAGAACTGAGAAGCAATCCTATAAGCCTGGAGACCAAAGAGGAGAAGGTCTTTGTCTTCCAAAAACAGTCTGTAAAAACTGGAAGATGTGTTTGCTTCTTCCAATCCACAAACACAAATGCAAGGCACATGGACAATAACATATCAGACTACCCAGAAGTCTCCACTTATCTCCCATCTGGCACTTGGTGACTCACACATTCTGCTGCTGCCTTCCTTTAACTCACCAAAACATTACCAGCATTAGGCAGTTGTGTGTAATTAACTTACCAAAATTCCCATGGTTGGGGTTTGTGCCCATGTACATGTTTATGCCTTTGCACAGGATGGCTGGGATGTCAAAAATGAGATTAGAGGTCTGGATTTTTAAACATCCCTGGTGTTTTGCCAGCATGGAACGTTCATTGCTGACTCTCTCCAGAGTTCCTGGCTTCTAGCCACAGGGCTGGTTTCCTCTCTGAAGGTTCATCTTTTGCATTCTCCTTCCTTACAAATAGTGTTCATAGCCAAGCACTTCTCAAAGAAGTTCAGTCTGGAGAGCTGTGGGCATAGGGGTGGGGCGCTTATGAGGTTTAATCCCCATTGCCCTGAGGGTGACCAGCAGATAAGCTGCCCAAATTTTGATTCCACACAAGGAGTTTCCAACTCTAGAACTCATGGACTGCCTTTTGCAGTAACTTCCTCATTACCACGTGGGGTAGTCAGAATCGAGCCAATCTTGAATATCCTCTCTCCTGGAAATCTGCAGAGCAGTTCTGGGTGAGAACAGAGGGTTCACTCAAGATGACGTGCATGGGGCCACATAGTGGGATGGGAGAGCGGCTGTGATATCAGTGACAAGTCCTGAGCTTGTGGTCAGGAGTCCAGACCCTGTTGCTTGATTAGCCATGTGACCTTTCACAGGTCGCATAACACCTCTGGGATTTGGGTTTCACATTGATTAAATGGGTTTAATACCCAGGAACCTGACTACCTTGAGATGGTCTTGGGGTCAGGCCTGCAGCTCCAGCCTTGGGGGTGTTCTGCCTGGGCAGCCATCAGGGGAGACTACTTGAGGAGAAGGAGGCGGTGCCTGGGGGTTAAGAAGATGGTGCTCCTCCCTCAGGCTAATGGGAGGGGGAGTTCTTAAATGTCCTGGAGTATCCAGGTCTGGAGAGAAGAGGACATCACCTGAGCCTCAGCAGGTAGTGGTGGGTTTCAGGCTGCTGAGGCTGTGGCAGAGGGAGTGTGAACTTCTCTGCCCCACCCCTTTGAAATACTAGGAGCAGAGCTGACACAGGCTGAAAGGAAAATTTAGTTGTGATGCAGCCAAGAGCCTGTCAGCTTCTGCAGGGGGTTCTTCTTACCCTGCGTGTATGGAGAGTTGATGACCCCTAGTGGGAGCTGAGAAACCACACAGCCGCCTGCAACAAGTAAATGCTGATATTTGCATTGGAGATGTGGGGAGTTAACACTCTCCACAGGAGATCTGTTCTTTTGCTTACAGCTTCTTACTTAGGCAACTGAGAATTGAAGTTTTTGAAAAATCAAAACAGAAATTTAACTTATTATGTGAGGTAGGGACAAAGTAAAGTCATCAAGTTCAGGAAGGGCATAGCCCAGCCTTGCTGTAAGAGGGTGACTTCTGTGCCTGACCATAGGCTGACACTGGTGACCACGGCCACCTGGGGCAGAGCTGTGAACCCAGAGAAGCAGGTGAGTGTCAGGAGAGGGTGTGGGAGGGAACACCAAGCTGGCTGTGCCCGAGAGAAGGGGGCCTGTCTAATACACTGCCAGGAACATCACAGAATGAGGTTATGCCTTTATTTCTTCTGCAATTACTTATTGACTATGTGTGGTACTGTGGGGACTGGGAGGGGAGGAAAGAGCTGAATGGTTTTCTCTCGACTCGTGGGCTGTCTCCCCAGTAGTAACTTGCTGGCCCTGCCCTTGAAGTGGGGAAACTGTGAAGGGCTCCTTGATCAAGCTCGTCCTCTTTTCTTACCTCTTCCTCTCTTCTGTTTCCGCTGCAGCTGAACAGGCCAGCAGGCAACCTGCCATGGGGTCCTGCTCCAAGAACCGGTCCTTCTTCTGGATGACTGGGCTCCTGGTATTCATCAGCCTCCTCCTCAGTGAGTGGCAGGGTCCCTGGGAAGGGAGGGCAATTGGAGAGGGCTGGGCTAGCTGGGCTCTGACCAACGGGTGGGCTGTTCAACTTCTGATGTCTTTGGGCAACAACACAGAAAAACACTCTGTTATGATTTACGAATGCAACATATTTGGTTGGAGTCCCAAGATGGAAAGAATGAAACATTTTTTGGTAGTGAGAAGGCTGGGAACCCCGAGCCAGGGCTACCTTCGCTGCACTGAGAGAATCGTCACCCACTGCATGGGCCTAGGGCTGCTCTCCAAGCAAATCATCACAAAAGAGAGGGACCTTGAACGTCTCAATCTTAAAGTCGTGTTTGTAATTTGCATTACTGTTCATTTTAAAAATTAAAAAGAACTTACCTTTGGGTAAAATGTGTATATAGTGGGCACCCTTCACATCCCTGTGAGGTGCCTTTTCCTCCACTGGGAAATGCTGCTCAGACCATGTTTATTACAGCACGGTTCTAGGAAAAACCCTAGAAAGAAACAGGAGGAGCCCATCAATTCAGGAACATGTGAACAAGTCAAAGAGTGTCTGTACCATTGCATATTATGGAGGTTACAAAAACAAATGTTCTAGTTATCTGGAAGGACTGTTCAACTTCCATGAATTAAGATGCATAGATTCCCATCAGCAAGACTCAGGAAACTGAATACAATACAATCTCGCTTCATAAAAGGAAACACAGTCACCAAAATTTAAGCATCTAAATGTTTCTAAGACTATGCTAAAAATGTGGAAGGAATCAGTAGATTGCCAACATGGGCTACGAGAGGACATAAAATTGAGGAAGAAAACACAGAGAGAGGGAGAAAGTAGAGAATACAGAAAGTTAAGCAAAAAGTGAACTGCAAAAAAGACTGTCCTAATCTAGGCTGTATATCACAATCATTATTTTATGAACGATTATATGGTTGTAAGTGTAATAAAATTAAATTTTAAAATGAGAAAATAATAAGATTTAGTGCATTTTGATGAAAGCTGTTCTTGTTATAATTTTTTGCTTTTATATCCCAGCCACTAATCGGACTTACAGGGAATTATATGAAATCTAATGGATTACAGAGCACTTGTAACACAGGAGGTCTTGAAGGAACAATGAGCTTTGCAATAGAAAGGGGTTAGATCTCCTTTCTATCAACAGCAAAACGCAGGCTTTCTCTGCTTATACGATGCTCTTTACCTGGAAATATGTCTAACTGGGTAGAGTTTTCTCCACTAGGCACTAGATTTGGAGGATTACTAAAGAAAGAAAGAGAGAGAGAGAGAGAAAGAAAGAAAGAAAGAAAGAAAGAAAGAAAGGAAGGAAGGAAGGAAGGAAGGAAGGAAGGAAGGAAGAAAGGAAGGTGGGAGGGAGGGAAGGAAGGAAGGAGGAAGGAGAAAGGAGAAAGAGAAAGAAAGAAAGAAAGAGAGAGAGAAAAAAAATAAAGAGAAAAAGAAAGAAAGAAAGAGAAGGAAGGAAGGAAGAAAGGAAGAGAGAAAGAAAGAAAGAGAGGGAGGGAGGGAAGGAAGGAAGAGGGAAGGAAAGAAAGAAAGAAAGAAAGAAAGAAAGAAAGAAAGAAAGAAAGAAAGAAAGAAAGAAAGGAGAGAGAGAAAGAAAGAAAAGGGAGAGAGGGAAGAGGGAGGGAGGGAAGGGGAAGGAAGGAAGCAAGGAAGGAAGAAGAGTTAGAGAGAAGAAAGAAGAAAGAAAGAGAGAGAGAAAGAAAAAGAAAGAAAGGAAAAGAAAAAAGAAAAAAGAAGGAAGGAAGGACTTAGAATTTCTCATTTTGGGGGAAGGAGATCTGTGTTCACAAAAAGAAAGTGATTATCTCAGGGAACCACTGTGAAGGAATGAAATTGAAATTGGTTGTCCAATTAGGCCTGACCTCTGTGGTATGAATGAGACAAGCCCCCAGGCAGTGGAGTTTGGTCAGAGGCTGTCCGTGGAAGGAACATTACCATGAAATTGCTCTGGATCCTCTGAGGAATCCTGAAGCTCCACAGTTGGATGCATTTTTTTTCTGTGGTTTCTGCATTGTCCCTGTTCCAGTTCACCCTTGACCCAGGGAGAGAGATGGATGGTGAAGTAGTGATGGTGAAGGTGGAAATGAGGAATTTGCCCCTCATCATTCTTAAACTCTTACACCCTTTCTGGACATGTGTTTGGATAGGAAAGTGTGGAAGGGAAGGAGGGAGACTGAGGGTGGCTCAGCTCACATATAATTTCCTAGAGACACAGTAAGCTACACATGAGGGTGGTCCTAGACTTCTGGCTACTCCCTGACCATAATAATAACAGCACTTACTGAATGCCCACCCCGTGTCTGCCAGCAGGGAGCTGGAGGAGAAAGCATCTCTGCATTAGGGGCTCCAGACAGAGACATGAGACAATGGAGATGGTACCAAGAAGTGCAGTTTGGACATCAAACATGAATCGTTGGTTTGTGAGTGTGCTGATGGGGGCTATGTCAGACAACTGAGCAACATTTTATGTTGTTTACAGGGCCTTAAATTTTATACAAATTGAATTAATGTTTAGCTCCACCTTGTAAATGACCACCTGCTCCCTGGCTTGTTTTTTCTTCTTCAGGATCAGCATCTCTGCAGATCAAAGAGCTCCTGCTGCCTTCCTTCCCTCTCTGAGTCTTCGTCTTCCTCCTGGCTATGCTCATCATCCACTTTCTGGGGCAGATCCTCCCTGGCAGCCTGAGGGCTGAGCCTCCTCTCTTCCCAGTTCCCTCATCCAGGAAATGGGGTCTTTCCAGGCTGCCTATTTAGCCCTCTGCTAGCCAGAAGTCCCTGCTCTGCTAAGCCACTGAAAGTACCTGCTTCCTTTTTCAGGAAAGGGCAGCTGGGGTGGAGACCTCAGCAGCTGCTCAGGTCCTGGTGGGTTCAGACAACAGTGTAGCTCAGCTCTGGGGAGGGCAGGGGAGGGTGGAAGAGCTCTTGGGCAGCGTCCTGCAGGGGAGGCCCTGGGCTGGGGGAGGAAAGTGGGCTCCAGGTGTGGCTCTGCCCTGTGTGACCCAGGAAAAGTCTACCCCCTAGAGAGCTCCCTCCTCTGTTAAAGCAGGGACTTGGGCAGAATCACCCCTGAGTCCCCTCCCAGCAGTGAGGTTCTGGGATACTGTGGCTTCATCAAGGCCTCTACTTTGTCTCTCCCATCCTCTCTTGTCCTATCCTGTGGCTTTATAGGCACTGAGAGCTGGTGAGCCTGTTTTGGGCTCCTTCAGAGAGAAAACTCTGGGTGTCCCTGTGGCCACTTCCTCAGCTCTTGAGGGAGGAAGGGACTTTTCCTCTCTCAGCCTCCTCTACCTGACCCTCTGCTTCTCCGCCTCTGCTCCTGAGAGGGGTCTCAGGGGCCAATGCCCTTAGACCACCTGCTGAAGGACATTAGTCCATTCTCTCATTGCTATAAAGAACTACCTGATACTGGGTAATTTATAAAGAAAAAAGGTTGAATTGACTTTCAGTTCTGCATGTTGTATAGGAGGTATGGCTGTTACAATCATGCCAGAAGGTGAAGGGGAAGGAGGCACGTCCTACATGGCAGGAGAAGGAGGAGAGAGCAGGGGCAGTGCTACACACTCTTAAAAACCTATATCTTGTCAGAATTCACTCACTATCATGGGAATAGCAATGAGAAATCCATCCCCATGATCCAATCACCTCACACCAGACCCCTCCTCCGACTTTGGAGATTATATTTTTACATGAGATTTGGGTGGGAACACATCTTTACCACTTTCCTTGCTATAAAGATGTTCTCAGCTTTTCAGTAACATGGTAATTGATGATGACAATGTGTGGACATAGAGCAATGAACTTCCTTTTAAACTCAGGGCTCTGGTAACCAAGTAGGCCCTGGCTAGACCTTGACACCCTGCAGCCACTTATGGCATTGAACTCAGATATGTTTAAATCCCTAGAACCCATCCCTGTACCCAGGAGGGGACCCCTGAGAGGGGCGGCTGCTGGGGAGGAAAGGATAGCAGCCTGGAAGCTGGGAACACCTGGTTCTGATTCCAGGTGGGCTTGGGCAACTAATACTCATCATGATAATGGGAGCAGCTAATATTAATAGGACAACTACTGAATACTGTGCTGAAAAATTTTTTCTATTTAAACCCAAAGAAGAGTCCAATGAGGTAAGCATTTTCATTTTTCTTCATATCACATATGAGACTGCTAAAGCCAGAGAGGTTAAATAACTGTTCAAGTTTACACAGCCAGAAAATGAAGGATCAGGACTTAAGTTTCATGGACTCTAAAGTTCAATCTTTTCACCACTTTGTGACACCAGTCATCTGTATCACCTGACTCCAAAATAAGTTTTGGGTGGATCTAAGAGTAAATATAAAATTTAAAGCCATAAATGCATTTAAAACAAGAGAGAATTTAAAACTCTCTCTTTGAATTGGGGGTACCTTTTAATTAAAGGTTTTAATTAAAACCTCTTTGTTTGAATTGGGGGTTACCTTTTGAAGGAAGATACAAAAAGAGTAAGCCATAAAAATGGATACATTTTACTTTATGAAAATAACATTTTGGCATTGCAAACAGTCTGTAAGTAAAGTTGAAAAACAAACTTAAAAATTGTAGTATGTTAGAATAAAGGCGAATGTTCTTAAAATATGTCTAACTCGTATAAACTAATAGAAAAGAAACAAGTATAGATGGACAAAAGACATTAGCAGACAGTTCATAGTTCACAGAAAAGGCAGCAAGAATGACATAGTAATGTAAAATGATGATGATGAATCTTGTTTATAGAAGAAATGCCCATTAAAACGATAATGAGATATTTTCCACTATCAACTTGACAGAGTTCAAAAAGTTTGATCATTAGGTATTGGTGACAGACCTAAATATTTGGTAGGCTTGTAGATAGGAACACTCTTTGGAGACAATAATATCAATCAAAAGTATAAGTACATGTGCCTTTGACTCATTAGATCCACCCTAATGATTTTCACTGTTATATACACATCCATGTGTGTAAAGGCACAAATATAAGGATATTCATTGCAACTTTGTGGTGTTAAGCAACAACTTAAATATCAGAAGCGGAGGAGGATTAGAGCCCCACAAGGAACAGTTTGCAGACAGGAGATGGGACACACCCATGTGTACAGATGCAGAGTGGGCTCCAACAAATGTTGCTTTGAGAAAAGACAAAGAGCAGGACAGTCGCATAGAGTGTGTTGTGTATGTGGAGATGCACATGTGTGTGTTTGAGTGCATAGACTATCTCTGCATAGTAACACAAGACACTGATAATAGTGCCTGCCTCTGGAAGCCAGAACCAGGCAATGGGAGTCAGAGACAGGAGTGACACTTCCTTTTTCAATCTCCTTAATTTCTCCCTCCTTTTAAAGCACCATATGAATATATAATCTGATTAAAATAAAAAAATTAAAAAGCCTCTTAGTGTTACTGAAATGCAACCTCCCCAGCCTTTGCATGGGGATAATAATCTGTAACCTCCCACCTTGAAGGGTTGTCCTGAGAATCATCAGATGTTCAGTATCTGAAGAAACCGATGAGAGGTAGAAACTGGGAATCAAGTTCATGGGGTATGGGCAACCTCTTTCCCCGACAGGGAAACACTGGGAGAAATCCAGCTACAGTACTGTGGCAATTCCATGGCAGGTGGGCCCTAATACTGGTAACAATTATAACAACTCAACTGTACAGTTGAGTGCTTTTTAAAAATGTATCATATTTTTAGTGCTTGTAGGAGCCCATGAGTACTTACAATTATTATCTCTATTGTTCATATGTGGGAACTCAAGACTTAGATTAGCAACTTGGTAAAGATCACTCAGCCAGTAAATATGGTGGATCTGGGATTGAACCCAAATTGTCCCACTCCAGAGCTTGTGCCTCATGTGACTTGCTGGCCAAGGGCCCAGCCCTGACTCTCCAGGAACCCCTGAAAGAGTTAACCTGTAATCCTTTGGTGCCACCGTCTTTGTCCATCTGTGTGGCTATAAATGAATACCTGAGGCTGGGTAGTTTATGAAGAGAAGAGGTTTATTTGATTCATGCTTCTTCAGGCTGTGCAAGAAGCATGGCATCAGCATGTGCTTCTGGTGAGGGCCTCAGAAAGCTTTCACTTATGGCAGAAGGTGAAATGCAGCAGACATCACATGGCAAGAGAGGGAGCAAGAGAGAAGTGAGGGAGCTGTCAGCTTGTTTTTCACATTCAGTTCTCACAGGAACTAACAGAGCAAGAACTCACTCACTACCACAAGGATGGCACCAAGACACAAGGAAGGCCACCAGGGCCCACCTCCAACACTGGGGATCTAATTTCAACATGTGATTTAGAGGGGACAAAGAGTTAAACTATATTACCACCTTTCCTGAGTTCCTGCATTAGATTCCTAGGACTGTGAGATAACAAGAACCGAGTGGCTGAAACAATGGAAATTTATTGTCACACAGTTCTGGAGACTAGAAGCCCAAAATCAAGGTGTTGACAAGGCCACACTACCTTTGAAATCTGCAGGGGTATATTGGTCAGCTATGGATACCATAACGAAATACCATAAACTGGATGGCTTAAACAACAGAAAGTTATTTTCTCCCAGTTCTAGAGGCTGGAAATTCATGATCAAGGCTGTGGCCAATTAAATTTCTGGTGAGGCCTCTCTTCCGGTTTTGCAGAAGGCTGTCTTCTATGTCCTCACATGGCCTTTCTCAGAATACGTGCATAGAGAAAACTCTCGTGCTTTTTGAAGTCTCTTTTTATAAGAACACTAACACTATTGGGTCATGGTCCCACCCTTATGAACTCATTAAACCTTACTTCATTAGAGGCCTCATCTCCAAATACAGTCACACTGGCTGTCAAGGCTTCAACATATGAATTTGGGGATACATAAATATTCATTCCATAACAAGGGAAACCTGTCCTTGCCCCTTCTTAGCTTCTGGTGTTTGCTGACAATTGGTGGTGTTCCTTGTCTTGTAGCTGCATCAGTCAAACCCTCCATCTTCATGCACCTTCTCCCTATGTCTCTTTTCATTGTCTTACCTCTGTGCATGTCAGTGTCTGTGTCTAAATTCCCTCTTTTTATAAGAACACCTGTCATATCGGATTAGAGACCACCCTCATGACCTTATCATAATTGGACTATATCTGCAAAGATCAGATTTCCAAATAAAGTTGCCTTCTGAGGTGCTGGGTTTAGGAATTCAACATATCCTTTATGGGGGACACAATTCAACCCATGCCCCACCTCTCCCTCAAAAACAAGCCCTCCTGACTGGGGGACACTAGAGTCTAATAAATATATCTGCAGCATCACCTTCCATGTATCCTGGGGTGCCCGCCTGGAGACTAAATTTGTATTTCTTCTTGTTTATAAATATTGAAAGGTGTGTCTGCACCTTGAAAGAGGTATTCCAAAAAATTTCAAGTATTCTCCTTTGGTTATGAAAGTATAGTATGAGCAGGTCACATTTGGGGGGGAAAGAATAAGGAACTAGAACTTTAGGATTTTAAGACACTTAAAAGTGCCCTCCTGTGGCGAGTATGGGAGTGGGGATGTCACTGTATATATGTTGGGTGCAGTGTGGGAGCTCATTGTCGGGGAGGGCAGGTGGCCCGAGGTTCTGGGTCTGTGAGGTGGCTGCCCTGGGAAGAGGCCGTGTGTGTGAGTTGAAAGTGGCTCTCTCCCACAGTTCCTGCATCTTTGACCTCTTTGGGCTGCTTCCCACTATCTGGGGAAGACCTTGGGACATAGGTGGCCAGATGGCCTTTTCCAGGAAGCTTCAACACCATGACCAACACCCCCCTTCAGAAATATTTGATCCTTGGATGGTCATCTTCCTACCCAAGGGAGATTTAATGAAGGTCCTGAGGGAGTTCAGCTCACCTGCCTGTCCTGTGGCACTCTGCCTGCACCTGGCCACAGAGGTGCATCTACATCTATAATTGGGGTTCAGGGTCCAGTGGTGTTGCAGTCTCACCGATGCACCTTAATGTAGAAGTTTCCCGTGGTCTGAACTAGTACCCTGGGTGTTTTGTCCTACCTCCAAGAAAATTAAGAAACATAGGCACAAAGGCGAGGTTGGAGCAAAAGTTTAATAAGTGAAAGAAAAAATATTCTCCGCAGCAGAAAGGGGAGTCTGAGTGGATTGCTGGGTTATATCGCTGAATTCAAAAGCTTTTTACAAGAAACTCCTCTTGTCTCTGCAGCAATTTAAGTAACTTCTTCTATCGGTAGGGCTGTCTGCACAACTCCCCCTTTTCTATGTAGTTGTGGGTATGTCTCTGGGCAAGCCCAAAGTACCACTTCTCTTGTTTATATGATTGTGGGTTTGTTTTAGGTAAGCCCCCCTTCTCCCTGTGCAAGTTCCCACCATGACTATGCCTGAAAAGGGAAAGAAACTTTTTTCTAGGAGCTTGCTAATAGACAAAGAACAAAAAGTTTCTGTGCTGGGCTCTGTTTGTTTATCTGTCCAGGTGCAGCTTGAGTTTTTTTCCCTTCCCGCTCCCAGGTTGTTTTATTTTTGCCTGTTGCTGTGACTTTTCAGGCAGGCTGCTTCTGCAGTGTGAATTTTTTCTCCAATCATTTTTCCTTTCCTTCTCCCTCAGTGGCAATGGCCACCCCAAACCTTGGCGGTCTCACCCCAGTCTCTCTATCATACCCCCTCTCCTTGGGACAGTCTTGAGCCCTGTGAATGGCTTTAACTTGGATGGGCTAGGCCACTTTGGTTTACAGTCACCCTCACTTAGTGTGGATTTGTGAACAGGGAGCCTGGTTCAGAGGAGGTGCAACTGCCAATCACAGGAGAGTCCTAGCACTCACTGCAATTGGAAAAGTGGAAATGTATTTGGCTTCTGTCCAAGTGACAAGATCCACCAGGAGCAGCCTATACTCACAGGGTATCACTGGTATCCATACCCCAGCCAGCACATTACTCCAGGACAGACTAGATTGGACTCCTCCCCATTGAGACTCCAGGAAACCTGAAATACTCAGGATCCTGTGGGTGCATAAAGGCAGGGGTTGGAGCTTGGAGGACAGAATGCACTTCTACCCTTTCTGCTACTGACAAATAGCCACCATGTCTCAGGACCAGCCTTTGTGCCCTGGCTTGTTTAGAGGGCTCTGGCAGCACAGCCTCATCTGGCTCTCCTCAGCAATATTTTGTGGGCCAAGTCAGGTGTCTGTGCTGCACCCCAGGATGTTCTGTGGGAGCGCATAAGCCCCCTCTTGAACCGGGTGTCAGAGGAGTGTGAGATGTGGGAGGAGGAATCGTGGAGGAACTGGAGGTGATAGGAGGAGGCTGGTGGCTGCTCACTTGCTGCCTCTCCTGTATGACCCTAGGCAGAACCGGACAGGGCACTGGCCCACTGATATGATTTGGATGTTGGTCCCCTCCAAATCTCATGTGGAAATGTGATTCCCACTGGGGATGAAGGGAGAATCTGGTGGGAGGTGATTGGATCATGGGGTCAGGTCCCTCATTAATGGTTTAGCACCATTCCCTCGGTGCTAGGTGGGGACTTGCTCAGTTAGTTCCCGTGAGATCTGGTTGTTTAAAAGTGTGTGGCACCTCCTCATCTCTCTTTTTTTTTTTTCTTTTTGTTGACTTTTATTTTAGCTGCAGGGATACACGTGCAAGTTTGTTATATAGTTAAACTCATATCATGGGGGGTTGTTGTACAGATTATTTCTTCACTCAGGTACTAAGCCTACCACCCAATAGTTATTTTTTTTCGGATCCTTTCCCTCCTCCCACCCTTTACACTCAAGTAGGCCCCAGTGTCTGTTGTTTCCTACTTTGTGTCCATGTGTTCTCATCATTTAGCTCCCACTTACATGTGAGAACATACGGTATTTATCTTTCTGTTCCTGCATTAGTTTGCTAAGGATGATGGTCTCCAGCTGCACCCCCTTTCCTGCAAAAGACACGATCTCATTCTTTTTTATGGATGCATAGTATTCTATGGTGTATATGTACCATATTTTCTTTATCCAGTCTACCATTGATAGGCATTTAGATTGATTCCACATCTTTGCTATTGTGAATAATGTCGCAATGAACATATACATGTATGTGTCTTTTGTTAGAATTTCAATTTGTTCATATATATATGTGTATATATATACATATATATACATATATATGTGTGTATATATACATATATATGTGTATATATATACATATATATATATATACACACACATATATATATCCTTTAAGTTCTGGGATACATGTGCAGAACATGCAGGGTTGTTACATAGTTATACTCATGCCATAGTGGTTTGCTGCACCCATCAACCCGTCATCTACATTAGGTATTTGTCCTAATGATATCTCTCCTCTAGCACCCCACCCCCCAGCAGGCCCTGGTGTGTGATGTTACCCTTCCTGTGTCCATGTGCTCTCATTGTTCAACTCCCACTTAAGAGTGAGTACACAGAGTGTTTGGTTTTCTGTACTTGTGTTAGTTTGCTGAGAATGATGGTTTCCAGTTTCATCCTTGTCCCTGCAAAGGACATGAACTCATCCATTTTTACAGCTGCCTAGTATTCCATGGTGTATATGTGCCACATTTTCTTTATCCAGTCTATCATTGATGGGCATTTGAGTTGCTTCCAAGTCTTTGCTGTTGTGAATAGTGCTGCAATAAACATACATGTGCATGTGTCTTTATAGTAGAATGATTTATAATCCTTTGCATATATATCCAGTAATGGGATTGCTGGGTCAAATGATATTTCTTCTTCTAGATCCTTGAGGAATTGCCACAGTCTTCCACAATGGTTGAACTAATTTACACTCCCACCAACAGTGTAAAAGCATTCCAAAATCTCCACATCCTCTCCAGCATCTGTTGTTTCCTGACTTTTTAATGATCCCCATTCTAACTGGCATGAGATGGTATCTCATTGTGGTTTTGATTTGCATTTCCGTAATGACCAGTGATGATGAATTTTTATTTATGTCTGTGGGCTGCAAAAATGTCTTCTTTTGAGAAGTGTCTGTTCCTATCCTTTGCCCACTTTTTTATGGGGTTGTTCATATTTTTCTTGTAAATTTGTTTAAGTTCTTTGTAGATTCTGGATATTAGCCCTTTGTCAGATGGATAGATTGCAAAAATGTTTTCCATTCTGTAGGTTGCCTGTTCACTGTGATGATAGTTTCTCTTGCTGTGCAGAAGCTCTTTAGTTTAATTAAATCCCATTTGTCAATTTTGGCTTTTGTTGCCACTGCTTTTGGTATTTTAGTCATGAAGTCTGTGCCCATGCCTGTGTCCTGAATGGTATTGGCTAGGTTTTCTCCTAGGATTTTTATGATTTAGGTCTTACATTTAAGTCTTTAATCCATCTTGAGTTAATTTTTCTATAATGTGTAAGGAAGGGGTCCAGTTTCAGTTTTCTGTATATGGCTAGCCAGTTTTCCCAGCACCATTTATTAAATAGGAAATCCTTTCCTCATGGCTTGTTTTTGTTAGGTTTGTCAAAGATCAGATGGTTGTAGATGTGTGGCATTATTTCTGAGGCCTCTGTTCTGTTCCGTTGGTCTATATATCTGTTTTGGTACAAGTACCATGCTGTTTTGGTTATGGTAGCCTTGTAGTATAGGTTGAAGTCAGGTGGTGTGATGCCTCCAGGTTTATTCTCTTTGCTTAGGATTGTCTTAGCTATACGAGCTCTCTTTTGGTTCCATATGAAATTTAAAGTAGCTTTTTCTAATTCTGTGAAGAGTGTCAATGGTAGCTTGATGGGGATAGCATTGAATCTATAAATTACTTTTGGCAGTATGGCCATTTTCACGATATTGATTCTTCCTATCCATGAGCATGGAATGTTTTTCCATTTGTTTGTGTCCTCTCTTATTTTCTTGAGCAGTGATTTGTAGTTCTCCTTGAAGAGGTCCTTCACATCCCTCGTGGATTGGATTCCTAGGTATTTTATTCTCTTTGTAGCAATTGTGAATGGGAGTTCACTCATGATCTGGCTCTCTGTTTGTCTATTATTGGTGTATAGGAATGCTTGTGATTTTTGCACATTGATTTTGTATCCTGAGACTTTGCTGAAGTTGCTTATCAGCTTAAGGAGATTTGGGGCTGAAATGATGGACTTTTCTAAATATACAATTATGTAATCTGTAAACAGAGGCAATTTGACATTCTCTCTTCCTATTCGAATAACCTTTATTTCTTTCTCTTGGCTTATTGCCCTGGCCAGAACTCTGAACAGTATGTTGGATAGAAGTGGTGAAAAAGGGCATCTTTGTCTTCTGCTGGCTTTCCAAGGGAATGCTTCCAGTTTTGGCCCATTCTATATGATATTGGCTGGGGGTTTGTCATAAATAGCTCTTATTATTTTAAGATACGTTCCATCTACACGTAGTCTACTGAGAATTTTTAGCATGAAGCGGTGTTGAATTTTATTGAAGGCCTTTTCTGCATCTATCAAGATAATCATGTGGTTTTTGAAATTGATTCTGTTATGTGATGGATTACGTTTATTGATTTGCATATGTTGAACCAGCCTTGCATCTCAGGGATGAAGCCCACTAGATCATGAAGGACAAGCTTTTTGATGTGTTGCTGGATTTGGTTTGCCAGTATTTTTTTGAGGATTTTCCCATTGATGTTCATCAGGGATATTGGCCTGAAATTTTCTTTTTTTGTTATGTCTCTGCCAGGTTTTAGTATCAGGATGATGCTGGCCTCATAAAATGAGTTAGGGATGAGTCCCTCTTTTTCTATTGTTTTGAATAGTTTCGGAGGGAATGGTACCAGCTCCTCTCTTTACCTCTGGTAGAATTCATCTCTGAATCAGTCTGGTCCTGGGCTGTTTTTGGTTGGCAGGCTATTAATTACTGCCTCAATTTCAGAACTTGTTATTGGTCTATTCAGGGATTCAACTTCTTTCTGGTTTTGTCTTGGGAGGGTGCATGTGTCCAGGAATTTATTCATTTCTTCTAGATTTTCTAGTTTATTTGTGCAGAGGTGATTATAGTATTCTCTGATGGTAGTTTGTATTTCTGTGGGATTGATGGTGATATCCCCTTTATCATTTTTTATTGTGTCTATTTAAATCTTTTTAATTCTTCTTTCTTTTCTTTTTTATTAGTCTGGCTAGCAGTCTATCTATTTTGTTATCTTTTCAAAAAACTGGCTCCTGGATTACTTGATTTTCTTTCAAGGGTTTTTCATGTCTGTATCTCCTTCAGTTCTGCTCTGATCTTAGTTATTTCTTGTCTTCTGCCAGCTTTTGAATTTGTTTGCTCTTGCTTCTCTAGTTCTTTTAATTGTGATGTTAGGGTGTCGAATTTAGATCTTTCCTGCTTTCTCCTGTGGGCATTTAGTGCTATAAATTTCCCTCTACACACTGCTCTAGCTGTGTCCCAGAGATTCTGGTACATTGTGTCTTTGTTCTCATTGGTTTCAAAGAACTTATTTATTTCTGCCTGAATTTCATTATTTACCTAGTAGTCATTCAAGAGCGGGTTGTTCGGTTTCCATGTAGTTGTGCAATTTTGAGTGAGTTTCTTAATCCTGAGTTCTAATTTGATTTCACTGTGGTCTGAGAGACTGTTTGTTTTGAATTCCATTCTTTTGCATTTGCTGAGGAGTTTTTTACTTCCAATTATGTGGTCGATTTTAGAATAAGTGCTATATGGTGCTGAGAAAAATGTATATTCTGTTGATTTGGGGTGGAGAGTTTTGTAGACATCTATTAGGTCCGCCTGGTCCAGAGCTGAATTCAAATCCTGAAAATCCTTGTTAATTTTCTATCTCGTTGATCTGTCTAATACTGACAATGGGGTGATAAAGTCTCCAACTATTATTCTGTGGGAGTCTAAGTCTCTTTGTAGGTCTCTAAGAACTTGCTTTATGAATCTGGGTGCTCTTGTATTGGACGCATATATATTTAGTATAGTTAGCTCTTCTTGTGGCATTGATCCCTTTACCATTATGTAATGGCCTTCTTTGTCTCTTGATCTTTGTTGGTTTAAAGTCTGTTTTATCAGAGACTAGGATTGCAACCCCGGCTTTTTTTTTTTTATTTCCATTTGCTTGGTAAATATTCCTCCATCCCTTTATTCTGAGCCTATGTATGTCTTTGCACATGAGATGGGTCTCCTGAATACAGAACACTGATAGGTCTTGACTCTTTATCCAATTGGCCAGTCTGTGTCTTTTAATTGGGACATTTAGCCTGTTTACATTTAAGGCTAATTTTGTTATGTGTTAATTTTATTCTGTCATTAGGATTCTAGCTGGTTATTTTGCCCATTAGTTGATGCAGTTTCTTCATAGTGTCAATGGTCTTTACCATTTGGTATGTTTTTGCAGTGGCTGATACCGGTTTTTCCTTTCCATATTTAGTGCTTCCTTCAGGAGCTCTTGTAAGGCAGGCCTGGTGGTGACAAAATCTCTCAGCATTTGCTTGTCTCTAAAGAATTTTTTTTCTCCATCGCTTACAAAGCTTAGTTTGGTTGGAGATGCAATTCTGGGTTGAAAATTCTTCTCTTTAAGCATGTTGAATATTAGCCCCCACTCTCTTCTGGCTTGTAGGATTTCTGCAGAGAGATCCACTGTGAGTCTGATGGGCTTCCCTTTGTGGGTAACCCGACCTTTCTCTCTGGCTGCCCTTAACATTTTTTCCTTCATTTCAACCTTGGTGATCTGACGATTATGTGTCTTGGAGTTGTTCTTCTCAGGGAGTATCTTTGTGTTGTTCTCTGTATTTCCTGAATTTGAATGTTGGCCTGTGCTGCTAGATGGGGAAGTTCTCCTGGATAATATCCTGAAGAGTGTTTTCCAACTTGTTTCCATTCTCCCCATCACCTTCAGGTACACCAGTCAAACATAGGTTTGGTCTTTTCATATAGTCCCATATTACTTGAAGGCTTTGTTCATACCTTTTCATTCTTTTTTCTCTAATCTTGTCTTCATGCTTTATTTCATTAGGTTGATCTTAAAACTCTGATATCTTTTTTCCTCTTGATCAATTCACCTATTGATACTTGTGTATGCTTCACGATGTTCTTGTGCTGTTTTTCGGCTCTATCAAGTCATTTATGTTCTCCCATAAATGGTTTTTCTAGTTAGCAATTCCTCTAACCTTTTCTCCATGTTCTTAGCTTCCTTGCATTGGGATAGTACATGCTCCTTTAGCTTGGAGGAGTTTATTATTACCCACCTTCTGAAGCCTACTTCTGTCAATTTGTCAAATTCATTCTCCATCCAGTTGTGTTCCCTTGTTGGCAAGGAGTTGTGATCCTTTGGAGGAGAAGAGGCATTCTGGTTTTTGGAATTTTCAGCCTTTTTGCTCTGGTTTTTTCTCATCTTCATGGATTTATCTATCTTGGGGCTTTGATGTTGGTGACCTTTGGATGGGGATTCTGTGTGGACATCCATTTTGTTGATGTTGATGCTATTCCTTTCTGTTTGTTAGTTTTCCTTCGAACAGTCAGGCCCCTCTGCTGCAGGTTTGCTGGAGGTCCAGTCCAGACCCTGTTTGCCTGGGTATCACCAGCGGAGGCTGCAGAACAGCGAAGATTGCTGCCTGTTCCTTCCTCTGGAAACTTCCTCCCAGAGGGCACCCACCAGATGCCAGCTGGAGCTCTCCTGTATGTGGTGTCTGTCGACCCCTGCTGGGAGGTGTCCCTCAGTCAAGAAGAATGGGGGTCACCCCCCCCAGGGGGACCCACCTGGGGAGGCAGTCTGTCCCTCAGCAGAGTTCAAGAACTGTACGGGTAGATCCACAGGTTCCTGCTGGCAGGAACCTTTAAGTCTGCTGAAGCTGGACCCACAGCTGCCCCTTCCTTCAGGTGCTCTGTCCCAGGGAAATGGGAGTTTTATCTATAATCCCCTTACTGGGGCTGCTGCCTTTCTTTCAGAGATGCCCTGCCCAGAGAGGAGGAATTTAGAGAGGTAGTCTGGCTACTGCGGCTTTGCCAAGCTGTAGTGGGATCTGCCCAGTTCAAACTTCCCAACAGCTTTGTTTGCACTGTGACGGGAAAACCACCTACTCAAACCTCAGTAATGGCAGATGCCCCTCCCCCTACCAAGCTTGAGCATCCCAGGTCAACTTCAGACTGCTGTGCTGGCAGTGAGAATTTCAAGTCAGTGGATCTTAGCTTGCCGGACTCCGTGGGGTTGGGATCCGCTGAGCTAGACCACTTGGCTCCCTGGCTTCAGCCCCCTTTTCAGGGGAGTGAACTGTTCTGTCTCACCTGTGCCACTGGGGTATGAAAAAAAAAACTCCTGCAGCTAGCTCAGTGTCTACCCAAATGGCTGCCCAGTTTTGTGCTTGAAATCCAGGACCCTGGTGGCTTAGGCACCCGAGGGAATCTCCTGGTGTGCGGGTTGTGATGACTGTGGGAAAAGCGTGGTATTTGGGCCAGATAGCACAGTCCTTCATGGCAGGGTCCTTCACGGCTTTCCTTGGTTAGGGGAGGGAGTTCCCCAACCCCTTGTGCTTCCAGCTCACCATCCATGGGCAACACCCACTGTCTAACCACTCGCAGTGAGATGAGCCAGGTACCTCAGTTGGAAATGCAGAAATCACCCGCCTTCTGCATTGATCTCACTGAGAGCTGCAGAACAGAGCTGTTCCTACTCGGCCATCTTCCTCCCCATCTCTCTTGCCCTTGCTCTGACCATGTAATATGCTGGCTACCCTTTGCCTTCCACCATGACTGTGATCTTTCTGAGGCCCCCACCAGGAGCAGATGCTGGCTCTACACTTCCTGTACAGCATGCAGAACTGTGAGCCAATTAGACATGTTTTCTTTATAAACTATCTAGCCTTAGATATTTCTTTATAGCAATGCAAAAATGGACTGACAAAACCACTAACTCACTGATGTGGATCCTGAAGGCCTGTGGTCCTGGTGCTAAGGGGTGCTGAGCCTGGGGTGGGGCCTAGTCCCTTGAGGGAGCTGAAAGGAGGGAGTGAGGCCTGGCCCAGAGGAGGGGGTTGGTGAACTGAGTTAGTGTATAACTGGAAACATAAATATTTGAAATGCTTCCACATCTAAGGATTGGCATGAGCTATTTGCTTTCAGTGAGAACCAGGAATGGGTGTAGGACAGCAGAACGGTGCAGGCTGAAAATGGGGAGGAATTTAGTCATTAGAGAGAGCACTGGGTGCCCTGCCACACAGCAACAAACCCAGATGGACCTGGTCCAGATTGGTCCCACCCTGGTCCCCAGGAAGGACAGAGGTCTCTGGGTTCATTGTGGATGTGCCTGATTGACAAGGAAGGGCTCAGAAAGAGGTGGAGCTGAGGCGGCTGTCCCCACTGGTCAGGGCTCTTTGGGAGACAGTGACTGAGGGAGACTGACCAGGGTCCTCAGGGGCACTGCATAGGGAAGTGCTCTTTTGGTGGCAGGGACAGAATGCCACCAAACAGTCCATCTGCTCCCCCACACTTTCAGCCCCTGGAAGTTAGCAGGGTCTCCTAACTAGTTCTGTCCAGAAAATATGGGTAGAGATTACATCACTTCTGGATGGTGCAGTGAATGCCCCACGGGTGCCTCTCTTATCTCCTTCCTTCTCTACTGTGGGGATGGAGGAGGATGTGATGAGGCTCTGGGTTCCATATGGAGCTGCTACAAGGTGTGGAGCCCCCACCCACGAGTGACATGACCCTTCTCTCACTATCCCTTGTGGGACATGTAATGTGAGTAATATACAAACTCCCTTTGTTCTAAGTCCCTGACTTTTGTAACTGTTGCCACAGGACAACCTGTATAATTCATGCCCTGTCTTATCCTGCCCTATCCTATCTGGGCTAATTCCCTTCCTAGAAGGAAAGGCAAAGGAAAGCAACCTTCATCTTTGCCTTAGTTGTGTATTGTGTGACCTGTAACCCTAGAACTTAGGGCCTTAACACAATATGGGACATGGTCTCACCGTTTATGGAGGTCAGAACCCAGGACCTGGTTCCTGTGGTTCATTGTCTCACAGTTTATGGAGGTCAGGGTCCAGGTGTCGTTCAGCTGGGTCCTGTGGCTCAAGGTCACAGAGACTGGAATGAAGGTATTGGTCGAGGCTGCCCTTAGCTCCCTGCCATGTGGGCCTCTCCACAGAGCAGCTCACAATGTGGTAGCGGGCTTCATCAGCCTGAACAGGAGAGAGTGATGGAGACAGAGGATGTGAGACAGACAGAAGGGACACTCCATCACTTTTGCCGCGTTTGCAAGTAATCAGTGCAGCCCATACTCCAGGGGAGGGCATTACACAGGGGTGTGCATACAGTGGGGAGGCATCCTTGGGAGCCATGTTAGAAGCTGCCTCCTGCAGTTATGCACTTAGCATATGCCAGAAAATGTGCTAGGTGCTTTTGATCTAGGGTCTCATTTGATCCTTACTCTCATTATGGGGCAGGTAAGAAAACCGAAGATCGAGGGGTTCAGGAACCTGTTCAAGATCACACTCCACTAGAACCAGGAGTGGATGCTAAAATTGCTTCAAGTCCATTGTACTAGGCAGCCCCCCCAGAATCAAGGGATGATTTTTGATGGATTTCTGTGACTCTGAACCAAAGTTCTGTGGTTCTCTCATTTGATCTTGATGAGGAAATACTCATGTTTCCTGTTTCTATGCCCTAGGTGTCTGCAGAACTGCAGCCAACACTTCTGGAGCACATGGCTCTGCAGGGAAGGATTCTGGAGCCCCCATTCATCTGAAGGGCATCCGAGGAGGTTCTATCTTGTTTAATGCGATCGAGAAGCTCAGAGTAGATGTAGGCACCGAGTTGGAGGAGGTTCTATGGGCTTTGGGCACTCTGACAGATCATACACAGTTGCTGCGAGTCCGCAGTGGGGCCGACTCTCCAACCTGGTTGAAACTCCAGGACAAGTTCAAGCAGAGGGTCCATGTACCCAGCATGTCATCCCTGAGGATTGAGAACCTGGCCCCTGAAGACAGTGGGCAGTACTTTGCCAACATCACCTCTACTAAGGGAGAGGGGATTTTCCAGGTTTTCTACCTCACTGTCTATGGTGAGTGACACCCCTCCCTCCCCCATCCTCTGGCTTACCTGCTTTTTTTGTCCCTAGAATGTCACATAGGCCCCATGCAGGGTTCCATTCAGACACCGACCTTCAGACTTCATTTTCTCCACTAAAAATAAGGCTTGTGAGGTCCCCAGACATAGAGAGCAGAGCTGAGATTCACACCAGGGAATGAAGCTCTTTCAGTGTTTTGGAAGAGGAAATAAAAATTCTGAAAAACAGCAATTTTTTCAATAACATTAATCGTCCTATATATGACTAATGTCAATTTGTATAGTAATTTTTTATTGCTGATGTAACAAATTGTCAAAAATTATTGGCTGAAAGCAAGATAAATTTATTATCTCACTGTGCTACAGGCCAGAGGCCTGACACAAGTGTCCGTGAGCTAAAATGAAGGTGGTGGCAGGGCTGTGTTCTTTATGGGGACTCCAGGGGAGAACTTGTTTTTTCACCTTTTCCACCTGCTAGTGGCTGCTGGCATCCCATGGCTCATGGCCATCTTCCTGTATCTCCTAATAGAACACTGATGTTAGTGTTTGGGAATTCAGAATCATCTCCGTATTTTAAAGTCAGCTGATTAGCCACCTTAATTCCATCTTAATGCCGTCAACCTTAATTCCTCCTCTCTAGCAGCCTAACCTATTCCCAGGTTACGAGGATTGGCCCTAGACATTTTGGAGGCCACTGTTCTGCCTACCACAGTTGGGAATCCCTGTGAATGGAGTCCTCCCAGTCCCCTCTCCTCTCACTCAGCCCCAGCCCAAAGCCGGCCTCAGTCACACAAGCCGCCACAAATCTAGCTCTCAAAGCCTCCATATGTGTAGGAGAAAGTTTACACCACAACACTTCTTAGGGAACCCATTTAGAAACTCTTTCTTTCCCTAAAGTTCCTCTCTGCATAGGGAAATATCCTGCCATGGAGAGAGTGGCTTTTGCAGCTTTAGGTCCCGTGTGATTTCTCAGGCTGGCCTGTGAATCTGATTCTTCTCTTCTGTCTGCAACACAGGTTCAGTGGCACTTTCTAAGCACACTCAGAGTCATTGTTCCCAGTCACTATCACCGCATCTCCCACAGACGTGTCTCCTTTAGGGATCATGGGCCTTTCTCTGGCCTCCCAGAGCTGACCTGATGTCCTGCCCCACAAGGGCTATGCAGTCTCAGGCATGGCCTCAGCTGGAGACACAGGGGAGGGACCCTGGTCCAGCACAAGCTTTTCTTCCCCAGACTTCTTCCCCTTCTTGGAAAGACCCTGATATTCTGAAAACCCTGCATCCTGGGAAGGTAGAGTCCAGATTTTGTTTTCTTTGGGACAGTTTTAAGACATGTTGAATCTAGAGAACCCACATGGAGCTGAACTCAGTGGCTTCCCTTCTTATTTCATTTGCTCAGTATTTAGCTTTGGGCAAATTGTGTTTCATCTGTAGAATACACCCACTTTCTTTATAGGGCACATGCCATGGCTGCAATGAGAAAATTATGAAAAGTGAGACGTGCAATGTTCTCCACACATGTGAGATTCCCCTCTTTTGTCCCCCTCTGCCCCAGAGCCTGTGCCTCACCCTGAGTTCCTGGCAAAGTCACTGTCTATCACACCAGACCTGTGTAACGTCACCCTGGAGTGTAGGGCTCCAGGGGCCACAGAGGACCTGAATGTGACTTGGGAGAGCAAGGGCCTCCTCAGAGAGCTGGAGCAGAGAGAAACACCAGGACCAGCCCCCAACCCCTGGACACTGGCTGTGAACCTGCCCCTGTGCCAGTGCAACACCCACCTCACCTGTGTGGTCAGCAACCAGGTGGATCAGAAAGCTGCAGTCTTAGACCTTAGGAAACTCTGTGTCCAAGGTGAGTGGCGAGTGTAGCCTGCAGGATAGGAGGGGCTGCCAAAGCTCAGGTAGCACTGGGGTCTGAGGGTTCTGGGCTCTCTTCTCTGCCATGTGCATTAGCACCACCTTCCACGTGCTCACCACACACAGCAGTGTGGGAGTCACATCACCTTCGTTCTGCCTTTAATCATCTCTCTCAGCCATACCCTCCTCGCCACATCCCCACCATGTCCCTGCCGATTAGGAAAGCAGCCTTCCAGGAGCTGTCTCACCCCATCCATCCTCCACTGAACATCCAGAGTGGGCTTTGGGAAAAGTGGGTCAAATTGGGTTGTTGTCTGTGTCTTCTGTGTGATCTGGCCTCCAGTTACTCCCCCATGGAATTTGGGGCTCAGATGCTCCTTTGCCCATGTTTCTGGCTTCACCTGTGCACTTCACACCAAACTCCTTTCTTTTATTTCCCAAAATATGTCCTGCTTTCTGTAAGCTTCTGAGCTTCTGAGCATGCTGTTTCTTACCCCATCAGCCCTCCCACACCCAGTGACTGATACTTCCTCTTTCATTCCTTTCCAAGCATTCCTCTAACCTATGACAGGCTTTATGGGCACAAGACAGATGCAGTCACACAGGGTCCCACACTTCACAGGATTCCACAATTGGTTAAAACTCTGCTATTCCTTCCTTGAAGTTTTTAATCCTTTTTAATCAAGGGAATTTAAATTTGCATTGCACAGGGCCCTGAAAATGATGTATCTGGTCCTGCCCTCAGGCCCCACCTCCTTAGGGAGCCGTCCATGGCACCTCACACTGAGTAGCAATGACCTGTTTATGTCACTGTCTGCCCTGTAGACTGCAATGTCTTGATGTTTTCCTTTGAATCCCTGTGCCAAGCATAGCTCCTGGCAACATTTGCTCACAAGCAGTATTCACTGAATGAATGATACCCTGTGTGCAGCCTCATCCTCTCCAACCCTCCCTCCAGGAGCTGCTGGGGGATCTGATGTGTCAGCATCACTTTAAACTGCCTGCCACCTCCTCCCTCACCCCCATCCTGGAGTGTTCAGCACTTAGCATGACCACAAGGCCCTCCGGGCACAGACTCTTGCCTCCGTCTGACTCCCCTTGCCACAGCTCCTCCCTGCTCTGTCTCTCTCCTGCTACAGTGGGGTGCCGGCAACTCCCAGGGCTGGTGTTTTGACACAAACATTTCCCGAACTTGGTGCTCCTATTTCCTTGAATTCCCCCATCCTGAATATCTGAGAATCTCACACTCGCCCTTAAGCCTCACTTTAGCCAGCACCTCCTCTGGGAGGTCCTCCCTGAAGACCTTGTACAAGGTGGAAACCACTATTGCAGCTGCGATCCCTCTGTCTGTAAGTTGGTATTTTCTGTCTTCCTTCCTGTGTGCTGGGCTGCTGTGGACATTGTCTTGTGCATCTCAGCATCCCTGGTACCAAGCAGCAGCTCCTAACCAGTTGAATGAATGGATCTGCCATGCTCCTCCCTCTTCAGCTTTGGCACCAGGCTCCTTCCCACTGCTCCACCTGCTTTCTCCCTCTGTCTCCTCTTGGCAATGAGTATCTCAAGTTACCTCCTGCCTTAACATTTTCCACTCTCCCCATGTGACAGAAACAGGTTCACACAACATGGTTAGACTGCTCCCAGGCATCCTAGGGGCTGTTGTGGGTATGCTGTTGGTCCTGGGAACTGGGCTGTATCTTTTGAAGACATGTGGGAAGAAGAAGAAGAAGATGATGAATATAGGAAGAGGCAAGTTGAATTTCTCCTTCCATACCCAGACACCTCCACTCCCTCACTAGAACCCCAGCTTCCTTTCTCCTGAATTTTTCTTCCAGGGAGTGGACTCTGCAGAGGGATGGTGGGTGTGACCTTGGCCTTGGGGTTCGTGGCAGTGGGGAGGGATACAGGTTTCTATGGCACAGATTCAAGCTTTGATTTTCTCAGGTAGAGAATTGCAGGAGAACCATGGGGTCGATGATGGTGTCAACCAATATGAAGATCTCAGGCAGCAAGTGTTTCCGAAGGGCAAGGACAAGGTAAGGGCTGGGGCACTGCCCACTCTGGCAACTCCCAGGTCTCTCTGTCCAGCCTTGGGCTTCTAATTCCAGGACCTGCCATTTCTGACCACACCGCCTGTTTATCTGTATCTGGACAATCAACAGCGTTTACTAAGAAATTTGCATCTGGGTGTGATGTAGTGCTGGGCACTTTAGAGGAATTCATGAGCTGTGCATGGCAGTGGGTATTGGCCCTGTGGGTCCCTCCACATCGTTTCTATCCCTCAGCTGATCCAACAACCCTCTGTCTTGTATTCCAGGGCATCGGTGAACAATATCTGGAAAAAAGGGAGTCTCTCACTCCTATCTACAGTGAGGTTCATTATCATTGTCCAGGCCAGGCCATTAAGATCATTCGATTGGAGGAAGCAACAGGATCTGGCACTCCCAGGACACCTGTACTCTGAGCCTGAAGCCTGCAGATCCCCGCCTTTCCCAGTGCTGGTTCAGTTTCCGCTGCCCCTAGTCTGTGTTACTCTGATCTCATAGCTACAGTTCTACAGTGTACCCATGGCCTGTTCGCATTCTGTGACACCTCCCAAAGATGCACTTACACTTGGGCAAAGATTCTTCCCTTGTCATTGACATTGCTCCTGACCCCTCTCTTTCAGAAGCCTTCCCAAGGGGACCCTGTCTGATTGCACAGGTGGCAAATCCCCACCACCTCTGCCATGTCACTTGTGTGTGTAATTCTGAGGACACAAGCCCAGACATGGGAACTGTGCAGAGGTGTTGACTGTGCTGCAGAGGAGGGACATAGACCTGGCTTCTGGATGCTGAGTTGGAGGATATCGTGGGTGGGTAGAAGCCCACAAAGGAACACGCCGAGGCTTCCTTTGCAGATTTTGTGTAGGGCTCCCTTGCGGGTATCAGGCAGTGCGTGTGTGCATGCAGGTTGGTGGTGGAGGGGGGTGTCTAGTGCACATTATACAACTGAACCAAAGCCACCTTTCTTTTCTTCTGTGCTAATCTGAACTTAATCTTCAGCCTCAGCCTGTGGATCCAAACTCAACTTCCTGTAGAGTGGAAAGAGAAATTTTTATCATCTCAAAACCTTCCTAGCCTCAGTGTCTCAGAGAATGACCCTAAGAGGCCACAGTTGGAGGCTGTCTTAGGAACACAGCCTCAGCTCTTTCCTTGGCCTAGTATAAGGCACTTGGCTGTAAGAACAGAAGTGTGATATCCTTCCACACCCACTTGATGAGGGCTACTTGGGCTCTGATGGGTGAAGCTGTTGAGAAGGTCTGACTCAGCCCTCTCCAACCTCTTCTTATTCTGACCCTTAATACCCCAGTAGCCATGCTGGCCCCAAACCCTAGGTCATCCACTTCTTTGCTCACTTGCATCCCTCTGCCTGACATGAAAGTTCCTTCTCCCTGTTCCTCACCCTCACTCCCGCCTGTTGAAATACTACTGTGCTTCTCAAAGCTCTTCCCAAGATGCTTGTTCCATGGAGCTCTCTGGATCTTAAAGGTTTAGACATGATCTCTCCCACAACTGACTTTTCTGAACACCTTGGACACTATGTACGGTCCCTGCCACAGTTTGTCCTGGGATGGTCATGAGTCTTCCTGCAGGACTAACCTGGGCTCTCTCAGGAGGATGTGGGGCTGTGGGGTAATAGGGCTGAGGAGACCATTGGTGCAAATGGTCTGGGCCACCTTGTTCCCAACCCATGGGGTCAGCAGAGGGAGATGCAGCACAGGGGCTACTGACAAACTCTCTGGTGTGGCTCTACCTGGAAACAGGGATGGACACAATGACCTCCCTTGACTATGCGTGGCCTGAGGTCCTAATTGGAGACTTCCTTACTCCCTCATCCACCTCTTATTGCGAACCTGGCCATTCTTCCATCATGGTATGTGGGTGTTTCTTTCCTCCTGAGGGGTCCTCAGCTTCTTGCAGCCTCTGCTTCTTATTTGAGTCCCAGCTTTTATGCAGAGATGACCTAACTCTAGTACCATGAGCTGCTGTGGCATGTCTGGTGGCCTAGACCCTTGGGCCTCTTAGTTTCCCTCATGGCTCAGGTGAGCTCATTTCCTCATTGCCACCCACAGAAAACAAAGATCTGAACAGAGTCCCTGCTAAGAGATGGAGCACTAGAAAATAGTGCTAGGTGCCTGCTGGATGGTGGGTGGGTGAGGCAGGAGGGAGAGGATCCATAGCAGGGCTTCATTTCTGCCGTCTTTCCCTTTAGGCTGAGCTGAAGGCCGAGGGTGTGCCAGTCTCTTCACTGGCTTCCCAGGTGACTGGACATTACTGGGTATCAGTGCACATTAACCCTGGGGCAGCATAAGATGTGATCACCCAACTAACTGACCTTCCCACTGCACCAAAGGCAACAAAAAACCAAACCAAACAAACAAAAAAGAGGAACAAGGCTTTTGAGGCTGTTTTGAACCAGTTTTTGTCCCAGGCACTTTGCACATATTATTCTTTTTAATTCTTCTTTAAATACATTTTTAATTTTAAAATACTAAATGTTTTACTCTTCTTGTTTATGATTTCTTCCAATGATATCAAACTTAAAATTCCTCTGCATTCAAAGGACCCAATAAATTTTTATTTATATTTTCTTCTGTTGAAAACATTACATTATAAATACACATTTTACTCTGATATTCCTTTTAATTGTTATAAGAACCTACTATAGTTGGTATAGGTCAACAGTATTCAAAACTAGTTGGTGGCAGAGCAAAGCCTTAGATCCAACACTGGATGATTCCAAAGCTCCTATCTTTTCCCCTCATGACAATGGTCACTGAAGACCGTTGCTATGGTTTGGATGTTTCATGTTGGAACTTAATCCCCAATGCAAAAGCATGAAGAAGAGCCGGGTTTTAGGAGGTAATTAGGTCCCAAGAATGGGATTGGTACTCATAAAATGGCTTGAGGACAGTGTCACCCCTTTTGCCCTTCTGTCACTTCAACCATGTGAGGGCACAGTGTTCCTCCTTCCACCATGTGAGAATACAGTGTTCCCCACTTCCACCATGTGAGGACACAGTGTTCCTGCCTTGGATCATGTGAAGACATTGTGTTTCCCCCTTCCACCATATAAGGACATGATGTTCCTGCCTTTCACCATGTGAGGACACAGTGTTGCTCCCTTCCACCATGTGAGGACATAGTCTTACCCCCTTTCTCCATATGAGGACATGGTGTTCCCCACTTCCAACATATGAGGACATGGTGTTTCTCCTTCCATTATGTAAGGACATAGTGTTCCCTGCTTCCACTATGTAATGACAGAGTATTGCCCCTTCCACCATGTGAGGACACAGTATTGCCCCTTCCACCATGTGAGGACACAGTGTTCCCACTTTCCATCATGTGAGGACACAGTATTTCCCCTTCCACCATGTGAGGACACGGTGTTCCTGCTTTCCATCATGTGAGGACACAGTATTGCCCCTTCCACCATGTGAGGACGCAGTGTTGCCTGCTTCCATAATGTAAGGACATGGTGTTCCCACGTTCCATCATGTGAGGACATACTGTTCTCCCCTTTCACCACTGAGTGCAGTGTTTCCCCCTCTGCTATGTGATGATGTCACAATAAGATGCCATCTATGGAGCTGAAGGTGAGATGAAGAGACCCTGAATCTGCCTTACCAGATCCTGAATCCACTGGTGCCTTGATATTGGACTTCTCAGCCTCCAGACTGTGAGAAATAAATTTCTATTATATACAAATTGCCCAGTGATTTATACATCTAAGGTATTTTATTATAGTAGCTAAATAGACTAAGATACTGTTGGAATCCTGGAGTATTCTGATGGGATTATCCTCCTGTTGTCAATCTCCCAAGGATCCTGGCCTCCTGACTCAGGTGCCTCAACTGAGGCTAAGCTTCTTGGTGCTGGAACAACTAATGATTGAAAGAGAAATTACCCCTTAAGTGGCAGTAGGGCCCTGATTGGGTGGAAGACACGGAATAAAGGACATTGCACTCAAATGCAGACAAGACATTCAGAGAAGAGATATTTTCTTCCTTGGTCTTTGTCCAAGTTCCCTCCTGCCCATGTCAGGGATAACAGCATCACATCCTCAAATCACCTTCCACTGATGATATTATTATTCATAAGGTCATTCAGTAGGCTTTTCATAAGTCTCTCATTTGCAGTTTCTACAACTCTATGAGGCATAAACCCCCCATTGTACACATGAAAAAGCTAAAATCCAGAGAAGTTAACTACTTCATACAAGTTCTCCTGGGTGTAAGTAATGGAGATATGATTTGCATCCACAGAGAAGCATAATTTTGCTCATTTTTGACTCCTTCTTACTCATTTCAGATGCCCAGTCAGTCAGTTTGTTCCATTGGGTTATCTGTCAGAAAGCTTCTTATATTCCATCTCCCTCTCAATACTTCATTTCCGTTTTTCCACCTTCACCTTCACCATTTTTACATTCCACCAGCAATGTGGGAGAATATCTCCATATCCTTCCCAACCCTTGCTATTGTCCATTTCTTTGATTATTGCCTTCTGAGTGAGTGTGAACTGGTAACTCATTGTGCTTTTGATTTTCATTTCCTAAATGACTAATATTGGTGAACATCTTTCCACGTTGCACAATAACCATTTGTATACCTTTTTTTTTTGGAAAAGTCCCTTCTGTCTTGAATTCTCTTCTGTCATGCATTGCCCCCACCACTCCATTAAAACTGCTCAGGTCCAGGTCAGCAGAAAACTCCATGTTGCTAAATCCAATGGTCAATGCTCAGTCCTCATCTTCCTTGATGTGTCAGCAGCAATTAACATACCCTCCCTTGAAACTGTCTTCACCTCCAATTACAACTCACCATTCTTTTCCTTCTACTTAGAGGCTGCTCCTTAGTTTCCTTGCTAGTTTCTTTCTTATCTCTCTAACCTCTATATTCTGGAATATCCTCAGGTTTACACCCAGATGATCTGTCTTCATTATCCACTCTCATTTTCTTTCTGAGATTGTGGCTCTGCACTAATTCCTGGACCATATGCCAATATAACCTTATGGCAAAAGGGACTTTGCAGACGTCATCAAGTTTAAGGGTCTTGAGATGTGAATTATCCTGGGTTATCTGGGTCAGTTCAGTATAATCACATGAGTCCTAAAAATTGGAAGAAGAAGAAAAGTAAGTCAGAGACATAGAAGGTGAAAACTTGTTCCACTGTTTTTGGCCTTGAAGATGGAGTAAGGGGACCTCAAGTCAAGGAAATGCAGTAGGCTCTAGAAGCTAAGAAAGGATCTCAGTTTATATCCAGCAAGAAAATGAGGATCTCAATCTTAAAACCACAAAGAACTACATTCTAACAATAGCCAGAATGAGCAAAAAGGAACATACCCCAGCGACACAAGGACTTTTTTCCAATTAGACTTGTACCAGAATTCTGACCTCCAGTATTGTAAAATAATAAATCGCTTTTGTTCTAAGTGCCTACATTAGTGCTGATTTATTGTGACAGAAACAGAAAACTAACAAAGCTGCCATACTGTCTCATGGTTTTAAAAACATTGGCTACTCTGTCATTTTCAGCCAGATCCCTCCTATGGATGCCACATTGTGAATATCTAACTTCTTACTTGACAGCTCCACTAGGACGTATAACAGGAATCTCCAGCTTGGCTTTCAAACTCCCCAAACACGCTTCCCATACAGTCTTCCCATCCCAATAAATGTCATCTCTATTACTCCATTTGTTGCAGCCACAAAATCTTGGTGCCATCCTTGACTTTGTTCTTTTTCTCACACCCCACTCTCCATTAGCAAAAAATATTTTTTATTCAATGTATATATTTATAGTATAACTATTTACCATATGACCTTCGTCTCTTACCTGGACTATTGCATAGCCCCACAGTATCCCTGTGCCTATTTTTGGCCTCCTAATGTTTACTCTCAAAATAGTGGCAAGTGATATTTTCAAAACATCAGTTCTATCATATTCCTTAGCTCAGAACTTTCCCGTGGCTCCCACTTCACCTGCAAGGCCCTGCACCATCTGACCTCATAGCCCATGCTCCCCTCTTTCCTCAATCTACTCTAAGACACTGGGGTTTTTTCTATTTCCTTCAACAGACCAGGCATGCTCCTGCTTCAAGGCCTTTGATTCTGTCTAGAATTCTCTTCTTCCAGGCGTTTACCTGTCTCATTTCCTGTCCTCTTTCAGGTCTTTTAGGAATGCTCCCTTCTCAGTGGGATCTACCCTGGTCCTTTCCTCCCCATTCCATTTAAAGCTACATCCTCCTCCTGTTTTCCTGCTCCTGCTCCCTTCTCCCTGCTCTACCTTCCTCAACACCACTTATCACAGGGAAGTGAGGCAGGGTGCATTTTATCCTGGCTGTCCTTTAATGACAAATATGCAAAGAAGACCTCAACAAGTGAGCCACAAATTCTAGCCTGCCAAAATCATTATTATGGCCAGGAAACTGCAACACTGATAAGTTAAGAATCTTGTCCAAATTCTCATAGTTACTAAGTGGCAGAGCTGGGATTCAAGCATTGGAGTTGGGTCCTATAGTTCTTGCTCTTGACCACCATATCACACTAGCTAAATCAGTTATAGTTTATCCACATAGTAGTGTACTATTTAGGTGATTAAAAGGATAAATTACAGTCATAAACCACTTAGCAACGTTTCAGTCAATGATGGACCACATATACAATGGTAGTCCCATAAGACTATAATGAAGCTGGCTGCACATGGTGGCTCATGCCTGTAATCCCAGACTTTGGGAGGCCGAGGTTGGAGTATTGCTTCAGCCCAAGAGTTCAAGACCAGCCTGGGCAACATAGGGAGACCACATCTCTACAGAAATAATCCAAAAGATTACCTGGGCATGGTAGTAGGTGCCTGTGGTCCCAGCTACTTGGGAGGCTGAGGGGAGAGTCTCCAGAGCCTGAGAGTTTGAGGCTGTAGTGATCCGTGATCATGCCACTGCACTGCAGCCTGGTTCTCAGAGTAAGACCTTGTCTCAAAAAAAAAAAAAATGACAATGGAGCTGAAATAATTCCTATTGTCTAGTGATGCTGTAGTCATTGCAATGTCTTAGCAAAATGCATTAGCCATGTGTTTGTGGTGATGCTGTTGTACGCAAACCTATTGCACTGCCAGTCATATAAAAGTATAGCACACACAATTATGTACAGTGCAGAATGCTCGATAATTATGCTAAAGTGCTATGTGACTGGTTTATGTATTTACTATATTTTTATTGTTATGTTAGAATATACTCCTACTTATTAAAAAATTAACCGTAAAGCAGCCTCAGGCAGATCCTCCAGAGGTATTCCAGAAGAAGGCATTATGATCCTAGAAGATGACAGCTCCATGCATGCTATTGCCTCTGAAGAACTCTCAGTGGGTCAAGATGTGCGGGTGGATGACAGTGTCATTGATGATCCTGACTCTGTGTTATGAGTATGTTTGTGTCTTAGTTTTTAACAAAAATATTAAAAAGTAAAAAATGTTAACATAGAAAATAGCATATAGAATAAGGATGTACAAAGGAGAAAATACTGTATATAGCTGTATGTTTTTGCATTTTAAGCTGTGTTGTTATAAAAGAATTATAAAGTTAAAGAATTAAAAGTAAAAAAGTTGCAGGAGGCTACAGTTAATTTATTACTGAGAAAAAAATACTTTAAAGTAAATTGAGTGTAGCCTAAGTATGCACTGCTTATAAAGCCTACAATAGTGTACAGTAATGTCCAGGTCTTCACATTCACTCACGACTCACCCACTTCTCAGACCAACTTCCAGTCCTACAAGCTCCATTCATGGTAAGTGCCTTATACAGGTGTTAGGGACAAACTGCCCCCAAAAAGCTTCTTGAAATGTCTCCGTGCTGCCCTCCGCTCCCCACTCTGCAACTCCTTTCCATGCCGCCCCACTCTTTCCCTCAAGCCTGTTTACATTTCTAAGCCCTTATCTGGGTGCCAGCAAACTTTGCGGTGAAGCCAGCAAACTTCACTTATCAGACCCCGCTGCTGTGAGCAAACCCCAATTACAAACTATCCGGACCACACAGGGGGAGGTCGTGGGAAGCATAAACAAACTTTACCCTCCTGTAAGTTCCTGCTATCATAAATGTCACCAGGTGATATTTGGCAAAATTAACCAGCAAACACCCCCAGGATGCGGCCGTACCAAAAAACTCCCTCAAACTCCCTCCCCAGTATAAACCCCTCATTCTGTAAGCTTGGCGCTACCTCCTCTGAGTGTGGTGGAGTAGCCCGGCTGGTTCAACAAAGTTACTCGCCTGACTTTGGGTCTATTCTTCCTTCCCTCGGCTGCCCTTACATTCTGGTGCCGAAAGCCCGGAAGGGGATAGACTCTGGCCGGGACTCACTCTCTCCTCTCTCTCCCTCCCCATCACCGCTCTCCTGGCCATTCTCACCTTTCCCCAACCTGCCGAAGACCCAGAGAATCTCCTAGGTTCTCCCTTTGCTGGCGACCTCATCCACCATCAAAACCTCCGCCAGGGTGAGTAAAAAGAGACTGTTGCCCTTCCCCGGAACCCGTCCGTCTCTCCGTTTCCGAAAACCCCAGCGCTGGGCCAAGGGCTTCCTCTGGCCTCCGGGCCTCTCTCTGGTCCCTCCATTTCAGGGACGCCCGACACGGCGGTTACCTCCTCTATTCCGGGCAAGCTCTCCCGTCGTCCTTGTCACCACCAGAAGTCTCTTCCTCTACCACCCACCCCCGCCCACCACGCTCCATTCGCTATGAGAGCCTCTCAGTCTACTCCTAAAACTACCCAGCTTAGATGTCTCCTTCGCAATCTCAAGGCTGTCGGCCTCCGTTCAGAAATCTGCCCTAAGAGGCTTATTTTTTACTTCAATACCGCATGGCCTCAATGCAAATTAGACCGTGGCTCTCAATGGCCCAAAAATGGCACTTTCAACTCCCACGTGCTCGGAGACTTAAGACAACTTTTGCTACCGCAATGGGAAGTGGTCTGAGATTCCTTATGTTCAGGCTTTCTTTACTCTCCTTAGTCATCCTTCCCTCTGCCAATCCTGCTCTACTTTTCGAATTCTCCTCATGCGCTCCAAACCCCACTCGCCCCCTGCTCCCCTCAACCCAGTAGCCCCAGCCGACAACTCCTCTTCCTTTGACTCGCCGATTTTCCTCCTTCCTAACAGCATCATAATCCTCCACTGGAACAGCATGATCCCCCGCTGTATGTCTCTGCTCAGGCTCTCTCTCTCCCCTTCTCTCCAACCATCCTGCCTCCGACTCTGAGTCCTCTCCATCTCTGCCTCTCACCTGCTCTTGGGCCCAACATGCTCAGCAACCAGCTCCCTTGCTTCCCCTTCAGGAAGCAGCAGGAGCTAAAGGTATTGTTAAAATTCCCTTCTCCCTCACTAATCTCTCTCTAATTAACAAAAGACTCCGTTCATTTCCAAAAAACCCTACCTCTTATATTAAAAAGTTTCAGTACCTTACCCAGTCTTATAAACTAACTTAGCATAACCTCTATGTTATCCTCTCTTCCACCCTCACCCCAAAAAAGCAGAACCGTTTCTAAACCCTAGCTCAGGCACATACTGATACAATTCGTCACCAAGCTCCTACCCAGCCTACTAGCACAGAGGCAGTCCCCAACCAGGAACCACAATGGAATGATCAAACAAGGCCTCTGGGCACTGCCATCAAGACCACACAATTATATATCTGCTTGCAGGGCTCAAAAAGAGTGCCCATAAAGCAGTAAACTACAAAAAAACTTTCAGAAATCACCCAAAGTCCTGACAAAAACCCAGCCCTTTTTCTCTCTCGTTTAACTAAAGCCGTAAGCCTATATATCAGGCTAGACCCAGCCAGCCCAAAAGGAACCACTATCTTAAACCTTCAGTTCATCTCCCAATCCACTCCCCAATATTCGGCACAAGCTTCAGAAGGTTGACAATGGCCCTCAAACCCCACAACAAAACCTTCTTAATTTAGCCTTCAATGCCTTTTAACAATCATAATGAGGAAAGTAAAGGACAAAAACAGGCAGAGTTTCAAATGCTTGCCTCTGCCGTCAGAGGCCCTGCAGGCCACTGGGCCGCGGCTCTACATGGAAGCCTCCTAATAATCCACCTCCACCTGACTCCCGTTTCAAATGCGGTCATAAAGGCCACTGGCCCAGACAATGCCCATACCCAGGTAAGCCCACCAGGCCGTGCCCCCTCTGCGGAGGACACCACTGGAAGTTGGACTGTGAGCTGCCCCAACAAGGACCACCCCCATCCCTTCCTGAGCCGGCCAAAACCTCCTACTAGGAACTCATTGGCCTTGCCGCTGAAGTCTAACAGTGCCCTGGAATGGACAGTCTGGCAACTACCATCTCTTCATCCGAGCCAAGGGTAACCCTGATGGTGGCAAGTAGGCCAGTATATTTTTTAATGAATACCAGGGCAACCTATTCTGCTTTACCTAATTTTTCAGGACCCACCCAGTCCTCCCAAGTCTCTGTTGTGGGAAATGATGGACAAATCTCCAAACCCCAAGCCACCCCTCCACTTTTCTGCTCCCTACACACCTTTTCCTTCACTCACTCTTTCTCAGTCCAGCCCTCATATCCAATTCCACTCCTAGGCAGAAACATCCTTTCAAAACTCCACACTACTCTCCACTTCCACATCCCCTGTAGTACCCAACACCCAACACAGCCATCCAGACCCCTCTAATATTTCCAACTTTCTTCTACTCCTCCAACCTCCCACCTTAAAACATGCAACCTTTCCTTATTCCCCATCTGTAATTAACCCCATCCAGTTCCTGACACAAAAGCAGTATTCCGTCCCCCAAGCAGCTCTCATAGGCCTAAAGCTTACCATTTCTCACCTCCTCACCAGTCACTTACTCCACCCAACAGACTGCCCTTTTAACACACCAATTGTACCTGTTAAAAAGCCAGATAAAACTTATTGCTTACTCCAGGACCTCAGGTTCATTAACCAAGCTGTACTCCCAGTATGTCCAGTATTTCCTAATCCATACACTTTACTTTCCACAATTCCCTCCAATACCACCCATTTTTCTATTCTAAGCCTAAAAGATGCTTTTTTCACAATTCCTTTACACCCTGATTCCCAAAACCTCCTTGCCTTTACATTAAAAAACCCCAACACCCACCTTTCACGTCAGCTTACCTGGTGGGTACTACCTCAAGGCTTCAGAGACAGCTCCCATCTTTTTAGGCAGGCCCTTGCTCACGACCTCTGTACCTTATCCCTAAAAGCATCCATTCTCCCTCAATGTGTTAATAATCTGCTCCTGTGTAGCCCCTCTCAAAAAAACTGCAACGCCCAGACTATCTCTCTCTTTCAAACTTCTTAGCAGAACAGAGGTATTAGGTCTCCCCTAAAAAAACACAAATATACACCCCCTCAGTCACCTACCTAGGCCTAGCCCTTACCGTGCCAACCTGAAGGCTCACAACCCACCGCATATCCCTCCTCCAGTCCCTCCCACCTCCACAAACTAAACAAGAAATTCTCTCTTTTCTAGGACTAGCAGGATATTTTAGGCTCTAGTTTCCCTCCTTTGCTCTACTTGCCAAACTGTTATACCAAGATACTAAAGGCCCTCTCCATGAGCCTTTAAACTCTGCATAGCCTATTACCCAGCCTTTCTGTCTCCTCCAAAAATCTCTCACCTCAGCCCCATCCTCACTCTCCCAGACCTCACCAAACCTTTCTCCCTCTATACCAACGGATGGCATAAAGTTACACTGGGTGTTCTAACCCAGTCTAAAGGACCCATCCTCCAGGTTGTTGCCTACCTCTCTAAACAGCTTAAAGCCACAGTTCTCAAACGGCCTGCCTGTCTCCAAGCATTGGCAGCAGCTGCTGTCCTCACCTTAAAAGCCTAAAACCATCTCTCCATGCCAACCTAACAGTTTATTCAACCCATAACATCAAAAACATGCTAACTCACCACAGTGTACTAAGTTTCATCTCCCCCTCACAGCTTCTCCAACTGTATGCTCTATTCATAAAAACTCCCCAAATCACCGTGCTAACCAGCTCTCGTCTAAACCCAGCCATGCTCTTACCTGAAATTTCTACCTGTCAAGACCCTGCACACTTCTGTGTAAACACTGTTCAAACCTTTCTTATACCCTTTCCAAACCTAACAGACCAACGCCTTCTAAATACTTCCTTTACTTAGTTTGTGGACAGCAGCTCCTTAACATTCAGCCAAAATACCACCGTCCACAGTCCTCATAATCTACAAAATCTCCTTTCCTCCCAAGCATTAAGCTCCCTTCCTCCTTCCCGGATTCAATTACTCCATGCCCTCTTTATCAAAAATCCTGAATTCAAGTCTTGCCAAAAGTGCTCCTCTCAACCCAGCATCCTTACTCCCCGTATCCTCTTCCCCTCCTACTCATTCTTGCACTGACATCCTGGATCACCTACAGCCACACTTTCCAAACATTTCCTCCGAGCCTCTCACCAACCCCGATGACCAGCTATTTATAAATGGCTCCTCTTCCGGGCCCACTGGCTCCCCAAAAATTGCTGGGTATGTGATTGTTTCCCTTGACTGAGTAACTAAAGCTAAACTCCTACCTCCAGGAACCTCCTCTCAAAAAACAGAACTCATAGCTCTCACCAGAGCCCTAACCCTTTCCAAAGACAGATGAGTCAACATTTACACAGACTCCAAATATGCATATCACATTTTTCATTCCCATGCTGCCATCTGGCAAGAGAGAGGATTCCTCACTGCCAAAAGGCCCCATATCACTAACAGCCCCCTTACTTACCAACTCCTTCAGGCCACACACCTCTCGACTGAAGCGGGAGTTATACACTGTCAAGGACATCAAACAGGGTCAGATAAAATCTCAAGAGGGAACAAAAAGTCTGATGATGCAACAAAAGAAGCCTTCCTGTCTTCCACTCCTGCCTCCCTCCTCCTCATTATCCCTACAATCCAACCTCAATACTCCCCCACTAAAACAGCCTTATTACTACAACAATGAGCCTTCCTCCAGGGGGACTGGATAATTAAGGACCAGAAGCCAGTCCTTCCCCAGGGCCAAAAGAACAAAATCCTAACATCTCCACCAATCTTTCCGTATTGGTGCACGTCCCCTGTATCTCCTCCTCCACCCATATTTCTTATCCCCTCACCTATTCACCTCATTAAAAAACATAACTTCAAACTGTCATATATGCTCTGTCACCTCCTCTCAAGGAGCCCTCCACTCCCCATCTATTCCTACACACCAGCTAAGAGGAACACTCCCAAGAAAGAACTGGCAAATAGATTTCACCCACATACCTATGAATACATAAAAATAACAAAATAATACATCTTTTTAGCATACACAACCAGTTGTGTCTACCAAGCCAAGGCATACTTTTCCTATGCGGTACCTCAACTGATATTTACCTCCCCTCACAGCCAAAAATGGAGAACTCTGCCCTTTTCTAAATAAACAATGTTACTTTTATCTTAACCCATCTAGCTTAATACAAAATGCTGTAAAAAAAAAAAAAAAAAAAAAAAGGACCAAGCGCGCGCGCGCGCGCACACACACACACACACACACACACACACACACAAAGTCTCCCGATGGCCAGTGTGGCCCTCCTGGTCCTTTAGTGCCTGGTTTCCATGGCTAACGCCCCTCCTAGACCTGGCCATAACCATTCTTCTTTTTCTAGCATTCAGCCCTTGTCTCTTACGCCTTCTACCCCAGTTTTACAGGACCGTATCAGAGCCCTCACCCATGGGACAGTACAAAATATGATGCTGTTCCAGGAATACCAATGGCTCCAAGAACAGCAGTCCCTACCATCCAGCCTTCCCCCATAACCGTCGCCCCTTCCCAGCAGGAAGTAGCCAGACAATGGCATCCCTCTTCTGTTACCTATTAAAAGGCTGGAATGTTAGGGACAAACTGCCCCAAAAAAGCTTCTTGAAACCTCTCCGTGCTGCCCGCCCATCCCCACTCTGCAACTCCTTTCCGTGCCACCCCCCTCTTTCCCCCAAGCTCTTTACATTTCTAAGCCCTTATCTAGGCGCCCCAGTGAAGCCAGCAAACTTCACTTTACAGGCCCTGCTACTATAAGCAAACCTCAATTACAAACCATACGGACCACACAGCGGGAGGTCATGGGAAGCATAAACAAACTTTACCCTCCTGTAAGTTTCTGCTATCATAAATGTCACCAGGTGATATGTGGCAAAATTAACCAGCCATACCAAAAAATGCATGCGGCCATACCAAAAAGCTCCCTCAAACCCCCTCCCCAATATAAACCCCTCATTCTGTAAGCTTGGCACTGCCTCCTCTGAGTGTGGTGGAACAGCCTGGCAGGTTCAGTAAACTTACTCGCCTGACTTTGGCTCTATTCTTCCTTTCTCTCAGCTGCCCTTACAACAGGTGTACCATATTTCATCTTTTATACCATGTTTTTACTGTACCTTTTCCACATTTAGATATTTTTAGATACAAAATTCTTGCCATTGTGTTACAATTGCATATAGCATTCAGTACAGTAACATGCTGTACAAGTTTGTAGCCCAGGTGCAATAGGCTATACCATACAGCCTGGGTGGATAGTAGGCTGTACCATCTAGGTTTGGGTAAAAACACTCTATGATGCTCGCACGACGATGAAATTACTTAATGGCACATTTCTCAGAACATATTCATGTCACTGAGTGACACATGACTATATTTTTATATATTTAAATGGGAAGACATCAGTGAAATGTTAATTGTGGTATGGAACAGCATGTGTGCATGTCTATGTGGGCATGGTCAGGGTTGAGCACTGAAATCTGATCTATATGGAGGCTTCATAAAATTTAAGCTGGAACATACGTGGTAAGCAGAGGCTGAGAGTTTGCCTTTTAAGATAATAATCCTCAGAACACAGCCCAGTAAATGTTGGTTGAGTGAAGGAATGAATCATGAGACCCCTCAGGTTATCATTACTTTGATGTGTTAACCAAGGTTCAGAGTCTGGCCCTCAGACTCTAAAACTGAGCCCAGAAACTTTATCTCATCCATTGCCCAGCTCTGGCTTTCCTTGGGGATGCAAAATTTTGCTAACAAATGCCATGAGACATGGATAGACAAAACTAGAATGCTTGTTTATTAATTTACAGTAAGAAGTATGCTTTTCAACTGGACTGGATATTCCTGTTAGCCTGACCAGTGCATCCTGTTCCCAAAGAAAGGCCACACAGGAAGCTGCCTTAGTCCATTTGTGCTGCTATAACAAAATATCTGAGACTGAGTAATTTATAAATAGCAGACATTCATTTGTCATAGTTCTGGAGGCTGGGAAGTCCAAGATCACAAGGCACTGGCAAGATTGGGGTCTGGTGAGGCTGCTCTCTGCTTCCCAGATGGGCCCTCATGGCTTCATCCTACAGAGAGAGGGATGCTGTGTCTTCATGTGGGAGTAGGGATAGAAGGGCAAGAGAGTACTCCCTTCAACCTGGAGCCCTTTTATAAAGGTACTAATCCCATGCATCAAGGCAGAGTCCACATAACTTAATCACCTCCCAAAGACCACACCTCTCAATACTGTTGCCCTGGGGATGAAGTTTCAACACAAATTTTGGAGGAGGCACCATCAGAAGCCAAGACATCAGTGGGCTGCTTGGAGATCCAGGAGTCAGGGAAGGTAAGTAGATGCTGCTGGTATGGAATTCACTGGCCTTCTGGAGTCTGAGCCCTCTATTTTCATGGTAGGATTTACCTGATCAGGGCACTGTTTCTCCTGCCAGCCTAACAGACCACTTCATTTATCTTTGTCACTCACCTTTCTATGTTCTATTACTTATTAACCCTCCTTCGGATGACATATTTTTTCTTTGATCGTGTTCATCGTGAGATTAAGTCAGCTCACCCAGCTGAGTGAGCTAGAATCTCTGTACCTCTCCTATGTTTCAGGTATGTGGCATTTTATTTGATTCACAAACAGCACCATCAATAACAACACCAGAAACCCCAATCCACTATTATCTTCCTCATTTCCAAGTTCTAGCAGAGGGTGTGGAGGAAGTGGACATCTCTTAATATACCACATAGCACCAGCTGAACCACCAAACTGCACTGGTAAACAGACTCAATAAGAAAAACTGGACTGGTGAATGGAATTCTGTAGCTCTCAAGATTGAAATCTTCACCTAATTGATCATTGAGCCTTTCAGCAAGATCCTCTCATATTTAGGAAAGCAAAACAACACCAACAAGTCTCTAAGAGGATGTAATACATAGTTAATGTCTATTCAAGTTTAAAACAATCATGAAATGATAATTTCTGGAAAATCCTACATTACAAAATTGATTTGCATGTGTTTACAAACCTCAAAAAACATCCAGACAACCTTGTGAAACTGATATATTTTCCCTTCAATGGCTTAAGGGCCAAGTTTTATTGCCAGTGGATTCCTTCAAACTATTAATGAATAGAGAGTTTTTGTGGTAACAAATATGTTTTAAAACTTGGCAGAAGATAGAAAGCTTTCATTTGTGATTTAGGAAACTTGATAGAGCATAAAGAATAGGAAGTAAAGTCTTATTCAGTGGTCAAGGCTGCGTGAGCAGCTCTCACTTCCCTTCTTCCGCTGGAAACTTTTTCCAGGTGAGCTCAACTCCCAGCTTCCCTAGGACCCCAAGGAGCAGAAGGTCTTTGGCCTGCATCATTCACAGTAATGGGAATAAGAGTGGAGTTCCAGTCCCTGTTGGGTCAGACAGGGAGCAGAGAGAGAGAGGCTGCTGGGTGCCTGGGTCCTGGGGCTGCCACACTCCCTGCAGGGGGTTGGCTCAGTGCCAGGCACTCTGCTCACCTGAGGGTTTGGGACTGGGAATAAGCCTATGTGATTTTGCCAAAGAGAGTTTTCTAGACTCTACGAATGTGTTGTCAGAAGGAAATTATCCATGGAGTCTTGCTGACTCCCGCACTTATAACACCTGCACCAAGTGACCATCTCTGTGTCCCAAAACTTTCATTTCATGTTTGTAGGACTCTAGAAAGCTGTCCTCTAATGTCATAAGTAAAGTGCTCAGCCCTCTACCTTTCTCTGCTGATACTGGCTTCCCTTTTGAGGCTACTCATTACAAATAGGATTCTACGTCCACTCAAAGTCACTTCAAGAGGGATTCACCAGTCCTGGCAATCTTTTCCTGTCTTAAATGCCCCGATTTCTCCCTCCCAATCCCCCTCCATAGTTTCCTAGGGCACATGCCAACTTTTACTATCTCTGTGTCTTCCCAGATGGCATAGTCCCAGGAGCTAGGAAGGTTGGATATTACATTTCCTGAACATGGTGAGCAACACCTCACCCTACCCTCAATCTTCTGGGAAAGGGGTGCCTCCAGAACTAGAACCTGCCCTTGCTGGACAATTTTTTGAGTTAAACACATTTCCCCCAAGGTCTGAGGTGGCAGTTTTCTGTTCCTCGTGGTTGCTGATCACACAGGTCAGGCTGGCATTGCACTGGCTCAGTGGCAGGCTCACGGCCAGGGTCCCGGGGTTGTAGGCTGGTCCTGGCATCCCTGTCTGGTCCAGCTCTCTGGGGAGGCCTTTGCTCTCTCTCAGGTCACATTTAGGTCCTCTGTGGCTCTTGGAGCCCTGCCCTCTTGGGTAAATTTTCAGCAGTCTGGTGTGATGGACGGTGACCTGGTTGGGACCTGGAAAAGGGGCACAGGCTCTGGGGTAGAATGGGACAGAAGAATTAATGCACTTGTAGAGCACACTCCTCATCCATTATCTCAATACTTTCAGAGCACCTACTGGGCAGGCAGGGCACTTTGCAGCCAGAGAAACAGGCTTGGGGAAGTGAAACAGTTTACCCAAAGTGATACACTGAGAAAGTGCCACAGAGCCCCAGATTTAGAGAAGAGACGGCAACCAAAGTCTCTCAGCTTCCTCCACCACCCATACTCCCTTCTCTTGTTCTGCACACACGTCATCTGATCCTTCACAACTCTCATAGCACTTGGAAGGTAAATTCAAACCTCTAGGGAAAATACCTGCCACATACAGAATTTACAAAGGAGTTTCTGAAAACTGGTTTTAAGGCCCATAAGCTGTCACCTATACCAATGACATTAAGAGATTAGAATTTGGAGATACGGTGGAAGGTGGAGAGAGTTATGCTGCAAGTCCCCTTCCCACCTCATGGGTACCCACCCCTCCCTTCGATCCTAGTGAGCAAAGTTCAATGATACCATTCAGACAGCTTGATATGTCCCATGCGGATTGGGGATGCACTGAACGGTGTCTGATCCATACCTGAGATAGCCAAGGGGGGAGATGCTGCCGAAATAGCCTATGGTACCAGAGTATTGGCTGCCACTAGGGAAGAAATTGCAGTGCCATTGATGAACATATTTTTCATCGTCCAGATGCAAGTACTTAACAGAACTGTGTTGAGAGCCAAAAGGAGGAGTAATAGAACCCCAGTAGAGAGATTGTGTAGAAACGGACTAGCTATGGGCTGGGCACAGTGGCTCACGCCTGTAATCCCAGCACTTTGGGAGGCCGAGGTCAGGAGATGGAGACCATCCTGACTAACACGGTAAAACCCTGTCTCTACTAAAAATACAAAAAATTAGCCGGGTGTGGTGGTGGGCACCTGTAGTCCCAGCTACTGGGGAGGCTGAGGCAGGAAAATGGCATGAACCCTGGAGGCAGAACTTGAAGTGAGCCGTGATCACACCACTGCACTCCAGCCTGAGTGATAGAGCAAGACTCCATCTCAAAAAAATAAAAATAAAAAAATAAAAAAGAAAAAAAGAAAGAAATGGACCAGCTATGTACCAGGGGTAAAAAAGACAGAAATGCTCACCCCTTGAGTATATTACCTGTAAAGGAATAGATGGCAGATTCCCAGCACGAGGGAGGAGAAGTATCTAAAGAACCTATGAAAATGCCCCATGGGAGAAAGAATCACGCTAATCACTGTCGAATCCAGAGGACGAACTGCTTGATGACGACAACGGGATGAGCCAGGGAAGGCTCTTCCCGACTCCTCAACTCCATCCTCTTTTCTGCTCCTCTCTCCTTTCCCATCCCCATGGACTGGGGAAGGGAGTTCCCCCACATTGATATTATCTATAATTAATAAAATACTTCTCTTGCTCATTTTGAAAGTCAAAGATGAACACTGAGTTCTGCATTCTCTGTGGCCTCCACCTGAAGCAGTAGCTGCCTGGCCCAAAAGTGTTGGAGGTTTTTGGGCAACAGAAAATATAAGAATAATAAGGACATTTTGGAAACTCCCAGACAAGAAGGCACTTCAGCTGACTCAGGAAGCCCCTCCTAATGATCTGATGATAGAATATGCTCAATAAAAATATAATAAAAATGTTTTGTATAATTTAGTTTCAACAAAACTCCAGTTATGGAGAGTTCCAAGGGAGAATTTTGTGCTAAAGAGATGAATGGAATTTGAAGTTCTGGTGGCTCCAGGGGGTATCAGAAGCATACGTTAGAGGCCCATGTTAAACGACCCTACATGGAATGATGCCTGGGCTCAGGGTTCCAGCATGTGATAAGAATTCACACCCACACCATGCACAGTACAGTGCAGCTGTCAGCCCCCTTAGCTGATTTCCCAGGCCAGAAGACAGAAACCTTCCCATCAGAGTTTCATCCCAGTTCCTCATCTGCCTTTCTGCAGCTTCTCTACAAGCACAAGCACAGCCTAGGCACAGTGGAATCAGGCGCCTCCAGGAACCACAGAGGTGGGAGGTGCTCCAGCCCCAGTGGTGGAAGCAGGAGGCTTCATTAGCCCCAGACACCTACCCTAGACATGGGCTGCCTGGTTTTCCTAAGGGTCTTTAATCTTTTCTTATACACATTGTTTTCTTGGAAGCATCGACTGTGTTCTTTATCTCCTCCTAATATATTCATTGGTCTTTCTCAGATCCTCATTCGACGCTGGCTTTGGGGCAGTTCTCCACCTAAGCTAAATGTATTACAGCTTAGGCACACACCATAGACAAAGATAAAATTGTGTAAAAGCTAGAGGTAGAAAAGACAGACCATCTGCAAAGCAATGTTGAGAAAATGATAGCCCAGCAGTAATGTATATTGTATGATATCTTCAGTGGTTTGTAGAAAATAATTGCCAGCTTTAAACTGTATACCTGAGTAAACTATCTTCAAAAATGAGGGCAAAACAAAGGCATTTCCAGTCAAATTAAAACTGAGAACATTTATCACCAACAGACAATCACTAAAGGACTACTTTGTGAAGAAGAAAAATGGTCTGGAAGAAAAGGTTGAAAACAAAAGGATTGCTGAGAATAGAAAGTGGTAAACAGAAAGGATACTTGACCACTGGTTGCATAAAAATAATAAAAGTTTATAATTGTTGCAGTGAAAAATAGAAGAGAGATATTGGGTAATGATAATATTTAGGATAAGAAGAAAATGAGAAGAGTGAAAGTGCTGTTAGTTCCTTTTCAATTTCTGGAAGTGGGTGGAGATACTGATTTAGAATTTGAATTAGGTATATGTGTTAATATATTAAGTCAAATCCTAAATGAAGAGAAATGCAGTGTATAACTTCTACAAAAGCAGAGGAGTAACTAAAGTAAAATTTTAAACTTAACTACATAAAGGAAAGTAGAAAAGACACATAGAGAAAACAGAAAAATAGAAAGATATAATAAGATGAGAGAAATAATGCCATATGCATCAGCAATCACAATACCTCAAATGGAAAAACATCTCACTAATTAGACAACTGAGATGAACAGATTAGAGAGAAAACTCAATCCAGCCATCCACAATCCAGCTATTTAAATATGGAAATCCAGAGTTTACAGAAACATTATTAGGGGGAAAGGGAATCATACAACAATTCTAAATATACCAGCAATGTGTAAAAATGCTTTCAATGACACACTTTCATAATATATAATGCAAAACTCACAGAATTGCAAGAAGAAAACGACAAATCTATTTTCACAGTAGGCAATCTTAACACAAGTCTGTTAGTAATTGAAAAAGCATACAGACAAAAATTAGGAAGAAGAGAGAAGATTTGAACAACACAATTGACTGATTTGATTTAATAGATAAATACCAAACTTAATACCCAATAATGAGATAATGCATATTATTTTCAAGTTCACGTGGAAGATTCATAAAATTTGGCAATATACTGAGGCAAAATCAACTTTCAATAAATATTGAAGAGCTAGTATTATTCTTTTCCAACTTCAATGCCAGCTGTACAGAAATCAATAGAAAATTATGATATAAGTCATCATTTTTGGAAGTTACAAAACAATTTTCTAAATAATAATAATAGTATATGTATAAATTTATGGGATATAGTTGAAATAGTATTTAGAAAATTTTTTTAAACTTAGAAAACAAAAAGGGCTACAAATTACTGAGCAACTTGTCCACTTCATAAGATTAGAAAGAAAAAAACTGGGAGAATATAAAAGAAATTGAATATAAGAATAAAAGGAAAAATGAATGCAACTGAAATAAAGATACAGCAGACCTGGTCAACAAAGCCAAATGCTGGCTTCTTAAGAAGACAAAACAATAGAAAAAAACCTATCAAGAATGACCACAGAAAAGAAAGAGAAGGCCTACAAACAATACAATTTAGAAATAAGAAACAGAACACAGCAATAAAGGCAGCAGAGATTACAAAAACAAAGCTAATACTGGAAATAACTTAGGCTACTATATTTGAAGACTTTAGTGGATCATTTTCTAGAAAAGTATAACCTATTAAAACAGTCCCAAAAAGAAATAAAAACCACAAAGTGCTATTATTAAAAAATGTACAAGTTACAAGTCTACACCAGGAAGAACAAAATCAAAGCAGACCCAGTTTTAGAAGTAAATTAATTCAATTATTCAATAGTTTTTACTTAAACATCTATGAGGATAGAGGTAACATCCATCAGATGATGTCCTTTGTATTTTTGTGGCCACACAGGAAGATTACATTTTCCCTAGACTCTCCCAAAGTCTGGTGAACTATGTGATTGAGTTTTGATCAATGAAAATTGATCAACATCCAGGCTGAGACGATTAAGAGATGTTAAATTGCTTAACATCCAGGCTGAGACGATGAAGAGATGCCTGACTTTCCTTGTCCCAGTGGCTTGAAGCAAAGGACTCCCGTGGGGTATTGCCAGGTAATGGAAGGAGCCCATGGGCCAAGTCACGGCTTGATGGTAAGCTGCCAAGGAGAGCTGCTCAATGTGGCAGAAATGATGAGTTGCCACCCCTGGGGACTTGCGGCACAACTGTGTAGTCGGACTAAGGTCCAACGCCACACAAAACCTCCACCAGCTTGGCTCCTAGAGCTACTCCTGACTTTTTGATCACATGGAACAAGAAAGAACCTCTTTGGATTCCCTTTAGAAGAACGTGGGCTTCAGAATCCTTCACTCCAGAACCATGTGACCCAGAAATGTTGGCTGTGCAGGTGCAGACACCTAGGGCATTTGAAATAGGAAAAAGGGGTGTTTTCTTAGTAAGAACAAATGAGAGAACCACAGAACTTTCCTTTTTAAATGAAATCCACCCCTTCTATCCCATTGATTCTAGAAAGGTAGCCAAGTATAGTAAAACTGTGTTCAAATTTCAAATTTAAGCCACAGCTTGCTCTTCTGCAAACTGGGGCTGGTAAGGCTTCCCTCCCTATGTTGCTGCTCTGGTGAAATACGATAAAGTCCCAAGCATCTAGTGTGCCATGTCTGGCACCTAGAAAGTGCTGGATCTATGGTTTCTCTTTCTTGGGATCAATGCCCTAAACAATCCCAGCCAGGGTGCCATCCAGGCTCCCTCACTTCCTCCAGCTGCAGAGTTGTGACCATGAACTGCATCAGGGCCTCATTTGAGCCCTAACCTGCCCCACAGCCACTACCCTAGGCCTCTGATCAGCCCCAGGGAGCTTGATGAGGTCTCCGTCCTCATTCTGTTCATCTCTCAGATCAGTGCTGGACCAGGGGAAGGCACCACAGAAGCTACCTCCTCTCTCCTTTCAAAGATGTGGTGTTTGTTTGGTTTGCCATTGCCTGTTAGTGTAACCAGTTTACTGAGTCTGTAAGTTCTTCCTTGTATCTGACCTGCCTCCCTCCTGCTTAACTTAAATTTAACAATTCCTTGTCTTCACTGGGGGCAGAGAATTACTTATGCCATGGCTTCAAGGGCAGCACCCTGTCAGATAGGTTCTTCCTACTTATTAATTAATGCACTCAACCAAGCCTCTACTAGGATCAAGGCCCTAGGGACATGTCCAGGAGTCAGATGTGATCAATACCATGGGGAGTCACATTCACATTGGTCTGTAAAGACTCAGTATGAAGCATCCTCATCACAAGGTTTAATCTCACAAAAGCTGTATATACAACAAATGATGCAAAGCAGTTCAAAGGAGAGACAGGCCACTCTCACTGGTGGAATCAGGAAAGGCTTCATTATGGAGGTGTTACGTGGGCTCCTCCATGCTGAAGCATCCAGTCCCTTCAGCTCCCCTCAAGGTGAACTGAAGGTGTTGCTTTCAGGACCTACATCACTGGGGTCAGTGCAGTGCCTGTGTCTACCTTTGGCCATGAAAGTCAGTGTTCTCCCAAACTCAAGGCCCCTCTCCATCTCTTCCTGCCCTTATCCCATTCCTTCTTCTTCTTGTCCAGTCCAGGAGGTAGTTTTTGTTTGGGAATTGTTTGGTTTGGAAAACTATATAAGTGAGAGGTTTGGGGAAGGAAGAACCTGGAGAGAGAGAATTAGCTGTGTGGCTGGAGACCAGTGTCACTGGAGAGTCAGCCAATAGACATTCAATACTGCCAAAATGACAGGGCTTTTAATCTAATCTCAGTGTTCATTTATCCTGTCCAAAGACATACACATGCACACACACCACCTGCAGAGCCTTTAGTAAGACTTTATATATTCAGCAGCCTGGTGCCAGTAATATTTTAGGGATATAAAGGAAGGCAGACCTTGATCTGATCTGAAGCAGCAGAGTGTGTGTATGTGTGTGCGTGTGTGTGTGTCTGCATGTGTGCATGTGTGTGTGTGCATGTGTGTGTATGTAACATATAAGAGAGCAATGTAAAGTTCAGTGTGATGGAGAGTCAAGAACAGAGATTGAGAGGTGACCATGGGAATATAAGCTCCTAGGAATTCGCAAATGTATAGATAAGGCTCTGGACCTCTATAAGACATGGGATGGGTGGTCACATATATTTTATTTGAATCCCAAATAACAGGACACTCAAGCTGGGAGTTGGGTTACAAGAGGAATATATTTATTGGATATTTACTATATCAGTGGGTTTATATGTATTATTTTAATGGATCTACATTATATATTAAATTGAATTCTCAAAATAACCCTGTTGACTAACCATTACATTAACCTTCTAGATAATATATGCTATGGTTTGAATGTGTCCCTCAAAGTTCATGTGTTAGAAACTTTATTCCCACTGTAACAGTGTTGAGAGGTGGGGTCTAATGGGAGGTGTTAGGGCATGAGTGCTCCACCATGAATAAATTAGTTGCTAATTATAAAAGAACTTGAGGTTGAGAGTTCAATCTCTTGCTCTCTCTTGCATGTGCTCAATTGTCCTTCTGCCTTCTGACATTGATGATGCAACAAGAAGCTTCTCACCAGATGGAGCCCCTTGATCTTGAACTTCCCAGCCTCCACAACTGTGAGCCAAATACATTCCTATTCCTTATAAATTACCCAGTCTCAGGTAACCTGTTGTTGCAGCACCAAACAGACTAAGACAATATAGGATCCTGGATGTCCAGAGAGATCCCAATTGTCCAAGTTCATGCCTAGGGTAAGTGGCAAAGGCTTTATAACATCAGCCCAGCCACAGACAGATGCCAGGAGGGAAAGAAGACTATAGATTCTGAGAAACTCAAGACATGATCGTGAGACTCTGGGTTGAGACAGAATGGCTGTTTTTTGATGTGAGAGGGAACTGCAGCCCTAGGCAGAAGTCTAGGTGTCTAGGTAGAGGAAAGGTTGGAGTAGAAGCTCTGAGTTATGGCCTTTTCCTGACCTCCTTATCTGGATTAAAGAGAAGAGTCATCAGTCTAGCCTGTGGGGTTTGCAGCACGGTAGTCCCACAGCTGGGTTGGGGGAGAGAAGCAGACAGCAGTAGATGTAGACTGACAGTTGACCTTTGATATCCTTCCTTTCTTTCTTCCCTCCTCCTCTGTAACCCAACTATGTGTTGGTAGAATTTTTTGAATTAAAAAATAATTAAAATATTAGAAAACAATAACAGGATGGTGTATCCTTTCAATGGATCCTTAGAGAATAGTACAAAATTACAGAACAACAGTAGCAATAAATAGAAAAAAACAAAATTCAACATATGTTAAAATATGAAGTGTAAAAAGATAGTTTAAGGAAATTTGAGGAAATTTGAAAATTCTCTTTTTCTTAAAAACAGCAAGAGAGCAAGAGTACCTACTGATTTTATAGAGAACATTTTCAAAGCTCTGACAATTAACCAATGACTTGCAGGAACCTGAGAACTGGACATTATGTAGTGTTCTAACTTTCCCTAGTCACAGCATCACTCTGCAACTCCACTGTAGCCTTCAGAAGTAACAGCTTGCTTTCATGATGAAGCCAGAAGTCTAGCATGCACCTGAGGGAGCAGAATGGAGCTGGAGCTCTCTCTAAGTCTCATTCCCAATGAATTGTTATTATTTCACCTGTCTTGTGGTACCTTGGAAGACCCCACTTCCAAGTATATGTGTGTTTCACCTGACTGAGAGCCCTCTTACTTCTAATAGCCCTTTACCTGTGGGGCACTTGAGGAAAGCAATTACAGGCAATTGTTAAACTTTTTGGCTTCCTGAAGCTGAGAATAACTGTTGATGCAAACAATAGACTCACCACATATCTTAACAGGAAAAGCTAAGGAATGAGATGTCCATAGACGGTCATATGCAATTGTGGGATTGTATGCATTTTTAGGTCTGTACGCCTGCCTAGGAAAAATCTGAGAAGACCCTAACCTCTCATCATCTCTGACCTTGAAGCTCTGCACAAGCAGGAAGTGACAGTAAGACAAAGTAGTCAACTTCCTGGCTGAGTGATAAAGTTATGCCCTGTACACCAAGCCCCTCAGCAATCCCTGGGAGACTTGGTGGTTCCAGATGTGTGTTTTAAAGGATTTTTACCTTTCCCAAAGAGAGGTCTGACTTCTTCTCTTGGCTTCTGGGAAGCAATCTTTTACTCCTTGGATCATCACACCTGATAGGAGCATCTGTTTGCCAGGAGCTTTGGGTCACTGGTAGCATGAATTAAGTATGGTTGATCATATCAGAAAGACCAAAAAACATGATTTAAAGTAAGAGTTTGAATTATGCAATATCAGTTGATCTCTGGAGTAGCTGGAAACTGATACCTGTCACCTGGAAAATCAATTATCATGCCTACCTGATGGAACTCCAACAAAAAGTCTCAGCATTGAGGCCTGAGTGAGCTTCCTTGGTTGGAAATACTCTAAGAGTATCATCATACATCAATGTTTGGAAAGGAAAAGTGTCCTGACTCCATGAGAAGAGAACAACTGGAAACTCTGCATTTGGTACTTTTTGTGGACTCTGACTTATGAATTTCTTGCTATGTCGGATTTTAATCTGTATTTTTCCCAATAATCAACCATAACCTTGAGTCCAGTAGCTTCAGTAAGTACTTAGCAACGCTTTAGCAAATTATTGAACCTCAGGGTGATTTGGGAACTCTCTGAACTTGCAGTTGAAGTAAGAGAAGTCTTGGATAGACCCCAACATAAAACCTAACTACACAAAGTTTGTAGCAGGTCCAACTCTCATCGTTTGCATCAGAAGTGGATTGACTAGAATGACCCTGACAGAAAAATGTGTAGTCTGGGAGGAGGAAGAATGAGAGGGTAAGGGATAATGAACCTTTGGTTCCTGCATGGAAACAGGGTTATCTATGGTATGGAGCTGCACCTATGTTATGATTATTTACTAGATGTAAAAGTTGGTAGTAGAATTTAGAAATGATGGATTCAGCTCATGAATTGGAGGCTCACTGGATGCATAAGGAAATGAAAAGTACCAAGAAAAAGGCTAAAAATATAATCTCTTGGTTATTTTCATCTGTAAGAGCTCAACTGAAAGTAAAGGAGAATGTTAGAGTGGATTCTGATATTGAGTGAAGCTGAGATTCTAAGAGGGCCAAGCTATAGTCTGTAGCCTCAGGGCCACTCCTGGTAGGAAAAGTCACAGTAAAAGTAAAGTAAAGCACCTGGAGTAGATCCTAGTGCTGAGCCAGGCTTAAAAGTCTGAGCTACAGCTGCTAGCCTCGGGACCACTACCAAGTAGAAGAGTTATGCCTGAACAACAGACAATGAAGAGACTTAGAGTGATTTCAGTGAGAATGGGGAAAAGAAATGAGAGAGTTGAGCGACATGGAGGGACTCTATCTAGGAGGCTAAAAATTTTAAGTGTTTATTAAGAAGTGGGAAAAAGAAAGAGAACTTTAATAGAGCTAAAATAAGGGTCTTAATGCAGCACGTTTGGACATTGGGTGGAGCAATGTGAGTCACTGCTAGCTCTCCAATATTGAAGGGCCCTAAACTAATCTGTTTATTCACCCAACTGTGCTGAAATTTTTTTTTATACTTTAAGTTTTAGGGTACATGTGTACAACGTGCGGGTTTGTTACATATGTATACATGTGTCATGTTGGTGTGCTGCACCCATTAACTCGTCATTTAGCATTAGGTATATCTCCTAATGCTATCCCTCCCTCCTCCCCACACCCCACAACAGTCCCTGGTGTGTGATGTTCCCCTTCCTGTGTCCATGTGTTCTCATTGTTCAATTCCCACCTATGAGTGAGAACATGCGGTGTTTGGTTTTTTGTCCTTGCAATAGTTTGCTGAGAATGATGGTTTCCAGCTTCATCCATGTCCCTACAAAGGACATGAACTCATCATTTTTTATGGCTGTATAGTATTCCATGGTGTATATGTGCCACATTTTCTTAATCCAGTCTATCATTGTTGGACATTTGGGTTGGTTCCAAGTCTTTGCTATTGTGAATAGCGCCACAATAAACATATGTGTGCATGTGTCTTTATAGCAGCATGATTTATAATCCTTTCGGTATATACCCAGTAATGGGATGGCTAGGTCAAATGGTAGTTCTAGTTCAAGATCCCTGAGGAATCGCCACACCAAGATCCACAATGGTTGAACTAGTTTACAGTCCCATCAACAGTGTAAAAGTGTTCCTATTTCTCCACATCCTCTCCAGCACCTGTTGTTTCCTGACTTTTTGATGATCGCCATTCTAACTGGTGTGAGATGGTATCTCATTGTGGTTTTGATTTGCATTTCTCTGATGGCCAGTGATGATGAGCATTTTTTCATGTGTTTTTTGGCTGCATAAATGTCTTCTTTTGAAAAGGGTCTGTTCATATCCTTCGCCCACTTTTTAATGGGGTTGTTTGTTTTTTTCTTGTAAATTTGTTTGAGTTCATTGTAGATTCTGGATATTAGCCCTTTGTCAGATGAGTAGGTTGCAAAAATTTTCTCCCATTCTGTAGGTTGCCTGTTCACTCTGATGGTAGTTTCTTTTGCTGTGCAGAAGCTCTTTAGTTTAATTAGATCCCATTTGTCAATTTTGGCTTTTGTTGCCATTGCTTTTGGTGTTTTAGACATGAAGTCCTTGCCCATGCCTATGTCCTGAATGGTATTGCCTAGGTTTTCTTCTAGAGTTTTTATGGTTTTAGGTCTAACATGTAAGTCTTTAATCCATCTTGAATTAATTTTTGTGTAAGGTTTAAGGAAGGGATCCAGTTTCAGCTTTCAACATATGGCTAGCCAGTTTTCCCAGCACCATTTATTAAATAGGGAATCCTTTCCCCATTTCTTGTTTTTGTCAGGTTTGTCAAAGATCAGATAGTTGTAGATATGCGGCATTATTTCTGAGGGCTCTGTTCTGTTCCATTGGTCTATATCTCTGTTTTGGTACCAGTACCATGCTGTTTTGGTTACTGTAGCCTTGTAGTATAGTTTGAAGTCAGGTAGTGTGATGCCTCCAGCTTTGTTCCTTTGGCTTAGGATTGACTTGGCAATACAGGCTCTTTTTTGGTTCCATATGAACTTTGAAGTAGTTTTTTCCAATTCTGTAAAGAAAGTCATTGGTAGCTTGATGGGGATGGCATTGAATCTATAAATTACCTTGGGTAGTATGGCCATTTTCACAATATTGATTCTTCCTACCCATGAGCATGGAATGCTCTTCCATTTGTTTGTGTCCTCTTTTATTTCCTTGAGCAGTGGTTTGTAGTTCTCCTTGAAGAGGTCCTTCACATCCCTTGTAAGTTGGATTCCTAGGTATTTTATTCTCTTTGAAGCAATTGTGAATGGGAGTTCACTCATGATTTGGCTCTCTGTTTGTCTGTTATTGATGTATAAGAATGCTGTGATTTTTGTACACTGATTTTGTATCCTGAGACTTTGCTGAAGTTGCTTATCAGCTTAAAGAGATTTTTGGGCTGAGAAGATGGAGTTTTCTCGATATACAATCATGTCATCTGCAAACAGGGACAATTTGACTTCCTCTTTTCCTAATTGAATGTCCTTTTTTTCCTTCTCCTGCTTGATTGCCCTGGCCAGAACTTCCAACACTATGTTGAATAGGAGTGGTGAGAGAAGGCATTCCTGTCTTGTGCCCGTTTTCAAAGGGAATGCTTCCAGTTTTTGTCCATTCAGTATGATATTGGCTGTGGGTTTGTTATAGATAGCTCTTATTATTTTGAGATACGTCCCATTAATACCTAATTTATTGAGAGTTTTTAGCATGAAGGGTTGTTGAATTTTGTCAAAGGCCTTTTCTGCATCTATTGAGATAATCATGTGGTTTTTGTCTTTGGTTCTGTTTATATGTTGGATTACGTTTATTGATTTTCATATGTTGAACCAGCCTTGCATCCCAGGGATGAAGCCCACTTGATCATGGTGGATAAGCTTTTTGATGTGTTGCTGGATTTGGTTTGCCAGTATTTTATTGAGGATTTTTGCATCAATGTTCATCAAGGATATTGGTCTAAAATTCTCTTTTTTTGTTGTGTCTCTGCCAGGCTTTGGTATCAGGATGATGCTGACCTCAAAATGAGTTAGGGAGGATTCCTTCTTTTTCTATTGATTGGAATAGTTTCAGAAGGAATGGTACCAGCTCCTCCTTGTACCTCTGGTAGAATGCTGCTGTGAATCCACCTGGTCCTGGACTTTTTGTGGTTGGTAAACTATTAATTATTGCTCAATTTCAGAGCCTGTTATTGGTCTATTCAGAGATTCAACTTCTTCCTGGTTTAGTCTTGGGAGAGGGTATGTGTTGAGGAATTTATCCATTTCTTCTAGATTTTCTAGTTTATTTGGGTAGAGGTGTTTATAGTATTCTCTGATGGTAGTTTGTATTTCTGTGGGATCAATGGTGATATCCCCTTTGTCATTTTTTATTGTGTCTATTTGATTCTTCTCTCTTTTCTTCTTTGTTAGTCTTGCTAGTGGTCTATCAATTTTGTTGATCTTTTCAAAAAACCAGCTCCTGAATTCATTGATTTTTTGAAGGGTTTTTTGTGTCTCTATTTCCTTCAGTTCTGCTCTGATCTTAGTTATTTCTTGCCTTCTGCTAGCTTTTGAATGTGTTTGCTCTTGCTTTTCTAGTTCTGTTAATTGTGATGTTAGGGTGCTGATTTTAGATCTTTCCTGCTTTCTCCTGTGGGCATTTAGTGCTATAAATTTCCCTCTACACACTGCTTTGAATGCGTCCCAGAGATTCTGGTATGTTGTGTCTTTGTTCTCATTGGTTTCAAAGAACATCTTTATTTCTGCCTTCATTTCATTATTTACCCAGTAGTCATTCAGGAGCAGGTTGTTCAGTTTCCATGTAGTTGAGCCGTTTTGAGTGAGTTTCTTAATCCTGAGTTCTAGTTTGATTGCACTGTGGTCTGAGAGACAGTTTGTTATAATTTCTGTTCTTTTACATTTGCTGAGGAGTGCTTTACTTCCAAGTATGTGGTCAATTTTGGAATAGGTGTGGTGTGGTGCTGAAAAGAATGTATATTCTGTTGATTTGGGGTGGAGAGTTCTGTAGATGTCTATTAGGTCTGCTTGGTGCAGAGCTGAGTTCAGTTCCTGGATATCCTTGTTAACTTTCTGTCTCATTGATCTGTCTAATGTTGACAGTGGGGTGTTAAAGTCTCCCATTATTATTGTGTGGGAGTCTAAGTCACTTTGTAGGTCACTAAGGACTTGCTTTATGAATCTGGGTGCTCCTGTATTGGGTGCATATATATTTAGGATAGTTATTTCTTCTTGTTGAATTGATCCCTTTACCATTATGTAATGGCCTTCTTTGTCTCTTTTGATCTTTGTTCATTTAGAGTCTGTTTTATCCGAGACTGCCTTTTTTTGTTTTCCATTTGCTTGGGAGATCTTCCTCCATCCCTTTATTTTGAGCCTATGTGTGTCTCTGCACATGAGATGGGTTTCCTGAATACAGCACACTGATGGGTCTTGACTCTTTATCCAATTTGCCAGTCTGTGCCTTTTAATTGGAGCATTTAGCCCATTTACATTTAAGGTTAGTATTGTTACGTGTGAATTTGATCCTGTCATTATGATGTTAGCTGGTTATTTTGCTCGTTAGTTGATGCAGTTTCTTCCTAGCCTTGATGGTCTTTACAATTTGGCTTGTTTTTGCAGTGGCTGGTACTGGTTGTTCCATGTTTAGTGCTTCCTTCAGGAGCTCTTTTAGGGCAGGCCTGGTGGTGACAAAATCTCTCAGCATTTGCTTGTCTGTGAAGTATTTTATTTCTCCTTCACTTATGAAGCTTAGTTTGGCTGGATACGAAATTCTGGGTTGAAAATTCTTTTCTTTAAGAATGTTGAATATTGGCCCCCACTCTCTTCTGGCTTGTAGAGTTTCTGCCAAGAGATCAGCAGTTAGTCTGATGGGCTTCCCTTTGTAGGTAACCCGACCTTTCTCTCTGGCTGCCCTTAACATTTTTCCTTCATTTCAACTTTGGTAAATCTGACAATCATGTGTCTTGGAGTTGCTCTTCTCGAGGAGTATCTTTGTGGTGTTCTCTGTGTTTCCCGAATTTGAATGTTGGCCTGCCTTGCTAGATTGGGGAAATTCTCCTGGATAATATCCTGCAGTGTTTTCCAACTTGTTTCCATTCTCCCTGTCACTTTCAGGTACACCAATTAGACATAGATTTTGTCTTTTCACATAGTCCCATATTTCTTGGAGGCTTTGTTCATTTCTTTTTATTCTTTTTTCTCTAAACTTCTCTTCATGTTTCATTTCATTCATTTCATCTTCCATCACTGATAACCTTTCTTCCAGTTGATTGCATTGGTTACTGAGGCTTGTGCATTCGTCATGTAGTTCTCGTGCCGTGGTTTTCAGCTCCATCAGGTCCTTTAAGGACTTCTCTGCATTGGTTATTCTAGTTATCCATTCATCTAATTTTTTTTCAAAGTTTTTAACTTCTTTGCCATTGGTTCGAACTTCCTTCTTTAGCTTGGAGTTGTTTGATCTTCTGAAGCCTTCCTCTGTCAACTTGTCAAAGTCATTCTCCATCCAGCTTTGTTCCATTGCTGGTGAGGAGCTGCATTCCTTTGGAGGAGGAGAGGCACTCTGATTTTTAGAGTTTCCAGTTTTTCTGCTCTGTTTTTTCCCCATCTTTGTGGTTTTATCTACCTTTTGTCTTTGATGATGGTGACATACAGATAGGTTTTTGGTGTGGATGTCGTTTCTGTTTGTTAGTTTTCCTTCTAACAGTCAGGACCCTCAGCTGCAGGTCTGTTGGAGTTTACTGTAGGTCCACTCTAGACCCTGTTTGCCTGGGTATCAGCAGTGGTGGCTGCAGAACAGCGCATATTGGTGAACCACAAATGCTGCTGTCTGATCGTTCCTCTGGAAGTTTTGTCTCAGAGGAGTACCCGGCTGTGTGAGGTGTCAGTCCGCCCCTACTGGGGGGTGCCTCCCAGTTAGGCTACTCGGGGGTCAGGGACCCACTTGAGGAGGCAGTCTGCCCATTCTCAGATCTCCAGCTACATGCTGGGAGAACCACTGCTCTCTTCAAAGCTGTCAGACAAGGACATTTAAGTCTGCAGAGGTTATTGCTTTTTTTTGTCTGTGCCCTGCCCCCAGAGGTGGAGCCTACAGAGGCAGGCAGGCCTCCTTGAGCTGTGGTGGGCTCCACCCAGTTTGAGCTTCCCAGCTGCTTTGTCTACCTACTCAAGCCTGAGCAATGGCGGGTGCCCCTCCCCCAGCCTCGCTGCAGTTTGATCTCAGACTGCTGTGCTAGCAATGAGCTAGCACAAACCACCTTGCAGTTTGATCTCAGACTGCTGTGCTAGCAAAGAGCAAGGCTCCGTGGGCATAGGACCCTCTGAGCCAGGTGCAGGATATAATCTCCTGGTGTGCCATTTGATAAGCCCATTGGAAAAGCACAGTATTAGGATGGGAGTGACCCGATTTTCCAGGTGCCATCTGTCACCCCTTTCTTTGACTAGGAAAGGGAATTCCCTGACCCCTTGTGCTTCCCGGGTGAGGTGATGCTTCACCCTACTTCAGCTCATGCACAGTGTGCTGCCCCCACTGTCCTGCACCCACTGTCCAGCACTCCCCAGTGAGATGAACCCAGTACCTCAGTTGGAAATGCAGAAATCACCCATCTTCTGCGCCACTCATGCTTGGAGCTGTAGACTGGAGCTGTTCCTATTCGGCCATCTTGGCTATCTGTACTGTGCTGAAATTTTAAAAGCCAGAGGGCAAAGATGACAATAAGAAACCAGTCCTCCAAATGCTGAGGGTGATTGATGTTTTCTCAGTTTTCTCACAATAAGGCCCGGGTATATGTGCTCAACACAGAGTGAGGACTCAAGATTATAGACACATGACTGTGTAAAATGCCTAGTGGGTGGAGAAGAAAATGTCTGAAACTCCATAACCTGGATGAAAATCAGAATGTTTAAACAGACTTCATGTGAAGTTGTTGCAACTCTTGGAAGAGGCAACAGGAAAGCCTTTCCTTGACTATTCCTATTTTGGTCAACAAGTAGTTCATGCTCTAGGATTGACAATGTTTAGGTTTACCCTTTCTGTCATGTAGCATTTTTATAAGTTTCTTGGCTATTCCTCCTTCCCTATGTTGAGGATCTGTCACCTACCTTCTCACATGTAATGCACTCTCAGAGTGGCCATTTGTTCTTTCTCTTTTGTCCCTGGTTCTTTGATACAGCTTGGAGATGCACTGCACAGGTGCCTGACTCACACCTGAGAAACAAAGAGGGAGATGTTGCTGAAACAGCCAATGGCCACAGAGTCAGGACTGCCAGTGGGGAAACTGCATCCCCATTGAGGAGTCAAATGCACATGCATCAAACTCTCTGAATGGTCTCATTGACGCCCCTCTCACCAGGCTTGAGGTGAGGGGAGGCAACCATGGGTGGAATGGGATTCATGGCATAGCTTTCTGCAAATTAATTCTCTTCCTCTTATCTTCACATCTTAACCTTTTCTGCTGTCAATATGAATGAGAGCTTAAGAGTCTTACAATAGTTTCCAGAACCTGCTTTTCAGATTTTGCATGTGGAAGCTATTTCGCAAAAGGCTTCATTGTACCCTCTAAGTGCTTCAGGGTTTATAAAGGGTCTGAATATAAGTGTGGAGAACAAACAGATATGAATTCAACTGTGTGGTGTGGGCAAGGTGTACAGATGATGGAAAGAGCTGAGAGGCTCAGCTATGTTTCCTTCCCTAAATCTGGAATTTTTTCAGTATATGACTTCGAGCAAACTATTTCACTTCTCCAGGTCTCAGTTTCTTTGGCTGCAAAATGCCCTGTCTGCCTAGCAGGGAGCTCTAAAACTATTGAGATAATACATGAAGAATGTGCTCCTCAAATGCAATAATAATTCTTTTGTTCCCTTCTTTCCCAGGTCCTGGCTGAGTCATCATCCATCACAGCAGGCTGGTACAACATCACAGTGGAGGACAATTCTCTAGGGACCACAGAGGATATGAATGTGACCTGGGTTAGCAAAGGCCTCCCCAAGAAGCTGGAGCAGAGTGGGGCACCAGGATCAGCCCCCAATCCCTGGACCTTGGCTGTGAGCCTGCCTGAGCCTGAGCCAGTGCAATGCCGGTCTTCTGTATGTGGTCAGAAACTTCAGACACCAGAAAACTGTCACCTTAGATGTTGGAAGAGTCTGTTGAGCTTAACAAATTGCCAGCAAGGTGAGTGTGCCCAACTCTGGAGACACTTCTTTCCCAGGAGATTGGGAATGCAGTGTTTTGGTGCTCACCATCTCCAGGAAACATTCAACCTTCTCAGCATGTATTAGTTCATTCTCACATTGCTATGAAGAAATACCCTAGTCTGGGTAATTTTTAAAGAAAAAAGGTTTAATTGACTCACAGTTCCACATGTCTGGAAAGCCTCAGGAAACTTACAATCATGGTAGAAGACTAAGGGAAAGAAAGACACCTTCTTCACAGGGTGGCTTGAAGGAGAAGTGCCAAGCAAAGGGGGGACATCCCCTTATAAACCATCAGATTCCATGAGAACTCACTATCATGAGAACAGCATGGGGGTAACTGCCCCTATGATTAAATTACCTCGAACCAGGTCCCTCCCATGACACATGGGGTTTATGAGAACTACAATTCAAGATGAGATTTGGGAGGGGACACAGCCAAACCATATCACAGCCCCTAGGACCATACAAGGTTGGGAGATTCAGAGAAACCACAGTTGGCACACGTGTCAGGAAACTATGTGGAAGGAGAGAAATCAGGGTTTTCAAACAAGAAAAGAACGGTGATACCAGGCACTTATGTCTGCTCTGCTCTGAACAGCACTTGAAGAGCCATTCAGTGAATCAGGAGTCTTATTTGTAAGGAGTAACCTCCAGTTGGAAACTAGTATCAGAAGAAGATAGAGGGAGGAAGGTTTTGACTCATATTAAAGACAGTTTTCTGTAGTCTGAGTCATCCAAAAAATAAAAAATAAATAAATAAAAGCTTTGGGAAACAGTGAGGTTCCTGTCACTGGTGTAGTGTACACAGAGGCACAACCACTTGGTAGGGGTCCTAGAAGTGCAGGAGGAAGTTGGACTCCTAGTGAATTTTCTTCCAATGAAACAGAACAAATAGTACCCACACACACACACACACACACACACACACACACACACATATTCTATGTATTAGCTCATGTGATTATGGATGCTTGGTGAGTTCAAAATATGTTGTGGGAGGCCACGAGGCTGGAGAGTCAAGAAATACTGGAAGTTTGAGTCTAAAGGCAGAGTGTGCTAGAAAGCCAGGAAGAGGTGATGTTGCAGATGAAGTCAGAAGGCAAACTCCTAGAGAAGTTTTCTTGCTCAGGGTTGTCAGCCTTTTGTTCTATCAAGGGCTTCATTTGACTGAATGAAACCTCCCAGTATTACGGAGGGCAATCTGTTCTATTCAAAGTCCACTGATTTAAATGCTAACCTCATCCCCAGACATCCACACAGAAACATCTAGAATAATGTTTGACCATAAATCTGGGCACAATGACCCAGAAAATTTGATGGGACTTTATTTCATTTTTTTGGGGATATCTCAGGTTTTCCAAGACACAAAGAAACCTATCTTCTTCTGACAAGCTTTAAAACATATTTGTTAGAACAGAAACTACCAATTCTTTAAAGGTTTGAAGCAATGCACCAGTAATAGGATACTTACATAAGTTTTACACTTTCTATGTTGTTTTTGTGAGGTAAATCAATTTTAGTGATATATATTTTCCTAGAAATTTGTCATTTCATGATTATTCTTAACTTGAACAGACATTATATATTACATTTTTCTAGAGTTTTGTTGTTTTCGTTTTGCTGTCTTAAATATGAAAGGATCTTGCTGAAAGGCTAAGTGATAAATTAGGTGAAGATTCCAACATTGTGAGCTACAGAATCCCATTCACCAGTCCAGTTTTTCTCACTGAGTCAGTTTACGAGTGCAGTTTGGCGGTTCAGTTGGTGGGATGCAGCGTGTTGATGGATGTCCCCTCCCTCTACAACCTCTGCTAGAACTTGGAAATAGGGGAGATAAAGTGTGTAGGTTTTTTTGTTTCTGGAAAGTAAATATAAAGCCACCTACTTGATCACAGAATAGGTATGGAGATTCCAGCTCACACAACAGGGCACAACTCAGTCTCACAGATAAACATGACCAAATAAACAATATATTGATCTCAGGGTCAGGGTAGGAGATCAGTAAGAAATGGAGCATAAAGAAAGGTGAATGGTAGAGATAGCTGAAGGAGAATTCCAGGCCCCAGGCAGGTAAATCCTACTACGGAATGGAGAGCTCAGACTCTAGAAAGCTAATGGAGTCAACACCAGCTGCATCTGCTCACCTGCCCTGACTCACAACTCCCCAAGTAGCCCGTCGATGTCTTGGTTTCCCATATGGCCTGCCTTTGGGAACAGGACATTCTGGTCAGGCTAATGAGAATTTCTTTCTACCCAGTTGACAAGTATACTTCTTACTGTAAATTAATAAATAAGCAATGTGGTTTTGTCAACCAGTGTCTTATGACATTTGTTAGCAAGATTTTGTTTCTACAAGTTACGTCAATTCTAGAGAATAGATGAGATACAGCTTCTGGGGATCAGGCTCACAGTCTGAGGCTCAGACTTTCAGTTATGGTGAATACATCACAGAAATGCCAATCTGTGGGCTCTCATCATTCATTCTGTCCTTCATTCATAGAACATTTACTGTTCTATACACAGAGGACACACTAAGGACCACCTTGGAAGACAAACTTCTCCTTGCCAAGAATGTGACCATTTGAATTTCACAAATACTCCAATAGGCCAGTGTTTTCACTTCTCAATCTTGATTATGTGTCAGAATTACCTTTTGACATTTAAAAAAATTACAGATGATACCTAGTTTGGGGACAGGGCCCAGGCATTCGTTTTTAAGAGCTCCACAGGTGGTCTGATGTACAGCCAGGCTTATGAGCCATTCATGGGGATTTCCCATTTGGATCAGCTAGACCACATTTTCCACTTTGCTGGTATTGTTTAGACAGGTCCAGAGATGTTTTGGAGTGATTTCAGTAAAGACTGTGAATGGGTCATTTCAACACAATAGGAAGTGAAAGTTAGAATAAACACTTTCACTGGTTTCCAAGATGATCATCTTCCTGTTGTCGTGCATGTGACTTAATCTTTCTGAAGCACAACTATGATCCTGTCACTGCCTTTCCCAAAAATTTTAATAGATGATCTTTTTTCTAAGTGTTACAGACAATCTAATGATACAGAGAAAGAGACAGATCCCAGAAAATAGCCACTGTGGACTGTTTCACAACTTTTAGACTTGCTTTATGCCCAAGAAAACAGATGTGACTATATATTTATAATACCAGGATAATACTATACATGATGCTCCATAGCACACAATATTTCACAGACACATTCCCATTTACATAATTACATATTAAAATGTGAATTACATATTAGAATGTAATTTATCCTTTTTATTACCTAAACAGTACACTATCATGTGGAAAGACTATAATTGATTTAACCAGTATAATGTAGTGGTGAGGAGCCAGGATTTTAGTCTGAATCCCAGCTCTATCACTGAATTGAGTCTTGGATGAGTTCATTGACTCATCACTATTCCAGTTTCCTGAGAATAACAATGGTATCTACATACTAGGATGTATAGCTTACTCTTTGAGTCCTCATTGGCCCATTTGTTTTTGGGGTTTTTTGTTTATATGTTTGTTTGTTTGTTTTCCATAAGTTATTGGGATACAAGTGGTATTTGGTTACATGAGTAAGTTCTTTAGCGGTGATTTGTGAGATTTTGGTGCACCCATCACCCAAGCAGTCTACACTGAACCATATTTGTAGTCTTTTATCCCTCACCCTCCTTCCAATCTTCCCTCCAAGTCCCCAAAGTCCATTGTATCATTATTATGCCTTTCTGTCCTCATAGCTTAGCTCCCACATATCAGTGAGAACATACGATGTTTGGTTTTCCATTCCTGAGTTACTTCACTTAGAATAATAGTCTCCAATCTCATCCAGGTCACTGCAAATGCTGTTAATTCATTCCTTTTTATGGCTGTGTACTATTCCATCATATATATATACCACAGTTTCTTTGTCCACTCATTAGTTGATGGGCATTTGGGTTGGTTCCATGATTTTGCAATTGTGAATTGTGCTGCTATAAACATGAGTGTGCAAGTATCTTTTTCAAATAATGACTTCTTTTCCTCTGGGTAGATACCCAGTAGTGGGATTGCCGGATCAAATGGTAATTCTACTTTTAGATCTTTAAGGCATCTCCACACTGTTTTCCATAGTGGCTCTACTAGTTTACATTACCATCAGCAGTGTAGAAGTATTCCCTGTTCACCATATCCATGTCAACATCTACTGTTTTTTTTTTTTTTTCGATTATTGCCATTCTTGCAGGAGTAAGGTGGTATTGCACTGTGGTTTTGATTTGCATTTCCCTGATCATTAGTGATGTTAAGCATTTTTTCATATGTTTGTTGGCCATTTATATGTCTTCTTTTGAGAATTGCTCATTCATTTCCTTAGACCACTTTTTGATGGTTTTTGTTTGGTTTTTTTCTTACTGATTTTTTTGAGTTCGTTGTAGATTCTGGATAGTAGTCCTTTGTCAGATGTATAGATTGTGAAGATTTTTCTTCCACTGTCTGGGTTGTCTATTTATTCTGCTGACTGTTCCTTTTGCCATGCAAAAGCTCTTTAGTTTAATTAGGTCCCAGCTATTTATCTTCGTTTTTATTGCATTTGCTTTTGGGTTCTTGATCATAAAATCCTTGCCTAAGCCAATGTCTAGAAGGGTTTTTTCAATGTTATCTTCTAGAATTTTTATAGTTTCAGGTCTTAGGTGAACAATCCAGACTAAGTACACCCTGATTCACATTTCTGTAATAAGTGCTGTGAATGAACATTCAAGGAGGAGGGAGAAGGGCACCAGGAGGAGGTTGCAGTTTTAAATAGGATGGTCAGGGTAGACTCCGCTAAGATAACATTTGTACAAAAACCTGCAGAAAGTCAGGAAATGAGACAAGCAAATACCTGGAGAAAGGGAATTCCAGATAGAAGCAAAGGCCCTCAGGCAGAAACATGCCTTGTCTGCTGAAAGAATAGCAGGGTGGAATAAAGGCAGAGAAGGTGGGAGATCTGGTTAGATGGTGCAGGGCCTTGCAGGTAAAATGGAAGCCATGGAAGGAATCATGTAGGTTATAGCCATGAGCTAAGGAGAGGGTAATACAATATAACCTACATGTAGGTTATAGCCGTGGGCTAAGGAGTAAGTAATATGATATAACCTACAGTTTTCTAAGAATTACTCTAGATGCTATTTTGAGAATAAACTTAAGAGGCTAAAAATAGAAGCAAGAAGACTGTGAGGCTACTGCAATACTGCAAGAGAGTGATGATGACTATATGACCCAGCAATTCTATTCCTTGGTATATATCTAAGAGAAGTGAAAACAAATAAAACACACATCTACACAAAATGTACATGTACATGAATGTTCATATCAGAGCCTAAAATCAGATACAATCCAGATTCTGCCAACTGATCAATGAATAAACAGTTGTAGGCTGGTTGTGTTGGCTCATGCCTGAAATCACAGCATTTTGGGAGGCCAAGGTGAGTTCACTTGAGCCCAGGAGTTTGAGACCAACCTGGGCAATTTAATGAGACCTCGTCTTTATTCAAAACAATAATAAAAAAATTTTAAAAACAAGTTGTGGTATATCCACACAATAGAATATTATTCATCCACAAAAAGGAATGAAGTACTGATACATGCTACAACATGAATAAATCTTAAGAATATTAGGATAAGTGAGAGAAGCCAGACACAAAAGGTCACACATTGTATGATTCTGTTTATATGAAGTGTCCATCAAAGGCAAATCCACAGACACAAAAAGTAGATTAATGGTTGCCAGGTGGCATAGGAGAGGGAAAGGGAAAGTGACCACTAATGGGTATGGGGTTCTTTTGGGGGTGATGAAAGTGTCTGAAATTAAATAGTGCTCATGATTGTACAACCTTGCAAATATACTGAAAAGAACTGCATCGTACCCTTTACATTCATGAATTTATGGTATGTGAATTAGATCTATCGCTATTTATAAAAGAGACAAAGGCAGGAAAGGAGTGGGTTGGAACTAGGAAATATAGATAATTATTTCAAGAAAAATTGCTACAAAATGGTGAAGAAAAATGGGACAGTACTGGAGGGAGTGTGAATTTGTAGGATTATTTTACGTTTTTATGCTAATGAAAATATTTCAATAAAGATTGGGAAAAAAATAAGAATACTGGAAAGAAGAACTTGTAGGGAGATGTCACTGAAGTAGCCAAGTGGAGAGAAAATCTGGTCCAAGAGGAGCACCGGACCTAACAGGAACAAGAACTGTTCACAGTCACAAGGTGAAGGCAGAAGGTACAGGATCAGATACAGGGTGGCGGGTAGGCTTGGCCCTCTCCTGGGAAGGAGAAGCAGGCACCTTGAGTGGCTGAGCAGAGCAGGGACTTCTGGTTAGCTGAGGGTTGAATAGTCAGCCCTGACAGACCCCACTTCCTGGAAGAAGAAACAAGGCTCAGCCCTCAGGCTGCCAGGGAGGATCTGCCCTAGAAACTGGATGGTGAGCACAGCCAGCAGGAAGATGAAGAAAGACTCAGAGAGAGAGAGAGAGAGAGAAAGAGAGAGAGAGAGAAGGAAGGGAGCAAGAGCTCTCTGACCTACAGAGAAGCTAATCCTGAAGAAGAAAAAACAAGCCAGACAGGATCTGGTTATAATTGAGGTGGAGTTAAAAATTCATTTAAATAATATAAAATGTAACTCTCACACATAACAAAGTTTTGTCCACTTTTCTGACACTTCCTTTCTATCATTACAATGGAAAACCAACAGTAGTTTCCTCTCAACTCATGTATGACACCAAAACTCTTCTCCCTGGTGCTGTCTCCACTGTCCCCACGTCTCTGTCTGGAGCCCATAATGGCAGGGACTTTCTTCTCCAGCTCCCTGTGGCAGATGTAGGGACACTCCAGGCTCTCTTACCGTCCCTGCTAATGAAGCCGATGTGGCCTCACCTCCCTAGTAAATGTGCCCTTCATGCAGCCAAGACTGCCCTGGCTCAGGGTTGCCAGCCTCCTCGCCACTAAAGGGCCATTTCCAACCAAATATGCTGCATTTGTAAATCATAACAGAGCGCTCTTTTCTTTTTATTCCCCAAAGACAGCAGAATCTGAACAGCCCACCCAGTGATCAGGACCCAGCTAGCCCAGCCCCACCCAATTGCCCTCCCTTCCCAGGGACCCTACCACTCACTGAAGAGGAGGCAGATGAATCCCAGGAGTTGGGAGGCCCAGTGAGGGGCTGGTCCTCAGAGCAGTAGCCCATGGTAGGCCAGCTGCCACCTGTTCAGCTGCAGAGGAAACAACAGGAAGGGACAAGGTAAGAAAAGAAGAAAAGCTTGAGCCTAGGAGGCCTTACACAATCTTCCAGGATGGAACTAGCAATATTTGACCAAAAAAAAAAAAAAGGTCAAACTTTGTAAAATATTTGAAGAGGCTTATTCTGAGCCAAATGTGAGGACCATGACCCATGACACAGCTCCAGGAGGTCCAGAAAACAATGCCCAAAGTGGTTGGATTAGAGATGGATTTCATACATTTTAGGGGAACAGAAGTTACAGGCAGACATCAATCAATACATGTGAGGTATACATTGGTTTGATCCAGAAAGATGAGACAACTTGAAACAAGGGCTTACAGGTCATGGATGGATTCAAAGATTTTCTGATTGACAATTGGTTGAAAGAGTTAAATTATACCTGAAGACCTGGAATCAATAGAAAGGAGTAGTGGAAAGATCAACAAAATTGATAGACTGGTAGTAAGACTAATAAAGAAGAAAAGAGAGAAGAATCAAATAGATGCAATAAAAAATGATAAAGGGGATATCACCACCGATCCCACAGAAATACAAACTACCATCAGAGAATACTATAAACACCTCTATGCAAATAAACCAGAAAATCTAGAAGAAATGGATAAATTCCTCAACACATACATCCTCCCAAGACTAAACCAGGAAGAAGTTGAATCTCTGAATAGACCAACAACAGGCTCTGAAATTGAGGCAATAATCAATAGCTTACCAACCAAAAAAAGTCCAGGACCAGATGGATTCACAGCAGAATTCTACCAGAGGTACAAAGAGGAGCTGGTACCATTCCTTCTGAAACTATTCCAATCAATAGAAAAAGAGGGAATCCTCCCTAACTCATTTTATGAGGCCAGCATCATCCTGATACCAAAGCCTGGCAGAGACACAATCAAAAAAGAGAATTTTAGACCAATATCCTTGATGAACATTGATGCAAAAATCCTTAATAAAATACTGGCAAACCAAATCCAGCAACACATCAAAAAGCTTATCCACCATGATCAAGTGGGCTTCATCCCTGGGATGCAAGGCTGGTTCAACATATGAAAATCAACACGTAATCCAACATATAAACAGAACCAAAGACAAAAACCACATGATTATCTCAATAGATGCAGAAAAGGCCTTTGACAAAATTCAACAACCCTTCATGCTAAAAACTCTCAATAAATTAGGTATTGATGGGACGTATCTCAAAATAATAAGAGCTATCTATGACAAACCCACAGCCAATATCATACTGAATGGACAAAAACTGGAAGCATTCCCTTTGAAAACGGGCACAAGACACGGATGCCCTTTCTCACCACTCCTATTCAACATAGTGTTGGAAGTTCTGGCCAGGGCAATCAAGCAGGAGAAGGAAAAAAAGGACATTCAATTAGGAAAAGAGGAAGTCAAATTGTCCCTGTTTGCCGATGACATGATTGTATATCTAGAAAACCCCATCTTCTCGGCCCAACATCTCCTAAAGCTGATAAGCAACTTCAGTAAAGTCTCAGGATACAAAATCAGTGTACAAAATCACAAGCATTCTTATACACCAATAACAGACAGAGAGCCAAATCATGAGTGAACTCCCATTCACAATTGCTTCAAAGAGAATAAAATACTTAGGAATCCAGCTTACAAGGGATGTGAAGGACCTCTTCAAGGAGAACTACAAGCCACTGCTCAAGGAAATAAAAGAGGATACAAACAAATGGAAGAACATTCCATACTCATGGGTAGGAAGAATCAATATCGTGAAAATGGCCATACTACCCAAGGTAATTTATAGATTCAATGCCATCCCCATCAAGCTACCAATGACTTTCTTCACAGAATTGGAAAATACTACTTTAAAGTTCATATGGAACCAAAAAAGAGCCCACATCGCCAAGTCAATCCTAAGCCAAAAGAACAAAACTGGAGGCATCACACTACCTGACTTCAAACTATACTACAAGGCTACAGTAACCAAAACAGCATGGTACTGGTACCAAAACAGAGATATAGACCAATGGAACAGAACAGAGCCCTCAGAAATAATGCTGCATATCTACAACTATCTGATCTTTGACAAACCTGACAAAAACAAGAAATGGGGAAAGGATTCCCTATTTAATAAATGGTGCTGGGAAAACTGGCTAGCCACATGTAGAAAGCTGAAACTGGACCCCTTCCTTACACGTTATACAAAAACTAATTCAAGATGGATTAAAGACTTAAATGTCAGACCTAAAACCATAAAAACCCTAGAAGAAAACCTAGGCAATACCATTCAGGACATAGGCATGGGCAAGGACTTCATGTCTAAAACACCAAAAGCAATGGCAACAAAAGCCAAAATTGACAAATGGGATCTAATTAAACTAAAGAGCTTCTGCACAGCAAAAGAAACTACCATCAGAGTGAACAGGCAACCTACAGAATGGGAGAAAATTTTTGCAACCTACTCATCTGACAAAGGGCTAATATCCAGAATCTACAATGAACTCAAACAAATTTACAAGAAAAAAACAAACAACCCCATTAAAAAGTGGGCGAAGGATATGAACACACTTCTCAAAAGAAGACATTTATGCAGCCAAAAAACACATGAAAAAATGCTCATCACTGGCCATCAGAGAAATGCAAATCAAAACCACAATGAGATACCATCTCACACCAGTTAGAATGGCGATCATTAAAAAGTCAGGAAACAACAGGTGCTGGAGAGGATGTGGAGAAATAGGAACACTTTTACACTGTTGGTGGGACTGTCAACTAGTTCAACCATTGTGGAAGTCAGTGTGGCGATTCCTCAGGAATCTGGAACTAGAAATACCATTTGACCCAGCCATCCCATTACTGGGTATATACCCAAAGGATTATAAATCATGCTGTTATAAAGACACATGCACACGTATGTTTATTGCGGCACTATTCACAATAGCAAAGACTTGGAACCAACCCAAATGTCCAAAAACAATAGACTGGATTAAGAAAATGTGGCACATATACACCATGGAATACTATACAGCCATAAAAAATGATGAGTTCATGTCCTTTGTAGGGACATGGATGAAACTGGAAACCATCATTCTCAGCAAACTATGGCAAGGACAAAAAACCAAACACCACATGTTCTCACTCATAGGTGGGAATTGAACAATGAGAACACATGGACACAGGAAGGGGAACATCACACACCGGGGACTGCTGTTGGGTAGGGGGAGGAAGGAGGGATAGCATTAAGAGATATACCTAATGCTAAATGACGAGTTAATGGGTGCAGCACACCAACAAGGCACATGTATACATATGTAACAAACCTGCACGTTGTGCACATGTACCCTAAAACTTCAAGTATAGTAATAATAAAATTAAAAAAAAAAAAGAAAAGGGGTTTTGGAGACCAAGGTTCTTATTATGTTGAGGAAGTCTCATAGGTGGCCACCCTTAGAGGCAATAGATGGCAAATGTTTCCTATTCAGACGTTCAAAAGGTGCTAGACTCTCAGCTAATGTCTTCAGGATCAGCAAAGCACCTGGAAAGGGAAGGGGGTTCTCTACAGAATGTAAATTTGCCCCACAAGGAACAGCATTGCAGGGCCATTTCAAACTACGTCAAAGAAATATATTTCAGGGTAAGCTATTTTTCTTTCAGGGCCTGCTGTCCGTCATTTTGTGATGTTTCTTATTGCTACAAAGAGTCAGTTTTGTCACTCTTAAGATCTGTTTTAATGTTAATGCTGGCTAGTTGTGCCTGAATTCTCAATGGAGAGGAGTACAATGAGGCATATCTGACCCCCCACTTCCTATCATGGCCTAAGCTAGTTTTTCAGGTTTTTTTGGAATCCCCTTGGCTGGGGGGTGGGGGTCTATTTAGTCATTTGGTGGTTTAGAATTTTATTTTTGGCTTACACAAGTTAATTCTTGTTTGACCTCTGGCTAGTTAGTTCTGTTGTGACAGCCCACGATTTTAAAGAAAGCTCTTTCAGCTTATTCCAGCACCTGCAGTGTATACTCAGTAGGTAACTGTAGAATAAATGTGGAAAGAACCTCACTCTGTAGTGTTCCTGGCACTGCACTGAAGAGCCCCTCTCCGCACGCAGCCCGTTGGTGTTCTCGCACACACCTCCCCCTGCTTGCCAGCTTCCCTGTGTTCACAGCTCTGCCCCAGGTAGCCCTGGTCACCAGTGTCAGCCTATGGTCAGGCACAAAAGTCATACTCTTATAGCAAGGCTCAGCTAGGCCCCTCCTGTTTTTAGTGGTTTTCCTTTGTCCCTACCCCAATTAATGATTAATTTCCTTTCTGGTTTTCCACAAACTTCAATTGTCAGTTGCCTAAGTAACAAGCTGTGGGCAAAAGAACAAAGGCCTTTGTGGGAAGTGTTCACTCCCCCCATACCCAATGCAAATATTGGCATTTATCTTTTGCTGGGAACCAGTATCCAAAGTCCTACAGTCTATCGTCCTGGAGGCTTAGCTCCACTCCCACACACTCAGACCACTACTTACAAACTCATTTTAGGGATATGCGGCTTGAGACACAGAGAGGTTATGCAATGTGTAAAAGGTCACACAGCTAGTCAAGGGGCAGGATCTGGCTTCTAAGGACAAGCTTGAGGCTCACCCTGCAGTCTCACAGCTGCTAGCCCATCTCACTGTGTGACTTCATGTAGGTCACCTGGAGTCCAGTCTGTGCTCTCCCCCAAACTGCTCTGCAACATCTTAGAAGAAATAACGTTTAATACTGGCTTAATTTCCATCCTATCCTGCCTACTAATAGGTAAATATCTTCCACAGGCCATTTGTGCATCCTGGCCACAAACTTTTTCTATTGGAGCAAACTCTGAGCAGCTCACCCATTGGTCACCCTCAAGTGTTATGGGGCCAGTCCCACACATGTCACTGCACCTCTCCTGAGAGGTCTCTTTTTTGGGGAACTGTTTGAAATGGAAACCATTCTGTGATAGTAGGAAGGAACAGCATGGAGAGAAGGAACTGGCAATGTAGCACAGTCTGGAAACAGGAAGAGAGAGTCAACCCCAATATACACTCCACACTGGCAAAAGACCAGGAACTGACAAAAAAAAAAAAACTCCAGAAGACTAATCAGTTTTTCAGCATCCCTTCCATTCTGTGCTGAGGCATGTCAACCTAAAAAGAGGAGGCAGAGGCACAACATATTATTGAAAGCCTTTACTTGAGCCAAAGTGAGGACAGTTGCCTGGAAGACTCAGACCCAAGTAACCTTAGACGTGTGCTCTGTTCACCCTTTGTTACAAGCAGCTTTTTAAAGGCAAAGCAGGGGACAAGGATGGGCTGATACAAAGTTGCTTGTCAGGAATTCTGCTTGGTTTACAGAAGTAACATTGATCAGTGATTGGTTATACACTGTTTAGCTGTAAGGTATGAGTTATAGTGTCTGGTGTGGCATAGTTAGGTTAATTTATAGCTACTTGTCCCAATAACAAGCAGTTTCAAGAGATGAATACATAGCTCAAGGGGGAGAGAAGGGCATGAATGCTGTCTTATTTTAATGTTTCTCTGTGCCTGATACTTTAAAAGGACTGGCATTCCTCAGATAAAAGTTTTTTGTTTTTTGTTTTTTCCTTTCTCAGGCATATCACGTGCACTTTCACACACACCAACCACAAGTCCTTTGGTAAGAGTTTACTTCCATAACTTCGTGGTGCTGTTACAGGTAGTTAGAGAGGCATGAGCAGGCAGGAGAGGGCTCTCCTCTGACCAGCTAGGAATGTCAGGTGATGATTCCACAATTATCACACTGTCTCTCTAAAAATGATAATTCGGTAGCCAGGGAGAGACAATCTCCTGATGGTCCACACCTGTTAACATTCAAACTGTTCATTGAATGCAGGCCCCAGGGAGAAGCAACTTCCTGGGCATGCTTGTGAAGAGAAAAAATGAGGGCAGGATGATATCCCAGGTACAATCTACCAAAAAAAGGAAGAAAGCCTCAGACGTGCATGCATGTAACTCCCTAAACACACTGTGTGTGCTCAGTTGCAAAGGGTAAGGAGAGCACTGCCCATGCAGAAAGCCCACCCTAGGGGAAGAGTCATGGGAAAGAGGCAAGCCTATAAAGTCCCAGGATCAAGGTTAAAGGCCCCTTTTTGCTCCCATTTTCTCTCTTGGAACTTCAGGCACCCACTTGCGTCTCTTCCAAGTGAATTTTCCTTTCTTTCCTGTTCTAAAGCCTTTTTCAATAAACTTCCACTCCTACTCGGATACTTGCTTCAGTCTCTTTTTCTGCTTTATACCACCCAGTCAAATTCTTTCTTCTGAGGAGGCAAGGACTGAAGTTGCTACCCCACTGCTAACTCCAGATAACTGGGATCTCTGCCATCACTAACGGTGCTTGCTGGTAATGCTTTGGGGAATTAAAGGAAGACAGATCTGGATCTGTAGCAGCAGACTGTGTGTGTGGCGGGGGAAAGTGCCACATAGCAGAGAAATGTTGATCAAATGTGATTGAGTCTAGGAAGAATAAGAGGTCTGCAGGACTTAGTGACCCTGAGAACCTAAATCCCTGGAATTCAGAGAAATTCTGGGAAAGGCTCTGGATGTCTCTGTAATATGGGATGGGTGGTCACATTTATTTTATTTGAAACCCGAACCATAAGAAGTGCCAGATGAATACTAGGGTACATGAAGAATGTAATTACTGAATATTTGCTATATCCTGTGGCTTTATATGCATTATTTTAATTAATCCACAACATACATCAAATCATTCTCAAAATAACCCTGTTGTCTAAGCATTACACGCACCTTCTAGGTGGTACAGCATCCTAGATGTCCGGAGAGATTAAGTAACTCACTCCAGTACACACCTATGGTAAGTGACAAGGTGCACAGCTGTCAATGAAACCATCCTCACAGCGTTAATAAGAATGATGTGTGGGGTTCTGGGCAGAAATATAGTCACAGTGAAGCATTAATCAGGTGCACTTTGACCCACTTCCTTGTAACTGAAATTCAAGTAGCCCTAGATCCTATTTGCATCCTTATTGTTCCTATAGATAGAATCACTGGTGTTAGAATCATAAGGCTTTCATTAATAATTAATTAAGACTTTTTCAGATCCTGATTTCCAGCTGACACCAATCAGTTTTAAGATTCCCAAAGAAGCTGGGTACCATGGCCCACGCCTGTAATCCCAGCACTTCAGAAGGCCAAGGCAAGCAGATCTCTTGATTTCAGGAGTTTAAGACCAGCCTGGCCATCATGGCAAAACCCCATCTCTACAAAAAATACAAAAATTAGCCGGGTGTAGTGGAGGGCTCCTGTAATCCCAGCTACCTGGGAGGCTGAGGCAGGAGAATCACTTGAACCCAGTGGGCAGAAGTTGCAGTGAGTTGAGATCGCGCCTCTGCAGTCCAGCCTGGGCAAAGAGTAAGACTCTGTTTCAAAAAAACGCAGAGACACTAAATCAGCATGAGAATGCAGTTTCTTCATCTCTGCATCCCATGGCTTCACTCTGCACTGAGAGCAATCAATGATCCCCATGCCTTGGACCATTCCAAAGCCCTTAACTTTTTGGGGAGGTATATTTGAGGTTTGCTCCTGTCTCCTCATTCAGCAGGCTTACAATTAAAACTCTTTCTCAGGATAGTCCCTAAATATCTGTTCTTCCTTCTCTCCTCCTCTAGACCCAACTGCCTATTTGCTGATAAATAGTACTAATACTAATACTGATATTTAGGTTAAAATATGTTAGAGCAAAAATTTCAGAAAATAAATAATGGGTGGTTGCAATGGATTATTAAAGGAGGGGTATACAAATACTGAATAACTTTAGCTTTAATATTAAAAGCTTTATAATTCAACATATGTATTAGAAATGATGGAGTAAAGAGCCCCAAAAAGTCTATCTTCTGAGTGCTTTTCCCTACCTAAGATCTGAGTTAGTCAAAACAAAGACTAATCCTTCAGGCAGCCTCTATCCAGTTAGAACCTTGTGAACAAGGTGTGCTGTGCTCCCTCTCAGTTGAAGGAAAGAGTTGGCAACCGGGATGCTAATTTAGAAGTTCTAAGGTATTCTCCACCTGTAATCTATTGCTCCAGAATTCTGCAGGTAAGTTTCCCTTCTCCCTACCTGAGATTCCTCCACTAGGCAGCACCTGGACAGATTAGAACAGTGTGAATAAGGTGTGCTCTGCTCTCTCTCAAGTTGCCTCTCTCGAGTTCTCTCTCTCGAGTTCAACTTGAGATAGAGAATTGAGAATTGGGATGCCTCCTTCCCAAGACCAAGAGCATACCTATCAGGCGTTGGGGTGAGTTCATAAAAAATTGCAATGGAATTTCCTATTAATTTGAATGTGGCTTTTTCTTGTTTGGATCATCATTTGGTTGCTGGAGATCTTTGATTGTTTTTCAGTAAAGTTGGCTCCTATTTAAAAAAAAAAACCCTCTCTTTTGTAAAGCAATGAGAAAACTTGCTAACTTTGGAGGGAACTTTTTCAGAATTCTGAAAATTATCCAACAACTTGCAGCAATTCAAGAAAAGTTCTAATCTCAATAAGAACAGAGAGCTTTGTGTTTTATAACTTTCTCCAGTCCCACATCCCACACTCCAACTCCACTGTAGCCTTGAAATGTATCAATGTGCATTCATGGTGAAAAACAGCAGTCTAGTAGCTACTCAAAGGAGCAGAAAAGAGTTGAAGCTCTTTTAAAGGTTTATTCCCAAAGAAATGTCATTCTTTGATCTCTTAGTGGTTCCCAGGAAGACCCTACTTGCAATGATGTCAGTATTCGATGTATCTTGAAGCTCTCCCACTACAAAAAGCCCTTTGGTTAGAAGACATTTGTTGAAAGCAACTATTAGTAATTGTTTAACTTTGTGGCTGTGTACTGCAATGGATAACAATAAATGCAAACAACAGAGTAGCCAAAAAGCTTGAAAGGAAAAGCTTTGAATGAGTTGTCCACTTGGGCTTTGAAAAGCTCTCACATATTTCTCAGAATCTAGAAGACCACGCACATCCCTTTACTGTGTGCATCGCACGTACTGTGTTGATGCTTAGTAAAGGCTTCAAAAAGCCCTACACTCTCACCATAGCTGAAACTGAGGCTCTGTGCAGGCAGGAGGTGCAGACTAAGGAAGATTTGTCAACTACTCAGCTGAGTATTGAAAATATACCCCAATATGCATTTGGTGCCTCTCAGCAATGACTGGTGTCAACGAAAAGAATCAAACTCAGTAAAATATTTGAGGAGATTTATTCTGAGCCAAATATGAGTGACATAGCTCTTGGGAGACCCTGAGAACATGTGTCCAAAGTGGCCAGGGCGCAGCTTCATTTTATACATCTTGGAGAGACATTAGACATCAATCAAATACATTTAAGATATACATTGGTTTGATTTTAAAAGGCAGGACAACTCAAAGCAGGGACTTCCAGGTTGTAGATAGATTAGGCAATTTTCTGATTGGCAATTGGTTGAAAGAGTTATTATCAATAGAAAGGAATGTCTGGGTTAGGATAAGAGGTTGTGGAGACCAAAGTTTTATCATGCAGATGAAATTCCAGGTAGCAGGCTTTAGAGAGAAGAGATTGTAAATGTTTCTTATCAGACTTACTACGTGAATGTTAAATGCTGATAGGCTTTTTCTGAATTCCAAAACAAAGGCGGGCATAATGAGGCCTGTCCGACCCCTACTTCCTGTCATGAACTGAACCAGTCTTTGAGGTCAAATTTGGAGTGCCCTGGCCTAGAGAAGGAAGTCCATTCAGATGGTTTGGGTTGGTGTAACCACCCAATGGGTTCACCTTGCCCGCTGCCTACACAGAGCCAGTTGATCAACACAGGAGAATTGCATTGGCAAAAGAGTAATTCACACAGAGCCGGCTGTGCAAGAGGCCAGAATTTTATTATTACACAAATCAGTCTCCCCAAGCATTCGGGGATCAGAGTTTTTAAGGATAATTTGGCAGTTGTGGGCTCAGAAAGTGGGGAGTGCTGATTGGTTGGGTTGAAGATAAAATCATAGGAAGTCAAAGTGAGTTCTTCTTGCTGACTTCTGTTCCTGGGTAGGATTGCAGAACTGGTTGAGCCAGATTATCAGTCTGGGTGGTGTCATCTGCTGCATCGGAATGCAGGGTCTGCAAAATATCTCAAGCACTGATCTTAGGTTTTACAACAGCAATGTTATTCCCAGGAGCAATTTGGGGAGCTTCAGACTCTTGCAGCCAGAGGCTGCATGGCCTCTAAACCTTGATAACTAATCTTGTAGCTAATTTGTTAGTCCTACAAAGGCAGACAGGTCCCCAGTCCCCAGGCAAAAAGGGGATTTTCAGGAAAGGGCTATTATCCATTTTGTTTCAGTTTAAACTATAAACTGAATTCCTTCCTAAGGCTGGTTAGGCCTATACCCAGGAATGAACAAAGACAGTTTAGAGGTTAGAAGGAAGATGGGGTTGGTTAGGTCTGATCTCTTTTACTGACATAATTTCCTCAGTTATAATTTTTGCAAAGGCGGTTTCAGTGGAGGGCTTTGTATTTTACTTTTGGTTTACACTGGGAGAAAAATTGGTTCCAGGTGTGTATGCAAAAAGAATTTAACCTTGCTCAAAGTAAAGTCTGGTTTTGCCCTTGGCTGGGAGGTAATCTTTAATTCCTTGGAATGTCATGCCTGATAGGAGTTACTTTGATTTACTGGAGGCCTTGGATCACTGGATCACCAAATAATATGATTTAGGGTGGGTGCTAGCCACACCAGATAGTCTGGCCATGCCAAAAGACCACCAATGTGATTTAGGGTGGAAACTTTGGTTCACCTGCTATCAGATGACTTCCAGAATGGCTGAAGTTAAACATGTGGGCAATTAATCAGGCCTACATGATGGAGCCCGAATAGTAACTCCGGTCATGGAGACCCAGGTTGCTGTTGTGAAAAAAAAGCCAAACTCTGTAAAATATTTAGAGGGAGACAGAAGTTACAGGCAAAGACATAAATCAATACATGTAAGGTGTATATTGGTTTGGCCTGAATAGATGGAACATCTCAAAGTGGGGGAGCTTATAGGTCATAGGTGGATTTCTGACCGGCAATTAGTTGCAAAAGTTAAGTCTTGACTCGAGAGTTGAAGTCAGCAAAAAGAAATGCTTGAGTTAAGGTAAGGAGGGGTTGTGGAAGCCAAGATTCTTGGTATGTAGATGAAACCTCTAAGTATTAGGCTTCAGAGAGAGTAGATGGTAAATGCCACTTTTTGGACCTTAAAAGGTGTCGTACTCTTAGTTAAACCTCGCCTAGATTGGGAAAAGACCTACAAAAGAAAGGAGATTCTCTACAGAATGCAAATTTCCCTCACAAGAGAAAACTTTGCAGGGCCATTTCAAAGTATGTACTGGGGCAAAAGACTGATTTTCTTCAGGCCCGGCTATCTGTCATGTGAGGCTATACCAGGGTCAGGTTGGAATTTGGTATCTTATTGCTATAAAAAGTCTGTTTTGTCAGTTTTATGATCTCTATTTTAATGTGAATGCTGGTCAGTTGTGTCAAAACACTAGAAGCAGGCTGTATAATGAGATGTATCCAACCTCCCTTCCCCTCAGGGCCTGACCTAGTTTTGCAGGTTTCTTTGGAATCCCCTTGGTCAAGTAGGGGTGGGAAGGGTCCCTTCAGTCAATTGAGGAGCTTAGAATACTGTTTCTGAATTACAGTGGCAAACTGCACATAGTGTTCTACATTCATGCCACCCAACATGGCACACACTACAGATACCACTGAGCTGATTTGTTTTTACCTTCTTCAACAAAAGTGGCACCCTCCCAAACAGGATGCACCTTCTCATCTTGAAACCGTTAAGCAAGCCATTCATTAACCAAGCAGATCTTTTTTTTTTTTTCTTTTTCTTTTTTTTGAGACAGAATCTCACTCTGTCACCCAGGCTGGAGTATAGTGGTTCAATCTCTGCTTGCTGCAACCTCTGCATCTTGGGCTCAAACAGTCCTTCCATCTCAGCCTCCTGAGTAGCTGGGACCACAGGTGTACACCACCACACCTGGCTAATTTTTGTATTTTTGTGTAGAGATGAGATTTTGCCATATTGCCTAGGCTGGACTCAAACTCCTGGGCCCAAGTCAATTGCTCTCCTTGGCCTCCCAAAGTGCTGGCATTAAAGGCATGAGTCATTGCACCTAGCCTCCAAACAGATTTTTATTGAACCATAGAGTAGTTCATAGGGCATTTCCAAAGGGATCCAAGTGGTCATGGGTTCCAAAAGCTCCTCAAGGGTTTCCAAATTTGGCCCCTGCGGAAAAGAACCTATCTGCTCATGAGTACTCATGATGTTACAGTAGGTAGTCAGGCAGACAGAAGCAGGGCAGGAGAGGACTCGCCTAACTAGGAATGTCAGGTGACCATCAATGATGGTCAGGCGGGTGTTACGTTGTGTCTCTAAAATAATAATTGGTCACAGCCAGCACCAAAAAAAGACAGTCTCCCAATAGATGGGAAAAACTTTAAAATGGTGATAAGCAGCTTCCCAATAAGATCACAGGAGTTGGGCAAGTGGGCTTAAGCATGTGCATTAAGAGGCAAAATGGTGGAGTTTAACTGGTATGTGACCTTCTAGGAACATTTGAACTGGTAAGGAAAGAATGCCTCAAGTGAGCATGTGTACAACTCCAGTAAACACACTGTGCATGCAGCCTCTCCCAAATTCTGGCAGGCTACTGGGCATGTGGAAAACCCATCCCAAGAGAAGAATCACGGGAGAAGGAATGCAAGAACCCAGAAGCATGCCAACATATAAAACCCTGAGTCAAAGATCAAACTGGGAACTTGGATCTCTTAAGTCACCTGCTTGGCCCTTTTCCAAGTGTACTTTACTTCCTTTCATTCCTGCTCTAAAGTTTTTAATAAACTTTTCCTCCTACTCTAAAATTTGCCATAGTCTTTAACTCTGCCTTATGCCCTGTGGTCAAATTCTTTCTTCTGAGGAGGCAAGAACTGAGGTTGCTGCAGACCTATACAAATTTGCCACTGCTAACAAGGAGAGCTCCATCTCTAGTCTCTCTCTCCTCCCCAGAGGTTGGGATAAGGGTGGAGTTGAAATTGCCAACTCTCTAATCACATGCACGGTTCCTCAAGCAACCAGTCACTATCCTGAAGCTCTGCAGGGACCTGCCAAGAGTCAACGCATTAGTGTACACTCAGATATGGTCAAAAGGGGTTCGTGTGAATAATAAAGACATTCCTGTTCCTCAGAAAATTCTAAGGGTTTGGAAGCTCCTGGAAAATTATAAATCTGGGGTTGATCCAAGTGTCCATCTCTGCACAACACTCATGCTGCCTGACACAATCATCAGCCTCTCAGGTGACACCGTTATAAATTCATGCAGCCAATCCCAAGCAAACTTTAACACCACTCAGCAATGTTATGTGCATGACAGCTATTGAAAGATAATATAAATTAATAATAGTGCTTATTGAATGCTTCTTATGTGCCATGACTCTTCTAAGCATTCTGAAGGTTTTAACTCATTTAATCCTCATAAACACTCTATGAAATAGGTTTCATTATCCCCATTTAGAAAATAGAAAAAGGAGACATAAGAACACCAAGTCATTTGTTCAAGTTCACACAGCTGGGAAATATCAGAACCAGGATTTAAATGCAAGTAGTTTGAATCCAGAGCCCACATTTTCATCATTCTACTGATTCCCTCTCACATTCTCCCAAACCTCTCCATATTCTCAGCAAAACCTGAACCCACCCTTGCAAAAATTAAATCACTGAGAAAATCATAACAGTAAGGTGAACTAACTCTCCTCTCTACTCCCCTGCAAAACTTGCCTTTCCCTTAACTATTCCTACGCTATTGGGCTGAGCTAACTTTTGAAGACATTTTTGGCTACAGTCAGGGATTTCCAATCTTCTGGCTTCCCTGGGTCACTTTGGAAGAAGAATTATCTTGGGCCACACATAAAATACTCTAACACTAATGATAGCTCAGGAGCAAAAAACAAAAACAAAAAAAAAAACAAAAAAAAAAACAATATTTTAAGGAAGTTTACAAAAATATGTTGGTCTGCATTCAATGGGGCTTGCAGGGAAGCTAGGAATGATAATAGGCCTTGCCCAAAACTCCACTGCTTTTGTAAAGCTAATGCAAGACCATGAGGCTGAGGAGAGGAGAGGACCCTGAGTCCTGCTAAGGTGCAGGCATAAATGATTCCAGAGGTTATAAGATATGCAGCTTTCCCAATTACTCCTGCAAATAACACCAGTATTGTAGATTGACCTTTCGAGATATCTTTCCAGGTTTTTTGCGTGTCTGACACCCACGGCTCCATCTGGACTGCCAACCCTGCTCTTATGGCCCCACCCATAAGCAATTCAGCTCTCAGAAGGACAGCTTCCACCCCCTGTGATTTTATCTTTGTCCCAACCAATCAGGAGCAAGCACCTGTTACCTGGCCACCACCAACCCTTCACCCAAACTGCCTTTGAAAAACCCCTAACCTATGAGCTTTGAATTAGATTATTTGAGTACAAACTCCATCTCCCATGTGGCATGTCTGGCCTTATGTCTATTAAACTCTTTCTTTACTACAATACTGTGGTCTATCTGTATGCAGCAGGCAGGAAGAAACCCTCCGAAGGTTGTAGCATCTCCATAACCTCACACTTTAACTATCATCCTGTTTCTTGATCTTCCACATCACAGCAATGCCTCTACACTTGCTCCAAGACACTCACTCCTTGGCCTTCCTCTACCAGCACACTTCAGAACACAACCAGTTGACCAGCAACCACCCAGGATTTGGCACTGTTTACCCCTTTCTTTTTCTTCTTCTTGAGAACTCTTCCTCAGTTTCCCTGACATCACTCTCTCCTGGATCCCCTTCCTCCTGCTGTTCTCCTCAGGCTCTTCTGCTGCCTCCTCTTTCTCCACCTTCACCCTTCCCCTGAATGGTACTTCTAAGGGCCTATCATAAGCCCGTTTCTCTCTCTCTCTCTCTCTCTCTCTCTCTCTCTCTCTACCCTTCTCTCTTTCTCTCTCTCTCTCTCTGTCCCTCAGACAGAGGGTCTTGCTCTGGCACTCAGGCTGAAGTTCAGTGGTATGATCATAGCTCACTACAGACTCAAACACCCAGGCTCAAGTGATCCTCCTGCCTCAGCCTCCCGAGTAACAGGGACTATAGCTAGGTATGTGCCACCAAGCTCGGATAGTTTTTTAATTTTTAATTTTGTAGAGACAGGGTCTTGCTATGTTGCCCGGGTTGGTCTCTAACTCCTGGGCTAAAATGACCCTCCCACCTCAGTGTCCCACAGTGCTATGAATGCAATTGTGACCCACTGTGCCCAGCCTTTTTTAATCTTCTCACTGGGACATCCACTTTTCTGCCTTCAATGATCATCCCCACGCTGCTAATGCCCAAGTCTGTATCTCCAACCCCCATCCTCTGCCTAGCATCAGATTCTGCATTCAGCTCTCTACTAGACATCTCCACTGGTGCCTCAAACTCGGTGTGTCAAATGCTGCGTTTATCTTCATCTTCTAGCCTATTTCTGTGTTCCCATTCTCAGGCAATGGCCCCAACCAGGAACCTGGACCTTGTCTTTGGCTTCTTCCTCTCCCGACCTCCTTGAGAAGACGATAATCCCTGCAATGTGTAAGATCCATTTTAAGCACCTTACATGCAGCAGTTTTATTTTATTGTCACAATCTTAAGGAGGAAGAAAAAAGAGTGATTCTAGCACTTACTGGTGAGGAAATTTAAGCAGCGCTCTCTAAGCCTCAGCTTCCCTCCCATTTTGTGCCATCTGAAGCAGGTTCCCCTATTCTCATCCCTCTCCCTGTCCCCAGTCCACGGGAGATGCTTCTTTTATGTTCTCCACTCCTTCTCATCACACTATATTGCAATGTGCCACGTACCGTTTTTGTATCCTATGGACACGACACAAAAGATGATGGATTATTCTTCTCCCACAGGAAATGAAAGCAGAAGCAATTATTATGTATACTATCTGGTAATAAATGTGTGCTTTATTTCATGGAAAATGTTGGAATAGTTTCAACTGGTTTACGTGGGCTTAAGAAAAATTACTGAAAAGCACATTTTTTGTTTTCGCTTATTCAGTTCTTATTCCCCTCCATCTCTGACTCTCCTGTGCTCAGTGAGGTAGAAAAGTTTCACTCACCAGAATTCCCAGGGGGAGGCTGCAGGGGCTGGAAGCCTGGACAGTCAAAAATTAGATACAGATTCTGGTCCTGTGGCTTGTTGGATTTCAAAGCAGGTTGAATCCTCAGCCTTCTGAATTTTTTTCTATTAAAAGGCAGCACATTGATGAAGAAAGAATAGAACCCTGAGGATTAAGGCTTCCCTTACCTGCAGACATGGCCCCTACTCTCATCTGGAAAACTAGTTCTGCCTTACCAGTCTGTAATAACCTCACTCACCTAGGATCCTCCTTTCCTGAAAGAAGATACCAATTTTCCTTATGCCTCAACCTCTTACTCCTTATTCCTCCAGGCCTATAAACTAGGTCACTGCATATCCCCTGGGTCAATAAGATAGTCAGACTTCAGAGGAGTAGGCTTTCACACCAAAAGACTTGCCAGTTTTTGTTAATTTATTTAGCAAAGATCTGCAAAATACTAATGGTAATAGATTATGAAGGTATTATACCCAGAAGGGAGAAATATAACAGACAGCTTCATTGTATCCCATTCCCTTTGCCATCATGCTGATCTACCATAGGGATTACATTATGATGATCTGATGATGTAGTGAGAAGCCAATAGCAGATACGCTAGAGGCACAAAAGTACCAAGATAAATCTCATGAAAGTTAGGGGGCCTGACACCTTAGTAATGTTTCTAGGAGTCCAGTCATTTGGAGAATATCAGCACATTCCCTCAAAGATAAATGCAATCTTGCTTCACCTTGAATGCACTGTCATTAAGAAAGAGACATCATACTTCGTAGGTCTTCTTGTACTTGGAGACAATATACATCGCAACTAGGTGTATTATGTCAGCACATTCACTAGCTATAAGACAATCAACTTTGAATGGGCCCAAAGCAAGAGAAGATTCTCCTGCTCGTTCGGGCTACAATGTAAGCATCTCTGCCATTGGCCCTTATGGCCTTGCAGACCTAAATGTGCTTGAGGTGACCTGGAGCCGTCTGATTTCTCCTTGAAGGTATGGCAGACTAAGATAACAACAACAATAAAAAACTAACAGATGTTCGTTGAATGTTAAGCAGAACCACATAATCTTAAGAAAATAACTCTTTTCTGGTATAGCTTTAGGTTTGCTATACCTGACTGATATGGTTTGGATCTGTGTCCCTGTCCAAATCTCATGTCAAATTGTAATTACCAGTGTTAGAGGTGGGGCCTGGAGAGAGATGATTGAATCATGGGAGAACTTTCTCATAAACGGTTTAGCACTATCTTCTCAGTGCTGTCCTCATGATGGTGATTGAGTTCTTGTGAGATCTGGTTGTTTCAAAGTGTGTAGCACCTCCCCCTACCCCTTGGCCCTGATCCTGCCATGTAAGACATCCCTGCTTCTCCTTCACCTTCCGCCATGATTGTAAGTTTCCAGAGGCCTCCCCAGAAGCAAAAGCCACTATGTTTCCTGTACTGCCTGCAGAATCCTGAGCCAAGTAAACCTCTTTTCTTTATAAATTACCCAGTCTCAGGTATTTCTTTATAGCAGTGCAAAGACTAATACACTGACTATGAGACACACCAAATGACTATGCAACCTGAGCCACCCTCAACTGGGTATTTTCTAATTCATGCACCCCTATAATCAGGTATGTCCAACAGCATTTTATCATCAAGTGGAAGTTACATATATATAAGAACAGGCTCAAGCAGGACTTGAAAACACAAATGAGTTGCATAAGCAGGCAGCTTACAATAACAGTGCACCTACTCCTGCTGCCAAGACCATCTCTAACATTTGTGGAACCCGGGGAAAGGGTACACATGGAGATGCAATCACCATCATATGTCTACATATAAAAAAATTATAAATTAAGCTAACACATGTTGAATAAAGTATGTTCAGTTCTCTGATTTTGAAATATTGTCATGTGATCACAGCAGAATGAGTAAATTCTAAGAAATTATTCATGAAGCTGCAAGGTGGAAATTGGTGTTTACCCAATGGAACCACAAATTCTTGAGAAACTGGAAACTTTCCTGGAAGGGGAATGGAGGTCTGTGGTCAACACTGCGCTTACTTGGGCCTCCTTGCTTTACTTGATAGAACAGAATTTCCTGAACACTGGACTGTTTCTGCTGGGGGAACAACTGCCAGGAAAGTCACAGGGCTATGCTGAAGGAAACTTGTTCACAAACAAGAGACGCTTGCAGGAAGCACAGTGCCAATGACGAAGTGACGTAAACTAAGAAAGTGTCTACAATGACCAGTATTAGAAAACATATCTGGGTTTACAGCCACAAATGCCTCCTTCTCTGTGAAGTCAATGCCTAGCAGGGGTCTCACAGGTGTTTGGTAACGTCCATAGTCAGAGAGACTCATATGCTGGGTTTCTGACCACACATCAACCGAAAAGAAGAAAAGGCCTCTATACAGGTGTTGAGATTAGAGAGATGTATTCAGTGAGATGCCACAGGGGACAAGGGGCTTGCTAGCTAGACCATAGCATTATAGAAGAATCGATAATGAAGTTTTATAAAGAAGCCTGAACTACACAAGAGGGGTCTCTATCGGTCTTGGTGAAGCTATTTGAGAAACATGAAGAGATGGTACAATATTTGTCAAATAGACCAAGTGATGGGGTTGGAATGGGAGTCATCAGTTCTGATTTAGGGATCTGAAGGCAATGTATATATGTTCAGCCCCTACAGTTACATTTCTGCAAAGCAATGTTCTTCAGGTGGGGAAATAAAGAACTTCCACCTCTAGCCAGAGAAGAAGCCCAGACCACATGCGTAAGAGGTATTGTCATACACATTGTCTACTGATCTTCATGCATGTTTAGTGGGGTCAAGGAGTTATCACAGGTGTGACCACTCAGATTTTAGTACCCAGCAGTCCTAGTATATGTGGAATGGATTCAGATAAAACAATGCACTGCCTCAATCCTGGGAGTCAGAAATTCCCACATGCTTGATTCAGGCAAGAAACAAACCATTTAAGGAAAGAAAGGTAAAACCATCTTTGCAAAATTAGTAAGAGAAATCTGACATAGTTGACTCCTTCTTGCTTCTAGCTTTCAAGCTGTCCTTGGTCATTCCTAGGCATTGGCCAAGCTAATTTTGGAAGGATTTAGTTTATAGTTTAACCTTAAAGCAAGGATGATAATAGCCCTTCCCAAAACTAAACTGCTTTTGTAAAATTAATGAGAGGCCAAAAGATTAGGATTATGCTGGGGGCTTGAATTCTGCTAAGACATAGGCATAGTTAAATAACAACCAGCCATTGTTCCAGAGGTCACAAGATTTGTAACTTCTCCAATTACTCCTATAGATGGCATCACTATTGTAGAACCTAAGATTGCTCTTTTGAGATATTTTTCAGACTTTGCATTTTGGCAACTGACTGACTCCACCTGGACTCATGACTCAACTGGTCTTGTGGCCCCCAACCAAGAGCTGGGCTCAGCACATGAGGATGGTTTTCCACACCCCTATGATTGCATCCCCAACCAATCAGTAGCACTCATTCCTGAGTCCCGTACCCACCAAACTATCCTTGAAAAACCTTAACCTCCAAGCCCTCAGAGAGACTGACTTGAGTGATAACTCCATCTCCCATCTGGCCTGCCTCACATTAATAAAACTCTGTCTCTGCTGCAATAGCATGGTTTCAGTGAATTAGTTTTGTCTTGGTGGGCAGGAAGAACCTGTTGTGTGACTACAAAGAGTGTCATGTAGCAGAGGGCACCTGGAGCCAACTCCCACCCAAGGAATTCAAAAATGAAAGTCAGGAAATGAGAAGGGAGTTACAGTGAAGAATAGTTCTAGATTTAGAGGTCAAAGAACTGAGTAGATAAACTATTCTACTCTTCTTATAAGAGGAAAAGACCCTGGGGAGAGGGGCCAATGCAGGCAGGGCACCTGATAAATGATGCTCTCTTCCAGAAAGCAGGAGTATGATACCACGGTGGTCCCTGACTCTAAAGAAGACATGTGGCAGAAACCCAGCTCTAAATTCAAATGAGACATGTTTTTGTCAAACAATAGTTACACACTTCCCAGCTTGAACCCCCTAGCACCTCCTAATGATAAAGAGAGACCCCTGCCTGGCTGGGTTGCAGGGATAAAACCAGATTTGGTGAGCTGGTGCCCCCAAAGGAAACCAGGAGACATAAAAGACCATAGAATTACAGGATCATTGAAAGTACCCAGAGGAATGTTTTGTCTCCACCAGTAGAGAAGATGGGGAGTGTGATACTACAAAGGACAGAGGAGTCCTGTGTCACAAATATATATTGTACTTTACTTCTCCTTTCTCACCCTTGGATGAGAGCATTTGCAAGGAGTTACAAATGTTATTTTGAGAAGATGTAATGAGATGGAGAAAGTTTTATTCACCAAAATTCCAAAGAGGCTGAGGAAGGCAGATTAGCTTAAGGAAGACATGAGACAAGCAACTGGAGTAGAGAGGCTGTACTTCCCCTCCAAGTGGGCTGTGCCTAGTGCAAAGAGACACTGGTCAGGAGAAGTCTCTGAGCCTTGGTTTTCTTAGATGCTAAAGGAGGGTAATGTCACCTAGTTAAGAAGACTATGTATAAAGCCAGATTCCCAACCCATGTCCCAGGACCTGGTGCTGAGTAGAGGTTCCCATTGTCTTGGCCCTTCCTGCCTCACTGTCCTTCCCAGCCTCACAGGTACCATATGGCGTATGAGGTTGAACTAAGATCATACATGCAACATCTCCAATATAGATCTTGCATACAGCAGATGCTCAACACATGCTTATTCCTCTCTTTCCTTCTTACCAAGTCCTTTTCATCTTCTCAGCTCAAGAAAGCTTCTCAGTTAACCAGCCAACATTGCTTACCTAGAGCAGTAACTGTCACCACCTTAGAACTGGTTTTGCTGTATGCAAGATGTATATTGGGGATGTTGAAAGAATCCTTCCCAAACTCTTCTAAAAGATTGAAGAGGAGGGAACCCTTCAAAAACTCATTTTAGAAGTCCAGCTCCACTCGAAGCCAGAAAAAGACACTACAAGAAAAGAAAATTATGGGCCAATATAACTGATAAAGATAGATGCAAAGAAATCTAGAAATACTAGCACATTGAATACAACACAACATTAAAAGGATCATACCCCACAATCAATTGTGATTTATCCCTGAGATACAAGGCTGTTTCAATATATGTGAATCTATAAACATGACACACCCCATTAGCAGAATGAAGGACAAAAATTATATGATCATCTCGATAGATGTAGAAAAAGCACTGGACAAAATTCAACATATTTTCATGATTAAAAAAGAAACCTCTCAACAAATTAAGTATACAAGGAATGTGCCTCAACATAATAAAGACTAGGTATTACAATCCCACAGCTAATATCATACTTAGTGATATAAAGCTGAGAGCTTTCCTCTAAAGTTAGAAACAAAAGAAAGGATTTGAACTCTCGCATCTATTTAATATAGTTCTGGAAGTCCTAGCCAGAGAATTTAGAGAAGAAAAATAAATAAAAGATATCCAAATTGAAAGAAAGAAGTAAAATTGTCTCTGTTTGCAGATGACATGATCTTATACATAGAAGTCCCTAAAGATTCCACAAAGAATTCTTAGAACTAATAAAAAAAATTCAGTAAAGTTGCAAGATATAAAATCAACATATTAGTGTATGCTTCCATACACTAATAACAAACTATCCAAAAAAGAAATTATGAAAACAATCTTATTTATGATCACTCCAAAAAGACATAAAATTCTTAGGAATAAACTTAAGGAGGTTAGAAAACTACACTAAAATTTATAAAACTAATGAAAAAATTGAAGACACAAGTAAATTGAAAGGTATCAGTGTTTATGGATTGGAAGAATTCATATTGTTAAAATGTTTATACTACAGAAAATTATCTACAGATTTAATGCAATCTATATCAAAATTCTAATGACTTTTTCACAGAAATAAAAAAACCAATCCTAACATTTTTATGGAATCACAAAGAACCCTGAACAGTCAAAGCAATCTTGAGCAAAAAGAACAAAGCTGGACACATGATACCACTTGATCTCAAAATATACTACAAATCTGTAGTAACCAAAACAGCATGGTACTAGCCAAAAACAGACACATAGACCAATGGAACAGAACAGAGAGGCCAGAAGTAAGTCCATGCATTTACAGTGATTTTTGATATCAGTGCCAAGAACACACACTGGGGAGAGAGCAGTATTTTCAATAAATGGTTTTGGGAAAACTTGATATCTACCTGCAGAAGAATGAATAGAACTCTTATCTCACACCATGTACAAAAATCAACTCAAAATGGATTAAAGACTTAAAATGTAAGACTTGAAACTATAAAGTTACTAGAAGAAATTATAGGACAAAAAGTCTATAATATTGGTCTTGGCAATGATTTTTTTGGATATGAGCCCAAAAGCACAGAAAACAAAAGCAAAAATGAACAAATGGGACTATATAAAGCTAAAAAGTTTCTTCACCACCAAGAAAACAATTAGCACAGTGAAGAGACAACTTACAGAATGGGAGAAAATATTTGCAAATCATACATTCGATTGGGGTTAATATCCAAAATATATAACAAACGCAATAGCAAGAAAACAAATAATTCAATTTTAAAATGGACAAAGGATCTGAATAGACAATTCTCAAAAGAAGATACACAAATGACCAACAGGTATATCAAAAATGCTCAACATCATTAATTATCAGGGAAATGCAAATTACAGCCACAATGAGCTGCCATCTAACACCTGTTAGAACGGCTACTATAAAAAAATGAAAGATAACAAGTATTGGTGAGGATGTGGAGAAAAAAGAACACTTGTACACTCTTGCTGATAATTTAAATTAGTACAGCCATTATGGAAAACAGTATGGAGGTTCCTCAAAAAATTATAAACAAAACTCTATATGTTCCAGCAATCCCACTTCTGGTATATATCTAAAGGAACTGAAATCAGTATGTCAAAGAGATATTTGCCCTCTCATGTTCAATGGAGCATTATTCACAATAACCAAGATATGGAATCAACCTAAGTATTCATCAGTAGATGAATGGACAAATAAAATGTGAGGGGTGTGTGTGTGTGTGTGTGTGTGTGTGTGTGCGCATGTATGTACACACAGTGGAAAGCTATTCAGCCTTAAAACACAAATAATTCCTGTCTTAATTGACAACGTGGATGAAACTGGAGAACATTATGTTATTGAAATAAGCCAAGCAGAGAAAGATAAATAAATATGTGGAAGGAATCTAAAAAAGTCAAACTCATAAAAATTGAGAGTAGACGGGTCATTGCCAGGGGCTGGGGGTTGGGGTGGGGATATAGGGAATACTGGTCAAAAGGTATAAAAAATCACTTAGGATGAGTAAGTTCAGGAGATCTATTGTACAACATGATGCCTATAGTTTATAATAATGTATTGTATACTTGAGAATAAGGAGAATAGATCTTAAACATTCTCACAACAGAGCATAATAAGTGTATGAAGTGATGAGTATGTTAATTAACTTGAGTTAAGCATTTTCACAATGTATATGTATATGAAAACATCATGTTGCACACTGTAAATATATTCAATTTTTATTTGTTAACTGTATCTTAATTAAAATAAATACAATAGAGGTACTAAAAAAGTTGAGTATGTTTCAACCCAGGCTTTATCCCTTAGAAGCTTATTAAAGATACACTGTCTAGTCCCACCCCAGAAATTCTGATTTGATTGTGTCTCTGTTGGGCCTTAGGTATTGGAGTTTTTAAACAGCTCTTGTGGTACTGCTAAAGTGCATCCAGGGTTGAAAATTATGATTTAGTCAGGTTTCACTAGGTTCTTGCTACTGAAAATGTGGTCCAAGAACCAGCAGCATTAGCCTCCTTTAGTAGCTTATTAGCAGTGCAGATTCTCATGCCTCACCCAGACCTATTGCATCAAAATATGCATTTTAGCAAGATCCCAGGTGATTCCTAAGTATTGTAAATGTTTAGCATTGTTACTCTAGGCACAGTGCTCTAGGTGTTCTGCTGGGTTTCCATTTCTTCCTGTTACTGATGCCCCTTAGCTGTGTTTATTTTTCAATTGCTTACCCATCAGTCCATTTACCCTCAGTAGTCAAGAGACCTGTGAGGGCCTCTTAAGCATCAGCAAGCCAGCTGTGATAAGAGCTATGGCAGCCTCCACTCCTGGAGCCCACATGGTACCAACTGCATGCACTGAAAGAACACACTCTCCTGTCACGCCAGCAGTGAGCCTCCCAACTTCATGGGTTGGACTCAGCCTGGAGCATCTGTGTAGTCCGACAATTCCTCTGAGCCATGAGATGATGAGCCTCGGGGCTGGAGCATGGATGTGAAAAAGGAAGATGAAGACAGAGAGGTGGGCGCTAGAGAGATCCTGAGGGGAGTGCTCAGCTTGGGGTCCTGGGGAAGAAGTGCAGGGAGGAGACCCCAGAAAAAGTGAGCAGACTGAGGATGACAGTGGGCAGATAGAGGCTCACTGACCTCTCCTGTGAATCAGCCCTGGCAGAAGGCTGGGGAGCAATGCTGAGAGTAGGAGGTGTGTGAATGACCAGAAGTAAAGGGTGGCAGGTGTTAGGGACTGAGCAGAAAGCTATGGTGCCCTTACATGGGCCTGATAAGGTGTCACCTCACTTCCACATGCCCTAGGTGAGCATCTGCTGCATGCAGGTGGATCCACTCTCCTGCCAGTGGTGCCATGCTCATGCTCAGCGGCTGCTCCCCAGGCCCTTCCCACACGGGACATTGCTAACCTGCAGACTAGTGAGATTGACAGCCACCACCCTTCCTATGTGGAGATCAGCCTCCTGAGGCTCCCTAGGGTGAGCATAACAAAATGAAATCGGGGCAACTGGCACATGTTCAGAGGCCAGGAGTCCTTGGAGGCCCAGGATACTTTGCCCCACAGTCGGGCTCTGGGTCCAATCCTTTCCTTGGACAATATGGTTGCACACCTAGGTAGCCAAAGCATGTTAAGAGCTGCAAGATAAGTGACTTGCACGTACAATACATTTGTAATCTCATCAGTGCCTTTCTGACACCCAGTGAGGAGCAATAGCAGAGGAGAGGATGGGGTACTGAGGCTCCCTGAGGTGAAAGACTCACCAAAGGGCCCACCTCTTGGCAGTGGGGAATATGGCCAAGAACCCTGGAGAGGCTCACCATCCACAGGAAGAAACTCAGGCCACAGGAGAGGTGAGTGTAAATGATCAGGTGTCCGGTAGGACTGAACTGTCTGTGCAGGACCCAAAGGAAGTAAAAGTAGAGGGCCTGGCAGGTCCTGGAGGCAGGGCAGATACTAGAATCCATGGGCATCAGAAAAGGCCAACTTTCTCCCTCCCCTTTCCAGTCCCTCCCATCTTCCCTACTCCAGAGCCTACCATGAATGCCCCTGCAGGTATAAAGGCTTTGGCCCCACTGATAAAATGCCCCTGGGAGAGCATCTCATATGGCCGCTGGCCCTTCATTGGAAGTTGGTGCTATGGTCCCCCATGGAGTAATTCTGCCTAGGGGGAGACCTGGAAGAGCCAGAGGAGCAGAGGGCACTGAAAGGGCTTCCCAGAAGCAGTGGCTCCCAGACAAGTATGATCAGAATCACCTGGAGGGCCTGGTAAGACAAAGACTGCTGGACCCACTCACGGTGTTTCTGACTCAGTGGGTTGAGGGTAGACCCGAAAATTCCCATTTCTACCAAATCCCCAGGTGATGCTGACCCTCCTGGTCTCATACTTTGAGAACCGCTAGGCTAAAGAGCAGACAAGGCAGACAAGCAGAGTTTAGCCGAACCTGACTCCTTGTTCAGCCTGGACTCTCAGGAAGAGCCAGTGGCTGGGTCCTCTCCTCTTTCATCCTTTGACTTCTCTAAAGAGGGAGTAACTAGATCGTTGAGGCACAGAGCATCAGAACCTTAGAAATCCCCTAATTGGTTGCAGTCATTTATGGTGGGGGAAAGTGGGGTCCAGAAGGAACTCTGGGGCTTACCCAGAGAACCATGGCAAGCACAAGGCAGGACGGGGCCTCCTCACTCCCAATCCAGTTCTCTGTCCACTGTCCCCACCTGCCTCAGTGCCTGTCACATTGTGCCTTCCCAACTCGGCCCTTCTGATGTATGTCCTCATCTGTCTTGGGCCTCAGGGAACTCAGAACATAACTCTTTGGAATCCAAGCCCCACTACCCCCAACTAGAGAAACACAGAGGTGGGGGAGGGGTACAATTTTAACACAAGGGAGCGGAATGTGGGTCTGAGATAGAGAAACGAATCAAGTGACGTTCGACCCAGATACTCAGTCCTATTCTGAAGCCCCCTGCCACCTCAGTCCCTGTCCTGGAGGAGCTCCCAGACTGCTGGAGAAAATGAATACTTCCTGGGATACAGGGAGAGGACCACAGAGGTGGGAGTGGCATGAAGATACAGTGCCAGGAGAGATGGATGTGTGACCCAGCTCTGATCCTGACTTCTTGTTCAACCTTAGAAAGTTTCCTTTACCTCCCTGGGTCTCATTTTCCTCTTTTGCATAATATGGATTAAAATAATAGTACCTTACATTTAGCTTGTGCTTTGTAGTTTTCCAAAGCAACTTTTCAATGAGAGTAGTCATAGCAATTTACAACTTTGTCCAAGAAATATTTATGGAATTCCTACTGTGTTCCTAGAATTGTTCTCATCTAGGTTACAGAGGTCCAGATCAAAAAAATACAAAAGAATAAGAATCCTTTCCCTATAGAATATACATTTTAATGCAGGTAGAGATGGGGTAGAGAGAATGACAAAAAAAAATACGAAGTGTTAGAGAATGACAAGTGCTCAAGAGAAAATAAAGCAGGAAAGGGAAATAAGGAATATGATGGGAGTGTAACTTTAACTAAGGCTGTCTGTCAGGGAAAGCCTCACTGAGAAAAGAAAGCTTGGATGAGATGAGGGCGTGAATAATGTGGAGGTTTGTGTGGTGGGAGAAGAATAGCATCCTGGGCAGAGGACAGAACAAGTGCAAAGACTCTACAGAATGTACGAAGCTTGAAAGGGGTCTCAGTTGAAGTTTATTATGGGGAGATATCAAGCTTCATAGCCAAAACTAGGTGGTTGAGGACAACAAGCACAGGAAGACAGGTAGCCTGGCTGGCTCCTCTACATAATTCTTAGAAGCTGACCAAGCCAGCTCCTCAATCCCACCAGAATTGCAGAATGACATGAAGAAGAGAAGCTGCCATGCACAGAGCCCCACGCTGGCTCCAGCAGTCCACACTGTGTATGACAAGATCTGGACAAGCCCAGAGCTCCGGAGTGTGCCTAGACCATGAAGACACTGGGGCAATGAAGGGACTTGGTAAGATCTTCCCACACCACCCTTCACCCCAGGGTCCTCGACATCCTTCCTTAATGTGGAGCTGAGGCCAGAGACCCAGGTCTTCCTGCCTCATCCCACGGAGACAGCAAGGCAGCATGAGCTGCTCCCATGGGTTCCCCCACAGGTAGGAACAGTGACTCTTATTCAAACATCAAAGTATGAAAGGTGAACTCTTTAGTGATCAGCCAGACTTTGTTGACCTGTGACCCACTTAATCCCTGTTAGTGGAACACCCATGGTCAGGCAGGACCTGTATTGGGATGTTCAAGGAATAGTGTCAATTTCCCAGTATATGGAGGGTCCTGGGGCTTTTGAGAAAGATGAGTCTTGGGTGAAGAATCTTTAGGATGTTACGACCCAGCCCGAAACACTACCCAAAAATAGAGAGGTGTGGCCCTTGACTTTGGGAAGGCATGAGGTCTGCAGATACAAGATTAAGGGTCAGCTGCAGTGTGGAAGTGAATGGTGGAAAGGGAAGAAAATGTTTCTCAAGCTCTATCACCCACCAAGATTAATTCTAAGCACAGGACATGTACCATCTCAAGATTTCTCAAAATTCAAGTAATTCACAGACCATCTTACTTTTATTATGTAACGTATACATACAGTACACAAGTCAAAAGGCATCTCCTATTGAAATTATGATCTTGTATCAAGTTTATTGCTGTTGTACATATGGTCTTGTTCCCACATACATAAAGTCTACCATTTTAATCATTTTTCACTTCATCCACTTGAATTTCTGATTAAATAACCATATTATCCATAAATAATTACAATTTTTGCTCTTTCTTTCTGATTTTCATTCCTCATTTCTTTCTCTTATGTAATTACATTGGTTAATAACCCCAAAACCATGCTAAATAATAATGATGATAAAATATACCTTTGTTTTGTTCCTACCTTTAATACAAATACTTCCACTGTCTCCCTACTGAGCATGATGTTGGTTTGGGGTTAAGGCATATATATTTTACCATGTTAAGAAAGTATGGAGGGAACAGCTAAGATGTCTGAATAGAAACAGCTGGGCTCTGTGGCTTCCATGGAGAAGGATGAAAATAACGAGTGAATTCTGCATTTTCAGTTGAGGTATCAAAGTTCTCTCATTGGGACTGACTAGGTGTTTGGTGTGACCCATGGAGAGCAAGGAAAACAGGGTGGAGTGAGGGCCATCCAGGAGCTGATGGGGCAAAGGGAGCTCCCTTTCCCAGACAAGGGAGGCAATGAGGGATTGTGCTATTCTTTCCTGAAAACCAAGCTTTTCCCACGGATCCCTTTAACTCACAGATCAGGAGGTCCCCTCGTGAGCCCATGGCACCAGGGCCTTGGGTCCCAAGCACAGAGCTGTGTAGACTCATGGCAGCTACTCAGGTGGGTGGCCACATGAGCAGGCACTGAGACACAGATGTATACTCTGGCTCTGGAAACTCCAGTGAAGTAGGAGATCCATCCACTGCTGTGGGAAGGGGTCTAAAGCCAGGGAGCCAAGCGACCTCACTCCCATGAAACCCCACAAGCTAAAACCCACTGGCTTGAAATTACTGCAGCAGGCTGGAGACCACCTAAAAAGACCAGGTTCCCAGTGGGAGGGATGGCTCCCATCACTAAGGCTCCAGTCAGCCATTTTCCCCTGCCACCGGTGCAAGTGAGACTGGGTGGTTTGAACTGGGAGCAATTCCCCACGGTGCAGCACAGCAACTGGGTCAGCTCCTGGCCAGACTACTTCTTTAGGAAGGACCCTAATCCACTTCTCCTCACTGGGCAGGGCTTCCGTGTGGGAGTTTCTGCATCCCCAGCCAGGGGTTTATGAACACAACTGTGATATCCCTGAGAGGAGCCCCTAGAAGGAATGGCTGTGGTATAACGGATCAGTGGTCTTAGTCTTTTCTGCCTGCTGGCTCTGGAGAGTCAGGGCAGCCTGGATGAGGGGGATTCCTCCCAGTGCAGCACACCCACTCCACCAAGGGGCAGTCAGACTGCTTATTTAAGTGAGTCTCTGATCCTACTCCTACTGACTGGGTGAGACCTCCCAACAGGATTCTCCAGACACCTCACACAGGAGCACTCCAGCCGGCATCAGTTCTGTGCCCCTCTGTAACACAGAGGAAGGAGCAGGCAGCCATCTTTGTTAGTCTGCAGGCTCTTCTGGTGATACCTCCATAGGTGGGAGGGACCCAGGTGAATAGCGTCTGAACTAGACCCCCAGCAAACTGCAGCAGCCCTACAGAAGAGGGGCCTGACTGCTAAAAGAAAAATAAACAGAAAGCAACAGCAATAACAACATCAACAAAAAAGACCCCACAAAAACCCCTTCCAAAGGTTAGCAGCCTCAAAGATCAAAGGTAGATAAACCCATGAAGATGAGAAAAGAATCAATGCAATAATACTGAAATTTTAAAAAGCCAGAGTGTCTCTTCTCCTCCAAATGATCACAACACATCTCCAGCAAGGGCACAGAACAGGGCTGAGGATGAGATGGATGAATTGACAGAAGTAGGTTTTAGAAGATGGATAGTAATGAACTTCTGAGCTAAAGAAGTATGTTCTAATTCATTGCAAAGAAACTAAGAACCATGATAAAACACTACAGGAGCTGTTAACCAGAATAACCAGTTTAGAGAGGAACATAAATGGCCTGATAGAGCTGAAAAACACAACACAAGAAATTCACCATGCAAACACAAGTATCAATAGCCAAATACACCATGCAGAAGAAAGGATATCAGAGCTTGAAGATTGTCTTACTGAAATAAGGCAGGCAGACAAAATTAGAGAAAAAAGAATGAAAAGGAATGAACAGAATCTCTGAGAACTATGGGATTATGTTAAAAAATCAAACCTACATCTGATAGGGATACTTGACAGAGAAGTAGAGAATGGAACCAAGTTGGAAAACACATTTTAGGATATCATCCAGGAGAACTGTCCCAACCTAGCAAGACAGGCCAACATTCAAATTCAGAAAATTCAGAGAACCCCAGTAAGATACTCCACAAGAAGATCAACTCCAAGAAACATAATCATCAGATTCTCCAAGGTCGAAATGAAGGAAAAAATGTTAAGGGCAGCCAGAGAGAAAGGCCAGGCCACTTATAAAAGGAAGCCCATCAGACTAACAGCAAACCTCTCAGTGGAAACTCTACAAGCCAGAAGAGATTGGGGACCAATATTCAATATTCTTTAAAAAAAAAAAAAAGAATTTTCAACCTAGAATTTCATATCAAGCTAAACTAAGTTTCATAAGTGAAGGAGAAATAAAATCTTTTTCAGACAAGCAAATGCTGAGAGAATTCATCACCACTAGACCTGCCTTGCAAGAGCTCCTGAAGGAAGCACTAAATTTGGAAAGGAAAAACCATTACCAGCCACTACAAAAACACACTGAAGTACACAGACCAGTGACACTATGAAGCAACCACATAAACTAGCCTGCAAAATAACCAGCTAGCATCATGATGACAGGATCAAATTCACACATAACATTATCAACTTTAAATGTAAATGGGCTAAATGCCCCAATTAAAAGACCACAAATGGCAATCAGGATAAAGAGTAACGATCCATCAGTGTGCTGTATTCAAGAGACTAATTCCACATGCAAAGACACACATAGACTCAAAATGAAAGGGTGGAGGAAAATTTACCAAGCAAATGAAAAACGAAAAAAAGCAGGGGTTGCAATCCTAGTTTCTGAAAAAAATGGACATTAAACCAAGAAAGATCAAAAAAAGACAAAGAAGAGCATTACATAATGGTAAAGGGGTTAATTCAACAAGAAGAGCTAACTATCCTAAATATATATTCACCCAATAAAGGAGCACCCAGATTCATAAAACAAGTTCTTAGAGACCTACAAAGAGACTTAGACTCCCACACAATAATAGTAAGAGATTTTAACACCCCACTGTCAATATTAGACAGATCATCAAGACAGAAAATTAGCAAAGATATTCAGGAATTGAACTCAGCTCTGGATCAAGTAGACCTGATAGATATCTACAGAACTCTCCACCCCAAAACAACAAAATATGCATTCTTCTCAGTGCCACATGGCACTTACTCTAAAACTGATCACATAATTGGACGTAAATCACTAATCAGCTAATGCAAAGGAAATGAAATCATAACAGACAGTCTCTCGGACCACAGCACAATCAAATTAGAACTCAAATTTAAGAAACTCACTCAAAACCACACAACTACATGGAAATTGAGCAACCTGCTCCTGGATGACTCCTGTATAAATAATGAAATTAAGGCAGGGATCAAGAAGTTCTTTGAAACCAATGAGAACAAAGAGACAATGTATCAGAATCTCTGGGATGCAGCTAAAGCAGAGTTAAGAGGGAAATTTATAGCACTAAATGCCCACATCAAAAAGCTAGGAAGAGCTCAAGTTGACACGTTAACATCACAACTAAAAGAACTAGATAACTAAAAGCAAACAAACCCCAAAGCTAGCAGGAGATTAGAAACAACCAAGCTTAGAACAGAACTGAAGGAGATAGAGACACAAAAAACCCTTCAAAAAAATCAATGAATCCAGGAGCTGTTTTTTTGAAAAAATTAATAAAATAGATATACAGCTAGCTAGATGAATAAAAAAGAGAGAAGAATCAAATAGACACAATAAAAAATGATAAAGAGAATATCACCACTGACCCCGCAGAAATACAATCAACCATCAGAGAATACTATAAACATCTGTATGTAAATAAACCAGAAAACCTAGAAGAAATGGATAAATTCCTGAATGCATACACCCTCCCAAGACTAAAATAGAAAGAAGTTGAATCCCTGAGTAGACGAATAACAATTTCTGAAATTGAGGCAGTAATAAATAGCCTACCAACCAAAAAAAAACCCGGGACCAGATGGATTTATAGCTGAATTCTACCAGAAATACAAAGAGAAGCTGATACCCTTTCTTCTGAAACTATTCCAAACAATTGAAAAGGAGGGCCTCCTCCCTAACTCATTCTATGAGGCCAGCATCATCCTGATACCAAAATCTGGCAGAGATACAACAAAAAAGAAAACTTCAGGCCAATATCCCTGATGAACATGGGTGCAAAAATTCTCAATAAAATACTGGCAAACCGAATCCAGCAGCAAGTCAAAAAGCTTATTTACCACGATCAAGTTGGCTTCATCCCTGGGATGCAAGGCTGGTTCAGCATATGCAAATCAATAAATATTATTCATCACATAAACATATCTAAAGACAAGAACCACAAGACTATCTCAATAGATGCAGAAAAGGCTGTTGATACAATTCAACATCACTTTATGTTAAAAACTCTCAATAAACTAGGTATTAAAGGAACATACATCAAAATAATAAGAGCCATTTATGACAAACCCACAACCAATATCATACTAAATGGGCAAAACCTGGAAGCCTTCCCTTTTTAAAAGGGAATGCACAAGACAAGGATGCTCTCTCTCACCACTCCTATTCAACATAGTATTGGATGTTCTGGCCAGGGCAATCAGGCAAGAGAAAGAAATAAAGTGTATTCAAATAGGAAGAGAGAAAGTCAAATTGTCTTTGTTTGCAGGTGACATGATCCTATATCTAGAAAACCCCATTGTCTCAACCCAAAAGCTTCTTAAGCTGATAAGCAACTTCAGCAAAGTCTCAGGATACAAATCAATGTCCAAAAGTCACAAGCATTCCTATACACCAACAACAGGTAAGCAGAGAGCCAAATCATAAGTGAACTCCCATTAACAATTGGTACAAAAAGAATAAAATACCTAGGAATACAGCTAACAAGGGAGGTGAACGACCTCCTCAAGGAGAACTACAAACCACTGCTCAAGGAAATCGAGGCTGACACAAACAAATGGAAAAACATTCCATGCTCATAGATAGGAAGAATCAATATCATGAAAATGGCCATACTGCCCAAAGTAATTTATCAATTAAATGCTATTCCCATTAAACTATCATTGACATTCTTTACAGAACTAGAAGAAACAATTTTAAAATTTACATGGAGCCAAAAAAGGCTCATATAACCAAGACAATTCTAAGCAAAAAGAACAAAACTGGAGGCATCACACTACCAGACTTCAAACTATACTACAAGGCTGCAATAACCAAAACAGCATGGTACTGGTACAAAAACCGACACGTAGACAAATGCAACAGAATAGAGAACTGATAAATAAGACCACATATCTACAACCATCTAATCTTTGACAAATCTGACAAAAACAAGCAATGGGGAAAGGATTCCCTATTTAATAAATGGTGCTGGGAGAACTGGCTACGTTCTGCAGAAAATTGAAACCTGTTGGGGAATGGTGTAGGGGGAGGAAGAACATTAGCAAAAATAGCTAATGCATGCTGGGCTTAATACCTAGGTGATGGATGGGTTGATAGATACAGCAAACCACCATGGCACACATTTACCTATGACACTAACCTGCATGTCCACACGTACCCTGGAACTTAAAAAAGAAAGTATGTAACTATTCTAATTTTATCAAAAGTCTTATCAAAAACAAAATGTCATATGTTATCCTCTCCCTTTCTGCATTTGCAAATGTATCATATTTTTTTCTTTTTGTGTATTAATAATACATTAATTTCCTATTATTGAACATTTCCTACATTATTGGGATACACCTCAGTTGATGTATTATTCCTTTAATGTGCTATTGTTGGATAATATTTTTATTTGTGAATTTTGCATCATTACTTGTAAATGGCATTCTCCTGTAGTTTTTATGCTTTACTTTGTCAGTTGGGTATTTGTGTTTTGTTTGTTAAGGATTTATTTATTAAGGATTTATTTTTTCCTTACTTCTTGTAATAATTCAATAAAAATTTACTATAGTAAAAATCGTTCTTTTAAAGAGTTTTTATTACTGTGTTGATTTTAATTATTTTTATTAAAATGTTACTTAAAGATCTACAAACATAACACTGTATAAATGTCTTGTGCCTATAGGTTTTATATTATAAACCAAAAAAATGTATGTAATATAAATAAAAACAAAACAATAAAACAAGGAAGCAATGATTATTTAAACTAATATTCAAACCTACAAATGTAAGGTAATGTGATGAGTGTTTTTGTTCTGCTAAAACTAAGTAATTGATTTGAGATTAAGATGAAAAATGGGCTTCACATCAGGTTCTATAACTTTTTAAAAAAAACCTTTAATACAAAGAATGGTAATTCACATACATCTATTGTACAACACTTGATTAATTTAAAGCCTTTGTTTACCAGTTCAAGACAGTTAACCTTATTCTTAACCAAAAGGCTGCCAGGTAACAACTAATAGATCTGTAAAATTGTTTTTTTTTAACCTGAAAAAAATTAACCTTTCAGCATTATTGAAATCTCCAATCAATGCATATTATCTACTTATTAGTAGAATCATAGAACAAAAAAGTTATTCCCTAGGTGTTTGCTACCATAGTGAGTATTTACTGAGTTACTGCTATCAACTATTGCAAGTGGTTACCACAAAAATAGAATCCCATACCTCTGCTTGAAAGTCAGATATGTTCCTCACAGCTATGGAGCAGGGACTTTTGGATTTGACATGCCTTTTTCAGAGGTGCTGTAGGACAGAAGTGGGCCAATTTGCCAGGCACCAAGTCAGAAAATGATCAAGTCATCAAAATTATCAAAGCTATCCATTTACCCAAAAATCCTGTCTTTTAACTATGAATAAAGCTTAAAGAAATTCTTATTGTACAGAATAGTTTAAACAGCTTTTAAAGATTTCTGTGTCATTCCAGTTGACAGGTTTCCATTGTTTCTTCCTAAGAGCACCTTAAGCACTTTGATTTTTCTCTACCCAGCTCCCTGCTAAGAGAAAGAAAGACAAGTCAGTTCATAAGAAGCTAGAGTTGCTGATTCCTGAAAGCGGGGGACTGAGGGGCAGAGGGAGGAGGAGACCAACAGGGAGGAGGTGGGGTGAATGACAGCCAGAGAAGAAGTCTGAAGCCAGAACATTTTCTTCCCAAAGGTCTTATAACGTATCTGATTCAAATCATTCTAAACTTTATCAATTATTGATAGAAATAAATATTTTATAAATTTAGCAAATTGGTCATTCAGTGATTTGCTCATTCATGAAATGGATTCTCTGGTAAACTGTCTTTCAGCAAATTGGTTTTAGATGAATTGACCTTTGGGCAAATTGATGTGAGCCTTACAGCTTAATGGATGAGAAATTTGGCTTTGAGGCCAAGCTGTCTGTGTTACAATCCTAACTCCACTTTCTGGCTGTGCAGACTCTTGAACAGGCACTTAGCCTCCTAGTGCCTCAGTGTCTTTATCTATGAAAATGGAAGTAACTAGAATGCCTTCCAGCATAGTGTTGTTGAACAAGACAATGAGTTAATACACTGACAGTACTTAGACTGGTGCTGGCATTTGCAAGCACTCAAAGCAGCCCTGAGTAAACTTTTTCTTACAAACTTTTGTAAGAAATAGGTGGGCCGGACTAGTGTCACATGCCCACCTCATCCCTGATACCAGGTATCTCTTCTTGACACCTGAACCAGTAAGGGTTCTATCAGTAAGAAGGAGAATGCCACTGGGGGAAGAAATTGATGGTATTGATTACTATATTTTCTCCTCTCCATATTTTTATCTCTTTTTTGGGGACACTAGTTACCCATATATTTGATCTCCCTCATCAGTCCATAGTGTTAAAAGCAACAGAAAATGGACTAAGATACCCTTCTTCCTCTTATCAGGATGTTGCTCTTAACATAATACCTGAAACTAGGTAATTTGTAGAGAAGAGAAATTTATCTTCTTACAGTTATGGAGGCTTGGAAGTCCAAGGTCAAGGGGGCACACTGGGTGAGAGCTTTCTTGCTGGTGGGGATCTTGTGTCGTGCCCTGAGGTGGCACAGGCTATCACATGCCGAATCTTGGGGCAGCAGCATCACTTGGCGAAGGATTTGCTATGAGGGTAAAGACAAGAAGGACATCCAGCTATGAAGCTGGGAGGGTGCTGGGGCTTTAGATACCCTAGGAAGGAAGGGGAGCCTTAGTCTAAGGGGCCTGAGTGTGAGCTACTAGTGTACTTACTCAGGTCTCTCTTCCTCATATAAAGCCATCAGTTCCACTCCCATGATCATCCATTAATCCATTAACCCATCATAAAAGAAAACTTTAGACAAATTACATTTAACAGAATTTAACTGAGCAAAGAACCATTGACAATTAGATAGTCCCCAGAACCAGAATAGGTTCAGAGCTGCTCGGGGGCTGCCAGATGATCGGATAATATTTATGGACCAAAAAAGGAAAGTGATAGACAGGGAGGTACAGAAACAGCTGGATTGTTTAAGCCGTAACCTATCATGTTCAAAAAAGCAGCTTAATGCCTACTTGTATGAACACAGTTTGAGGAGTTGACCGTCTGTGATTGGCCAAAACTCTGTGATTGGTACAAGAGTAGGTTATAGTTTGTTTACACAGCCAGCTAGGTTACATTTCACCATGTGTGGAGAAACCTTTCAGCCGAACCTATAATATGTAAGGAGAAAGCTTTAGGCTAAACTTACTTTAATACCCCTTAATCCACTGATCCATGAAAGAACTAATCCATTCATGAGGGCAGAGTTCTTATGACCCAATCACCTATTAAGGGTTCCACCTTTTAATACTGCCACATTGGGGATTAAGTTTCAACACATGAAATTTGTGGGACAGTTAAAACCAAAGCAGAGGGTGGAGAGAAAATCTGGCCCCACGCTGCCCTCAGACTTCTGCCTCTGAATGTGGCTGTGTGAGAATGTGGTGCTTTGAACTGTGAGAACCATCTCAGAGCAGAGGTTAATGGAAGCCAGAGGCTGACCAGGGCCCTGGATCCCTGAGTGCTGATCCAAACCCAGCCATAGCTCAAGTGATTTGGCCTCAGCCTCCAGAGTAGCTGAGACTACAGGCGCACACCACCATGCCCAGCTAATTTTTATTTAATTTAATTTATTTATTTATTTATTTATTTATTTAGTAGAGACAAGGTCTCACTATGTTGCCCAGACTGGCCTCAAATTCCTAATCTTAAGTAATTCTCCTGCCATGGCCTCCTAAAGTGCTGGAATTGCAGGTATGAGCCACTGCACCCGGCCTGTTTTCTTACTTGTAATATCTTTTCTATATGTGTGGTTATGTCCCAATTCTCATTCCTAATGTCGTTTGCTTATGATTTTGATTTTTTAGTCAGATGTATCAATATTTTTTCTTTTCATTAGTCTTTTTTAAGAAATCAACTTTTCATTTTGCTGATTGAATACTTCTTTTTTATTATTATCTATGTGTATATGTGAGGAATATGTTTGACTCTTTTTTCCCCACAAGAAGTCGAGAGAGAGCATCTGCTGGCGTTGGCTGAGCTGCTCAGCCCTGTGGTCAGGGACGCAAGCTCTCTCCATCTTGCTGCTCTACCGTCCTGGGCACACCTACGCTTATCCTCATGCTTGTGGCCTCGGAGTCCCAAGATGGCCATTCCCCTTACTTCATTGGTCAGAACTCCAACTTCAAGAAAGACTGAGAAACTGAGGATTTAACCTTCCAGACTCCACCATAGATAAATACAAGGACAGAGCGAGGACTGGACATGAGTGTGGAGAGAGCTACCTAGCAGATGGGTCACCTGGTTATTAATGTCTGTTTTTACTTGTATTACAGCCTCCTCTATAGTTTACTTAGGTCTATCCAACATAGTAAAATAATTCACCATAGTAGTAGTGGATTTGGTCATTTATCATTGTATTTCCAGTAGCTTTTTTGTTTGTTTGTCTCTGTTTTGTTTTGCTTTGTGACATTTATATTAAATACATTTCCAAACCATGTTGTTAGGTACATATTAAGCTCAACTATTTCTTTTTGGCCCACTTAATGTTTTTTTAATCCCAAATTTTGTTTAGTCTGTAGTGACTAGTGCCACACTTACAATCTTTGCTGACATTTTTCTAGTCTATCATTTTCTATCTCTTTCTTTTGAATCATTCTTTGTCATCAGATAATGCATATGGCACACACTGGGTTTATCTAATCTGCAAGTCTTGGCCTTTTAGTAGGGAAATATAATGCATTCAAATGTATTTCCATTTCTTTTTTTTAATTATTATTAATTATACTTTAAGTTTTAGGGTACATGTGCACAATGTGCAGGTTTGTTACATATGTACACATGTGCCATGTTGGTGTGCTGCACCCATTAACTCATCATTTAGCATTAAGTATATCTCCTAATGCTATCCCTCCCCCCTCCCCCCACCCCACAACAGTCCCCAATGTGTTATGTTCCCCTTCCTGTGTCCATGTGTTCTCATTGTTCAATTCCCACCTATGAGTGAGAACATGCGGTGTTTGGTTTCTTTTCCTTTCGATAGTTTGCTGAGAATGATGGTTTCCAGCTTCATCCATGTCCCTACAAAGGACATGAACTCATCATTTTTTATGGCTGCATAGTATTCCATGGTGTATATATGTCACATTTTCTTAATCCAGTCTATCATTGTTGGACATTTGGGTTGGTTCCAAGTCTTTGCTATTGTGAATAGTGCCGCAATAAACATACATGTGCATGTGTCTTTATAGCAGCACAATTTATAATCCTTTGGGTAATGTAGTTCAATGTTTCACGTGTGGACCTACTCCTGGCATCTTATTTAATGTTTTCTATTTAATATACTTAATTTTTTCTTGCCTTTTGTTATATTAATAGAGTTTTCTTCTATCTAAACTTCTCCAGCAGTTTAGAAGTTATACAATCTTATACTTTTATCCTACTAGTTAACTAAACTTAAATTTTTACTTTAGCATTTAAAGATAATCAGTTTTTTTCTTTCTCTGAACAAAACAAGAACTTTGACATGTTTTCAGACTGTGTTTTCAACCCATCCATATTGTGGTCACTGCATATATAGATATAGCTATAGGTAGATATATAGATATAGATAATCATATATATTAATTATCTGTATTGAACCATGAGTTTCACTTATTTCTTTGATCATTGCTATATCTCGTTTCTTCCTTGTTCTTGAATTCATTAAAATTTTTTTCCCTGAACATCTTTGAGTTTCCTTTAGACAGGTGATTAACTTTGTAATTATTAGTATGTTTTAAAGTGTCTTTGTTTTACCCTTTTAGTCTAACGCTTGCTAGGAGGGGTATGCATTCTAGGTTCAAATCTCCCACAGAGGTCGTGGAAAATCTCTGAGCAGGGAAATTTGAATAGCCAAGGAGGCATGGGAGGTGTGATGAGGGGCCAGGGCAGCCTGGGGAAAGTCCAGGAAGTGATGCTCACCTTGCTCCTTAGAGTAGATGAGTGGTGAGGTGCTCCGGGTTCCCTCTCTGAGTGGGAAGGGCCTCAACCATCTGCCCCTGGGCTAAGAGTCAGAACCCCTGGGCCAGGAGGATTGGTTCCTTCCCCAGGCCTATGTTCAGAGAATGGGCAGCCTCACATTGCTGCTTCACATAGGTGAGAGTGGGTGAGATACTCAGGTGAGCCTCCAATCCTGAAGCTCCATTTCTCTTTTTCCTTTCTTGCCCCAGAACCCATACCTAATCCTCAAATTCTGATTAATTCATCATCCAATACATCAGGTTGATACAATATCAGCCTGGAGTGTGGGACTCCAGGGGCCACAGAGAACCTAACTGTGACCTGGCTGAGCAAGGTCCTCCCAAGGAAGCTGGAGCAGAGAGGGACACTGGTGCCAGCCCCCAACTCCAGGAAGCTAAACATGAGCCTTCCTCTGACCCAGCTGAATGGTCACCTCACCTGTATAGTGAGCAACCCTGCAGACCAGAATGCAAACTTTGAACTAGAAAGCATCTGTCCTTAGAGAGGTGTGATCTCCCAGGAAGAGTGATGGAAATGGGATGGCAGAGAATGGGGTAGAGGCAAGACTGGGAAGACTCAGGAAAGTAATGGAACTGAGGAGCACTAAGGCTATTCATGTGGTGCAATCAGAAGGTCCCCACCTCAGTGAACAACCATATCCTTGTTACAGTCTTCAAACCTGCAAGTCCAGAAGTTGGGCCAATATTTGGAGATGGCCACATTGTCCGAGACATAAATGTGGGACTGGCACTTGGACACCCTGTTTCCAGCATCAAGGAGCCTGGGAGGCTGGATTGCTCATCAAAATCCAAGAAGGGGAGGAGGACTTGAGGAGTGAGGCCTGATAAACCCTCAGGACACCCCCCAGCCCTGGAGTGCTTGTCTCCCCAGACACAGATTCCCTCCCTGGATGGGCTGGACATGCATGGCCCATGCAGGCTGATGGATGTCTATTGTTTTTTTCTGCATGCCAGACATCCCCTTTCTGCAGATGATTACCACCTCTGAGTACATAATCCACGGTCAGCTTCCTATGAGAAGGATGAACACCTGTGGTCACTACTGCCATTTATCATGCTTCCCTGTGAGCCTAAGGGCTCACCCATAGAAGAGACTATACAGGGTGGGTTAGGGAGAGGGAGCTTTTACAAAGGAGCTGCATCCTCAGGCCCTGGTTTCATAAAATATCAACCTTCTTCCCTTCCCAGGACTACACAGCAGGAACACCTGGTTTGAAAAAGGAGTTATAGTCACCAATCTGCACATGAATGTTCCACAGTGCTCTCCTGAGCTCCTCCTGCTCACTTGGGGGCTGTCTTCTGAACAGTCTCTACTTCATCATTTCTTTAGTCACTCCCCCACTCAGCACTCAACCCACATATTTGCACTGAGTGCCTACCATGTGCTGGGGATGGCAGCAGGGGAGTGAAAAATAAAACAAGCCCCTGCCCTCAAGGAACTTACAGTACAGAAGAGCCTGACTGGCTCCTTTGCATAATTCTTAGAAGCTGACCAAGCCCACAACTCAACCCCACCAGAATTGTAGAATGACATGGAGAAGAGAAGCTGCCATGCACAGAGCCCCATGCTGGCTCCAGCAGTCCACACTGTGTATGAAAAGATCTGGACAAGCCCAGAGCTCCGGGGTATGCCTAGACCGTGAAGACACTGGGGCAATGAGGGGACTTGGTAAGATCTTCCCCATGCCACCCTTTACCCTAGGGTCCTCAGATATCCTTCCTTAATGTGGAGCTGAGACCAGAGCCCCAGGTCTTCCCGTCTCATCCCACGAAGACAACAAGGCAGCATGACCTGCTCCCACAGCTTCCCCCACAGGTATAAATAGTGACTCATTCAGACATCAAAGTATGAAAGGTGAACCCTTCAGTGATCAGCCAGACTTCTGACCTCTGACCTGTGACCCACTTAATCCCTGTTAGGGAACACCCATGGTCAGGCAGAACCTATATCCGGATGGTCAAGGAATAGAGATAATTTCCCAGGGTCCTGGAGGTCCTGAGAAAAATAAGCCTTGGATGGAGGACTTTTAGGAAGTCGCAGCCCAGCCCAACACACTACCGAAGAATAGAGAGGTATGGCCCTTGACTATGGGAAAGCATGAGGTCTGCAGATACAAGATTAAGGGTCAGCTGCAGTGTGGAGGTGAGTGGTGGAAAGGGAAGGAAACCTTTCTTGAGCTCCACAACCTACCAGGCTTAATTCTAAGCACATGCATGTGTCTCTCATCCTTCCTCAAGCTCCTTAAAAATAATATAGTACATGTATGTTGTTTTAGTTTTTAAATAACAACATGAAGGTGAGACTGGTTGGCAGCTAATGAGCAGACCAGAGAGGCCCGGAATCTCAGAGAGAGATGGAAGAGGTGGCTTGGAAAGATAGTGCCAGACTCTGGACCAACCACATCGGAATCTCTGGGGTGGTGCCCAGGGAACAGTTTTCCTTTAAGGACCCAGGGGAGCCCAGTGTGCTCAATGCACAGCTAAGTTTGAGAATCACTGACTTAGAATACACAAATAGGGGTGCAGCAGGGATTGGAGCTGTCCGCCCAGAGGAACCCGCAGGGATTCTGAGCTCAGAGAGGCCAGGTGGGATGCAGGGTTGGGTGAGAAGTGGGGCTGAGACAGGGAGCTTTGTGGGAGGTCCATGTATGATGTAGTAAACCCCCACCCACCACCAGCTCCAGACACCGACCTTCCAGAAGTCAGGCATTTCCTCCTCAGACACAAACAACGGAGAGCTCTTTAAACACAAAAAGGAAAAAATCCCTGAATATACAGTGGAGAGAACTCGGGCAGCTGGTGTGGGTAATGGAGACTCAGGAAAGCCCCCCTCATTGTTTAAATTTTTTTTCTTTTTAATTACTATGAGTACACAATAAGTGTATATATTTATGAGATACATGTGATATTTTGATACAGGCATACAATGTGTAATAATTACATTCGTGTAATTGGGGCATCCATCTCTTCTACACTGTTGGTGGAAATGTCAATTAGTACAGCCACTATGGAGAACAGTATGCAGATTCCTCAGAAAAATGAAAAGCAGAACTACCATATGATCCAACAATCCCACTTCTGGGTACATACCCAGATGATATGAAATCAGTATGTTGAGAGATATCTGCAATTCCCATGTTTGCGGCAGCGCTATTCACAATAGCCAGGATTTAGAATCAACACTTCATTCTGACATTTAGAGGATCCCCAGCATAATCGCCAGCTCCCTGCCCTGCCCCCTAAAGTGGAGCCTGACAGAACAACCTGGCTCTATTTAGATATAAGAGGATGACGAAAGATCACCAGACAGGTGAGAAAAACTGGCAGAGTCAGGAACAATTCCACTTCCAGAGCTGAGTAGAAGGGGTGTGGGGGTAATGAGATTGAGCTAAGTGCCTCCTGGAATAGCAGGAAGGCATTGGATGATATTCCAGATTGAAAACTCCAGAAACAGCCTTAAAAGTATTACCTAGAAACAGAGCAGTAATCATAGAAAAACTGAAGGCAGAAATAATAACAGAAGCAGTTGCCTCTGGGGAGAGAAACTGGGACCAGCAGGAGACTGAGAATTTTCAGTATGTTTTTAAAAACCACATACATGTATGACTTTGTGTGTGTGTGTGTGTGTGTGTGTGTATGTATACATACATATATATATGATTACATATGTACATATTTAAAAAGAAGAAATCAGACTGTAAGGCAGCACTTGTCAAATTTGAATGTGTATACAATTCACTTGGCAATTTTCTAAAAACTGCAATTCTGATTTAGTCATTCGGAGGGGGGCTAAGATTCTGCATTTACTATAAGGTCCTGGATGACGCCAATGCAGTTGGTGTGAGGACCACACTCTGAGTAGCAAGGCTGTAAATGTTGCTAAATGCCAGGCTGAGACATCTAGAATACATTCTGTGGATAACTGGAAATCGCTTACTTTGTTTGAACAGGGGTGAGGCAGGATCAGAGGATGCTTTAGGTGGCTTGTTCAGTGCAGCCTGGCTTTTTGGGAGATGCTTGAGCCATAGGATCAGACAGGAGACACTGTAACAATCCAGGCAAGAGATGAGGGACTAAGTGAGGGCAGCAATGGAGGTAGAGGTGAGGGGATAGAGAATGAGATGTTGCTGCAGCAGGATCACCCGGCAGAGGATTGGTTATGAGGGTAAAGGCAAGAAGGACATTCAGCTATCAAGATGAGAGGGTGCTCAGCCTTTAACAATTCTAGGGAGAAAGGGCATGGTTAGTCTAAGGGGCCTGGGTGTGAGGTGCCTTTGAGACCACCAATGGTTGGAAACGCAGCGCAAGAGTTCAAAAGGGTGGAAATAAGTGGGGAAGTGACCCAAAGGCAGGAAATATTCATCATTAACAAACAAACACTGAAGAACGTCCCCTGCTGGGAGCACACCCAGGGCCTGCGTCTGTCATGGGCTTCAGCTGTGGGGTTACACTGAGTCTATTTGGGCCACCTCTTTCCTCCCCTACCCCATGCTCTCTGTCTCCATTCTCCAGACCTAACACGACATTTCCAAGCCCGTGGCCTGAGGTTGACCAGAAGAGCCAGAACAATTCTGGCCCCTCAAGAGAAGGGCTCCAGAACGTTGGAACAGACCCCATTCTCAAGGAGGTGGTGACCTTCCTCTGTGGCCAGGGCTCAGAGCTGCACCTTACATACACCAACCACCACAAGGGATCAGGATGAGGCCGAGCAGCAGAGGAGACGGGAACACTCCATCGGGTAACCTTCATCTCAACTCAACAATACTGACTGAGCAGAGGTAAAATACTCCACATATGCACAGTCTCAGGAGACTCACAGAGGACCCATGGATGGATCACACTTCATTGAACTTTTTAGGTCTTTTGCTTGTAGGGTTTTTTTAAAAATTGTAATATGATCTGCTAGTATGTCTTATTTATTTCATATAATATCAAAAGACAAAGCCTCACTGTTTTGTATGAGACAATTGGAGACCGTCTCTATTTTGCGAAGGTGGGTAGCCTGAGACTATTCTGATGGGGAGGGGATCTCAAAGGTGGGTGATGGAAGGTCGTCCTGTACTCAGGTCACTGAACTGGGCCCCTGTGCCCATGGCAATGAGACAGGAGCTTTCCCTGAACTAAGTTCCACGGGGTGAGGCTGGGAGGAGTCTGACCCATGGACACATTGGGGCACATCACCTGTGAGGGGCAAACTAAGTTCCACGGGGTGAGGCTGGGAGGAGTCTGACCCATGGACACATTGGGGCACATCACCTGTGAGGGGCACATGGGCATCATTATGATCACCTTCTCATTTTACAGATGAGGAAACTGAGGTTCCAAAGAGATGAACTGGTAAACCCAAGGTGTAGAAAGTGAGTAACTGGCAGAGCCAGGCCAGGGACCAGGTCCCTGGCCTCCCAAACCAATGGTCTTTCCAAATTCAAGTCCCCTCTCAGTGAAGTGAGTCTCCCACACTAGGACAGCTTCAGACCTTGAGGAGCCACACCAAGGGAGAGGGAGGCCAGGCCTGTCCCAGGCAGCATCTCACCTCCCTCACACCACCCCCAGGCAGAGGAACCAAGGCCTGTGGCTGCATCTCTGGAGCCTCTGGGCCCCAAGGCGGCTCTGGACCCACTGCAGTCACCTCCCTCTGCACTCTGTGAGTCACAAACAGGCCTGCACTGCCTCGTGTCCAGCCCAGCCCTGCACACATGCTGGTCTGAGAAGCCTCAGCTGTTCTCGCAGCCTGAGAAATAAGGCTCAGGCCTGTGCTAAGGCCCAGCTCCCAGCCAGGGCTCCTGCCTGGCCTCAGTGTGTCAGTGACATTCACACCAAACCACAGCAGACAGGCGCCTTTCCACAGGCCTTCCTTTATTATGACAGTTCCCTCTGGGTTCTTGGTTCCCAGCATCTCTCTTCTGTCCTGCAGGGAAGGATAGACCACATCATCCAACACAACCTCCAAATCACCAGGCACAGGCCACAGCTGCTCCACCCCGCAAGGAAACCTGTGGTCTCTGCGATCTCACCTGCGGCCCCCTGAATGTGCCGATAGACTTTTGAGGGCCCTCTCAATAGGGCACAGAGGAGAGGGAGAGCCCAGCAGGAGCCATTCATTAGGAAAACAACTCCCCATTTATGGGGATCAGCCCCATCCCTTACAGACCTCAGAAGGACACCAGTCAGCCTCCAGCCTGCCCACCTGCACCCATTCCCTGAGTAAGACCCTTCCCTGCCATCCCCTGTCAAATTGCTGCCCCTTCCACATGCAGCTCAGGTAGCCCTGGGGAGCCAGCCCTGACCTGTCCCAGGTGAATTAGGTGCTCTGGGTTCTCCCAGCACTCTTAGCAAGTCGTCAATCATCTGTGATGTAACCAGGTACTCTGGTTCTGCCCACCCCCTGCTGATGCAAGACCAGGCCCCATGAAGAGGTGAGGCGGGGAGGCCCTCACTCTCAGTATATTAGTCAGCTCAGCTCTGGCTGCCATGGCAAAGAACACACACCGGGAAGCTTAAACAACATAAATTTATTTTCTCACACTTCTGGAAGCTAGAAGAACAAGGTTAAGGTGCTGGCAGTGTGGGTTCCTCTGAGGCCTCTCTCTTTGGCTAGCATACAGCTGTCTTCCCCCTGCATCTTAACCTAGTCTTCATGTGTACCTGCCTAATCTCCCAATCTCCTGTTCTTATAAGGACACCAGGTGTATTGGATTAGAACCCACCCATTTGACTTCAGTTTACCTTCCTCATGTCTTTAAAGGCCCCATCTCAAATACAGTCACATTCAGAGGTACTGGGGGTTAGAATTTCCATCCCCAGTTGAATTCTGCAGGGACACAGTTCAGCCCGAAACCCTGAGACTCATGCTGGCGCAGAGCAGGCATCTGAGAGTGGGGGTCGTGCTGCCCCACCCCAGTCCCAACCCTGCCTGTAAACATCCTGGGGGCATCAGGAATATGCAGGCACAAGACAAGCAGCTTCCAGCTAAGCTACAGGTGACAGCCCCACTGCTTGCCAAGAAACACATATTTACTGAGCACACCTGAGCCTGGCACTGGAAGAGACTTTCCTTCCTGCCCAGTCACCATCTGCTGCTGTCACTGAGCCCCTAGGTGGCTTCACAGACAGCACAATCTTAGCCATCTTGCTTTCCAGGGGAAGCACGTCAGATGCAGGTTGAACTTCTCAAATGCAGTTATTTGCCCTCGGCAACAAAAAATGAAAGAGAGGGAAAAAATATCCATTTAAATGTGCAGCAATTCTACTCAGATCCCAAAGTAAGTATGATATGGGAGCCGCAAATCCATGGGCGCCCCTGGTCCATCTCTCTGGGCTCACCTGCCTCTCAGGTGTGTGCCTCCTGCTACCTGGTGGGCAGTGGTCAGCAGGTAGCAGTTTAACCACTGGCTCTGCAGGAGGAAAAAGCCCTGGTTTCTAGTGTTTCCAATTTCCATGGTGTAAATATTCCCACTCTGTCTAATTTCAAACTACCAACATCATGACTGTGAACATAGGGTTGGGAGGAGATGCACAAAACCAGCTCACAAGTCAGCTTGCAGCCCCTCAACACCAGCCAACCATTTCATCGGGAAGAAAACACAGCCTCTTCCCAAGCAGAAGGAGAAACTTGCTGAGGGATGGAATGTTGGTCTCCAGTAGAGCAGCACTCTAGGGGATCCACACAGCAGATTGTAACTGTAATTGATTTCCACCTCAGAACCCAATTCTTCCCATCAATCACCAAAGCTAAGGCTTGGTTACTCCTCACCCAGCCTCCTCCTTCACTGCTAGGCTGTCCCAGCCTAAAACTCACGTGGGGTCCCCACTGTCCACTTCCCCACAAGACTGTGTAGTCTGAGGGCACAGAAAGGCTTTTCCTTTGGGAGCCCAGCATGCTTGGAGACAGGACTTGGAATCCAACTGGACGTTGATTCCATTCCTGCTTCTACCGCTAAGCTCTATCATCCAGCAGATCCTCAATGGCCTCATCTGGAAAATGAGATAATACCTCCTCTGCAGGGTTGCTGGGAGGACTAAATAGATAGAAGAAAGCCCCACACACAGCACAACACACAACAGGGCAACTCCGACTCCCTCCCCTCCCCTCCCCTATTCTTCCCCGGAGAAACAGGGCTGAGCCATAGTCGGGCAATGTCGCCACTTAGTGGCTGTGCTCAGAATTGCCCAAAAGACCAACAGTTTCCGGATTTGAGAAAAACCGGGAAAGCACTTAGGGAAGAGGTGTTGGGTTTCTGGTGAGAATCAAGTCCATGTTTTCTGAGAGGCCACTCACTATTATAAAGAAAGATTGGACACTGGCCTCTGAAATCCCACGTTTAGGTCCCAGCTTTGCCTAATATTAGCTGTTTAACCCTAACCAAGTTACGTAACTTCTCTAAATCTCAGTTTCCTCATATGTAAAATGGGAAAAATAACATCTACCTTATTAGATAAACACTCAGTGTTTTTTGCCTTTTATTGCTCTTGACCCCTCCTCCAGCCCCCTCTCCCTATCTTGATAAATATCACTGTCACAGGATCTTTGGGGTTTTGCTTTTTCTGTGGGGTGTTGCTTTTTCTGGCTGGAAACCTCTGTGGTCAGTGGCGCCTTTGTCTGAGGCCTTGTCTTGCATCCAGGAAGAATGAGGTATGCAGACAAGTGGAGGGTGAGCAATAGGAAGAGGAGCTTTATTAAGTGTTAGAACAGCACAGACCTCAGAGACCAGCAGTGGGTAGCTCTTCTCTGTAGGCAGGTCATCCGGACAAGTGCTCACCTCTCAGCAGAGGGTAGCTCCTGGTCTGCAGTTGGTCCTCCCAATCTACAGCTCTCAGCAAAGAGGAGGCTCTGCAAAGAGTAGCTGGTCATCTAGTTGTCTCTCCATCCTCGCCTCTCCATCCTCTCCTCTACTCTGGCTGAGCCCTGAGCTATTATGGGGCTCAGAGGGAAGGAAGTGCATGCCAGTTGGCCCATGGAGAGCCATGGGAAGCCCAGACAAGGCACCACTAGTCCCCACTCTGGTCAGTGGGACTGGAAACCCAGCTGCCAGCCTTCAGGCCTTCCCTGTCCTGAAAGTGGGGCCTCACCCACACCTGCCTCTTCCTGCCTAGGAGCCTGTCTACCTCCTGCAGCCACCCATGGCACCTAGGCCACTGGTGCCAAGGAGGCCTCAGGCCAATGCCTAGCTGCCCATCTCAGCCTCCCTCCCCTGCTCCTTGGCACCCAAAGTCTGGGGGTATGAAGGCAGCAGGGGGTCAGGGCATCAGCACTGCCCTAGCATACACCCTGTGGAGCTGCAACAACCCCCAAGCTCACCCTAACCCGGCTCCAAGATCAGAGCGGTGCCAGGAAGTGGGAGAGGACAGGCTAGAGAGGAGAGCACCATGATGCCCAGGCCCACAGCCACAACCTGGGCTGCTGCAGCTGGCCTGGGGAGCTCCCACCCTGCAGATTCCGGAGGGGCAGGGCTCCCACCTGTCCCTGGCTCTGCAGAGTGCAGCAACCCCCTACCCCCACCCCAGTGCCCCTTCTCTGCCTTTCCCCACAGCTGAGGCAGTCTAGGTGCAGGTGGCACAGTGGCCCAGACCAACCCCGCACAAATGAATCCCACGCTGGCCAGTCCCGCGAGTCCCGGCTGCGCCTTTGGCCAGGTGTTCCTGGGCTCCCAGGTCACCGCAGGGAGCCAGATCGAGGCAGCAGCCGAGGCTCCCGGCCTGGGAGCTGGTCCTGCCCCGGCTTGCGAAAGTGGGGATGGCACAGTCAGCTGCCTTGGGGACATGGGGCACAGGCGACCCACTGCCGTCACCGCTGCTCCCGCAGCCGCTCCTGCTGCGCTGTGCAGCCTGGGGCGGGGCTCAGGCCTTCGCCAGGCCTGGGCTGACATGCAGGGCAGGGGTGACATCGCCGCAAGTTCCCACTGCGGCCCCAGCGCTCAGGGTGACCTGGGGCTCCCCTTCGTCCAGCTTGAGACCCTGCCAGGGGGGTGCTTTCGGGAGCGGACTGCGGGCCCGGGAACCGGCGGCCGGGAGCACCTAGCTCGGCGGTCACCCAGACGCAGGGTGGATCCTGGAGACGCAACCTCAGGTGCCCTGACGAGCTGAATCTCCAGCTCAGGAGGCGCAGGAACCTGGCGCCGTCAGCAGGGTGGGCGAGGCTGGCCAGGTCCGGGAAGTGGGCACCCTTCCCGCTTTCAGCCCCGGGCCCCTTTAGTGCGGCCACCGCCGGGCGATTGGTGCCTGCCGGTACTCTGTGCACAAGTGCGGCACAGCCCTGGGCCCAGCTCCGCCTCGGGGTCCCTCCGTGCCCAACTGTGCAGTTCCCCCGCCGGCGGGTGGCTTGACCCCGCCCGGCCCAGCCGCAGCAGCTCCCAGGGGCGGGCTCCAGGGCGGCAGGCCCCGGGGACCCTTCGCCTGGGCGTCCGCACCCGAGGACCCACGGCCCGCGCCCGCACCCCACCGCAGCGGGGGCCCTGGCAGAGGCCGCTTCGGACCGCCCGCCGCTGCCATCATCCCCTTACTGGTTCCTGACGCCCTCAGTAGTTACGCCTGGGACGGGACCACATCTTCTCAATCCTATTTTCAGAAGCACTGACAAATTCCCCTAAAATCACCCTGAGAGATATTCTCGAAATCCTCAGTACTTCGAGTCTAAAAACAGAAAACATTTTATTATATTCATTATTGCATATATACACAATATAATACATTGTATATTATATAACATATATAATACTCTTATTATGTTATATAACAGTATATATATACTGTTATTATACAATATATTTAACAGTATGTAACACATAATGTTATATAATGTTAAAATAAAAGACACCCCTGTCTGGGGACAGGCACCTAACCAGCAACCCAGACACCCCATTCCCATTAACAAAGTCTCTTCCCAACCACAAGGGCTCTTGGTGGACACAGACTCCGAGATGGTCAGGGTGAGGGACTGTTTCTCCCACATTCAGGAACATCCCGAGGCTCCGTGACCCCGGCTAGAAACATCTCCCTTGTGGGCAGATGCCTGTGACCCTGCCCCGAGGACACGGGCGCCCACCAACCTCGCTTCCGCGCTGACCAGCACCTTCCAAGTATCAAGCCCTCCCTAGATGAGCCTTAGTCAGCTGGTCTGAGAGAGCCGGGTCTTTAGAACTGCACAGAATTGGGTCTGAATCTCATTTTCCACTATATTACCTGAGTAACCCTGGACAGATTGCTGAACTTGCCTGAGCCTGTGAGCTTATCACAATGGGGCACAAGCACTCACTTCAGGGAGTGTCTGCGTTGAGTAAGTGAGGCCCTGTGCGTGCCCAGTGAGGTCCCCGGCAGATGTTCAGCCAATGCTCCTATTTCATTCTGAACCCGGCATCTAGGAGATCCTTGCTTTATGAAGGTGCTGACTTTACCACCAGACCAGGGTCCAGGGCGCCCCCTCGTGGCTCTGCATTTCCAATTTTTCTTTCGAAATAAAACTGTCCTTGGGGAAAGGAGAGTCCTGAGGAGAGATACCCACGAATTCCTCAGCCAACTCACTTCTACGTTTTAAAATATGAGCCACTGAAACCCATTTACAATAAAGAAAAATGTAAATATAGTTTTAACACTCTTGCCCCCCACCGCACAAACACAGTGATTCTTCACCTACCAGAAAGAAATACCATTAAACATGTGCAAATGGATAAGCAGAGTAAATTATACACTTGAGGACCAAATCTCTCACAAAACAAGAAAGGCAATTAATTCACACATGCAGTAGAATAAACCATGGGGTAACTGAATGTTTGCCCCAGGGTCGCAGTCTCTGGGATGGAGTTCAAGTGCACAGCATGATGCCAAGTACCTCACCAATCAAAATAGCCATCAGAGATAAGACCAGGTTAATAATGAGGCAGAGGCCCCTCCCTCCTGGCTGGGATTTCTTTAGAGAGTGCAGCCCTGTTCTTGCCAGGACCCTCACTTGAGGGGGCCAGCTCCATTGAGGAGTAGATGCTTTCTCTTCCACTGGCCTTCAGAGTTGGTGGGACCCCGCAAATGATGTTGGCTACTATTGCCAAACTCCTCAAAACCTCCCTATACAGGAGATGGAAGAACCTCTCCCATACAGAGGTAGCTGTCCCCTGGGCTGAACACTTCCATCTATGGAGACCCTGACCTGGAGGGAGAGCTGGCCTCTGCCTATCCCACCCATGTAAACACTCTGCTCTCTGTCCACCTCTTCTTTCCCCTGGACCTTCTGCCCAGGGAATGTGCAGAGGAAAAGAGGGCAGTCCACTGTCCCCATTCTCTGTAGGGTGGGCAGATCCAGGAGGACCTGTTTATCAGAATCTAAGCAATAGAGCAGCATCCTCACCCCAATTATCTACTGCTAATTGCTCTGCCTATATTTGGGTGTTCCTGTATTTGGGCTTAAATTAGTTTTGACCCATCTCCTAAAGCAATCACCACCAAAAGCCAAAATCTACTCTTCTAACATAATATGTGTAGGTGTCCAATAGACCTTGTGGCCTCAGATCTGCTATAGCTGTTTCCTGGGCAGGTGCTCCCTGGCATATTTCAGGCAAATGACATTTATTAAACACTTACTATGTGCCAGGGGCTGAGGCTACACACTTGATATGCATCTCATGAATCCTCAAACAACTCTATCAGGTAGGCATGATCAGTATATCCACTTTACAGATGAGAAAGTGAGGCTTAGAGAAGCAAAGTGACTTATCCAAGCTTCCAGGCAGACGAATAACAGAAAGGATTCAAATCCAAATCAATCTGGCCCCAAAGCACTTGTTCTTGTCCTACACTTGCAGTACAATCTGGATTGTTTTTATCAACAGACCTTTACAATAACGTCTGTGCTAGGACAACTATTACTGAGCTTGTCTGGTAGCAAACAACAAACTCTTCCTATGTTTTCCTTGCCGAATACTTCAACTTGCTCATATTTTGGGGGCCCAGATGACATTTCCTTTAGCAGACTTATTTTAACTACCTTCATTCCCTTCTAAAGATGTTTGTGATGAATTTCTGACCTATCTGTGACCTTGAAGTCTGTTCATATCCAACAAAGGAGGCAAATGATAAGATTTTATGGACTTAGGTGGAATCTTGCCTGTAGATGGGAAATCACTCTCTGCGTTCCTAATGCTTGAAAACAAGGACCCTCTTGCCCAGATCTTGGTTTCTAAAGCAATTCCGCAGTAAACCAAACTAGAGCTCCTGGGAGAAATGGCTGCTTCTAGAACTGAAGCAGGAAATATACAAGATGGGCCTGGAGCATCTTGGAGAGTCCAAGTAAGAAAGTCCTCAAAAAAAAAGGCACACAGTGATGAGGCTGTGTCAAAAGAACACGGCACCAAATGGCCAAACTGGAACAATCTGAGCTACAAAATAAATATAGTGGCTTTGGATTATAGCCCGAAGCATAAAATACATATCAATGACTTTATACTGATACAAATAAATGATTGATTGAATAAAGAAAGAAATAAAGAAATTAAAAAAGGGGAATGATTGATTGAATAAATAAATGGGAAACAAGTAAATGGAGAAAAAATCTTCTGTGCAGAAAATTCCAAGTAATGTGTGAAGACATTCCACTCTCAAGGAGGTAAAGTTTAACTCCCTACTCTTTAAGTCTGGGCTGCACACGGTGACTTCTTTTCAAAGAGAACAGTGTGGAAGAGGGGAAAAACGAGTCACTTTACAATGGATGAAACTCAGCAAGCTTTACCTTTGTCAAGATAGTTGAGGTCAGCATCAATAGTAATGTCACGATGACAGCATGCACCCTCAAATGATGCGATGAAAATGGCACTTTACCTCTGTCATCCTCCTCCCCAAAACCTAAATTCCAAGTCTCATCATGAGAGAAACATCAGGCAAATCCCAATTGAGGAACATTCTTCAAAACACCTGACCAGTACCCCTCACGAATGTCAGCGAAAACAAGGAAAGTCTGAGTAGCTGTCACAGCCCAGAGGAGCCTAAAGAGGTATGTAGGGTGGGATCTGGGAACAGAAAAGGACATCGCGTAAAAACTAAGGACGTCTGAAGAAAGTATGGACTTGAGTTCATAAGAATGTATCCATATCGGTTTATTAATTGTAACAGATGTTAATAGCATAAGATGTTGATAAAAGGTGAAACTAGGTGTGGAGTCTGTGGGACTCTCGGTACTATCTGCCCAATGTTTCTGTAAATGAAAAACTTTTATAAAATATAAAGGTTATCTTATTTAAAGTGCTGCCACTCCTGAGCCCATGTTCTTTCTTGTTACCACAGCTCCTGTCAGATACTCAGGCATGTCCAGACATCATTTCCACAGAGGCCGGCCAGGTCTGTGTGTGAGGCTTCTCCCCTCTCTTACCCAGGAATGTTAGGTCCCAAACAAAAACCCTGTTCCCACTGCTGACTCTACGAAAGCAGAACTGAAAACTGATTGGGCTCTGTTCGGAGTCCCCGTTCATGGGGGCTGACTCCACATCCATTCCTGAGATAGTCACTGAGCACGGCCTGTGTTCCAAGCACAGCGCTACGTACTGGGGACTCAGATGAGTGCAGCGTGCGTGCTCCTGTCCATGCCATGTGCAGTCGAGTGGAGGAGAGGCATTAAACAAGGAAATGCCAAAATTTCTATCTATCATGAGAAATACAGAGAGGGGAAAGTGCAGATACTGGCAGAGGAGGAGGCATAAGGATCAGGGACGCCTTCTCTGAGGAAGGAGAATGATGCTGAATCCACAGAATTCGCTGGCCATTGGGAGGTCCCCATGCGTTCCCCCAGCTGACTCCAGCGGGCTGCTCTCGGGCATCACCCTGCTGGACCCTCAGCAAGCTCGGGCACAATGCATCACTCCATTCCTCAAGAAAAACTCTCTTTACTTGGCTCCCTGGATGCCAGACTCACCTGACTTTCCTCCTGTGTCACTGATTGCTCCTTCTCAGTCTTGTCTTCACACCCTCTAACCATTCCAGCACCCGGTCCCTGCTCTCATGACTCCCCTGCCTACGCTCACCTTCCCCCCGAGCCCACACTCATATGCCCAAATGCCTGCACAGTTCCCCTGGAGGCCTTGGTGCATCTCAAAGTCTCACTCCAACCTGCTCCTTCCCCAGCACTCCCCACCACGGTAAACAGCACCATCATCCCCCCAGCACTCAGGCCACAATCCTTGGGGTCGCCCTGGACTCCTTGTCCTCTCATACTCCACATCCAACCCGACAGCAAATCCTGTTGACTCTCCAAAATGTGTCATGAATTAGCCCACCTCTCACCACTTCCACTCTAGGCCAAGCTACCAGTGTCTCATCCTGGATTCCTGCTGGGCCTCCTCAGCTGCCTCCCTGGCTCCAGCCTGGATGCCAAGCAGTGGGTTCAACACACGCCAAAAGTGTGGGCCTTTAAATCAATGTCACACTATCCTCCTCTGCTGCTCACAATCCTCTGTCAACACCCCCGTCCCACTGACAATAAAATCCATGTCCTTGGCCGGGCACAGAGGAGGCTCACGCCTGTAATCCCAGCACTTTGGGAGGTGGAGACAGGCAGATCACGAGATCAGGAGTTCGAGACCAGCCTGGCCAACATGGTGAAACCCCGTCTCAACTAAAAATACAAAAATTAGCCAGGCGCAGTGGCGCGCACCTGTAGTCCCAGGTACTAGGGAGGCTGAGGCAGGAGAATTGCTTGAACCCAGGAGGCAGAGGTTGCAGTGAACTAAGATTGTGCCACTGCACCCCACCCTGGGTGACAGGGGGAGGCTCCATCTGGAAAAAAAAAAAAAATCCATGCCCTTACCTTGGCTTTCCAGGACCAACAAGATATGACCCCAGGCCTCTCTCCCACCTCAGCTCTCCCGGTTCCCAGACCCCACCACAGTCAGGCCCAGGCCACTCTCCCACCTCAGCTATCTCAGTTCCCTAACCCTAACACAGGAAGGCCCAGGCCACTCTCCCACCTCAGTTCAAGGTCCCCTTCATCACTGACTCCAGCCACGGGGGCCTTGTGACTGCTTCTGCAGCACTTCAGCCCAGCCTTAGCTGAAGGCATCTGCACATGCCCTTTCCTCTGCCTGGAAGGCTCTTCCTGCTCACTGAAATCGTTCTTACACTCGACTCAGGCCTAAAATGCTCCCTCTCCAAAGAGGCTTTCCCTGAGCATCCACAGAAAAGAGCTGCCCTCCTGCTTCCCTCCGCTTGCTTCATCTCCACCCACTGGCCACCACCTGACCTTCTCTCTCTACTTGGGCATTTGTTCATTTCCAGTGTCCTCCTGAAATGCAAGCTCTATGAGAGCTGGGTATTTGTCTCGTTCACTTCTGTATCCCTAGCAGCAAGAACAATAGTAAGCTCCCAATAGCAGGCTTCAGTTTGGGGATTGCCTAGCAGTTGAAAGCATGGATGCTGGAGCCGGACTACCTGGCTTCTAATCCCAACTGTGCCACCTCCTAGATTCAGAACGCTGCACAAATTACCAAGAGATGTTTCAATTTCCTCATCTGTAAAATGGAGATAATTATAATATATGATAGAGATGGTGACATGTTAAATTAGTAATTGGATGTAAGGCACCTTAGAATGGTGTCTGGCCTACAATAAAAATGCTAAATAATTTTAGCTGTTTGTAGAATTGTAGACTATAAATACTATTGATTTAAACCAAAAATGTCACATATCTATATTAGTTGGATGGAGGATAAAGGAGGGAAGACATGTGAGAGAGGAAAATCCTCACTTATCATAATGAAAAGTCAATAGTTAGTGCCTAAAATTGAACTGAAGATAATAACATCAGCACATTATTGAGAAACTTGGACGTAAAGGCTATAGTTGAAAGTGACTCTCATTGAAGAGCCAGTCTAGATGTGGAGAAGGAAGGGCAAGGGATTGCTGTTTTGCACCATTTTTCCTTTTTAAAAATGTACAACTACTGCACAATACAAATAAAATAAGGAAAGAAAAGCTGCTTCATAGGTACAATTAAAAAAACTATATACCTTTTGTGGCAAGTATGTGGTCTTATTGCACCCTAATTCCAAAGTGGAGGTACAGGGAAAGGTTTTCCAGAAAGGGCTATCATGGGGGAAAGGTACAGGGTGGGTGTAGGCTCCTGGGCATGGGCTGAGGAAGGAAATTTCCCGAGCCCTGAGCTGCAGCCTGAGGACTTGCCTGCTGCTGAAGATTGAATCTGGAAGGTAAGGATAAAGCAGTCAAGGCCCCAAGAAGGAACCAGGGCACCTGGGGCTCCAGACATTGGTGGGAATAAAAACAACGACAACAGCAACAGCTTGATGGAGAATGGGAACACAACTGCCCAAACTTCACAAATGTACTTGGGGCTCCGCCATGCCTAAAGCTGAGTGTCAGACATCAACCAATGCTCTCTGACAAGTCAGGCACTGATTTAACTGATTTGCTTTTCCTCCTGAAACTTTGTTGCTTTCCTATAGGAAATCCCGCCCTTGCCCTCATCCTGAGAGATGGCCTTTTCTGGAGCTGCTTTCCCTCCCAGATGTGTATAAAGAATGAATCGCTTTGTTTTACATGAATTTGTTCTCATTTGTTCATGGCAACTGGAAAGGTATATGGTGTCTGCATGGGGTGGAATAGAGTTTGGTCTTTACCCCATGTCACAGTCAGCAGAAAAGATGAGGTGCATCCACAGAGATGGGGATTAATTAGCTAAATGGAATTAAGCTACAAAATTGTCTTAATTGTTTCCTTTGACTTCACAGTGACTGAGCATTGTAAAAGATTCAAATAACATAAAATATTACATTATATATATAAACTAAAAAGAAGCAAACCTTGAGGAATTCCTCACCTCTGAGTGAGCCACTGTTGGTAATCTGTCATGTAGTATAGATTTTATTCTGTGCTTATCTTTCTATCTACCTATCTATACACTTTTACAAAAATTAAATCATACCATGCATTGCTGTTCAGTTTTTTCCAGTAACAAATATCTTGGACATGTTAACTCGATGCTATATCTAGGGTTATTCATATAGCTAAACAATGACATTCTTTCAGGAGAAAGAGAACCCAGATTCTAGTGGGGGAGGGGAGATATCTGGGCCTCGATGGAGAAATGCAACCTGCCTATTCCTGTCTCCTCCCGCTCCTCCTCCTCCTTCTGCTCCTCTTCCTCTTCTTCCTCTTCATCTTTCTTCTTCTTCTTCTTCCCACATTTCTTCCAGAGGTATAGCCCAGCTCCCAGGATCAACAGCACAAATGCAATGACTCCAAGAATATCTCGCGAAGGAGAGCCGTGTCCAGTCTACATGAACCTGTTCTCCCAGACAGAGAGTGAAAAAGGCTAAGGCAGGAAATAACTTGACATAACCATTGCCAAGAGGAGACAGAGGGAGAAAGCAGGTGGAGCAGTGGGAAGGAGCCTGGTGCAGAAGCTGCAGAGGGAGGAGCATGACAAGTCCATTCATTCAACTGGTTAAGAGCTGTTGCTTGGTGCCAGGAATGCTGAGATGCACAAGACGATGTCCACAGCAGCCCAGCACACAGGAGGGAAGACAGAAAATACCAACTGCCAGACAGAGGGATCGCAGCTGCAATAGAGGTTTACACCTTGTACAAGGTCATCAGGGAGGGCCTCCCAGAGGAGGTGCTGGCTAAACTGAGGCTTGAAGCGGGAGTAAGAGTTTCTCAGATATTCAGGGTGGGGCATTCCAGGAAGAAGGAGCACCACACTTAGGAAATTACTGTGTCAAAACACCAGCCCTGGGAGTTGCCAGCACCCCATTGCAGCAGGAGAGGAACAGGGCAGGGAGGAACCATGGCAAGGAGAGTCAGAGGGGGCAGGAGTCTGTGCCCAGAGGGCCTTGTTGTCACGCTAAGTACTGAACACTCCAGGATGGAGGACAGGGGAGGAGGTAACGGGTGGTTTAAAGGGATGCTGACACATCAGAGCTCTCCGGCAGCTCCTGGAGGAAAGGTTAGAGAAGATGTGACTGCACCAGGGTACCAAGTCATTCATTCATCCAATGAACACTGATTGTGAGCAAACTTTGCCAGAAGCTGTACTTGGCACAGGGATTCAAAGGAGAACATGATGGTGGCCTCTGCCTGAGGGCATTGCCATCTACAGAGCAAAGACATAACCCCACCACTACTACTCTGTGTGGGGTGCCATGGACGCTCCCTAAAGGATTGCTGCCTAAGTTCAGGACTGGATACATAACTGAAAAGGCCCTATGCAGAATGAAAATAGGAAGCCCTTGTTCAAACTTATTAACAGAACTTTAAACCAAACATGGGGCCTTTACATGGTCTTCACCCCATGAAGCAGAAGTGAAGGACACAGGACTTGGGATGGCTGATACAGAAAATCCAGCATGTGCAGAAGCCCAGAAGCTTGCAATGGCAGGATACATTCAGAGAACTATAGCAAGCAGTTTGGTGTGAAGAGAGCAGATGAGGCTAGCAACGTGGACAGAGGTGCATCTAAGCTCTGAATCATACGGAGAGTGGCTGGAATCAGGTTCCCACAGATGACACAGACAATGGCACAAGCTGTCCTGCTTTTCTCAAAGCCCACTCTGGATGCCCAGTGGAGGATGGATGGAGTGGGAGAGCTCCCGGAAGGCTGCTGCCTTTACCAATAAGGACATGGTGGGGTTGTGGGGAGGAGGGCATCGGTGGGAGAGATGGTTAAGGGCAGAAGCAAGGTGGATGTGACTCCCACACTGCTGTGTGTGGTGAGCAGGTGGAAGGTGGTGCTAATGCACATGGTGGAGAATAGAGCCCAGAACCATTAAACCCCAGTACTGCCTGAGCTCAGGAAGCCCCTCCTATCTTGCAGGCTACACTCACCACTCACCTTGACACAGGCTTCCCCAAGGTAAGGTTACATCTTTCTGATCTACCTAGTTGCTGACCACACAGGTGAGATTGCTGTTCCGCTGGCTCAGGGGCAGGTCCACAGCCAGGATCCAGGGGTTAGGGGCTGGTCCTCGTGTTTCTCTGTGCTCCAGCTCTCTGAGGAGGTCCTTGCTCTCCCAAGTCACATTCAGGTCCTCTGTGGCTCCTGGAGCCCTACAATCCAGGGTGATGTTACACAAGCCTGGTATGATAGACAGTGACTTGGCCAGGATCTCAGGATGAGGCACAGGCTCTGGGGAAGAAAGAGACAGAAGAAAGACACCTCACATTTGTGGAGAACATTGCACATCACACTTTCTTATCATTTTCTCATTAAAGCCATGGCATGCTCCCTATAGGAAAAGTGGGTGTGGGTGTATTCTACAGATAAAACACAATTTGCTCAAGGCCAAATACTGAGCAAATGACAAGGGAAGCCACTGAGTTCAGCTCCATGTTGGTTTCCTAGATTGAATAGGTCTTAAAACTGTCCCAAAGAAAATAGAAGCTGGACTCAACCCTCCCAGAGCCTTTTTTTTTTTTTAAATTAGGGTCTTTCCAGGAAAGAAAAAGTCTGGGATATAAGGGCTTATTCTGGCCCAGGTTCCTTCACCTGCATCCCCAGCTGAGGCCAAGCTGGGGACCGCACAACCCTTGAGGGACAGGACATCAGGTCAGCTCTGGGAGGCCAGAGAAAGGCCCATGCTCCCAAAAGTGGACGTGTCTATGGAGGATGCAGTGGTCACGAATAGAAACAATGACTCTGAATGTGGTTAGAAAGTGCCACTGGATCTGGGAGCCGTGGCTCACGCCCGTAATCCCAGCACTTTGGGAGGCCATGGCAGGCGGATTGCTTGAGCTTAGGAGTTTGAAACCAGCCTGGACAACATGGTGAAACCCCGTCTCTAGAAAAAATACAAAAATGAGCCAGGTGTGGTGGCGGTCTCCTGGAATCCCAGCTACTTGTGGGGGCAGAGGTGGTATGATCGCTTGAGCCAGAAAGTTGAAGCTGCAGTGAGCTGTATTTATGCCACTGTGCTCCAGCCTTCCAGCCTGGGTGACAAAGTAAGGCCCTGTCTCAAAACCAACAACAACAACAACAAAAGAACATGCTACTGAACCTGTGGTGCAGACAGAAGAGAGGAATATGATTCACAGGCCAGCCTGAGAAATCACATGGGACCTAAAGCTGCAAAAGCCACTCTCTCCATGGCAGGATATTCCCCCATGCAGAGAGGAACTTTAGGGAAAGAAAGAGTTGGCTAAACTAGTTTCCTAAGAAGTGTCGCAGTGTAAACTTTCTCCTACGCCTACGGAGGCTTTGAGAGCCAGATTTGTGGTGGCTCATGTGACTGAGGCTGGCCCTGGGCTGGGGCTGAGTGAGAGGGGAGGACTTCATTCACAGGGATTCCCAACTGTGGTAGGCAGAACAGTGGCCTCCAAAATGTTTAGGACCAATCCTGGTAACCTGGGAATAAGTTAGCTGCAAGGCAAGGGGAATTAAGTTCCCAGATGGAATTAAGGTTGCTAATCAGCTGACCTTAAAATAGGGAGATGATTCTGAATTCCCAAACACTAACATCAGTGTTCTATTAGGAAATACAGGAAGATGGCCATGAGCCATGGGACGCCAGCAGCCACTAGCAGGTGAAAAACGCAAGAAAATGGCTTCTCCCCGGAGCCCTGAGAAAGAACACAGCCCTGCCACCACCTTCATTTTAGCTCATGGATACTTGTGTCACATCTCTAGCCTACAGCACAGTGAGATAATAAGTTTGTGTTGCCTTCAGCCAATAATTTTTGGTAGTTTGTTACATTAGCGATAAAAAACTACTATACAAATTAATGTTAATCGTATATAGGATGATTAATGTTATTGGAAAAATTGCTATTTTCCTGAATTTCCATTTCCTGTCCCAAAACACTGAAGAGATTTTCTTCCTGCTGTGAATCTCAGCTCTGCTCTGTATCTCTGGGGACCTCATGTGCCTTATTTTAGTGGAGAAAATGGAGTCTGAAGACTGGTGTCTGAATGGAACCCTGCATGGGGCCTATGTGACACTCTAGGGACAAAAAAAGCAGGTAAGCCAGAGGATGGGGGAGGGAGGGGTGTCACTCACCATAGACAGTGAGGTAGAAAACCTGGCCAGATAATTGTCCCCCAGTTAAATGGATCATGGCCATGTACTGCCCACTGTCTTCAGGGGCCAGGTTCTCAATCCTCAGAGACAACACGCTAGGCACATGGACCCTCTGCTTGAACTTTTCCTCAAGGCCGACCCAGGTTGGAGAGTCGGCCCCCCTGTGGACTCACAGCACCTGTGTATGATTTGACAGAGTACCCAAAGTCCATACAACCTCCTCCAGCTCGGCGTCTACATCTACTCTGAGCTTCTCAATCACATTCAACAACACAGAACCTCCTCGGATCCCCTTCAGACAAATGTGAGCTCCAGAATCCTTCACTGCAGGGCCATGTGCTCCAGAAGTGTTGGCTGTTGTGCTGCAGACACCTAGGGCATGGAAACAGGAAACATGAGTATTTCCTCAGCAAGAACAAATGAGAGAACCACAGAACTTTCTATTTTAGTAAAATTTATCCAATATACTCCCTTGATTTTAGGAATAAAGCTAGTACAACAAGTCTGAAGCAATTCTGAGAGCAAGTCCTGGTTCTTGTGGAGTGTAATGTCTAAGTATTTTGTACAATTTTGGTATAAAAATGGACACTAAACATCAGTGTTCTGGCCAGATGTGGTGGCTCAGGCCTGTAATCCCCGCACTTTAAGAGGCTGAGGCAGGTGGATCGCCTGAGGTCAGGAGTTCAAGACCAGGCTGGCCAACATGGTAAAACCGAAACCCTGTCTTTACTAAAAATACAAAAATTAGCCAGGCATGGTGGTGTGCGCCTGTGATCCCAGCTACTCAGCAGGCTGAGGCAGGAGAATCGCTTGAACCCAGGAGGCAGAGGTTGCAGTGAGCCAAGATCATGCCACTGTACTCCAGCATGGGCAACAAGCAAGACTCCATCTCAAAAATAATAATAATAATAATAAAGTGTTCTATTTAATCTGAAGCTCAAAGAAACAGCCATTTTTTCCACCTGGATAAATGTGGGCATTCATTAGACTTGCTGGGAGATAACACTCCAGTCTCCTGTATGGCACTTTCCTAACAGATTTTCAGGAATAATTCTGGCCAAAACAGTGTTTGTCTTACTTCTTGCAGCATTGCCTGGAACCAGTGAAATAGAAATTAGTGTTTTCTGCTGAGCAGACAGAAACTGAAAAGGTCTGGCTGAGGATTGTATTAGTGGCTTCTAAATGCCACAGCTGCAGCAGGCCTTCCTGAGTGAGGGCTGACCCCGAAGACCCCTCTCAGGAGCAGAGGCAGAGAAAGCAGAGGGTCACGTGGAGGGGACTGAGAGAGGAGGAGTCCCTTCCTCCCTTGAGGGCTGAGGAAGTGGCCACAGGGACACCCAGGGCCTTCTCTCTGAAGAAGCCTGAAATAGGCTCACTGGCTGTCAGTGCCCGTCAGGCCACAGGATAGGACAGGACAGGATGGGGAGACAGAGCAGAGACCTTGATAGAGCCACAGGAGTCACCAAATCCCAGAACCTCACTGCTGAGAGGGGACTCAAGGATGATCTGTCCAAGCTCCTGCTTTTATTACAGAGTAGGCACTCTCTATGGGGTAGACCTGTCCTGAGTCACACAGGGCAGAGCCACACCTGGAGCCCAATTTCCTCCCCCAGCCCAGGGCCTCCCCTGCAGGACGCTGCCCATGAGCTCTTCCATCCTCACCTGCCCTCCCCGGAGCTCAGCTGCACTGTCGTCTGAGCCCACCAGGCCCTGAGCAGCTGCCGGGGTCTCCACCCCAACTGCCCTCTCCTGAAAAGGGGAAGCAGCTACTTTCAGTGGCTGAGCAGAGCAGGGACTTCTGGCTAGCAGAGGGTTAAACAGGCAGCCTGGACAGACCCCACTTCCTGGACGAGGGAACTGGGAACCAGAAAGAGAGGAGGCTCAGCCCTCAGGCTGCCAGGGAGGATCTGCCCCAGAAGGTGGATGATGAGCATAGCAGGGAGGAAGATGAAGATTCAGAGAGGGAAGGAAGGCAGCAGGAGCTCTCTGATCTACAGAGATGCTAATCCTGAAGAAGAAAAAACAAGCCAGGGAGCAGGTGGTCATTTACAAGGTGGAGTTAAACATTCATTTAAACTGTATAAAATTTTAAATCCTGTCATCAGCATAAAAGATTGTTCATTTTTATCCAGGCATGGTAGTGCACACCTGTAGTCCTAGCTACTTGGGGGGCTGAGGCTGGAGGATCACTTGAGCCCAGGAGGTCGAGGCTGCAGTGAGCCAAGATCACACCATTGCACTCCAGCCTGGGAGACAAAGTAAGACCCTGTCTCAAAAAAGAAAAAAAAAAAAATATATATATATATATATATAGTCCATTTGTCTGACATAGCTCCCATCACCACACTCACAAACCAACAATTCATGTTTGATGCCCAAACTGCGCTTCTTGGTACCATCTCCATTGTCTCATGTCTCTGTCTGGAGCCCCTAATGCAAAGACCCTTTCTCCTCCAACTCCCTGCTGGCAGACACTGGGTGGGCATTCAGTAAATCTTGTTATTGTTATGGTCAGGGGCTCCCCAGAAGTCAAGGACCACCCTCACCTGCAACTGCCTCTGTCTCTGGGAAATTATATGTGAGCTGAGCCACCCTCAGGCTCCCTCCTTCCCTTCCACACTTCCCCATCCAAACACATGTTCAGGAAGGGTGTTAGAGTTTAAGAATGATGAGGACAAATTCCTCATTTCCACTACATCATCACTGCTTCATCCCCATCTTCCTCCCTGGGTCAAGGGTGAACTGGAACAAGGACTATCCAGAAACCAAAGGAAAAATGCATCCAATTATGGAGCTTCGGGATTCTTGCAAGGACGCAGAGCAATTTCACAATGATGTTCCTTCTGCGGACAGCCTCTGACCAAATTCCACAGCAAGAGGTCTTGTCTCATTCAGTACCACACCACTGGGACAACCAATTTCATTCTTTCCCAGTAATTTCCTGAGAGAATCACTTTCTTTGTCTGGACACGGATCTCCTACCCCTAAAATGAGAAATTCTAAGTCCTTTCCTTCTTTCTCTCCCTCCCTTCCTTCCTTCCATTCTTTCTTTATTTTTCTTTGTATCTTCAGAAATCTTCCAACCCCCATGCCTACAAGGAAAACTCTATACAACTGAACATATTTCCAGGTAAATAACATTGTAGAAGTGGAGAACGCCTACATTTTGCTGACTACAGAAGGTTACCTATGTAAAGAGGACGTAGCCCTATTTCTAAGCCCATTGTTTTTTCAAGACATCCTGTTTTACAAATGCTCTCTAATCTGCTCAATTTCATATAATTCCCTGCAAGTTCAAGTATTGGCTGGAATATTAAAACAAAAAAAATTATAACCATAAAACTTCCACAAAAATTCATCTTTACTATGTCTTATTTTGTCATTAATTTTGACCTAATTTCATTGTATATACAAACATATAATCTTAAATAGAGTCATGAATGTGATATACAGCCTAGACTAGGACAGTCTTTCTTTCAGTTTCCTTTTTTGCTTAATTCCCTGTGTTCTCTGCTTTTTCTCCCTCCATTTTTCCTGCCCAAATTCATGCTCTGTTGTAGCCCATGTTAGCAATCTACTGATTCCTTCCACATTGCCAATATAGTCTTAAAAACATGTGACTGTAAAGATGTAAACCCTTAAATTTTGGAAGCTGCTTTTCCTTTTATAAAGTAAGGATTTCATTGTGTTTCATTTCCTGAACTTGCTGCTAGGATTCCATACCTCATACTTCAAAAAAATTTAAAACTCCTTCCAGGAAACTGAACTATTTCTTTTTGTAAGCCTCCATAATATTCCATGGTACAGATACTCCTCAGTTTGGTCAATCATTCATGAATTGATGGGCACCTCCTCTTTTTTCCAGGGTTTTTCCCTACAACAGTGCTGTGATAAACATGGTTTCACCTGCGGCCTCCAGGACCTGAGCAGCATTTCAGGGTGGAGGGAAAGGCAACTCTCAGGGACAATAAAGGGATCCTCCTGTGGTATTCATTTTAGGCAAAGATAAATGCTGGTTAATATTTTAAATGAAAACTATTTGGCCAGGCGCAGTGGCTCACATCTGTAATCTCAGTACTTTGGGAGGCTGAGGCAGGCGGATCACGAGGTCAGGAGATCGAGACCATCCTGGCCAACATGGTGAAACCCCGTCTCTACTGTAGCTGGGTGTGGTGGCGGGCACCTGTAGTCCCAGTTACTCAGGAGGCTAAGGCAGGAGAATCTCTTGAACCCAGGAGGCAGAGGTTACAGTGAGCCAAGATCACACCACTGCACTCTAGCCTGGTGAGAGAGCGAGACTCCATCTCAAAAAAAAAAAAAAAAAAAAAAAAAAAAAGAAAAGAAAACTATTGCAAATTACACAAACAATTTTAAGATAAACCTGAGACCTCCAAGTGTCCTCTCCTTTGTGATGACCTGTGAGCCCCAAGCCCAGGCAGGGGAGTTCATATTCACTCTCCTTTTTCAACGGAGAAGCCCAGGACAGAGGAGCTTCTTCCAGTTCAGACAGCAGGGTTCTAGTTCTGCCCCTCCTCCACAGGACAGCTGCAAAGACCGTCAGAGCACCTCTGAGTTCCTGGCTGGGAATGTATTGTTCCCACCCTCTCTTCCCCAGGAGACAGGTAGTTTGTCTGTCTTCATCCCTCTTTCCAGGCAGGTAGTTTGTCTGTCTCCATCCCTCTTTCCAGGCAGTATCAGGCCACCCTCCTACTGCAGCAGAAGCGGCCCCACCTCCCTGGTAAAGGTTCCCTCAATACCACCAAGACTGCCCTAGTTCAGGGTTCCCAGCCTCCTCACCACCAAAAGGACTTTTTGTTATTTCTATCCTGGGGCTCCAACCAAATATGCTGCATTTGTAAATCATAACAGAGTGGTTTTCTCTTTTTGTGGCCCAAAGACAGCGGAACCTGAACAGCCCACCCAGTGGTCAGACCCAGCTAGCCCAGCCCCACCCAACTGCCCTCCCTTCCCAGGAACCCTGCACTCACTGAGGAGGAGATTGATGAATCCCAGGAGCCCTGAGTCCCAGCAGAGGGACTGGCCCCAGAGCAGGGCCCCATGGCAGGCTGCCTGCTGCTTGTTCAGCTGCAGAAGAAACATAGGAAGAAACGAAGGCAAGAGGGAAGGACAAGTTTGAGCACAGGAGCCCTTCCCCACTTTAAGGGTGGGGCTAGCAAGTTACTACTGGGGAGACAGCCACCAGTCTAGAGAAAGCCATTCAGCTCTTTCATCCCCTCCCAGTCCCTACAGTACCACACACACTCAATAAGTAATTGCAGAAGAAATGAAAGTACAACCTCACTCTGTGATGTTCCTGGCAGTTTGTTAGACTGTCCCGTCCCTGCGGGCACAGCCAGCTTGGTGTTCCCTCCCACACCCTCCCCTGATGCTTCCCTGGGTTCACAGCTCTGCCCCAGGTGGCCCTGGTGACCAGTGTCAGCCTATGGTCAGGCACAGAAGTCACCCTCTTACAGCAAGGCTGGGCTATGCCACTCCTGAGTTCAGTGGCTTTCCTTTGTCACTGCCTTATTTAGTAAATTAAATTTCTTCTTTTTTATTTTTTTGAGACAGGGTCTCACTTTGTCACCCAGACTGGAGTGCAGCGGTGCAACCTTGTCTCACTGCAGCCTCAACCTCCTGGGCCCATCGATCCTCCCGCCTCAGCCCCGCCAAGTAACTGAGGCACCACCACTCCCAGCTAATTTCTGTAGAGATGGGGTTTTGCCATGTGGCCCAGGCTGGTCTTGAACTCCTGAGCTCAAGCAATCCACCTTTCTTGGCCTTCCAAAGTGCTGGAATCACAGGCATGAGCCACCGTGCCCAGCCAGATTTCTGTTTAGATTTTCCAAAAACTTCAACTGTCAGTTGCCTAAGTAAGAAGCTATGGGCAAAAGAACAAAGTTCTCGTGGATAGTGTAAACTCCCCACATCCCCATTGCAAATCCTGGCATTTACCTTTTGCTGGTGGCCATATGGTTTCTCAGTTCCCACTAGTGCTAGTCACCTTTCTATACACTCAGGGTAAGGACAGACCCCCACAGAAGCTGACAGTCTACAGAAAGCCATTCAGCCATGGCTGGATTGAACCATGACTTCCCCTGTAAGTTCCTCCCAGCCCTGCTCCTGCAGGACAGAGAGCTGCATACTCCCTCTGCCACAGCCTCAGCTGCCTTAAACTCTCCACCTCCTGCTGAGCCTCTTCTCTCCAGACCTAGATACACCACAACATCTGTGAGTTCCCCCTTCCGTTACCCTGGGGGAGCAGTATCATTTTCCTAACCCCAAGGCACCGCCTCCTTTTCCCCACCTGGTCTTCCCCGATGGCTGCACAGGCAGAACACCCCGAAGGCTGGAGCTGCAGGCCTGACCCCATGACCACCTCAAGGTAGGTTTCTGGGTATTAAATCCATTTAATGGATGTGAAACCCAAACCTCAGAGGGCTTATGAACCTGTGAAAGGTCACACAGCTAATCAAGGCACAGGGTCTGGACTCCTGACCACAAGCTCAGGACTCATCGCTGACATCACAGCCACTCTCCCATCCCACTGTGTGTCCCCAAGCACGTCACCTTGAGTGCACTCTGTGCTCTCACCCAGAACTGCTCCACAGATTCCCAGGAGAGAAGATATTCAAGACTGGTTTGATTCTCACTCCCCTACCTGGTAATGGGGAAGTTACTGCAAAAGGCAGTCCACAAGTTCTAGAGTTAGAATATCCTTCCTATGTGGAATCAAAATCTGGGCAGCTCATCTGCGCTCACCCTCAGGATCTCAGCGTGACGGGAACCAAGCCTGGCCGGGCTGCTCCCTCAGAGAACTAATTAGAGGAAGGGTCACTGAGTCACCCAGCCCAGAGGGCATCACAGGCAGGAGGGTGGTCCTGTGTCAGGACTCAGGCTGTGGAAGGAGGCAGACATGAAAGTGACAGCAAAGAGGGGAAGCCTGTCTATGGCCAATGAGATCTGATGCCTCCCTGAGATAGACCCAGAGCTGCAGTGAAGTCAATGACCAAGCACCTTCTTGGATCCACTGGGTTTTTTCTTGGAAACCAGGGCAGAACAGAGCCAAGACAGCAGGTGTGGGTGCAGGTGTGAAGGGTTAGACTGGGACGGAAAGAAAGTGGGGGACTATGAGACAGTAAAGTTGGACATTTTCAGAAGCATAGGGAGGCTTCATTGTGTCAAGCCCTGGCCAGGGATCAAACCAAGCTCAGGCAGATCTCTGAGGGCAAGCTGGCACATTCCCTTTATAAACAGGCTCATCCAACACCCATTATGCCCCTGACCTAGGATGCCTTCCTGTACTGCAGGAGATGAAAAGCTCAAAACTACATTTTTCAGACACATTTCAGCTGAGGTCCCACAGGTCATTTCACATACACAGAACTTTTACTGAGACTGAGTTACATGGGGGTGGAGGCAAGGTGCAGGCCATGTTTTGGGCAAGGAAGGCTGGCAGCAATGGCATGGTCACAACCAGCAGCTCCTGACCTCACTCTGTTGCCCAGGCTGGAGTGCAATGATGCAATCTCAGCTCACTGTAACCTCTGCCACCCGGGTTCAAGCAATTCTCCTGCCTCAGTCTCCCAAGTAGCTGGGATTACAGGTGCCCACCAGCAGGCCCAGCTAATTTTTGTATTTTTAGTAGAGACGGGGTTTCACCATGTTAGTCAGGCTAGTCTTGAACTCCTGACTTCAGGTGACCCATCTGCCTCAGCATCCCAAGGTGCTGGGATAATGGGCATGAGCCATCACGCCTAGCCCTGACCTTGCAGTTTTCTTTCTGTCCACGGCACAGGCGGCAGCTCTCTCCACAGCCCAATTCTGCATTGTGGCTCTGGACACCATTTCTGGAATCTCTGGCATGAGTTTGTTTCTTTCATTCTACCAAAAAATCATGGAACTAAAATGTATGTTTTCATAATACATTTTCTCCTAAAGAAAAAAGCTAAAGAGGATGCTGTCGTCTGCCACTAAAAGATGTAATGGAAAACGGAATATGAAATTCTCTATCTGACCTGTGTTGGTATGAAGGCCATAAGGAACTAATATATCTTATGTAATTTATTTACTATAACAAAAAAGAGAAAATGTCAAAAGCCTCACCATTCTTTGTGAGACAATTGGAAACTACCTTCACCTCATGAAGCTGAGCAGCCAGAGAAAAATATTCTGGGGGTCAGGAGCCCCCAAAGGCAGCTGATGAGAGGTCCTATGCTCAGGTCACTGAACTGGGCCCCTGTGTCCGTGGCAATGAGACAGGTGCCTGCCCTGAACTAAGTTCCATGGGGTAAGAATGGGGAGAGTCTGACCCATGGTCACATTGGGGCATGTCACCTGTGAGGGGCACATGGGTATCATTATGATCACTTTCTCATTTTACAGATGAGGAAACTGAGGTTGCAAAGAGATGAGCTGGTAAACCCAAGGTGTGGAAAGTGAGTAACTGGCCAGAGCCAGGCCTCGGACCAGGTCCCTGGCCTCCCAAACCAATGGTCTTTCCAAATTCAAGTCCCCTCTCAGTGAAGTGAGTCTGCCACACTAGGATGACTTCAGACCTTGAGGAGCCACACCAAGGGAGAGGGAGGCCAGGCCTGTCCCAGGCGGCATCTCACCTCCCTCATACCACCCCCAGGAAGAGGAACCAAGGCCTGTGGCTCCATATCCAGAGCCTCTGGGCCCCAAGGCAGCCCTGGACCAACCACAGCCACCTCCGTCTACACTCTGCCAGTCACAAACAGGCCTGCACTGCCTCACGCCCAGCACAGCCCTGCACACATGCTGGCCTGAAAAGCCTCGGTGGTCTCACTGGGGACCCTCATACTCTAAGGTGGAGGTGGCCAGCCCTGCCCTCCTCCCTCGGGGCTCATGGTCTCATTTCACAAGGTGTTTTCATCCTAGTCTTCGCCACCTCAATCATGCCAACTACGTTACCTTTTGAACCTGGGAAAGGCCCCACTGATGGAGAGACAGCTTGGGCCTATGGTAGGGCCAGCTCCCGCCCAACGTCAGTGTGTTGGTGACATTCGCACTCCAACCACAGCAGACAGGTGCCTTTCTGCAGGACTTCCTTTATCTCAAGAGTTCCTTCTCAGTTCTTGGTTTCCAGAATCTCTCTTTCATCCAGCAGAGGAGGAGGACAGGCCACATCACCCAGTCCAACCTCCAAACCCACCAGGGACTCAGGTCACAGCTGCTCCACCCCCCAGGGAAGCCTGTGGTCTCTGCAGATCCCAACTGCAACCCCAGAACGTGCCCACAGACCTTTGAGCCCCCTCTCGATGGGGCACAGAGGAAAGGGAGAGCCCAGCAGGAGCTGTTCACTGGGAAAACAACTCCTCATTTACAGGGGTTAGCCCCATTCCTTATGGACCACAGAAGGATGCCCCGTCAGCCTCCAGTCTGCCCACCTGCACCCAGTGCCTGAGTAAGAGCCTTCCCTGCCATCCCCTATCAAACGTCTGCTGCCCCTTCCACATGCAGCTCACCTGGCCCTGGGGAGCCGTCCCCGACCTGCCCCAGGTGAATTAGGTGCTCTGGGCTCTCCCAGCACTCTTAGCTGTTGTCCATGAAGACCCTGAGGGTGTCATGTATGCTCTGGAACAAGACAAGCAGCTTCCATCTAGGCTACAGGCGGCAGCCTGCTCTGATTGTCATGCAGCACATATTTACTGAGCACACCTGAGCCTGGCACTGGAGGAGACTTCCCTTCCTGTCCAGTCACCACCTGCTGCTGTCACTGAGCCCCTAGGTGGTTTCAAAGAGAGCACAGCCTCACTCAGCACCTCCCCTTCTGACAGACATCTCAGCCCACAAGGGGCCCACGTTCTGTGGTAAAATGAAGGAGAGCTCCTCTCCCTTAAATGTTCTCAGGCAGCCCTGAGCAGTCAGGTGTGTGCTATTGTTCCATAGCTGACACAGCAGCCCACCCTGGCTGTGTGGTGCCCACCTCCTTAGGAGCCTGCAGGGCTCCAGCTCAGGGCTGGGCCCCAAGACACACTCCAGCATCAGCCATCTTGCTTGCCAGAGGAGGCGCATCAAATGCAGGTTGAACTTCTCAAATGCAGTTATTTGCCCTCAGCAAAAAAATATGAGAGGCGGGAAAATATCCATTTAAATGTGCAGCAATTCTACTCAGATCCCAAAGTAAGTATGACATGGGAGCCGCAAATCCATGGTGCCCCTGGTCCATCTCTCTGCTCTCGCCTGCCTCTCAGATGTGCACCTTCTGCTGCCTGGTGGGCAGCAGTGAGCAGGTAGCAGTTTAACCACTGGCTCCACAGGAGGAAAAAGCCCTGGTTTCTAGTAATTGCTAATTTCCATGGTGTAAATATTCCCACTCTGTCTAATTACAACCACCAACATCATGACTATGAACACAGATTTGGGAGGAGATGCACAAAACCAGCTCACAAGCCGGCTCCAGCTGGCTCCAGCACACACTGTCTGTGAGTGGATCTAATAATTAAATATGCAGGACACATTTTTCATATAGCATGGCCCCTCAACACCAGCCAACCATTTCATCGGGAAGAAAACACAGCCTCTTCCCAAGCAGAAGGAGAAACTTGCTGAGGGATGGAATGTTGGTCTCCAGTAGAGCAGCACTCTAGGGGATCCACACAGCAGATTGTAACTGTAATTGATTTCCACCTCAGAACCCAATTCTTCCCATCAATCACCAAAGCTAAGGCTTGGTTACTCCTCACCCAGCCTCCTCCTTCACTGCTGGGCTGTCCCAGCCTAAAACTCACGTGGGGTCCCCACTGTCCACTTCCCCACAAGACTGTGTAGTCTGAGGGCACAGAAAGGCTTTTCCTTTGGGAGCCCAGCATGCTTGGAGACAGGACTTGGAATCCAACTGGACGTTGATTCCATTCCTGCTTCTACCGCTAAGCTCTGTCATCCAGCAGATCCTCAATGGCCTCATCTGGAAAATGAGATAATACCTCCTCTGCAGGGTTGCTGGGAGGACTAAATAGATAGAAGAAAGCCCCACACACAGCACAACACACAACAGGGCAACTCCGACTCCCTCCCCTCCCCTCCCCTATTCTTCCCCGGAGAAACAGGGCTGAGCCATAGTCGGGCAATGTCGCCACTTAGTGGCTGTGCTCAGAATTGCCCAAAAGACCAACAGTTCCTGGATTTGAGGAAAACAGGGAAAGCACTTAGGGAAGAGGTGTTGAGTTTCTGAGAAGCCATTTGGCATTATGGAAAGTGACTGGGTACCGGCATCTGGAAAACCAGGTTCAGGTCCCAGCCTTGCCAAATATTAGCTGTTTGATCCTAATCAAATTATGTAACTTCTCTAAGCATCAGTTTCATCATGTGTAAAATGGGGACGATAATTTTAACCTCAGATTAATGCTCGGAAAGCGTTTGTTGCCCTTATCTTGCTCCTGATGCTCTTCCAGCCCTCTCTCCCCATCCTGATAAACATCACCTTCCTGGTTCCTGACCCCCCATTAGCTCCCCAGGGCCACAGCTTCTCATCCCTGTTTTCAGGAGCACTAATTCCCCCAAGACACTACCTCTCAGAGAGAGATTTTCAAAGTCCACCGTCTTATCCTCATTGCTTCAGGCTCAAAAACTTTACATTCTTACAAATTTAATAATTCCTAGTGACACATTCATGGTGACAAAATTAAGTCGAGATTATATACAAAGCAGAATGCCAAGTCTCTCATTTACAATAAAAGTCACCCATCTCTGGGAACAGGTACCAAGCCAGAGAATCAGGACACCCTCTTCCCATTAACAAAGTCTCTTCCCAACCACAAGGGCTGTTGCTGGACACAGACTCCGAGATGGTCACGGTGAGAGACTGTTTGTCCCACATTCAGGAACATCCCGAGACTCCCTAACCCCGGCTTCAAACACCTCCCTGGTTGGCAGATGCCTGTGACCCTCGTCCCGAGGACACGCGCCCACCAGCCTCGCTTCCGCGCTGACCAGCACCTTCCAGGTATCAAGCCCTCCCCACATGGGCCGAAGCCTTAGTCAGCTGGCCTGGGAAAGCCCAGGCTTTAGAACTGCACAGAATTGGGTCTGAATCTCATTTCCCACTTATTACCTTAGTGACCCTGGACAGATTGCTGAACTTGCCTGAGCCTGTGAGCTCATCACAATGGGGCACAAGCACCCACTTCAGGGAGTGTCTGCGTTGAGTAAGTGAGGCCCTGTGCGTGCCCAGTGAGGTGCCCGGCAGATGTTCAGCCAATGATCCTATTTCATTCCAAACCCCGCATCTAGGAGATCCTTCCTCCTTTGTGAAGGTGCTGGATTTACCACCAGGCCAGAGTCCAGGGCGCCCCCTCGTGGCTCTGCGTTTACCAAATTTTATTTCAGAATAAAATTATTGGCCGGCTCGTTGGCTCACACCTGTAATTCCAGCACTTTAGGAGGCAGAGGCGGGAGGACTGCTTGAGGCCAGGAGTTCAAGACCAGCCTGGGCAACAGAGCAAGACCCTGTCCTTCCTAAAATTTTTAAATTAAAAAAAAAAACCTCTCCTTGAGGATAGGAGACACCTGAGGAGAGATACCCCCACTAATTCCTCAGCCATCTCACTTTTGTATTTTAAAATAGGAGCCACTAAAATCCATTTACAATGAAAGAAAAATGTAAATGTATATCTATAAGGCATTTTTCCCTCCGTAAACACAGTAGATTCTTCACTCATCAGAATGAAATGTCATTAAACCTAAGCAAATGGATAAGCAGAGTAAATTATACATTTCTATCTAAAAGACTGGAACAAACAGGTCCATTTATCAGAATCTAAGCAATAAAGCAGCATCCCCACCCCAATCTAGGAAAAATATCTACTGCTAATTGCTCTGCCTGGGTGTTCCTGTATTTGGGCTTAAATTAGTTTTGAGCCATCTCCTAAAGCAGTCTCTACAAAAAGCCAAAATCTGTTCTTCTAACATAATATGTGCAGGTGTCCAACAGGCCTTATGGGCCTCAGACATCTGCTTAGGTGTTTCCTGGCCTAGGGGCCCCCGGCCATATATCAGACAGTTGACATTTATTAAGCACTTACTATGTGCCAGGGGCTGAGGCTACACACTTGATATGCATCTCATGAATCCTCAAACAACTCTATTATTTCTTTTCTTCTTTTTTCTTTTACAAACCCTTGTGTCAAGGGCTGAGTTTCAATAGATCACAGCAAGGGAGCTGCTCTGCTATGTACAAAACCCCAAACATTATGATCATTATGTCTACTTCACAGGTGAGAAAGTGAGGCTTAGAGAAGCAGTGATTTGTCCAACATCCTAGACAGATAAATAACAGTAAGGATTCAAACCTAGGTCACTCTGGCCCCAAAGCGCTTGTTCTTGTCCTACACTCCCAATACAATCTTGATTGCTTTTCTCAACGCACCTTTACAATAACATCTGCACTAGGACAACTATTACTGAGCTTGTCCAGTAGCAAACAACAGACTCTATGTTTTCTTTGCTGAATTCATTAACTTTTTCATATTTTGGGAGGACCAAATAACATTTCCTTCAGTGGCTTTTACTTCAGCCACTCTCATTCCCTTCTAAAGATGTTTGTGATGAATTTCTGACCCATCTGTGCCCTTAAAGTCTGCTCATGTCCAACAAAGCAGGCAAATGATAAGACCTTATGGACTTAGGTGGCATCTGTGTCTGTAGATGGAAAATCCCCCTCTCCACTCCTACTGCTCGAAACCAAGCACACTTTGTGTCTAGATCTTGGTTTCTAAAGCCAATCCCTGCAAAAAGAACTAGACCTTTTTGGAGAAATGGCTGATTGTTGATTCTGGGACTGAAACAAAATATACAATGTGAGCTCAGAGCGTCCTGTAGTGCCAGAACCAGAACGTAAGGAAGTGCTGAACAACAACAAAAAGACACGACAGGAGCCTGCTACAGAGCAGCCAATGGCCACAATGGGAAACTATTTGAGCCACAAAATAAAGTAGTATTGATTAATAACCCAAAATATAAAATAAATATCAATGAGTTCCTATGATATCAATGCATAATTGAATGAATCAATAATTGGACGAGAAGAAAGAATCTCCTGTGGAGAATAATTCCAAACCTTATGAAGATACTCCACCCTTAAGAAGGCGACACCTAACTCTCACTCCTGCAGTGTGGGCTCCATGGAATGACTTTTTCCAAGGCATACAATATGTAAAGGAAGGGGAAAGGGTAAATTGACAGTGGATGAACCTGCCAAACACGATCTTTGACAGGTGATCAACATCAACATAAGATTAAGTCCTGTTGATAGTATGTACTGTGATAAAACGTGATGAAAATGGTGTTTCTTCTGTGGTCTTCCTCCCAAAAACCAAGACCCAAAATCCAAGTCTCATCATGAGAGAAACATCAGGCAAATCCCAATTGAGGAACATTCTTCAAAACACACGACCAGTACCCCTCACGAAAGTCAGCGAAAACAAGGAAAGTCTGAGTAGCTGTCACAGCCCAGAGGAGCCTACAGAGATGTGTAGGGTGGGATCTGGGAACAGAAAAGGACATCGCGTAAAAACTAAGGATGTCTGAAGAAAGTATGGACTTGAGTTCATAAGAATGTATCCATATCGGTTCATTAATTGTAACAGATGTTAATAGCATAAGATGTTGATAAAAGGTGAAACTAGGTGTGGAGTCTGTGGGACTCTCGGTACTATCTGCCTAATTTTTCTGTAATGTAAAACTTTTATAAAATATAAAGTTTATTTTATTTAAAGTGCTGCCACTCCTAGGCCCATGTTCCTTCTTATTACCACAGTTCGTGACAGATACTCAGGCATGTCCAGACATCATTTCCACAGAGGCCGGCCAGGTCTGTGTGTGAGGCTTCTCCCCTCTCTTACCCAGGAGCTCTCGTTCCAAATAAAACCCTGTTCCCACTGCTGACTTACAAAAGCAGAACTGAAAATTGATCGGGCTCTGTTTGGAGTCTCGGTTCACAGGGGCTGACTCCACATCCATTCCTCAGATACTCACTGAGCACAGCCTCTGTGCCAGGCACAGCCAGGGGACCAGGATGAGCGCGGCGTGAGTGCTCCTGCCTACACCATGTGCAGTCAAGTGTGGGAGAGGTGTTAAACAGGGAAACGGGCAAGGGCCAAGGAAGTTCTCTGGGCCGTCTTTCCTAAGGGCCCTAATTCCATCCATGAGGCTCTGCCCTCATGACCTAATCACCTCCCAAAGTTGCCTCCAAAAGCCATCTCATCAGGGATTAGGTTTCAACCTATGAAAGAAGGGAGGATACAAACACTCGGTCTACAGCAATTAGCAAACTTTCAGTTCTCTTATATATTAAATGGCCATTTGTATTTCTTGAGTCTTCAGTCTTTCCCCATTGTTCTAGGGCGCTGTTAATCTTTTCCTTATTCATTTGTAAGAGCTTTGGTATATTAGAAATTAGCTGTCTGCCCTATGTGTTCAGAACACTCTTTTCTTTGTTTATTCCTTCCTCATCCCCCCATCAGGGGCTTTGAATGGCTCTAGCAAGCCGACTTTGAGTTTAGGGTGGGCCAGGTGATGACGATGTGTGGGAAGGACATGCATCAGGTGGCACAGTGCCTCGTCTTAAGCATCTGCTTCTCCCCAGGGACTAGCAGGACCCTGTCACTTTTGTGGTGCTCAGCTGTATGGGGAACTGTATAGGGAAGCCACATTTTGCAGGAAGACAGCAAGAAGTGGTCAGGGAATCTGTTCAGTGAGTCGGGGGGCTGTTGGCCCACAAGACAGGCACATGTCACAGCTTCAAGAGGAGGAGGCTCCTATGAAGTATCTTGCCCTGGAATGTGCAGCATTGTCTGCACAGCTGCTGGGAGCCTCCAATTACTGTGCCACTGAGGCCAGCTTCAGGCCTTTCCCAATTGAAGGTCCCCCTGAACACTTAACGACCAGACGGCAGCAGCAGGCCTACCTGCTGGGCAGCCCACAGGGTGGGATGGTCTGTTCAGATAGAAGCCAGTGCTCTTTATAAAGAACTGAGGCTTGTCCCAAAGGCAAGAATGGCTGCACTGAGATGCTAATAGGCAAAGGGGAGGCCATGGGTCCCATCTAACCCAGAAACAAAATAAACTGTGGCAAGCAAGTGCTTCTGGGACCCCAGTCCATGGAAGTCATGATGGGAGACATACCACAGCACAGCAAAGAGGTGGAAAGAGCCCTGTTTGGCTGCTTTGTTTTGTTTGGCCTTAAAAAAGGACAAGACCTCTCACACCAGCTCCCTTAGAAGCCCCCAAGCTGCAGCCAAGCTCCTGCAGTACCAGGCCTGCCCACACACTTTGAAGATTCCTGGGGTTTCAGTTCCAACTGTGGCTCTCACCTTTTTATTTTCTGGAGGGCAATTCTTCCAGAATATGTTTTAGGGAATTTGAAGAGTTATTGCCAAGCGGGGTTTCAATGATGCTAATCAATTTCCTGGTCGTCTGCTCCATGCCACTGTCTGCTGGCATCATGCCAGAGGAAAGAACCTCAGCTCTAATGACTCGAAAAATATTGCCACTAGCCTGCAGGAATCGGTGGTTAAAGCGGAATCTGGGCAACATCAGAGGCCTCTGTGTAGCAGACCTGGAGTCCCCTAATGCTAAATCCACACCAGTTAGCAGGTGTATCTCATGAGGTTGGATGTGTTCCATGGCCTTGTCTGGTCAAGGTAATCACACCTTCCAGGAGATTTCTTTCAAATGTAATTTCTCAGAGTGATAGAGATGATGCTGACCGGTATCCCCACCTATACGCATTTGTCATAGTCTAACACCCCAGAAGAACAACATGAGACGCTTTGAAATGAAAGCAGTTTATGAAGTCCATCTTGAAGGGCCACTTAAAAGGTATCTGACACTTTTTCTGTGAATAAAACCATTTCTGGTGGGAAAAAGCCCTGGTCCCCTTCATATCTGTGGTACCTGGGGTCGACTGCAGCTTCTCTGGATCCAGGCAGGCAAATATTTTTACAATCAAAATCTCTATGTATATATTGAAGGCTGCTGCTTATAGGAAAGAGTATGGTAGGGGATGCAGGGTGTGTGGGAGGAACAGAGGTAGAGGATGAGGATGGGGGGATGGAGAGGCCTCAAGGAAGTTGTCTTCTCTCCACACAGGTCTCTCTTGATTTGCTCTAAACCTCACCCAGGCTGAACACACCTGAGAACGGTGAGCAGGTCCACCCCACAGGCACGCTCCTGCTAGCAATGCCCACCTGAGCCAGGCTGAGGCCAAAGGGCATGAAACCCAGTGTCCACCCACAGTGTCTGCTCTGGATCCAGTTACTTTGTCTTTCATTTTGTGGAAGCATTTTGCAACTTTAGGTTATAAATCTTTCATTAATCTTAACAGACCTTTGTAGGTGGTAATGGAATAGAACTTTTTTTAAAAATTTAAAGAATAAAAAAAATTTAATGGACTTGCTAGCACAGTTTTAGATTTACAGAAAAATTGTGAAGTTTCTCAATTAATATATTATTATGGTACATTCATCAGAATTAATGAACCAATATTGATACATTACTCTTAACTAAAGCCCATACTTTACCCAGATGTCCTTAGTTTTAATCTAATGTCCTGTTTCTGTTCTAGGATCCCGTTCAGGATGCCATATTACATTTAGTCTCTTGAGGCTCCCTTAGCGGTGACAGTTTCTCAGACTTTCCTGGTTTTTGAGTTTTTGATCACCTTGACAGTTTTGAGGAGTACTGGTCAGGTCTTTCGGAAAATGTCCCTCAGTTGGGATTTGTCCGATGTTTCTCTCATGATTGGACTATGGTATGGGTTTTTTAAAGACAACAGAGATGTAGTGCCATTTTATCACATAATGTCAAGGGTACACACTAGATTTGATAAAACGCAGCCATTTCTATTAATTGTAGAAAAAAAAAAGAGAGAGAGAGAGAGGTTATCCTTGAGGAGAGGGGCCATGGGAAACAAGAGGGAAGGGAAACTTTTATTGCAGCAAGTGAACATGTGTCTGATTTTTTTTTTTTTTTTTTTAGACAGGGTCTCGCTCTGCCGCCCAAGCTGGAGTGTAGTAGCTCAGTCTCGCTCACTGCAGCCTCGACTTCTCAGGTTCAAGAGATCCTCCCACCTCAGCCCCTTAAGTAGCTGGGACCACAGGTGTGCACCGCTATGCCTGGCTAATTTTTTTGTATTTTTGTAGAAACAGGGTTTCACCATGTTGCCCAGGCTGGTCTCAAACTCCTGAGTTCAAGCAATCCACCTGCCTCGGCCTCCCAAATTACTAGGATTACAGGCGTGAGCCAACATGCCTGGACCATGTCTGAATTTTATAATCATATGTGTATTACATGATTTTTGTCATCAGGAGTTATCAGCCAGAGATACTTGGCACAATTTGTTTTCTTTGTGTCATTAATTTTTTGAGATTTAAACTAATAAATGTTAGATTATTTTTTAAATGGCTATTCTTTGTTGAGGCTTGTTCGGGTCCATCCTGTTACTAACCTCCTTGGGCTTGGAAGAGATCTGAGGAACAGAGAGATTAGCTGACTTACCCAAGGTCATACAGCCAGCTAGGGGAAGCCAAGATTCTAACCCCAGCAGGCAGCCGCCAGGCAAAAAGTCCGTCCAGGTTCAAAAGTGCCGCACCTCCGCCACTTCAGGCTGAGAGGCAGGGACGGCCATGCCCACTTTACAGAAAAGAACACCAGCTCCGAGGGGTGCGGAAGTGAGGGTGGAAACGGTGCCGGAGACAAAACTAAGGGAGCCGGCTTTGCTGTTGGCTTGGGCATCCTTTCTCAGTCCTTCAAAGCAGGCCCCGCATCCAGGGACTGAAAATCCTCCCCAGGGCTGGACGTTTTCCTCCCAGACCCAGGAAAACACCTGTCTTGCATCCTCCCTCCCCTAGGCAATCGGCCCCCACTTCCCAGAGTCGGTCTCGGGGCTGAGGGTGAGCAAGGTTGCCCCCTTCTCCTCTTTGAGGCTGTTTTACCTCAACAACTCAAATCTAAGGCACAGACCCCCTCAAGGGTACCCCACTCCCCGCACCAGTGCTAATCCACCCAATCCCAGCCCAAAATAATTCTCACCCAGCCGAATCTCAGACGTGAACCTCGGGAGCACCACCCTAATCCTGAGCCTAGACCCCTCCTACATCGGGATCCCACCGTGATTCTCACCTGAACCCATTCCGCCCTGGAAATTGGCTCCTGATCACTGAATTCGGGGTCACATGTTTACACGGGGACGGCTGCCTCAGCCTTCCACCTGCCACCCGCTCCCAGTTTATCTGGCCCTAACCGCTCCTATCTGCCCTGTGGTCACTCTAAAGAGAAAGGGAAAGACTCCACCACCCCTCAGCACTGCTGCAACCCCTGCCCAAACCTCCCTCAAAGCCACCTCCAATCCTGCTCCTGGCAGCACCTGCGCACTAGTGCCACCTCGTGGCTGAAGACCAAACTGCCGCTAGGAATTTCCTGCAAGGAGGCCTTCTGCCATCAGGTCAGCAAAGGACCAACGTGTGATGAGCGCCTACTCTGTGCCAGCACCGCTCGGATGCAAAGACCGAGATGCAGAGTCATTGCCCTTGAAAAGACCCCGGGGGCTAGTGGGAACGTGGAAGCAGAAATGTCAGTGCCAGGTGTGAGTGCTACAGTACAGAGGCCCTTAAGAAGCATTTTCTTTTGTCAGGGAGTGACAGCAGCCCATGTGAAAACCGAAATAATAAAGCAGGAAGGCATCTTGGAGGAGGAGAGCAGGATCACCTGCAGGGGGCAGGTGCAGCCCACAGGTCACCAGGAGGGGAAGGGGCTGCAGGAATGGGAAGGAATGTAGCTCAGGGGCCCTGAGGTCCAGGTTTCTGCCCCAGTGGAGGCTAAGGCACAGGTAAACTGGAGGGGCCGATCCCACGGGTGTGGGTGAACACTCCTGAGTCTGCACCTGAGTGTCCTGAGGGCTGCTAGAGGCTGGCCAAAGCAACAGCCTTGGAATTATTCTAAAAAGAAAAAGAGCAGGCCGGAAGCGGTGGCTCATGCCTGTAATCCCAACACTTTGGGAGGCTGAGGTGGGTGTATTACCTGAGGTCAGGAGTTTGAGACCAGCCTGGCCAACATGGTGAAACCCCGTCTCTACTAAAAATAGAAAAATTAGCAGGGCATGGTGGCACATGCCTGTAATCCCAGCTACTCCAGAGGCTGAGGCAAGAGAATTGCTTGAGCCCGGGATCAGAGGTTGAAATGAGCCGAGATCGCACCACTGCACTTTAGCCTGGCCAAGAGAGTGAGACTCTGTCTCAAGAAATCAAAAAAAAGAAAAAGAGCAGAATGAGCTTCTCATACATTAAAAATTTCCCAGTAGCATAACAGTCTGGCAGGGGAAGGCCAAAAGGGAACTGGGTGAGCCCATGGCCTGAGGTTGTCCCCAGATCCACCTTCACAATGATGGGGGTCTCAGCACAGGAGATGGAAGTAAACAGGATTGAGGAGGGGAGAACTGACTCCCACCACCACCCCCTTCCATTTTGCATGATTCAGTGTCCAGAGGGTTGCTGTGGGTCTGGGAGGGCTGCTGGGCCCCATGGCAGGCACTAGGAGGCTGATGTTTGGCAGCAGGAGCCGATGGCAAGGGTGAGAGCAGAATGCAGTAGCAGCAGGTTTCTGGTAGAGCATCCATTCTGAAACCCAAAAATAAAACTCTAAGCCCCCAACCAACTGATGGATTCCCGTCTCAGCCAAGGGCATTCCGAAGTAAACCTGAAAATCTAGTTCAGGCCATGATGGGAAGAGGTGGGGTTAGACATGCTTCATTATACCCTCCTCCCTTTGGAATTCAGGCACAGCTGACCAGCATTAACATTCAAACAGAGATCTTAAGACTAACAAAACAGATTCTGCGTAGCATAAGACACCAAATTCCAACCTGACTCTAGTATAGCATCATGTGACAGATAGCAGGCCTTGAAAGAAACTGAAATATTTTACCCCAAAATATATTTCTTTGACATATTTTGAAATGGCCCTGTAATGCTGTCTCTTGTGGGGAAAATTCCCATTCTGTAGAGAGTCCTCTGCCCTCTCGACGTCTTTTCCCTGATCCAGGAGCAAATTAACTAAGAGTCTGGCGCCTTTTTAGGTTTGATAAGAGCTCTGATGCGTACTCCATGGAGGCTTCATCTGCATGATAAAACCTTGGTCTCCACAATCCCTTGTCTTAATCCAGACATTCCTTTCTATTGATTCTAGGTCTTTAAATAATAACTCTTTCAACCAATTGCCAATCAGAAAATCTTTGACTCTACCTATGACCTGGAAGCCCCCGCTTCAAGTTGTCCCATCTTTCTGGACAGAACCAGTATACATCTTACACATATTGATCAATGTCTTATGTCTTCCTAAAACATGTAAAACAAAGTTGTAGCCCAACCACCTTGGGCACTGGTCTCAGGATCTCCTGGGGCTGTGTCACAGGCCACAGTCCTCATACATGACTCAGAACAAATCTCTTCCAATATTTTGCACAGTTTGATTCTTTTCATTGACAACTCAGAGCAAGATGAAGCCAGGAAAGAGGGGCATGGAGAAGAGAGGTGCACCCCGACGCAGGGAGGCACAGCCATAGCCAAGCATACTGGGATTAAGGCCAGCCAGGATCCAGGGATGGGGAGAGAAGCCCAGTGTCACAGGTCAGATCTGCAGGACGAAAATACAAAAGAGCACAGAACTAACACCCCCACTCTCACCACGACTTTGGACACCATCGGGCTAGGGGCAGGGACTGTAGCCTCCATAGGAAACGAAGTCCCTGAGGCCAAGGACAATCATTTCAACTTTGTGTCTTAGGTTCCTACTGGCCCTTCAGGTAGCAGGTGCCAAGTAAACATTTGCAGGGGGTGATACGACACAGCACGCAAAGGCTTTAAGGGTGGAAGCCTGTAGAATTGAGACAATTCTCCTCTGGAAACCAAGCTCACCAGAGGGTGACACAGCCCCTCAAACAGGGAGAATTCTTCCCACAGGGCATCGCTGCAGACAAGGGGCTGAGTATACTTTTCTCTCAGAAAGAATTCCAGGTTCCAGTATGTCTTCAGAGGCTTCTGCCTGCTTGGAACTCTGCTCCCGGCCTTCTGACCACCCAGGTCCCAGAGGTCCCGACCTCTGTTGGGCTCTCACAGAGAAGGTTCCTCCCGCCACTCCAACCTAAGCTTGTCAGCACCTTCCCTGGCACCTGCCCCAACACATGGAGACCAAGAACCTGGTGCAGGCTCAGGACTGGGGACAGGGACTGCAGGCCGTGTGTCCTGATGTTTCCCTCAAACCCGAGTGCACAGACTAATCCACAGATGTAGCAAACATGTTTGCCCATCTCCAGCACTCCTAGGGAGCCAGGAGCAGAACTGGGCACAAATGGCTCTGGAGCTCAATCTGGGGTTCATGGACACACTCAACTGGTATTAGGGCTTCTTCCATCTCCTGGGAGAGTCTGCACCCACAGACAATTTTCCATGAGATAATCAGCTCTATTTCCCAGGCCCAAACACTTACAAATGCCCCCAGGTCCCTTGTGCTGGGCAGCTGGTTCTCCCAGACGTCTACCTTATTAGTTGCTGACACTGAACCCGAACTCTTGGAGTCAGTGACCTGTCTGTCCCTTTGCCGGGTAGTTGCCATCCTAAACATGACTGGATTTCTCCAATGGACAAATAGTCAGTGATATGTATAGATAATTCACAAAATTGAAATACAGCTAGTTAAACTTTTGAGAAAATGTTCTAGCTTACCAGTAGTCATAGAAATACAATTTACATTTGATGCAACATTGTCAATAATGTGTGTCAAGAACTGTAAGAATATGCATATGATGTGCCTCAGTTACCCTCACTGCAAATAAATCCTAAGGAAGAAAACAAAAATACTGGAAATGCAAGGCTCAAAAGTTATCCATCGCTTTTTTTTTTTTTTTTTTTTTTTTTTTGAGACAGTCTCGCTCTGTCCCCCAGGCTGGAGTGCAGTGGCGCGATCTCGGCTCACTGCAAGCTCCACATCCTGGGTTCACGCCATTCTCCTGCCTCAGCCTCCCAACTAGCTGGGACTACAGGCCCCCGCCACCACGCCCGGCTAATTTTGTGTATTTTTAATAGAGACGGGGTTTCACCATGTTAGCCAGGATGGTATCGATCTCCTGACCTCATGATCCACCCGCCTCGGCCTCCCAAAGTGCTGGGATTACAGGCATGAGCCACCGAGCCCGGCCCATTGTATTTTTAAAAGACCTTTTTAAATGTGAAAAATAACACACAGAAAAGGCTTAACACACTTACAGGGTACTCTCACCGTTGGCCCTGTAAGAAAGGTGAGCAACCTGGGAACAGGGTCCCTCCTCTGGAACCCAGCCCACTGTCTGTGCGTCCAGCAAATCCCCAAGGCCCAGCCAAGCCTTTCCATGGCATGATGACAGGAGCAGGGTCACAATCCTCTTCTCTTCTTACCAACCTCTCTTGGTAAGTCTCCCCAGTAAAGCCTGTTCCTTAGTCCATATGAATTTTCAGGAATTCTTCCTGAACCTGAGACACAACAGGGGTGTTCACAAAAAGACCCATCTTGCAAAATGGCACAAGACACAGAAAATGAGCATCGGAGACAAAAGGTGATTTTTTTTAAAAGGCAGAGCATGAAAGAGAGAGGGGATTAATGCACCAAGGCTGTTTCTCAGGCCCCCAGTCTTGCCCATCATTGCCCCTGCCCAAGCCAGGCAGCTTCCATGCCTCTCATCCCTACATCTCCCATCCCTGGACAGCTCACCTGGGCTCATCTTCTTTCCAAAATTTAAAAAAAAAAAAAAAAAGGCCTGAGTATTCATCTTCCTGTGAAGTACATATTAAACAGTTTCCATTTGTTTGTACAGACAGACGGACTGAAATTTGAAGCAGCCATTGTCTCTGCTACAAAGGGCCTCTGCAGAATGAGGGGTGGGAGGCACAGGAGCAGGCACAGCCTGGGTTGGCTTTTTCTTGTCCCTGAAAGCAAATCATGAGGAGCCCTCGCAGGAGTGGCTGAGCTGTGTACACAGGGGAGGGGATGAAACACTGACTGGAGCCCTGTCCTCAGCAGCCTGGGAAGAGAGGATTGGGATACCAGGTTGGGGGCAAGAAGTGGTGGAAGCAGGAAGGGAAGCCAGTCAGTACTGGGTACGGGAGCGGGAGGAGCCTGCTCCAGGGATGGAGATGGGCCCTTCTCCATAGGGGAGAGGAAAGAATGAAACATGTAGTAAGTGCCCACCACTTACTGGGCACTGTGTTAGGGGCTTATACACATGATCACTAATAATCCCTGTGACTCGGCGATTCAACCCCTAACTTCACTAGCAGAATGCACCTGCATCCCAGGACTTGTGGAAAAGGCTCCCATAACGTTGAGTGAAAGAAACTGGAGACAAAAGAACACAAACACTTGATTTCACATATGTGTGAATCCCAAACACATGCAAAGCCAAATCATCGTGTTCATGATGTGTGCCAAAGGGGTCAAACTCTAAACAAAAACAAGCAGAAGTTCTCTCAGGGCGTAGGCAGGGAGGCCTTGTGATTGGCAAGAGACACAGAGTGCCTCGAGGGGCCGGTGGTATCCATCTTGTGAGGTAGTGGTGCTTATGTTGGGCATTTGCTTTGTGAGAATTCATTAAGCTTTACACTTGTTTTATTATGTACTTTTCTGTCTGTTATTTTTCACATTTAAAAAGGCCTTTTAAAAGTGCCTTGTGTTTCCAATATTTTTGTTTTCTTCCTTAGGATTTATTCACAGTGAGGGTAACTGAGGCACATCATATGCATATTCTTACAGTTCTTGATACACATTATTGACAGTGTTGCATCAAATGTAATTTGTATTTCCATGACTACTGGTAAGTTAGAACATTTTCTCAAAAGTTTAACTAGCTGTATTTCAACTTTGTGAATTATCTATACATATCATTGACTATTTGTCCATTGGAGAAATCCAGTCATGTGTACGACGGCAACTGCTCAGCACTTTTGAAAGGACAGAAGGATCCACAGAGAGGAAGATACTAAAGACACTCAGAGGTCAGTGCTAACAGAGGTATCAGCAAGGCCCCCTTCTGGAGTGTGAGAGGCAATGAGCTGGTGTCCCTTCCCTCTCTGCAGCCACAGAACTGCGTGGGTCCTGCATCCACTGAAGCCGCTCAAGGAGTGGGCCCTGGGGAAGCAGAGTGAGCAGACCTCACACATGCCTGGAAGGAGCAGCTCCAGGAGGCAGCAAACCAAGGTGGAAAAAGAGCAACTGGGACCCAGCAGGGGGATGGGAAAAGCACACCGAGGGGTGTAGACAGTACCCGCAGGCAGGGTTGGGAAAGGGGCACTCCATCTGGGCCAGGAAGGAGTTTTGGAGATGGGGATGTGGGAGTTGCAGGGGGCCGCTGAAAGAACCATGAACAAATAGGAACTGTGTGGGATGGGGAAAACATCGGGCATGTTTGAGACTAGTCTGGAGACACTGGAAGAAACCACGACGGTTTTGAATGCCATGCTCGGGAGTTAAGCCTCATCTTGTAAGTCAGCATTTCCCAAAGTATCTGATGAGTCAGAATACTAATTTAGCAGGAGCTCAGCTTAAAAAGAAAAAGAAAAGAAAGGAAGGAATTTGGAAATGCAGAACCCTATGGACATACATATTGCAAAACACCATATTAAAGAATTTAAGCTGATTTTCCTACTGGACTAGAGACTATGAATATTTCAGAAGGGATCTGGTCTGTATCACTTTCCAAATTTATCTGACCTTTCCTCTCTCCTCCTTTCTCAAGAAGTATCTCTCAGAATTGATGGTCCATGGATCAGGCTGAGAATGTCTCGGTAAACTGGGTGCCAGTCTGTTGATACAGCAAAGGACGGAAGCCAGCTATATTCTGCTCTCCTCTACACGCCCTCACCTTCTTCTCACTTGCCCTACCTCAGCAGCAATGTGGTCACTTCCAATCAAACCCTATTTTTGTCACAGTAGCACAATCATACCTACATGCTAACTATGAGCTATTAGGGTGGGCCTGTCTGTCTCCAGCCCAGATCCTCTTCAGTGATATACTCATTCCCTCCACATATAATTAATGAGCTCCTACTATGTGTCAGCCACTGTCCCAGGTGCCTAAAGTATATCTATAAAGGAAGCCTACAAAACTCCCTGCCCTGATCATCCTATTAGAAGGAGAAAAGAACTTCACTGTAATCATAATAAATAAGGAAGGTGGGCATGGTGGCTCACACCTGTAATCCCAGCACTTCAGGAGGCAGAGGCAGGAGGATTGCTTGAGCCCAGGTGTTTGAGACCAGCCTGGGCAACATAGCAAGACCTCATATCTAAACAAATTAACAAATAAGGAAATGATGCAGTATGTTAGAATGTGACAAGGGCTCTGGAAAAGGTACATGGTGGTGAGGTTCTGGACCTGGAGCCAGGGGTGGCTTCAATTTTACATCAAATGGTCAGAACAGGCTGCATGAAGATGGAGAGTAGGGAAAAAACTGGAAGGAAGTAAACGAGGGCCAAGCAGGCATCTGAGGACTAGCTTCCCAGGCAGAGAAATCAGCCTATGTAAAGGCTCTCCGGTAGGACATGCTGGTGTGTTCCAGGAACAGGAGGCCAGTGTGGCTGAAGCAGATGTGAGCACAGGCAAGGCGGAAGGAAATTCCCATACCAGAGAGGTAATTTAAACCATCAGCTCCTTCCTGACCTAGAACCTCCAGATGCCAGAGCCAGAAGGGCCTTGGAGATGGCATGATAACCTACCACTCGCTGGACAGATAAGAAAATGAGATGGACAGGGTGGAGGAACTTCCCCCAAGGGGCACCAGAATAGAAAAGGACTCCTGGACAGTCCTTCTTAAATCCAGCTCTTGCTAAAGCGGATATTGCCTGGACTCTGTGCAGGGCTGTGCTCCTTCTTCCTCTGGACTCTACTAATACCACCCCCAAGTGGTAAGGGGAAAGACAGCCCCCGTGACCCCAACAGCCAGCCTCGGCGACCCAGCTTGCGGTGGCTGTCGCTACAATACTTTCCACCAGGGGGCGCTGGCCCCTTGCACAGCTTCTCCCTCCCCAGAAACTCCCGGTCCTCGGCTCTGGAGTGCTTGCGGCCCCCACCGGACTCGGACCCTGACTCCAGCCCAGTCAGTGTTTCCCACCCGTGCTTACCCCCTTTTGCCTCAGTTTCTCTCTCTTCCCTCTGCCCTGAGTATGGGGCGGGAGAGCCCAGCCCCCAAGAAGAGCCCTGAAAAAGAGACCCCAGCCTGGGTCTGAGGACAGAGGAAGGACAGGGGACGGGAAAGGTGGCCCGGGGGCAGGGTGGGCGGGGTGTGGAATGTGCAGAGTCACCAGTGTTGTCTGCCCGTCCTCCCTGGAGGCTGGCTCTTGCTGGTTCCCTGTTGTGTTGGCTGCTGAGGGGTCCCCAGGGGCCCATTTGGAGCCTGTGAAGAGGACAACCAGGGGTAAGGGCAGAGGAGAGACAGCGCGGAGATAGAGGAGCTCGTGTTGACTGTGAAGCCTTTGCTGGGCCAGAGCCCCTGGAAAAGGAGGCAGTTCCTCCACCACCCCATTCATAGAATTTATCACTTTCCCCCAGCAACGGCCCCAGGGAAGGGGAAACTGAGGCACCAGTGAAGACCAGCCTCCAGCCCCCCGCCTTTCCAGCCCCTGTATGTCTCGAAATGAGACCACGGGTGCATTGTGCCCCAAACCCACTCTTCTCTGGAGCCACAGCTGGGGTTCCCCAGAGGGCTGGAGAGGGTGGTGCTGCTGCAGGCCCCTTATCAGCCCTGAGGATGCAGACACTGTGAAGCCAGCCACGCCCACCTGCACACATGCCCAGCTCAGGAGAGGGAGACAGTCCCAAGAGCCCCCGCCCCACCATTCAACATGGTTCAGGGACAGGAAAAGCCAGGCCTGGGGGAAGTGGGCAGGGGCCTTGGCACGGCAGCTCCTTCACCACACTGCCCTCCAGCTCTCACCCTCCCCCGCCCCTCGTTTCCCTGCCCCTGACCTGCTCTCCAGGCCCAGAGACCTAAACCCCGAATCCTGATAAGTAGAGGTCAGTGGGAGTCCCCAGCTGACCAGGGAAACCAGCTCCGCCCCTGAACTTTGGTCTTGTCAGGAGCTGGACAGAGGCCAAGAGTAAGGTTTCCCCTCTCCAAGTCAGACTTCCTTCTGGCTGTAGGCTGGGGAAATCCCAGAAGCTGAGCTGCCCTGCCCCAAGGACAGGGCTGCCCAGGCCAGGGCAGGAGTGCTGCTGTGCCCTCCTGCAGGCAGAGGTGGGTAGGGGTGGAGGGCAGGCCTGAGGGGCGTCAAGGGAAGAGCTGGGGCTGTGGCCACCAAAGAGGAGGAGCTGGGAGGTGAGGGAGGGGGCTGGGGGATACCAGGGGATGAGACTGAGGAGCCAGAAACCCAAGAGAGCATTCACCCCCTCCATTCTTCCTGAGTATCAGGGTTTTATCCCTATCAGTCAGCTCAGGGGAGAGGGTGAGGGCTGGGGGCAAAGCAGAGGGAGAGGGGTGGTGGGAGACAGGGAAGACTGCTGATTTGTCTGTCAGGAACAGAGTGGGCCCTGCCAGCCCAGAAGGAAGGGACCCTGATGGGGCCGAGGTGAAGGAGGAGACAGGTGGCCAGGCCCACTGTCCCCACACACAGCTGGGAGGTGGCAGTGCTCTCCTCCCACAGCCTGAGGGCGTGGGAAGGAGGGAAATGGATGAACAAGGGACTGGGAGTGTGAGGTGTCCACATGGCACGGAGATAAGAAGGCAGCTGAGCTATGGAGCCATCCTGGGCATTAGAATGGTTATTCTTGTCCTCGTTTCCCTAGAGATCTCATCACAGGCCCCTCGCAGCAGCTGTGACTACTCCTCTTCCAGCACTCCTGCTGATGGATTAGGGGACCATGCCCAGAATCCCAGCCAAGGGCAGGAAGCCCCATCTTCCCTGCAGTGAGCAAACCCCACCCTCATTCTCATCCCTTCCTGTGCTGCTAATGCTCCCTTCCTGGCCAAAGCCAAGCCTCCTTCTCTTCCTCCTCCAAGAAGTTCCCCGAGACTGACCCTCTCCACAACTCACTCCAGGGCTCCTCATCCTCACCACCATAACCAAATACTCTTTGTGTTCTGGGCGTTGATAGGTTGCTGTGTAAGTGTTCTAAGCACTATGGTTTCCTGGGTGTGGCTCAGGTCTCTCCCATTAGGAGCAACTCCAGGGCAGGGACCTGAATGTCAGGTCACAAGCCAGCACACAGGCCAGGGTGGGGAACTGCCAGCTGGATGTTTACAGTACAGAATCCTGATTACATGGCCCTCATCTCTCCATCAAAACCTGTCTGGATCTGAACTTTGCATGACCCCTCCCCCCACTTTCTTCTCAAACCCAGGCCATCTGCTTCTCCCAGCTTCCCATTCTCTGCCAACAGTTCTACCATCTTCCTGTCACCCAGACTTGAAACCTTGCAGACATCTTTGACTCTTTCCTCTGACACATCAGATACAGGGTCATATCAAGCCCTGCCTTTGCCGGGGCTCTGACCCCAATCACCTCATTTCATTTCAAGTCAACAAACATTTCCAAGCCCCTTCCAGGGGCTGGCTGATGTCAGGTGCTGGTACACAAAAGATGAGTAAGACACCAGCCTTGCCCCGGAGGGACTCATCTGAGCGTAAGTCAGGCCATAATAAGCGCTATTCTAGAAACACAGAGGGCTCTGGCAACCAGAGGGATGGATTTCAATTTGAAGGCTGAGGAAGGAAGGCTGGATTGTTTCTGTTTCTCCTTTGTGGAAGGAATGGAGCTGTGGCTCTATGGGGACTGGCTGGGTGGCCTTGGACAAGTTCCTCAACCTCTGAGCCTTTGTTTCCTCAACAACAATATGGGAATGATAAAAAACTTTTTAAAAAATCCTTGCTGCATTTGGGGGGGATTGGCTGTCATAATATCTAACATTTATTAGCTTTCATTATGTACCAATGCCTGTCCTAAGTGTTTTGTATGTATAGTGTCATTTAATCCTTTCAACAACCCCCACAGTGGAGGTGACATTATCATCCTTATTTTCAGATGAAGAAACTGAGGTTCAGAGAGGTCAAATACATTGCCCAAGCTAGCTCACCTAGTAAGGATTGGAGCCAGGATTTAATGCAAGATAGTTGTTTTATAATCTGATCCTACTCACCGGTGGAATTTTATCTGCAAAATAACTGTAAATAGCTAACTTTTCTTAGCATACTTTGTGCCTGGCTCTATGTTGATTGCTTTACTTGCATTTAATCCTTAGAACAACCCTGAATGGCAAATACTATTATATTGTGAGGAAATTGAGGATCAGAAAGGTTAAGTAACGTGAAAGTTTGGGCAGCTAGTTCTCTGCAGAGCCAGACTTAAACCTGAGTCTGACTCCAGAGTTCTTTCTTTTGCCCAGCATCCACCCTCAGCTCAGCCCATCTAGTCACCTCCCAGACCCATGCAATCACCCTGTGTTCTGCCTTCTTGCTTTGTTAACACTCCCACCCACTCTACACACCACCTCTGAACTGTCCCATCCCCCTTTCCAATTCCTACCCACTGCTCAAGACCCAGCTGAAATACCACCTTCTCACAAAGCGCTGCCTGCATGCTGTTCAAGCCAGCCCTAGCTTCTCTTCCTTCAGACAGCACTCAGCAAGTGACATATATTTTGGTGCTTGGTCATATTTAATTGACAGTGTAATTAAATATTATTTGGCTTTGTCTTCTAATTATTTAATGTTTAGAAATCTCGTGTCCCCAATCAGAGTGCAAAAATTCTTTGAGGGCAAGAACCTTGACTTTCCCTTTACTTATTTTGCCTCCTCCTCTCAACATTTAGAGTGCTAGCACTCAGTCACCTTAGATAAATTAGAGACTTAAAGGGCATTGCAGAGCCAGGAATTCCCAGATTATTAATCATGCTCATATCTTATTATATGGAGGCATATCTATACAATATATTACCCCGAATGCAGCATAAATGTGAGCTGAAGGCAGCTCCCTGCTGGGCTTCTGGGACTGAGGGTCCTTTGAAGACAGATCAGCCAAAGGGCTGCTGTGCCCACCCCTCCCCACTGGCAGTACCCATTCCTTGGCCTTCCTTCCTTCCTATCCTCCGTATAGGAGAGTGCTGAGAGATTTACTAGAAGGAAGGAGAGGGGAGCCAGTAGTGGGGCTGGGGCATAAGGGGCTGCTGACAGCACTGAGCCAAGTGTGTCTGACCCTCCCGCGTCTCCAGTGACCTACACAATCAGGCCCAGCCTCATGTGCTAGCAACCCATACAGTCATACAAGGTCCTGCACTCAGACCTGTGCTTACTGTCTTCATCTTGAAATTCTTAATAATTTTTGAAAAAAGGACCCCAGACTTTTATTTTGCACTAGGCCCCACACATTACGTAACTGGCCCTGCATACATCCACAAAGCCAAAGCCCACATAGATTACAGTGAAAACACAGCCTAATGTTGAACAGCCTGGGCTCCTTCCTGGCTCTGCCACTTATGATTGATGAGGGATTCGTGGGGCAAGTTACCAAATCTCTCAACCTGCTCCCAGCTCTGCCTCAGTCTCACCGAGTCTTCATCTATAAAGTGCAGGCCCCCTTTTAGTGCTTCCAGGAGGGCCAAAAGAGAAATGTAGGGAAAGAGCTTCATGCAGTGGCTAGCACTCCACAGATGGTGGCTACTATGAGTGCTACAGTGATCACTGCTGAGACAGGAGATACAGATGGGAGTTAGGAATGTAAATGGAACTGGGAAGAGCTAGAGGCTTAGTCTTGAGACCAAAGGACTCTTACTGGAGGTCCAGAGATCCACAGAAAGAAACAGGCCCAAAGAGTGCAGGCCTCCCTTCATTATTAATCACTCTTTCCCTCCCTCTAATTTCCTAATCATACCTCTCCTGCCTCCTCAGCGAGGGCCTGTGTTCTATCTCAGGCAATTTTCTTATCATGTCTTGAACATGAACATTGCTTGTCTCTGCTTCTGAAACTTTGCACAAAGCATTTCCTCCTAGAATATCCTTCCTTACTCTTCCTTCCCAGCTCATGCCTATCACCTCCTCTGCGAGACCACCTTTGGCTAGTACCTTCTCTACCCCATCTCTCCTTGATTCTGGAGCAGCATTATACTGCAGTTGCTCGGATCCTGCTTAGAGGGAGCAGATGCCATATCTCCATCTAGAAGGTAAATGCCTGAGGCCAGACAACTGAACCCTTTGAAATTCTGCCCGCCACATCAGTACGCCTCTCTCCGAAGCATGAGCTGTGTCCAAGCCCGCCTCTCCATGTTTAGTTTCCATCTTCATCAAAGATAATGGAACACGCCTGCCCTTTCTCACCTTCTCAAAATGACAGAAGGTTACCACTCTGAGAAGAAGGTTGAACTTCTGAGAATTGGAGTTCCAGAGAACTGCAAGATAATCACTATTTATAAGCACTTCTGTCTTTGGCAACATGGGTGAAGGAAACACCACAATGCAATAGAAAAATCCCTCAGAAAAAGAGCCAGGAGAGCCGGCATCTGAATTCCAGCTCCTGAGCAAGGAACTTCTCCAAATTCAGTTTTTCTGAGTTTGGTTCTGAGTTTTGAGGATAGTGCCTACCCACCCCAGGCTGTGTGTATGGCTGGCCCCTCCAAGATACCTGGGGCAGAGATTTTATTTTTTTTCCACTTATGATTGAAGGAAAATGGAACTCTGGTTCTAAGCAAAACTGTCAATTTCTGGAAACTGTTCTGCAGTCCTCTTTCCAATTCTTTTATCCCACATCCCTTCTACCCTCTTCCATTATTCAGTGGGAGGAGGCCCCCCAAATGTTTTCCTAAATTTTTTCATTTAAACCTGAAATAATTTGAATGGTAGAGTCCATTCTTACAGGAGTGAGGTAAGTTTTAGTCAATTGCCTTTCCCAGGTCAATTGAACATTGGGCCTTTCATTAGTAACAATGATGTGATTGATTGTACTCCTCATTCCAATAGTTATCTCTGAAAATATTTTGATGGAGATCATGGGGAGCCCTTTTTATCCCCGAAGTTCCCTTGTACCCACTCAAAAAACTGTAAATAAACCTTACTTTGTCATTTTGTTCTGTTATCTATAGCTACATAATAAACTACCCCAAAATTTAGCTGCCTAAAACAGGAATCAGTTTATTGTAAATTATGATTTTGTAGGTCAGGAATTTGAACAAGGCTCAGTGGGTGATTCTTCTGCTCCATGAGGTATTGACTGGACTAACACAGTGGCATTCAGCTGGTGGCTCAGCTGGGCTGCACAGCCCAAGATGGCTTTGCTTATATGTCTTCCACCTTGCCTAAAGTGGCGAGAGGCTGGACTCAGCTGGGTACTTTCCCCTTTCCATGTAGTCTCAGGGTCTGTGTATGTGCTTTCTCTAGTAGGGAAATCAAACTTCTTAGCAGCTAAAGAGAATTAAAAGAGAGCAAGGTGGGAGCTGTAAATCCTCTTAAAGTCTAGGCTCAGAACTCATACAATGTCACTTCTGCTGTATTCTACTGGCCAAAGCAGTCAGAGGCCAGCCAAAATTCAGGAGAAGGGGATATAGATCCCACCTCTTAAGGGAGGCATGTCAAAGAATTTATGCTATCTTTAACCTACCACACAAGGTAACTTGATGGGGACTCAGAAGGAAAGATGTATGAGAGAGAAAGGAGGATACCTGGGGTAATGAAGACTAGAGTTTCTTGATGTAATGGTTGAAATTTCAGACTTGGCTGAGGTCACTAAAGAAGGTAGTGAACACCTCAGTCTCCCAAGGTATCTCTCCTTTCCACATCCCAGACCTAACTTGGCCTGGTCAGAACCCAGAAATTACCCTCAATGGATAATCCAAAATCTAGCCTGTTGTCTAGAACCCACTCTACCCAAACACCTAACCCTCTTCTGAGATCCTCTTCTCTCCATCTCCAAACAACTTCCATCTTCTCCTTTTGTCTGAAGGAATCCAGATCCTTCCCCCGTAAGCCTTACTATCTCCCATGACTGGTGTCTCTAACCAATATGGTCACCTTCCATTTAAGGGGCACTTACTTTGTACCAGGGTCTGTGCTAAGTGCTTTATATGCGTTATTACATTGACTCCTTGCCAGAAAGTATTACTTTTATTTTACAGAAGAGGAAACTAGTACCCAGAGAGATATGCAACACATCAAAGCTCAAGTGGTCCAATTCAAAAGTCCAAGCTTTAAGCACGATGCTATACATCTTCTCATGTAATTATCTACTATGATTTAAATGAACTACTCATGTTCTTATGCCTGGGCCTTATATCCTAGGCTCCCACAAACAGTGTTGGGGGGCTGAAAGCCCCTCAAAATGCTGTCAAGGACTTCTTTAGATTGCAGGGGAAGGGAGGAGGAAACTCAGGGACCCTAAATCCTTAAAAGAGGGAACGCAAGAAATCTCTGTTGAAAACTTATGGTCAAGATTTTTGTCTTAATTTATGGCATGGTGTGTGGGTGGTGGTGAGGATAGATCTGTCCATGATATCATAGAAAGCTGGTTACAGAGAGATAAAAGAGATAATTCAACAGGAAGGATTAAAACTGAATAGTTCATTTGGCAGTATAAAAGCACCATAGTTACACCCGCTTAACTGTAAGTTAAGCTCTGACAACCTCAATTCTGTGGAATGCAGCACCAAATCCGGAAGTGAAAAAGGCCTTTAAGCACCAAAAATAACTGACACGAATTGAACCAAAGCCAGGTCCTTAGGCCTCCACACGGAGCCTTACTGGGTTACACTGGAAAAAATATTTAAGAAGTTTGACCTCTGGCTTCCCAGCCCACGGCCCTTGAAGAGCAAGGTGAGGTGTGAGTGAAAGGCCTTCTAGAGAAGGAAGCATTTTGAGAACAAAGAGACAGCAAACAACCTCAAAGATTTGCTTTAGGAGCAAAGGACAATAGGACTCAAAAGTAGACAAGCATTGCGTTATATGCCACTTCATCTTAGAAAAAGTATTCTAACATCTCATTGTATGGTGCCTGGTGCTCTAGCAAGCCCTTTCCCACACAGTAAAACAGGCAGCCAAGGAAGAAACAAATACTCAGAGAGGCTTAGTGACTTTTTCATGACCGTACAGATTAGCGAGTGGCAAAGCTGGGAATAAACCCAGACTGCATGATGTCTAACCCAAGCTCCTTTCCTCTACACCATGATTTTGCCCTTTCCTCTACACCATCATGCCTCCCTTTTTCATAACGATGACCATGAGTCATCAAGAAAAGGTTAGTTTACGTCTAGTAAACTCTGTGGAAGAAAACAAGGAAGTGGATAGTACATTATTGTAAAGTATTCATTAAAAATTATAAAAATAGTGTGGCATTCAGGATAAAGTTCAGCTTTCTGTTCTCAGCTACATTATAAATTATTGTCCTTTACCTTTTACACCTAATTGCCATACAGCACAATAATATTGATATGCAACATCTTCAAAAAATGCCTTGTGAATTTTCTAATATCAGTCACTCCCCTCTCTATTCTACTGCCTTGATTCTGTTCCCTCCTCTCTCTCCTGAATGCTCATAGAAGTTCTGGTTAGAATCCTGCCTCCAATTTTGACCCCTTAAATTTATCTTCCATTCACATAATTCTGACCAAGCCGATAGGGAAAAAGTCACAGCTTCTTAGCAGCAACTGAGGCCTCACTCCACTATCCAGCTCCTGCCAACCTTTGCAGCCTCATTTCTTGACACTTTTGGCTCCACACTTGAACTCCTACAGCACCCAAAGGCTTGTAACTAAGTTTCTGTCACATATCTGGTGTTCTCTGCTCTTGTTATTTTCCCCTCCACCTGAAATGCCCTTTGTGCAGTTCTTTATTTGATTAATTGCTGAACATCTTTAAAGACCCAAGCTTAATTGTCATCTAGACACCTCTTCTTGGTGTCCCTGCAATACCACAATGTCTCTATCCTTGCTTGTATCAATTGGGACGCTTGTGGTTGTGAGTAACAGAACTCCCACACCTAAAGTAACTAAAACAATAGGGACTTATTGTCTCTTCACAAGAAGTCTGAAAGTAGATGAGTCCAGGGTTGGCTTAGTGATATCTGGGTTCTAAGTCAGCACCTCTGCAATTCTCTCAGCCCTTCTGCAGGATGGCTGCAGCCACTCCAAACTTGACAACATTTAAAACCAGGAAAGGTATATTTGCTTGCTAAAGCTGCCATAACAAAGTACCATAGAGTGGGTAACTTAAGTAATAGCAATTTTATTTCCTCACAGTACTGGAAGCTAGAAGTCCAAGATCAAAGTGTTGGCAGGATTGGCTCCTTTGGACGCCTCTCTCCTTGGCTTATAGATGGCCTCTTCTCACTGTGTCCTGACATGGTCTTCCCTCTGTTGAATGTCCATATTCTAATGTCCTCTTCCTATAAGAATACCAGTCATACTGGATTAGGGTCCACCCTAATGGCCTTATTTTAACCTCTTTACCTCTTTAAAATACCTTATTTCCAAATACAGTCACATTCTGAGGTCCTGGGAGTTAGGACTTGAACATATGAATTCTAAGAGAATATGATTCAGCCCATAACAGAAGGAGATTCAGGGATAGGAGTTCCTCTCCGTTTTCAGGTGAAAAATCTTTGCTAAAATCCTTCCAGTAGACTGACCAGGATTTGGTAACCTGCCCTTTTCCTGGTTACAAGGAAAGATAGGAAAGCATTCTCACTTTTATAACGGGAAGAGGGCTCTGGAAGCCAGAAAGGGTTGGGAGTGACTACTGGGTAGGTTACCAAACTGTTGCACTCTGCTCCCACATTGAGTCATAGTTGTCTGCTTATGGGTCTACCTCTCCCATTAGCTCTTTGAAGCGGAGACCAGTGTTTCAATCATCTGTGTACCCCCAGCAAAGCACTGTGCCTGGTTCATAGTAGGTGTTCAACCAGTATCTGTTAAAGGAATGCACAGATAGAATTTAATGAACTAGATGAACCTGTTTGTGTTATATTTGATTACACTAAACTCGGTCCATATGTTTACTCTGTTCATATGTTTGGCTTGCATAACATATGAACACCTTTAATATTTAACTTTATTTAAAGCTATGGTTCACACCTTAAATGATTGCAGGGAGTATTGCTAATAGAACTGTTATTACAATAAGAAGAGACCAAATTCTGTAAGCTTTGTCTCCCCAAAATCTGGCATGATGAATGGCACACAGTAGCTGCTGTATGAATTTTTCTGGAATGAATAAATAATGGATGAATTAATAATTAAAATGTTTTTTAAATGCTTTGAAAAATATAATTATACAAATCTAAGCAGTTATTGCATTTTCTAGAAAAACATCATTCAGAACTGGGCAGCCCTTCTGTTCTGTTGGTACTAGCAAAGGTGGTATGTCAGCGAGTATTTATATCACCAAGCCATTTCTATTCTAACAAAGAATAATTTTGGCTGGACACAGCGGCTCACACCTATAATCCCAACACTTTAGGATGCCGAGGAGGGGGGACTGTTTGAGCCCAGAAGTTTAAGACTAGCCTGAACAACATAGTGAGATCTCATTTCTACAAAAAAAAAAAAAGAAATATATATATATATATCTCCAGGTGTAGTTGTAGTGGTGCATGCCTGTAGTCCCAACTACTCAGAAGGCTGAGGTCGGAAGATGGCTTAAGCCCAGAATGTCGAGGCTGCAGTGAGCTGAGATCATGCTACTGAACTCCAGCCTGGGCAACAGAGTGGGACCTTGTCTCAAAAAAAAAAAAGAATGATCTTAGTGAACTTGGCCAATAGGCCCATATTGCTCTGTTAACACTGACAGCAATTTCAACTGAGAAATAAAGATACATGAGTAACTATAAGATTGAACTGTCTGAAAAGGTATTTGATTTCAGTTCTGTGGAATTGCAGGAAGCAAATCACAAATCCACACAAAGCACTGCTGGATTCTAGTATGAGTCACATTTGCTCCATGAAACCCCACATATCTGACCTTCCATGTTCTACAGAATAGGGAAGAACCAAGCACCTAACTAATGAGTGTCACTGGTTGTGAGGGCAAGTAAATGAGTTGGTTGTTCCCCAAATTCTGGCTACCCTCCTAATGTTAGAGATTCTCATGATTTGCATTGAATTCCCACTTTTCTCTTCGCATCAAGTTGAGAGGACTCAGGCAGATAATGTGAGAATTACATGGAGTAAATGAGAAGCAGGGGAGGCAAAAAAATCAGAGTTACCACAAGTAACTGGGTTCCCAGCAGCAGTGTATTTTGGCACCGTAAGACAAACTGTGTAACTGAGAGTTGAGTCTTCTCTGGCCTTATTTCAGACCCAAGGGTCCCATGCCTCCCACACACAGTTCAAGTAATGAGGCTCAATTAAAACACTCAGGTTCAATGTGTGTTTCAGGGCTTCAGGGGCAGTCTCAGGGCAAAATATTTTCCACATGGAACTTAAGAGAAACTAGTGCCGTTCTGGACCAGACTGGCATGCAGGGGCAGGAGAAGACTTGGTCTGCAACCAACATCTGCATAATGAGAAGCTGGACAAGATGGCACTTGTGTGTGTTTGTGCTTCTGCAGGGCCTGTTCTCTGTGCCCCAGGTGCTTTCCTAAGTGCCAGGGGAAGGAGGTGCATGCTAGGGTGTTTTCCTCACAAGTTTTGAGTTTTTCTTCTTTCCTTAAAGTATTGGCAGCCCAAATTTTTGCTATGAAATCAAGACCTGTTGCTATCATGATGGTGAGTTTTTAAAACTTGTGCCAATGAACCCGGTCCTCACACATTATTGCAAGCACATTAGCCAAGCCCATTACAATAATCTATTGTTGAGAGAAATATATCCTGGCAATACATGTATCTAGGAGTTCCGCCTTCTGAATTGATGCCAAAATATGATAGATTCCCAGTTCCTTATGATTTCCAACTACTGTACATGAACTCCCACTCCCCTCTCCCCACTGCCAACATAATGACTAGCTTACTTTGATGTTCTCTGCTTTCCACAGTGGCTTTAACTCTCTGCCAGAGTTTCATGCACTAAGCACTCTGCTATTTGGAATCTCATTACCTGCAACACTAGTGACTGGCATCCCACAGATCAAAGGCACAATAATTCATGAGACACTGCACCATCCTGCAGTGACTTCTGAAACATTCTGAAAATATTTGATTGCGTTTGGGATAATTTAACACTGGTGTTTTAATGTATTCCACAGAAGTTGTTTTCATGCTTGCTCCAAGTAGTCTGTCAAATTATACAATAATACATGCTAATAAATTAAGATGATATAGACAGGCTGGAATGAATAACAGAGAAAACTTACAAAATAAAATTGACAGGAATTAATGTAATTGATGTAAAGTCTTGCATTTAGGTTTAAAATCTACTTAGCAGAAGAGACCTGGGTTAACAGTCCTCATAAGAAAGCCATGAGGAGTTTGACTATCAACTCAGCAGTGTACTATGATCTCTGAAACAGTCAATCCTATCCAAGGCCATCTTAAAAAAAAAAAAAAAAGCCCAGATTAAGGAGGGAAGAGTTTCACTCTCTACTTTGCTAGTCAGACCAGGTCTGTGGAGGATTGTGTTTGGCTATGGAAGCCACATTAGAAGAGGAAAGGAACTAAGGATGAGGATGTTTCTTCTGGCAACTCTGGCATAATACCTGTCTTCAAACAGTTGATGGGTTGTCACTTGGAAGAAACATTAAATTTAATTACATTAAATTTAATCACAGCACCACATCAGGAGTCATGTGTAGAGTCCACGGAACACATTTCAGCTCCATATAAGAAAGAACTTTCTACAGATTAGGGTGATCTAAGCATTGAACTTGGCTGAAATCCAAGAGAGGCAAAAGAAGACTTCTGGGCCATGCTAATTTTGATTATTTGCCTGACTGGTAGGTACTGAACTGTTTTATTATTTTCCTTCAACTGATCCATATACATTTTTATATACTCTTTGTAGATATATTTTATGATGAAAAACATTGACTAGTTTGCTGGGCAAAGTCATGACATCATCATTAGGCTTCAAGGAAAGGCTGGTGGCAACTGCATAAGAGGATGAGATAGATGACTTCTGACATTCGCTCCACCTCTAAGATTCTACAAGTCCATAAATACATGAGTAATTATTAAAGCAAAGTTATTCTAAGATATTCTTAAAGTAACAGTCTTAATTAACTTGATTTGAAGCCTCACTCCATTACTTGCATTTGTTAGACTATGATCCCTATGTCTCTAGTACAGTGATTATCATTTTTATTCGTCACTATATAATGATAGGCACAGCCTCTGCCCTCTTAGGATGACAAATGATATGGACAGTCATAAAGAAAACACAATGAGAGCCGGATATGAATAGTGAATAAATACAAAAGAAAGCAAAAAGGTTTATGTGGTAAACAGGTCAAGGTTGCTGGTATTATAAGTGTGGGGAACAAATGCCAGGCCTTGGAAAACACACCCTAGATAGGTTAAGACCAGAAGAAGCTAGCTCTCTGCTCCAACTAACTTAGCAGGGTTCCTGGAATAAGCAAGCCTTCAGAAATATATAGATTCTGGCAGTCACATTTGGTCAGGGGAATCTTTCTCCTGGGCTGCCAGTGGGAAGGCAGGGGTGGGGGTGGCGGGGTCAGCAAAATAGCTTAAATGGTCATTTCCTCATGTTAATCCTGTCTCCCATTCTGTTCCTTCGTGATCTCTCACTACCCTCTCCTTTGCACTGATTTGAGAGAGGGGAACCAACACCTGAAAAAGGGAAATGAGAGGAAGGGGTATTTGTGGACTGTGATGGACGTGGAATTGGGGAGAGTCCTTGAGTCCCCAAGTCACTGCTAAGTAAACAGTCAGACTCTCTGCTCCTTCTGGTTGAGCTGTAACTTTGGGCAAAGTTACTTCTGCTTTGGACTCATTTAACCTTTAGTCTGGGGATCCCCAATCATGTTACTGACATTAATTCCTCTATCCTCACAACAACCTTGAGTTGATGGGAAAAATAAACCAAAACACAAGATCTTATGAGCTACTGGAGTCCACTGTGGTAAAATGCAAATAATAAAGTTTTCTTTCTTATAAGAATTTATCTTCACTTTACTGAAGGGGAAACTGAGTCACAAAGGGTGAGAATAAATCAATTTCATATTTGCCATTCACTCTTTTATTTCATCAATAATGTTTTAATGTTATACTATTTTTCCTTCTGGAAATCCTTATTATGGTCATTCTCTGGATGGGGAAACTGAAGCACAGAGTAATTACAATGTATCGCCTCAAGCTAGGCCTCATAAAATAGTGCCTAGATAAGAAACTCTTCCAGAACCTAAATTCTAAAAAAGAATTTTGTCCTGAGAATTAGATTCCTACCCAAATCTAAAACATTAAATCCCCACTCAAAGCTTGCGAAATGAGGTGAAAATTGCTGTAAAGTTTGAATTGTTGGTATTAAAGAACAGTGCGAGGTCTGGGATGGCAGCAAGCGTAATCAACATCCTTGAGCTTTGTAAAGGGTTTCAGAGTTTACAAGTGCTCCACAGCTGCTATTCATTTATGTCCTTATCAGGGACATCAATAGCGTCCCCTTTTAGAGATGAGAAGGCTGGACCTCAGAGGTCAGTGGCTTGTCAGAGAACAGAGTTAGCAAAGGACAGAACTAGGACTGAAACTCAGGTCTTCTGAATCCAAGTTTAGTGAAAACAAACTGGGGGAAAGAGGTCACCAGCCTTTTACTGGGAGACTTAGTGGAGACTGAGGGAGGAGACAGAAGCTCATCAGCATCAGCCCATCAGCATACATGATAGCAGAGAAGGAAATTATCATCATGAGACATCTCAAATGATGACAGGGAACTGCTCTGGGCAGTGTGAGGACCTACTGACTGTGGCTGTAACCCCTGAGGGCCTGCAATCTAAGACAAACCCACTAGGAAGAACAAATACTTCTGTGACATACAGATGGTAGAATAAGACAGTCATCTACTACAAGAGTAGAGAGGAAAGCATTCACATCATATACATGTCCAGGTTAGTTTAGGGTGTGGAGCATATAAATGAAAATGGGGTCAATAAAGAAGCACAAGCCAGGGAAGAAATGCACACGCTCACACACAACAATCCAGAAAGGGTTTTTCCGAAGAAAAATACTTTTAGAAATTATTTCCTTTCTCTTTTTTTAATTTAAGAAGCAGTGAAATGGCTGTGCTGTGGTGACAGTGGAATTGAGAGCATTAGATTTAGAACAGAAACTTATTCTAGACATATGGAACAATTGTAAAGATGGGCGGGAAGGGGGTAGGAAGGTAATGTCAGTGGACAAAGACAGCTTTGAGCAAGTGGAAATTCAAGAGAGATTACAACCTGTCTTGACTTTTATGCTAAGTGTCTTAAGTGTTTCCACCCCCACGCTTTTCAGAAAGCTCATGCTCTCCCTATTTCAGGAACATGAAAAATCTCCACGTTTTGAAAACCTGTTTGCAGCAGATGGAGAAGGCAGCAGTGCCATGGTGAAGGAAATGGTGGATAGGGGCATTGGGTATGCTGCGCCATTAGTCCCTGGCCATCCTAATGTCCCCAGATCCTACCACCACAAGAGAGGATCCCAGCCACAACTCATTTATTCAGACCCACTAATTATTAGGTAATCTCCAGTTGCCTTCATCAAACCCAAATTCACCTCTAGAGTTTCAGGCCAGTGATTAGACTCTTAATGTAAAAACTTAATGTTGAGTTCTGCTGGAATATAAACATTTCTCAATATATCAATTTAGACTCCAGCCAGGTAGAGAGACTTGTTTATCTCTGTTGATTGTGTTTACTCAAGACATCCTTTGTGACGTTAATTAGAGAAGCAGCAGCAGAGAACCCTAGGAGTCTGGCTTGAGTAAAAATATGCAGAAAGAGTCCCTATACTCTGACTCCTGGCCCTTTGTAGAGCACAGGCTCCTTGGAGTCAACCATGCTGGCTCTAACCATGACCATTTGAGCTATGAGCCAAAGATGAGCAATTTCAGACTTTCAGAAGAAACTACTCATTCCCGATCACCCTGGTTTCTGAGTTGTAACAATTACTAAGATTTGCATGGGTGGTATGAGAAATTGAGGATTCTCATAAGAATGATTCTTATGATTATTATCTTTGCCAACATTTTTCATCTGCCATATTTAAAATATACCATTCTCTGTTCTAACCACTCTACATGTATTAACACATCTAATAACAATCACATCAGTAGATACTGTAGGTATTATGTTCACATAGATGAGGAACTGACACAGAGAAGTTAAGTCACTTAACTAAGGTCACAAAGCTAGTAGATGAAGGCACAAGGACTTAATTTCCGTTTAGCCGAACCCCAATATTTTAAAGGAATGTTCTAGCAAACATCTGATATCTACATGTAAGTTGCCGTTCTAGGTACCATGCACAAGATGCAAAGAATATATAGACAGTTCCTACAAAGAGCTAGTGGACTAGTTGCAGGTATCGGTAACCCTCTCTATGGTGTTTAAGTTCTGCTCCTTATTTTGTTCACCTACAGAGTAGGAAGTTCTAACTAGAAAAGACACAACAATGTTATCTTTTTTAAAAAACAGGTAAGGTAATTTTAGGCCAGAGGGAGCCAATTTACTAATTAATTTATCAAGAGCTACACAGTGACTAGTAGCACATTCAAAACTGGAAGCAATTTTTGTAACAACTAATATCTCCAAGTCCCATGTGGCAGAGACGGTGCAAAGGTCTTACTAGAGCAGAGGTACAAAGTTTTGATCCATTTGATCAAAATTGATCTTCAATTCTCCTTCAATCCCATCTCTCTTCTTCACCTCCCCCACGCTCGTATTTATTCTAAATTCTTTAACCTTTACTGATCCTCACTACTCCCTTTCTTCTGCCTCTGGAGTGAAACTATGCCTGGACACCACTCAGATTTACAGGGGTGGGACTGCAGATAAAGCTGAACTGCTTGAGATTCTTTATCCTTAATGAGCCTCTAAAGGAAGAAAAAATCATGCTTTGGACAGACAAATTGCCCGAGCAGGAACAAAAGGTAAAACCAAAAGGGGACACGCGTTTTAATGACTTAGGGAGAGGACTTGCAAGCTGCTTAGACTGGGACGAATTAAGACTAAATGCAGTGGGGTGGGAACTAGCGGGGAAGCGGTCATGCCCCCCAGTCTTCCCAGGGAGGAAATGCCAAAGCGACGTGCTTCAGAGAAAGCTTTGCGGTTTCTTTCATACGTATATGAAAGGGCCCTTTCTTAAAGGGTAGGGAAATTGCGTCTGAAGTCTGCGGGTCCCGTCTTCCCATTGTGAGGGATCCCCACTCTGGGAGGTCGCAGGGCCCATTTCTGGAGAAAGACGGGCCGCCTCTCTGTTGTGTGGGAGAGACTGTTTCCCGGCGCCTGGGCCTTCCTGTGGGGTCTGCGAGGTCCCCTCCCCCGGGAGGTGGGACCCCGGGGCAGCGCCTCGCCCCGCAAAGTCCGTTCTGCCTCACGGCGCAGGACTGGCGGGGGAAGCGTATAGCAGCTCAGCACCCCCTCGCGCCGCGTCACCCCTCGGCGTCTGGAGGACCCTGGCCCAGCAGCGGACCGGGCCGGCCGCCCGCCACGAGCGTGCGTAACGTGCCCCCGCAGCGTGACGCACGGGCCGTGCCGGGGCGGATGCGCGGGATGCGGGCCGGGAGGAGCGCGCAGGGGGAGGAGTGCGGGCGGAAGTCGGCGTCTGCTGAAAGGAGAAAGGAAAGGGAGACGCTGCTGGGTGCGGCGAGGTGAGGCTGGGAACCGGCGGGAGGGCGCCTCCTCCTCCCCCGCCCTCTCTGCTGAGGATGGAAGTGACGAAAGCAGCCGAGGAGGTCACTTCCTGCTGGGGTGGATGAGGAGGAGCCGGAGACGCCGCGGAGGAGACCGGACCGAAGACGGACCGTGCCGGGAAGAGGTGAGTCCCGGCCTCGCCTCGGCCGCCGGGGTGTCTGGGTTGGATCCGGGACCCTGGCGGGGACGGCGTCCCTGGAATCGGGGCCGGCCGCCAGGCCGCGTACCCACCCAGCTGGGCCTCACCCAGTGCGGGGGGCGGGGGAGGGTGGGATCCCGTGTCTGTCTGAGGGGCGACAGGGACCCAGGGCAGCGTTCATGCGGTGGCCCCGCGCAGCCCTGAGGCCACGGTTAAGGGAAGCCCGGCCCGGGAGGTGAATGGCAAGGAGGTTCTGGGGGCTGTGGAAGCCAGGACCCGGAGCTGCTGCGGGAAACCCGCAGCGCCAGACTGTGCATGCCTCACTCTTCGGGGAGTGGTCGCGATCAGAGGAAGGGCAGGGGTCCTGTGGTTTGCAGAGTTGAGACGAGTGGCCCTACTTGGATGGAAGTGTCCTTGCAGTGAATATGCGAAAGGCGTGCAGAGGCGCCCCAGGGCTCCTGGGAAAGGGACTTTTATGGGGAAAATTGGAGAGCTGGAGTGTCAAGAGAGGGTTTCCTTGTCAGGTTATCGTTGCAACGGGATTTGGACCCCAGGGTCGTGATGGTTGGAGGGAGTTCTGTGGCAGGGTAAAAGGCCTCGCGATCTGACAGCGCATCCTAGGAGTTAAGAGTCCAGGGCAGCTTCCTGGAGCAGTGGGGAAATTCGTGTTTTTCCTCCCTCATTGTCACTAAGGTGGAAGAGGAAGCTCCTGCCTCAGCCCCGGTGCCTCGTTATTATGTATCTCGTGTGTGTGTGAGAGTGTGTGTGTGTGTGTGTGTGTGTGTGTGTGTTTTTCCTTGTCTGCTCCTTCCTTTGGGGTGTTTATCTTGTCCTCGGCCGCTAGTAGTTTTGTAGACTGACACTTGCTGGTCTCCTTAATGTGTTTGGTGAGAAAAAATATTCAAAAGATCTAGAGAAATCCTAGGTTAGGTGAAATTTCCAAGATAAGGAATTTGTCCCTACGCGGGGGCCACTTAGGCATTCTCTCCAGATGCCTGCTAATGTGGATGCTGAGGGCCTGTCATCCACCCTGGGGAACAGCGAGGGTAGATCTGCCCTCCCTCCATGTCCCTCTGGCAGTTTCACCCCTCCCTCCTTTTTGCTAAGTGATTAACACAAAGCTCCTTGCTGGGAGGAACAGGAAATTTATTGAGGAACTGTAAATCTGGATGGAATGAATTCAAATCGCAGCAAGACTCCTTCCACTCACTGGCCAGAAGGGCTTCAGAAATGCCTGCTTTTCACCCCTTCCTGTTAAATGGAGAAAATGTATAATTTTTCTCAAAAAATTTTTGAGAGTTTGTGTGTGTTTTTTGAATAGAGTAAATGTACATATGGTGTGTTTACTTCCTGTATCCCAGGGTATTTTTCAAGGGGGAGGGAGCAGTTTGTGGCTGGGAAGAATCTTCCTTCTATCTCACATAATTCAGTAAAATAAATCAAAATCAGATGTTCATTCTTGAGTGGGAATCAGATGGATTTGGGATTTTTTCATCCTTTAAACTGGTACATCTTGGTGAACTCAGGCTTGTGTATCTTGGCATGTGGGCTTGTCTAGTAATAGAAGACAAACTGTTTGACTTGTTTTGGCTGCGTTTTTGGACCCATTTCACTGTACCTTCCTTTTTTATTTTTATTTTTTTACATTTGAAGGGTTGGTCAGGAGGAGGAAAACAAATATTAAAGACAGTGTTTACACTTTGTGGTTTAAAGTCAGGTGAGAGATAATTATGGCTTTTGAAGCTGATGACCTGAGGCCCATCATTTGATAACTTGGGGAGTAGCAGTTTGGAGGTGACATGTTTGAAAGAAAGAGAGTTGCATACGGAAAGAAGAACAGGGGAAAGGAAGTTTGGGGAGAGACTGCCAGAAAACTTTTGAGAGGATACTAAATAAATAGCATCTTAAAGTAATTGTGTGGCTTGTGTCTCTCAGCAGGCGGGTGAAAATGAAAGCCGGCTGTAGCATCGTGGAAAAGCCAGAAGGAGGTGGAGGTGAGCAGAAGTTAATCATCTCTGATGTACCTGGAAGCTTCCCTCAGTGGTTCCTGTCCTCTCCACTTGAGCTCTGTTCACAAATGTCAGACCATGACTGACACTCTCTTGGCTAGGTGGATACTGGCAGGACAGTTGTAGGCTTGTTTCCTATGGATGTATATTTAACATGTCTGGTCACCACACCCATATCCTAAGCTTTAGAGTCTCTTTGCTGTCAGAGACACAGTTCCAACCTTAGGGAAAAGGAGTTTTCAGCTGTATTTTCCTGAAACATTAGTTTATCTTTCCTGTTTGTTCCCTTTAGCACTTTTATGTCCTCACAGAAAGTAGGTGTATTTAGTAATGTATGAAAAGGTCAGCTTAGGACATCTGGTTGCTGCTGCCCAACTCTTATCAGATTTAATGATTGCCACAAGGATAGGTGACTTCTCTGTGCTTTCCTCTCCCCATTGTGGTTAGGCCCAGCTGACTGAGAGTACTTACAGCATGTTTGCAAAGCACTCTAGATTCTGAGCAGTGGAATGTGCAGTTGGGGTTGCTGGTATGTATGTACCTACCTCTTAACTAGCTTAATCTTGACCTTCTCACATGAAAGGGTATCAGTTTCCTGACTGGGCCTACAAAACAGAGTCATCCCCAGGCTCCCGGCAGATCCAGCTGTGGCACTTCATCCTGGAGCTGCTGCAGAAGGAAGAGTTCCGCCATGTCATCGCCTGGCAGCAGGGAGAGTACGGGGAATTTGTCATCAAGGATCCAGATGAGGTGGCCCGCCTCTGGGGCCGCAGGAAATGCAAACCACAGATGAATTATGACAAGCTGAGCCGGGCCCTCAGGTAAGGAAAAGGATTCCCAAATCTGTGTTAACAGATTGGAAGGAGACTAAGCTGTTTGGTGAATGCTAGATAAAAAGGGTATCAGGTAATAAAAGACTACACTATCTTAGTGAATAATGTGTCACTTTAAAGTGGGAGTAGAAGAGCTGTTGAATGTGAGTAGCATAGGCACAGGAGGAGAAAAGGCATATCTTTGGTTATACGTAGGAGGGGATTCCAATGTGGCTGGCACTGGATCCTGACAGACAGCTGATTCTGCTCTGTAGTGGGCGAGAGTATATGGTGAAACATGGATTGGAGTTCATTTATAATCCAAAGGATTAGTTTAGACTTCTCTATTAGAATCTGTTAGAATTTCTTTCTTTGGGCTTCCCTGAAAGAAACTTAGAAAAGGATGAAGCAAGTCACGGGAGGAAGATTCAGTGATACTGACCTATCTATTCCGGAACTGTGTCTGTGAGCTCAGGTTGTCCATAGCCTGCTGCAATATGTCTAAAGATTGATCACTATAAGTTTTCTCAGGTTCTTTTTTCCCCTTGTCGGTCTTACATTTCATAGTCCTTTAGCCCTCAAGGGGCTAGAAGGCAGTTTATGACCTCTGCTACTGCATAGATGTAAGACTAAAGGTTCCAGATAATTGAAGTTCTCCTGACCTGAAATGTAAACTCTGTACAGTGGCTTTGCTGTATTCTTTCACATCCCTTTGAGTCTTTGAAGGTGAGGCGGGCCACACTAGCTGCTGTTTTCCAGATCAGGGCATGCCATTGTTTGACCTGCCACCATAAAACAGTTGTACATTCCTTTGTCTGTCTTTTGAGCTTAGGCCTCCAGACTAACCACATCAGGTCTCCCTAGTGATTTGTCTGCCCCCACCTGGGCAAGACCAAAAAGAAAAACTAAGCAGTTAGTGACATGCAGTGCAACCGGACGGAAATGGACTGTAGAATCGAAATTGTAGAGAGATGGAGAAGAAAATGTTTGGGGCTAGGATAAGTGTTCAGAATCTTAAAGTGAAGTTGTCTTTGTAAACCTCTAGGCAAAAACGAGCTGAGTTGAAAATTGAGTAAGAAAATTAAGCTGTTAGGTCTCCTAGATCTACCTGGAGGGCCAGGCTGCGAAAGATTGGTAGTGATTTTTGTAAGTAATACTCAGAGCAAGAATTGTTGGTCTCAGTGGCTACCTAAGTGTATTGAAAGCTGTCAGTAGCTACAAGACGAATGGACATGTATTCCTGTTTTTACAGATACTATTACAACAAGAGGATCCTTCATAAAACAAAAGGGAAAAGATTTACCTATAAATTTAACTTCAACAAGCTGGTGATGCCCAACTACCCATTCATCAACATTCGGTCAAGTGGTAAGATACAAACTCTTTTGGTAGGGAATTAATTTTGAATTGAAAAGAATTTTTAAAAATCCAAATCTAAGACATGGCATGTTTAGGAAGATTTTAGAAACACTAAAATAATGTGATCCTTTGGATTGCCTCAATGTTCTTACTCAAGTCATCTCACTTATAAGGAGAGTTATAGGCTATTCAGTATCAAGATAGATTTCTTTGGTTTATTTGGTTGGTTCCCTTTTCTGCATATTGTTTGTAATCTCCTAGATACTATTACGCTATCTTGTTTGGGAATGATGTTTCATAGGTTTGTGATGATCTTTACGTTCAGGACTCAGTTTTAACACCCAGCCCAGTGGTTCTTTCATAGATGGGAACCTGTTTCTACAAACACTTCCGATTTTCTGTGAAACTACCAAGCTCTCCCTTATCAAGTGAATATCATCAAAACCACAGCATCCTTGATCAGAGAAGGGGGAGGTTCACATGTTTGCAGTGAAAAGCAGTGTCTTTGATCTGCAACAGCAAATCCTCAGAGAAAAAGATTCTGGGGTTACTTGACCTTCTCTCCTGTTAAGTGCAGTAGGGCTTCCCCTCTTGACTTTCCTGGTTATAGCTTTCCATCACAGCTCCCCACATTCTCTCTTGATGTTGAAAGCAGTCTCTCAAAAGACTTTGTTGTTGTGTGGTTTTTTGTTTGTGATTTTTTTCCTTATGCAAATCATACTCCTGCCCAAGAAAATACAGTAGTTCCCCTTATCTGAGCAGTATATGTTCTAAGACCCCTAGTAGATTCGCAAACCACAGATAGTACCAAACTCCATTCATATATATGATGTTTTTTCTTCCCTTAACCCCACTCATATGTATCTGTGATAACGTTTAATTTATAAATTAGGCACAGTAAGAGATTAATGACAATAATAAAATAGAAAAATTATAACAATATGCTGTAATAAACTTAATGTGGTCTTTCTCAAAATATCTTTGTGTACTGTACAGACCTATTTTCAGACCTTTGTGGGTAACTAAAACAGTGGAAAGCAAAACCTCAGATAAGAAAGGACTACTGTAGATTGTATTTAACTGTTTTCTGACCAGTCCATCAGTAAGTACTCTGTCATTGTGGCCTTGTATGCTAAGGCAAAGAATGCTGATCATGCAGTAATACAACTTCTCAGAAAAGCTGGAAGAAACCTGAAAAATTAGTGGGGGTGTGGTTGAGAGAACATAATGTTGAGATCCATTGCAGATATGTAATTACTACACAACAAGTTAGGGCAGTTTTAGCTTGACTCTGCTATCATTACAGTTTCATCTCAACTTCTGTAACCACTCCCTCCTGTCCCTGGGGCATGCATTTAAAAAAAAAAAAAAAAGTGGTATTGGAATGCATCTCTCTAATTACAACCTGTTTTCTTTCCTTGTGCCTGAGGGAGAGGCGTTAGGAAATCAGACCTGTACTCGCCACTCAAATCTTGCTTCCTCTGTTTCTCACTCTTGCCCCTTCCTTGTATGCCTAGAGGAATTGGGAATCTAGATGTATATACCAACAATTTTAAAGAATTTGTTGGTTTTCATACCCCTTCACCCCACTCCCAAAAAAATGTTTCATTCGTCTTGTTCTTCTGTCTTTGACCCATTTTTATCTATTGAAAATCCAGAACTTCAGCCACTTGGACAACCTAGAATGGGGCATTCATAAGCCCTGGGAAGTAATGTGGTTTTCCAGGGCAAGGAAACCTGGATCCTCACTCTGTGAAGAATCTGATCTAGAAACCTAACAATAGTGGCCCAGCACACCTGTTCTGCCCGAAGGCGATTGAACCAACATTGATCTTTAACCCAAGCTCAAGATCCTAATCAAAAAGCCACAAGGGGCCGGGCCAGGTGGCTCATGCCTATAATCCCAACACTTTGGGAGGCCAAGGCCGGCAGATCACTTGAGGTCAGGAGTTCAAGACCAGCCTGGCCAACATGGGGAAACCCCCATGTCTACTAAAAGTACAGGTGGCAGTCACCTGTAGTCCTAGCTACTCAGGAGGCCAAGGCAGGAGAATCACTTGAACCTGGGAGGCAGAGGTCGCAGTGAGCTGAGATCATGCCACTACACTCCAGCCTGGGCGACAGCGAGACTCAGTCTCAATAAAGCACAAGGAAAGCAAAACTGTGTACATTTCTTTTAGTACATCTATCTCTACTACCTGGTTGCTCACATCCTAGGTATAGACAACTGCAAAGAACTGGTGTCATTAGTTTTTAAAGAACTTTTGACCAGAGAGGCCAAATGTTGTTTAAGGTAACTTTATGATAACAAAGGAATGTAACATTTATTGAACATCTGCTTTATGGAGGTACTTTTGCTTAGTAGTTTTGTGAATTACGTTATTCAACTTTTCAGCCCAGTGAAGTGAATGTCTTGATATCCACATTTTACAAATGATAAAATTAGGAAAACGACAGCAAAGTTAAAGACTGATCAGGGTAGGTTGAATAGTTATCTATTGAACAGTTTCTAGGGAAACAATTCCTGAGAGATCGAGCTGTTGAAGTCTAGCCCTTATTTAATAGATCATACATTCCTCCTCTAGGTTGTGATTCATTTGTTCAACAGATAATGGGAGTTCTTTACCTCACGGAACTTACAGTTTAGCAGGAGAGATAAGATATGCCGGGTTTAATACAATGTGAAATGTGATAAGTACTCTAAATAGAGCTGTGTGGATTTAGATCCTGGAGGCCATTGAGATCATGTCCACAAGGTGGGTTGAGACAGTTGGGGTATTCTGGTCTGTGTATTTTATCATGAAAAGCATCCTGTATAACACATTATTAAAATATTTTCTTATATTTGCATAAGAAACATTGGAAAGATACAGAAGATACTGTCAGGATGGGGCAGGACAGACCAGTTCAGGGATGGACTTGATACCGCTCAGTCTATGCCTCTCTACTCCCACCAACCCCAGTTTTTTAATTTTTATTTGGGAAAACTCGAAACCTACAGGAATACTGGAAGAAGGACAGTAAACACCCATATATCCTTTATCTAGATTCACTAATGGTTAATATTGTAGCCACATTTGCTTTATCTCTTTCTATTTATATATACTTTTTAAATCTTTTGAGATTAAGTTGCAGACATCATGACATTTCGTCCCTGTGTACTTCAGCTTGTATTTCCCAGGAACAAGGACATTCTCCTCCATAACCACAATAACATTACCACACCCAGGATGTTTAACATTGATATAATTCTGTTATCTAATACATAGTCCGTATTCGAATGACAGTTGTCTTTTTAGGGTTTAAATTTTGTACCATGATTAATAAAAAAATTATTTAACAATGACATGCAATTTGCTATGCTTGGTACTATTCTAAGGGCTTTACAAATATTAACTGTTAATCGTCATAACAATAGGCCCTGTGCTGACCTATTTTACAGGTAAGGAAACTGAGGCACAGAGAGGCAAGCTGTCCAGAGGCACATAACTAGTAAGTGGTAGGACCAAGATTGGAACCTAGGCAAGGACCTTATGAATTCCATTTTGCCAGAGGGGGTCAAAGATTCCAGTGTGCTACTTGTACTAGGCTACAAGGTGGAAGCTGCCAGAACTGAGATTCAGACCCAGTTTTTTCAACCCCAGTACTTGAATTTCATGGTGACTTCATGGAGGTGGACTTCTAAAGCAATGGTATTCAAACTTTCTTTTTTAGCAGCAAACTTTTTTTCTAAGCAAAATCTTAGGTTTGATATCTCAACATATAAAAGTAGGGCTACTTCAGTTAATCAGAGATAAGGGTTCCAGAATGCTAGAAGCAATGCTTCCCAGTATTGCTTCTAGTCTCACCTCCCATTACTCCACCTAAATACATCAGGAAAATACTGCTTATTATGTCTCCTTTACAGTATACCTTAACGTATGTAAAGACTGAGATATCCTCCAGTTTATTTTTCTTTTTTAATAAAAAACTAGATTTTGGGCCGGCACAGTGGCTCACGCCTGTAATCCCAGCACTTTGGGAGGCGGAGGTGGGCGGATCACGAGGTCAGGTGTTCAAGACCAGCCTGACCAATATGGTGAAACCCTGTCTCTACTAAAAATACAAAAATCAGCCAGTCATGGTGGTGCGCACCTGTAGTCCCAGCTACTTGAGAGGCTGAGGCAGAAGAATTGCTTGAACCTGGGAGGCGGAGGTTGCAGTGAGCTGAGATGGTGCCACTGCACTCCAGCCTGGGCGACAGCAAGATTCTGTCTCCAAAAAAAAAACAAAACAAAACTAGATTTAACCAAGCATTTCTAAGTTGCTTAGGAGACAAGACCTTTCCCTGCACATTATACTTCCTTCTTCTGAATACATAGAAGTGGCTTTTTGCTTTTGAGTAGATGTACTCTTAATTGAAAGTCAAGATCCAAAAGAATCAAAAAGGGTAGAATTGTAGCCACTGTAATAAGCTAGTAGAAGAATACATTTGGCCTGGGACCCTCTTGGCTCTACTCAAATCATTTGCAAGGTCATCCATCTGTTCTTCCTAATTTTAAAATTAAATCAGTGGCTTTATTTTTTTTCCAGTCTGTGATTTTGTTTTTAATTATCTTAAGTCTTATAATCATGCATAATTTTTAAATTTGTTTATATTTCCTCTACTTAATTCCTTTTAAATTGGCAAAAGCACCATTTCCAATCACAAATACACAGCAGTTCTACAGTGTTATGTTTCTGAATGGCTGTTTAGAGGCAATCCCAAATTATAACTTAGTCTGAATTAGATGGTAAAGAATTCAAGAGTGAAGTTTAACTTGCTACTATTTTTAAAGCATCTGATCCTATAGATCACCTATAAAATGTGAGAAGTGTTAAATCTTTATTTGATATTACACATAAACCCACTAAAATGCCTTTCAATAAGTAAAAGAAATCACTTTAGATACAGATTTCTAATTAAATTGGCTATTATTGTTAAAACCAAAAATATAAAGTAGACATTGCTGCCTTATCTTCAGCCCTTGCCTTTAAGAGGCAAATGAACATAAAACACTGGTGAATCTTGCTTGGTTCTAAGACAGTGAAGGACTTTCCCCAGTATTTAAATATATTCACATAACTAGTTATGTAAATCTAAATATAAAACCATTCTCCATTAAGTTTTAAGATGGCATTCATCATCTTTGTGAAAAGTTGAACATTACTAATGAAGTCCAGTCATATATTTAGAAGGGGTAAACAGTGATAGATAGCATTTACTAAATCGGAATTACCGTTAAAATTCCAAAAGCCAAACATATTCATCTAATCTCAAGTCAGTCTTAATTAAATCAGGACTGCCCAACAAAAATCTGTCAGTCATTCATGATCTGGATTCTGGTTTATGAGATCTGTTAAATTATGGTACACATAAAAAAGTCATGAGGCATTTCTGTTTTGCAATAAATAAGGCAGTGTCCAATTATTATCCATTAGTAGCTTTTTTGAGATAATCTATCAAGTCTGCCCTTTTCTGCCTTAATGTCGGCAAAGATCATTTTTGTTCCAAGGATGTACTTCTTGGGATTCTCCAAATACTCCATCGGTATCCTCTCCCCAGGTAATGCCTTTGTTCTTATTGGCATCTGTGTAAGAGAATCCAGTGGCCTGACCTGTCTTCCACCCAAAGAGACATGGAGATTAGGCCCAGTCTCGTGCTTGCCTCCCTTTTCCACAGTGTGGCACTGGGCACACTTCTGAACACAAATCTTCTTGCCTTTCTCAATATCACCCGTATTTAATTCTCTCTTTCATCACTGGCAATATGAAGGTTCCTGCTCGGAAGCCAGACGTCCTGCTCTCTAAATCAGTGGCTTAAAAAAAAAAAAGTCCTGCAGAACAGTTTTCTGTGGAACATTAGTTTGGGAAATGAGGCTCTGGCATAGTGTTACTCAGTCCCATGCACCCAGAAAGCTACAGTCTTACGAATACCAGCAGACTCCAGAGTCTGCTAGACCAAGAGGAGAAGGCACCAGCTGATTGGGAGCAATTCATAACCATCCCATATCTGTGTACCTTTTTTGTTTCCACTCCTAGATCACTATACTTAAAATTTTGTTTTTTTCTATTTTTTTCTTCTCCTTTGTTCTTTCTTCACCTTTGCCTGAGAACCCTGCTGACATTATTATAGAAACTGCTGACACCTCCGAGGAACCCACAGGTCCCTGAGACTTCAGATGGCATACCTTTTTCATGTCTTATCAGGAGGATCACTGGGGAAGTTGAGAACTGTGAGCCACTAAAGTTGATGGGCTGGGCGCAGTGGCTCACACCTGTAATCCCAGCACTTTGGGAGGCTGAAGCAAGTTTATCGTTTGAGGCCAGGAGTTCGAGATCAGCCTGGCCAACATGGTGAAACCCAGTCTCTACTAAAAATAACAAAAATTAGCCGGGCATGGTAGCACACACCTGTAATCCCAGCTACTCCAGAAGCTGAGGCACAAGAATCACTTGAACCCAGGAGGTGGAGGTTGCATTGAGCCAAGATGGTGCCACTGCACTCCAGCCTGGGCAACAGAGTGAAACCCTGTCTCAAAAAAAAAAAAAAAAAAAAAGTTGACATAAGTAGCACAGTGTATGTTATCACTTAGAGCTTTACATTTTAGTAAGCAAACTTGGAAGAAGGAATAGTAGGTCCTGGATTTTCTCCCAGCCTCCTTAATGTTTGAAAGCAGGTTGGAGATGGAGATCATTCAGTAGAATTTGTTAGAGGAATATAGATTTGGAGAGATTGAAAAATATTTGAATCTCTGTGAAGCAGTGATTGTATATCAGGAATGATAAAACACTTGGTAATAAGAACTTAACAAATGTGTAGCCTTTTTAAAAATTAAACTGTTTTTACTAAAACATGGTCAGTGTATGTGAGGTATAGGGTCTTTGAGTTTTATCTTTGAGTTTTTAATGCATTACTTTCCATGCATGTCATTTCCAGTTTTGTTGATTTGTTTTTTGGTTTGGTTTGTTTGCTTTTTATATGCGGCGAAGCGGTGCATCCAGGAATGGGGCCTTGGCCCAAGCAGAGCTTCTCTGGAGGTGCAGTCAGCCAGGGCAGCTATGCCCCTCCCCACAGTCAGCCAGGGCAGCTCTGCCCCTCCCCACAGTCAGCCAGGGCAGCTCTGTCCCTCCCCACAGTCAGCCAGGGCAGCTCTGTCCCTCCCCACAGTCAGCCAGGGCAGCTCTGCCCCTCCCCACAGTCAGCCAGGGCAGCTCTGTCCCTCCCCACAGTCAGCCAGGGCAGCTCTTCCCCTCCCTACAGTCAGCCAGGGCAGCTCTGTCCCTCCCTACAGTCAGCCAGGGCAGCTCTGTCCCTCCGCACAGTCAGCCAGGGCAGCTCTGCCCCTCCGCACAGTCAGCCAGGGCAGCTCTGCCCCTCCGCACAGTCAGCCAGAGCAGCTCTGCCCCTCCCTACAGTCAGCCAGGGCAGCTCTGTCCCTCCCCATATCCCATCTCGAAATATATCTGTATTCCAACAAGGAAAAATGGGATAGCATGTGGGTAGTCTAGGCAGTGAGTAAACATCAGATGTCCTCTTGTAGCAACTATCTATATGTTGTTATTATTTTCTATCTTAAATGTTCTCGAATGTTTATATTTCAGTAAACCTCTACCTCGTCACACACACACACGAATATATATATATGGCCAAAATTATGGAAATAAGACTATTTGCAGAGCTAAAAATTGAAACAGGTAATATATACACAATATTTAGAGTTGCAGAGGAGAAGGCTCTTGTACCCATTCATTCATTCCACTTAATATTTATTGTGTACAGGAAGTACACAACCGTTAAGCCCTGAACTGTGAGGTGTACAGTTGTGAACAATAGGAAGTCCCTGCCATGTGGAATTTAGGTTGTAGAATATGGATAAGCAATTACAATGTTTTTGACAGTAAGGAGTACTGTGAAGACAGTGAAGAGCCTAGAGAAGGATGACAAGTTGAGTAGAAGCAGCTGAGCAGTAGTTACTAGGAAGTTGGAGAACTGTGGGATTCAGTCCAGTTGGAATGATTGTTTCCTGTTACTACTAAATATTTTGCACTTAGTTAGCATAAGTGATGATAATGAATGAGCAGTCCTCTGATGCAGGCTTTTGTATTTTCCACCATCACAGGTGTGGTTCCTCAGAGTGCACCACCAGTGCCAACAGCCTCTTCCCGGTTCCATTTCCCACCTCTGGACACCCATTCTCCAACCAATGATGTGCAGCCGGGACGGTTCTCTGCTAGCTCCCTAACTGCTTCTGGCCAGGAGTCCAGTAATGGTACTGATAGAAAGACTGAGCTTTCAGAGCTGGAGGATGGCTCAGCTGCTGACTGGCGCCGGGGTGTGGATCCCGTGTCCTCCAGGAATGCCATTGGTGGAGGAGGGATTGGCCATCAGAAACGCAAGCCTGACATAATGCTTCCTCTGTTTGCTAGGCCAGGGATGTACCCTGACCCCCACAGTCCCTTCGCTGTCTCTCCAATCCCTGGCCGCGGAGGTGTCCTTAATGTCCCCATTTCACCAGCCCTCTCCCTGACTCCCACCATCTTCTCCTATAGCCCATCACCAGGCCTGAGCCCTTTCACCAGCAGCAGCTGCTTCTCCTTCAACCCTGAGGAAATGAAACACTACCTTCATTCTCAAGCTTGTTCTGTGTTCAACTACCATCTGAGTCCTCGGACTTTTCCCCGTTACCCAGGGCTCATGGTTCCACCACTGCAGTGCCAAATGCATCCTGAGGAGTCAACTCAGTTCTCCATCAAGCTGCAGCCCCCACCAGTTGGGCGGAAGAACCGGGAGAGGGTTGAGAGCAGCGAGGAGTCAGCACCAGTCACCACGCCCACCATGGCTTCTATTCCCCCAAGAATCAAGGTGGAACCTGCCTCTGAAAAGGATCCTGAGAGCCTCAGGCAGTCGGCACGAGAGAAGGAGGAGCACACTCAAGAAGAGGGCACTGTGCCAAGCAGGACCATTGAAGAGGAAAAAGGCACCATCTTTGCCCGTCCTGCTGCACCACCCATCTGGCCCTCTGTGCCCATTAGCACCCCAAGTGGAGAACCTCTGGAGGTGACTGAAGACAGTGAGGATAGGCCTGGCAAAGAGCCCAGTGCACCTGAGAAGAAAGAAGATGCACTGATGCCCCCCAAGCTTCGGTTGAAGCGGCGCTGGAATGATGACCCTGAAGCCCGAGAGCTGAGCAAGAGTGGCAAGTTTCTCTGGAATGGGTCAGGACCCCAGGGCTTGGCAACAGCAGCTGCTGATGCTTAGAACTGGAAGTGGATTAGGAGCTGTTTATACTATAATCAAATACATACATGTATTTATGTAGCAAGATTTCAGGGTGGGGGGGAGGGAGTTAAACTGGTTTGATCATTCTAGGGGCATAGACTTGTATTTTTATGTTTTGGGGATGGGATGGGGTTATCTTCTGTTGTAAATTAGGTGGGATATGAACACACTTATTTTCCTGGTGAGTAGGACACAGGGAGGGTATTGAACTCAAAGGAGAAGGAGCCTCTATTTCCTGTTGAGGCTTATACTTTCTGACAAGGAAACTCCCAAAGGGCCAAGATACTTTTTGGTCCCATGATAGTCAGGTTCCAGACTTCTTTCTTTTCTATTGTATTTGTATGTGGAAAGCCATTAATGAATTTATTTTACTCCAAGAGATACACATAAAAGGGAAAAGGGCATGGTTGGGAGGTTGAGCAGTAAGAGACCATTAATACTAAGTATTTTGCCTGAAATGCTTCTTTATAATTATTTCAGGGAAGGAATAAGATAATCTCAGACTTACTGGGGTGGGGCTTGGGGAATGTTTGGATGTTGCTCTTTTTCTTCTTCCTTCTTTTTTTTTTTTTTTTTTTTTTGGTTGGTGTTGTTTGGCATTTTTTTCTTTTCCTTTTTAAAGAAAATGTTTTCAGGAAACATGAACAAACATACTGCCAATTATAGTGGGGCTGGGAAGGCACAGGAGCTGGCGACCTCTCAGCTGCATAGTTGGGACGGCAAACCCTGCTGTGAGCTTCTCAGACTTTTCACCTACTTCACCTATTAAGAAGCCATGAGGAGTTGTAAACTCTTGTTCAGGGAAGAAAAGAGGGCAGGAGGAAGTAACCCAATGCCTTTAAATACAAAACAGATGAAAAACAAAATACTCATTTTTCCTTTTCTATTGTGGGTTTGGGGAGCCAAACCAAGTGTGACTGTGAGCACGTTCACTGAGAGGCATGACAACATTATTGAAGAGGTCTTTCCATTATGTCTGGTTCTCTTATTTTCTTAAGTCAAGCCTTAACTATGAACATACTTTAAGATGATACGGGTCTGTCACCATAAACCTGTAAAAGGGCATCGACAGCTTTTCAGATAATCCAGGAATGTTGAGACATGGCTAAGTTTCTAGCTGATACTTAGTCATTCCCTCTTGATATTGTTGGGATGGGTAGCCAAAAGGCAGGCTTGTGGGAGTTAAGAGCCAATGATACCTGGAAACATGGGAGGTAGCTGGGGGTACAAGTGGATGTTGAGACTGAAGGAAGAGGTGGAAAGAAGACACAGAAGGCACCCAGATGCCAAAAGGCCTGGCATGAATGAGAGTTGGCATCTGTCCTGTTGTGGTGTTCCCATTCTTGCCATACCCATTTGCCCAGATTGTTCTGATTCTCATGTTCAATTGACTATCCCACATGAGACTACAGTTTATAGGCAGTGAGGAATTGTTTCTTCCTGGGAAATGTCCTTCCAGCAACTTCAGAGGAATGGGAAAGTGTTAATCTTACGTGAAGCAAAGGAGCCTGGACTAGGGGCAGAGAGAAAGAAGCAGCAGCCCACCTTCTTTGTGTTTGCACATGTGCCTATGTCGTGTACATTGGTACCTGACTGTGGCTCAGATCTGCGTCGCAGCAGCGAGAGAAGAAATCACTCCATATCCGATGAGAGGAAGGGTGGCACAGAGATGGTGTCTACAATTAGAGACATTTCTGACTCCACCTTAGCCTAAGCAAACTTTATATACTGAGTAACATTTGAAGGTTGTCTTTTAATGGTGGGGGGTGTTTTTTCCTTTTTAAACTACAGTGCTTGCACAAGAGAGGGAGGGACTCAGAAAAGGTTAGGGCAGGTGAGGGAGACAGTAGATGGCCTGGGATGACTTGAGTCCATCATACTATTGCTTGGCAGGTGTCCTCCCCCATGTTTGATTCAAATTCCATGAGTGACCTACCTTTCCCCAGGAATGGGACTGAGAGGGTAGTCTCCAGCAACTCAGTCTGCACAGGGCTCCCCGTTCAGGCTGCCTTTGGTGGTTGTGCTTTTGTAAGTTTCTTTCTCTGCACTTCGACTTACCTCTGAATCAGAAAGCAAGCCCAGCAGGTGAATGAGGGATGTCTGCTTGGCATTGCCCAATCTAACCAGGGAGGCTGGCTGGCCACCCACTGTCCGCTAGAGGGGAGAGCTAGCAGGTGTTGGTATGAACTCAGGAATAGAAACACGAGGCCTTTTTAAATACGAGGGAGAAGAATCCATGATGCATACCTGTAACCCCCTAGAACCCAAGTGCCAGAATTCCTAGATGCTGCTTCTGTTTGAACAAAATGTCACTGCTTTTACACTTGAAAAAAACACACTCGAAAAATGTTCAACTCCATGAAAAATATTTTTTGGCTTTAAGAAATTGTTTGGTGTTTAACTGTTTCCTTTGATTGCCATTCCACCAGTAAATTGTTGGTTGATTTGCACTGCACTCTGGGGTTGGGGTTGGGAGGGGAGGGTCCTTATACAGAGCCGAACCTGGGGTTGCTCAGGAAGTGGGCCAGGGAATGTGGAAGTCGTTGACATTGCCTGGGCCAAAAGAGTGGGAGATAGTTTTTCTCCCCTCAGCCCACTCCTGGTAGCACCTGTCGCCAGCCTGGTACAAAGCCAGGCCTTTTTCTTCTGTGAGCATCTCATCACTGTCCAGCAGCAGGTGGAAAAAGGGGGACAACAACCAGACCTATTTTTTCTCCCCCATTTTTTCCAAATTTTGCTGTGCCAAATGTTTAAAATTTTATAAATATGAATCTATTGAAATTTCCTTAATCAAGAGCTTCTTCGTGTAAAGTTTGCTTTTTTAGCTATAGAAAAAGAAAACAGTAAATATCTCTTAATGGCATCCAGCCTTGCTGAGCTCACCTTTTTTCCTGAAGAATGGGTAGGAGTGAAATATTTAATGTAAACATTTCACCAAGTCCCTTTACCCTAATTTTGAAGCTGCATTAAACCCAACTCACTAACACAGGGAATGATTGCACCCTAGTCCTCTGTGGGCCAAGAAACTTTCAGAAGCATTAAAAAAATAGTTGAAGTATATCACTTCTCACCAAGTGGGTAGAGTCAGTTGGCTGTTTGTCCCTTGTTTTTTATTTATTCCATAATTATGTTTGTGCTTTTTGTTTTGTAAACAGTAATGGAACGTACATTTTTATTTTGTTTAGAAGACAACTTTGATTCAATCTTTCAAGAACTGTTCCATTCTTGGTTTCTTCTTAGGGGGATAAAAAGTTACCAGTTAATTTGTTTTGAGATATTTAAGCATTCTTTGAGTTATAGAATTGTGATGCAGGGATTTGTGAATGAGACATTTACATGTGAAAGGTGACTTCACTAGTTACCTGCTTGAGCAGAGTAAAGTGTGTATATGTACATAAAATGTAAGTAATCTTAACTCCATTGTGCAGTGCCTTTTAGATGTTCCGCTTTCTATAAAGTCTTCAAATTTTTGCATATATATTATATATATATGATGTAATGTTATAGAAATATATGTATAATATACATATTTTTTCCAGGGGTATCTGATAGCTCTGTATTTTGTTATGGAAGTTGAAAGAAAAAAGTATTTTACCTCAGAAATTAAATAAAAAAATACTTTTAAGTAATGTTTGCTGAGAGTTGGTTTTGTTGTTCATCATACACTGTGCTGGGGTGGTCATGCCAGAGAATTTGCCAAGTCCGTCCTCGCTCCCCCACCCTCATGCATTGTTATTCCTATTGTACAGGTACCAACATAGTAAGGAAATAGGTCTCTTAACAGTTCTGGAGATTTTCCATTTTCTTGAGTGAATGGCTGCTACCAGTTAAAACTAACTGAAGCCAGAGACGCAAGTTAGGTGGAAATTTCTATCTCAAGATTATTGTGAAGATTCTTTAAGAGTACATGTCAAAGCCAGACACAAAAGACCACACATTGCGTGATTCCTTTTACATGAAGTGTCCAGAATAGGCAAATCTGTAGCGACTGAACACAGATTAGTGGTTACCAGGGAAAAGTGGGGAGTAACCATTAGCAGGTCAGATTACCTTTTTAGGGTGATGAAAATGTTCAGGACTTAGTAGTGGTAGTTGGACAACTATTTGAATATAACAAAAACTACTGAATGACAACCACTCTGAAAGGGTGAATTTTATGGCATGTAAATTATATCTCAGTAAAGGTGGTTTCACTGGGTGTTTTGGTGTTTTAAGTACAAAACACTTTTTTAAGGGCAAACCAGTACTAAGGAAACAGTATTTCCCAGTAGATGACAAGAATCCAGAGGGGTAGGAGGGGATAATGGTGGAGTACTGAATATCATAACACACTTTCAGAAAAATGGAGCCAGACAGTAATCTCATTTCACCCGTGGGAGATAGGCAAAGTGACTTTCTGGAGGTCCCAATATGCCAGGTGTTCAATTTGGCCTCTATTAAAGGGCGCTGTGAGTAGGGAATTGAGTGGTGAGGGACGTCGCTGAAGAGGCCGACTGGGATGGATTATGAAGGGTTGCATTTTATTCTAGCAATGGCCATCCCTGGTATTTCACAAAATAGCGGGCTGAGCCAGGGAGGACCATCGAAGGACACCGCCCTGAGAAACTGTGACTACCTTGTCAGTATCTCTGCTCAAAAAGACAACTCATTTAGGTAAGAAAAAGGAAAAGTAACGGGCTGACTGGTCGACGTCCTGAAGTAACCAAGTCAAGAAAATGGGTATGGGCTTGGATGAGACCCTCCAGCTGGGAGAGCCTCCTGCTTCTCTCCCCTCCTCATTGCTGAAAGCAAAAGGAGGCCCGTTTTAGGAATGAACTTGCACATAGTTTTGAGACCAGAATCCCAGACATCTGGTTCTGCCAGCCTAAGTTGGCCACTCAGTGCTTAGAATTGGATGGTGATTATTTGAATTCTGAGCAAAGAAGGAAAAGAGTGACAGCATGTGGAAAAGAAGTAAGGAAAGAGATGAGGCCTGGAGGATGAGGACAAAGGGGAAAGGTAAGCCTCAGAGCCCTTCATGGTGAGTTAGGGAATAACCAACTCACCATGATTTTCCTGTTACAGTCTTTAGCAGCTCGGCAGGCCCTTCATAACCTGGCCCCTGATTTCCCTTCCAGCCTCATCCTTCACCACACACCCATGCAGACACACTCTCTCCCACACTACACAAAGCCTAAGCTGTGCCCAGAACAGCCAGTGCGAATATAGCAGTTGTCCTGTGCCAGGACCCACTTGTATCAACTCATGTAAGCCTCATGACAACCCTTTGAGGTAGGAGCTGTGTTTATTGCCATTTTATTGTGGGAACACTGAGTATCAGAGGAGCTAACTGGCTTGCCCAGAATTCTTGCCCCAGTTCCTGTGCTCTAACCACTCTGCTGCAAGGCCTCTCTGCCATGCTGACAAACTGCCCATCGGCTCTGTCCCTTCTGCCTGGAACACCCTTCTTTCCCCCACTTCACCAGTTACATCTTACCATGCGGCATTCAACTCAGATGCCATCACCTCCACGGCCTTTCCTGGAAGGTCAGGGGGCACTCCTGCGTGTCCTGTCACAGCCCTCACCACACTGTGTTGTCATTGCCTGCTTGTCTGGCTTTTCACAGAACAGTCAAGAAGCCCCAGGCCAGCGCAGCGTTCAATTCAACGGCCTTTCTCCAGTGCCTAGCACACTGCTTGGAGCCCGAGGATGCTTGATAAATGTTTAACAAGTGAATAACAAGAGACATACGAAGGAGGTGTGACTGTTGGAATAGAAGATGCAGGTTTGGAATAAGGATGGGCAAAGGGATGAGGGGAGAGTGACATGGGTATAGTGTCAAGCTCCCAGCCCCAGTATAGGGGCCACCTGCCCAAGGAGCTGTGCCTTGAGGCCCCTGTTCGATCACAGCCTTCTTCCACCCTCCTGGCCCCTGGGTCTACCATGGCTCCCCGCCTCTCCTCTATCTTCAGTCTCTCTCCTCCCGTCTATCTGCAACTGTACTCCCTCCCACCTTCCTTCAACCCTGCCTCCCCTCAGGATACACACAGGATATATTTGTGGGGTATTGATCTACTCAAGCAGAATGTGCAAGAGAAAAATGAACTGAAATTATAGGGAACCCTCCACTAAGGGTGCTCCCCTGGCCTCCCAGTTTCCAAGACACCTATAATCCTGAAGAGCCCCACCTGGGCTTTCCCTTCCTGCCCCCTCCCTAGGATTCAGGCAGACTCATTAATTCCAACTTCACTCACCCACCTCTTGTTCCCACCCTCAAAAAAAAGAAAAAGAAAGAGGATGAGCAGGAGGACAGCAGGAAACCCCAAGGAGGCCTGCTGTTTCCCACGTGTCCCTGTGCCTCTCCTCTCCCGGGATGGCTGTGCTGCCTCCCTGGAGAACAGAGAGGCTCTAGAACTGGCTCGAATCCCATAGTCCCACCCCTGCCACTTACTGCCTGTGAGGCCTCAGGTGGGCTATAGAACCTCTCCGTGCCTCAGTTTCCCTATGTTTTAGGGCTGTTTCAAGGATTAAATGATGCACATAAAGCATTTAGTGAAGTGACCACAATGTTTAAGTGAGGTCCCATCCCATCATCATGGTTATTTTACCCTCCTGCGGCTTTGTGCCTTCACATTGGCTTTTTTTGGTACCACCATCCCTGTCTGACAGATGAGACAAGTGAGGCCCGGAGCAGGTGGCTTATCCTAATGATTCAAACCGAGGTCTCCTGACTCCAGATCACATACTTTCCCCATTGCCTTGTATCTCTGAGGCGAGGGTGAAGACAGTTCTAAGCAGCGTCTAAGAATCAGACATGCAGAATAGGAAGAGGAGGGGGAAGGCCCAACCTTAAGTGTTTCTCCAGGTGTCAGGCCACGTGTCCCAGCCTGGAGTGTTGAGACCCTGGCAAGAACACAGCAGGAGGGGGAACAAGCACCTGTGAGCAGGCCCAGGGGAGGGGCCCTTCAGCTCTGGCCAAACAGGCTCCAGGGGGACTGAAAAAGGAAGGAGAAAGCCTTCCCAGAATGCAGGTCAGCCCACCTGACTCCCCCATGACTGACAGTGGAGGCTGGGCCCGGGTTGATACAGAGGTGGGGAGGAATTGGGGATGAGGGGGTCCCCCTCACTGTCTCCAGACCCCTGGCTCTAGTATCTGGGATCTGGTCTAGAGACAATGGGGAGTGGGCCATAAGCCCTGCAGAGGCAGCCAAAACAGGAAGTGAAAGTCTGGGACCCAGCAGCAGCAGGCCTTTCTAGCTTGTCTCAGTTCTATCAGGTTGTCGACTCCATCCCACCTTCAGCCCAAAGCCTGGTCTAGGAGACAGTCCAAGCCTTACAACCTGGGTCCCAAAGAGCTAAGGGCCAGTGAGGGGGGAAGCCACTGGCCTCTCACCTGGAGTCCTGCAGGGTATCACCAGGGAGAGGAGGATGGAAGGACCCCTCTCTCCAGGGGGCAGAGGTCAGCACCAGATTCTGGCTGCAGGGGAGGGACCCTCTGTTACAGAGAGTCATTAAGCCTGCCTTCTGTTTTTTCCCAGGTTCCCTCAAAGAGCAGCACAAACAGATGATGGCAGGGAGGGCGGTCAATCTAGTGAGTGTTCTGGAATTTAAGTGTCTTCTTTGCATCACTTTTGCCCCCTCCGTAACTAACTGGAAGGAAGTGAAGGGGAAACTGAGGTATGTAGGCATCAATCTATCTTCAGAATAAAACAGGTATTGGAAAGTTTGTTTTTATTCTCCCACTTGTAGCCCAGCTGGAAAAAGTCTTCATCTGCACATGTTGAAAAATGTTGCCTCTCTGCTAACCAACTCCTCCTACCCTCATGAACATCTATATGTTCTTGTCACTTAACTTGTGTTAACTAACTTGATCCACAAAATCACCTTCTGTGGAGAGTACTATTATTATGCCCATTTTCCAGATGAGGAAAACAAAGGTCAATGAGGTTAAGTGAATTGCCCAAGATCAACACAGGTAGTGAGCAACCCAGCCAGGACTCACCCAGTGTCTCTGACTCCAAAGTTCATGTCTTTTCTCAAATACCTCTCTGCCTCTCAGTGGTGATACAGACAGCTGGAAGTGGGGGTTGGGGAATGAGCTGCTTTAAAGAGGCCCTTGATTTATCTAAGGAACTTTGTGGAATCATTGCCGGTTTGAGCTCCCCTGGAACAACCTCAACGCCCAGAGACAGAGACCCATACATATGTTCAGGCAGTCATTCATTACATGAAACAAACATTTGCTGAAGGGCTGCTGGATGCCAGGCTGTGGCTGGGAGACATAGGAGGTCCCTGCTCCCTGGGGCCAAGCAAGCCAATATAATGAACTGAAATACAAGGCAGACTGCGGCCAGGTGACGATAGTCGTTCATTCATTCATCCAACGTTTCCGAGTGCCTGCTGGATGCCAGGCCCAGTTCTGTACTCATAAAGTCAAATCAACACACTCCTGACCAGCCAGGAGCTTCCAGTCTAGCAGCGACAGAGGACAGGAGTAAATCGGGGCTGTGATTCTACTCCAGCAGTGACAGAGGACAGGAGTAAATCGGGGGCTATGATCCTATTTCGTGCTCTTTCCACATGACAAAGCCTTGCTTTTCATCTCCGAGCAAGCTGTCACTTTTCTGGTTGCCAAAGAATTTTTGGTACTCACTTCGGCCAGCAGGAACTCAGGTGTTCCCACAATATTGGGGAAGTTGTCCTTCTACCCCAGTCCCCTTCTGAAAAAGCCGCAGCCCCAAGATCCCCTTCTAAACACCAGCAGTCCCCAGATGGACAAGTGCCCTTCACTGTGGGGACTGTCGCCTTTGCATCAGCAGGAACCAGGGGCCTCCTCCCAGCTCCCCGCCCCCACAGCCCAGCTCAGCCCATGCCTAGAATGTCATCAATGCTTCATAAATGGTGTGATAGGTTGTATTACCAATAACAGGGTGAAATAAGAGGTGCATCTGTCTCTCCAGTCAGGTCTGGCTGATAGGGGAAGACTTGGTCCCTGCAAACCTAGTTCTTTTCCTGGTGTAGGGAGTGAGATCACCTCCCAACACCTTTGCCCAGGACACAGTTGTGGGCAGCTGGCTCTCCAGCTGGCTTGAGCTGCAGGCCCAGTGTGTGTGTTGGGGGATGGAGTGGCAGGGGTCATCAATTCAGTGGGGCTGTTGAGAGAGTAGGATCAGTTTGGGAAGGAAGAAGAGGGACGTGAGTGAGGGGAGTTGAGGCGGCAGTTGAGTAGGGGTGGCAGTCTGAGCACAGGTTGGGGGCTGGGAGGAGCAGGGGGGACCTTGGGGGATGGGAGTGCAGAGGCTGAGGTGGAAGGCAGATCTAGAGATGAATTCCCAAAGGAGGGGGATGGAGCAAGTGGAGGAGGGACAGCAGCCGGGGTGGGCAGGGGAGCAGGGCTGAGAGCAGGGAGCACCCACCCCCCAGCCTCCTGCCCATGGTATTGATCTGCTAGATTACTCAATTTCACCCGTATTGATCAGGTAATTGCTTTATCTCGGTTCTCATTTGAGCTCTGCATTCTCCTGGCTTCCCCTTCTCTCTCTCTTGTTTTTTCCTATCAATGTGACACAGGGCTCCTTAACTCAGAATATATATAAAGTTTGGTTAGCCTGCCCTGGGTTGGTGTTGGGGGAAGGGGAAAAGGGTGGGAGGGAGGGAGAGACCTGCCTCCCCTCTGAGCCCCTGAGTTATTCTCTTCCAAGAAATCCTTCCTGGCTCCAGACAGTGGAAATGTCTGCCCATCCCAGCTTCTCAGAGGTCCGGAAAAGAACAAGGGAAATAGAATCCAGGGGTGACCCCAAACCCGAGAGGCCTAGAGCCTCTTCTCACCGTGCCCCAATCCTGCGCCCCAGCTCCCATGCCTGGCTGTTGGCCAGCCCTCACGAAGCGTGAAGAGCATCCATCCCTCTTGCTGCTCTTTCGGGGCCCCTGGAACTAAGCACCATGCCTGTTGGGTTCTGCCTGTCTGCAGCCCTGGGCATGTGTCCTTCCCACCCAGCTCCCTCACTCTCCCATCCCTTACCATTCTCCAAGAGCCCCCAACCCCTAGTGCTCAGGCCACACACCTGGCCTCCACCTGGAGGAAGGAGGACTAGGGAAGGGGACTCAGCCCCTCCTCCAGGCACCCCCCCAATCCAAAGAAGGAGATGCAGTTCCTCCAGGAAGCTCGTCATCTGAGAAGCAATAGCTCCTGTCTCCCTGAAGCCCCCAGACTGAGGGAAGAGACAAGACCCCATCTGAGGACCAGCCAAGAGCACTACACAAAAGATAAAAGGGGAGGGCTCCAAGGGAGAGTCAACAGTGTGGGATCCTGGACAAGATTCAGTTCTCTCACCGTCTTCCAGAACGCAGCCCTGGACCAGCTCACAGACCAGCGGCACAGAGAGGCAGAGAGTGAGTGCATACTGAAATTGTCATTCTCAAAGGATACCACACTGAGACCAGGGCAGCCAGTGCCCCAGCCCAGGTGAAGCTCTTGAAGGCCAAGGGGACAGGCCCACGTGGAGCCACGTTCCTCCTTCTAGCACACACTCTGGGTCTCTGGCACCCTCCAATTCCCTGTCCAAATGACGGGAGCCCCATCCAGGAGTGCTCGAGCCTCTGCCCTAGGCACATCCTCCTGAGCGGGAGCAGTGTTGTTTCCACTCCCGCACAGACGCCTGCAAATGTCAGGAGCAGGCCAGGCCGCACAGATTTTTAGTACTGGAGCTCTGTCTTCAAAACTTCTACTGAGAACTCAGTTTATAAAACAGATGTTTAAAACCTTGTGTGACCTCCAAAGTTTAAATCTTCATGGCTATGACAACCCCTCAAACTCCTCAAAGGCTCCAAAGGGCAGTGGCAGGGCAATTTGAAAGACGCTGCCTTGAGACAAAACAGCAAGGGACAGCAGAGGCTGGAGGCCCCTCCGCTGGAGCCAGCTTGTGTCTGACTTTCCAGAGGCTTCTGCAGGAATGAGAGTTGCAGGTGCTCACCTGTGAGGCCCAGTGCAGGAGACCCCAGGGAAGACAGGAGCAGGAAGGATTAGAGGGATGTGGCTGAGAGAAGGCACAGCCAGAGAACTAAAAGGGCCCCTTTGTCATTCACTCCCGGAGAAGAGGATGACTAAAGCACTCAGGAGCAGGGGCAAAGCTATGAGTTTAGTCAAGACACATTTCCTGAGGGGCCATTATGTGCCAGGCACTGAGATGGGATTGGGAATTCCATGGTAAACATGACGGAGAAGGCTCCAACCCTCCTGTTGGAGTTCAGAGACTCTGGGAGACCATAAACAAGCTCTCCCTCCCCAAAGCCTCTTGACCTCCAGGCCCATCACCCAGGGCCATCCAGGGCCCAGTCTGTCGTCTTTGAGGAAGGTGGCCCACCAAGCAGAGAGAGGGAAGGACACAAAGCCAGACACCCTCACACTGTGCACTGAGGGAGTCCCATCTCTGAGCCGTGCTCTCATCCCCATCCAGTGAGGAGACAGAGAGAGCAGCGTGGGGTGTGCAAGAGGGTGGGAGCCCCACAGGTGCTCTGTCTGGGTGCACCCCACCAGCCACAGGCAGGCAGGCATAAGCCGTGAGCAGCCACACGCAGGCAAGCACCCTGTCTGCTGCTGTGCCCTGCAGAGCCCAGCACGACTTCCCTCTGGAGTTTTGCAGGGCGGGGGACAGCCCATCTCTTTTCCTTCCTGTGTTAGTTTCCAGAGTTCCCCTCTGTGCCCTGGGGAAGTTCCCCCTTTGATCTAACTATCATTCCTCCTGCTGCTCTCACAGCCTTTTTTTTCCTCGTTCCTCCTCCATTCAAATATCTCAACCTTTCCATCTACTCCTTCGACTCTCCTCACCCTACTAGTCTGCCATCCTTCCTTCCCTGATACCCGCACTGCCATTCACTTTGGCCTTCTCACGTCTATGCCTGGAAGGAGGGGGAACAATTGCCCTGTTTTTCTGGGACTGTTCCAGTTTTAGCACTGAAAGTACTGCATCTGGGAAACTGTCAGTCCCAGGCAAAGCAGGACAGCGGAGCACCCCACCTGGAAGGTAGGACATTGTCTGAGGTCCAGCTCAAGGGGCCAGGTTGGGGCAGGGTTTTGGTGCCAGTACTGAGAGGCCAGCAGCATTTTCCCACAAGTACAGGGGACAAAGACAGTCACAACCCCCACCACACACACAGAGAGAGACACCCCCACACAGTCTCTGAAACAAAGCACAGCCCACGCACCCAGAGCAGACACCCCCAGAAACATGGGCTCACACACTCAGATTCACACACAGCAAGCCCAGGTTCACATACCCACCTTCTCAGAGATAGGTGTGCATGGACACAGGCACACACAGCCCACCAACACACACTGGAAACACAAAAACTGACACAAACACCTACGCACAAAAATACGTGGTTACAGAGACAGCCAGCCACAGAACACACAAATCCTGAGACACACAGACGCACACCTGCTAACAGAGACAGAAAGACACGCATTCAGACTCCCACACGGAGGCACACATGGAGAGACGTCTTTCTATAGACCCAGGAGTACAAAGAAGCCTTCACCTGCACCCACAGGGTGAGCTGATCAACAAATTCCAGAGCTTTTCCCTGTTCTGCCTTGGAAATAGCCCCAGGGTTTGGGAGGTGGCCCTAGCTCCTCCTTACCCCTAGAAAGAAGGAAGAACTGGGCCTGGGACTCACAGGGCCAGGTAGCAAGAACCCCCACCCTGCCCGGTGCCAGGGCTGGGGACCGTTCTGAGCACAGCCTCTCTGGAGTTCGGGTCGGGGGTGGGAAGCTCTCACTCCCTCTCGCGGGGTTGGGCTTTGGGGGGTGGAGAAGTGTGAGTGAAATGGGTTTATTACTGGGAGTCTGTTGCCTCGATTGGTATCGATCCCCACATGTCACCTTCCATTGCCGCTAATGGGACATGAAGAGTCTCCACCGACACCGCAGCCACCGGCTCCGCACACTCACACACCGCCTCCTCCCCTGCCCTCCCCCAGCCCTTGCATCCCTCCGGATGCAGCATTCCAGGGCTGCCTCAGCCAGGCCTCCTCCTGCCCTCTCTGGTCCCTCTCCTCTTCCCTCAGCCTCATCACTTCTTCTAATCTTCCCCCTTTCCTTCTTCTTTGTCTCCTTAAATCAGATTTCTTCCTCCTTCCCAGTGCTTACCTGGCACCTCCTTTCCTGTCCCCTTTCTGGCCACCTGGGGCCTTGTCCCTCCCTGCAGGAGCGCCCCTGTTCCCTCCCCTCCCTCTGAGTTCAGTCTCAGTCACCACTTTGGCCCCTGCCTTTGGCCTCTGCCCCTCTAATGGGGGTGCATTGGGCCCCATCAGCATGGCAGAGAATGAGCCCTCTTTCTCCAACAGCCGGCAAGGAGTGCTTATGAGTGGGTATTCTTCTTCCGACACGATTGGACTGGCCAGACAGACCTTCCTGGAATCAGCCAGGCCCCCTGAACTTTACTCCACTGGCTGCCATGACCCCAGGCCAGATCCCTGGCTGAAGGGCAAGGAGCCAGTGGAGGAGAAGGGATGAGCCTGTTTTCCTGGCTTCTTCCTATTCCTCAGGAAGGCAATGGCACCATCTTGTCATCTCCACCCCTCCACCCTGTGCAGCTCCTTGAGAAACACTCCCCAAGGTCTGATCCCATCCCTGTGTCCTCTGGTGCTGCCCATTTTAATGTCAGATGGTTACAAAGGCTCAGCGAGGCCTGAGAGAACCCACTCGGGGTGGTGAGGTCTTGATACAAAGTCAATAGACTCTGAATTTAGTCACTTGTGCTGGTTGTTACTCAAGTATGAAAAAAGCGTCACTAACTAGAACAGGAAAAGTCTACTTGAAGCTCAAATAGCATATCCTTTGGCTTCCTCCTATGAGAGGACCCTTCCCGCCTGAGTTCGTGCCATTAATCTCTAGGGGCTGGGAGGAGAGCTGAGGAGAGGAGCTGTTCCCATTCCCTCCCTGGCCTCCCTCAGCCCAAGTGGATGCTGACAGACACCCAGAGCCAGCTCTAAGCACCAAAGCAAGAAGGGCTGCCTCCTGCCAGGTTCCTGTCCCCAGACAGAGACAGCTCCACCCCCATCCATTTGGCCTAACCCCACTATTGTTCACCCTGTCAGGGAGTTTAGGGAGCTGGACAGTTAATGGAAATGAAGATGGGGGCTCATGCCTGTAATTCCAGCACTTTGGGAGGCCAAGGCAGGCAGATCACTTCAGCTCAGGAGTTTGAGACCAGCCTGGGCAGCATGGTAAAACCCATCTCTACCAAAAATACAAAAATTAGCTGGGCATGGTGGTGTATGCCTGTAGTCCCAGCTACTTGGGACGCTGAGATAGGAGGATCACTTAAGCCCAGGAGGCGAACGTAGCAGTGAGCTGAGATTGCACCACTGCACTCCAGCCTGGGTAACAGAGTGAGACCCCACCTCAAAAAAATAAAATAAAATGTGTCGAGGCTGCCTATTGTGAGTCCAGGCAATTGGGCTGGCTAGAGCGTGGGGTGCTGATTGAAGCATGAGGTACTTTTTGGTTTATTCACTTCCCAGTCATGACAGAGCAGCCCCCATATCCAGGCACTGTGCTACACACTAGGATGCACGCAGAAAGCTTCATAATCTAGAACGGTCTTTGTTGGGTCAGGAGATCCTCCACCCACGGCCATTTGCCATTTCCTCCACCCACTGCTAGGGAGCTAAGCCATCTGCTTATATTTAGAGGATGAAGCAGAGGAGGCTTAGCTTGCCATTCTAGCAGCCAAGGTCTGAGCCAAGCGCCTAGCGTCCATGCCCAGCCTAGTCTACAAAGGCCAACCACTGAAGTGTGAGTTGGACAGAAAGTAGGGAGCAGGCAGGAAGAACTGTCTTTATCCAGCTCTAGAAGATGAGAGGAAGCAGGTAGGGACAGTGGAAGGAGCAGCAGAAGAGTGAAAACCCCACTCAGAAGCAGCTCCTGAGGCCGGGGGTGGTGGCGCACACCTGTAATCTTAGCTACTTGGAGGGCTGAAGGCAGGGGGATCACTTGAGGCCAGAAGTTTGAGACCCCATCTCTACAAAAAAAAAAAAAAAAGGACTTGAAGATAGCCTTATGAGAGACTTTGCTGGGAGCTGGGATGGTCGCAGGAAGTGGGACCCCCACAATAGTTTGGAGCCTCCTTGTCTGGAGGTCTCTCAGATATTACCCCCTAGAAAAGCCTATAGAGGCAAGAGGAGGTCCAAATGATCCCGGGAGTCCAGTGCCTGGGTCTAGGCTCCTGTTCCCCCACTTCAGTTCTGCTCTGACCCCCTCTTTGGCAGGGCCTTCCTGAAGAGGAGGGGCAGAGCCATTCTTCCTAATGGAGTCCTCCTTGGCCTTGGCATCTTCTGCAGCTAACTCAAATGATCCTGAAACTCTTCAGTGAAGAAGAGAGGATGGGGTGGAGGTGAGCAAGGGGCAGGATAAGCTTTCCAGATGAGGAAGTACCAATGACACCTACGAGAAATGCCCAGGTTACCGCATCTTGGCTCTAACTTCAGTCTTTCTTGCCACAGATCTCTGTCCTTTATGGAGATCAAGTCTGTCTCGTCCTTGCTAATATCACCCCCACCCACCCATCCAACTCCATGGAACAGTGTTCTGTGCCATTCCTCCCTGTAGCCCCTTTCCTCTTTGCCCTAGTGGGCCTGGAGCCCAGTCCTTCCTGGCTCTCCCTGACCAGGACCCTCTCTCCATGGCCCCCAGCTCCTGTCTCCTCCGTCAGTCAGCCTCTCTCTCACCTTTCCATCATGTTAGCTTCGGTTGATTTAGCCAGAAAACAACCCCCAGAATTTAATTCCATGGCCCTCCAGTCCCATCTCGATCAGCTCAGGGTTGGGAGGGTCTGTGTAACGAGGAGAGTGGAGGGTAGGGGGAAACTTGGTATCTCAGAGTCAGGGGAAAAAAAAAGAAAATCATATTGATTCCCCCAATGACATCCATCAATCTTCTCCCCGATGGTGAGTGGGGAGATTGGAGACAGGGCCGACAGGCTCCAGGGTCACTTGATCCCCAGGACTTTAACGACAGAGGCCCTGGTCTTCAGTATCGTCCCTCCTCCAGCTTCCCTGGAAAAGCCTTTCCTGAGGTCAGTTACCCACGTCCTCCATCCCCTCCCAGAACATTCTGGATTCCTACCCCTTCTCTTGTTTGTAATATTTCCTTAGCAGGCTCTCTGATGACCCCGTCATCACTTTCTCCTGCCTGGTTTATCCCTTAGTTGGAAGTTCTTCCTGCTGTCTAACTTCAAGTCACATTAATTTTTTTAAAAAAGGAAAAAATCATTTTCTACAACTCTAAGAGGAAACAGACATAATCGCTGCTTTAAAATCCTTAGGGAAAAGAGATTAGGTAAATGATTAGTATCATTTTACTGGAGACTACGAAGAAAAGTTACAAATTGCAAAGATCCAGCACTACCATGGTGAGCAGAGCATGGTCTGGGGCTCAGAGGAGAAAACAAGGAGTGAGATGGTGTTAAGAATCAGAGATTGGGAAGGGTGTTTCTTCTGCAGATCTGGACTCCATCTCCACAGAAGTCTGCATAAAAGAAGGGCTGACAAAGTAGGAAGGGTGGACAGCAGAAGGCCTTCCCAATAGGTCAGCGTCCCTTTTCCTGGCGTTAAAGAAGGGGTAGCCCTCTCCCTAGTCTCCCGGTGGGTCAGATGTTTTAGGTCTGATCTTCCCCAGAGGCAGGCTCTGGATGCAAAGGACCCAGTGAGAGATACTCCCTCCCACCTCACCCCCAAAGAGGTGGGGGTGCAAGGGAAGGGGCTCAAGGCCGTGGTGTTGCTAGCCCCCGAAGGGTTAATGCTATTGTCTGAAAACCACATCGGCTCCCCTGGGAGCTTGGAGATCCCGCTCTCATTTTAAGTAACCCTAACGCGTGTGATGAGCGAGGAGGGGGTCGTTGCTGGGCGAGGAGAGCGCCAGAGGGAGCCAGTCGGAGGAGCACGGGGACCTGGCTGCTGATCCAAGGTAAGGGACTCCGATGGCAGGTCTGCAGCTGGGGCCAGCCGGCAGGGACGAGCCCTTCTCTGTCCACCACCTCAATGGTGGAGCCGATCGTGGGGCAATTAGGAAGGGGAGACATAAAGAGAGCTAGGCACCGGGTGGAGAGGGGAACCCAAGGGTCACACTGAAGCTGCGTGGGAGGTGGCAGGGCTCTTCCATCTAGGTATGGGACAGCCACAGAGCCAGGTGTTGGGCACTTAGGCCAGAGAGAACCCTGGCACCTGCAGAAGGACATCATAATGACAGCAGGTCCAGCCTACCAATAGGCTCTCCTCCCCCAAGATGGGGCACAGCTGGGGTCAGCTATTGGCAGATACAACTCTTGGGATGAATGGATCAAGTTGGATCCTGGGGCTGACCGAATGCTGGCCTCAGCTATCTCCCTGCCCCAGGGTTCTGTGTCTCAGGGAGCTCTCTGCTGTCATCCCTGTGGCTGAGGTTGAAGATCAGTGGGTGAGGATTGACAATCAGCTGGTGGCTACTACTGGGCAGAGGGAGGCAGGTGAGGGTGTGGACCTCATAGCATGAGGACGGGAAGGAGCAGGGGTGGGCAGAGGGCCACCAGGATTGTGCTCCCACCTGATCCGGGCTGGGGTGTTCTGAATTGAAACCTCTGATGGGATGAGAGGATTCTGCCCCACTCCTACCTCCCTCCCTTCCTCAGACTCTTGGGATCCTTTTCAAGGAACTAGAAGAAGCCTAAAGTCTGAGAACGTGAAGTCTCCTGCTTATCACGAGAGCCCCTGTGATGGTGAGGGCAGATCCAGGCTTGTGAGGCTGGAGAGACACAGAGATGATGCTCCCGTGGCAGAGAGAAGTCCTGCTCGTCTCACCAACTCCTTCCCAGTGGAGACAAGAGGAGAAGGGCTGGGGAGAGTGGTGCTGCTGTCTCGCCACCTCCGAGCCCCTTTCTGGTCCTGCCCAAGGGCAGTGGGGCTCCAGTGGGCACAGGGACCAGGGTGCATGGATGCAGCCTTCAATGAGGCTTTGGGCTTAGTGGAAGTTGAAGGTTCTTGTTAAGATTGGGGTTGGGGTTGAGGCTGGAAGTGGACATGAGGGTTGAGGGTTGGGGATTGAGTCAGAAGGTATCAGAGGCCCCCAGCTGGGGAGAATGGCCTCAGATGCCTGCTTCTCACGCTGCTGTCCTGGTCCCAGTTACTCAGCCCCATGCTGGCCCTGCCAGCTCATCCAGCTCAGCTGTTTGCTAGGAGCTTTCACTTCCTCTGCCTCTGACCTGCTCCTCTGCCACGTCATCGCCTGCTGGAGGGGATTTCTTGTCTCTGTGTTGGGGGGACAAAGGGAAGGATCAGGGGGTGTCCAGGCAGGGGGCTCCCCCAGGCACAGCTGATGGGAATGAGGTTGCCACTAGGGGAAGGTCGAGGGGCGCAGGGGGGATCTGAGGAGGAAGTAGGGGAGTGGGGTGGTGGTGCTATAAGGGCAGGGCAGGGAAGCTGGGAGGCCTGTGGTCAGTTTCCTTCTCCAAAGCATGGATGAGAGATGGGGGGCAAGAGAGGAAAGACAGACAAGGAAACAGAAAGCAACAACAGGAGACAGTGACAGAGACAGCAAAACAGAGAGCACCAGGCTGGGAAAGAAGTGTTGAGACAGGCAACACTCCAGAGGAGGGAAATGGGCATTCCAAGGGGCAGGATAGGTAGGGCAACAAAGAGAGGCCATAGGATCGGCAGACACAGGAAGTAAAGGCAGAAATGGAGAGACCAAGAGAAACTGGCAGAGGAGAGGACAGGGGAGAAGAGAGACAGGAGTGGAAAAATACATGGCAAAATCAATAATGGTGGGGAAGAAAGGCCAAGAGAAGGTTGCTGGGTGGGAAGTGGAAAGAAGGAAAAAGAATTAAAGTGGGAGGGAAGAGGAGAGAACAGTGAAGGAGCAAATGAGGTGAAGAAAGATAAACCGGTCAAACAGAGAGAAGTGGAGACCGGCCGGGGCCTGACAGGCAGAGGGATGGGTGCGGAGCTGGAAGCTGGTCTCCAGACACCCTCGTCCCTTCCCGAGCCCCTGGGTCCCTGAAGGTGTGTCAGGGGATGACCTTCCCCCGACCTTCAGCTGCCCATCGTGACAGGTCTGAGGGGCAGGGGATGGGAGTGTCTGGGTTTGGATTTCTGCTCCACGGAGTTACACAAAACTTTTAAATCCCACGGCCCCCAGGGACCCAAGAGACAAGAGTTGGAGGCATCTGCAAGGGACAGGGGGACTAAGAGGAGGGGCTGGGCAGAGATCTGAGGCTGTATGAGGGGACTGGGCAGTGACAGCAGTCGAGAGGGAGCCTGGAGGGGCGTTGAGGACTGAGGAAAGAGAAGGAGAAGCAGGACTGCTGCTGGACCCCACTCGGGGAGGCTCTCCCAGCTGTGGAGATAGAAGGAAGAGCTGAGGCTGCAGGAGGGAGACAGGGTTCGTCTGGCTGATTCCCAGCACCCAGCATCAAAAAGGGGTCCTCTCTATTGCCTGGGCAGGGAGAGAAAAGATGCCCTTGGGGTCACTGCCAGCATATCCCTTGGTCAGGGGAGAAGGAAAGAGAAGTTAAGGGGACATGAAGGAAGGGTATCTAGCCCTCTCCTTCCCCCAAATTCTCCAAGGAAAAAGGCGACTGGCTTTGACCCTCCCAGGCCCCCAGCCCCTCTTGCTCTCCTACCTAAGCAGCTTTAACTAATAGCATTAAAGCAGGTCTCAGGACTAACCACTCTCCACTTGGGGCTGAGATCAAGAGGAGAGACCAGAAGCTTCTAATCAGATTGGGGATTTGGTGTAGGGGTGGGGGATGCAGTTTGTTCAGGGCTGACGAGCACAAAATACCCCCTGGAGGTCACCAACGCAATGTCTCCAAGGGGTTTCTCCCTGCACTGTCGCTCCTCTAAGCTGGTTTCTCCACTCTGATCTTTCCATCCCCTGGGCCATATTCTGGACCTCACCTGTGTCCACAGCTTTTGATTTCTGCATCACTCTTTCTCTTTCTGATACTCTCTGATTCACTCTCTTTCTTGCTGACTCACATGGCCCATCTCTTCCCGCTGCCTTTGTATTTACACACAGTCCCATTTTCCCACTGAATCAATCAAGCAGTCACTGAAAACACTTGGTTTGTCCAATCAATCTGATTATGCAGTCAATCCACTTCAGCCCCTTAAAAGGCCCCAACAACAAAGGGACTTTTGATGCAACTTTCCACTTTGTATACATGCGGCATTGGTCTTGAACACTCTGACTTTTTTTTTTTTTTTTTTTAAGATTCTGTAGGTTCTTGTCTTTCTCATCCTTTCTGTATTGCTCTCTGCCCATTTGGCTGGCTGTCCTCTGGCTTTCTGGGGACTCTGTGGATAATTTTTCCAGCAAAGAGCCCACATGGAGGGTTTAGACTAGAAGTGCTTCCTTCAGGGCCCAGGGCCTCCCATCAGCCTCACCTCTCTGCTCTGAAGTTTCATCCTCAACTTTTCTGCCCTGATTGACTGATTACAGCTTGGAGCCTGAAGTCAGACAGACCTGTTCCCATCCAGCTCCACCACTTGGCCAGGATATTATGCAAGTCTCTTAATCTTGAGCCTCAATTTCCTTAGCATACAAAACAGATAATGCCCATCTCGAAGGGTTATTGTGAAGAGTCAATGAAGTAACATAGGAAAACATGTTAAACCCCATACTGGGAGCATGATAGGGGCTCAATTCATATTAACTAAAATCTTCAAAAGGTGACCTGTGCTTTGGACATTTCCTTTGGCTCCAAGCCCTAGCTTAAGGCTTACTCTCTACTGTTATCTTCAGCATCTGTATTGCTTTTATTAAGTAATGACCTAAAACATACATGTGTTGTAATGAACATTTACACTGGCCAAGGGGGTTAATCATATTATTAGTAATCAGAATGATGGTGTGATGACAATACTAATTGCTGGCTGCTACAACCCTTCAAGAAACACAAAGTGCTTAAGAGAAGCCACTTTGATCATTTGAGATTGGGTTATGATCCTTTTTGATTTATGGTTTTCAATACTCATTCTCCTCTAAGATCTTGCCATAGGGGGTCTTGGGGAATCAGTGGCTGTGCAGAACCCATGGTTAGAGCTTCCCCAAGCTTTGTGTGTCTAGCCCACAGCACAAGAGGGGAGGAGTGGGAGCCTGGAAGATAGGGGCGGGGTGGGGACGGAATGGGACTACCTCCCCCAGCCTTGGGAGCATCACCACCAGAGCATGGATTAAAGTGAAGCGCATGGAGTTAAGGTTAAGTGCCAAGAACAGCTCTTGGACATGAAGGCAGAACTGAGACCTGGTGTTTTCTGAGTGTTCCCCAGTCAGCTCCGAGGCTCATGTAGAAAAGGAAGGATGGAGGGAAGGCGTTTGGCAGGACTTGTCAGCAGCAAGGATTTCCACACCCAGAGCTGGCAAGCTCCTCAGAGACTTAAGGATCCACCAGGGACTCTCACAGACACGGGAGAGGCTGGGGAGGAGACTGCTGGCATCAGGAAGCTTGGAGACTTGACCTTGCCTACTCATGCCACTTTGGTTTTGTATTTTGAGGCTTTTTTTCTTTTGGGGGAGTCGGGGAGGGGGTGTTGGGAGCCTACCTAGATGGCCGAACACTATAAATCTTGACTCAAGGTCTTGCTTTCCCCTCTTTTATTTAAGAGCTGTATGGCCTTAGGGAAGTTATGCAACCCCTCTGCTACCTCCTGTGAGGTTTCAGTATATGTCTATTTCAATCGCTTAAAGTAGTGCAGAGCACACTGAGTGTCTGGTCAGTGGTGGGGTTTATTATTCTCTTCTTGCCAGATCCTAAATCTACCCTAAGGTTTCATTCACATCCTTCAGACCAGAAAACACCATCAGACTCAGCAGGTGCCAGGGGGAGCCATAGGAAATTCTATCAGCTTCCTCCAGAGAACAGTCGTACCTTGGAATCTCTCAAAACTCACCTCTGCACCCTGCCCCATTTCCCAGCCCATTTTCCTAAGGTGAAGCAGAAGAGATCCTAATCAGATTGAGGTTTGACTGAGGAGGAATTTCCAAGTAGACAGGGAAGGAAAGGAGGTTGGAAGAGGAGTGGGGGCATCTGCTTCAGGGGAGGAAAGGGGAGAAGACTCCAGAATGTCAGCTGCCAGTTTAGAGACAGAGGGATGAGTAGGATAACCTATTCATGCAGATTCCAGGTGAGCTTGGATCTACTCACTGCCCTATTCACCTTAATTTCCAGAGACACTCTCAGTTCAGGCCACAATGTGTGCCTCCAAGCTCCCACCCCTAACTGCCTGTCTGTCAGTTTACATCCCTGGCACTGAGCATTCCCTGGGAAACGGAGAGCGAGAGACCAGATGATTTGGTGCCAGGAGTGGGAGGTGCCAGGATTCTTACAACCTGAAGTGTCTAGGGTTCCCTGACTTTCTGATATCCACAGCCTCTTTTTGCTGCATCCCATGGGTTCTATGGGTTCTCACTGCTCAAAGTATGGTCTGCAGACCAGCAGCAGCAGCATCACCTAGGAGCTTGTTAGAAGTGCAGAGTCAGCTGGGCGCGGTGGCTCACGCCTGTAATCCCAGCACTTTGGGAGGCCGAGGCAGGTGGATCACGAGGTCAGGAGATCGAGACCATCCTGGCTAACACAGTGAAACCCCATCTCTACTAAAAATACAAAAAATTAGCCGGGTGTGGTGGCGGGTGCCTGTAGTCCCAGCTACTCGGGATGCTGAGGCAGGAGAATGGCGTGAACCCGGGAGGCGGAGCTTGCAGTGAGCTGAGATTGCACCACTGCACTCCCGCCTGGGCAAAAGAGCAAGACTCTGTCTCAAAAAAAAAAAAAAAAAAAAAAAAGAAGTGCAGAGTCTTGGTTGGGCACGGTGGCTCACGCCTGTAATCCCAGTATTTTGGGAGGCCAAGGCGGGTGGATCACTTAAGGTCAGGAGTTTGAGACCAGCCTGGCCAACATAATGAAACCCCATTCCTACTAAAAATACAAAAATTAGCCAGTCGTGGTGATGGGTGCCTGTAGTCCTAGCTACTTGGGAGGCTGAGGTGGGAGAATTGCCTGTACCTGGAGGTTGCAGTGAGCTGAGATCATGCCACTGCACTGCAGCCTGGGTGACAGAGTGAGACTCTGTCTCAAAAAATAAATAAATAAATAAATAAATAATAGAAGTACAGAGTCTTAGGTCCCCCAAATCCCACTGAATCAGAATCCGTATTTTAAAGAGACCTTCAGATCATTCCTATTCGCATTAGAGTCTGAAAATCACCAACATAGATTTTTTTTTTTTTTAAGTCTTAAGGCAACTCAGTATATGAGAAAGTGCTATGGATTAGGAGTCAGGGGGCAGGGCAGCTAACTCACCACCTGTCTTTGGTCAAGTCATTTTCCCTGTCTGAGCCTCCTCTGGAAAGTGAGGAAGCAACTCCAGACAAATCCTCACATGCCCTCCAGACAAATCCTCACACGCCCTCCAGACCTCACAGCCTAATAAGTTCTCACTGAGACTACTGCACACTAACTCCACCAGAGATGGAGAGCCAGGCCCGGGTCACGTAACCCTGTTCACAGGCAGTCCTAAGCGCCCAGGAACCTCCCAATGCCCTGGCCCACCAGGAGCAGTTCCCATGTGCTGCATCCCCAAGGCAGCCTCTCCCAGTCCCTTTGCATATTGTTTCATCTTCCATTAGTTATAGTGGAAACCAGCCTTTTGCACCATCCAGAAGGCTTTCTGTTCCATCCAGAAGGCTTTAGAGCTTAGATATTTTGTTCTCTTTTCCTATATCAGGCAAGTCTATCTCACTAGGGCTCATTCCATAAACTCCCCACCCTTCTCAGCGGAGAACCACAAGATTCCCGGTTCCTGTCCATGGTTCACCAATTCAACAAATATCTATAAAGCACCTTTGAGTACGATGTCCTGTGCTACGATGGGATCTGGGGAGCCAGCAGAGGAGAACAAGACAGCTAGGGTTGCTGATCTCGGAGCTGACACTCTGAGCGGGATACAGATGTTCAACAAAGAAGACACTATCTATAAGTCCATTACCATTCATTCATTCGATCAGCAATCATTTATTGAACACCTATTTTGCGCCAGGCCCTTGGGACTGGCAAAAAAAAGCCCATAAAAATTCCTGCTCGTCTGGGCACGGTGGCTCACACCTGTAATCCTAGCACTTTGGGAGGCGGAGGCAGGCGGATCACCTGAGGTCAGGAGTTTGAGACCAACCTAGCCAACAGGGCGAAACCCTGTCTCTACTAAAAATACAAAAATACGCTGGGCATGGTGGTGGGCACATGTAATCCCATCTACTCAGGAGGCTGAGGCAGAAGAATCGCTTGAACCTGGGAGGCAGAGGTTGCAGTGGGCCGAGATCTCACCACTATACTCCAGCCTGGGTGACAGAGCGAGACTCCATCTCAAAAAAACAAACAAACAAACAAAAAAACCAAATTCCTGCTCTTCTCAAATGTCAAATTGTTTGAAATACAGTAAAGGCGGCCAGGTGCAGTGGCTCACACTTGTAATCCCAGCACTTTGGGAGGCCGAGGTGGGCGGATCACGAGGTCAGGAGTTCGAGACCAGCCTGGCCAACATGGTGAAACCCCATCTCTACTAAAAATAAAAAATAAAAAAAATTAGCTGGGCGTGATGGCATGCACCTGTAATCCCAGCTACTCGGGAGGCTGAGGCAGGAGAATTGCTTGAATCTAGGAGGCGGAGGTTGCAGTGAGCCGAGATCACCCCATTGCACTCCAGCCTGGGCGACAGGGTGAGACTCTGTCTCAAAAAAAATAAAAAAAGAAAGAAAGAAAGAAAAAAAAGAAATACTGTAAAGGCACAGGTATGTGTATATGCCACCTCCTTCCCACTCAAGATTTAGAATGAGCCCATGATTAATTACATTTCCTTTTGTCTTCTCTTGGGAAAAACTCCAATCCTGTTAAGCCCTAAGAAGAGATCTCATTCTCTGTCTAAATCCCCCAGCAGGGGCAGGATATAGGACCCTTTGCACTTCTCTCCATCTATATAAGTAGCTCAGCCGGAAGCCCTGAGTCCGAGTCAGCCCTGGGCAGCGGGGAGGTCCCCAGAGGGGGCTGGGCCCTGTCTGGGTATGGGGAAGCTTGCTGCCTCTGGTTCCCTTTTCTCCCCTTCACTGGCAACCTCTTGTCCCTTCCCTTTTCTCTCTTTCTTTCCTGACCCTCTCCCTTCCTTCCTTCTTTCCCTCCATTTTTCCTTCCTCTTTCACTGTCCTCCCCTCTGCCTCCTTCCTTCCCTTCCTCTTAAGTGGTGACCATTTCCCCAAGGCCCAGACACAGCCCATCTCGCCGGAGTGGACCATGCACTGCAGCTGCTTGGCTGAGGGCATCCCAGCCAACCCCGGCAACTGGATCTCAGGTGAGCCTCTTGGCCGGGCCTACCCCCTGCTCCAACGGTGGCCTAGGGCAGGGCCTCCAGAGCCCTCACTCTCCCCTCTCCACCCAGGGTTGGCCTTCCCTGATTGGGCCTACAAAGCCGAGTCGTCCCCAGGCTCCCGGCAGATCCAGCTGTGGCACTTCATCCTGGAGCTGCTGCAGAAGGAAGAGTTCCGCCATGTCATCGCCTGGCAGCAGGGAGAGTACGGGGAATTTGTCATCAAGGATCCAGATGAGGTGGCCCGCCTCTGGGGCCGCAGGAAATGCAAACCACAGATGAATTATGACAAGCTGAGCCGGGCCCTCAGGTGAGAGGAGGCGGCTGACATGGCCAAAGAGGGGGGATTTCAAGGAAAAGGGCCGTGGTTTCTGGTACCCCTGCTGACTCCCACCCCTCCAAGGCTTGGGAAGTGTCCTGGCCTGTGGTGAGCAGCCTAGTGGTTCTCGGGGAACAGCTTAGGGTCAGCCCGGCTAGGGAGGAGAATGTGACTGGGTCCCTGACTCTATTCTCTGACTGCTGGGCCAACTCTATTCTCAACTTCGAATTCTCCAGATATTACTACAATAAGAGGATCCTGCATAAGACCAAAGGCAAAAGGTTCACATACAAGTTCAACTTCAGCAAGCTCATCGTAGTCAACTATCCTTTGTGGGAAGTGCGGGCGCCGCCATCCCCCCACTTGCTGCTGGGGGCCCCTGCCCTGTGTCGGCCAGCGCTGGTGCCCGTGGGTGTGCAGAGTGAGGTAAGAGCGGAGGTGGCCCCTGTCTCAGGGCTCCACCAGGTCCTACCCCTCTGCCCAGGAGGCTCCCCACCCTCCTCTTTGCCTCTGGGGCCCATCAGCCTCCAGTTTTCTTCTCCTCCTGCATCCTAGACCCTGAGTGCCCCAGAGGCAGGGGTATTAACAATCCAGGTGGTACAGGACCCACCTGTGAGAAAGGGTGGCTCCTTCTGTCCTAGTCGCCACTCCTTTAGGGGTGGATCAGAGGGAAGGGCCCAGGGCATCTGAGACTGTAGGCAGCCGTGGCAGTGGGCTTTTAACAATGGGTATGAGAGGCCAGGCGTGGTGGCTCACACCTGTAATCCCAGCACTTTGGGAGGACGAGGTGGACGGATCATTTGAGGTCAGGAGTTCGAGACCAGCCTGGACAACGTGGCAAAACCCCATCTCCAATAAAAATATAAAAGTAGCTGGGCATGGTGGCACATGTCTGTAATCCCAGCTACTAGGGAGGCTGAGGCAGGAGAATCGCTTGAACCCAGGAGGCAGAGGTTGCAGTGAGCCAGGATGGCGCCACTGCACTCCAGCCTGGGTGACAGAGCAAGACTCCAACTCAAAAAAAAAAAAATCGGTATGAGAGTATTTCATTGTTTTAGCAACTGGCTAACAGTACCAGATTGTACTGGAGGATACATGCCAAGGAGAGCCCATCACACCTCGCACCTACTTCTCACCCCTCAGCTCCTGCACAGCATGCTATTTGCCCATCAGGCCATGGTGGAGCAGCTGACAGGACAGCAGACCCCCCGAGGGCCACCAGAGACCTCTGGGGATAAGAAGGGGAGCAGCAGCAGCGTCTACCGTGAGTGCTCAAGGCTGGGAGGGCCCAGGGGGATCTTAGCCAGAGGAGGGAGGGCCCTCCTGGCTGAGTACATGGCTGAGGGGGCATGAGACAAGGGATACTATGTAACTCATTCATTCATTCGACCAACATTTATTGAACACCAGCTATTTACTAAGTGCGGGGGTTCAGAGATGAAAGGCTCAAGAGGCTCAGAACCTAGTGGGGAGCAGAGATGGGATTACTGCCAGCGACTGCTGCTGGCATTCAGGTAAGCACTAGGTGCTGTGCATTCAGGCCCAGAGAAGGAACTGGGGCTTCCCAGAGGACACAACACTGGGGCAGGTGAAGGAGGTGGGAAAAGATGCCTAAGCAGAGGGAATAGCATTTATTTATTCTTTTTTTTTTTTTTTTTTTTGAGACGGAGTCTCAGTGTTGCCCAGGCTGGAACACAGTGGCAGGATCTCAGCTCACTGCAGCCTCTGCCTCCCAGGTTCAAGTGATTCTCATGCCTCAGCCTCCTGAGTAGCTGGGACTACAGACATGCACCACCACGCCCAGCTAATTTTTGTATTTTTAGTAAAGACGGGGTTTCACCATGTTGGCCAGGCTGGTCTCAAACTCCTGACCTCAGGTGATCCACCCGCCTCAGCCTCCCAAACTGCTGGGATTACAGGTGTGAGACACCACACCCAGTCAGAAATAGCATTTATAAAGCAAAAAGCTGTGAACAAGTGTAGCAAATCTGGAGAACAGCTGGTAGTTTGCTGTTGGAGAGCAAGTCTTGCGATGCGGTGGGAACAAGCAGGACGGATGAGAGACAGGGCTGGCAAGGCAAACAGGTGTCAGGCCACAGAGGCCGCACAAGCCATGCTAAGGGAGCAGGACTTTCTCCTGTGGGCAGGAGGGACTGGGAGGGAGATCCATGGTCAGACTTTCATTTTATTTTACTTTCTTTTATTATTTTTTGAGATGGCGTTTTGCTCTTGCTGCCCAGGCTGGAGTGCAATGGCACAATCTCGGCTCACTGCAACCTCCGTCTCCTGGGTTCAAGCGATTCTCATGCCTCAGCCTCCCAAGTAACTGGGATTACAGGCATGCGCCACCACCTTGGCTAATTTTGTATTTTTAGTAGAGACCAGGTTTCTCCATGTTGGTCAGGCTGGTCTTGAACTCCTGACCTCAGGTGATCCGCCTGCCTCGGCCTTCCAAAGTGCTGGGATTACAGGCGTGAGCCACCGCGCCCTGCCAGACTTTCATTTTATAAAGATGACTGTGTGTGTGTAGAGTTTGGGTTGGAGGAAGCATAAGACTGGAGTTGGGAGGCTTTTGAAGATAATCTAGGCAGGAGATGATGGGGCGGTAACCAAGACAACGGCCATGGGATGAAGAAGGAGGCTCAGCTGGAGAGAGATTGGGAAGATAGGGTTCATTCACTCATTCACTCACTCATTCATTTCTTCTTTCAACAGATGCTTAATGACCTCCTGTTTAATTTGCCAGGCACTGTCCTAGGGGCTAGGAAGCCAATGTGAGCAACACTGCCTTTATGGGACTTATAGGCAAGGGGGGTGCAGATATTCAACTAATGATCGATAAGTGATTATAACTGTGCTAACTGCTGCAGAGGAGAAGTGCAGGGTGCCGAGGGCATCAGGGAAGACTTCCTTGACAAAGTGACACTTGAGATGACACCCAAAGTATACGTGAGTGTCAGCTTAGCTCAGAGGGAGTAGGGAGAGCATGGCGAGCGAGAGAATAGTGTGTGCAATGGCCCTGGAACAGAGGGCGAGCGAGAGAATAGTGCATGCAATGGCCCTGGAACAGAGAGACTGGGAGAAGGCCAGTGCAGAAACACATGGCCAATGAGTGGGAGAAGAGGTGGAAATGGAGGCAGACATCAGCTCTTACAGAGGCTGTGAGCTGGGAACTGACAGTATCAGATTTTCTGTGAAAAAGATCACAGAGACACTTGGCCAAACCAAGGCTCTTGTGCAGAGGTCAAAGAATTGCCCCTCTACTCCAGCCAATTTCATGGAAGAAGGATCCATGGCCTTCACCCCACCCCTGAGCTGCTGGGGGCCCAAGCTCTGCACCCCTGGGAGTGCAGCTGAGGCCATGGGTGTGGGGTGCTCCAGGGCCTGCTGGGACTCGCTGGGCCTGGTCTGGCAGCCTGGAGCTAAATAGCACCTGAACAGTCCTCCCTGTTTCTCCACCCCCACCCACCCCGTCCCAGCTCTGGGAATGCCTTGGGCAGAGAGCTTCTCTCTTTAGGAAACTATAAGGGAAAGAAAAAAGTGTTCCCTCTCCAGGTGGATAGTGGTAGAAAAAAAAAAAGAAAGAAAGAAAGAAAGAAAAAAGTGTTCCCTCCCAAGCCCCACTTGGAGTGGGCTATTTTGCACCTCCCTCCCCTCTGCAGGCAAACACACATGCCCTGCCTATGCTTTGGCCCTAAGGGATGCTAAGCAGGTATAGGTCACCAGAAGATTGGAAGCAGCCACATGCCCCACTTCTAGATTGAGATTCCAGAAGCCTGTGCCAGCCCCTCACCTCCACCCCTCACTCAGAGCATTTGGTGCCAAGAAAGGAAGCTGCTTCCGGGAGTGCCAGGTCTATTGAGCCGGAGGCAGGGAGCTGCAGGGCCAGTGCTGGGAAAGGTTGGGAACCTGTTGGAGAATGAGAGGAGGACTCTTAGAAATAAAAATATCTCTTCCACATGCCCTCAGGAGCCCCGAGGGACACAGCCTTCCCGTGCAACAGCAGTCTCCACCTCATCTAAGGACCCAAGGAAAAGGACAATGACCCAGAGAGAGGGTGTTCTGATAGGGGCCTCCACACTTGTTCTTTAGAGGATCACTGTCACTGTTTTCTCCCTACATAGATCTGACTTCAGAAATATTCTTCTTATCAAATACACTGGACATATTAAGTAATAACTAATTTGTTTTTCCAGGTTTTTTTTTTTTTTTTTTTTTGAGACAGAGTTTCACTTTTGTTGCCCAGGCTGGAGTGCAATGGTGTGATCTTGGCTCACTGCAACCTCCGCCTCCCGGGTTCAAGCAGTTCTCCTGTCTCAGCCTCTCAAGTAGCTGGGATTACAGGTGCGTGCCACCACGCCCGGCTAATTTTTGTATTTTTAGTAGAGACGGGGTTTCATCACATTGGTCAGGCTGGTCTCGAACTCCTGATCTTAGGTGATCCGCTCGCCTCGGCCTCCCAAAGTGCTGGGATTACAAGCGTGAGCCACCACACCTGGCCTGTTTTTCCAGTTTTTATTCACTACAGCCCAACCAATGTGACTAAGTTGGGTTGATGCTTGTTCTTTTAGTTAAATGATGTGGTCTTGCTAAGAAAAATGTGGAATTGCAGTTAGGCTTTTCGAAATACAGAAAGTGATGTGAAGTTCTATATAGTCATCTCCAAGGCCCCCAGCTGGGAGGCCCTATTGTAGGGCCCTGGCAGGGTTGGAGAGGGAAAGAGGCAGGATTAGAAGGAGCAGGAAGAAGGAAGCCTTTTTGGAGGTGGAAAGTTATGGACCAGAGTGAGACAGAGAAGAAGGAGGCTGGGGCTCCCCATACCTGCCCTGGGCCTCCCGTCATGCACTCTGCAGGGCCTCTTCTTACCCATGACACAGCTTAATCCAAGCTAGGAGAGGGGATTTTATGGATGAAGAAACAGAGGACTGCAAATTTAAATGACAAGGCCAAGGCCACACAACCAGTTCTTTGCCCGGCTAGACTGGAGGCCCTTGCTGCAGGGGCAGGGAGTGAAGAATGGATCCATTGAGATATAGCAGAGAATATCCTTCCCTTATTCACTGGACACATTTTTCTTGAGCACTGATTATGTCCAGACTGGGTAGATTCGAGGGAAAATAAAACAACTACAGCCCCTGCCCCCAAAGAGTTGGGCTCACAGACATTAAATAAAAAGCACACAAATGACTACATGACCCTAACTCAGCCGAGTGCCCTTGGAGGAGAGGTTCATGGAGGGATGAGAGCAGGCAGCAGGCACTCTCGCCTAGGCTAGGAGTCTCAGAAGTCTTCTCCAAAGAGTGATATTTATGATGAGGCCTAAAGAAAAGCAGAAAAGGAGCTGTGCGCGGTGGCTCATGCTTGTAATCCCAGCACTTTGGGACGCCAAGGCAGGTGGATCACCTGAGGTCAGGAGTTCGAGACCAGCCTGACCAATATGGTGAAACCCTGTCTCTACAAAAAAATACAAAAATTAGCCGGATGTGGTGGCATGCACATGTAGTCTCAGCTACTCGAGAGGCTGAGACAGGAAAATTGCTTAAACCCGGGAGGCGGAGATTGCAGTGAGCCAAGATCACGCCACTGCACTCCAGCCTGGGCTACAGAGCAAGACTCTGTTTAAAAAAAAAAAGAAAAGAAAAAAAAGAAAAAAGAAAAGAAAAGCATAAAAGGAAGGGCAAGCCTGGCAACATGGCGAGACTCAATCTATACAAAAAACACAAAAATTAGCCAGGCATGGTGGCACACGCACCTGTAGTCCCAGCTACTCAGCAAGCTGAGGTGGGAGGATCGTTTGAACCCAGGTGGGGTTCAAGCCTACACTGCAGCCTGGGTGACAGAGAGAGACTCTCTCTCAAAAAAATAAGACAGAAAGAAAAGGAAGGGCAGTGGGGCGAGGAAGAGACTTCCAAGCAAGAAACAAGAAGGGCTGGGAAATGGGAGGAGCAAGGAGCATCTGCGAGAGGTTGGGCTCCCTTGACCCTTTCTCTCTTTCTTTCTCTAGGACTTGGCTCTGCCCCAGGCCCCTGCCGGCTGGGCCTTTGCTGCCATTTGGGGAGCGTCCAAGGCGAGCTGCCTGGTGTTGCCTCCTTCACTCCTCCCCTCCCGCCCCCTCTGCCCTCCAACTGGACCTGTCTCTCGGGGCCCTTCTTGCCTCCTCTCCCGTCAGAGCAGCAGCTCCCAGGGGCTTTTAAGCCAGACATCCTGCTCCCAGGACCTAGGAGCCTCCCAGGGGCCTGGCATTTTCCAGGGCTTCCTCTCTTGGCAGGGCTGGGACAGGGTGCGGGTGAGAGGCTTTGGCTCTTGTCCCTCAGGCCCGAGGGGCTGGAAGTAAAGCCTGCTCCCATGATGGAGGCAAAGGGAGGCCTGGATCCCAGGGAGGTCTTCTGCCCAGAGACCCGCAGACTCAAAACTGGGGAGGAAAGCCTTACTTCCCCCAATCTGGAGAACCTCAAAGCAGTGTGGCCCTTGGATCCTCCTTAACTAGAGAGGAAGGTGGGAAGTTGGGGAGGAGTCCTCCAAAGTCCATCTCTCCTCTTGCCCACCGCCTCTGGGTTAGCCCCTTCCCCTGGCTGGACATGGGCTGAAATTGCAGGATTTGAAGGGGTGGAGTTGGACCCAAGGTGGGGAGCATTGCAGGGAAGGTGTGAATGTGGAAATGGGAAAAACCAAGACAGGGTGCCCCTCCTCTTTCACCATATTGCTAAGCAGACTAAGGGGACATTCCTAATCTCAACTTTTCTTCAGGGAGACGAGAATAAAGTTTCTATAATTTCCATCCTGCCCACATAAGGGGGAAAATTAAGGGTCTAGCCTGGGGAGAGGACAGGGGTGGTTGTGTTCCCTGAGTCTTGTCTGGGGCCCATCTCCCCATTCCAGGCTAAGGTCTCCAGTCCCTTTCTCACCCCTCCATGCAACTTCTCTCCCATCCCTCTGATTTCTGAGACCCTGGAAACCCCTGTCCCATGCAGGCACTTCCTCCTCTCTCCATTTCCCCAGGACCCAGGCAAGTGGGGTGGGGAGACACTGGCCTTCTCTGCTCTGTAATACTCCACTGTGACCATGAATAAAATGCCCTTGCAAACTGTCCTCTGGCTGACCACCCCCCCCTGCAGTGGACCCCCATCCTCCCACTGTGCTCCTCCTGCGTTCTGGACTGGTGTGATGGGAAAAGGCCCGAACAGGAGTTTGGAGGAGGACCTGAGGCCTGGAGTGGAGCTACACATCCCACCAGCCAGTCTCTTCCCTCCTGCCAGCATCTCCTCTCAGACAGAAAGGCTGGAAGGAAGCCAGGGCATGAGGAGCTTCCTGGGCACAGTGGGAAACCCGCCTCAAGGGAGGAACTTCAGACTACAGCAGGGGTCCTTAAAGAACGGCCCTCAGATCCCTGTGGACCACCTTGGAGCAGAAGGGTTGGGTGAGGAGGAGGAGGAGGATGCTGTCAGGGGCCCCTTTTCCTCTACACCCCAGGCCCTAAGAATGCCAAGCAGAGCAGCAGTGAGGCATCAGGTGCCTGGAAAGTAGGGGACATGTGACAGAGAGGGTCTTTTGCCCAAACAAGGACATGCCAACAGAGAGGGGTGCCCCAGGAGCCATGACTGTTGATCCCATCACCCTACTGTCTCTAGGCTGCCAATTACAAGCCTAGGATTTGTCCCCACTCCCTTTCTATGACATGGAGCATGGACTCGTGTGGCACAGAGGGCCCCTTTACTCAATGTTTGTCCCTGTTCCTCAGCCCCAGGAGTTGGTGCATCCTTCTCAAGGACGCCCTGAGCACGTGCTTCTGCAGCCTCTCAGCCCTTCTTAGTGGCATATGCATGGCCACAGGGCCACACATGGAACTGGGAAAGGAGAGACCCAGAGTGGGGCAGGATGGGCCCTCGCTCCTCAGGAAGGTGGTGATGGACACAGCACACAGGTCCTGGGTTTCCAAGCTGGATCTAGGCCAGGAGAAAGGATCTATGAGAGTTCTTCATCTCAGTCTCCCTCCTTCATGTCAGATGCCAAGAAAGTGGGGACCACAGAGTTTCTCTCCTGAGAGTTCCCAGCGCTACAATGAAAACTGCTTCTCACTTGCCCCCAAAGCCACAGGCCCATCCCTGGCCCTGCAGGAAGGACGAGCTCCCAGGGGCTTTCCCATCACCCTGCCCAGTTTTGGGAGACAAAGAGCTAGTGTTGTCTGCTCCAGCATAAGGAACTGGATGGTTTTGTCATGGGGTTTGGGCCCTGTTCAGAGAGACCAGCTCCTGGGACAGAATTGTTCTCCTTCATGGGGATCTTCACATGCCCCTCTGCCAGACCCCACTGCCTCTTCAGTGCTTTGTGGTATCTGTGACCCTCACGTCTCAGGCAATGGGAAATGCCTCGAGGTCACTCTTCTAAAATTTCTCTTTGGAGTAGGTGAAACTGGGAGACTAAAAGCTCAGCCCCGGAGGACTTACATTTCCAGATGGTGCACTCTGCGTCTAGGCAATAGATTCGAGTGGAGCAGACTTTTTCAACCTTGGCACTGTTGATATTTTCGGCTGCATAATTCTTTGTTGTGGGCGGCTGTCCTGTGCATTCCTGGGCGTTTAGCAGCATCTGGGGCCCCTACTCAGTAGATTCCAGGAGCACCCTCCCCCACCCGGTTAGGACAACCAGACTGTCTCCAGACATTGGTAAATGTCTCCTGGGGAGAGGGGAGAAACTGCTCCCAGTGGAGAACCACTTAAGTAGAGAAAGGCTTCAGCAAATCCAGATGTTCTGGCAAAGATGGGAACCAGGTTCCTCGGACTCAGAAGACTGTTGGTCTCCACAAGGCAAGAGTGCCCTCTGGTGGCCAGAGTCAGTACCGGCGGTCGAGAGGAGCTCAGAGCCCCGGCCTAGGCTGGGTGCAGAGCCCACAGCCGACTCTGAGGTGAAGGGGTGATGCCCACCTTGGAATCCTCTGAGAGGAGGAAGAGAGTTGCAGAATAAAAGCATTTTGTGAGAACCTTCCCATTTCAAACCCCCTTAGCAAATCATGGACTATCCACCAAAGGCGTATAGGTCTAACGTAGCAACACACTCTGCAGCCTGTTTGTTTCTGGTGCAACCAGGTGACAGCACATCCTCTGGCCATCTGTGACTGTGACTGTCAGCCTCATCTGGGGATAGAATGCTGTGGATGCTCAGTCTTCTTCCAGGACAGTGGACACCGGGCCGAGACACAGCAGAGTCAGCTCACCTGCCAGCCCTGCTCCTGGGCACTCGGCTCCACCGTACCAAAGGCACGTGCAGATACACACCTGGGCCTCGGGAGTTTCAGGGAGTCAGGCTCCCGGGCTGCACTGTTAGGAATCAGAAGGGACCTTTGAGAGCATCAAGTTCAAGTCCCGTAACTTCACAGGCCCAGAGAGAAGAAGGTACTTGTTCAAAACCAAACAAGAGAAGAATCAAATGTAGAACATACATTTCCTAATTATCACTTAATGTTCTTTCCATTTCACCATGACCACTCAATTACAGAATTGAAAATCCCTTAGAAATGAGTATATATGTGAAGAGAAAAGTTTTAAAATTTATTCCTGAGTGATTATTTATTTATTCGTTTGTTTATTTTGAGACACGATCTCACTTTGTCTCGCAAGTTGGACTGCAGTGGCATGATCTCGGCTCACTGCAACCTCCATCTCCTGCGTTCAAGTGATTCTACCACCTCAACCTCCCAAGTAGCTAGGATTACAGGCGTGGGCCACCATGCCAGGCTAATTTTTGTATTTTTACAAATACAAAATTTGTCTCAAACTCCTGACCTCAGGGGATCTGCCCACCTTGGCCTCCCAAAGTGCTGAGATTACAGGCGTGAGCCACCGTGCCCGGCCCGCCTTGGAGATTTAAAAACAAAAACAAAAGCAAAGTATTTGCTGTCCTGAGTTGTTGGTGAGAGTGAGGACAATCCCCGTCCTCCCCCTTTCATTCCCTAATGAAGACCCTGACCCAGGGGGAAGAAAAAAATTCAAGCACCATATAAATATTTTATACATAAGATTTCAGTGCTCCACATCTTGTCCCACGGGAAAGTCTTCAGGGGCCATAACATGCATGGAGCTGTCATCTGCTATAACAACGCCTTCTTCTGGAATACCTCGTGAATGACCTGCCTGAGGCAATCCTGATTGTGCCCAAATAGACATGGATAATACTATACATGCTGCTCCATAACACAATATTTCATGGATGTCTTCCCAATTAAATATATAAAAATAAACAGTCATGCATTGCTTAATGACAGGGATACATTCTGAAAAAATGCATTGTTAGGCAATCTTTGAACAAACATCATAGGGTATATTTACCCAAACCTAGATGGTACAGGCTTCCACACACCTAGGCTGCACATGGCCTATTGCTCCTAGGCTACAAACCTTACAGCATGTTACTAAATACCATAGGCAGTTGTAATACAATGATAAGTACTTGTGTATCTAAACACAGAAAAGATACAGTAAAAATACAGCACAAGAGGTAGAAAATGGTACACCTGTAGAGCACATTTTGCCATGAATGGAGCTTGGAGGACTGGCAGTTGCTCTGGATAGGTCGGTGAGTGAGTGTTGAATGAATATGAAGCCTGAAGATATTACTGTACACTGTATAAACACTATACACTTAGGCTACACTCAATTGATTTAAAAGATTTTTTTCTGCAATAATAAACTAACCTTAGCTTACTGTAACCTTTTTACTTTTTATTTTATTTTATTTATTTTATTCATCTATTATTTTTATTTTTATTTTTTTTTTTTGGAGACAGAGTCTTGCTCTGTGGCCCAGACTGGAGTGTAGTGGCACGATCTCGGCTCACTGCAACCTCCGCCTCCCCGGTTCAAGCCATTCCCGTGCCTCCCAAGTAGCTGGGATTACAGGAGCATGCCACCATGCCTGGCTAATTTTTTGTATTTTTAGTAGAGACAGTGTTTTGCCATGTTGACCAGGCTGTTCTTAAACTCCTGACCTCAGGTGATCTGCCTACCTTGGCCTCCCAAACTTTTTTACTTTAAAAGCTTTAATTTTTTTTTTAACCTTTAGACTCTTTTGTGGTAACACTTAGTTTAAGACACAAATACACTGCACAGATGTACCAAAATATTTTTTCTTTATATCCTTATATGTAAGGATATTATCTCTATTCTATAAGCTTTTTTGTATTTAACAACATTTTTAAATTTATTACTTTTTAAACTTTTTTGTTAAAAGCTAAGACACAAGCGCACACATTAAGACACAAGCACATGGGCTGGGCGCAGTGGCTCACACCTATAATCCCAGCACTTTGGGAGGCCAAGGCAGGCGGATCACAAGGTCAGGAGATCGAGACTATCCTGGCTAACATGGTGAAACCCATCTCTCCTAAAAAATACAAAAAAATTAGCCAGGCGTGGTGGTGAGAGCCTGTAGTCCCAGCTACTCGGGAGGCTGAGGCAGGAGAATGGCATGAACCTGGGAGGCGGAGCTTGCAGTGAGCGGAGATAGTGCCACCGCACTCCAGCCTGGGCGACAGAGAGAGACTCCATCTCAAAAAAAAAAAAAAAAAAAGACACAAGCATGTGGCCTGAGTGGTAGCTCATGCCTATAATCCCAGCACCTTGGGAGGCCAAGGTGGGAGGATCACTTGAGCCCACGACTTCCAAACCAGCATGGGCAACACAGGGAGACCTCTTCTCTATAAAAAATTTAAAAAAAAAATTAGCTGGGCCTGGTGGCATATGCCTGTGGTCCCAGCTACTCAGAAGGCTGAGGTTGGAGAATAGCTTGGGCCTGGGAGTCAAGGCTTCAGTAAGTTGTGATCGCTACTACACTCTAGCCTGTGTGACAGAGTGAGACTCTGTCTCAAAAACCAAACCAACCAAACAAACAAAGACACAGACACACACAAGTGCAGGCCTACACACAGGGTCAGGATCGTCAGTGTCACTGTCTCCCACCTCCACATCTTGTCCCACGGGAAAGTCTTCAGGGGCAATAACATGCAAGGGGCTGTTCATCTGCTATGAGAACAACACCTTCTGGAAAACCTCCGGAAGGACTTGCCTGAGGCTGTTTTACAGTTAATTTTTTTGAATAAGTGGAACGAGAACACTGAAATAATGATTTAAACGTGTAGTACAGTAAATACATAAGCCAATAACATAGCCATTTATTATCATTATCAAGTATTAGGTACTGCACACAATTGTATGTGCTATACTTTTATATGACTGGCAGTGCCATAGGTTTGTTTACACCAGCATCACCACAAACACATGAAAAATGTGGTGCACTATAACATTACAACAGCTACAATGTCATTAGGTGATAGGAATTTTTCAGCTCCATTATAATCTTATGGGACCACGCTGTTATGCGGCACATGACTGTATATACAGTTCAACAAACATTGATTAAATGCCTACTGTGTGCCAAACACTGCACTGCCAGGTGCTGAGAAGCAGAGTACCTGCCTTAAGACACTTTCATCTGTGCTGTGTCACACAGGTAGCCTGACAGAAGTCAGTACGTTGCACAGAAAGCAATCGAGCTTGCAGGTGGATGGGGGTGGGGAGGAGTAGGGGAGCAGCCAGGAGGGGCAGCTCTGCAGGAGTTGTTTAGAAATCAACCTTTTTTTTTTTTTTTTTACTGAGATGGAATCTCACTCTGTCACCCAGGCTGGAGTGGCGCAATCTTGGCTCACTGCAACCTCCGCCTCCCAGGTTCAAGCGATTCCCATGCCTCAGCCTCTCAGGTAGCTGGGATTACAGGAGCCCACCACTACGCCTGGCTAATTTTTTTTTCTTTGTATTTTTAGTAGAGATGGGGTTTCACCATGTTGGCCAGGCTGGTCTCAAACTCCTAACCTCAAGTGATCTGCCCACCTCCCGCCTCCCAAAGTGCTGGGATTACAGATGTGAGCCACCACGTCTGGCCCTGAAATCAACGTACTTTAAAATGCCTAAAAATAAATCTTAAGAAGCCATCTGTAATTCCCCAATGGAGAAAGCCAGGTGATATGTGCTTATAAAGTTATCATAACACATATACAATTCTGTGGTCACTTTTTTCCATCTAATTATTTAATAAACACTTCACCAGTTATTTGCAGCTAATGTTGATCATCTTAACCATAGCAAATATCCTGTCATGTTGATTCACATATATTTAGCCACTACCCTTTTGGTGATCTTTTAGGTTGTTTCTTGTTATTTGCTTTACAGATAAAAATGGCTTTGAAACTTTTGTCTGTGGTTATAATCTTTTTTTTTCTTTCCTTATATTAATTCCTTAAGATAAATTCTCAGGAGTGAAATTACTGGGTCAAAAATTATGACATTTTCCCAGCTACTCTGGAGGCTGAAGTGGGAGGATCGCTTGAGCCTGGGAATTGAAGCTGCAATAAGCCATGACTGCACCACTGCGCTCCAGCCTGAGTGACAGAACGTGACCCCATCACAAAAAAAAAAAAAAAATTACGACATTGTAATGGCTTTGGATACATATTGCCCAACTATCCTCCAAAAGATTACCACAGTTTTAAGAAATCACATTTAGGCCGGGCACAGTGACTCATGCCTATAATAGCAACACTTTGGGAGGCCAAGGTGGGAGGATCACTTGAGCCCAGTAGTTCAAGACTAGCCTGGGTAACATAGTAATACCCCATTTCTACAAAAAAATAAAATAAAATAAAATAAAATAAAAAATTAGCCAGGGGTGGTGGTGTATGTCTGTACTCCCAGATCCTGCAGTGAGCCATGATCATGCCACTGCACTCCAGCCTGGGTGACAGAGCAAGACCTTGTTTCAAAAAATAAAAGTTACATTTATACACCATTTGCTATAAGCCATGCTGTCCTAAGTGCTTTGCATACATTAGCTCAATCAATACTCATAACAGCTTTGCACTATTTTAATCCCTTTTTTTTTTTTTTAGTTTTTTTTTTGGTAGGAATGGGATCTCAGTATGTTGCCCAGGCTGGTCTCAAATTCCTGGCCTCAAGAGACCCTCCTGCCCCAGCCTCCCAAAGTGTTGGGATTACAGATAAGAGCCACCACACTCGGCCTTTAATCTCATTTTACAGATGAGGACATTAAGGTCTAAACAGGTAAAATAACTTGCTCAAGGCCACATTCCTGGCAAGCAGCAGAGCCAGGGTTCAGACCTAAGCAGTCTGGCTCCACAGTCTGTGCTCAAGTGCCGGCCTCTGATGCCAACAGCAAAAGACAAGTCCTCTTGGAACCTCAGCAGCTGTGGCCTTTCTCTACCCTCTGGCCACTTTTACCAATAAGAGTACGGTTATGTCATCACTGTCCTCTTTGGTATGTCTTCAAATAGCTGGTGAGGGCAACCGAACGTTTTTCTGCTCATTTGCTACTTATAATTTGGCCTCTCCTGTTTTAAAATTAGGAACAAGGACCACCTCACTAACACAATATTGAAAAGATATTTTGGCCGGGCGCGGTGGCTCACGCCTGTAATCCCAGCACTTTGGGAGGCCGAGGCGGGTGGATCACGAGGTCAGGAGATTGAGACCATCCTGGCTAACACGGTGAAACCCCACCTCTACTAAAAATACAAAAAATTAGCCGGGCGTGGTGGCAGGCGCCTGTAGTCCCAGCTACTTGGGAGGCTGAGGCAGGAGAATGGCGTGAACCCGGGAGGCAGAGCTTGCAGTGAGCCGAGATTGCGCCACTGCACTCCAGCCTGGGTGACAGAGAAAGACTCCGTCTCAAAAAAAAAAAAAGAAAAAGAAAAGATATTTTAAATTAATATGACTGCCAGGTGAGGATGGAGGGAGGAAATAGGGATGGGTGAAGAAAGAGGAAGCAAAAAGGGGACAGAGTTCTTCAGAAGATTTTGAGGAAAAGGGGAAAGAAAATATTCCAATCACCAGGCTAGCCATCAATTACTTCATTTAGCATTGAAAAAATAAATGACTTTTATAGAACTCCCCTCTGGCTACTTGGGCTGAAAGCTGTAATTTCATTTGAAATTGTAATGCTGTAGCTAATTACTGACTGTTCGTAATTATTTCATTGTTTTATCCCAAACATTTCGGAGGCTCAGACCAGGCAGGGCAACCACAGGGGAAAACTGAGTGACCACCACCATAAATACCTGGAGGGTTCAGCCAGAAGAAAGCAAGCAACAGGTGAGACTGGGTCTTTGGGCATCCTAATGCCATGAGACCCACGCAGCTCAGATACCATGGACCACTGCCAGGACTTAGCAATGGAGCCAGGGATATCGTCCAGTCCATCCATTTATTTTTTAGTTGCAGGTTCAAAGGCCCCTGAGGAGAGTTGTTCCAGGTCATCAGGAAAAGTAAAACCTATGTATGAACCCCTGAGTGTCAATCACACTCACTTTTCCTACCATCAACTTGCTGTGAACTGATGGAGAAAATCTCCCAACTGCAAGACTTGTTGCTACCATAAACCCCTCCCTCTCCAACCTCATCTGGCCCTCACAAGCCTTTTGCTAGTCCTGGGTCAGCTCTCAGCATCTGTTCTAAATCTTCCCCCACCCACATCCCACTCCCTTCATCTCCAAAGTCTACTGCAATTCCTTGGCCAGGCGCAGTGCCTCACACCTCTAATCCCAGCAGTTTGGAAGCCTGAGGCAGGTGGATCACCGGAGGTCAGGAATTCAAGACCACACTGAACAACATGGTGAAACCCCGTCTCTACTAAAAAATACAAAAATTAGCTGGGCATGGGGGCAGATGCCTGCAATCCCAGCTACTTGGGAGGCTGAGGCAGGAGAATGGCTTGCAACCTGGGAGGTGGAGGTTGCAGTGAGCCAAGATAGCGCCATTGCACTCCAGCGTAGGCGACAGAGCAAAACTCCGTCTCAAAAAAACAAACAAAACAAAACAAATAAAAAAACAAAGTCTACTGTACTTCCTACTAGGGCTTCCTTTCCTTCCGCCAGTCCTTACTTCTAGTCTCAAGAATGGGTTGTTCCTGACCCAGTGATGTAACCCCTCCACCTGTACCAAACAAGGAAAGTCAAGCAGGTGTTAGCTCTTGTGCCAACTCCAGTTAATTGACTGGGACGCAACTAGGAAGCACATGGTCAAGAAGGATTCCAAGGTTGTGCTGGGGGCTTAGGAAGGAGAGTGGTGCCGTGTTTTTTTCCATGACTTTCATAGTACTAAATCCAGTGACCACATTTTTGTCCTTATCTTATTTTGTCCTCTGGTTGTGACATCATGGACAGCCCTTTGTTCCATTAGCTGCCAATATCCATCCCTTCCCAATTCTCTCTTTCCTAAGACTGTTGCTTTTCAAACTCATTTCTGGGCATTCCTCTGTATCCTCGACTTTGGGGTTCTCCAGAACACTGGTCCACAGCTCTGTGTATTTTACACATCCTTCCTAGAGAGTTTCCATCTGGGCTTCTCTCTGTGCCTTAACCACCACCTAAATGCTGACTGCTCCTAGATCTGTATGACTAGCCCTGACCTCTGGCTCAAGCTTCAAGGTCATGGGTCCAAATGCCCACTGAGCATTGCTGCCTGGATGTCCCATAGGCATCTCAAACTTAGCATGTCCAAAATGGAACTCTTTGTCTCAACACCTGGTGCTGCCTTCCGCTCTCCTTTTCTTTCTGTTCCTTGCTTTAGTTAATGACACCACAATACATCCAATTATACCAAAGCAGGAACCAGGGTGTCAGCCCATGCTGTCTTTTCCCCCACCGCCTATACCCAGTAGGTTGCCAGATCCGATCAGTTTCACCTTCTAAACATTTCCGAAATCTGCTTTCTCCTGGACAACTCTACACTGACTTAGTTTAGGCCCTACAGATAGTCTAATCTTGTCCCTTTCCAATCCATACTCCATATTGATCATTTAACTTAAAACTCTTCAATGGCTCCCCTGAAAGGAAAAAAAAAAATCTCTCTATCCCCCTAGTGATGATAATTTATATGTACTATAATGTCATTTAAAAAGATATAGACATAAAACTAGGTATAAATATATATTTATGGCACATAAAACTATAAAAGCAATGGCAATTTACCAATTAAATAGAAACAAAACTATAAAGCCAATACATTTTAAAATAAAAACATTAATGTATTGTGACAGATGATGTTTGCTGAAACTAATTGCTGCACAAAATGCGATCGTGGAATGGAGAGTTCCAGCTCAGGGTCTCTGGAGTTTGGCACGCTGTGCAATGACTCACTTCTCCCACCACTTTTCTCTATTGGAACTTCTGCTCACCCTTTGTTCATTCAGCCTGCTGGGAGGACATTTGGCCTCCTCCAGGCTCAAACGCATCATTTACATATTAAGTCCTCCTCTGTTCTTTTCTAATTAGCTGAGACAATTAAAGCAGCACTACTTGGTGCCAGCTCATCACAAACACAAAGACGAATGCAGACACTGAAATCATTTGGCAATACAGGTTATAAAGTGCCACCCAGATGATCCAAACCATGATTATCTCATTTGTTTTTTATATTATCATTAAAAGTAAGACACAAAAGTTAACATTTTCCTAGAAAGTCCATGGACTTCAGATGAGACCTAAAGAGCCAGGCCCAAGCTCCCTACAACATGGAATCCAGGAGCTCATCACTGGACCCCACGCACTCACAGACACACTTCTGCAGCCACTTCCCAACACCCGCTTGGCACCCTGGTGGTACCAAATCGCTTGTGTTTCTGTGCTTTGGATGTCTGCTCATCCCTCCGACTGACAGGCCATGCCTGCCGTCTTCTTAGGCTAACTCCTCCTAATCCTTTAGGAGTTTGCTCAGAAGCTCATCTTTTTTTTTTTTTTTTAGACGGAGTCTTGCTCTGTCGCCCAGGCTGGAGTGCAGTGGCGCGATCTCGGCTCACTGCAAGCTCCGCCTCCCGGGTTCACACCATCCTCCTGCCTCAGCTTCCTGAGTAGCTGGGACTACAGGCACCCGCCAACACGCCCAGCTAATTTTTTTGTTTTTGTACTTTTTTTTAGTACAGACGGGGTTTCACCATGTTAGCCAGGATGGTCTCGATCTCCTGACCTCATGATCCGCCCACCTCTGCCTCCCAAAGTGCTGGGATTACAGCGTGAGCCACCACACCCGGCCTAAATATTTCCCGGCCCAGAAGCTCATCTTGACACCACAGGCAGGGTCAACTGCCTTTCCTCTGTGCCTAGCTTTATCATAGCACTGACTGCATCGTGTGCAAATTACCCTGGAATGTAAGCTGCCCCAGGGCAGGGACGAGGCCCTATCAAGCTCTAGATAGGGCCTAGATAGGGTCTGGCATATGGCAACACGCAACAAGGGCTGCTGAACTAAAATCCAGGCTCCATGCTGTACTGGAGAGAAACTCTGACGGTGGCTGGGCTGTAGAACTTGCTTTGATGACCGTCTGTGATCTTAGACATGTCATTTCATCACCTCGAGCCCCAGCTGCCCCAACTATGAAACAGAGATGATACAGATATACTGGTACAGGTGCAAAATCACAAGGAAATTTGATGCAGCATGATTTCAAAAGAAAAATATCGGAAGCGCCTAAATGTCCACCTTTGGTGTGCTGATTAAACAAATAATGGTACATCCATACAACGGAACACTATGCACTGTCAAAAAGAAAGCAGAAGCTTATTATGTACTGATGTGGAATTACCTCTCAAGTTTGTCTTAAAAGAAAAAAGTGGGAGCAGAAGAGTATATGTGGGATTTTACTATTTGTTTAAGAAGGGGGAAAATACATATATAGATTTGTGTTGACTTGATTAGGTACTAAAATGCTTGAAAAGGACCGGGCACGGTGGCTCACGGCTGTAATATCAGCACTTTGGGAGGCCAAGGTGGGTGGATCACTTGAGGTCAGAAGTTCGAGACCAGCCCGGCCAACATAGTGAAACCCCATCTCTACTAAAAATAAAAAAATTAAAAAATTAGCCAGGTGTGGTGGTGCACGCCTGTACTCTCAGCTACTTGGGAAGCTGAGGCAGGAGAATCACTTGAACCCAGGAGGCAGAGGCTGCAGTGAACTGAGATCATGCCACTGTACTCCAGCCTAGGTGACAGAGCAAGACTCCACCTCAAAAATACATACATACATAAATAAATACATAAATAAATAAAATGTTTGAAAAGATAAACAAGAACAATAGAGGTTACCTATTGGGGAGAAGAAAATGGATGATAGAGGACAGAAGAGAAGTAGATTTTTCACTGCATATATTTTATACTTACGATTTTAAAACTACAATACCATATTACTTACATAAAATTTAAAAATTTTAAAGTAAATATTTCCTGCCCACCATTATTACCTCACAAGATCAAGTAGGAAGATCAAGTAAACATTGTAGGCAGGGCATGGGGGCTCACGCCTGTAATCTCAGCACTTTAGGAGGCCAAGATGGGCAGATCACTTGAGGTCAGGAGTTCAAGACCAACCTGGCCAACATGTTGAAACCCCATCTCTACTAAAAATACAAAAATTAGCCAGGCATGGTGGCGTGTACCTGTAATCCCAGCTATTCGAGAGGCTGAGGTGGGAGAAATGCTTCAACCCGGGAGGCAGAGGTTGCAGTGAGCCGAGATCACGCCATTGCACTCCAGCCTGGGCAACAAAGCAACACTGTCTGAAAAAAAAAAAAAAAAGTAAATATTGTAAAAGCATGTACTGTTGTTGGAAGGTGTAAGCAAGAATGACATTTTGTGGTGAAGCTACTGTGTTATACCTGTACTAATAATTATAATGACAAAGATACCTTCCCTTCTCCATCCGCATCTTTCTCCAACACACACCCTCCAGGGGAGCATCAAGCTTCACTATCATTTTACAGAATAAAGGAGACTGAAAGAAGGGAAGTGACAGCTATGTTGACACATGATCTCACACCTGCTTCTAACACAGAGAGTCCCACACATGAACCTTCCCCTAAAGGGCCTTATAATAGCACCCTCTTCAACAAGATCCTGCCTACTTCCTATCCTCCCTTTCCATGCCCCATGCCTACCTTCTCAGGGACCCCCACACAACCAGGGGCTCTGCCACAGATTCTCAAACATCTCCCTTCAATTCCACACATCATTTTCTCATTAGTCTAGTATGCACACTGGGTCTGCTGACCTTTCCTCATCCACCTTGGCATCCTCACAGAAACCTCAAGGCTGCAAAATCCAAATAGCAGCCCAATGGCAGGCTCCACACAGAGATAGCGGGTGCTGACTCTGAGAACTCGAAACAAACCCTGTCATCAGGATGATGGCCTTCTTACTTCTCATCTCTCTTCCTCTTTGTCAAATGTTTCAAAGAAACCAGAACTGGAGGGGACGAATGCTAAGGTTTGCTTCTGGAGAGCAGCCAGGTAATGTGTGCTAACACCCCAGGGATATCTGTAGAAAGGGTCTTCTATATTAAGGAATTCTGCATTCAGTCCTACTCAGTTCAAGGCATGGCTGAAAAGACCCTAATGAAATGATTAAACATATGGACTTTAATGTCACGTATTTATTTATTTATTTTTATTTTTATTTATTTATTTTTTGAGTTGGAGTCTCGCTTTGTCGCCCAGGCTGGAGTGCAATGGCGCAATCTCGGCTCACTGCAACCTCCGCCTCCTGCAAGCAATTCTCCTGCCTTAACCTCCCAAGTAGCTGGGATTACAAGCGCCCACCACCACACCTGGCTAACTTTTGTATTTTTAGTAGAGACAGGGTTTCACCATGTTGGGTAGGCTGGTCTCGAACTCCTGACCTCAGATGATCCACCTGCCTCAGCCTCCCAAAGTGCTGGAATTACAGGCGTGAACCACCGCACCCAGCCAATGTCATGCATTTATTAATTCAACAAGTATTTATGGGGTGTCTACTCAATCCTAGTCACTCTACTAGATAATGGCATGCTGGACCCTGATCTCCCAAAACAGAAATTTTTAAATCCTGATTTAAGGCATTTACCAATTACCATGGTGTAAATACTCCCACCACAGTCAATATCAGTGAATGTAGAACTGGGAAGAGATGTATACAATCGGCCCTTGTGATCCAGTACAAGCTGGCTTTGGCAAACCACTGGACAATGAACAAAATACACATAGACTCTATATTCATGAAATTAAGTATAATAACTAACATTTACTGAGTGTCTACTATATGTCAGATAATATTGTAAGAACTTTATAGATATAAACCATGTAATTATCACAAAACCCCTGGAAGGTATTGTTATCTAACAACAAAAAAACTAAACACATAATCTCAAATTGTGATAAGTGATATGAAGCAAACAAAAAGAGTTGGGGGAGAACACAAAATTGAAATGTTTGCTGATTTTCATGGTGTAAATACTCCCACCATGACCAATTTCAAGCTACCAATGTGACTTCAATTGGTTTGCCAAATTCCACAAAATTTACCATATTGCTCTCATTAGCCAATATGAGCCAGTACAAGCCAGCTCCAACATACTGCTTGGATAGAAGAAGGAGGAGGAAGGGAGAGTGAATTTGGAATGATCACAGGTCTCTCTGGGAGATGGAATTTAAGCAGAGACATGAAAGATGACAAGGAGATAATCTTGTGCAGAACCAGGGAACACCCAGAAAGAGAGGCATGAAATGAGGTTAGAGAGAAAGGCTAGGGCCAGATCATGCAGTGTCCCTTTGACTGTGGGCAGAAGATTGAAATTTATTCCAAATGCATAGAGAGACCTGGGTTTAAATTTCAGTTCCACCGCTTACTATGTGTGTGATTATGGGAAAGTTCTTTAACTTCTTCAAGACTGTTTTCCTCATGGGTGAAATAGGTTTAATACCTGAAATCTATTCTCACTGTGTTATCATAACTAATACATGAGATGTGTATATAATGCCTGCCCAATACTGCAGCTATTATTATTACTAACCCACAATACATAATGCCCATTCGTGTGAGAAAGAGAGAACTAGGGGTAAATGTCTGAGAGCCTGGGAAAATTTGATCCATATGAGGTTGCTCTAGGGTCTCAAACTCAAAGGCCTACAGGGTCAGGCATATCATACCCAATGGAACATGAAAGAGACTAAGGCAAACAGAGAACATGCTATGTTCCAAAGGGAGCAGTTATTACAAAATCCAACAGGTTGTAGTCATCTGTAACATGAACCCCATGTTGACCAGTCTTCCAATTATTGGGATTTTTATATGAAATCTCCCCATTTGCAAATGTTGACCCTAATTCCAATTTAAAACACTGTTTAGACCAAACCAAACAAGCCTACAGACCACTCATTTGTGACCCCTGCTTTATACCTTTCAATGGGCTCTTTCTCTAACCCAAGAGGAATTGGACTAGCCAAGGAATGCCTTTGGCTGGCTCAGACGGGGGACACACAAGTGAAGTTAGGCTGTAAGAGTGACCTTCAGGATGAAAAGGGCAACTCAACTTCGAAGGCAGTGGCCAAGCAAAAGAAATGATTCCGTATATCCTACAACTCCTAGATGCTCATAAGCTCGGAAATCACTTTCTGATAATACATTAGTTTCAATCCACCATCTTGTTTTTTTATGTTTCTTTTTTCTTCTTTTGAATTTTTAACAAATTGTTTCATTTCTTTTTTTGTCCTCTACTAATTTAGAAATTATATACACAGTTTCTGTCTTATAATGGGTTGACCTCAAAATTACGACTTGCATTCTTAACTTGCCCAATGTTGTTGTCTAATGTTAAGTACCTTTACTGCTCCCTCCCAGACAGTATAAGAATCCTAAATATTTTCAGGTTTTAATTTTATTTTTATTTTTATTTTTTATAGAGATGGGGATCTCGCTTTTTTGCCCAGGCTGGTCTTGAACTCCTGGGCTCAAGTGATCTTCCCACCTCAGCCTCCCAAAGTGCTGGGATTACAGGTGTGAGCCACCCTGCCTGGTTGGGAACCCTAAATATTTTAATTACACATCCCCTGGTCTCCACTGCCAAACCTCACTTTTGTGGTTTTTCCATTTTTGTCTGGCTGGAAAGATGACTCTTAGGGCCACCTTGGAAGCAGTGTGCTGAAAATGGAGAGTATTTGCCTGCCCTGGTACCTGAATAAATAAGCAGGGAAGGGCTGCGTGCATGCTATGTGTTTACCCACTCTGCACTGTTAGGTGATTAAGGAATACATTTATGGTGGTTAAGGCACTGATATTTGGGGATTTGCTTGTTACAACACATAACATTATCCTATTTAATATAGATATTTTCAGACGGGCACGGTGGCTCACGCCTGTAATCCCAACACTTTGGGAGGCAGAGGTGGGCGGATCACAAGGTCAGGAGATCAAGACCAGCCTGGCCAATATGGTGAAACTCCATCTCTACTAAAAATACAAAACTTAGCTGGGCATGGTGGTGGGCACCTGTAGTCCCAGCTACTCAGGAGGCTGAGGCAGGAGAATCACTTGAACTCGGGAGGCGGAGGTTGCAGTGACCCGAGATGAAGCCACTGCACTCCAGCCTGGGCAACAGGGCGAGACTCCGTCTCAAGAAAAAAAAAAAAAAAAGAAAGTAATTTGTCCTTTTTCTCTAATCGTTTTTTAAAAAAATTTCTGTGGTTCTTTCAATATGTGTCTTTACAGATAAGGAAGAATTCTTTATTTGTAACATAACCACAATATTGTTATCATACAAAATATTAACTGTAATTCCTTAAATCACCAAATATCCCATGTACGAAATTCTAATTGTCTCACAAATGTCATTTGCTTTTTAAAAACAACGTGTTTGTTTAAACCAGTATTTATAAGGTGCACACATTATGATCAGATTATATCTTTTTAATCCTTTTATCTATAGGTTCACCCTCCATATTGCTCACTCTCCCTCTCTCTTTCTGTGTGTGTGTGATTTTTACACACATATGTATATGTATATACATACACACATGTATATAAAAATATAAATATAATTTTTTTCTGGCAGTTCATTTGTTAAAGAAAGCTGATTGTCTTACAGAGACCCCATAGTCTGCATTTTGATGATTACAGTTTAATGGTATCCTTTTAGTAAGATAACTTCATAGATAGTGTTGTGTAGAGTGTATAGTAGTCTCTCTATGCTAATTTATGGTCAATCCATTAGTTCACTGGAAGTTATATAATATTGATATCCCAATTACATCATATATTGATTTATTAGATAGAATACACCTATAAGGATAAATTCCCCTTCATCTTTTTTTTTTTTTTTTTTTTGACAGAGCTAGCTGAGGTTTTATTTTAGACCAAAAAAAAAAAAAAAAGCAATTGAATTGTTTTGTAGCTGGAGGCATGGGCAAGGGGGGTCCCCAGGTAGTAAACTCCCCCACAGGTGGGCTGAGGGCCAGGGCTGAGCCTCAGGTGGGTCTCCTGTTCCCAGTGCTACCCTGCATAGTGGCCTCCCTCCCAGGCTCTGGGGCAGCGCAGAAGGGGCAGGCTGGGAGGGGCTGCCTCAGCTGTTCACTTGGGCAGGAGTCGGAGGACTCGGACACCAGCTTCCTATCACGTGTCTCGATCTTCTTCACAACCACGGCCCTCGAGGAGCTGGTGCGGCTGAAGGAGCTGGAGCCCGCGCCAGAGCCAAAGCTGGAGCCCAGGCCATAGCTGAGGCTGGGGCTTGTGAGGCCCCCATAGGCCGAGCTCAGACCACCTGCATAGCCGCTGGTGGTCTTCGTGTGAATACTCATGTTCTGCATCCCAGACTCCAGCCGGCTCTCCTCGCCCTCCAGTAGCTTCCTGTAGGTGGCGATCTCGACGTCTAGGACCAGCTTGACGTTCATCAGCTGCTGGTACTCACGCAGCTGCCGCAACATGTCCTGCTTGGCCCGCTGCAGGGCGGCCTCCAGCTCGGACAACTTGGCGTTGGCATACTTAATAGTCAGCTCTCCGCGCTGCTGTGCATCTGCAATGGCGGCCTCCAGGGAAGCCCTCTGGCCTTTGGGGCCCTCAATCTCAGCCTGGAGCCGGCTGATGTTCCGGTTTATCTAGGAGATCTCAGTCTTTGTGCGCCACAGGTCATCCCCGTGCTTCCCAGCCAGGCTCTTGCAGCTCCTCATTCTTGATCTGGTACATGCTCTCAGCCTCAGCCTGGCTGCGGCTGGCGGTCCTCGTACTGTGCCTTGACCTCAGCAATGACGCTGTCCATGTCCAGGGAGTGGCTGTTGTCCATGGACAGCACCACAGATGTGTCTGAGATCTGGGACTGCAGCTCCCGGATCTCCTCTTCATACAGCTGCCTGAGGAAGCTGATCTCTTCAGTAAGCCCTTCCAGGCGAGACTCCAGCTCTACCTTGTTCATGTAAGCTTCATCCACATCCTTCTTGGTGAGCACAAATTCATTCTCCATCTCTGTACGCTTATTGATCTCATCCTCATACTTGTTCTTGAAGTCCTCCACCAGCCCCTGCATGTTGCCAAGCTCCGCCTCCAGCTTCAGCTTCTCCTGGCCCAGAATCTCCAGCTGCTGCCTAAGGTTGTTGATGTAGCTCTCGAACTTGTCCATGTTGCTCCGAGCCGTCTTCTGCTGCTGCAGGAGGCTCCACTTGGTCTCCGGCATCTTGTTCTGCTGCTCCAGGAACCGTACCTTGTCTATGAAGGAGGCAAACTTGTTGTTGAGGGTCTTGATCGGCTCCTTCTCCTGGGTGCACACGGCCTGGATGTTGGGGTCCACCTCCAGGACAAGGGGGCTCAGCAGGTTCTGGTTGACCATGACTGCGGTGATGCCTCCCATGCCGCTGGCCCCACCATAACCGCCACCCAGGCCACCCCGAAAGCTGCTGCTGCCCACTTGGGAGAAGCTCAAGGAGCTGATGCAGGCACTGGGCCCACTCGAGTAGGAGTGGCTGCTGAAGGCCCGGGGACCAGAGGTGGACAACTTGTAGGACTTCTGGGTCACCCTGATGGACATGGTGAAGGCAGGAGTGGAGGCAGGCGGGCCAAACCAGGCGGATATCCTAGAAGGAGCGGAGAAGCTGCTTCTTGGTCCCCTTCATCTTTTATTAGTTACCCAGTAGTGCAGTTTATATAGGAAAGACAGAATACATATATGATTATTTCCTGTATTTACCAGTTTTCAAAAAAAAAAAAATTAAACTGGTTCCCTAGCATCCTCCAAGTAACCAATTTACTTTGCTTTATTGCCGTTGTTTTTGTCATTAGGAATTCATAGATTTGAACATATTTGTTGTTTTGATCTACACCTAAGGGTGTAGCCCTTTGAGATTCTGGTTTAAAATGGACGTGTCTTATCAGAGCCTCACCTTTGGCAGGTCTTGGGTTTTTATTTTTGTCACCTTAGCCCCACGTCATCACCAAAAATACAGCTTAGTTTGGAAGATTGGAAATGGCTCTCAGGGCAAATACAACTTTGAGTGAAGGGCATGTCTCACTAGATTTTCATCTTCTCCTAGATGTTGGCCTATTAATTCCTATCTTAATTGCTTTTTATGTTTTCTAAATATTTAATTCAGTTTTATGACTATTCTCAGTAGGAAGATTGTTCTGAATTCTTTAGTCTCCATTACTATAAGAATTTACTTCCTTATGTGGTATATATACACCATGGAGTACTACTCAGCCATAAAAAGAACAAAATAATGTCTTTTACAGTAACTTGTATGGAGCTGAAGGCCACTATTCAAAATGAAGTTACTCAGAAATGGAAAATCAAATACTGCATGTTCTCACTTACAAATGGGAGCTAAGCTATGGGTACACAAGGGCATTCAGAGTGGTATCATGGACACTGGAGACTCAGAAGTGGGGGACAAGCAAAGGGTACAATGGGTACAATGTATAATACTCAGCTGACAGGTGCACTGAAATCTCAAACTTCATCACTATACAATTCACCCATGTAACCAAAACTTCTTATACCCCAAAAGCTATTGAAATAAAAAAAAAAAAGACTTTAAAGAATTCACTGTCTTGAAGATGCCTTTCCTGACCCAATCCTAACTCCTCAAAATCATCTGTGAGACTCTCGATAATCTAACCTCAGTAGACCTCCTCTTCCACTGCCTTCCCATTAAACTATATGTTTGAATTCTACAAATATTTTTCTTCCCTACCACTCTTTTTATCCCAGACTTCCTAGCCTTTGCACAGGCAGATTCCTCTGCCAAGAATGCCTTAAATTCCCCAAAATAATGATTAAGCCCTAACTATTTTTTAAAGACTCAACCTAATTATCACTTTTCCCATGCTCCCCAAATATTATATTCATTCCTCCATTTTATCAATATAAAAGGTTATGTCACAAAAGCCATGGCAGGGTTTAAGGGCTGTGATCAATGGTGTCAAGTGTCTCAAAAGAGTCCAGTGGTCACCAAAATATATCCACTGGACCTGACAGAATGGCAGCCACTGGAGACTGCTGCCCGGGCAGTTCAGAAATACAGTGGGGAAGAAATCCAGACTGAAACATGCTGAAGAAAAATGAGCAGTGGAGGTAAAAATGTAGATTATTCTTTCAAGGAGCTTGGTTGTGAAGAGGCGCCAGAGGTTAGGTAGGTTTCATGTTTTGTAAATGGAAAAGATGCATAAATATGTCAGAGGAAAAAGACAGTAGAAAGGGAGAAGATAAAGATACAGGAGACAAAATGACAATTTATAGCACAAGTTCTCACTGAGACTTGAGGACAAAAGTAAGGTGGAGAGGTTTACAGAGAACCTTAGGGGTGGGGGTGAGCTTTAAATATGAGTTATAACTTCATCTTTTTTATTTTCATAAAACAAATAAGAAGACTTGTGGAGGGGAACACTTGAAGCAAGGGGTGAAAGTTTATAGTAGTTGCTATGGGGGAAAGGGGAGGAGTTGATACCTCTCAGAAACACACAGGATCACAGGGAATCAAGCAGAGGGAAGAGATCATGAATTTGTACTGGTATAAAATTCCGTGGTTGGGTAACTGACTGTCCAGCAGTCCTCGCCAACACAGATACAGGGTCGGAAAAGGAGGACAGATGTACTGCTCTGGGGTTGAAGTTTATAAAGGAACAATGGGTTTGGGGGTATTAATAAGAGAAGTGATGGATCATAGGTATAGACCGATAGACTGGAGAAATTGGAGGAGTGAAGGGAATGTTGATTTTAGTGAGAGAGAACAGATGCAGAGAGAGATAAGTGTTGATAGGGAAGGAAGTCATAGCCAGGGATATTGGGCTTGAAGAATCAGTTGATAACAAACTCCATGATACGGCATAAGAGTAAGTGGATGACATAGAGTAAAAGTAAAAGAAATTGAACACTAGACAAAGGACAAAAAAGCTTGAACATTGAACAGCCATTAACACTGATCCTGAAAGCCATCCAAGATGATGGCAGGATCCACAAGATATAGGAGAACTGAGTCAGGTGCCAGAATTTTAGATGTGACCAAATCCCTATATGTCAATTTTCTATATAACAAATAGGAGCAGAGGGTCATGTTGCTAGACTAAAAGAGTCTCAAAGAGGATGGAAGAATTATGGTCATGGCTTTGGGCTTCCATTTTCTTTTCTGGAAAAAAAGGCGAGATTAAATTAGGTCATCTCTGAGCAATCTTAGAGCTCTAAAATCTACGAGCTCCCATCTAGACGATGACAGCCTGGAGGGTGCTCCCCATTTTCTAGCAGGGCACTCCCTACATCTGCTGCTCACACTCTGTTGGGGTTCCCATGTGTCAATGCTCAGCTTTTCAGTCACTCCTCAGCCATGTCCCTGTGTTTCCTGGGCTCATGGGCTGGCCTTCACCCTCTAAACCCCATGGACCCTGATTTATGTGCTCCTTGTCGTCTGTGCTAGCCTGGCCTACCTAGCTTGGTGTATCTACTTAGCAACAGGAAGCTCTCTTTATTCACTGTCCATCTTTTTACCCAAGCCTCAATATCCACCATTTACTCAGCTCTGCTCAGATACCTAGTTCTTGGCAGACCTCTTTCTGTTTCCTACCACTGACACCATGATGTAGGCCTATAGTTAACATGAATTAGGAAAGCCTTGGGCTGCCAAGGATCTCTTCCTCTCCTGTCCATAAAAGCCAAGACTGACTCAGATTGATTAGAGCTTCCCCTTCATCCAATGTCGTTTTTACATGAGTCCACTCCATTTAATTTTTCTTCCTCAATCTTCATTATTCCACCACACATACTCATTTTAGGACTTCCAATTTCAACCTCACCCTTCACCCTATCCAGCAGCACAGCTTCTCGCCTCCCACTTCTATCCCTAATGCTAACCCACTTCTCAAAAAGGCAGTCTCTCCCACTGTTGGAATCATTGTGATCTTGGTTGAGAATCTCTAATCTCTCCAGTCTGACTGCTGTGTGTTCTCCAGCTGCGAGGATTAGTGAGGCATCAGAATAGGTTGGCACACATGCTGGGCTATCCCTGCAGCTGTTGTGCTTTTTCAAAAACCACCAAGCAGGGAGCCCAGCCTGCCAGCAAAGAGCTACAGGCTATAGTGGCTTCTTGCAACTTTCCTCTGAAAACACAGTGGGAAAGGTCACTATGGGTGCAAGTCCTTGGACAGGACTCCATAAAAGCCTCCTGTGAAACTCATCCAAGTACATGAAAAAGTGGTAGTCAGAATATCTGGGCCCTTATCCATCCCACTTTACGTATTGCTGCTGGAATGAAGTAGTCTTTACCTTTTCCCATCTCCACCAGATAATCCTACTGGCTCCCTGCTGTCCTCTCTTAAAATTAAAATAATTTAGGGCCAGGCGCGGTGGCTCACGCCTGTAATCCCAGCACTTTGGGAGGCCGAGGCAGGTGGATCACGAGGTCAGGAGTTTGAGACCAGCCTGGCCAACATAGTGAAAACCCGTCTCTACTAAAACTACAAAAATTAGCCAGGCATGGTGGCGCCCTCCTGTAGTCCCAGCTACTCAGGAGGCTGATGCAGGAGAATCACTTGAACCTGGGAGGCAGAGGTTGCAGTGAGCCAAGATTGTGCCACTATGCTCCAGCCTAGGCAACAGAGCGAGACTCCATCACAAAAAAAATAAATAAATAAAAATAAAAAATAAAATAATTTAAAAATTGGATGTTTTTATTATTGGACTAATACAGGTTATTGCAGAAAACCTGGAGGAAAACAAATGGAGAAGTGTAAAGAAGACTATATAAATCTCTTGTCATTCCATCACCCAGAAATAATATTGTTATTATGTTGGCATGTTGCCTAACAATCTTTTTTTTTTTTTTTTTTTCCGAGACGGAGTCTTGCTTGGTTGCCCAGGCTGGAGTGCAGTGGTGCGATCTCGGTTCACTGCAAGCTCTGCCTCCCAGGTTCACGCCATTCTCCTGCCTCAGCCTCCCAAGTAGCTGGGACTACAGGCGTGAGCCACTGTGCCCGGCCACAGTCTTATGTGTATGTGTGGGGGGTGTGTGTGGGGGTGTAAGAATATGTTTGTGTTCCTGGTTTTGTTTTACAAAATTGGCATACCTGATAATATTCCAGAATACAGTTAGGCTGTAATTCAATTATTTTATATTATCAAAAATTTTTCCAATTTTGTATTAGTATAAGTAATGATGCTGCAATAAACATCCTTGAGGAATTATTGAAGCAAAAGATACATCCACTGTAAGGCTCTTTATTCATGCTGCCAAATTGTCCCCCAAAGAGTAAAAATCAGTTTCTACTTTATTCAATGAGAGTTTCTATTTCATGGAACACTTCTTGCCCACATTAGATAGTTTTACTTTTCTAATGCTTTGAAAATTTGGTACTGATTGGTAAATGACATCTTATTTGAATATGTACCCCTTATGAAAGAGGTTGCTCATTTTTTGTTTGTTTGTTTACTGGGTTGGTTTGTTTTTTTAGAGACAGAGTTTCTGTGCCAGTCTGGAGTGCAGTGGTATGATCATGGCTATGGAGTAGCTGGACTACAGGTGTGTGCCATCACACCTGGGTAATTTTTTCATTTCTTTTGTAGAGATGGGGACTCATTATGTTCTCAGGCTGGTCTTGAACCCCTGGGCTCAAGCATTCCTCCAGCCTTGGCCTCTCAAAGTGCTGGGATTACAAGTGTGAGCCACCACTCCCGGCCCTGTTGTACATTTTTTCCCATGCTGATTGGTCCATTCAATCTCAACAAAAATTAGCCCAGTCTCCAAACTTTATTCCACTGTGCTCATCCTCCTTTACCAACCTCATTTCTCATGACCTCCCACCAATCTGTATCCAACAATAGCCAAGCTTGTCTCATTACACAATGCTTGCACTCTTCATTTATGCAAATAGCCAACTTTAATAATCACCTGCTATGTGTCAGGCATTGTACAAGCACTTTACAAGTATTAACTCATTTAGTCTTTACACCAGCTCTATAGGCAAGGTATTATTGTTATTATTAACTACTTTTAAAATGTGGATACAGGCACAGATAAATTAGTTAACGTTTCCAAGATCACACGGCTTGAATCTTGAACCCTGGAGGATCTAAGAATCAAATCCAGACAGAGGGCTCAAGAGCTGATCATTAGACTAAAAAGCCTCCCTCCTAAAAGGGTAACATGAACAGCCTTCCTTTAAAAATTTCACCAATGCGAAAATTTTTCAGATTTTAAGTATAGGAGTAGGGTTAAAGTTTGAAAATAAAGGGCAAGCAGAATTTTTCTTTTTAGCCCAGATAGAGTAGTAGGAACTGGATTCGGTTGTTTCAGTTGAAAACAACTGAAACAACTAAAAAAAATAGACAAAATATATGAAACAATTGTTCTCAAGACATTGGATACCAGGAAATGAAGGACAGCGACTCCTGAGAAGTGGAAAACAAATGCAGGGAGCCCTACATTGCTCCAGCTTACTTCCTGGACAAAGTTTCCAGGCCAAGGCACAGGAAGGGGGAACTCAAGTGGAGTCCTGTGGTATTCCCCGAGTTGAGGAGTCAAAATTAAGAGTCCAGGAGGGCAAGGTGGCTGGAGTTCACAGGCCAGAGTATCAAAAAGGAAACTGCTGCATAGAGAGGACTCCAGAGATCTGCACAGGGCCGGTTTCTTTTGAGTACTCAGCTGAATTTAGATCAATGAATGTACGTGAGGAAATTTCCTCAGAGTGAGGAAAAAACTTCCTGAAAGGATTAGAAAGAATAATGCTTGGCCAGGCACAGTGGCTCACACCTGCAATCCCTGTACTTTGGGAGGCCGAGGCAGGTGGATCACTTGAGGTTAGGAGTTCAAGACCAGTCTGGCCAACATAGTGAAAACTCGTCTCTACTAAAAATATAAAAATTAGCCCAGCTTGGTGGTGCATGTTTGTAATCCCAGCTACTCAGGAAGCTGAGGCATGAGAATTCCTTGAACCTGGGAGGTGGAGGTTGTAGTGAGCTGAGATCGTGCCATTGCACTTCAGCCTGGGCGATAAAGCAAGACTCCAACTCAAAAAAAAAAGAAAAAAAAGAAAAAGAAAGAATAACCCTTGACACTCACACAGGGCCAGCAATAGTGTCTGTTCCCACCAGCCAGAGTGAAAGATCTCTTAATTCACAAGGTAAGGCAGAGTACACAGAAAGGTCTAGCCTCAATAATGAGGGGGAAAAAATCAACCTTAGAATAAATGTAGTCCTGGTTTTACCTCACAAAGTTTAAAAGAACAATCTGAAGGGTTCAGACTGTTTCTAAGAAACTTTACTGCATTCTACAGCAAAATTCAAGAATATATATAAGAAATCAAAAATATCTAGCACCCAACAAAGTACAACTCACAATGCCTATTATCCAGTAAAAAATTGCCAGGCATGAACAAGACAGGGATGCCCTCTCTCACCATTCCTATTCAACATAGTGTTGGAAGTTCTGGCCAGGGCAATCAGGCAAGAGAAAGAAATAAAGGGTATTCAATTAGGAAAGGAAGAAGTCAAATTGTCCCTGTTTGCAGATGACATGACTGTGTATTTAGAAAACCCCATCATCTCAGCCCAAAATCTCCTTAAGCTGATAAGCAACTTCAGCAAAGTCTCAGGATACAAAATCAATGTGCAAAAATCACAAGCATTCTTATACACCATTAACAGACAAACAGACAGGCAAATCATGAGTGAACTCCCATTCACAATTGCTACAAAGAGAATAAAATACATAGGAATCCAACTTACAAGGGATATAAAGGACCTCTTCAAGGAGAATTACAAACCACTGCTCAAGGAAATAAAAGAGGACACAAACAAATGGAATAACATTCCATGCTCATGGATAGGAAGAATCAGTATCATAAAAATGGCCATACTGTCCAAAGTAATTTATAGATTCAATGCCATCCCCATTAAGCTACAAATAACTTTCTTCACAGAATTGGAAAAAAAACTACTTTAACGTTCATATGGAACAAAAAAAGAGCCTGCATTGCCAAGACAATCCTAAGCAAAAAGAACAAAGCTGGAGGCATCACACTACCTGACTTCAAACTATACTACAAGGCTACAGTAACCAAAACATCATGGTAGTGGTAGCAAAACAGATATATAGACCAATGGAAAAGCAAGAGGTCTCAGAAATAACACCACACATCTAACCATCCGATCTTTGACAAACCTGACAAAAACAAGAAATGGGGAAAGGATTTCCTATTTAATAAATGGTGCTGGGAAAACTGGCTAGCCATATGTAGAAAGCTGAAACTGGATACCTTCCTTACACTTTATACAAAAATTAATTCAAGATGGATTAAAGACTTAAATGTTAGACCTAAAACCATAAAAACCCTAGACGAAAACCTAGGCAATACCATTCAGGACATAGGCACGGGCAAGGACTTCATGACTAAAACACCAAAAGCAATGGCAACAAAAGCCAAAATAGACAAATGGGATCTTATTAAACTAAAGAGCTTCTGCACAGCAAAAGAAACTACTATCAGAGTGAACAGGCAACCTACAGAATGGGAGAAAATTTTTGCAATCTACCCATCTGACAAAGGGCTAATATCCAGAATCTACAAAGAACTCAAACAAATTTACAAGAAAAAAAACAACCCCATCAAAAAGTGAGCAAAGGATATGAACAGACACTTCTCAAAAGAAGACATCTATGCAGCCAACAGACACATGAAAAAATGCTTATCATCACTGGTCATCAGAGAAATGCAAATCAAAACCACAATGAGATACCATCTCACGCCAGCTAGAATGGCAATCATTAAAAAGTCAGGAAATAACTTTGTCGGAGAGGATGTGGAGAAATAGGAACACTTTTACACTGTTGGTGGGAGTGTAAATTAGTTCAACCACTGTGGAAGACAGTGTGGCAATTCTTCAAGGATCTAGAACTAGAATTACCATTTGACCCCACAATCCCATTACTGGGGATTATATACCCAAAGGATTATAAATCATGCTACTATAAAGACACATGCACGCATATGTTTATTGTGGCACTATTCACAATAGCAAAGACTTGGAACCAACCCAATGCCCATCAATGATAGACTGGATAAATAAAATGTGGCACATATACACCATGGAAAACTATGCGGCCATAAAAAAGGATGAGTTCACGTCCTTTGCAGGGACATGGATGAAGCTGGAAACCATCATTCTCAGCAAACTATCACAAGGACAGAAAACCAAACACCGCATGTTCTCACTCATAGGTGGGAATTGAACGATGAGATCACTTGGACACAGGGCAGGGAACATCACACACCAGGGCCTGTCGGGGGTTGGGGGGCTGGGGGAGGGATAGCATTAGGAGAAATGCCTAATGTAAATGATGAATTATGGATGCAGCAAACTAACATGGCACATGTATGCCTACGGATCAAACCTGCACATTGTGCACATGTACCCTAGAACTTAAAGTATAAAAAAGAAATCCAAAATTAAATAACATAATCCATCACATCAGCTGGCTAATGAAGAAAAATTACATGATCATATTAATAGATGCAGAAAAAGCATTTGACAAAATCCAACATCTATTAAGGATAAAACTCTCAGTTAGCTAGGAATAGAGAGAAATTTCCTCAATTTGAGAAAGAATATCCATGAAAAAAAAATGCCAGGCATGCAAAGGAAATTATTGCCTACAATAGGAAAAATATCAGTCAACTGAAACTGATCCAGAAATGATACATGAGATAGAATTAGTACCCACAAAGAATTATTTTAACTGTATTACACACATTCAAGAAGCTAAAGGAAAGACTGAGCATATTAAGCATAGACATACAAAAAAATGTAAAAAGAACCTAATTGAAGTTCTTGTTATGAAAACTCTAATGTTTTAAATGAAAAATACACTGGATATGATTAATAGCAAATTAGACATAGCAGAAGAAAAGATTAATGGATTTATAGAATAGCAATAGTAACTATCCAAAATGAAGCATAAAGAGAAAAAAAGACTGAAAAAAAAAAGAGATTCAGTGAGCTGTGAGACACTTCAAGTGTCCTATTACACAGAAATTAGTTTCCAAAGGAGAGGAATGAGATGAGGGAAACAGACAAAAATATCTGAAGAAATAACAAAAATTTACCAAATTTCATGAAAACTATAACCCACAGATCCAAGAAGCTCAATGAACCCGCAAGTAAAGAAACTACATTAAGAACATCATAATCCAATTGTTTAAAACAATAGATAAAAAGAAGATTTTGAAGGAAGCCAGAGGAAAAAATACACATTACATACAGAAGAATAAAGATAGGGTATAAAGATGATTTCTCATTATTTAAAAAAAAAATGCATGTTAGAAGATGGCGGAGCAACATCTTTTAACTATTAGAAGAAAATAAACTGTCAACTTAGAAACCTTTAACTCTACATGTCCTTCAAAAATAAAGACAGGACCAGCCTGACCAACATGGTGAAACCCTGTCTCCACTAAAAAAAACACACAAAAAAATTAGCCGGGCATGTTGGTGTGCACCTGTAGTCCCAGCTACACAGCAGGCTGAGGCAGGAGAATCCTGAACCCAGGAGGCAGAGGCTGCAGTGAGCCGCGATTGCACCACTGCACTCCAGCCTGGGTGGCAGGCCAAGACTCCGTCTCAATAATACATAAATAAATAAATACATAAATAAAAAAGACAGGCCAGGCACGATGGCTCATGCCTGTAATCCCAGCATCTTGGGAGGCTGAAGTGGGAGGATCAATTGAGCCCAGGAGTTCAAGACCAGCCTAGGCAATATGGCAAGGCTCCATCTCTACAAGAAATAAAGACAATTAGCCAGGCATGGTGCATGCCTCTTGTCTCAGCTGCTCAGGAAGCTGAGGTGGGAGGATTGTTTGAGCTTAGGAGGTCGAGGCTACAGTGAGCCGTGATTGTACCGCTGCAGTCAGCCTGGGTAATAGAGTAAGACCCTGTCTAGAAAATAAATAAATAAAATAAAACATTTTCAGGCATACGAAAGTTGAAAGAATTTATCATCAGCAGACACTACACAATAAGAGATGTTAAAGGAAGTATTTCAGGCAGAAGGAATGATACCAGATGAAAATCTGGATTTATACAAAAAAATGAAGAGCACCAGAAATAGTCAGTATGTGGGTAAATACAAAGATTTCTATATTAATTATTTAAATCTCTTTAAAAGGCAATTGACTGTTTAAAACAAAAAGAATAACAATGTAATGTAGAATTTGCAACAAATGTAGAAGTAAAATATATGTTAACAATAGCACAAAAGCTGGGAGGAGAGAAATAGAAGGGTATTGTTACGGGTTATTATATTATATGCAAAGTAGAATAATACCACTTGATAGTAGTAAAGAAAAATTAATGCGTACTATAATAGCACAACAAAAAGTTATAGCTAATAAGTCAATAAGAGAGATTAAAATAAATCATTAAAAATATAACCATATATCTTAAGAAACTAGAAAAAAAAGAGCAAACTAAGCCCAATGTTAGCAGAAGGTAAGAAATAATAAGAGTAGAGTGAACATAAATAAAAAAGAAAATAACAGAAAATGGAGAGAGTCAATGAAACCAAAACTTGGTTCTTTGAAAAGATCAACAAATTAACAAACCTTTAGCTAGGTTGACAGAAAAAAAGAAGACTCAAAATACTAAAATCAGAAATAAAAGTTAGGACATTACTACCAATTTTACGGAAGTAAAAAGGATTATAAAAGAATACTATGAACAATTGTATGTCAACCAACTGGAGAGCCATGCTGAAATGAACAGACTTCTAGAAACACACAAATTACCCTAACTCGAAAAGAAATAGAAAATCTAAATAGACCTGTAAGTCATATGGATATCAAACCAGTCATAAAAAACCTCCTGCTATGGACTAACTTATGTCCCACCAAATTCATATGTTGAAGCTCTAACCTCAGTATGATGATATTTGGACATGGGGACCTTTGGGAGGTTCAGATGAGGTCATGAGGATCAGGCCCTCATGATGGGATTAGTGTCCCTATTGGAAGAGATTTGAGAGCTTTCTCTAGTTTTTTTCTCCACCAGGTAAGAATACAGTGAGAAGGCGGCTATCTGCAATCCAGGAAGAAAGTCCTCACCAGAACCCAACAGTGCTGGTACCCTGATCTTGGACTTCCCAACCTCCAGAACTGTGAAAAACAAATGTCTGTTGTTTCTGTCACCCTGTCTGTAGTATTTTGTTATGGCAGCCCAAGCAGACTAATACACTTTCCAACAAAGAAAAGCCCCAGGACCAGATAACTTCACTAATAAATTCTACCAAATATTTAAGGAGGAATTAGTATAAATTTTTCTCTAACTCTTCCCCAAAATTGAAGAGGCAGGAATACTTCCTAACTCATTCAATGAGGCCAGCATTACCCTGATACCAAAGCCAGATAGGGAAACCACAAGAAAATTACAGACCAATATCCCTTATACAGACGCAAAAATTCTCAACAAAATACTAGCAAACTGAATTCAGCAGCATATTAAAAGGATTATACACCATGACCAAGTGGGATTTATTCTCAGAATGCAAGGATGGTTCAACATACAAAGATCAATCAATGTAAAATACCTCACTAATAGAATTAATTTTAAAAACCATGATCATCTCAATTGATGCAGAAAAAGCATTTGACAAAATCTCACATCCTTTCATGATAAAAACACTCAATAAACCAAAAATAGAAGGAAACTTTCTCAGCATGATCAAGACCATATATGAAAGATCCATACTCACTGGTGAAAGACTGGAAGCTTTCCCCTAAGGTCAGGAATGAGACAGATTCTTCCACTTTCATCACTTCTATTCAAAATAGTCCTGTAAGTTCTAACCTGAGCAATTACGCAAAAAAAAAAAAAAAAAAAAAAAGCCATCCAAATTGGAAAGGAAGGAGTAAAATTATTTCTATTAGCAGATGATATGGCATTATATGTAGAAAACCTTAAAGAATACATACACAGAAATAGTTAGAATGAATAAACAAATTCAGGGGAGAACTGGGGCCTGCTCCCAGAGAGATACAGCTACGTTGATCAAAACTGAATCTTCGGATGTGATCCACCTTATCATGCAGTACTTGAAGGAGAACGGTTTACATCGGGCATTAGCCACCTTGCAGGAGGAGACTACTGTGTCTCTGAATGCTGTGGACAGCATTGAGAGTTTTGTGGCTGACATTAACAGTGGCCATTGGGATACTGTGTTGCAGGCTATACAGTCTCTGAAATTGCCAGACAAAACCCTCATTGACCTCTATGAACAGATTGTTCTGGAATTGATAGAGCTCCGTGAATTGGGTGCTGCCAAGTCACTATTGAGACAGACTGATCCCATGATCATGTTAAAACAAACATAGCCAGAGCAATATATTCATCTGGAGAACCTTTTGGCCAGGTCTTACTTTGATCCTCGTGAGGCATACCCAGATGGAAGTAGCAAAGAAAAGAGAAGAGCAGCAATTGCCCAGGCCTTAGCTGGTGAAGTCAGCGTGGTGCCTCCATCTCGTCTCATGGCACTGCTGGGACAGGCACTGAAGTGGCAGCAGCATCAGGGATTGCTTCCTCCTGGTATGACCATAGATTTGTTTTGAGGCAAAGCAGCTGTCAAAGATGTGGAAGAAGAAAAGTTTCCTACACAACTGAGCAGGCATATTAAGTTTGGTCAGAAATCACAAGTGGAGTGTGCTCGATTTTCTCCAGATGGTCACTATTTGGTCACTGGGTCTGTTGATGGACTCACTGAAGTATGGAACTTTACTACTGGAAAAATCAGAAAGGATCTTAAGTACCAGGCCCAGGATAACTTTATGATGATGGATGATGCTGTCCTCTGCATGTGTTTCAGCAGAGATACAGAAATGTTAGCAACTGGGGCCCAAGATGGAAAAATCAAGGTATGGAAGATTCAGAGTAGACAATATTTAAGGAGATATGAGAGGGCACACAGTAAGGGTGTCACGTGTCTAAGCTTTTCTAAGGATAGCAGTCAGATCCTTAGTGCTTCTTTTGACCAGACAATTAGAATTCATGGTTTAAAATCTGGGAAAACCCTGAAGGAATTTTGTAGCCATTCCTCCTTTGTTAACAAAGCAACATTTACACAAGATGGACATTATATTATTAGTGCATCCTCTGATGGCACTGTAAAGATCTGGAATATGAAGACCACAGAATGTTCAGATACCTTTAAATCCCTGGGCAGCACTGCAGGGACAGATATTACCGTCAACAGTGTGATTCTACTTCCTAAAAATCCTGAGCACTTTGTGGTGTGCAACAGATCAAACACAGTGGTCATCATGAACATGCAGGGGCAGATTGTCAGAAACTTCAGTTCTGGTAAAAGAGAAGGTGGGGACTTTTCTGTGCCCTCTCTCCCCGTGGTGAATGGATCTACTGTGTAGGGGAGGACTTTGTGCTCTACTGTTTCAGTACAGCCACTGGCAAACTGGAAAGAACTTTGACAGTGCACGAGAAGGATGTGATTGGTATTGCACATCACCCTCATCAGAACCTGATTGCTACCTACAGTGAAGATGGACTCCTAAAGCTCTGGAAACCATAATTCAACTTTTCTTTTTAAATCAGCTTGAAAGCACGTACTTAAATGAAGGCATATTCATGTAATGTGCTTTTTTTTTTTTTGCCAGCTTTTCTAAGCAAATAGATTGTCTGAATTAGTCACAAGGATAATTTTGTGAAAATTCATGTTTAAGTAGCAAGTACCCTTCCTTTTCTTATATATTTTTAAGGTATTAGTTTATCTTCTTCTAACTGGGGCAGTCACTTAATGTTTTCATTAATCTTCTACCTGGAGAGTGAAATACTGATATTTCTAGAAAAAAATTTTACTCCTTTGATTATTTGAAATGCTGATTAAAATGTCCCTCCCATAGTAAAATTTATAAATAAGGAAATATATCATATTCAGTAGCTGTGTTCTGTTCCATCTTTTTTTTTTTTTTCTTTTTTTGAGATGGAGTTTTGCTTATTGCCCAGGCTGGAGTGTAGTGGCACAATCCTCGTTCACTGCAACCTCCGCCTCCCGGGTTCAAGCGATTCTCCTGCCTCAGCCTCCCGAGTAGCTGGGACTACAGGTGTGCAACACCACACCTGGCTAATTTTTTTGTATTTTTAGTAGAGATGGGGTTTCACCATGTTGGCCAGGCTGGTCTCAAACTCCTGACATCAAATGATCCACCCGCCTTGGCCTCCCAAAGTGCTGGGATCACAGGCGTAAGCCACCGTGCCCGGCCCATCTTTTTTTTTCTCTCTTTTTTTTTAAGATGTTAATAAACTTTATACCTTTCTGGGAAAAAAAATTCAGCAAAGTTGCAGGACATAAACACACAAAAGTCAGTTGTATTTATACACACTAGTAGTGAAGAATTTCAAAATAAAATTAAGAAAACTATTCTATTTTTCAGAGAATCAAAAAGAATAAAATACTTAGGAGTGAATTTAATCTAGGAGGTAAAAGACTTATACACTAAAAACTACAAAACATTGCTGAGGGAAATTAAGGATGACCTAGACAAATGGAAAGACATCCCATGTCTATGGGTTAGAAGACAATATTGTTAAGGTGCCAATACTACCCAAAGCAATCTACAGAATCAATGCAGTCCCTATCAAAATCTCAAGGGAGTTTGTTTGTTTCAGGGTTTTTGGTGGAAATAGAAAAACTTATCATAAAATTATTTGGAATTTCAAGGGATCCCAAATAGCCAAAACAATCTCAAAAAAGAACAAAGATGACTCAAACTCCTCAATTTCAAAACTTACTACAAAGCAACAGTAGTACTGGCATATAGACATATAGACCAATAGAATAGAATAGAGACCCAAGAAATAAACCCTCATATATATGTTCAATTGATGTTTGACAAGCATATCAAGACCATTCAATGAGGAAAGGCAATCTTTTAAACAAATAGGACTGGGAAAAATAGATATTCACATGCAAAAGAAAGAAGTTGGACTAAATCTCACAACTTTTCATGATAAAACCCTTACCTTACACCATATATAAAAATTAGATAAAATGAATCAAAAAACTAAGTTTAAGAGGCAAAACTATAAAACTTGTAGGAGAAAACAGACAGGAATATCTTCATGACTTTGGATTTGGCAATGGTTTCTTAGATATGATAATAAAAGCACAGGCAATGAAAGAAAACATAGATAAATTGGGCTTAATCAAAATTAGACACCTCAATGCATCAAATGACACTCACAAGTGAAAAGCCAACACACAGAATGGGAGGCAACATTTGAAAATCATATATCTGACGGAATTATATCCAGAATAAATAAAGAACAACTCATCAACAACAAAACAATCCAATTCAAAAATGGGCAAAGTTTCTCCAGAGAAGATATACAAATGGCCAGTGAGCACATGAAAAGATATTCAACATCATTTGTCATAAGGGAAATGCAAATCAAAACCACAATGAGATACCACTTCACACTCAAAACAAGGGAAAACAAGTGTCCTTGGCAAGGATGTGGAAAAATTTGCACCCTTGTGTGTGGATAGTGGGACTGTACAATGGTACAGCCACTGTGGAAAGCAGTTTGGTAGTGTCTCAAAAAGTTAAACATAACTGGGCACGGTGGCCCCCACTTGTAATCCCAGCACATTGGGAAGCTGAGGTGAGAAGGTCACTTGAGCCTAGGAATTCGAGACCAGCCTGGGCAACATAGTGAGACCCCATCTCTAAAAAAAAATTTAAAAATTAGCCGAACATGGTGGCACACACCTGTAGTCCCAGCTACTTGGGAGACTGATGTGGGAGGATTGCTTGAGCCCAGGTCAAGGCTGCAGTAGGCTACGTAATGTCACTGCACTCCAGCCTGGGTGACAAAGTGAGACCCTGTCTCAAAAAAAAAAAAAAAAAGTTAAACATAGAACTACCATACAATCCACCATATAATCCAGCAATTCTCCTCCTAGGTATGCATCCAAGAAAACTGAAAACAGAGACAACCATGTACTTGCACAAAAGCCAAAATGTGGAAACAACTCAAGTGCCCATCAACAGATGAATGGATAAACAAAATGTGGAATAATTAATATACACATGGTGAAATATTATTCAGTTATACAAAGTAATGAAATTCTGATATGTGCTACAACATGGATAAAACTTGAAAATATTATGCTAAGTGAAATAAACCAGATACAAAAGGACAAATATTATATGATTCCATCTCTATATGAGATGTTTAGAATTGGCAAATTCATAGCAACAGAAAGTAGATTAGAGGTACCAGGGGCTACAAGAAAGGGGAAATGGGGAATTATTGCTTAATGGGTACAGACTTTCTGTTTGGGAAAATGAAAAAAGTTCTGGAAAAAGATAGCATAATGATTACACAATATTGTGAATATGCTTAATGCCACTGAATTGCACATTTAAAAACGGTTAAAATTATAAATCTGTTTTATATATAGATATATATGTTATATATATAAATATATGTTTTATATATATAACATATATAACATATATTTTACCACAGTAAAATACACTCAATCCAAAAGAAGGAAGAAAAAATGGAAGAAAGAACAGATGGACAAAGAGAAATATAATAGCAAAATGGTAGATTGAAACCCAAACCAAAACAATAATCACACTGACTGTAAATATACTAAACAACTCAATTAGAAGGCAGAGATTGTCAGACTGGGGGCGTGGAGAAAGCAAGACATGACTATGTGCTGCCTACTAAAAACCCACTGTATTAGTCCATTTTCACACTGCTATAAAGAACTACCTGAGACTAGGTAATTTATAAAGAAAAGTTTAATTGAGTCGCGGTTTCTCAGGCTTAACAAAAAGCATGACTAGGAGGCCTTAGGAAACTTACAGTCATAGCAGAAGGCAAAGGGGAAGCAAGCATGTCTTACCATGGTGGAGCAGGAGAGAGAGAGACAGCGAGGGAGGAACTGCCACACACTTTTAAACCATCAGATCTCATGAGAACTCACTCACTATCATGAGAACAGCAAGGGGGAAATCAGCTCCCAAGATTCAGTCACCTCTCACCAGGCCCCTCGCCCAACATGTGGGGATTACAATTCAAGATGAGATTTGGGTTTGGGTGGGAACACAGAGCCAAACCATATCGTCCACTTTATGAATAGTTCCCTTGCATCAGAAGAGAAAAAAGAAATAAATAAACCCACTTTAAATGTAAAGACACATATTAGTTACAAGTAAGAGTGGAAAAAGATATACTATGCTAACTCTAATTTTAAGAAAGTTGGAGTGGGGCCAGGTGTGGTGGCTCATGCCTGTAATCCCAGCACTTTGGGAGGCTGAGGTAGGCAGATCACTTGAGGTCAGGAGTTTGAGACCAGCCTAGGCAACATGGTGAAACCCCATCTCTACTAAAAAATACAAATATTAGCCAGGTGTGGTGGTGCATGCCTGTAATCCCAGTTAGTTGGGAGGCTGAGGCAGAAGAATCGCTTGAACCTAGGAGGCAGCGGTTGCAGGGAGCCAAGATCACACCACTGCATTCCAGCCTGGGCAACAGAGGGAGACTCCATCTCAAAAAAATTAATGGCCAGGAGTGGTTGCTCATATCTGTAATCCCAGCACTTTGGGAGGCAAGGCAGGCGGATCACCTGAGGTCAGGAGTTTGAGACCAGTCTGGCCAACATGGTGAAACCCCGTCTCTACTAAAAATACAAAAATTAGCCAAGTGTGGTGACACAGGCCTGTAATCCCAGCTACTCGGGAGGCTGAGGCAGGAGAATTGCTTGAACCCGGGAGGCAGAGGTTGCAGTGGGCCGGTATCACGCCACTGTACTCCAGCCTGGGCGACAGAGCAAGACTCCACCCCAAAAATAAATAAATAAATAAACAAATAAATAAATAAAGTTGGAGTGACTTTATTAATATCAGAGAGTACATTTCAGAGCAAAGAATATTATCAGGGTTAAGGAGAGTCATTTCATAATGATATAGGAGTCAATTCATGAAGAAGATGTAATAATCCTAACCATGTAGGCACCTATTAACATAGCTCAAAAATACATGCAACAAAAATGGATAGAACTGAAAGAATAGACAAATCCATAATTATAGTTAAATAGCTCATTCTCTCTCTCTCTCTCTCTCTCTCTGTGTTTCTCTCTCTGTCTCTCTCTCTCTCTCTCTCTCTCTCTCACCCTCTAATTCATCAAACAAATAGAGAGAAAATCAGTAAGGCCATAAAGGCTTGAACACCACTACTAACCAAACTGTCCTAACATTTATTAGAGCACTCCACCCAACAGTACAAGAATGCATGGAATATTTACCAAGATAGACCAGATTCACTGCCATAAAACAAGTCTCAATAAATTTAAAAGGATTCAAGTCATACAAAGTATGTTCTCTAACCACAATATAATTAACTTAGCAATTAATAACAGAAAAATACCTGGAAAAGTCCCCAAATATTTAAAAACTAAGTAATTCACTTCTAAATAATCCATGGGGTCTTTTTTTTATCTTTCTTTCTTTTTTCTTTTCTTAAAATAGAGACAGAGTCTTGTTATGTTGGCCAGGTCGTTCTTGAACTCCTAGCCTCAAGCAATCCTCCTGCCTTGGCCTCCCAAAGTGCTAGGATTACAGATGTAAGCCACTGCACCTGGCCCATGAGTTTAAACTGAATGAAAATGAACACAGAACATAGCAAAATTTGTGGGATGTAGGTAAGACAGTACTTACAGAGATATTTTTAATGTAAAAGTGTCTATATTAGAAAAAAAACTCAAATCAATAACCTCAGCTTTAACCTTAAGAAACTAGGGGGAAAAAAGCAAAATGAAATCCAAAGTAAGCAGAAGAAGGGAAAAAATAAATGCCAGTGCAGAAATTAATGAAACAGAAAAAATTAGGGAAAAAATCAATGAAACCAAAAGGTACTTGAGAAGATCAATACAATTTATAAAACTGTAGTCAGACTAGGGAAAAAATTACAAATATCAGGAATAAAGGAAGAGATCAGATTTTATACATATTAACAACATAGTAAAGGAATATTATAAACAGCTGTATACTGAGATATTCAACAACTTAGATGAAATGGACAAATTCTTTGCAAGACTGAATCTATCAAAGCTCTCTCAAGACAAAATAGATAACACAAACAGACTTATTTCGTATATCTATTATATTCTTATATCTATTAAGAAGATTGAAATTTTAGTTAAAACTTTCCTATGTAAAGGAAACTCCAGATCCAAATGGTTTCACTGGGGTATTCTACGAAACATATAAAGAAGGAATAATGCCAATTCCACACAAAGCCTTCTAGAACATGGAAGAAGAGATAATTCTTCCCAACTCATTCTATGAGGCCAGCATTATTCTGAAACTAGACAAAAACATTATAAGAAAAGAAAAGCAGCTGGGCATGGTGGCTCACACCTGTAATCCCAACACTTTGGGAGGCCGAGGTTGGTGGATCACCTGAGGTCAGGAGTTCGAGACCAGACTAGCCAACATGGTGAAACCCCATCTCTACTAAAAATACAAAAATTAGCCAGGCATGGTTGCACGCACCTGTAATCTCAGCTACTTGGGAGGCTGGGGCAGGAGAATTGCTTGAACCCAGGAGGCGGAGGTTGCAGTGAACTGAGATCACACCCCTGCACTCCAGCCTGGGCAACAAAAGCAAGACTCCATCTCAAAAAAAAAAAGAAAAGAAAAGAAAAGCTACAGACCAGTATCTATCATGAGTATCATGAGCACATATGCAAAATCTTTAACAAATTTTTAGCAAATCAAATCCGACAATGTATAATAAGATTAATACATCATGACCAGGTAGAATTTATCCCAAAAATTCAAGCCTGGTTCAACACTGAAAATTCACCATATCAACAGGCTAAAGAAGAAAAACCACATAATCATGTCAACTAACGCAGAACAAAGAATTTGATAAAATACATCTATTCTTTTTTTAGAAAAAACAAATGTTATTGTGTATATTTGAGGTTTATAACATGATGTTATGGGATACATATTGAGAGTAAAATGATTACTATAGTGAAGGAAGTTACCATATTAATCATCTCACGTATTTTCTTTGTATGACAAGAGTAGCTAAAATCTACTTATTTAACAAAATTTCCTAATATAATACAATTTCAACTATAGTCCTCATGTTGTACATTAAAACACAACTATTCTTTGAAAGCTCCCAGCACACTAGGAACAGGAGAGAACTTCCACAACCTGATAGAAAGAATCTAAGAAAAACCTACAGATAATATCATATTTAATTGTGAAAAAACAATTGCTTTCCCCCTAAGATGAGAAACAAGGCAGGGATGTCTTATCTTAGTAGTTCTATTAACATTGCATTAGATGTTCTAGCTAGTGCAATAAGACAAGAAAAAGAAAAAGAAATAAAGGGAGTGCAGATTAGAAAGAAAGGAATAAAACTGTTATTATTCTCAGATAACATAACCATCTACTCAGAAAATTTGATGGAATTTACAAAATACCCACTAGAACTAATAAATAGGTTTACAAGATTGCAAGATACAGATCAATATACAAAAATAACTGTGTTTCTATGTACCAGTAGTAAGTAATCAGAAATTGAAATGTGAAAGATGCCATTCAGCAATAAATAAAAGCAACAACACAGATGAATCTGAAAATAATTATGCTGAGTACAAGTCATTAAAAAAGATACATACTATATGATTTCATTTATATAAAATTCTAGAAGATGGAAGCTAATCTATAGAAACAAAAAGTATATCCGTGATTGCCTGGGGACCAGAATAGGGAAGGGTGTCCAGTGGGAAGGGTTGGGAAGAAATAATCAGAAAGAAGCAACAGTAAACTCTTCAGCATAATGTTCACTATCTTGATTGTGCTGACAGTTTCATGTGTGTGTGTGTCAAAACTCACCAAATTATACGTTTTAAATATGTGTAATTTATTGCATGTCAATAAATTTCTTTTAACTTTTAAAAGGATATTTTTCAGTTTTGTTTGTTCGTTTTGTTTTTGAGACAGGGTCTCACTGTGTCACTCAGGTGGGAGTGCAGTGCCATGATCATAGCCCACTGCTGCCTTGATCTCCTGAGCTTAAGCGATCCTCCCGGCCTCAGCCTCCAGAGTAGCTGGAACTACAGGTATGCACCATCACACTCAGCTAATCTTTTTGATTTTTAGTGGAGATGAGGTCTTTCTATGTAGCCCAGGCTGGTCTCAAACTCCGGAACTCAAGCAATCCTCCTGTCTTGACCTCACAATATTTTTCAGTTTTAAAAGCAGGATTTGGGCGGTTTTTTATTATCTTCCCCTTGGCATCTCACCTTTTTTGTTTCTCACATTTGATCCTGGGAACTTTGTCTTATTTGGAAGAAACACACACACACAACACATCCAACTTCCCAAAATATTAGCCTTCAGTCTAAAATTGGTTCTCTTTCACACATTTTTTTCTTTACAATTTATCTTGGCACCTTCTCTGTTATTCAATTTGTCTCAGCTACTTGGAGTATGATGGGAGAGCCTGGTTTCTAAGGTAACCACAGACAGGAAGGTAGCAAGCTGGGGACGCTGAAGGGCACACCTGGAAGGTGACCCTGCAAACAATGCAGACCTCTCACTGTGAGTAAAGGTGAGAAGCTCCTTCTCCAATAAATTCCCTGAGATCCTCAAGAGAGATGAGGGCCAAATCTCTGGGGGAAAAAACTCAAGGGACATTGAGAGGGAAGGCAAAGAACTAAGAGAAAAATTGCTGGTCCACTGCCCCATGGGAAAAAGAAGTCTCTGGGGGGTTGAGGAGATAAACCAATGGACTCTGCTTCTAGCTCCACCCTCCCCAGTTTCTCCTCAAAAAGCTCTGCACCTCTCCCATCTTTCTGAGAAGGTTCTGCCAAATTCATTGTTCTTTGGTTTTATCACTTTCCCCCCGGGGCCTGGCATGGTGCCTGTGACAAGGAGACAGCACAGGTAATAAAAGGAAAGCCAACCACAGACCCTGGAGCCAGACTGCCTGGGTTCCAGCTCTCTGACTCTGGGCAAGTTATTCTCCCTCTCTGGGCCTCTGTTTCCCCATCTGAAAATAAGGTTGATATTATAATAGTACCTACTTCAAAAGGTTGCTGAGAAAATCGAGTAGTTAATTCTTGTAGTTTGCTTGGAACAGTATTTACATAGCAAGCACTATATATGTTTTGGGTATGATTATTACCTGATATTAAAATTTTATTGGGAATTCAACAGGTTAAATGAACATAATATTCTGAGTGACAATGAAATGACATCTGTAACAGAGATTTTAGGACTGGTTGTTCTGGCTACCCAGAAGTATTCTAGAGAAATCAAAATCAGCTAATGAAAAAACCACAGAATTTTCTCACCCTTAGGAGTAAGCAGTATCTTAATTAAGCCTCTCACATCATCTTCCCAACTGATAAAGGTTTAAGAGGAGTGAAAGATCGTCAATGAAACAATGGCACTATGTCTCCAGTGGTGATTTTAATTTGCCAGGTCTGTCCCTTAACAGCACCCTAGAAGGAGAATGACAGTAACCTGGAGTTCATCTCTTTAAAAGAAACACCAGTCAGGGATGGAGATGTCTGCTCATGGATGAGAAGTTGCTTCTCTAGAATTCACATCGTGAACCATTCAAGGTTTTTCATCACTGCTCTCCGTCAGCTATTCAATCAAGCATTGAGTTTCTAGAATCTCTCCCAGAAATAAAAGCTGACCATACCCACCTACCCACCTTTTTCTTTGCTTCTCACTACTTAAAGATAATCAGGTATGAATTCTAGCCTCAATCTATCAATTAATGGGATTTCATGCAGATCACCTAAAACTTCTCTGTGCCATAGTTTCCTTAACCTTAATGTAAAGACATAACAACTAGTGCCCTACCTATTCCCCAGGATGTTGGGCAGAGAAAAGGATTCATCTATTGATAGAGTTCTGTGGGAAAAAAGTTCAAAGGACTATGTTCATTTAAGGCAGAGGTGTCTAATCTTTTGGCTTCCCTGGGCCACACTGGAAGAAGAATTGTCTTGGGCCACAAGTAAAATACACTAACACTAACGATAGCTAATGAGCTTTTAAAAAATCTCATAATGTTTTAAGAAAGTTTATGAATTTGTGTTGGGCTGCATTCCAAGTTGTCCTCGGCCACATGTGGCCTGCAGGCCCCAGGTTGGACAAGGTTGTTTTAAGGTAACGCTCCCTAAGATTTATCCTGATTTTCCTGCCCAGCACTCTATAGCTTACAGAGCCCAGGCTTGTTCATATTAAATCCTTACAAACTGCAGATGGCAGTTCACAAAGTTATCTAGTTCTCCGGACTCCTAGTCTAGTCTAGCTCTTTCCATTGATCACCAGCTGCCTCCAGATTCCTACAACCCAGTCTGTCTAGGACACAATCTAATCTATTTTGTTTTTTAACCTGAGACTTGCAGTTTACTTAAATGGCCAACTAACTTCAGGGAACTCTATCTTACTAAAGCCACCCTCATAATCTTCAAAGTGGAGTGTTCAAGGAGATGCTTGAGGAAAATACTTAAGAATGCACTCATGGCCGAGGCGGGTGGATCACGAGGTCAGGAGATCGAGACCATCATGGCTAACACAGTGAAACCCCATCTCTACTAAAAATACAAAAAATTAGCCGGGCGTGGTGGCGGGCGCCTGTAGTCCCAGCTACTCGGGAGGCTGAGGCAAGAGAATGGTGTGAACCTGGGAGGCGGAGCTTGCAGTGAGCCAAGATTGTGCCACTGCACTCCAGTCTCGGCGACAGAGCGAGACTCCGTCTCAAAAAAAAAAAAAAAAAAAAAAAAAGAATGCACTCATAATAGTATTTAATTATAGCAAAAATAATTAGGTTTTACTAACACTAATGACATGGCATTCTCACTCAGTCACTATGTCAGAAGTCATCTGTCACACACAGTATATGAGGAGGTTCCAAGAACCAGAGGTAACATCACCATTGACGTTCATTTTCTTCATGATGTACGCCACCCACCAGACAAAAACAAGCCTGTTAACTGCTACAAACTTTACAATTCTTTGTAATGACAGAGAATGACCATGAAAATCTTTGCTGTGCAGATTAACAATCTCCTGGGGAAAGCCTAAAATGAAATACTGAACATGGAGGAGATGCACAGTTTTATTTCAGTGTTCTATGATGAGAAATGGCTGTCAAGAGTATGCTACCTAGCACTTACTTGCAAAAACAAAAACAAACAACAAAAACACCGCTTAATCTGTCCCTTCAAGCTGTCCCTTCAAGGTTAAGATGACAGTCTATCTACGAGCGAGGAAGTCACTGCTTTTCTAAAGAAACACATACTTTAGGAAAAAGTATTTTGAAGACGGATGACTGGAAATGGTTCCAATATTGTGATTTTTTTAATTACCAAAAACAATGGTTTCACCTATCAAAACCTTTGCACACTGAAAAATTAGGAAACAGAATTTGAAAACCTATTTTTTAAAGTTAAATGAAATTTCTTAATGGCTGGAACCCATTTGTTAAGAATATAAAAATGTAACACCTTCCAATCATTCAAGAAGGATTGACTTAAGATATAAATTTACTAGTTGAATTTCAATTAGAAGTCTTTGCATTGTTGATGAATGGGATTGGAAAATAAGTATCATGATTTAATAAATGCAATCAAGGGCATACTTCTTCTGTTTGAATCTACCTATCTTTGGCAAGCATCTTTTCCAGTTATGACAGCAATTAACTTTCACCAAAAAGCATGATTTAAAAAATGTTCATTTTTAAATTTCAACCTTTTAATATTTCTACACTAGGCAATGTTGTATAAGATATGTAATAAAATATATGTAAATACTTGCTTTAAAAATATTACATATATTAAGAACACATTATCATTATTATTATCATTTTGAGATGGAGTTTCACTCGTCACCCAGGCTGGTGTGCAGTGGCGCAATCTTGGCTGATTGCAACCTCTGCCTCCCGGGTTCAAGCGATTCTCCTGCCTCAACCTCCGGAGTAGCTAGGATTACAGGCGCTCCCCACCATACCCAGCTAATTTTTTGTATTTTTAGTAGAGACGGGGTTTCACCATGTTGGCCAGGCTGGTCTCGAACTTCTGACTTGAGGTGATCCACTCGCCTCGGTCTCCCAAAGTGCTGGGATTACAGGCGTGAGCCACCGCACCTGGCCAAGAAAACATTATTTTAAAATGTGTGGCAACCAGTGGTCTGTCACCACAGAGCAGTGTCCACATTTGAGAGCATCATTTTTGCGGGTAGTATGGGAAAGAAAGACACAATTAAGTCAGCAACAATCTAGACTGTGCTTCAAATGCTGGGCAGATCACCTGTTTTGGGGAGTTCTGGCCTAGGGGTTGGTGGAGACAGGGTGAAGGAAGCAGGTTCTTTTATTTGCCAACCTATACCTGATATACATTAAAGGGAAAGTTCCTGGTTCATAGTAGGTCTTCAACTGATGCTTATTCGTTTCTTTTTCCTCTTGCAATTTGCATATCTACCACTTCTAACACTGGTGAGGTCACTCCAGAGCTCACGAATGTGTATAGATAATTTACATATACATATCCACCCCCTCCCAGAACAATCCAGGTAGTGTGAAAGGAGAGAACTTATGCAAACACCCCACTGCCTGCAGAGTATTTTACAATGGCATTTACCTAGGCAAGAAGGCAAAGTCCACTCCCCAATCCTAGTGAGAGTTTTTTTATTTTAATAATTTTTTAAAAAAAATTTTATTATTATTAGTTTTTTGAGACGGAGTCTCGCTCTGTTGCCCAGACTGGAGTGCAGTGGCGCAATCTCGGCTCACTGCAAGCTCCGCCTCCCGGGTTCAAGCGATTCTCGTGCCCTAGCCTACCGAGTAGCTGGGATTACAGGCACGCGCCACCACGTACGGCTAGTTTTGTATTTTTAGTAGAGGGGGGGGGTTTCACCATGTTGGCCCAGGATGGTCTCGAACTCCTGACCTCAGGCCCCGCCTCGGCCTTAATGATTTTTAATCATAACGCTCGGCACCTTCTGACAAATGTCACGTTACTTGTAAAGATTTAGAAACTGTGATTCTATGAGAGGGGGTTATGAAAATAGAATTGCTCTGGAAAGGCTCTTCCATAGAGTTCAAAGACACTTCACACAGCCTGCTATTAAGATGCCCAACCCAACCCGAGAGGAAACAGCGAAGGGTCTTCCCCCTAAGTCGGTGGTATTAGAAGTGGGAAGGACCACAGAAACGGGAGGAAACAGTTAAAAGAACTGACACCACGAAGGAGGCCGCAACAAATGTTTGAAAAATAAGATCAGAAGAGAGGTGGAGAGAGGGTGAGCCGCAGCTGCGGGCGCCGGGGTAATGCCGGTGGACGCAAAGAGGTAAACCTGCACCCGTGGGCAGGGGCACGGGGCGCGGGCACGGTGGCTGGGCGGGCAGGGGGTAGGAAACAAAGGTCGGCTCCCGAGCAGAAGTCAATAAAAGGGGGAAAAGCAGCCGAGGAAAAGCGGCGAAAAGGCGGCAGGGGTGGCGGTGGCGGTGGCGGCGGCGGGGACGGCGCGCGGTGCCTGGCGGGGTCAGGGCCGGGGTCGCCCGCGGGCCGGGCCGGGGATCCGGCTGAGATGGGAACCCGCTAGGCCGCGCCGAGGGGCAGGGCCGGCGACTGAGGGGCCGCAGAGGGGACCGGCCGAGGAGCGACGGCAAAGGGTTGTGGGGGGCAGGGCGCGCAGGGAGGCCGGGACAGGGGCGGGCCGGTCGGCGGGAGTCGCGGCCGCGGGAACCGAGGCAGGGAAAGGCGGTCAGCTTCCCGCCCCCGCCCCCGGCCGCCGCGGCGTGAGGGGAAAGGCCGGCGGGCGGCGGGCAGCGCAGCGAGGAGGAGGAGCCTGCGGCCCCGCCCCGCGGGAGCGAGGGAAGGAGAAAGGCTCGCAGGGAAGGAGGGAGGGAAGGGGGGCGGCCGGCCGGGCCTGCGCCCGAGCGAGCGGCGAACCGAGGGGGAAGGGGCCCGGAAGGAGGCGAGCGCGGCCGCGACGCCGGCAGTCGGACGCCCGCTCGTGCCGGCCTGCCGCAGCCGCCGCAGCCTTCCCTGTGCGCCGAGCCTGGCGTCCCGAGCGGCCGCGAAGGCCGGAACACGGCGGTCGGGCGCGGGGCGAGCGGCGCCGGGAGCCCGAGGCCCGGCCGGGCGTCCTGCGCGAGGCACTGCGGGCTCCTGCCTGCGAGATTAGGCGAGGGGCGGAAAGGGAGGCAAGGAGAGGCCGAGAGGAGACAGGCGATCGGATTTTCCAGGAGTCTGGTGTGGAAGAAAAACCCACCTCGAACTCAAATCCACAATAATAATCCGAACGAATAATAAGGGAGCCGTCTTTCTGGCCGGGCGAGAGAGAGGGAGAGAGAAGGGGGAACGGGAGGAAGCGAAATCTCCGTTTCATGGAGGCTGAGGCAAGAGAAAATTTCGGAGCCTGGATGTGGAGGAGCCCAACAGCAGAACTAACTCAGGAAATTGTCTTTCAGAAAAAGGCCGAACGTAGGCTGGGTCTGAGAATCAGGCTGGGGTAGGTGGAGGAACCTGCAAGTTTAAAGGAAAAAGAAAAGGAGAGAATATTTTCAGAGATTATCTCTGGTTTGTTATCATTACTACCATCTTAAAGGTAAAAAGCATTGCATTTCAGGTGTTCTTTGATTTTTATTTTATTTTTTTTTTTGGTGCAATTGGCTCATTTAAGAATTTCAAAACATTTAATGTAAAAGCTTTTTTTTTTTTAAGGAAGTCCATAAATTTTGGTTCCCAGGGTTGCACTGGACTTGGAAGGAGTGCTGTTGTGTACATACTATTGTATGGTTTTATTTATTATTTTACTGTACAAATCAGCCGAAAGAATTTTTCCAAGTGCCATTTCGGATTTATTAATCCTTTTTTTTTTCCTTTCCTCAAAGATATTTGCTGTTGTCATATTAAGCATTGGAGACTAGAAAATTACTTTCCCCCTTTGAGCTAGAGGGTCTCTTGCCAACAGAAGGACAGCTGAGAAAGCTGGATTTAAAGGATGGTTTTATCTGTACTTTGCAGTTAACAGTGATATTTTGAAGGCACATTTTTCTGTGATTCATTTTTTTTTGGCCATAGTGCTAACCTTGAAGAGATTCGTGGCTGGGTTTTTGGTTTCTGAGAAGGTCGTAGTTTTTCCTCTTTTCCTTTTTTTTTCTTTTTTCTTTTCTTTTCTTTTTTTTTAAAGCGGGGGAGGGGAAGAGGGGCTGAGAAAGGAAATCATGTTCACTGGTAGAAGTAGAGTGGAGCATCAGTTACCAGGGTCCTGAGAGCTGGAGGAGAAAGGATTCTATCTTCAAGTTGGGAGGCCCTCCTCTCACCTTGCTCAAAAATTGCAAGCGATTCAATCCTGATCAAGACACCAAAGCTACAGGATTCTGGAACCGTGGAGACACCGAGAAACCATGAGTGTAAGGTTACCCCAGAGTATAGACAGGTAGGTTTGCTAATAATTTGATTTTTCAACATTGACTAAAGGAAAGACTGGGAGGGGTGGTGTTGCATTTTAATAAATGGTTGAAAATAGGGGTCTGGGTGGGCTATGGGAATTGGTGGGCTAGGAGCATTAGTCTCTGGGGACTGTCAGCCTATGTGGTTATGTGCAAAAACATAGCTCTTGATTCAGCGTCTTTTGAATATAAGCAATAAACAGTGAAGCCAGGAGAGGGAAAGGAGGAGGATGTGCTTCCAGTGGCTTTTGACTTTTGCCAGGGTAGAGGCTGAATTTGAGTCCACCCAACTTGCTAGTCTCAGGTGGGGGCAAGCCAGTCTTGTGAGCTCCTAGGGTTGCACTAGGGGGACTGGCTTTAGGTGTTGGAGCTGCTGGGAGAAGGGCCCTGGCAGAGGCGTGGGCCTCCACCAGGCTGGTTGGTATGGAATGGTGGGGCTTGGTGACGGGGTGGATCCCATTTCTAGAAATGAAGAGGATGTTCTTGGCCTGAATGATGGGACAGAAACATCCTTTGCACCCATGCAAGTCTGGATTTTTACCAGTAGCTGACATGGTCCCAAAATGCATAGATCACATTAGAATTTCCTCTCCTCCAAGCTTAGAGTTTGAATTGAGACCTGCCAACCGGCTGATGCTCTAGGTTTAATCTTCCAAGCTGTTCTTAATAAGCTTGACTCTGCAAAATGGGCCTTCCCTCTGCCTGGAGCCAGAAGAAATTGTTTTGGGCTCGTAGGCCTGCTGGGCAGCAGCACTGGCCCTCAGAGTCTGAACACATGACACCCCTTGCCCCAAGAGTCTGCCCAGCCACCTCTATCACTGGTAATGTTACTGTGTGGTTGCAATTCTTACCTCCAAATGATTGGTACAACTTTGTAAGGTGTCTGCCTTTTCCTTCCCTCCCCTACCCCTCCTCAACGCTTCTCCCCATGAGAACCTTGCTGTGGGGGGTGTGTTTTGTGGGCACTGCACACATCCTAACTGGATAGATGGGTGGTTGAAGGACTGAACAAGCAAATGAAAGGACTGGGCCTGGAAAAAAATATTATTGGAGAGATAGGGAAGAATATTTGCAAGGGAGCAATTGTTCCCTCCATGCCCAGTCCACCTTCGGTTATCCATGCTAATAATAATTTCCTTTTGGTTGTGGAATGTGGCCTAAAATGCATATAATCTCTCTCTCTCAAGCACTAATCTCTGTATTGCCTCAGAGTCCCATTTAGATTAGTTCAGCAGTCCCTAGATGGGAACTGACTTGGCAGTGGAGAAGAGGAGGCAGACAGCCACAAAGGATGTACGGCCAGTTCAGACCTCCTTCCTCCTTTCTGTTGGCCTCTCTGCAGTTTGACCCTTGGAAAGGGAGAACTGAGGTGTGTCAAGGTGAGGAATTGGAATGGTTTACATGGCTGCCCTTCTTCCCTTTTCATCCTCTTGGAGTTTGAGAATTAGTGCACTTGCCTTTTTAAGATTTGGATGGTGAACTCTTTCTGGTAAATGCAAGGATTTGAGAAGATGGGAACCCAAGTTTTGGGGGCGTGCAAGAAGGAGGAGGCGGTGAGCCTTCCTGGGTTGATGTGAGACACTCCTGGGGGTTTGGATATCCTCATAGATAAAAATCTCAGGATTTGCCCAGCACATTACAGTTTCCTAAGTGCTTTCGTAGAACATATCTCATTTGAATCTCACAGTGGTTCTGTGTGAGGTAGACAGAAGCATCAGAGGTTATTATTCATGTTTCACAGAAGGGGAAACTGAGGCTCAGAGAGGCTACCTGGCTTGCCCAGTGCCATCTTGCCTGGCTAGTGGCAGAATCTGGACTCAAAGACTCAAACACAGGTCTTCTGAGTCTGAATCTGTAGCTCTTTCATTGCCCCATCATGTCTAACTAGGCTTCTGTACTGGTCCTGTAGAATGTGTGGGGCACCGTTTTCTCCTTTCTCTTTGGTAGTAGGGTAAAGTGCCCGTCAGCAGTCAAGGTCTTCCCTTCTACTTTTCTGTCTTGGGGCTCCTACCTTGGGGGTTCAGTCTTGGGGCTCATACCTGTAAGTCCTATAGTTAAAGCACTATTTTCTCTTGTAAGATAGTGCAGCTTTGCAGGGTAAGGGTATTCCTCACCTCCACCCTGCCTGATTCTCTTCCCCATTAAGAGTGGTAGGACTCAGATCCCCTTCAGACATCCCCAGCTAGCTGCACTGAATCTTACTCCCTTAACTGTAGGCTTATTCAATTGTAACTTTGGGCAACATCAGCCTCAAGACTCTATGGATTTTAAATAATTTACAGATTTAAATCACACTGAAAGGAATAATACGCTGCGGATTATGGAGTCTAGTATTCTTTCAGTTTATCAGTTTGCTGTGTAGAGAGCCTAGTGTAAGGTGCTATAGGAGAGTTTTAGAAAATTAAGGTGTACAGTACTTGCTCACAGAGAGAGCATGCAACTGGGGGACTGGGAAACACGTAAGACTCTTGAAGACCACATAAAGCAACACCAGACTGTAAGCCCCTCACAAGCAGGGACAGTTTGGTTTGCCTGTATGAAATCCTGTGTGCCTAGCTTAGTGTCTTGCATGAGGTGAGTACTCAAGAAATGTTTGACAAATGAATGTTAGAGTGAATGAACAGATCAGCAAGTACAAATTATTTCATTGCGGGTTGTTTCAACATTCACGTGTTAATTTCAAATGTAGTCAAATAAGGTCAATTAGAGAAGGTTTCCTAGGTAATGTGTATTTTCTAGAAAATAAATGACATAATAAAGGACTATGTATTTGGAAAGAGATTGTAGCTGAGAGTAAGAAAATTTTGGAATATTTACTTGGCAGTCTTTCATCTCCTGTAGCACCCTGTTCAAGAGTGACTCCTGGGTCCATAGAAAGCATAAAGTATTTGCAACTATTCTTTATCTTTCAGTGTTAATCAGTTGTTACTGAAAGATGGGCTAAAGTGTAGCTGTTCATGTCCCTTTCAGTTTTTGTCCATGGGCAACTTACTGCCCATTAATATATATTCCTTTCAAGAGTTTCTAAAAATGTGTTTGCTATTGCAAACAGAGATAATGATACTAAATTATTTTTACAGGAGTGGTCATGAGTTTTGCTAAGCCATCTATATCTGTTAGCCTGGTTCCCCCATGGCAAATGTTTTTGAGATGGACAGGAGGGTTAGGGGTTTGCATCCATGAAACATCTTTCCTCTGCCCAAAGTTAGTTCATGTGAGGATCAAACCAAAGTACTTTAAGCCAAGAGTTTGTGGTTTGAGTCCTGGCTTTCCCCTTAACTATGTGACCTTGGGGAAGTCACATGCCTCCTCTGGCTTCCTCATGTAAAGCAGTAGTAGTTCATTTCTATAAAGTACAATCCAGTTCTCAAACATTTTTATATGGTGTGTCATTTGAGGATTATAATGTTTGTTTCATCTCTCTCACAAGCCTATTGAAAGGAGCAAATCAAACGAGATAATGTATTTCAAATTGTTTTCTAAACTGTAAACTCTATATAAATTATAGATGGTAAATTCACAGATTTGATTTAGCTTCGTGCACAACTTTCTGAGCTAAGTATCCCAAAACAAAACAAGGTGACTGAAATCTTTATATCATTTTGAAGAATTTAAGCAGAGTGAACTGGCTTTATTGTTGTAGAAGTGCATGGGGTCAGGAGGAAGGAGTATTTTTCCAATAGATAGGGTACTAGAAGAATGTGAGAAGAGAAGGGTTACTGAATCTCCTTCCCAGGAACTCTGATGAATGAGAGAGACTTCATCTACCTTGGCTCACCTTAAATGTCTGTTAGTGATGGGGATAGAAAGGATTTGTTCTGTGATCTCCAGCCATTCCTTGTCTTAAAAGCGTATGACTTTCCTAATTCAAAATAAATCTAGACCCAGCAACTGTTCTCTGTCAGGGGTCTCTTCGCACCTTGGCTTCTGGTCTTTATTGACTCCTGGGACCAAGAAGTCCCCAGACATTTAGCTGAGTTTCTACCTAGATTAGAAGGTTGGCCTCCCAGAATGGAGACAGGGATCCAGAGCTACGTATGATAAGTCCCGGAAATGCTGAGTCTTTTCCAAAATGTACCCTTGTTCCCATCTAGGGGTGTGAGATGAGAGACACAATGGATTTGCAGCTGAAACATTTGGCAATTAATCACCATTATGAGAAGGAGCAGACTAAGCTTAACTTCAGATACTCAAAAACATTTCTGAAAGAGTGCCCTTTTATTAATGTATTTGTTTAGCTTTTTTAATAGACAAGAAATAAGAAAAATTAAATGACAATACGAGTTCATCAAAAATAAAAAGATTTTGTGAACAGCACATAGCTAATCTCCTAGTTAGTATAAAGGTAAAGGAGTTCTGGAAGCTCACAGCCTCTGTGGAATGGAGTTTAGAAACTCTAGTTTGTATAGTGTTTCTTGCTGCTTTAATGTTCTGATAATCTGATGTTTGTGAAAAGGCTTTGTTAACTGTTGAGTTCTATAAACGTAAGAGGAGTTATTTTAATCTATATTGACTGAATCTGTTTCACCTCTTCATAGTAGCATTGCCTTTAAAAATTCATTTTTATTGGTTTATTATTTTTTAAGCTTAACTCAAAGATATATCACGTGGCTTGGAAACTCTTTTTGCTGTGGATTGTGGTGTTCCTTCTTTTGTCAATCACTATATTGATAAAAGACCCAAGCATACACCTGCTAGTGGCATGCAAGATCACTCCTTTGCCCCATGGGGTAAACCGTACTGAAGAAGTTGCTGATCCTGGTCTCAAAAAGAAAAAAGTATAACTTCATAAAAAGTCATGTTAGATCTTTTGTGAAAGGAGGTTTGGAGTTCTGAGGAAAGAACACAACATCTGAGTTAGTAGACGTGGATGATGGAGCCAGCTTTGTTAGCAGCTGGGTGAATGACCTTGCAAAGGTGCTTACCTGCCCTCGACCTCAGTTTGCTTATTTGGAAAAATGAGGGAATTAGGCTAGCCAGCCTCTAAGATTTGATTCCTTTTAGCTATTACGTTCTTTCAGCCTCTGAAACCAGAATGCTTTGTGTCCTTTCAGTGGGCCAAATGGTTTTTCAGAAATCATTGTCTGGCTTTCCTGAAAATCAGTGAAAATGAAAGCTTGAAAAGAACAGAGAACAAAGCTGCCTGATCAAATGGGAGAGAAGATGGAAGTACAGGGACATGGAAACATGGGGAGGAACTGAGAAATCCATGGCCCCTAATAGAATTGGAATAGGATTTGGAAGGTGGTTTTGTTTTTTGTTTTTTGGGACAGGGTCTCACTCTGTCGCCCAGGCTGGAGTGCAGTGGCATGATCATGGCTCACTGCAGCCTTGACCTCCCCAGGCTCAGGTGGTCCTCCCACTTCAGCCTCCTGAGTAGCTGGCATTACAGGCATGTGCCACCACACCTGGCTAATTTTTGTAGATATGAGGTTCACCATGTTGCCCAGAGTGGTCTCAAACTCCTGAACTCAAGCAATCTGCCCACCTCGGCCTCCCAAAGTCCCAGGATTATGGGTGCAAGCCACCACGCCAGGCCTGGAAGGTGTTCTTAAGGTCTGGAAGAATACCCCAATTTATTGTACTAAAACAATTGGACAGATTTCAGGAAAAAATCACAAAAATCTGGCAGGACTTCAAGGGATCCTCTTGCCCTTTACTCTGGACTCCAAATAGGGTGTCTCTTAACCTAGTAAAGACAGGTTGAAGGCCTCTCCCATTTTCAGTGATCTCTGGAGGATGGTTCCATTAGTTCAACAATTAGAAATCCCTTTGGATACGAAACTTCCTCTGCCACAATTTAAAACCATTTTATTGTCTTTCTATTGTGATTTCAGCGTAGGCCTTAAAGTCACTAGTATCCCTCTATTACCATTGTTGACTTCCTTAAGATTTTCCTCCTCATTTTAAAGAATAGCAAACTAAGACATGAATATGTGAGAAAGGGGCTTTGAAAAGTTAGAGTGAAGTAATTTCAGAGTCTTGCTTTCCAGACCCTGCTCCTTTCCAGTATTTGGGAGCAGCCACTACAAAGTGGTGTGATGGGATCTGTAGTCATCAGTCACAGCCTGGCCTCAAATCATGTAGGGAACCAATCTAGCAGCCCTCCTGGTGATGACCTGTGATCTGTGGCGCTTGACGGTTGGTTGGACTTGAAATATTTATCAGATGGCTCAGTGCAGTTCTCAGTGTTCTGAGAGATAGTACAGGAGAACATAGAGCTTACATTCTTTTTTTTTTTTTTTTTTTTTTTTTTGAGACAGTCTTGCTCTGTCACCCAGGCTGGAGTGCAGTGGCGTGATCTCGGCTCACTGCAACCTCCACCTCCTGGGTTCAAGCGATTCTCTGCCTCAGCCTCCCAAGTAGTTGGGATTACAGACACCTGCCACCACACCCGGTATACTTTTTGTATTTTTAGTAGAGACGGGGGTTTCACCATGTTGGCCAGACTGGTCTCGAACTCCTGACCTCAAGTAAACCGCCCACTTCAGCCTCCCAAAGTGCTGGGATTACAGGCATGAGCCACCGTGCATGGCCTCAAGCCTAAATGCTTGTTGGGAAATGTTATTAACAAAGCAACACAAAATAAAAAGATGGTACATAATTGCTGAATCGTTATGTACACCAAAAGGTACATTTAGAGAAGAGTGCAAGGTTGGTGCTAATAAGAATAGTCAAAGGCAGAGTAGTTAGGAATTATTCAGGTCGAAGAAAGAGAAGAGGCCATTTCAGACTAGAGGAGCAACACGAGCAAGGTTCTGTCTGGGGTGGCACCAACATGGTGTGGTCTCCAAGTGTTAAGATTATTGTAGAGCAGAGAGAAATTAGATTGATAAGATGGGTAGGGTAGGGAGAATGAAGGGATTCAGACTTTATGTGGTAGTAGAAAGGGAGCCGGGGAAGGTTTATGTATTATATGGTGATAAACATAGTGTTTAAAGAGAGAATTCTGATATTAATATATAGAGCAGAAGAGAGCTTGGGGTTAGGAAGCCTAGGAGTTTTTGTAGCAATCTTAGGAAAAGATAACGAGCTTCTGAATCAGAACGGTTATGGTGGGGACAAAGAGGAGTGGCAGGATTCCCAAGACGTTTTGGTAGCAGAATTAACCAGTATTTTAAGACTGAATCAAATTTATTTATTTATTTATTTATTTTGAGACAGAGTTTTGCTCTTGTTACGCAGGCTACAGTGCCATGGCACGATCTTGGCTCACTGCAACCCCTGCCTCCCAGGTTCAAGCAATTCTCATGCCTCAGCCTCCTGAGTAGCTGGGATTACAGGTGCCTGATCCCATGCCTGGCTAAGTTTTTATATTTTTTAGTAGAGACGGGGTTTCACCATGTTGGCCTGGCTAGTCTCAAACTCCTGATCTCAGGTGATCCGCCCGCCTCCACCTCCCACAGTGCTGGGATTACAGGTGTAAGCCACCGTGCACTGCCCTGAATCAAATTTTATTCCCAAATTTATGAGACTGGTGGACTAGGAGAAGGGTAGTGCTATTGATAGACTAGGATCTTCAGTAGAAGTCATTTTGTCTGCCATTGATACCTAGCAATTTACTGAATACAGTGGATACTTAACCTTCCTTAGACCCTTAGGTTAGGCCATTTCTACCAAATAGTTTTAGAGCTCTTCAATACAGCTTTTTAAGAGAAGCAGGAGGCTGGGCGTGGTGGCTCACGCCTGTAATCCCAGCACTTTGGGAGGCCGAGGTGGGTGGATTACCTGAGGTGAGGCGTTTGAGACCAGCCTGGCCAACATGGTGAAACCCCGTCTCTACTAAAGATACAAAAATTAGCCTGATGTGTTGGTGCACGCCTGTAGTCCCAGCTACTTGGGAGGCTGAAGCAGGAGAATCACTTGAACCCGGGAGACAGAGGTTGCAGGGAGCTGAGATCGCACCCCTGCACTCCAGCCTGGGTGACAGAGCAAGACTCTGCCTCAAAAAAACAAACAAAAAACAAACAAAAAAAAGTGAGTAGTCAGTTCTGGGAGATCCCTTAGGAAGTTGGGTCATGGTTTGAGGAGATTAGCATGTATTTGATGGATCCTGATTAATCAGCCATATATATATATGTATATATATTCATATATGTATTCATATATGTATTCATATATATATTCATATATGTATTCATATATTCATATATATATTTTCATATATATATTCATATATATTCATATATGTATTTTCATATATATATTCATATAGATTCATATATATATTCCTATATAGATTCATATATATATTCCTATATATAGATTCATATATATATTCCTATATATAGATTCATATATATATATTCCTATATATAGATTCATATATATATATTCCTATATATAGATTCATATATATATATTCCTATATATAGATTCATATATATATATTCCTATATATATTCCTATATATATTCCTATATATATTCCTAAATATATACATATATATATTCCATATATATATTCCTATATATATATTCCTGTATATATATTCCTATATATATATATTCCTGTATATATATATATTCCCACATAGCCACCCAAACTCTGGGGCTGGAGGGCCATCTATGTGGAAATCATTCTAGTTGACTAATGTAGAGAATATAGGACTTTAAGTGAGCCCCAGCTGAGTGACTAACTAGCTATGTGATCAGGATAATTTGTACCAGCCTGACCAACATGGAGAAACCCCGTCTCTACTAAAAATACAAAATTAGCCGCACGTGGTGGTGCATTCCTGTAATCCCAGCTACTCGGGAGGCTGAGGCAGGAGAATGGCTTGAACCCAGGAGGCAGAGGTTGCGGTGAGCCGAGATTGCGCCATTGCTCTCCAGCCTGGGCAACAAGAGCGAAACTCCATCTCAAAAAAGAAAAAAAAAAAAAAGCATTTTGTGAATTCCATGGTGCCAAACATACGGTGAGTGTTGTTAGGGCATTTGGTTTGGCAGGGACCCCAGATTGTCCTAAACTCTCCTCAGCTGCCACTAGAATACCCATGCTTGAATTACCCTCAGTCCTGTGCTGATTCTCAACTAAGGACAGACAGGCATGGCTGTGGGACCATAGTGAACAAACACAGGACAGTAGTTAAAAATGAGGGGCCTAAGCGCTCATCCCAAAGCAGATCCTTTGCTAGAAACCCACAATGTCTTTCCTTCCTAGCCCAAGCTCCCCAGCTTGGGATTCATGACTTCTTTCTTCAGTTTAGCCCACATCTCAATAATCGTAGGTCTCATTACTGTACCCTGTCGCCCTGCTTCGGGTAGACCAGCCTCATTCCTGGGCCCACATCCCTCTTTGCACACCTTTATATCAGTGTTCTCTGTCTTCTCCCAACTCCATTACTCTTATTTCCTTCAAGGAAGTCTTTGCTGGTTAATATCACCAAACCCTACACCTTTATATTATTCAGCATTCCTTTTGCACATACATACAGCAATTCAACTTTATCTTATTTGCTTGTATAAAATAATTTGTGTAAAAGTTCTAGCAGAATATCTAGCACGTGGTAGACTGTTATGTTGGTTCTTTTATATGGTTCTTGTGTTTTATCCTGTTCCTAAGGGTTCAAGAGCAGTGTCTCCTCATTGTTCTGGGTTGTCTTCTTTGGCCCAGCTTAGTTCTCTTTAGACACGGTATACTCCCTATGTGCTCTTTCCTGACTCGAACACAGCTCATTCTTGACACTGCTGATTCATTCCATGCCTAACCAAGGGATTTTAAGAAAGCAAGCTCTAAACACTCCTGCCAGGAACTAAGACCAAAATTCCTCTCGTTCTCATTGGGTGCTAGGTCTTTGGTACTTGGTATTTCTTGCAGGGACAGAGCAGCCTTGTTGGGGTTGCCTGCCTTCAGCCTCTCAGAGTTCTGGGGATTTCCCCATGGCGGCTTGATTTCCGGGCTGCCTTTCCCTGCAGGAGTCTGATGGGCACAAGGCCTACCCTGCCATTGTCCCGCCTGCCCCAGGCTGGCCCCATTCATTTCCCAGAGCAGGGCCTTCAGAAACTTCCCCCCAAGAGACTGCTGCTGCAGAGAAAGGCCACTGTTGTTCTGGGGGGAGGTGGCTGGAGAGAGTGTAGTAAATAGCTATGTGAATGGGACCTTGTGTGCAGCTAGAACCACAGACCCTCTTCCCTTCAGAGCCCCAGGGAGAGGGGAAAAATACCACTAGGATTTCAGTGTCTTCACAGGAACAGGGTTTCAGGTTTGGGAAACATTCATGCCATCCCTCAAATAAGAAGCTTGGTCTGTTTAACAAATCTTCACTTATCGTAGTGCTAGGCATCAAGGATTCAACCAGAATATGCTGCATACCTTGCCCTTAAGGAGCTTATGGTTTTGTGGAGGGAGACAGAAGTAAGTATGATAGCACCCAAACTTACTCCTGTGATAACAGTTGAAGCACTGGGAGAGACACCTAAAGAAGGTTTCCTGGTGGAGGAAAGGACCTTTACATTGAGGCCAAAAAATAAAAGCTAGGCTGGAGTAAGGGAAAGTCTAGGCAGAGGGAACAGCAGGTACAGAAGCCTCAAGCAAGAAAGAGCATGGTGGTGTGAGAATTGCAAGTGGCTGTGATCTGTAGTGAGACCATAGAACCATTAATTAAATGAAACTGGAGAAAAGGAAAATGAGTAGGAGCCAAGGCCTGAGGACCGTGTAATGCTCTTAGAGGTTTTGGACTTGATCCTGAGGGCAGTGGAAGATCATTGTGAGATTTTAAATAGAGGGTGACATGATCAGATATGCTTTCACAAAAGCAAGATCACCATGGCTACAGTGCAGACATGGGATTAAACAAGTGAAAGGGTGGAGAGAGGGAAGATGGGTTAGGAGACCTTTGTAGTAACCTTGACAAGAGATGAATGTGGTCTCTGCTACGGAAGTGACTTCAGAGAGGGAGAAAAATGAGAGATCAGAGGTTACGAAGTTGATTATATGGGGGTATGCGGAGGCATGAAGGAGAGTGTGGGGCAAGGATGATACCCTTACCCTTCTCTTGGGCTACTGCATAGTACTATTCAATAAAAAAAAAGGAACTCTGGAGGAAGAACATAAGATGGTTGAGGGAGAGAGGAGGAGAGGAGTCAGCATCCCTTTGGACATGTTGTGTTTGAAGTGCCTGTGGGAGATCCAAGGAAAGATGTTCAGCAGACAACTGGAGCTTGGGCTGGAGGTCAGGAGGGGATAGAGAATCACATTAGCAGGTCATCAACACCTAGACGGAGCAGCAGAAGCATAAGACTGTCCAGGGGCAGGGTGTAGAGAGAGCAAAGGGCTGTGCACAGAACCCTGAGAGGCATACATTTAAAAGGGAGGTGAAGGAAGATGAGAGGCATACATTTAAAAGGGAGGTGCAGAAGAGACTGGCAGGGAGTGACAGAAGCAACCAGGGCAGTGAGGAACCTCCAAAGTAAAGAGAGGGAGTGATTAACAATGTCAAGTTCTCCTAAGAGGTCATGGACGAAAAGGACAGAGAAATGCCTGGACTTAGTAACTGGGAGGATGTTCATGGCCTCCGTGCGTGGTTTCTGGGCAGTAGCAAGGGAAGGAGCCAGTTTCTAGTGGGTCCAAGTGAGAATAGGAGGTGAAGAAATGGTGATGGACATAGTCTAGTCAATTCTTTCATGAAGTTTCATCAGAAAGGAAAAAAAAAATGTCGCTCCTGGTCCTGTCAGGTAGGACTTTAATTTTTTCAAGGTAGGGATGTATTGCCCTAGGTCAGAGGTTCTCAATCTTTAGAATCCTTTAGAATCAGCTGGAGAGCTTGTTAAAATACAGGTCTGTGGGCCCCACCCAAAACGTTCTGACTCAGTGTGTTTGAGCTGAGTTTGGGGCCTGAGGATCTGCATTGTTACAACTTCCCAGATGATGCCAATACTGGCATTCTGTGCTTCCAGAGCCACTGCCTTATGACATCTGTGCTCTTAACGAACTCTTTTTATGTTCTCAGAACAGAACTTTTGTTCACTGTCTATTTCAAAACTTGTCAGTGGCTCTACTCTGCTGGGAATTGCTTCGGTGGCTGGTGAATACCTTGGAGCAGACTGGTCACTTTGTAAGCTTAACGTAAGCTCCCCATCTGGGAAACCTTGCTTACCCCATTTCTGTCTACCTCTGACATAGGTGCAAATAAATCCTGTCTACTAGAGATCTTTAAGGATGGTGGGCTTACAGGATTTTTTGTAATTTCAAAATTAAAGCCCAGAAGAGTCATACATAAGAGAAATGTCAAAGCTTATAGTAAATGTCAAAATCAAATATATATAATTTCAATAATTCAGTTTTGGATTAAGTGAGAGAATAAATTTCCTAAAATGGTTTCTCAAACTGATCCCAGGTTCTGAATTTTCCAGTGGTAAGGATCCTTGGAATGTCATTGTTGCCTCTTAGAATGTTGTTAGAGCTCTTAACACGTGGTTACTGCACTCAAAGAGCTTAGGGCTCCAGAACATGCTTCCACAGAGTGATCGGTTGTTCTACCCTTGCAGGAGTCCACACCACCACTATGGCTTCTCTGCTCAAGGGGTGGGAGTAGGGATCCCATGCAGTTCTGGGGTTCTGTTCTAGGGCCTTTGCCACTCCCCTTGAAATTGGGTTCAGGGACCACACTACTGTGGTTTCTGAGAGCCCCCTGACCTTCGAGCCTCTTCCTCCTCTCCTGCTTTTCTTTTTGCCCTGTGCATTAGTGGGCCGTTTCTCATCATCTCCAGGTTCTCCAGACCAATGGCTCTGAGTCTGAGATGCAGATGTGGGTCCGAGGATAGTGGTAGGTACATGACATGGCCTGGCAATTCTTGTGCCATAGGGTTTCCTAAATAACACTTCAGGCCTTAGGATCATTTAATTAAGTAATGGGAAACCCAGAAGAAATCCTAGTTCTCTTAGCTCAGCCTAGTTCAGGGCTAATAGCTACACTTCTGCTGGAACTCATGCCTGGAGACACATCCTTTTACTAATCCTGAACTTGAGGCCTGGCAGGTTGAGAAAGAACTGGGCAAGATACGGGGGGAGAGACCACTCCCTTGTTAAGATCCTCCTTCCCATTTGTTGGTGTGGCCTATGGGAATTTTAAAATTCATTCAGCACATTTACTGAATACATATTAAATGTTAGGCAGCATTCCGGGCACTGGGGATACACTGGAACTTTCACTCTGCTGGAGCAAGAGAGACAACAAGCAAGTGTTTAAAATTATTATTATTGTGATCCATCATATAAATGAATTTTATAAGACCTGGGTTCATAACTGCTGTGGGAGAGGCAGGAGGAAAGATGTGACAGGATTAAAGGAGGGATTAGAGTCAAGAAGAGAAGTCAGTTTTTAAAGTGGGCCAGGGCGGGGGCGGGGGCATAATTCATGGCAAGAGAAGAATGGAAGCTTGAGGACCCAGATAAGAGTGCAGTGATGATGAGGCTTCTTGGTATTTCTGCACTACAAGATGTATTTGGCAAAGTGTCTTGTCCATTATCTCATTGAGGTGGTCCAGGGCAAGGATTTTCATTCCCATTTTATAGATAGGGAAGCATGCTCAGGGAGGCTTTAGTAACTTGCTTAAGGTCCAGAAACTAAGAAGTAATGGAGTTGGGATTTTTTTTTTTATTCTGTGCCTACTGAGCCCTAACCTAGTGCTGTTCCTCTTTTCCTATACCCCTGTCAAGGCTTGGTGGTAAAAATGTGTAATTCTTAAGGGAGCCAGACATCAGATTTGCCTGACAGTAGTGAAAGACAGTGAAATTTGCCTGACTAGGAAAGAGATAGGTAAATCAGGAGTCAAGTCCCCCAAGTTTTTCTGTCTCTTCCCAATACAATTTCCTTGTCCATGGCCCCTTTAGGACCTGAGGTTTGCATTCACTGTCTAAGAAGAGGATAAGTCCCTCTTCTTTGCCTCCTCATTGGTTAATGGTGGGGAGAGTGGCACGCTGGGGCTGGTAATGTTTCAGTGAGGCTGGGAAAGATGCAATCTCCTCAAAAGTGGCTCAGCACTCTGCCACTTAGCAGTGCAGCATCTTTTAAGCTACTCAGGGGCCCTATCTTTGTGTACACTATGGTGCCTGGGACTGTGTAGTAAATGGATGCTCGGTAAAGTTTTATTGAAAAACAGGTACAATTTTTTTAGTTAACAGCTTTATTGAGATATACAATACCATAAAATCTACTGCTTTAGAGTGTACAGTTCAGTGATTTTTAGTATATTCACAGAGTTGTGCAACCATCATCACTGTCTAATTTTAGGACATTTTAATCACCCCCAAAGAAACCTTGGCCCATTAGCAGTCACTCCCCATTGCCCCCTTCCCCTAACCCCTGAAAACCACTAATCTACTTTTTTCTCTATGGTTTTGCCTATTCTGGACATTTCATGTAGATGTAATAACACAATATGTGGTTTGTTGTGTCTGGCTTCCTTCACTTAGCATGATATTTTAAAGATTTAACCATGTTTTAGTGTGTATAAGTACTTCATTCTTTTTATGGTTGAATAATATTCCACTGTATGGATAGACTACTTTTTGTTTATCCATTTATCAGTTCATGGACATTTAGGTTTTTTCCACTTTTTGGCTATTGTGGATAATACTGCTATTAACATTTGTGTGCAGGTTTTTGTGTGGACATATGTGTTCATTTCTCTTGGGTGTATACCTAGGAGGGGAATTGCTGATCATATGGGAACTCTGGGGAACTGCCAAACTGCCTTCCAAAGTGGTTGCACAGCCGGGCACAGTGGCTCACGCCTGTAATCCCAGTGCTTTGGGAGGCCGAGGCAGGTGCATCACCTGAGGTCAGGAGTTCAAGACCAGCCTAACCAACATGGTGAAACCCCATCTCTACTAAAAATACAAAAATTAGCTGGGCATGGTGGTAGGTGCCTGTAGTCCCAGCTACTCAGGAGGCTGAGAGGCAGGAGAATTGCTTGAACTCAGGAGCTGGAGGTTGTAGTGAGCTGAGATTGCGCCATTGTACTCTAGCCTGGGCAACAGAGCAAGACTCTGTCTCAAAAACAACAACAACAACAACAACAAAAACCACCAAAGTGGTTGCACCATTTTACATTTCCACCAGCAATCTGTGAGGGCCCAGTTTTTTCATATCTTTCTTTTTTTTTTTTTTTTTTTTGAGACAGGGTCTCACTTCAGTTGCCTAGGCTGGAGTGCAATGGCACAATCTTGACTTACTGCTGCCTTGACCTCCCCAGCTCAGGTGACCATCCCACCTTAGCCTCCTGAGTAGCCAGGACTACAGGTGCATGCCACCACGCCTGGCTAGTTTTTTGTATTTTTGGTAGAGATGGGGTTTTACCATTTTACCCAGCTGGTCTCGAACTCCTGGACTCAAGCACTCCACCCACTGCAGCCTGCCAAAGTGCTGGGATTACAGGCATGAGCCACCACGCCCAGCCAGTTTCTCCATATCTTTACCAACACTTTCTTTTTGATTATAGCTAGGATTGTGGGTGTGAAGTGGTATCTCACGGTGGTTTGATTTGCATTTCCTTAATGCTTAAAGATGCCAAGCATCTTTTTATGTTGATTATTTGCATATTTTCTTTGGAGAAATGTTTACTCAAATCCTTTGCCCATTTAAAAATTGGGGTTATTTGTGCTTTTATTGTTGAGGAATGAATAGAATTTTAAGCTAAGTCATTTAACCTCTCTTGGCCTCAGTTTTATCAATTGTAAAGTGGGAAAGTTGGATTTGATCTCTGAGATCGATTCAAATATAGTATTATTTGATCTTTGGTAATTTGGTCACTCTTTTAGGGCTCTACTCGCCATCATGTTGCAGTCCAGTCTGGTAATTAGGGGTATGACTTTTATGTTGAATCAACCTAGGTTTCCTGTTACTTAACCTTTCTACGCCTGTTTTTCCCTTTGGAACATGAGAAAAAAAGTATTTCTTTCATGAGGTTCCTCTGAAGATTAAATAAAAATAATGCATGTGAAGTGCTTAGCAAAATACCTGATGTAGTTAAGAATTCAATAAATGTCAGCTATTATTATTATATCATTACTTCATGTCTTATAGTCTCCAATTAACAAGCCAGCTCCCCATCCCCTGGATGTGACTTGCTTGTCCTGATCTTGGAGCCTTTGCACAGATCAGTATTGTTCAGTTTATCCATTGCTCCCAAACAGGGGCTTAACGTAATTCTAATCATTTATTTTGCTCAGAATTCTGGCGGTTGATTGGGCTGAGCCAAGCAGTTGTTTTCACATGAGGTCTCTCATGCAGCTGTAGTCATATAGGGATAGGGCTGGGCTTCCAGAGACTTCTTCACTCTGGCACCTTTGTTGGAAGGGCTCAAACAGCTGGGGCTTGAAACAGCTAGAGCTCTTCAGGGATCTCTCTTTCTCTTTCCCACCACCCTTTCTCTGGAATCTCTAGATTATCTTTCTACATGGCGACCTCAGAGTAGCTGACTTCTTAAAAGGAAGATGAAGGCTCTCAGAGCAAGCATCGCAAGACATTTGCAGAGGTGATGTCTTGATGAGCTAGCCTTGGGGGTCTGTTAGTTGAGGCAGTCACAAAGGCCAACCCAGGATCAGGGGAGAAGACATAGACTCTACCTCCTGATGGGCAGTGGCAAGGCTGTGAAAGAGCATCAGGGATGGGAACTACTGTTGCAGTTACTTTTGGAAAATTCATTTGCCACAATTATTTAACTCCTTTATTGTTAATTTTTGTCCCTCCTCTCCTTCAAATACCAGTTCAAAACTAACTTACTAGTGAGGTCTTACCTTATTAACTCTCCTTGATGTGGGTTTCTTCTTTCTCCTATAGCTCTCACCATGTAGGTCCCTTTTGATTTTTATATGACATCCAATTATCTTTTCTTGTGCCTCTGTATCTGTCAATACTCCCACAGTACCCACAACCAGACAGCACTCTTTTTTTTGTGTGTGAGACAGGGTCTCACTCTGTCACCCAGACTGGAGTGCAGTGGCGTGATCTTGATCTTGGCTCACTGCAGCCTGGATTTCCTGGGTTCAAGTTATCCTCCCACATCCTGAGTAGCTGGGACTACAGGCATGTGCCACCGCACTCGGCTAATTTTTGTATGTTTTGTAGAGACAGGGTTTTGCCAAGTTGCCCAGGCTGGTCTCAAGTGATCCTAGGCTCAAGCGATCCTCCTGCCTTGGCCTCCTAAAGTGCTGGGATTACAGGTGTGAGCCACTGCAGCCAGCCTAGACAGTACTCTTTAAGTAATGTTGACCAGCTACCTGAAAGAGTTTACTAAAAATCTCCAATTAGGGTTTTTCCAATAACTTTAATCAGCTAGTGATCAAATGTTGACTGGTTCTCTCGGCATTAAAAATTCTCACACTTTTTCAGACTGACCCCCAACTCTGGTCCATGCTGCACTTTAGGGAAGGCCAAGTTCTCCACCCGTTTGTTTTCTCACATGTTATCACATCTAGGCATAAAGATTGATAGACACTGATAGACAGTGGGTCAGGATAGATCCATAATAACAGTTAGCATTTGTTCAGCACTTTACTGATTTTGGAAAGTGCTTTAACAACAGGGATTCTGAAACATAGCTGTTACAGTTATTATTCTCCTTAATAGTGAGAAAGCTGAGGCTCACGGGAGTTGGTACTTGAAATCACATAGCATTGAACCTATGCTCTGACCCTAAATCCTGGACTTCCTCCCCTTGCTTGAGGAAGGCCTCTGGCTTGGCCCCACTGGATCTCGGAAATTGCCTTCTACCTTCTAGTCTTTGTTGAGGGTACTGAACTTTGATGAAATCTCTTCTACAGTTCTAGCCCTACCTTCTCTATTATAATCATCTGGGTGATCTGGGACTCAGAGCTTTGTTTTCCTCACATGGTCTTGCCTCTGCTTCTTTGATTATTTACCCTGGAGATTGTGTTGCTTGGGCGCCCTATGAGCTTGGTTACTTTGAAAAAATGCACTCCCATTAGGGGAAATTGTGTGTGTGTTCTAGGAGGATGGTCTGAGAAATAGTGCTTAATAAAATAGGAAGCACAGAATGGGCAAAAGGACAGGAAGGTAGCTACAGAAGGTAGAGAAAAGAATCTCCCAAAGTGGTAACTTTGAAGTTCTCTTTTCTTCAGTTGAGGAGAGAACAGGCAGATGCAAAACTGATGCTGTCTCTGCCTCTGACTCTGCTGGTATCTGCCGCTGACTGCAGAATGATACTTACGTCATCAGGGACTCTTCACTGAGAATTGGCTTCATTTTATTTTCTGTCTTGATGATCAAATATTTGGTGAATGTAGTTAGGGTGCTGTTGCAAGAACCAGGACATAAACCAGGCAAAGGATAAGAATCCACTTAATACAATAATCCTTGCAGTACCAAGCATTATACAGTGTTTTTATTCTTCAAAGCAGTTTCCATCTATTGTTATACCTACCCTCATCACAGACTTGTAAGGAAGAACCTGGGCATGAAGAAGGAGCCATCTCCCTCCAAGTGACTTAGTTTCCCTTTTCTCCTCTCCTTCCTTCTGCCTGGGTTCCCATAGGACACACTTTTTTGACAGATCTTTCCAGCTTTTGAAATTGCCCCCTTCTGATATAACTTAGCTCCTTGATCTATCCTCCCTTGAATAGAGTGCCTTCCCTCCCTGGTAGTAATTAACAGGGGAGCCCGCTCATCTGTGTGGCTGCCCAGACTGTCATCATCAATCTCACGGAGAGCCCTTTATATGAAAGCTACAAGATTAGAAAATAAATTGGCTAGGGCAGAAAGATTACCAACTCAGGCTAGGAACCCGCATGTTCAGGAAGATGTGGTGGGGAGGGGTGCTGAGGAGGGAAGAATGAGGTAACTAGCTGGCAGCACAGATCCTCCTGGAATCCAAGGTCCTTTTTCCCTCTCTACCAGATTTATGCCCTGTCTCATTTCAGCTACCATTGTCTCAGTCAGCATCTACACCTACTTTGTATTGTGTGCTTATTTATCTTCGACATGCATCGGGGAAGATAATGGAGACAAGTAGTACTTGCCTTTAGGGAACCTCAGGCCTGTTGGAAAGGCACCTGCAAAAGACCTAAGAACCTGGAAGCAGCAGAGTACATCACTTGAAAGGAAGAGTAAAGGCACCACAGCCCACAGCAGGAGTGCTTACTGTCTGTACCATCAGTTTGGTAGAGATAACAAATCTCCCCTTCTCTCTGATTTTACTTGCAAGTCTTATTTGGCAATTAATTGACTTCAGCAAGAGATGTTCATTGATCCTAAGTTGATGTGCCTGCACTGTGCTAGACAGAGGTTGTGGGGATTTAATTTATAAGAATATACTTAACATGAGGTATGTGTTCAAAAAATAGGAAAGTAATAGTCATTCCAGGTGCCAGAGGAGTGACATATCTAACACACATTTTAAAAGGTTTTCCCTGGTATTGTGAATACACAAGGGGTTCAAGAGAAAACATGAGAGAACTATTAAGCTATTACAGTAGTCTAGTCAAGAGATGATGGGCATAATTATGGAGTTAAAAATCTGTTGTTTTGACTATGGCATAGATACAAACTTCTTTAACTGTGGAAAAAGATAGGTTTCTGTTTTTTTTTTTTGCCTTTCACCCATTCATTTTATCTTTAATACGGCTTTTGGTCAGAGATGAAAAGGAGATTATTATAAATGGACCCTCAAGTCAAGAGATAAATACATTAAAAGATATTTACATAGCATAGCAGGCTGGGCACCACCTATACCTGCAGACAAGTTTTTTGAGGTTAGCGAGTTGGCTGATTTAATTGCTACTTCATCTAACCTTCATGACTTCACAATCCATAGCCATTTATTTTGTATCATAATAATCCCTTGTGTATGTGCAGCACTTGGAGTTTTATAGTTTGAGAATTTTCATGTATATTCTTCTTTTATAACAGCTTTTTGAGATATAATTCATATGCCATGAGATTCACCTAAGGTCGTGCACCCATTATCACTGTCTATAATTCCAGAAATTTTCATCACCCCAAAAATAAACCTCAAGCCCATTAGCAGTCACTTCTCATTCCCGCTCCCTACAGTCCCACCAGGCAACCACTAGTCTACCTTATCTCTATGGATTTGCCTATTTGGGACATTTCATATAAACGGAATTATACAAAATGTGGTCATTTGTATCTGGCTTCTTTCACTTAGCACGATACTTTAAAGGTTCATTGTGGTGTAGCATGTATCAATACTTCATTTTTTTATGCCAATTAATATCCTGTTATGTGGATATACCGCCTTCTATTTATCTGTTCATCAGTTGATGGACACTTGTTTCTACTTTTTGGCTATTATGAATAATGCTGCTATGAACATTTGTGTATAAGTTTTATGTGGGCATATGTTTTTATTTCTCTTGGTTGTATATGTAGGAGGGGAGTTGCTGGATCATATGTTAGCTCTGTGTTTAGCATGTTAAGGAACTACCAAACTTTTCCAAAGTGGTTGTACCATTTTACATTCCCACCAGCAATCTGTGAGGGTTCTAGTTTCTCCACATCCTCTCCAGCAGTTGTTATTATCTTTTTTTTTTTTTTTTGAGATGGAGTCTCGCTCTGTTGCCCAGGCTGGAGTGCAATGGCACAATCTTGGCTCACTGCAACCTCCCCCTCCCTGTTTCAAATGATTCTTCAGCCTCAGCTTCCCAAGTAGCTGGTATTACAGGCGCATGCCACTGCGTCTGGCTAATTTTTGTATTTTTAGTAGAGATGGGGTTTCACCATGTTGGCCAGGCTGATCTCAAACTCCTGACCTCAGCTGATCTGCCCGCCTTGGCCTCCCAAAGTGTTGAGATTACAGGCGTGAGCCACCGTGCCTGGCCTATTATCTGTCATTTTATTATAGCTGGACAGTGGGCATAAAGTAGTATCTCATGGTTTTGATTTGCATTTCCTTAATGACTAATGATGTTGAGCATCTTTTTATGTGCTTATTGGTCATTTGTATATCTTGGTTAGAGAAATATCTGTTCACGTCCTTTGCCCATTTTTTATTTAAGTTATTCGTCCCTTTATTGTTGAGTTTTAAGAGTTCTTTATAGATTCTGTATACTAGACCCTTGTCAGAGACATATGATTGGCAAATAATTTCTCCCATCTCATGGATTGTCTTTCCACTTTTATTGATAGTGTCTTTTGACACACAAGACGTTTTAATTTTAATTATGTCTAATTTCTTTTGTTGCTATGCTTTTGGTGTCATGTCTGATAAACCATTGCCTACCTCAAAAGTCACGAAGATTTACTCTCATGTTTCTTCTAAGAGTTTCATAGTTTAACTCATATAGTCTATGGTCCATTTTGAGTTAATTTTTATGTATGGTATGAGGTAGGGGTCCAACTTCGTACTTTTGCTTATGGATTTCTGATTGTCCCAGCCCCATTTGTTGAAAAAACTATTCTTTCTCCATTTAATTGTCTTGGCACCTTTGTTAAAAATCAGTGGACCCATAAATGTGATGGCCTATTTCTGGTTTCTCAGTTCCATTCCATTGATCTCTGTCATTATGCCAGTACTACACTGAAGCTTGGTAATAGGTTTTGAAATCAGAAAGTGTGAGTTCTCCAACTTTGAGTTTTTTTCAAGACTATTATGGCCGTTCTGGGTCACTTATATTTCCATATGAATTTTAGGATCAGCTTGTCAATTTCTATTAAAAAATCAACAGAGATTTTGATAGGGATTGCATCAAATCTGTAGATAACTTTGTGGAGTAGTATCATCTTAACAATTTTAAACCTTCCAACCCATAAACATGGATGTCTTTCTATTTATTTAGGTCTTTACTTTTTTAAATGATGGTTTTTAGTTTTCAGTGTACAAGTCTTGCACTTCTTTTCTCAAATTTATTCCTAGGTATTGTATTCTCTTTAATGCTATTGTGAATGGAATTGTTATTTTTAATTTCATTCAGATTTTTTATTGCTAATGTATAGAAATACAATTGAATTCTGTATCTTGATCTTGCATCCTGCAACCTTGCTGACTTTGTTTTTATTGTAATAGGTTTTGTTGTGGATTCCCTATATTTTCTCTATGCAAGATCATTCCATGTATAGAGATAAGTTTTTCTTCTTCCTTTCCCACGTGGATGGCTATTTCTTTTTCTTGTCTAATTTCCCTAGCTAGACTCAGCACATTGTTGCACAGAAGTAGTGAAAGTGGCCATCCTCAGTTTATTCCTGATCTTAGGGAGAAAGCATTCAGTTTTTCACCATTAAGTATGATAGCTTTGGCTTTTTTATAGATGATGTTCATCAGGTAGAGGATTTCTATTTCTAGTTTGCTGAATTTTTTTATTGTAAAAGGGTGTTGGATTTTGTCAGACGCTCTTTTTACATCTATTGAGATGATCATGGTTTTGTTCTTCAATCTCTTAATATAGTATGTTACACAAATTGAGATTCATATGTTAAACCAACCTTGCATTCCTGGGATAAATCCCACTTGGTCATGGTAAAGAATCCTTTATCCATATTGCTGGATTCAATTTGCTGATATTTTGATGAGGATTTTTGCAAATAGAGTCTTATTGGATCCTTGAAACAACCCTATGTGATTAGGGTCCATATGAAGAAACTGAGGCATAAGTTGTTTGCCTGTGACCACATAGTGTCAAACTGGAACAGGAATGCAAGACTTTTGAATTTAGTCTAACTTTTTTTCCACTGCTTTATTTGGCCTCTCGTTTAGCATCTATAACCCACAGTTGATTCCATTTATTTAAACGATTTCCTTTTATGAAACACCATCATTACTGTCTTGGACTGAAAACTTCCAGAGGGTGGTCTTGTTAATGCTCTCATTACATGACCACCTAATCAGGACTTAATATTGGATCCATTTGAGGTGATAATGAAATTTACATCCTTGATGGTTATTATTTTGATTTTAAATATATCCTTGTCATTGTCTCTTTTTTGATTCAGGAGCATTACAGGGCAAGGACATGCCTGTGATTCTGCTTTCTTTTTTGGTGTTCAGCATTTGCCATCCTCAAATACTTGACACATACTTGATAAAGGCTTTAGGATTGGAAGGATGCATGTCTATAGTGCCCACCTGAAAGCATCTAAGGACAGGTTCTGTTGGCCAAGGATCCACTTGGCCTGAAATCTCTGTGTTCTTCTCTTCAGCCTGTACTGTGTACCCCATCACATCACTCTCTTTCCCATCTTCCTACAGAGCAACTGGCATGTCAGAGACTGTAATTGCTGAGAATTTACTGACAGAATCTCAACATTAAATCTTTTGCTTTCTCCACCTTTTCTGATGTGTGCACAGGCTATTACACATTTCACATTTAGATATCCAGAAAAGCTCTTTGGGGCAGCTTGGAAGAGTGGGTGGGGAGCACATGGACAGACATTTACCTGGAAGTATATAACATTTTGCTGGCTTTTGAATTCAAATGAATGCTTTTAAATTCTCAATGCCTACATTTAATGCAGTTGCTTTATCGATATCAGCATTGTAATTTATCCTTGCTGTGAACTCCTTAGCTCTTGCTCTAGTATAAAATAGGAAAAAAATGACCATTCATTTTAATGTTAGTCAAAGCCCAACATCCCTAAGAATATATCTGCTGCAAAACAAAACCCCGTATTATATTACAAAGGCAAATGAAAGTGTGCTTTGTAAAAATTATCTGTCTTTGCTGATTATTTGTGTTGCTTCTCCATTAATATGTGTGTTTGGAACTTGCCTATGCATTAATTGATTAAATAATCATATGTATGTACAAACAGATAAAATGCAAGACTGTATGTACATATTGTGATTTTCTTCCATTTTAAATTCAAAGACCATAGCCTCATTTTAGGATCTAGCAGCACTATGACCTGGACAATAAACAGAATGTTTTGGGACAGCCTTATATTACCACTAAAAAGAGCGAGTACCTGCATCTCTATAATTGAGTAAGGGAATGTTTAGTTTCTAATATGGACCCAGAATAATTTTTTTTCTTAATGCTGTTTTTTCTTTTAATCACTTTATTAAGGTATATTTGATGTACAATAAATGTGCACACTTACAGTATATAATTTGATGTGTTTTGACATACATGTACATCTGTGACACTATCCCCACAATCAAGATAAAAAACATACCCATCACCTCCAAAAGTTTCCTCATGTTCCTTTGTAATCCGTCTCTCTCTTCTTCTTTTTTTTTTTTTTCTGAGACAGAGTCTCGCACTGTCGCCCAGGCTGGAGTGCAGTGGCGTGATCTTGGCTCACTGCAAGCTCCGTCTCCCAGGTTCACGCTATTCTGCCTCAGCCTCCCGAGTAGCTGGGACTACAGGCGCCCGCCACCACACCTGGCTAATTTTTTTGTATTTTTAGTAGAGATGGGGTTTCACCATGTTAGCCAGGATGGTCTCGATCTCCTGACCTTGTGATCTGCCTGCCTTGGCCTCCCAAAGTGCATCTCTCTTCTTTTCTCCCCTCTCCCTTCCCTAGGCAACTACTTGCCTCCTTTCTCTCACAGTAGATCAGTTCACATTTTCTATAATTCTATGTAAATGTAATCATACACTATATGCTCATTTCTTGTCTTTTTTCAACCAACACAATTATTTTGCAGTGGATCTATATTGGTGTGTCTATCAATAGTGTGTTCCTTTTCATTGCTGAGTAGTATTCCATTTTATGAGTAATTTGTGTATCTGTTCACCTGTTCATGGACATCTGGGCTGCTACAAATAAAGCTGCTGTGAACATTCATGTACAGGTCTTTGTGCAGACATGTTTACATTTTTCTTCTCTAAATCCTAGAAGAATGGCTGGGTCATATGATAAATGTGTGTTTAATGTCATAAGAAATTTCCAAATTGTTTCTCAAAGTGGTTTTATAATTTCACATTCCCACTGGCAGTGTATCCTATTCCCAGTTGTTCTATATCCTGGTCAACACTTGGTAAGTTCAGTCTTTTTAATTTTAACCATGTTAGTACATACATAGTAACATCTTATTGTGGTTCTAATTTGCATTTCCCTGATGACTAATAATAATTTTATGTGTCATTTTGTCATGTATATGCCTTTTTTTGTTGAAGTATTTGTTTGGGTCTTTTATCCATTTTCAGTGTCTTTTAAAACTTGTTTAAATTTGCATACAGTAAAATGCTTTGTCTTTTGAGGAACAAAAGTTCTTAATTTTGATGAAATCCAATATATAAGGTTTTTCTTTTATAGTTTGTACTCTTTGTATTTAATGAATAAATCTTTGCCAATTTCATAGCCACTAAGATTTTCCTCCTCTGTTTTCTTCTAGACATTTTATGGTTTTAGCTCTTACATTTAAATCTGTGATTTATTCTTCGTTACTTTTTGTGTAGTGTGTGAGAGAAGAGTTGAGGTTAATTTATTACTGTTTTTTGCATATGAGGTCCAGTTGTTCTGGCACCATTACTTGAAAATCATATTCTTTCCTCATTGAATTGTGTTGGCATCTTTGCTGAAAATCCATTGATCGTATATGTGTGGTCCAGACTCTACTGTGTTCCACTGATCTATATCAAAAACACACTGATTTGATTATTGTAGCTTTACAATATGTTTTAAAATCAGTTAATCAAGTCTTCCAATGTTGTTCTTCTGTTTCCAGAATTGTTTTAGTATTCTAGGTCTTTTTCATTTCTTTTTTTTTTTTTTCTTTTTGAGACAGAGTCTTGCTCTGTCAGCAGGCTGGAGTGCAGTGGCACGATCTCGGCTCACTGCAACCTCCGCCTCCCAGGTTCACGCCATTCTCCTGCCTCAGCCTCCCAAGTAACTGGGACTACAGGCGCCCGACACCACGCCCAGCTAATTTTTTTTGTATTTTTAGTAGAGACGGGGTTTCACCATGTTAGCCAGGATGGTCTCAATCTCCTGACCGCATGATCCGCCCACCTTGACCTCCCAAAGTGCTGGGATTACAGGCATGAGCCACCGCGCCCGGCTGGTCTTTTTCATTTCTATATAGATTTTGGAATCAATTTGTCAGTTTCTGTAAAAGTGCCTTCTGAGATTATGATTGGGATTGTGCAGAAACCATAGATCAGTTCAGAGAGAATTGGCATTTTAACAACATTCAGTTTGTCAGTCTATAAATACCATGTATTTCTTCTTTTATTTAGGTCATTAAGTTCTCTCAGCAATGTTTTGTAGTTTTTAGTGTCAAGTCTTATACATTTCTTATCAAATTTATCCCTATTTCATATTTTTGAGGCTATTTTAACTGGTAGTATTTAATTATCAATTTTCATTTATTTTTGTTGGTATGTATAAACATACTTGATTTTTATATATAGATTTCATATCCTGAAACCTTGCTAAATTTACCTATTCTCTCATAGCTTTTTTGTTAATTCTCTAGGATTTTAGAATCAGCTTGCTTGATTCTAAGTCATGTTGTCTGGAAATATGACAGTTTTACCTCTTCATTCCAATCTGTATGTTTTATGAGTTTTGGAGAATATCAGGATTTTAGAACTTCTTGGTAGACCTTTGGAGCAGATGTTAGATTCTCTCTTACCAGAAATTCTTTAAAAATCAAAACAAAAGAAATTATTAAATCCTCTTCTCCGTTTCTTTTTTTTTTTTTTTTTTTTTTTTTGAGACGGAGTCTCACTCTGTTGCCCAGGCTGGAGCACAGTGGCGCGGTCTTGGCTCACTGCAACCTCCACCTCCTGGGTTCAAGTGATTCTCCTGCCTGAGCCTCCCAAGTAGCTGGGATTACAGGTGCGTGCCACCACGTCCGGCTAATTTTTTGTATTTTTAGTAGAGACAAGGTTTCACCATGTTAGCCAGGATGATCTCGATCTCCTGACCTCGTGATCCACCTGCCTCGACCTCCCAAAGGGCTGGGTTTGCAGGCATGAGCCACTGCGCCCGGCCTTCTCCATTTCTTTATTAATTCAGTGAACATTTAGTACCCACTGTATCAGACACTAGTGATTCATGGAAGAGACGGACATACAAACAAATAATTATAATTTAACAAGTAAGTGTAATAAGTGCCATGGTAGTTATGATACAGAGTGTGCTGGGAATTTAGAGGCAGGACCATTCAGAATCTGGGCAGTGAGATGATCTCTGCAGACCCTGCTGTTCTGGAAGGGTATGACTGCCTGAGGAATACTTGGAGGTCATTGATAAGAAAGTATTTAAACTGAGCTATCTGGGGAAGTTCCACCTCTTCGCCATCCTGATTGTCCATATTTGCTTTATTATTATGGGGAGCCTGAAAGGAATACATCTTTATCAATAGTTCTTCTCCTTCCTATTTTCTTTTTTAAATCTTAATGGTATGGCAGCAGCCTTAGCTTCTAGCCTTAAATCTCACTAGTCTGGATGTCGTGGGGTGTGCCTGTAGTCCCAGCTACTTGGGGGCTGAGGTGGGAGGATCGCTTGAGCCCAGGAGGTGGAGACTGCAGTGAGCTGAGATTGTGCTACTGCACTCCAGCCTGGATGACAAAGCAAGATTCTCTCTCAAAATAAATAAATAAATAAATAAATAAATAATAAAAACTCTATTATGGAAAATTTCAAACAAGAGTAGGATGAGATAAGGAACAACAGTTATCAACTCATGCCAATTTCATTTTGTCTACACTCCTACATACCCTTCATCAGATTATGAAGCAAATCACAGACATTTTATCTGTAAATTTTTCAGTATGTATCTCTAAAAGATGAAAACGCTTAAAAATACAGTCACAATACTGTTACCACACACACAAAATGAACAGACGCCAAACAACCTAACAACAGAGAAAAATAATTTTAAAAACAGGAATATTAGGCTGGGCACCGTGGCTCACGCCTGTAATCCCAGCACTTCAGGAGGCCGAGGCAGGTGGATCACTTGAGGCCAAGAGTTTGAGACCAGCCTAGCCAACATGGTGAAACCCTGTCTCTACTAAAAATACAAAAATTAGCTGGGTGTGGTGGCAGGTGTCTATAATCCCAGCTACTCGGGAGGCTGAGGCAGGAGAATCGCTTAAATCTGAGAGGCGGAGGTTGCAGTGAGCCAAGATCGTGCCACTGCAGACAGAGCAATAGTCTGTCTCAAAAAAAATAAAAAGATAAAATAAATAAAAACAGTAATATTAGAAGTAGCTCCCTTTTGTTGCTCGCTGACCATGTGCCAGGCCTGTAATGGGTGCTATGGGTGCCTCATTCAGTCCTCACAATAGACACCTGGGGGTTTAGGTCTTATTTGTGATTGGCTGGGTAGTCTGACTCCTGGCAAGCGTTTTTCCTACTGTTCTTTTGTTGTTTCATTACGGATTAAAATCTTAGAGATATCCACACACTCCTGGTTTATTTTTAAGACTGCAGTAGTCATCACATCACTCTTCCAATCCCCATATTGTGAAAAGGTATCTCTCCCCCTCCTCAGTTGAGAATTCCCAGAGGGCAGGGACCATAATAGCAAAGTGACTGGCACCTGGTGGAAATTCAGTAAATGTTTTTGATTGGGTGAATGAGTGTATCTGGCTCCCCCTGGGAGACATGCTCGTTGGGCCAGGTCGCCAAGAGTCCCATGGCTGACCTTCCATCCCAGTGCTTCCTCCTCCAGTGGAAAGAGGCACTAATCCACACATGCCTGTGCTGCATGCAGTAAGGCCCTTCAGGATATTGTGACCATTAGCAGACACACACTGCGCATTACTGAGGACCTAGAGTGTAATTATGGCAGTAGACCTTCAGGCTGCAAAGATGGATAAGACAATCCCTGCCTCAAGTAGCTCAAAGACCATTAAATAGATGACCACAGTGCAAGATGAATGCAGTGATGGCGATGTGCCCTGTGAGTTAGGAGCAGGGTAAAGATAACCCAGCCAGGGGAGGAGAGTGGGGTTGCTTGTTTGTTTGATAAATACTCATATAGTACTTATGTACCAGGCACTGTTCTAAGAACTTTGCACATAATAATTCCTTTAATCCTCATAACAGCCTGTGAGCGTCCCCATTTCATAGCTGCGTATAATGAGACAGAGCATTAAGCACCTTACCCAAATCACACAGCTGGTAAGTAGTAGAACTAGGATTCAGATCTAGGCAGTGTGGCCCTAGGTTCTGTCCTCTTAACCACTATATCAAGCAGTCTCTGAAATTCCTGAAGTAGAGGGGAAAATGAGAAGCATAGACAATTTGTATCAAATTGTCCAGGATGTATTGTTTAACTGGCTATGTGGTCAGAGAAAAGGAAGAGTCAAGATTGATTGCCAGAATTCCTACCTGGGGCTTGAGAGAATACGAGAGGAGGACAGAGGTGTGGTGCATGGAGATGAGTTTGTCAGTGTGTTGAGTTTGAGCATCTGTTGGCTGTGTTGTCCCCTAGAGAGTTCCATATGGAGCCTGAAATCTAAAAGAGACTGAAGGCTGAAGACAAGAATGAGAGTCCGCATTGTTACAAAAGTTGGTTAAAAGGAGAGTACGCACTGTCTCCTAAGAAGGAAGGGTAGGATAAAGTAGCAAGTCTGAAAGCAAGAGGAATCAACATTGTTGCATGCAGAGAGAGGTCCAGTGAGATGAGATCTGGAAAAGAAAATGCTCTGAACTTCTCAGTTGAGGGGCTGTTGGTAATCTTACTGAAAACAATCTCATCAGAGTTCTAGAGGCAGAAGCCAGATTGCAGTGGATTGAGGGGTAAGTGGGAGGTGAGAAACTGGAGACAGTCGATGTAGACGACTCTTCCCAGGAGTCTGGATGAGAAGTGGAGAAAAGAGATTGGTTGATTGGTAATAGCTAGAGGGGATTGTTGGGTCAAGGAAATATTTTTTCCTTTAAGAGAGAATTGGATCACTTTAGCCCAGGAGTTTGAGGCTGCGGTAAGCTACAGTGGCACCACTACACTCCAGCCTGGACAACAGAGCAAGACCCTGTCTCAAAAAGAGGAGAAAAAAAAAGAGAGAGAGAGAATTGAATAAATTTCTGGGCTGAGGAGAAAGAGCCAATACAATTAGATCTTGAAGATTTAGGAGAGGCATGAGTGAGATTTGAGCTTGAACTAGAGGGAAAAGGCTAAGATGAGTGTGAGGAGCTTGTAGGTAGAGGTAGGAAATTGAAGAAGAACAGTGCTTAAAGGCTCCAGTTATTTTTATGTGGTAAGAGGCAATACAATCTAATGATAGGGAGAGGGTGGGCTTTAAATATGGAGGCTGAGGAGAGCTGTAAAGTTTTAGCGTTGTGGTGGAAAAGGTCATGGAAACACTAATAAAACCGTGATTGGAGGCACCAAAGGCCTCAGCAAGGCTGGAGACCTTGAATCTGCATGTTAGATCACACAGCAGTGTGATTTTTCCCTAGCTGAGTGCAGCTAACAAAGTAGAAGTAAAGCCCGAAAATGGGAGCTTTTCTCCAGAGCTAGTTTGTTGGACAAATTTGATGGGAGGACTGGGGATACAAAGGAATCAGGACTGCTGCCGTAGGTGATCAGCTATGGAATTCAGGCGAAAAGGAAGAGAAGCTGAGAGGACGTTGATACCTGGGAGGAAAATACCAGGGTCTGGTGATGTCACCAAGAAGAGCAAATGTGGTGAGACCAAATGTATGAGAGGAAACTGGAGCCTGTGTTTTTGAAGGTGGAAGTATTGTGAGCAATGTCAAGATTCAAAATGTAGTTCTGGGTGTGAGTAGTGGAGGTGGGGATGGGAGTGAAAGTCATGAAAATTAAGGGAAGAAAAGGAACTCAAAGTGGGTTGAAGGAGAGACACCCATAAATGGAGATTTGCTATACAGAATGAAAGGTGTTGTAATAGAGGGAGGGAGAATACCAAGTAAAGTAGGGGCCAAAAGGAAGGTGTGAGCAGCCATGCTGGGGGAGAGGTAGGGAAATGCTTCACCAAGAAGCATTAATGTTTGAGGAATTCATAGGGGCTTGAGGAATAAGCAGGAGTTTTTGCCAGGCATCCAAGGAGTAGGCATGGTGAGACATGGCTGTGCTACATACAGCAGCACAGGGAAAACCTAAACTGCCTTTGAAAGAAACCCACCCACCGGAGAAGGTTCTTGGTGTGTGTGTGTGTGTGTGTGTGTGTGTGTGTGTGTGAGTGATAGTGGGGAGTTATGAGCAGTTGGGGACAGACCCAAGTACATGATGGAAGGGAAATGGAATTCAGCCCTGCAAGTAAACCAGATTTCTATACAATAGAGCAATAGTGGCTAGAGGTCTGGCAGAGGTAGTCAGTTGTAGGCATCCAGGACTAGACAGCAGAGCAAAAGATGAGGAGTCCACCTGAATATTAGCCTGTCAACTTCATATACCTCCTCTTCCACATCACTGCCCTGTCAACGCCCCCTAAAAAGTACCCTTATCTAAAGACCTGCAACGACTTTGCACCAGACAAGGAAGGGAAATCTGGCTTGTGCCCTATTTTAGTTTTCTCCCTGAGACCTAGCTATAATGTTTCTTCATGTACATTAGACAGTAAATTTTGTTGAATGAATGGCCAAGAAATGATGAGGATGGCGGTGATGATGATTGCAACTAAAACTTATATAGCATCTACTACACACCAAGCACTGTTCTAAATGTTTTTCAATACTCAACAGCAATGCTGTGAAGTAGGTACTCTTTTTATCCAGAGTCAACACAGATGATTTAGCAAAAATACTGAACTAATACCTAGACAGAGAAACTACTTACTTTGGATATATGGGCAACAGTTACCCATTCAGAGTAGACAGTAAGGAAAGTAGTGTCTTCTGAGAATCTCTTATGAGAGTACTAGGAAGGACGTTTTCTTCATATCTGTAAAACCAGAAAAGCATGGAAGTGAAGGGCTGGTTCTTTGTTCATTTTGTTTGTGTTATCGTTTTTTTGAAATATATTGCACATATCATAAAATTCATCCATTTAAATTATATGGTTAAGTGATTTTTAGTATAGTCACAGTTGTGCCATTATCACATCCTAGTTTTAGAATTTTTCAGTATCCCAAATGGAAACCCTATGCTCTTCCCTTTCCTGCTCCCCACTCCTTCATCCCTGCCCCAGTTAGCCATTAATCTACTCTCTGTCTCTATGAATTTGCCTATTCTGAATATTTCACATACATGGATTCATATAACATGAAGTCTTTGTAACTGGCGTCTTTCACTTAGCATAATGCTTTCACGGTTCATCCATGTTGTAGCATGTATCAGGATTTCGTTCTTTTTTTAATTGCCAGTTAATATGTTATTGTGTGGATATGCCATCTTTTGTTTATCTGTTAATCAGTTGATGGACATTTGGGTAGTTTTCTACTTTTTGGCTTTTGTAAATACTGCTACTATGAACCTTCATGTACAAGTTTTTGTGTGAACACTTTTCACTTCTCTTGGGTATATACCTAGGAGTGGAATTGCTGGGTCATATAGCATATGTGTGTTTAACATTTTGAAGAACTGTGAAACTATTTTCCAAAGTGGCTGCCCTATTTTACATTCCCACCAGCAATGTATTAAGCTTCTCATTTCTCCACATCCTCACCAACACTTGTTATTTTCCATTACTTTTGTTCTAGTCATCCTAGTAGATGTAAAATGGTATCTCATTGTTGTTTTGATTTGCATTTCCTTAATAACTAATGATATTGAGCCTCTTCCATATGCATATAGGCCATTTGTATGTCTTCTTTGGAGAAGTATCTTTTCAGATCTTTGCCCATTTTTTAATTGTGTTGTCTTTTTATTGTTGATTTGTAAGAGTTCTTTATATATTCTGGTTACAAGTCCCTTATCAGATATGTGGTTTGCAAATATTTTCTCCCATCCTCTGGGCTGTCTTTTCACTTTCTTGATGGCATCCTTTGAAGCACAAAGGTTTTTTATTTTGATGAAGTCCAGTTTTTATATATTTTTTCTTTTTTTGCGTATGCTTTTGGTGTCATATCTAGAAAACCACTGCCTAACTCAAGGTCACAAAGATTTATTCCTATGTTTTCTTCTAAGAGTTTTACAGTTAGGTCAGTGATCCATTTTGAGTTAATTCTTGAGTTAATTCTTGTATATGATGTGAGGCAGGGGTCTAGCTTCATTATTTTGCATGTGGATATCCAGTTGTCTTAGCACCATTTATTGAAAAGTCTATTACCTCTCCACTGAATTGTCCTGGCACTGTTGTCAAAATGAATTGACCCTAAATGTGAGAGTTTATTTCTGGATGTTCTGTTTTATTGATCTATGTCTATCCTTATGCCAGTCGCATACTGACTTGCTTACTGTAGCTTTCTGGTAGATCTTGAAATCAGGAATTATGAGTCCACCAACTTGATTCTTTCTCAGGATTGTTTTAGCTATTCATTTTCATATGAATTTTAGGGTCAACTTCTCAATTTCAAAAAAAATTGAGATTTTAATAGGGATTTCATTTAATCTGTGGATCAATTTGTGGAATGTTGCCATCTTAACTATCTTAAATCTTCCACTCTGTAAACATGGATGTCTTTTCATTTAATTGTTTTCCGTGATATTTTATAGTTTTTAGTATACAGGTCTTGCACTTATTTTGTTAAATTTATTCCTAGATATTTTATTCTTTTTGCCGCTATTAATATGGGATTGTTTTCTTAATTTCATTTTTGTATTGTTCACTGCTAGTGTATAGAAATACAATTTTTCAGTCCAAGTATGGTGGCTCATGCCTATAATCCCAGCACTTTGGGAGGCTGAGATGGGAGGATCGCTTGAGGCCAGGAGTTTGAGACTGGCCTGGGTAATGTAGCAAGACCCATCTCTACAAAAAATTTAAAAATAAAAATTAGCCAGGCTAATTATCTACTTGGGAGGCTGAGGTGGGAAGATCCCTTGAGCCCAGGAGTTTGAAGCTGTAGTGGGCTACGATCACACAACTGCACTACAGCCTGGGTGACAGAGCAAGACCCTGTCTCTTAAAGAAAAAAAGAAATGCAATTTTTCATATGCTGATCTTATATCCTGCAGCTTAGTTCTAATTTTTTTGTGTGGGCTCCTTAGGATTTTCTGTATGCAAGATCACATCATCTGTGAAAAGAGAGAGTTTTACTTTTTCCTTTTCCATCTGGATACCTTTTATTTCTTTTTCTTGCCTAATTGCCCTGGCCAGAACTCCCTAGTTCAACATTGAATGGAAGTGGCTAGAGCAGACATTCTTGTGTTTTTAAAATTTATTTTATTTTTTATAGAGATGGGATCTCGCTGTGTTGCCCAGGCTGGTCTCAAACTCCTAGGCTCAAGCAGTCCTCCCTCCTTGGCCTCCCTAAGTTTTGAGGTTACAGGCATGAGCCATCACACCCAGCCCAGATATTCTTGTCTTGTTGCTGACCTTAGGGGCAAGTCTTTCCCTGTTGAGTATGATGTTAGCTGTGGGGTTTTCATCTGTTTTTGAGGGAAGGGTGAGATTGAATTTGATAGGTGCTCCAGGCAGCAGGTTCATGTTGAGAAGAAAGCAAGAGAGGTTCAGATTGAGATTCAGCTGATGCATATTGAATCGAGTGTGTGAGGAGAATGAGAGCCTTTTTACATTGGAATGAAGTGGCAAATAATAAGATTACAGGTCCTGGATATCTTAGTGTCTTTCAGCGTTTCCAGCCAGGTAGACTGGCTTTACCCTCCATAGAAGTTTTCCAGCTAGCTTAGACTAGCTCATGAATCTGTGTTAGTAAGGAGTCCTGTGTTTAGATCAAATTATGGTTCAGAGTCAGGTTTAGAATCCAGGAGAAATAAAAGATAAGTATGCATCCCTTGTGGGTACCCTTTAAGAGCCTAGCTCAGTACCACCAACCTTAGGATAGCTCTCCTTGATGAGTTCCATTTTCTGATGACTATGTTTATTACTCAGTACATTCTGTGTACAGTTGGCACTTTGTGGATTTGGACTTAACTTCTCTTATTTGTACATTGCACAAACTTAAGTCTGTTTTGCCTGTGTCTCCTAACTCCTCAAGATTGTATGTTTCCTAAGGACAAGAACCATGCCTGCACCTTAATATATGCCTCAAATGTCAAAGCATTTCTCTGTACCAGTAAATAGTTGTTAACTGTTGATAAGGGTAAATATGGTCATAAATACAAAGATCTCTGAGTCATTTGGGAAGCATATTAAGTATAAGTCCATTTTATACTGGATAAGCAGACTTTTCATAGAGGTGAAGATCCCCTAAAAGTCATGATTTTAAGATGTGACACAGAGACACTTGGGTTTTTAAAAATGTGCAGAGACATTCATACTAAACTGCCCCCTAGGATTTATTTAGTTTCATTCTTAATTATCTACAGGTGATATACTGGGCAGTCTGACTTTTTACTTCCCATGGACCTTATCAGCATCTCTGCTAACCCCTACTCCTGAGTGCAATCTTGTAGTTCAACAATAGCTAGGAGGAAAAGCCTTTGAAAACAAATCCATGCCTTGCCTTTTGTTTCTTTCCCCACCTTGTGAAGGAATGAAGTAGGACTTAGGAGAACAGCTCCCTTTGGATCCCTCTCAAAGGTGATACCATTGGCTCCCAGCTTAGAGTAAGAAGCTCTGAGAAGTTGAATGAAGGGTGAGATAGAGATGCTGAACCCATTCTTCCAGCTTCTTCTAGTGTTGTTATTTCCAGAATGGCCAACACCCCTACATTGATACATAAACACATTCCAAGGCCTTGTGTAATACAAAGTTCACCGTCCTCCTGGAATAGGAGCCCTGGGTTCTAGTTCTCACTCTGCCACTGGGGGAAAATCCAATTAAAGTCTGGTTTAGTCAGCTTGGGTCACCATAGACTGGGTGGCTTAAACAGCAGACATTTATTTCTGGTAGTTTCTGGAGGCTACAAATCTAAGAGCAAGGTGCCAGCATGGTCACATTCTGGTGAGGGCCCTCTTCCTGGCTTGTAGACGGCTGCCTTCTCACCGTGTGCTCACATAGCCTTTCGTGTGTGTGTGTGTGTGTGTGTGTGTGCGTGCGTGCAAGCTTCCTGATGTCTCTTCTTAGAAGGACACCAACCCCATCATGAGAGCCCTACTCTCATGACTTAGCCTAACCCTAATTACCCTCCAAAGGCCCCATCTCCAAATGCCATCACATTGGAGGGTAGAGCTTCAACATAGGGATTTTGGGGGACACAAACATTCAGTCCATAACAAAGGCTGTAGTCCTTAGTTTCCTTGTCTGTGAAATGAGAGTGTTGAGATTCTTTCTAGCCTTTATCATTTATAATTCTGTGAGATGTAGATTTGCATTATTTTCGAGTTTGAGTTATATGAAATGTTTCCCTCTACATTTTCTTGGGCAACTGAGAACTGAATAGGGCTAGGTTTAAATAGAGTTAGGCAGTTAGGCTTATTCTTTTATTTAATAAGCATTTTTGGAGCATCTACGGTGTTCCAGGAACTGAACTGTTTGTAAACATTGGAGCTGTAACAGAGAACAAAAGAGACAAAAAAAAAAAAAACAAAAAAAAAAAAACCTTTGCCTTCTTGGAGCTTACATTACATTCTAAACAAATTAAATAAGAAAGTTATTTGTTAGATATTACTGTGTATTAGATAATATGGTTACAGAGACAGAACAGGAAGTATCAGGAATGTGGGATTGCAATTTTAGATAAGGCGGTCAGAGAAAAGATCACCTTAGGTGGTATTTGTGTCAAGAAGGGAGAGAGAATGTTTAATTCTGTGTGGCCAGATTGGAAACTGAGACCCTGCTAGGGAAAGCACCTTAACCAAAAATCGTACGGTAGCCTTGTTCTTCCTCCCAGATGCTGACAACTCACTTCTGTGTGCACATACTCCTCCCCCCGCCGCACAACCCCATCATTCTGTTTTGTGCCAGACACTCTACACTAATTAATGATTTCACAGCCCTTTTATAAATCTCAGCCTAAGGACTGTAATAAGAAGTTCCATTGAACACCCCTGCTGCCAGTACTGCCTGAGTCTGGGAAGTCTGGCTGGCTTAGAATCTGTACCAACCCCTAAGACGATCTGATGTTTAAATACTGTGATGCCCTTTCTCCCCTTTTCAATGCTTCTTACTCTCTTTTGCTGGTTTCTCTTTCCTTTTTCCACATCTTTCCATATAACCATCTATCCCCAGCCATTTTATTCTCTCATTCTCTTGCTCTTCCCTTTCTTTTGTAACTTCCACATTTCCTCCTACTTCTTTGTTTTTGTTTTTTCATCTCATGTCTGTATTTATTCTATCTCTAACTCTCCTGTTTTTTCTCCTCCTTTCCATCCTGTCATTCCCTTGTACCCTGAAATGTATGTGGAGAACAGGTGTGACACAGGTGAGGAGTTCTCTTCATTTACCCAGTCAGTCATGTCCTGGTACCTCTGCCGCCTCCCCCTAACTCTGTGCTGCCTGAGCATGCAGAACCCTTGAGGGGAGAGATTCTGACACAAGTCAGTTAGAAAGGGCTACCAACCTTAGCCAGCCTGGCCCTGCAGGAGCCACCCCTCACTAGGCCTGTGGCACAGAGCTCATGCTGCTGTTCTCAGGGTGCTTCACTGGGGCCCTTCATCTTCTGGCTCAGGCTCCTGGCACATTACACTTAGTGTATTATGGGGGTGGCATCACATACCAGTCAAATCGTTAAAGGTTCAGTGTGATCCAGGGAAGGAGGTGCCAGCAGATGGTGAAACTTTTCTCAGTCTCTGCCTTTCTGACCTGAGCCCTATCCAATTGTCTGGAAAGCCAGATCTGCCTGACTTCCCATGCTGTTACCAAGAACCAAAGTATTGAGCCCCAGGCCAGAGCTGTCTTCTGCACCAGAGGGCACACAGGATCAGAGAGCAATTCTCTTCTTGTCCTCAGAACCCTTTTTTTCTAAGCCCAGGAAAGAGAGAAACTAGATTCTACCCATTTCTACCCTATGATTAGGTGCTTTTGGTGGAATACATCCTAGGTCTCTCACTCCCTCTCACAGTCCCGCTCTGTCTTCAAATCAGAGTCAACTTCAGGATTGGAAGGAATCTTGGCAGTCATCTAATTAAACTGGCCCTCCGATTCTTAGCCCATATGATTGTGTGATTCCATCTTGGATAGCTCCACTTTCTCTTTGGCTATCTAGTCTTTTAAATTTGTGATGTGTGGGCCAGGTGCAGTAGCTCATGTCTATAATCCTAGTGCTTTGGGAGTCTAAGGCAGGAGGATCCCTTGAAGGGCCAGGAAGTTCAAGACCAGGCTGGGCAGCATAGCAAGACCCTATCTCTACCAAAAAAAAAAATAGATTTGTGATGTCCTGGCTGCCATCAATTGTCAACTGATTTGCCACACAAGTGGATTGAAGAATGCTGTGTGTAGAAACCTATATTTTACAGTGAATGTTTTATGTGTATGTACATATACGCACATGCCCATGCAAAAACATGTTTTTCATCCAACTGGCCAGCAGAGGAGAATGCAAAATTTCAAAAATGGGAGATATACTCTTTTCTTTCAAGGAGTTTGCAGCTTAGTTGGGGAAACCAGAGATGTAGAAGTATATTGATCTAAGAATACCTAGAAAAGGGTGTCAAAACAAGTGCCCTTTAATATAGAAATCAGGTCTCTTTAGAATGAACTCCAGGGAAAGTTCATATTTTTGGTCATACTGAATGTGTGAAATATAACTTGAAATAAATGGTTTGAATGGGTTTGTGTTGACTTTTTCACTTTGATTTTGTTGTAAGAGACTAAGTAGCAGTACAAGAATAAATTTGTGAGGATTGAAGTTAGGAGAGGCTAAATCAAGGAAAGCTTCATGGGATTAATGCGTTTTAAGTAAGGTTTTGATAGAATTGGGTGAGTACCAGAACTGTTTGGGGGCATTTCTCAGTCTGCTCTGTCAACCAGAATTCTGGGGGTTCTGAATGGCCTTGAGAAACTGCCCTGACAACCTTCAGTTCTGACCTCTGAGCTGTCGCTGTTCAAAAGACCTTTAGGATGTTGAAGTCCACTTCCTATTTGAGATGCCCCTCCATCCATCTTTTGCACTATCCAACATTAGCTTCACCTCCTGAAAGTCCCTAGAGGTGATTCCAGGGAACCCAGACCCTCTGAAGGCGGTCAACATTATGGGGGTTGGGGGGATGCAGCCAGCCCTGAGACCACTGGGAGCTATAAGGGACAGCATTCTCTTTTTAATGGTGGGTATAAGGCAGTCATCAAACCAAGCTGAGCAAATCCACTGCCCAAGCAACGGGCAGTAACACAGGAAGGAAGAAGGGAAGTACTATACAAAGTGTGAGTGTGCTGGAGTTTGAAATAATGGGAACATCAGCCCTACATTTCAGAATAGAAGAGCAGCATATTTAGAAACGAAGGCAAGGCCTGGCATTCCTTCCTGTTAGCCAAGATTAGAAGGAGCTGTGAGAGGGGTAGATTTTCTGCAGGACCTCTCTATGATCTTGGGAGTAAGAGTTAGAGTCCTAGATTCCTTTGGCCTTCTGGATGTCATCATTTCCACATCCTGTCTCCAGCCAAGGCTCTCCCTTTCTGGAGAGATTGAAGTTGTTGTTTCCTATTTCACAGGATTCCTTTTATTTTTACGTTTGGGGGGTCTCACCCAGGGAATTCCTTCCTGATGTCATCTTTGTGGGATGTAAAGGAGGGAATGAGGGGAGGGGCCCCAAGAATGTTTCTCTTTCTGTGAAAGTTTTTTTCAGCTCTTACTGCCATTCAACATTACTTGTATCCATGAGATGGCTTCTTTCCTCCCTCACCCCACCCGTCTTCAGTTTCCTGGAAATGGAATGGGGGCTGGAAGAGAGAAAGGATGGAAATTCCCATTGCATCTCTCTCGGCTATGCAGTGGTTCAGATGGGGTTTTGGTGAGGGGGGTTGGGAGAAGTAGAAAGATGGAGTCAGCCCTGGAGGGAGAGGCCAGGAGACTGCTGAGCTGATGGTATGGGCCTAATTACTCCCTGCCTTGAGCTTGCCTGTAATTGTGGTTTCTGAGAGCCAGCACGTCCTGGAAATCTGCTGGTACAGCAGAGATTTGGGGTTTCCGCCTGGGATGGAGTTGAATTTTCCACTTGGAGCAACTTGCCCAGCCCCCATTTTTGGTTGGGGAGCAGAGTGAATCCTTAAAGCTCAAAAGGAGCGATTAGGATAGTGGTAGGAATATAAGGCCTTCCTTTGGAACTGAACGAGAGGTTGTATGCTCTGAAATGCTAGACATTTTTGAAAAGTTCAGAGAGGCGGCAGATAGCAGGACCTGGTAAAGAGTTGTATGGTTAAAGTTAGAATGTCAACTGTGTCCCAAACCTAGGACAAGTGATTTAATCTTTTTAGACATTAGTTTCTCCATCAGTGATTTGATTTGAATATGTGTCTTTTCTAACAAGGATGTCCCTTAAGTCATAGGTAGAGAAACGCTAGATGAATACAAGGGAGCAACTTAAGCCCCCCTTTTCCCATGGTGGTGATAAAAATAATAGCTAACATATTTTAAGCACTTAATGTGTGCCCTGTGCTAAACGCTTTAATGAATTCTACCATTTAATCTCTTAACAATCCCGTGTAATAGTTACTTCTGCTATAGCTAAGGGAACGTGGGGTTAAGAGGTTAAATATGTTACCTGAGGTCATGGCCCCAGTGAGTGTCAGCATCAGGATTCTAAAGCCTGTGCATTTGGCCAGCAGACGTATAAATAGTTGTCTGCACTGCATTTTACTCGCTTGTGTCAGGAAACACTCAGAGCCAGGCTGGCTTAGTGAGGCTGGCTGTTGGATTTGGCATCAGAGAATCTGAGTTCAAGTCCTAGCTCTGGCTCTCACCAACCCTGGGACCTCAGGCAAGTCCTTTATCTTCTCTGAACCTGTTTTCCATTCATGAAACATATTTTCATAGTTGTTCTGAGGGTTAAGTGAGATACTATCTGGCACAACACCTGCTACTCAGCAGATGCTTAGTGTATGTTAGCAGAATCTGAATTTGAATGAGGGGAATTCGAATAAGTGGCATAGTATAGACTCAAGCAGCCCTAGTCCCTGCCCTCCTGAATTTGTGATCTGAGGTTTTAGAACACTGGCATAAGTTAAGGATGTATCTATGGCAAAGTCAAATGGATGGTGAGGACTCTCTCTAGACAGAGTGCAAAGCATTAGCAGAGTAAAGGCTCTGAAGTTAAAATGCTTGGGTTCATATCCCAGCTTCATCTCACTTGCTGGATGCATGAAATCAAGCAAGTGGCTCAGCCTTTCTGTAGCCCATTTTCTTATCTGTAAAATGGCAACATTAATAGTGCCAACTCATGAGGTTGTTGTGAGGATTAAATGTAATACATAAGAATGGCTAATATGAATAATCAACAATCAATCAATAAGGAATTCTTACTGAGTGCCAGGCCCTGGCCTGAGCATTTTTTGCATGTTTTAAATAATTTAGTCCTAACACTCTCATGAAATAGAATCCTAACATTCTTATGAATTCTCTCTATTATTATCCCCATTTTATGGATGAGTAGTCTGAGGCAAGAGATTAAGTAACTTGCCTAAAGTCACACAGCTAATAAATGTCAGGGCCAGCATTTACATCTGGGAGGGGAACTCAGGAGCCTACATTCTTGTCTCAGTAAGTGCTTTAAGAATTTGCTAGCTCTTATTATTATTATCATCATGAGTTCCCATTTATCAATCAGTCACAAGAATTTACTAAGAGTATATGCTTAGCACTGTGTTAGTTATTGCAGGCTTTATCAACAAAATATATGTGACAGGATTTCTGCTTGTGAGGAGTTTATCATCTAGTTGGAGTGAGATATGAACAATATGGATGAAATGATTTGATAACAAGTGCCAAATAGCATAGTATGGACTCAAAATGCAGTAGAAATGGACTTAGTTACTGAAAGGATCATTGGGTAAGTTGGACTAGTTAGGAAAGTTTACTAGAGACAGTACTACTTGAATTCAGCCTTAGAAAAGTGGGCTGAAGGGCAAGGTTGGGCTGTTTGGAGCACTAGAGTTTGGGAGGATTTAGAATTTCAAGGTTGGTCATTCAGCATTCAACAAATTTCTGTTGAGTGTATCTTATGTGCCTCACTCGATGGAGAATGAGATCCAAACTGATTGCTCAGTCGCTGTTGTTTCTCTCCTGGCCAATCCAGGTTCATTTCCTGGAGATTGTGTTTTGTGGACTAGCAGTTTCCCAGTTGAAATGCTAGTATTGCCCTGTTCGAGGTGGTCCATTATTGATGTAATAAAGCCTCATTATCATGTGATTTGTGCCTGGATAGAATCATTATATGTGTCTAGGTCCTGGAAAGGAACTGCAGGGACCACATGGTTCATTCATCTCTTCCTCTCTCCCATCATTTCACCGCCCCGCTTCCCAATCCCATACATGCACATGCAACCACACTTTTTGCTTAGGAGAAATATAAGGCCTAGAACTAAGACCATAATCCAAATATTCAAACCTTTAGGATACTTTATTTAAACTGTGCTGCGTGAATTGTGAGTCAAATTAAGTGCTGTAGGACAAATGCCTACCATTTTTGTAAACCTACAGAGGGAATTATAAGCCCATATCCCAGTGCCAATAATTTTTGTCTTCCTAACACCCGTTTCACTGTTGTGCAAGCCCCTCAGTATCAAAGATGTAATTCAGTAGAAAGAGTGTAAGAGACAGCAACACTTGCTGGAAGTGGTAGGAGCCACTGCTCTAAAAACCACTTTTCCTCCCACAGAATGGTCTGGGATCTCCCCCAGTGGAGAGGGCACCCTCCATTTGTGTGATCTAGATCTGCAAAGTGCCTGCATAGCCAGAGCCAATGGGCATTCTTTTGGTTTGTGGCCTGCCTATTGCACCTCCTATCAGGCAGCTACATGTTGAGTTTGTTGCTTGGGGTTGTCTTTGTCATAAACACAGTGGCTAATGTTCTAGTGGTCCAAGGCCCATTAGTCAATGTGAGGGAATGGAGTAAACAACAGAGAGATCCAGAGTGGATCCTGGGTGATGAAACTGTGGCGAGAGCTGCAGGGATCTGGCTACTGGAAAACTTGACTCTGATTTTCTCTTGGCTGGCCTTCTGTCAGCATCCTAGCCAACTATGTATATCAAGTATACTTTGTAGAGCTCAGTCTATGGGTTGAGAGACCCATTTTAGGTTGTTGGAGACTTGGTGCTAAAGAAACAAAAAAATAGAAGATGTAAGTCTCTCCTTCAGAACAGGTATTTTATTAAACAGATCACACGGTAGAATACGTGAGTTTCTTTTAAAAGCAGTACACAGGCAGGGATCTGTGATGATAGCATAAGTCAGATGCTTAAGGGCCAGGAGATGTAAAGAATAGAAGTGTCATCATTCGAGAGTTCATTGAGGAAGGCTTCCTCAAGGAGGGGAGCTTCCGCACAGGTTTTCGAAGGGTAGAACAGGAATTTCCAGGGGGACCTGGAATAACCTCCCCTGTCTGCACGCCCTTCTTTCTTCTACTTCTGGCAGGGCTTCCTGAAGTCACCAGCCAGGAATGTGGAGGGTATGGACTCAGCCTGTGAAGCTCTGGCCCGCCTCCCACTTCTGCCCCCCATTACAGCTGGGAGCTTAGGTTGCCATGACTCAGTTTGCATCTACCTGCAGTTACCTCAGCTGAAGAACAGGTTGCCTACAGCCTGCCCAAGGAAGGGGATTGCAAAGACAAGCAGACCTCATACCATCAACTCCCATTACTTCCACAAGTTACCCATTTGATGGTTTAACCTCAGTGGTTTTAAAGTAGAACACTAACTTTCCTCTGCCACCCAGTACTTTCCTATCGATGTTGGTATGAACTCAGGGAAAGGGAGCTAATTTAAAATCCACCTTAAGAAAGTAAATTAGAAAGGTGAATCTTCTGGGCCAAATGACACACTTTTAAAAAGCAAAATGAAGACTTCTTGGATTGGCCATTATCCTGGGTACCTGTTTCATGGTTGGTCCTTTATTTGTGCCAATAATCAAAAGTCGACTCAAGTAACAACTCCGTTTATACAAGGTATAAAGTATGCCTTCTTTGAAGAAAATCCAGTCTTTTGAGAATTTATATTTAAGGTATTATCACTTTCATGATGATTTACTTCAGAACATATTTACTTATCTTTTCAGGAAAACATTAGGTAAAACAAGATATGCCTGTAGGGCCGGGCACGGTGGATCATACCTATAATCCAAGCACTTTGGGAGGCCGAGGCAGGTGGCTCACTTGAGGTCAGGAGTTTGAGACCAGCCTGGCCCACATGGCAAAACGCCATCTTTACTAAAACTACAAAAATTAGCCTGGCATGTTGACACACGCTCTAATTCCAGCTGCTCAGGAGACTGAGGTACAAGAATCACTTGAACCTGGGAGGCGAAGGTTGCAGTGAGCTGAGATCGCACCACTGCACTCCAGCCTGTGTGATAGAGTGTGACTGTCTCAAAAAAATTTTAAAAAGATACTCTTGTAGAGTGGTTTTAGGATGACAAGTAATTTAATTATCACAGTGCCCTGCAAAAAGTACAAGGCTTGGTCTTCCCATCTTACTGTTAAGAAAGCTGAGACTGAGAAGTGGTGTGGCTTGCCCAGTGCCACACAGTGGCTACGATGTGGTGAGGAGGAAACCTCATTCCACAGATGGAGGCCTTTCCCTTCGGCCCTGGCAAGTCCCTGTGACAGATGCTTGTTCTTTATCTTGTAGGTTCTAGGTTCTGCTCATCTCCTTTGCCCTTTGTTGAAAACCAGGAAACTCAAATGAAAATATACTTTTTCATCTTGTGGATATCACCAATGCAGACACAGAATTGCTTCTAGATCATGGTTGGTGATGGTGTCTGTTGTTTCTTTTCCAGTTGAAATGAATTTGGCTGTGGCCTGCCCTCCCTTTATTCTTTAGAGAGAATCTTTCCTTTCCAGGCTAGGGATGTAGTTCTGCCTGGGTGCAAGACCTGATACGCTGAAGAAGAATTATAAGGGACAAAGAATCAAGCAGAATTAAGAAAGGACGTGAGATGACCTAGCTCAGCTCCCTCGTCGTGGGGATGATAGGGCCAAGGCACAGGGAGAGGAAGCTGGGACTTTGGTATCAGACACACTTGAACTTGTGTCCTGGCTCTACTATTTAATAGCTGTATGGCCTGGGGCGACTTATGTAACTTAGCTGAACCTCATTTTCCTTATCCGTAAAGGAAAATAACACTGTTATCTCACCAGGTTGTCAGGATTAAATGAATGCCTGTAACACATGTTTATTATATGTAATTTTCTTCTCCCTTTTCAAGGATATATAAAAAGATAAGGGCAGAGTGGGTCTAGAACCCAGATGTCTAGGCTGCCAGCTGTCAGTCCTGTCCTCTTGTCAGAAGGGCCCGCCCCCTCCCTCCTGCTGGGGCAGCCTCCATGATTTCCCTTCCTGTGGCTTTGCTCTCCACCCCTGACTTCTACTCCTAATAATCAGATCTTGGATCTTCCTGAAAGTTGCTTTATGTTGTCTGGAGTTGCACAGCTAGTAAATGGCAGAATTAGCACCAATATCTAGGTCTCCTGGCTTCCTCTTGATGTCTTGAGATGCTATTCTTTTCATTGAACATAAGTTTGATGGAGGACTCCGTGACAAAAGCAAATAAATATAGGCTAAACATAATATTCGGCAGTAGATCATCTAGGAGATCTTAGGAGATCTGTAAAATGGTTGCATCTATATTAGATAACTCAAGACTTGATTTTGTGTTTCAAGGCAGGATGTGCTTGCTTTGGCAGTAGCTTACTAATTGTGTCTGACTTAGGGCTTCAGCAAAGAATAGCACCCATTTTTAAAGTACTGCAGAGTGCCAGCCATTGTACTAGATACTGTACTTACATTACACCAATTCTTAAAACAGCCTGATAGGATAGGTGGCTAGTATTCCCATTTTGTAGATGAGAAAACTGAGGTTCGCAGAAAATAGTTTGCTCTCAGTCCCATAGATGGCCAGAGGCAGAGCCAGGCCTGTTCTAACTCCACACTTCACCACACTGCTCCTCAATATCAATGTAAATTCCTGGGCATAGCTTCGGCATTGAGCTTTTTCTGAGAAATATGTGACAAATTGGATAAGTCCGATGTGAGCTTGTGCCAATACCTATGCTGATAGAGCCTGCAAGGCTGATGGGGTGTTGGGTTCTGAGTGGAGAAAAGGGTGCACAGCCTAGGGCAGTGCTGGATTGTTCTACTAAGGGGTGAAGATGGTGCCCTCAGAGCCGGGCTCTGCTTCGTTTCTGGGAGACAGTTGTGCCTCTTTACTCTAGGACTCACAGTCCAGCGAACAAGGAGAGAGGTCGACAATGTGGAAGGTGCTTTTGCAGAAATATATACCAGGTGCTGTGGGAGACAGAAGTTCCTGGAGGGTTGACTGGGCAGGCTTCTAGTTTTCTCTGACTGTTCTGAAGGGCAAGGAGGTCTCACCACTGGAGAGAAGGTGGAAGTGTGGTGCAGCTGTGGCCAAAGGAGGCCAGACCAGTGCTGTCCAATAGAAAGATAGTGCAAACCACATGTAATTTAACATTTTCTAGTAGCCATAGTAAAAAAAAAAATAATACAGGTGAAATTATTTTTAATGATATATTTCATTTAACCCAATATATTCAAAATACTCTAATATAAAAAGTTATTGAGATATTTTACATTCTTTTTTTTTTCACTAAAACTTTAAATCTGATGTGCATTTTATACAGTGTATTTCAATTTGAGCCAGCCACATTTCTGGTGCTCTTAGCCACATGTGACCTGGGGTTCCTGTTAAGACAGTGCAGGGCTAGAGGGTACTCCCAGTGTCAGCTCCTAGTAACCCACTCTCAGCAGTCTGTCCCTCACCTGTGCTTTCTAGTGCATTCCACGCATCGCTGTCTTTCAGGTGCACATCTGCTCTGCCGCAGCTGGTGTCTGGGCCTCCAGCCTTTCCTCCTCCAGGCCACTCTAGTCACTGCAGTCAGACTTATCTTTTTAAAGGCTAAACCTGATCCTATTACTTCTTCGAGAAAGCCTTCAACAGCTCCCCCATCTGTAAATAATCAAATCTATAATCCTTAGATACCGTTTAAGGCCCTCCATAACCTGTCTTTTTCCCTCCATCATACTCCCTAGCAATGATATGTTACTTTAGTATTTGCAGAACCTTTTGACATACTTTATCCCACTTAATTCTCACAGCAGCTGTGTGAGATAGGTAGGGCAGGGCAGGTGAATTATAAGGCTCAGAGAGTTTAAGAGAGGTTCCTGGCTGGGCATGGTGTCTCACACTTGTAATCCCAGCACTTTGAGAGGCTGAGGCGGGAGGATTGCTTGAGCCTAGGAGTTCAAGACCAGCCTTGGCAACAAAGGGAGACCCCATCTCTACAAAAAAAAAAATTTTTTTTAACTAGCCAGATATAGTGGTGCAGACCTGTAATCCCAGCTACTTGAGAGGCTGAGGCGGAAGGATCAGATAAGACCAGGAACTGGAGGTTTCAGTGAACTATTATCATACCACTGCACTCCAGCCTGAGTGACAGAGCAAGACTTTGTCTCAAAAAAAAAAAAAAAAAAAATAGAGAGAGAGGTTCCTAAGCTCAGCCAGCTAGTAAGTGGCAGAATCAGGATGGAGACCCTTGTCTTTTTTTTTTTTTTTTTTTTTTGAGACAGAGTCTCGCTCTGTCGCCCAGGATGGAGTGCAGTGGCGTGATCTCGGCTCACTGCAAGCTCCGCCCCCCGGGTTCACGCCATTCTCCTGCCTCAGCCTCCCGAGTAGCTGGGACTACAGGCGCCCGCTACCACGCCCGGCTAATTTTTTGTATTTTTAGTAGAGACGGGGTTTCACCGTGTTAGCCAGGATGGTCTCAATCTCCTGACCTCGTGATCCGCCCGCCTCTTTTTAATTTTATCTCTTGTTACACTCCTTGTTGTGAGATCCATCCCCTTTTCTCCCATATTGCATTGACAGCCTCCCCAGAGTCCCTGTGTCCTCCCTCTGCCTTCTGCTGCTTCCTCCCCTAGAATGTCCTTCCACAGCATAGCTACCTGTCAGAATTCTCCCCTTCCTCCAAGGCTCTGGTTAAAGTCCACCTCCTCTCTGATTTCTTCTTTGTCCATCCCCTCCCCAAATCTAGTTTGTAACTACCAACACACTTTAACATGCAGTTTCTTATTTAGTTGATGCTTCACTGTCTTATTTGCAGAATTCAGTTGTAGCAATCTGGGGCATTGAAGAATTTAGGAGCTTAAATAGTTCTTACAGGGTCACCAGTGGTACTCTCCGCCTAAGTCCATAGAGAGGCTAACACCCTTCTAGTTTATTAGTCTTTGTTAAACCTATGAAATTATGAATTTAATCCTAATTTATATGCATTGTGGAGGTCACTCAAAAATGTTTCTCTCAACAGCTGTGATAAGTATAGGCTTATTTTGATGTCTAAAGATCTGTTACCTGTATCTGATTTCATCTTCCAACACATATTTATTGAATATCTACTATGTCCTGTGTTCTGGACAAGTATGCATGAGAACAACATACACGAAGTTTATCATTAAATGGGAAAAGAGCAGACATTTTAAAAAGCACCCAAACCGGCCGGGCACAGTGGCACATGCCTGTAATCCCAGCACGTTGGGAGGCTGAGGCTGAGGATCCCTTGTGCCCAGGAGTTTGAGACCAGCCTGGGCAAGATAGTCAGAGCTCATCTCTATTTAAAAAAAAAAAAAAAAAACAAGCTGGGCAGCTACTCAGGGAGCTTAGGTGGGAGGATTGCTTGAGCTCGAACCCAGGAAGTCGAGGCTGCAGTGAGCCGTGATTGCATCACTGCACTCCAGCCTGGGCAACAGAGTGAGACCCTGTCTCAAAAAAAAAAAAAAGAAGAAGAAAAGGCACCCAAACAATAGTGTAGTTACTATTGAGTTAGGCACATTACAAAGGTAAATTTCAGGGAAACTCAACACATTAAGTGTCAGAGAAGGCCTCTCTGAGAAAGGGACACTTAAGCTGAACGCTGAGGAATGAGTGTGGGTTCCCCAGGCCAAGGTGGGGAGAGAAAGCCCCTGAGGTTGAAATACAGTGAGTGAGAGGGAGGGTGACCAGATACACAGCTTGAGAATAGGCATGAGCCCTCACCCAAGGACCTGCTAGCCATGTGCAGGATTTGGAACTTCATGCAAGGACAGTGGGAAACCACGGAAGGGTGTATATCCTCTAATTTCTCTCTTTAAAAGATCACTCTGTGTGTAAGAATGGGTAGGGGCTAGAGTAGACATGGGGAGGCCAGTTCTTCTAGGTGAGAGATGATGGTCTCTTAAATGAGCGTGGTGGCAGAGAGGGGGAGAAGAGAAGTAGGTGGATTTCAGAAATGTTAGGAGGTCATATCAGTAGGACTTGTCAATTGATTGGATTTGCAGAGAGATGTCAAAGATAATCTCAGATTTCTGGCGTGAGCAAGTGCACGGCAGTGTTTTACTGAGGAGGAAACATTTGATCAGGAGCAGGGCTGGGGAGATTGATTGCAGTTTGACTGTTGTAGCTTTGAGGTGTCAGTGAAGGTGATTTGGTCCTCGCAATTACCCTTTGAGAAAGGTAGTATTACCTACATTTGTTATTGGGAAACTAAGGTTTGAAGAGGTTGGATGACTTGCCTAAGACTACATAGCCAAGAAAGGGCTGAGCCTGAGCTTGTGCCAGTATTTTGACTCCTAAAGCTGTGCTTTTAAAACCATACCACATGTCCTGTGTGCTGAATATTCGATGTGGAACCAAGCTAACCAACCTTCTCAACACACGAGTTCTCTGCCTCCCTTCTCCACACACACCTGTCTGCCAAGTTGTCTGCTCTGATAGTCAAACAAATCCTAAAATCTCTTTTTGTCTAAGACCTTCATGAAAGTAGAAAGGTGAGGTTTACTGGCCCTGCCCTACCTAGAATTTGAACACCCTGGGGGTATTTTTCACTCACTCTTTCTAGTTCTGTTCCCCTCACACCTGACATTTTTCAAGCATAGCTCACCTACTGTACACCTGAAAAAAAAAAAAAACACACAATAAAACCATTTGCAGAGGGCTTTACACTTTCAAAGCACTTAATAAATATTATCTTTTTTGCCCTCACATCAGCCCTGGAAGAAAGAAAGGACGTATATGGGTCCTTCAGCTAACATTTTTGGAGCGACCCTCACTATGCACCAGGCACTGTGCTGGAACTCAGCTGGTGATACAAGGATGAATAAGACATGGTCCCTGTTCTCAGGGGCTTAAAGTCTAAAAGAGATGACAGACTAACAGATGATATCAATATGTGTTCATTTTGCAGATAAGAAAGATGATAGACTGATGATAGACTCATAAATTAAGGGACTTGTTTCAAGAGTTTCTCCAAGTTACGGTCCTCTGAATAAGGAATGGCTTGGGCTGCTTGTTGAAATAGATTCCACACCACAGACCTGCTGAATTGGATCCCTAAGGGTGGGGCCTCAAGTGATTCGTATGCTGCTGGATAGCTAGAAAGTGATCCAACTGAGGAGTGAACCTTCTCTGGTGCACTGCCAGAGACCATTTGTCTATTCTCTAGTTTAAGAGATGAGGGAACTGATGCTTATAGATCAGCAGCGGTTGTCTGCAAACAGCCGTCTTTCCTCATAGCCCTTACTGTAGGGATGTGCAGGTCTAGGACGGTGTGTTTGCCAGCCTCAGACCAGAGGGAAAATTCTACCCGGAGGCAGAATCCATAGAAAGTTAGGGTGCCAGGAGCCTGCTGAAAACTCCACCCTGGGAGATAAGGGAAACCAACCAGTAAGACCAGGTCAGAGTTCAGTAAGTATGGACTTTATCTGGAGCTAAGGTCCTGGTAGGGTGTCTCTTGTCTCTTTCCTGGTTTACTGCTCTTGTCTTTAGGGAAGGGCCCAGGAATATTACTTTGCCCCAGACTCAGGAAAACCTAGCTCAGCCTGTGTATAGTGTGCTTTTTTTATCTTTCTCTATCCATCTATTTTATGTATGTGTATTATGTATTTATATACATATATAGCATATGTGTATTATATATATCTTTAATCATGTCATATATGTATATATTATATGTGTGTGGGCACATGTGATGTATATATGTGTATATGTCTGGAATGTGTGTGTATGTATGTAAAAGAGAAAATAAAGACCAAACAAATCTACATGTGGCATATACAGGTCATATAATTTTTTATTTAGGAGCACAGACCTTGAAGTCACACCAACTCTATGCACATCTTAACTTCATTTATTTAACCTCTCTGTTCACACACTGGAAAATGGGGATGTACTACCTGTTTCACCAGACTTTTGTGAGTATTGAATTAGATAAGGTTATATCAAGTGCTTAGCACAGCACGTGGTAAGTAGTAAGAACTTTATCATTATTACCACAGAACGTGGATGTTCTAGGCCTTGTCCTCATTTACACATTTGTGATGGGGTAGGCGTAAGGGTGAGTAGACCAGGAACCTCCCATTGACAGATGGAAAGGACGTGATGTTATTTGCTTCTCTTTGTTTCTTTAAACTCCAGAAGCCAGTCCTGTTTGGCCACCTTAAGTTCGAACTCGTATACTTTGTAGGGGTCTGAGTGAAGCAGTGGGCAGTGTAAGCTGTGGGCAGTGGTGACTGGGAAAGGTAAGACATGCCCATCTGGAGAGGGCTGCCACCACTCATTTTCAGCTGATTGTCTCTATGTGAGACCGTAAGCTCGAGGATGCCAGAACTTCTGACTGACCTTTCAAGAGAAGTCAGAAATCTGTATTTTATTGCTTAGCAACTAACTTTTAAAATATATATATATATACACACACACACATATATATACACATTCACACACAGACACACCGCAGACCAACAAAAAGGATATGTGGGCTCTCTGGAAGGTCACCAAGCATCTCCTTGCTTTGTCGCCCACCCTGTGGGCTGGGGTGAGGAGCATGTGGATGCATAGTTAGAAGGCACCTGCTCTGTGCCTTGTGCTGCACTCAGGCATACCGGGAAGTCCACACTGCAACCTCTGCCCTCCAGCAAATAGGCAGGACTGACGCACCAGGCCACAGGGAGCCTTGGAGGAGGGGAGAATGTGTGCGCCAATGCGGGCTGCATTGTAAAGAAGAGGAAGAGTTCTGCGAGTTACTCTACAGATATTGTAAGTGAAAAAAGCAAAGTGCAAAAAGGGGATGATACTACCTGTTGTGTAAGGAAGAAAGGAAAATAAGAATATGTATAGGTATTTATTTAGTTTTACAAGAAGAAACACAGCAAGGAAACCAAAAACAAATGAAAATGATTACTTGGGGAATGGGGAGAAAGAATAGGTACACTTCTGAATATACTTTTAAAATTTCATTTTGATTTTTCAACCATGTAAATGTTTGATATATTCAAAAAATGAAATAAGCTTGGCCGGGCGCGGTGGCTCACGCCTGTAATCCCAGCACTTTGGGAGGCCGAGGCGGGCGGATCACGAGGTCAGGAGATCGAGACCATCCCGGCTAAAACGGTGAAACCCCGTCTCTACTAAAAATACAAAAAATTAGCCGGGCGTAGTGGCGGGCGCCTGTAGTCCCAGCTACTTGGGAGGCTGAGGCAGGAGAATGGCGTGAACCCGGGAGGCGGAGCTTGCAGTGAGCCGAGATCCCGCCACTGCACTCCAGCCTGGGCGACAGAGCGAGACTCCGTCTCAAAAAAAAAAAAAAAAAAAAAAAATAAGCTTGAAAAAAAGAAAACCCTAAAATTCAGTACAAATATAAAAAGAAACATAAATATATCTCAAATTGATAACATAAAAACAGATTAAGACCAAGGACAGTGGCTCACGCCTGTAATCCCAGTGCTTTGGGAGGCCGAGGCAGGTGGATCACTTGAGCCCAGGAGTTCTAGACCAGCCTGGGCAACATGGCAAAACCCCATCTCTATAAAAAATACGAAAATTAGCCAGGCGTGGTGGTGTGTGCCTGTAATCCCAGCTACTTGGGAGGCTAAGGCAGGAGGATCACTTGAACCCAGGAGGCAGAGGTTGCAGTGAGCTGTAATTGTGCCACTGCACTCTAGTCTGGGCGACGGAGTGAAACCCTGTCTCAAAAAACTAAACAAAACAAACAAAAAACCCAGTGGATTAACCCAGAAATTTTCACACACATTACTGATGATACTGGGATACAGTCTGAGGACAAAACAAAACTGCAAGAAAATCTTGAACTTCATAGGTTTGTTGTTACTAGTGATACTGATGTAGTAACTCCAGGAACTATCTTTTCTGCATATTGAATAGAGCAGTGAGTAAATATATTGGTATTGTTTAGGAACGGGGTTCTCAATATGAGAAAAGGAAGACAAAATGTGGAATGGGGAAGATGAAGAACCCTGTTGTGTTGAGTTCAAATTGGAGATACCAGTGTGAACTCAAAAATTTATAATAAATTTTTCTAACTCTGTCCATTAAAAGGGCCTGGAACGAGGGACAGCTCAGCAGCAATGAGTACCTAGCAGTCAGATCTTGTTTGTAAATGCATTTCCTGCTAAAAGGAACAGGGCTCCTTGGAGAAATGTTTAATTCCAGGTCTGGCATAGGGGAAGTACAAGGTGAGCATGGAGTATCTTTTTGTGCCAGAAAGCAAGGACATGATCAAAGACAGATGGTGACATGTTAAAAGGACACAGGAGCTGGCTTTCAGAAGCTCCCACTGGTCAAATTGGAACATTTTAAACTTTTTTTTTAAAGGGTAATAGACTATAATATATTATTACTTTGCGGGGGAAACAGGATCTGTGAGTTCATAGCACTACTCCAGAAAAGGGATGAGATGACATTCTTTATAAAAGCTTACTGGCTAATATATGTTGAAGGAATGATAGAATTAGCAAATTGCCATTTTGCAGGCACCAGTGCAATAAGCGCTTTAGGCAAGAATCATCTATGGATAGTAAAACTATTGGATGAGAGATTGTTGGAAAACAGAGTATCTATGCAGTCTCAAAATATCATCCCACAGATTTCTCATTAATTCAAATGAGAAAATAGATTTTTACCATTGAAAAAATCTCAGGAATACCACTTTACCTGAGTAATCAAACCTACCGTCACCAAAATGGGGCAAGCTATCCAACATCACTTATATAATAGTCTCTTAAAAATGTTTAACATGAATCTAACTGTGAGGAGGCATCAGATGAATCCAGATTGTAGGACATTCAACAAGATTACTGGCCTAGACTCTGCAAAATGTCAGTGTTATGAGAGACAAGACCAAGAAAAGTAGGGAGAGTTCTAGATCAAATTAATCTGAGAGACAGGACGTAAGTATAATTCGAGATCTTTGATTGGCTCCTGAACTGAGGCAATTGGGGAATAGCTACAAAGAACTTAATAAGACAGTTGGGGAAATTTGAATGTGTACTGTATATTAGATAATATTGTATCAGACTCATTGGGTGTGCTGATGGCATTGTGGTTATACAGAAGAATTTCAATGCTCTTAGGGGATATAGGCTAAAATAGGGGTAAAGTGTCATGATGTCTACAATTTTCAAGTGAGAAAAAATGTATAAACATAGATAAAGCAAATGTTACAAATGTTAGTTGCTGAATCTAAATGAAGGGCATGTAGATATTCACCATGCTACTTCTTCAATGTTAATGTAGTTTGACCTTTTTCAAAATAAAATGTTGGGGTAAATGAAATGTGTGCTGCAGTGGTCAGGGATTGCTTTGTGGAGTCAATGCCATTTGATCAGGACCTTGAAAAAGTAGTAGGAGATGGACAGAGATGACAAGGGATGGCAACCATCAAGTCAGAGGTGGGAATGAGTATAGCATCGCTTAGGATCCAGTAGAGGTAGGTAGTAGGCAAGTAATCAGAGACGAATTTGAAAAGACGTTTGGGTCCACAGGATGAAAGTCCTTTAATACCAAGTTATTGGAGGCACATCTGATTGTGTAGATAATAAGGAGAGAAATGATAAGTTCTTGATGAGAGGGCCTGAGGGAGTAGTATTTGAGTAAGTTAGTCTGTGGTGGTGGAGTGCTGGATGGACTGGAGAGTGGAAAAGAGGTTTTTTTCAGTAATCCAGGCATGAGGCACTAGACATGTGGCTTCAAGGGATGAGTGTCAATGATTATGTAAAGAAAGGAGCGAGTCTGGGAAACGATTATAAAGAACCTAAAGGTTTCTTTGACTGGCAGTAGGGGATAACTGAGAAGTTGGGTCAGAAAATCTGTCTCAGTGGTGCCATTTAGAGTACAAATTTGGGGGGAAATTCTCCACTCCTCAGGGCCGCCTCCATACCCCCAGGTTTAGGCTGAGCAGAATCTGAGCTCTGCTGCCAAATTTTGATGAGAATGTCCTCAGGAAAAGGGAGGGGCCACCATTAAAATCTTTTCTATCTATGACAGCCTCCATTTCAGGCCAAACTACCCTCCTCTCTCCTTTCCTTGTTTCTCAGATTTTTAACCTTCCAAGGTCTTCCTCCCAAATATGTGCTCAGACTCACAACCCAGCTGACACAATAGTCTGTCCATTGATTCTATCCACCAGGCCTGCCTTCCATAGGCATTTCTTCCTCCTTCAGTTCAATGGTAGTTTTCTCTCCTTTAAGCTCTCAGAAAAAAAAATTTTTTTTGCATCTGTTGCAAGTATACTTACGTTGCCATCTCCTTGTCCCCCACATACCTGCCCTAGCCTCTGATTTTATTTTAGAGAAACTTTTGGTTACTGCTGAAATGGTCTTTGTCCATGCCCCTAACAATTGTTGACAGCAGGGACATGGACCTTTTGGTTCATTTGCCTTTGATTATGTGGAACTGCTCATGCCTCAGCTCAAATGCAAACCAAATCAGGTTCTCAGGTTCAGATGCACCTTCTAGGCTTTAATATGGGCATAGGAAACCAGCTTCCTGGTGGGGTCAAGAACAAGGCAAGAAGGCCCGAGGTGTCCCAAGATAAGATGGGCTTTCTCTTTAGGTAGGAAGGAGGAGGAGTTCAAGCCCAGCGTGGATAGCCCTGTGCAGTCATAGAGAATAAAGTAGGCAGAACATGTAGGAGGAAGGAACAGTATAGGCAGAGACAGAAGCCAGAAACCATAGCAAGTGAAAGGAGGACAGTAAAGAGCAGGGACCAAGAATAGGACTGAGCCCCTCCCTATTGCGTCAGGCACTGGGGACACAGCAGCAAGACCCTCTCTGCTTTCATGGACCTTCCAACCTTGCCTGTCTGTACGGCTTTACAGACAAGTGAACAGCGCATTTTCAGTTGGGTATTTGAGCTGCAGGAAGGACAGATACTGGGAGCTGTGGAAAACATCAAAGGGCACTTCCCCGGGCATCAGGCATTATACTTCCTGTTAGATGCTGTGGCGAATGGCCTAGCTGAGGCCAGATGACTGTTCTCCCAAGTACAGTGGGGAGGTTCTAAAAGGTTTTAAGCAGCAAAATGACATGGGTAAATTTGGATGTTAGAAAGCTGATGGCTGTTAGTAAGCTCACCTTGTGGCCAGGTGCCTCCCCTGGGTCACTCTTGGCTCTGTTGTGGTTTTTCTTCGAACCAACCATCCCTAGTGTCTTGTCTGGTTTATGTCGTGTTTTGTTTTTCTTTCTCTTTCTTCCTCCTGTCCTGCGTTGCTCTCTCCTGGGCCCACGCTCTCTTCTTCCTTGATGTCCTTCTCTCTCTGATCCAAAGATCAGCCAGTAAAAAGCAGTCTCACCTGTCCAGGTAAGAGGGGTGCCATTGTGAGGGGGAACGAAGACCCACTCCTTTATATTTATAAGTTACTTGTACCCTCACATGGTTTCAAACATTAAAAGTACCAAAGAATATAATAAAAGCCTGCATTTCCATTCCTGTGCCCCAGCCACCCAGTTTCCCTCCTCAGAGACAACTGTGTTATATGTTTCTTTTGTATTCTTCCAGAGATATTTTAGATATTTTTGGATATGTAAATAAATATTTAAACATATATAAACACATAATTTTATTCTCTCCTTTACTCACTTTTTTAAACTGTCCAAATAATTCTATATTTTGTTTATTTCACTCAGTAACATATCATGGAGATATTCTGTATCATGTATAAAGAGCCTCTTCATTCTTTCTTATGACTGAGTTCTGTGTCATTGTATTACTGTAATTTATTTAACCAGTCACTCATTGTGAACATTTAGATTATTTCCAGTGCTTTGCCATCACACACAGTGCTTCCATGAGTAGCCTTCTACTTAGTCTTTTGCTATAGGTAGGATAGGAATTGCCCCTTTCTGAGGGGCAGCAACTATTGATTCAGGAACTTGCAACTTGTACACTTTTCCAAAAAGGAGTGCCACAGCAGTTATTGAAATTTCTTCTATTCCTGTGAGGGTCCTAGTTGAAGAGGAGATGAAGCAGTGAATCCTTTGGTTTGGTGATGTGTACCACTTGAAGGTTTGGGGTCTTTAGTAGTTTCTAATTAGGCGAGGTGCCTCAGGCTGGCTGAGGGACTGGAGCTGAATATGGGGTTGGAATACTACCGCCAAACAGACCAGATTCCTGTCCTCCCATGGTACCCAAAGGATAAATGGAATTTTCAAAGGCTTGGGCCGTTCCTCTACTGTCTTTTCTAGAAAGTGTGCAAGTTGCCAGTTACCCAGCGGGCTTATACTCATGCCCATTTACCCTCCTGGAGATCACTGTTATGGAGAGGTGGAACTTTGAGGGACAAAGAGATGAAGCTAAATGGGGAGCTTGTCTCTGCTGCCACCACTACAGCCACATGTTGTGCTCATGCAGACCTCTGTATGTGTTTGACCCACCTCGTCCTTCCCTCCAGTCTCCCCTTCCTTTGCAAATCATTGCCTAAAACTAACTGGCTGTTTGTTTTTTCCCTGTCTTTTTCTTGCATTCATTTTCTCTGCTGCTCCGTTCTGTTCCATCAGCCCCATTGCAGCCTGGTAAGACCCAACAAGCATGTACACGTGTGCACATCCCCTTCTTGCTATTGTCTCTTTGTCGCCTAACTCCAGGAAGGGTTATTTCCCTTCACACCTTGCTGGGTATTAAAGAGATCATGCTTGCCCTGCCAGCCCAGGATTCCAGATAGGTGGTGTTACCAGTGGTGTACACATGGCTAATGTCCTACCAGATTGGGTTACAGGGCGGGTAGGTTGGTCTCTCATTATCCAAGACTCAGGGCCCCTTTTGACAGAGCCTCCATCTACTACAAGGCTGATCCCCCCTGCTGAGCTCATTGACATGCTTTCCTTACTCCTTCTCCAGGTTAAGTAGCCTGTCTTCTCTGGGAGATTCTGCACCAGAGCGCAAGTCCCCTTCCCACCATCGCCAGCCTTCGGATGCCTCTGAGACAACAGGTAACCTCCTTGGGCATTAACATACAAAAACAGCCAGGCATGGTGGCACATGCCTGTATTCCCAGCTACTTGGGAGGCCAATGGGAGGATCGCTTGAGCCGAAGAGCTCTGGTCTGTAGTGTGCTATGCCAGTCAGGTGTCTGTACTAAGTTCAGCATCAATATGATGACCTCCCAGGAGCAGGGAACTACCAGGTTGCCGAAGGAGAGGTGAACTGACCCAGGTCAGAAATGGAGCAGGTCAGAACACCCATGCTTATCAGTAGTGGGATCACACCTATGAATAACCACTGTACTCCAGCCCGGGCAACATAGTGATACTCCATCTCTTTTTAAAAAAAAAAAAAAAAAAGGCACATGGCTGGGCGTGGTGGCTTATGCCTGTAATCCCAGCATTTTGGGAGGCCAAGGCAGGCAGATCACTTGAGGTCAGGAGTTTGAGACCAGCCTGGCCAACATGGTGAAACCCCGTCTCTACTAAAAACACAAAAATTAGCCAGGTGTGGTGGTGCGTGCCTGTAGTCCCAGCTACTCAGGAGGCTGAGGCAGGAGAATTGCTTGAACCCAGAAGGCAGAGGTTGCAGTGAGTCGAGATCGCGCCATTGCACTCCAGCCTGGGTGACAGAGCAAGACTCTGTCTCAAAAGAAAACCCACATGGACACAGAGATGTACACTCATACAGACAGATCTGTATACTCCAAATGTAAAGCAACTTAGTGTTTATGTTAAGCACATGATGTATACTAGGCATTGTGTTAATGGGTTTTATATAAATTGCCTCCGTACATCAACATAGAAACTAGGTTTTATTATCTTTATTTTGCAAATGAGGGAGCTGAGGCACAGAGAGGTTAAGAAATATGTCCAAGTTCGCAAGCTTACTGGGGACTTGAAACCAGTTCTGTTTTAACTCTAGAACCCACGCTTTAATCATTGCAGGATGCAATCACACATACTCATACACATGTACGATGTCTAGTATACACTCACAGGAATGGAGACATTTGGTAGTGATAACCTCTGTTTCTTTTTGTTTTTTAATTCTGTATTTTTTTAAAGGATACATGACAAGAAGAAAACCCTTTTATTTCAGAAATAAAAGGGTTTTCTTCTTGTCATGTGTCCTTCCCTAGATTTGGCAAGAGACCACTCCTAAGTCACCCTGCATGAGTTATCCAGCTCTATAAAAAGAATCAACAAGCATTGGTATACCACTTGCTGCATTCATTGGATGTCACTTAACATGTAACTTCTAGGCTCACTTGGGCTTCAATCCTGGGAGGCTCCTTATTGGTAATATTAGTCTTCAGGAGGATGGCTAGACCTGGTCCTACCCCTTCTTTGACCAGTCTCACCCGGGCACACCAAAAGGGACAGACATGTTTGTGAGAGACAAGCATTTTAGCACCTCAGAGAAGGGTAGTTTCTTATTTGGAATACAAAGTTAAGTTATAGGTTTTGCCAACCACCAAGGGAGGCGTGTCATTGCAATAGTGTTTAGACAGGAATAGTCTAGGGAATTTGTTTAGTGTGAAAAGGCTTCTTGAAGAAGAAAGGCACTGGGGCTTCCCTGGGTTGGTCTTGGCATGTGTACACTAACCTCCCAGTGACACTGCGTACTCAACCTTTCTCTCCGCCTTCCAGGTCTCGTTCAACGCTGTGTCATTATCCAAAAGGACCAGCATGGCTTCGGCTTCACAGTCAGTGGGGATCGCATTGTTCTGGTGCAGTCTGTGCGGCCTGGTGAGTGCTGCATCCCTCCTGCCCACGGTGGACAGTTCTTGCAAAGCCACCATGTATGTGACAGTGCCATTCTACCTGTGCTTTCCTGTGGGGCATGAATGAATTACTCTAGAACTGGTTCTCCATGGGTGCGTGGGGAAGCCTCTTCAATGCTAAGCCCCCAGGCAGAATTTCTAGAGATTGCACCTCATGCTCGCTTCCCTAGCTGGAAAGTGAAAAACCAGCAGAATAGCTGTCAGGTCATCATCAGGCAGATGTCTGATTGCCATCGAAGGGAGCCCCTCATACTGGGTCACAAGATTCCATGGAGGAATCAAAGGCCCCCTTTCTTCATATTTACCTCCACATTACCTGGCTAAGTGCACAGATGGTCACTTTCTACAGAGGTTTATAACCTGAGACAGGCACAATGGTCCAAATGATTACAGAGCACATTTGCTGATACAATTAACATTAAATAATAAATTACCAACAGATGAATGATATATGTTGGATGTGATGTCAGGGGAAATGGTGTTTGGAAGTTTGAGTAGTTTGTGATTTGAGGCATAGTCATTTTCCTTGTGATCATTTGGGAAGCCCTCTTAAAAGAAACAGGATTTTAGAAGTAGTTTGAAAGATGGAAATGAAAAGCAAATCAGCAGGATAGGAATTTGGTGGGAAGGAAGTGAAGAGTGGGTGGGCATCATAGCCAAATCCATCAAGTTACCAATTGTGTATAGAAGGGGTGTGAACAGTCAAAACTCTAGCATATGCCAGGTAGTGGAACCACTGTTGGTGGTCCAGGCTGAGGAAGACAATCAAAAAGGCGATGGGTGGCCAGCTGTGGTGGCTCACGCCTGTAATCTCAGCACTATGGGAGGCCGAGGCTCGCGGATCACGAGGTCAGGAGATCGAGACCATCCTGGCTAACATGGTGAAACCCTGTCTCTACTAAAAATACAAAGAAATTAGCCAGGCGTGGTGGCAGGCGCCTGTAGTCCCAGCTACTCGGGAGGCTGAGGCAGGAGAATGGCATGAACCCGTGGCCGGAGCTTGCGGTGAGCCAAGATCGTGCCACTGCACTTCAGCCTGGGTGACTGAGCGAGACTCCGTCTCAAAAACAAAAAACAAAAAACAAAAAAAAAAGAAAGGCAGTGGGTGTGGGAGAGTCCTTAAAGGGTAAAGAAGTGTCCCTAAAAGGAGTGAACTTCAGTGCAGTAAGTAGCATTGGGCTGGTGACATGGAGCATCCTAGGCTTGGCTTAAACAAGAGCACAAGGAAGGGATTGGGAGCAGGTTTCCTGATAGTGCAGAGCAGGAGGGAAAATATACTTGCATTGATTTTGGAGGAAGATATGAGATATGTTCACAGGAAAGGTGAAAAGAGAATTTCAAATGTATGACCAAAATGAGTATGTGGATCATATAAGGATATAAATAAGTATGGCTTCTTATATTTGGGAGTAAACTTATATCAGTGGGAGGTTTGTTTTGCATATCCTGGGGTGAAGCTCTAAAAAGATAGTTTTATTATTTGCTTCTCTTATTTCTCAGGGTTCCTGGACTAGGGTGAGACAGAGTTAGTGGAACTGCCAGTAACTTGTACTTTTCCTCTGCTGGTCTATCTGGTACAGAAAATGTGTATGGGATCCCCTCCAGTGAAGTCAAGGTTCAGCTCTCCTTTACCTTCTTCCTTCTCTTAGGCTGAGCAGAGTCAGACCCAGAGAAGAAAGAAGGAAAAGATGGCTTACAGGGAGAATATGAGTTCTAGAGTCTGTGTGTGTGAGAGTTGTGTGTGTGTGCATGCATGCATCCCTGTGTGCATGTGTGTGTTGGGGAGGAGAGTAAAAGAGACTTCATTTGGATTGGCATTGAAGTCACAAGAGTAACAAAGCAGCGGTTATCTTTTCCAGATACATATTAGGTTTCTTTAATTCACTGTCAAAGTATAGTCTGTGTTCTGCCTGTATTAGAATCACCTAAGCCCAAGATGATTGAAATCCTTTTTCTTGGGGCTGACCTCGGAAGCACTGAATTGCTTTCTGGCAAGAGGTCCAAGAAATACACTTTTTAAAAATTCCCACAGTGATTCTCAGGCTTGCTGAAGTCTGAGAATTTCTGCTCAAGTTCCTTAACTCTGAAGAGTTTAGTTTAAAAAAAAAAAACACTAAGTTATTAGAAGTCACCTCACGTGTTTCATACATTCAGGCAAGATAGTTCTGTTGTCTTTAACGTTAGTTTCTAAATGAACGTATAAGAGGGAATTTCAAGCTATTTGCAAGTACTCTTCCATAAATAGCACACTTTAGCTGAGGGTAGTCTTGAGTCCCAGTATTGAAAAGCCAAATTGGAATGTAGTCATCACTGAATTTTTCTTTTTAGAGTAGAAACATTTAGATGGGCTTTGTGGGAGTTTTGTTTTGATCAGAGGAATGCAACTTAAAGATTTAATGATCACGTTGGGGCAAATGTACAATATGTAATTTTTATGCTTCTCATTAACTTGTTTTGGCTTTAGTGTTTTTTGTGCTTCCTGGATGTAAATTAAACTAGGAATATAAGTCATTTAAAACTATCTTGTGAGGCTGGGCGAGGTGACACATGCCTATAATCCCAGCACTTTGGGAGGCAAAGCCAGGAGGATTGCCTGAGCTCAGGAGTTCCAAGACCAGCCTGGGCAATATGGTGAAACCCTGTCTCTACAAAAAATACAAAAATTAGCATGTGTTGGCACATGCCTGTAGTCCCAGCTACTTCGGAGGCCGAGATGGGAGGACCACTTGAGCCCAAGATGTTGAGGCTGCGGTGAGCCAAAATCGCACCGCTGCACTCCAGCCTGGGTGACAGAGTGAGACACAGTCTCAAAACAAACAAACAAACCATATTGTGGTCAAAACCACTGTAGCCTCCAGTTGAATGACAAGTTGCAAAAGTCAAGAGCATGTTCTTTTGAGCACCTCACAGTCAGTCACCATCAGAAGCTCTTAATTTGGTCCATTTTAAAGGGAGAAACTGGGCTGAGTATGGAGGCTCACGCCTATAATCCCAGCATTTTGGGAAGCCAAGGCAGGAGGATCACTTGAGCCCAGGAGTTCAAGACCAGCCTGGGCAACACAGTGAGACCTCATCTCTACAAAAAAAAAAATTTTTTTTTTTTAATTAGCCAGGCATGGTGGCATGCACCTGTAGTTCCATAGCTACTTGGGAGGGTTGAGTTGGGAGGATCACTTGAACCCAGAAGATCCAGTCTGTAGTGAGCTGAGATCACGCCTCTGCACTCCAGCTTGGGCTACAGGGCAAGGCTGTCTATAAAAAAAAAGGAGGGGAGAAACTGTAAATGGCTTAAAACAGTTTTTTTAAAAGAAAGAAAACAGTTGTCTTTAATGATGTGAATACCGAGAATATCTTTATGAACCTCTCAGGACTTAGGAAACTCTTGTTTTAATCCTTTTCTCTGAATTTCTCTTAATTATTATTTTAACAATTATGTTTCATACAGTAAACTCATTTCCCCCCCCCCCCCCGGAATATAACTGATTTGACCTTGGAACATATCCAGATACACTCGAATGAAGCACACGTGCTCTTCCCAGAGCCTGGCCCTGCCTCGCTCCTGCCTTGGCCTGGCTATCAGAAGTCTGGCATCTTATTTAGGTGAAAGGAAGAGCAGGAGATGGGACCTTATATAGTTCACTCTAGCTTAAAAGTAGTTGTGTCACTGGAGTAGAATAGGAAGTACACCCAGAATTTGAGATACTTAACACAGAGAAATAAGAGGAAATTTCAGAGGAGAGGTGATCTGACAGGGACCTTCGTGTAGCTTCAGTGGAAGAGGTTGTTGGGCACTGCTGACCAGGCCTTCTCCTTACAGGAGGTGCAGCCATGAAGGCCGGTGTGAAAGAGGGCGACCGGATCATCAAAGTGAGTGACCCCAACACACACTCCCACTCCCAGCAGTGGAAATAGATGTGCAGGGCACTCCTGGCCTTGGCCCATCCTGCACACTTTCATCTTGATACCAACTGCCAGGCAGCCACTGAGTTAGGAGTGGTACCATACGAGGGAGCACAGTGGTATAGCATGAGAGAGAGTGAGGAGGAGGATAGCTGTGTTCTACATTTTAGGCCTTTCTTGACTCTAAAGCAACCAAGCTTCTAGAACAAGTTTTATTATTCTTATTTCACAAATGACCAAAATAAGATTAAGAGGGAGGGTTAGTAACTAGTGAAGGATCCAAGACTTCAATTCTCAGGTTGATATTCTTTCCTCCATATAATGCCAACCTGGGGTCTTTGCCCATTCTGAACTACTATAACCTGCCCTGGTCGTTCAGACCTTTCTTCGACAGAATGGTGTTCAAGACTAGCCTGGGCAACATAGTGGGGTGCATTAAGGAAATCCTAGATGCAGAGACTTCTTAGTCCTCTGTAATGAGGAAGCACACTGGGTCAGTGGACATTCACATGTGTGTGAAGCAAATGGTTAGAAAAGTGTATACCAAAAATAAGTGAATGAATGAACAAATTAAGGAATGAAGACACAGGTCTTGTCCTTGAAAACTCATAGGCTAGCTGGAGAGACAGAACAAATAGCAGATACAAACAGAACAAATTCATAGTGTGACTTGAGTAAACAAGTGACCAGAGGAGGCTAAAGAGCATTGGAAAATGGCTTCCTAAAAACATGGCATTTTGGGCCAGGCGCAGTGGCTCACGCCTGTAATCCCAGCCCTTTGGGAGGCCAAGACGGGCGGATCACAAGGTCAGGAGATCGAGACCATCCTGGCTAACACAGTGAAACCCCATCTCTCCTAAAAATACAAAAAATTAGCTGGGCGTGGTGGCTGGCGCCTGTAGTCCCAGCTACTCAGGAGGCTGAGGCAGGAGAATGGCATGAACCCAGGAGGTGGAGCTTGCAGTGAGCCGAGATGGGCCACTGCACTCCAGCCTGGGTGACAGAGCAAGACTCCATCTCAAAAAAAAAAAAAAAAAAAAAAGTGGCATTTTGAACTTACAGAAGGATCCCCTAGCTGTTCATTACCATTACTCAATACTGTTTGTCCCTCCAACAGGTCAACGGCACCATGGTGACCAATAGCTCACACCTGGAAGTGGTAAAGCTGATCAAATGTGAGTTGGAGAGAGGTGACAACTAAAGTAGGGAAGCAGATGATCCGAGAGGGAGGAAAGGAGGGAGGAAAGGTCAGGCCTGGCATTCCAGGAGGTTTCCTTTGTAGATATGTGAGGCAGCTAAAGTCACATCTTTAATCGTAACATGGAGTGATCCACTTAAGTGGCCACAATTCCCTATTACTTCAAGTGGAGACAGTACTAGGCTCTCATGAGACATCTTCATTTTTACCCACACTCATCTTTGCCACACCTATTTAGACCATATCCTACTGAGACCAGGTCTCCCTCAAATACCTTTCAATTCCCTCTGCCATTCATGGACATTCTTCCTCATTTGTTTTCTGTTTGGCAGGGAAAAGCAACAATAATCTGTTTATAGCCAGGAAGGCCCAACAATTGAGTCTGCACAAATATTCAAATAGAAACAACAAATGTTGAAGAAAGAATTGAAGAATGTGGGAAGTTTGGGGAGAGCAGAGGGCTAGAATCTGAGTGCCTGGTCTGTGCCATGTGGGCAGTATGCTCAGAGTGTGACACTGGCTACTTACTTTAGTGAGATAAAGGGGGAAACAAGAGGCTGCTGAGGCAGCCTGTGGGGCGTGTTCCCAGATATTTATGAGTGGAATTCTAGTTGAGGTCTCTGCATGAAGGAAGGGCAGGAAGTAGTACTTGGGCATGAAGGCAGGGATTAGAGAATGGGTGGGGCATTAAAAGTGAGGAGAACTTAATCTACAGAATAATGAGTTTAATGACAGGACAAGGGAGAACAGCCCCCTCCTGTATAGCTGGACTGTCTCTCCAGAACAGCACTCCTGGAACAAGTCTCTCTCTGTTTCCCTCTAGCTGGCGCCTATGTCGCACTCACCCTCCTGGGCTCTTCACCTTCATCCATGGGCATCTCTGGGCTCCAGCAGGACCCATCCCCAGCAGGAGCTCCCCGAATCACGTCAGTGATCCCCTCACCACCACCTCCTCCACCTCTACCACCTCCACAACGCATCACAGGACCCAAACCTCTGCAGGTAATAATCCTCCTGGCTTTCTTTCCTCACCCTAATGTCCTGTTGAAAAGCTCCGCATTGGGGAGGAAAGCAAGTTAAATCCAGTGGGGCTGTGGTAAACAGAGACAAGCCAAAAGACATATGAAAGACCATTGAAAGAGTTGAACAAAAATGAAGGCTGCACAATAACAGTTGTTCCATGCCTTAGTGTCCTCCTTCCATGCAAATGCATATGAGGTTTTATCACACAGCAACATTGTGTGTTTCCTAAATGTGTAGAAGACTCTAAGGATGCTGTCTAAAAGTGCTCCTCATCAGAGAGAGAGTGTACACTTCAGGCAGGGGCAGAATGCATCTGTTTAAGACCATTGCCAGTCAGTGTTAACCAGGGTTTGGAATAAAGTCAAGGAGTGGGGGAAAGGCTTCCTAGAGAAAAAAGCCTGCTTTGAGGTGCAAAATATAGAGCCCACTCAGTAGAGGGAGGGACCAGAAAAGGACAAAAACAAGTAGAGGCTAGGCGCAGTGGCTCACACCTGTAATTCCAACACTTTGTGGGGCTAAGGTGGGAGGATCACTTGAGCTCAGGAGTTCGAGACCAGCCTGGGCAACATGGCAAAACCCTGTCTCTACCAAAAATACAAAAAATTAGCCAGACATGGTGGCATGCACCTGTGGTCCCAGGTACTCAGGAGGCTGAGGCAGGAGGGTTGTTTGAGCCCAGGAGGTGGAGGTTGCAGTGAGCCATGATCGTGCCAATGCACTCCAGCCTGGGTGACAGAGTGAGACCCCATCTCAAAGAAAAAACAAAACAAAAAAACAAGTAGAAAGAGAACTCTAGAAGCAAGAAACACCTATGTGAAGAGTTAAAAGAGGACAAGATGCAGACAAGTATAGGGAACAGGACTTTTCAGTTGGAATGAAGACTGAGCCCACAAGTCCTGGGAGACTTTAGAGAGCAACTTGATACCAAAGGTGATTACAGCCAAATTGAGGCATAAACTCAAAATAAGATTTTGTGTTTACTGCATTCCGGCAAGGTACTGAATAAAACATACTTATGATCCAGGCTCTATTCTCATAGCTGTCCTTGCCCAGGAACCAGCAGATAGAAGAGAGCTAAGCTGTTGAGTTAGTCCCTAACTCTTATATTGCCATATTTTCCATGTCTAGGATCCCGAAGTTCAAAAACATGCCACCCAGATCCTCAGGAATATGCTGAGGCAGGAAGAAAAAGAATTACAGGTAAGGTCACTGCCAAGGGTAGACTGGCCATTGCCTGAGTGAAATAATACTTTATCAGAGCAGCCTGCCAATGTACACAACTTAATTTACAGGCAATATCCTATCACAGTAAAACCTCAAAAAATAAAACTTCCGGACCACTAAAGAATTGTCATTGGCCAGTAGAATTTGTTAAAGCAGAATTTCACCAATAAAGTGAATAGGATTCTCCATGTGTAATAGATTAGGATAGTGAATATGTACACAAAAAAAAGTCAACAGAGTTTATCTGGGACATTTCCAAGGAAGGGAAGGAAAAGAGGGAAGAAAGGGATGGGTAGGTGAGTGCTGGGCCAGACTGAAAGAGGTGGGGAGCACTTGGGTGAAGGATGAAGAGAGTTTACAGGCCTAGGAAGTGATGTGCACAGAGAACAGTAAGAAGATTAATTTACTGGAGTGGAATAACCAGATTCCTATTATAGCCATCCATGTAAGTGCCACCATATATAAAACACTGTTTTAGTTTCTAGGCTATATAGAAATAAAAAAGATTAGATGGTTCCTCCCCTCAACATGTTTAAAATCTAATGGAGGAAATTCAAATTACAGTAGGAGGGAGAGTGGGAGGAACAAAGAGCTTACAATAAGAGAACAAAGAAGAGAAAAATTAATTAATAATGGGAAATATGGGGAAGCACTTCACAGAGAGGATAGTATTTCAGCTGGGCCTTGAAGAGTGGTACTTTAGTAGGCAAAAGAGATGAGGGAGGGAATGCCAGTGAAAAGACAGCATAGGTCAAAGGCACAAAGATATGAAAATACAAGTATTTATTTCACAAGCACTGAGTCCTTGCTATATGCTAGATACCGTGTGTGTGTGTTGGAGCAGTAGATGGGGGTAATGTTAGGGGTGGGTGTTGGAATGGTTACAAAGATAAACCTCTCCTTTAATGAGTTAGTGATTCCATAGGATATGGATGAATGAATGAAGATATACTATATTATGATAAGTGCTAACATTTATATATTGGCAAATGTCAGAGTAATCAAGACAGTATAATACTGGTTCAAGGATAGACCTGTAGATGAATGGAATAGAATTCACATGCCAGAAATTAACCCATACATCTATGGTCAATTGATTTTCAACAAAGGTACCAAGACAATTCAATGGAGAAAGAATAGTATTTTCAACAAATGGTGCTAGGACAACTGGATATCTACATACAGATACTTAATTTGGACCCTTACCTCATACAGTAAACAAAATTTAACTCAAAGTGGACAAAGACTTAAATGTAAGAGCCAAAACTATTTTTAAAAACTGTAAAACTCCTAGAAAAAATTTTAGGTGGGAGTAAATCTTCATGACCTTGGATTGGGCAGTGGTTTCTTAGATATGACACCAAAAGCATAACCTCCCCCCAAAAAAATAGTTGGATTTCATCAAAATTTAAAGCTTGTATATGTCAAAGGATTCTATCAAGAAAGTAAAGACAACCCATAGAAGAAATGGGGAAAAATATTTACAATTCAAGTATCTGATAAGGATCTAATGCCAGAATATATAAAGGACTCTTAAAAGCTCAGCAATAAAAAGACAACCCAATTTAAAAACTTGCAAAGGATTTGAATAGACAGTCTCTAAAGAAGACAGACATACAAATGGCCAATAAGCATGGGAAGATGCCCAGCATTGTTATTCACAGGAAGATGCTAATCAAAATGACAATGACCTACCACTTCTCACCTATTAGGATGGCTATAACCAAAATAATGGAAAATAACAAGCGTTGTGAGATGTGGAGAAATCTAAACAATACTTGTTTATGTTTTGTCTGCATATTCACTGTGCTAATCTATTCCGCCATTGATGGTGGGAGTGTAAAATAGTGCAAGCACTCTGGAAAACAGTTTGACAGTACTTCAGAACATGAAACACAGCAATACTATATGACCCAGCAGTTCCACTCCCAGGTATATATCCAAGAGAATTGAGAACATAGGTTCACACAAAAACTTGTACATGAACATTCATACCAGCATTATTAATAATAGCCAGAAAGTAGAAACAACCCAAATGTTCTTCCGCTGATGAATAGATAAGCAAAATATAGTCTGTTCATACAATGGGATTTTACTCAGCCATAAAAAAGAAAGAAGTACTAATAAATGCTACAACATGGAAGAACCCTGAAAACACTATGCCAGGTGAGAGAAGCCAGACACAAAAATCTACAGGTCGTATTATTCCACTTACATGGAGTGTCCGAAATATGCAGATTCATGAACAGAAAGTAGATCAGTGGTTGCCAGAGGGTTGAAGGAAGGGGAAATTGGGAGTGACTGCTTACAGGTACCAGCTTTCTTTTTGGAGTTACGGAAATGTTCTGGAATTAGGTAGTAGGGGTGGCTGCACAACTCCGTGAATATACTAGAGACCACTTAGTTGTACACTTTAAAATGGTGACGTTTATGTCATATGAATTACAGCTCTATAGCAATTTAAAAAAATTTTAATGCTCTTAAAGTCCAAAACAAAGCATAATTATTTATGCAATAATCAGAAGGCTTCGTGAGGTGATGCTTGAGTTGGATTCAGTCTGCTGTTAATAGAACGTTGAAAATGTCAGTGGGACCAGGAGTGGTAGCTCATGCCTGTAATCCCAGCACTTTGGGAAGCCAAAGTGGGAAGATTACTTGAGCCTACGAGTTCAACACCAGCCTGGGCAGCATAGTGAGACCATGTCTCTAAAAAAGTTTTAAAAATTAGCCAGGCATAATGGTGCATGCCTGCAGTCCTAGCTACTTAGGAGGCTGAGGTAGGAGGACCGCTTAAGCCCAGGGGTTTGAGGCTGCAAAGCTATAATCGCACCACTGCACTCCAGCCTGAGTGACAGAGCAAGACCCTGTCTCAAAAAAAAAAAGAAAAAGAAAAAGAAAAAATGCAGTGAGTCTTGTGACTGGAAGGTGTTATTGGCCATGAATACCATGAGGAGCTTGGAATTTGTTTTGAAGTCTGTGGGAATTAATCAAAGAACTTTGAGTGGGGGACTGATGACATTTTCAAACCAGTGTTCTTTGGAGAAGTGTGTTAAATGTAAGGAAACCATCGAGGAGGCTATTGCAGTAGATAAGCAATAATGACAGATTTAACAAGAACAGCAGGAGTAAGAGCAAAAAGGAGAGGATAGCAATGGGAGACTTGTCAGAGGGCCAATCAGTAGAACTTATCCATTGGTGAAGGAGAAGAAAGAATAAAAGATGGCTCCAAGTTTGTGTGTCTGGGTAGATCAGGTGATACCAGTGACAGAGTGAGATAGAGGAGAGGAGCAGAGCTTAGGGGAAGGAAATGAAGGTCAGCTTTGGGTATACTAGTGTAAGGTGCCCATGAGACATTCAGATAAAAACCAGCCACCAGGCATATGGAGATAACAGGGCTGAACTTAGGAGAAAAGCCTGGGTTGAAACAGAGATTCGGATATCCTCAGTATGAAGGTGATAGTTGAAACTGGGGACTGGATGACCGAAAGAGATCACCCAGAACACCAGTACAGAGAGGAGAGAGCTGAGGATGGAATTTTGGGACATAGGTGCTTCTACAGCACATGGCACCAACCTCTAATAATCACACCACTTGCTATTACATTTGATTTTTGAAAGAGTAGCCTGCGCAGTAATGGGAGGAAACTAGATTGTATATGTTGATGAGCAACTAGAAACAAAGAAGTGCAGGGCCCTAGTTGTAGACTAATGTTTTGAAACATTTGGCTGTGGGCTGGGCATGGTGGCTCATGCCTATAGTCCCAGCACTTGGGGAGGCCAAAGTAGAGGATCACTTGAGGCCAAGAGTTCAAGACCCCTGGGCAACATAGCAAGCCCCTGTGTCTATTTAAATAAATAAATAAAATAAAATCAGAAAACCACAGGCTCATATCCCTTTACAAAAAAAGAAAAAAAAGTGGCTGTGAAAAGAAGGGGAAACAAATGGGGCAGTGGCTTGAAGAATCATCAGAAATGATTGAAAGACTTTTGTTGGGGTGGTTTGTTTTTGTTTTAAATCAGGAAACTCGAACATTTTGTAGGATGGAGAGAAGGAGCCATTGGAAAAAGGAGACTTTGAAGATATGTGAACAGTGCCCAAGAAGAGCCCAAAGCAGTCAGAGGGTTAACTTTTTGAAAGATTTAGACATAGTTTTTCTTCTGAGCCAGGAGAAAAAGATGACTGAAGATGTTTTGAAATGGAGTACAGTTGGGAAGGTTTTTACCAGATGGTATTATCTGCCAAGGCTAGAGAAGGGTTGGGGTTTGATGGGCATGGAGAAGATGAAATATTAAGTATGGGGAATTTGTAAAATGGTTGTCAGGTAGTAGTGAAGCCCCAGATGAGCCTAGATAATATGTGAACCCAATGTCTTTATTTACCAACAAGCTTTATGGAGCATCTCCTTTTGTAATGAAATGTTAATAGCTGCCATGTATTCAGGTATCTGACTTTGCGCTAGACATTCTGCTAAGCACTTCATATACATAATCTCACTCCACTATTACACCCGTCCCATGAGGCGGGTATTGTCATCTCCATTTTATCAATGAGGATGTATTCAAGCTTGCCCAAGTCTATACAGCTAGTAAGTGGAGGTGCCAGAAGTCAAAGCCAGGTGTCCCTAACTGTGAAGCCCTGAGGAGTGCTAGATAAGTGGCTAGGATGGTACCTGCTCTCCAGGAGCTTCCTGAGGATGGGACTGGCACAGGCATTGGCTGTTGTAGTCGACACTGCTTCCTCTCATTTCTTGTGGTTCCATTGTGTGTAGGTTCCCTCTTAAGCACTTTTTTATGTTCTGGTCTGGACAATCAAATATTTCATACTTGAGTGGTAGCTGAAGAAGGCCTCATTTGGGATGTGGGACTTAAGGCAGACCTTGAAGAATGGCTCAGATTAGGACAGGCCTTTGTGTTTGTCTTCTTTCTGTGGTTGTCTCCTGTGTTCTTTTTCTCATCACTTACATCTTTTTCTGATCCTGAATGATGTTGAAATACCGTGCATCTACTTGGAGGCAGAGACCTCTTCTCTCTCATCTTTGTTTTGGGATAACTGCCTATTCTCCCCACTGGTGAGTCATCCATTCTCTATTAACCACCCCTCTGCCTTTTCCCCTCCCCCTTCTCCTCCTCACCCATCCCTAGCGTATCTGTGAGGTCTATAGCCGGAACCCCGCCAGCCTACTGGAAGAGCAGATCGAAGGTGCCCGGCGGCGAGTCACTCAGTTACAGCTGAAGATCCAGCAGGAGACTGGTGGCTCAGTGGTGAGTGATGTAGGCACAGCTCTAGTAAGGGCACATGCAGTAGAACTGGGGGTAGAGTGAGGGAAAAAGCAAGGACAGAAGGCTTCTTGGGTTATGCCAGGACCTCAAGGCTGAACTAGTAAGTGTTTAGTATTTTACAAAGAAACCAAGGTCAGCACCAAAGAGGCTGAGCATTGTAGTGACACTTGGGATACCATAAAAAGAAAAAGCCTATTTCTTGCCCTCCAACAACATAGGCAATGGAAAGAAAGAAATATGAAATAAACAGATTGTCAGTGTTAGTCTCTGAATTATTCTTCCCTTCTGGGTAGTTCTTCATAGTGGATGTATGTACATTTCTATACTGGTTTTACCCAGTATTTCATCTGGTACCCTTTCCCACCACCTATACTCAAGTAATGAGTCTTCTCAAAGAAATACAAGTACTTTTTAAAGTCAGACTACATAAAAGACCCCCAGTCTGTTGAGATGGATCTGTATCAGCAGATAACCACACTTTATGGAAAACTCCAGAGAGTAGATGATTCTTTATCTATTCTCTTCAGGGACTTTGCTATTAGTGTCTTACTGCTCTCCATCAGGCCTTAATTCTTGGGGTAAATAAGAAGTAACTCTCCAGAAACTTTAAGGTCTCCAAGAATAACATTTGACAAAGCCAATAGGAATTAATTAAAGATGATCTACTTTTGCTTTTAGGATATCCAGATCAAAAAAGTTTGGGAAACATAGGCAAATACATTTAAACTGCTTCATTTTCTGAAGGACTTCTCATATTACATGGCTGATAGGTAGGAGCTCAGGTTGTGGACTTAGACCATCTGGATTCAAATCCAGCATCACTTCTCATCAGCTTAAAGACTCTTGGGCAAGTTAATTAATCCATAGGAGCCTTAACTTCCTCATTTATAAAATGGAGATCACAGTGTTGTCAGAGTTAAAGCATGCCTTTGACAGAGGGGCTGTACATGTTTGCTGCTGCCACTGCACTGTTGATTGTGCTATGAGGTGATGAGTCTGAGAAACTAAGCTTGGAATCTGAAGGTCTGAGCGCCAACCCTGGCCTTAGGGTTGACCTGCTGTGTATCTTGGGCAAGTTACTTAAGATCTCTGAGCTTCTGTTTCCTCATTGATAACATGAGAGTAACATGCCTAAGCCAGAGCCATTGAAAGATTAAATGTGACATAGAAAAGTGCTTTGTAAACAGCAAAGCACTATCAACATCGCTTCCTTCACATCCCACTAGCTCAGTCAGTCTCAGGCCAATGCCTGTCCATCCTCCTCAAAGATCTCCAAAGGTAAACCTTTTATATCTTCCCTCGGTCACCTGCTTGAGTCTTTTTTTATACTTCTTGATGGTTAAGAAGTTCTTTCTTGTATCCAAATAAGGCAATAGATGCTTTGAGGTCCAGGGTGATTGGATAAAGCTAGCTTTTAGAATTTCAGTAATGGTAAAGCTCCCTTTCCACCATTAGGGGTCATTGTCATCCTCAAACTGTACAAATGAAGCAATATCTCTTCTAGCTGGGCATTTTTGAGGCAATGAAGCGGAAGAGGCCACTAATTGTAAGCAAATAAGGCACTGATTGGTGAAAGAAAACCGTAGGGGGAGAGGCTCACAGAATTTGCCCACCCTGTGGGCCTTTCTGTTTCAGGACATACTTCCACTATATGGTGACACCAGCCAGAGACCATCAGAAGGTAAGTCCCCCATCACCCCTTTTTTCTCTGGCATATCTCTAGTCCAGGTTTCTTACCTGTTTACCCTCCCCATGGGGCAGATTCCAGGAAAGAAAATATATAGTGCCTGCCCTCTGAGAAATGAAATAATGGGAGAAAGCAGTACAAATACACAGGGAAGCTGGATACAACTTAGGCAGTAGAATAGAGTGTATAGCCAATAGCCGGGATAGATAAGGGCTAGTAAGATACCAGAATGAGTATGGTCCAGACAGCAGCTTGCCTGACAGCTCCTGGCACTAAGGAATTCAGCAAATATTTGTTGTAAGAAGAAATGGGTGGTGACCAGAAGAGGGTTGGGAAGGAGTTGAGGAGCAAAACTAGTTGTGAGAGAGAGTTATGGAGTCTTATTTCAGGAGGTGACATGGCCTGTGCCCAGGTGCATAGACAGGTGAAAGCTAGATGTGATGAGAGCAGAGGGGAGGTGTGCCGGGAAGTGTCCGAGTCTAGAGGTCATGGGATGAGAGAGCTGAAGGGAAACTGGTGAAAGAAAAGGTGGCAGCTCCCTCTTCCTGCCCTGCACACAGGTGCCCAGAATAAAGGCTCTCTTTCCCCTAGGCCACAGCTCCTTCTGTGTTATAGAAACTATTTTCTTCTCAGGCCGGCTCTCTCTGGATTCCCAGGAGGGGGACAGTGGCTTGGACTCTGGGACAGAACGCTTTCCTTCCCTCAGTGAGGTGAGTCCCAGCAGGGCAAGGCCCATTCAGAACGTGCATTCGGGGTCCCTTCCCTTGACCCAAGTTCTGCTGCCTACCAGCTGCACTGAGGCCTCTGTGTGCCTCTTCCATCGTTCTAGTTCCAAGGATATAATCACTGTGCTCTGGGTTCCAAAGCAGAAATTTCAGATGCATCCAACATGCAAGATTATCAAATCTGGCTTTCATTTTATCATTGTCAACTCTGTTATATAAAGAGTAGGGTGGAGAGGGCGGCCATGGCATTAACTGTGGCAAGCCTTTGAGAGTGAGGGAGCAGAGACGAAATAATCTAAAACAGTGACTTGACCAAAAACATATTTCCACCTGTCCAGGAATAACATCGTCTTAGATTAATACAGTGAACCCAACCTATTCAGAAGTGGTAGTCTTTTTTTGCTGTGGATCTTTTTCTTCCCAAATAGCTTGTCTTTTCTGGAATGACTAAAAGAATTTCAGGTTTTGACCTCAAAGGTTATCTCTTCCAGGTGTTCTCAGTTTGCACATGTAAACTATGAACGGCAATACAAAAGTAAGAATGAATGGAAGAAGTAGTAATGAAGTTAGCAAAATATTTGCTTAGCCAGAGTAATTAAATATGTGAATATGTGGTTGAAAAGATGTTAAAAACCTAATTTTAGATCACAATTGGAATTTTATTTTCTTACTGCCCTGTCCATGGGAAAATGGTGAAATATATGTGAAAGGATCGGTATGTGGGAAAGTCACCAAGAAAGTGGAGTGGGACAGGGATCCTAAAGAATCTACAGTTGACATTATCTGGAAGGCCACAGAGTTGGTGATGAAGAGTGTGTGCTGTGAGTTGAGGCTGCCTGGGTTAAGTCCAGGATACACCTCATGACTAGCTCTCTGACTTAGCAAGTCTCATAACCTCTTGGAGTCTCAGTTTCTTTGTGTGAAAATGGGACGAATAATAGTATCTACCTCAAAGGGCTACTGTGTGAATCGAATGAGATAATGTGTAATGAAGGGCTTAGTATAATACCAGGCACAGAGCAAGTACTGCACTTCTCTTAGCTGATGTTATAAGTATGGTTATCACCACCAACACCAAATGAGCTGAGCCTTGAGGGTCTTCCGGACAAGGTTCCTTCTCACAGAATTCTTTGTTTCTCTAGTCATTGATGAATCGGAACTCGGTACTGTCAGACCCTGGGCTAGACAGTCCTCGAACCTCCCCTGTGATCATGGCCAGGGTGGCCCAGCACCACAGGCGGCAGGGCTCGGATGCAGCAGTCCCCTCAACCGGTGACCAGGTGAGTGATCTGGAGCCACCCTGCAGTTTTCCTTTTCTCAGAAGTGAGATTTGGAGGCATGGGTGTTACCAGTACATCGTCTTGGATCATCAGACTAAACCCCTGCTTCAGCAACCCAAACTTTGAGACAGTCACTTACATAGAGAGCAAATAGTAAAGAAAGAGAACATGGCATAAATAGAGATATGAAAGTAAGGCTGGCTCCATTTCTATGTGGAGAGTGGGTGAATGCATCTGTAGGGAGTAACAGCTAAGGAGCGGATAGCTGGTCTTTCTGTCTATACAGAATAGGAAATAGGTTTAGGCAGTGTTTCTCCAGGATACTAATTTTCAGTTTCCCCGTTCCTTAGCAAAATCCTTTTCTCAAACAAAATCTTATTACTTGGAACCGTAACATAGAAAAGAAAAAAAAAAAACTCAGCTCCCCTAGGACCTTTACTGATCAACCTCCCCCTGCCCTCAAGGGCACTTCCATGGAGCCCTAAGGTTCTGCAAAACCTGATTTGAAAGGCCCTGCTCTCAAGGGTGGAGCTAGATCCAGGAGAGACTTCAGGAAGATGGGTTTTGACTTAATGCAAACAGCTTGCAAAGAAGCTGGGCTGTCTGGCAATGGAATGGACTTGAGAGCCAGAGAATTGCCTGTTGTTTTTCAGACACCGTTAACCGTGTCTAACAACGTTCAGACGTTGTTAGACATCTAAATATTCAACGTTCTACCTGTATAATGTTACTTAATATTTTTCTTTAAGCCAAGTTTAAGTTCTTTAAACTTAAATTCATCTCAAGGAAATCTGTCATTACCTTAAATTAAAACCAGCATCATGATACACTGTAAATGTAGAGTAAATGTAACACTAAATATAAGTTTAGAACCAAGTTTGTTAAATTCTACCTAGAAAGATATAAGACAGTGTAGAAGAAAGCTGCCATTTATATTAAAAAGAGGAAAAGGAGCCTCTTTCTTAAGACATCTCTGGATGAATGTTTAAGAAACTGATGGTTATTGCCTCTGATGAGGGGAATTAGTTGGCTTGAGGACGAAGTGGATGGAAGACTTTTTATTATCTTTACCCCTTTGTGTCCTTTTAATTTTAAACTACGTGATGTAACTTGCTCAAAAAGTAGAGATAAAATTTAAAACAACCCGAAAAATAAACTCTAGATCAATTCTATTGCTTGTCAAAGGCTTTAATTAAGCTTGAGGGCAATTCTGCCTTGGTTAAAGGTATTAAAGCTATGCAGGCACCAGGCTGAAATTTTTCCTGGGTTAATCAAAAGGATGGAATGAGAACTGAAAAGAAACTAACTTTCTTACAATATGAGCCAGTATTATTTAATGCCATGTCCAGATAGCACCTAAAATCATTTTGACCCTCAACAAAAATCATCTCACTTAAAATCCTTATAGTTCCACTTCCCATGCTGGAAAACACTGGTGTCAGGAGTTAAACAGGTGGTATTTTCAAACTGTGGGTTGTCATCTTTTGGGGAGTCATAGTTTCAGTATTGAAGGTCATGAGCAGCATCTGTTTTAATGAAGTAGAATCTAATAGCATGGAAAAGAAAATAACAGAATTCATCACATGTAATAAAAGTATTTTGTGAAACTTCTGTTTTAATTACATATGTGTGTGCTGAGTTGCAGTGAAAGCATATTTATTAGAAGTCATGGTCAACAGAAAGTTTGAAAGCTACTTTCTGGAGTTCTTTTGACTCTGGGAGCCTGTTAATCACTGAGTCCAGGAGGAGGTCTTCAGAAGATGGGGTCTCTAAAGTAATTTGGATAATGAGGGAGAAATGGTACAAGGAAGAAAACAGAGCAAACGATAATCCTACTCACTGAGCTCTCTTTGGTGGTGTTGTGATTTTAGTAAACTTGTCCTCTCACCTTGGAGTTCAGGGTTCCAAGCAGCATCTTTTTTCTCTTAGAGCATTTATCCCTCTGCTGTTACTTCCCTATGTGGCTTACCTCAACTTTATATGCTTTATCTCTGTAGGCACCTGGCACATAGTAGCCACCTTCATAATGTGTAGTGAATGAATGACTGAATGGGAGTAATCAAAATTGTCTTCTGAGTGGCATCTTAGGGGAGGACTTATCCAGGACACAGAGCTCTTAAGTTTCTTGAAGCTGAAGTTTCACAGTGTGATCTGTAGAAGAGAGGATCATGGCCTAAGTGAACATACTTTTTTATAAATCTAGAGTTATGCAGGCATCAAAAGAAAATTCTAATCAAGAGCTACTGTGCAAAAGAAGAATACATGTGACCAAGCCTCTCTGAACCTATTCTGGTTGGGCTGCCAAATTCACAAAAAATAGAATTTAAAAAAGATGACAACATATGATACTCTAGTGTTACCCATTGTATAAAGTTTGGTTATTCTTACAATGTGGAGGGGAAAGGTGGGGAAAAGGATCGGACAGGTATTAAAATGCCTAGTGTACCAGCTGCTGTGCCAGATCTTTACCAAAAAATCTCAAGTAATTCTCACAATCAGGAAAAAAGTTGGCCATTAGAATCTTCGTGTGGTCTAAGGGAATGTTCAAGGGCTAGCCTTGTTACTGGCAGGGTCAGAACTAGAATTTAGTTCTCCTGGTCCCCAACACGGAGCTCTTTCCTATCCTAGCCGCTCTTTCATTGCCCTCTCTATACCCCTATCTTTGTAGAACTAAAGGACCAAGTTCAGTTTGCTAAGGGGTTCAGGCGTCTATCCTGTTCTAGGAAAGGCTTTCCTTCAGGTGGCTCATAGAAGCAGGTGTGGGGTCAATAGTGTTGGAGCCCTTGTTTTCCTTCTGAAATTTTTTCATCTTCTGAAAACTAAGTTGGTATTTTCAAGTGTTAAGAGCAAATAGAGTATAATTTCCAGTTTCTTAGTAGTAATAAATGTTAATAACAGCATAGGAAGAAAACCTATACTTTCCATAAAACTGTCAGCAGCAGGGAAATGGATGCATAAGGAACTCTCACTTTCTGTTATGTCATTCTATAACATTTGATCTTTTTAATAATAAGCATATTCTACTTTTGTAATCAGAAAGAATATGTATTTCTAAAGACTTTAAAAAAAATCCTCCCCGTAAACAAGCAAAAGCTTAGTGCTTTTCAGGTTTCACCAGAGAGCTCAGTAGAGCCAGAAGTGCTCACCCACCACCTTCTGGGGCTCTCAGACCCCAAGAGGGTCAGAGAGTAGGGTGTTTCGGAGAGGAGGATACTCAGGATGTGTCTGGGAAATACAAATACAGCACATCAGGCCTGATTCTGCAGCTTTGAGCACACCAGTCAGTCTGTCTGGGCCTCACTTTTTTCAATTATAAATGAGTGTTAGACTCTAGTGTCTGAGATACCTTCTGGGCCGCTCATGTTCTGTGACTCAGTCATTCTGGGCATAGAGACCATAAATATCCAGGAAAACAAAAAAGGGGTGAGGAGCATCAGAGAGGAACTGTCAGGAAAAGCCCCTTAAGAAAGTGGGTTAGGAGGGTATCATAGGTCTGGGTTAAAATAGGCACATTTAAGCTGAGTGGGTTCCAGAAGCAGAGACCTTGTTGGGGAATCACTGGAAATGAAAAATATCAAATTGAGTGAGAAATACAGTTAGTAGAAAAGCTTTGAAAGCTCAAGGAACCTTTAGGAGAAAAATTTGTTCAGTGAAGCATCTGAGAAGTTTATGCAATATGAAGTCTTATCATACCTAATCCATGGCATGTCCATTAAGATTAGGTTTTTATTTAAATTAGCGTAAGGGGGAAAGAAAGGAAAGCCAGACTAAGAAATTTGGATTTTAGACAGGTAATGGGGATCTAACACAGATTCTTGAGCGGGCAAACAAAATAATGCAAATGGTGTTAGAGAAAGATCAGCCGCATCTCCATTTGTTCAGAGAGGCAGAGATCTACTAGTAGGCTCTCCGATCATTATTTAGCCACCAGTACTTACTAGGCACAGAATAACTGTTCAGTAGCACTGTGGTAGACACTAGGTTTGGAGGATGTGTGTTTGGGGTAGGGGTGGCTGTTTACTCTATTAAGTAAAACAGCCCCCAACCCAGCAGTCCAGCAGGAGCTGTTGGCTCTTATTTTGTTGACTGACAGTCCCACCCCAGATCTTTTGCAAACAGGAAGAGAGCATTTTCTCCTACTTCCCATCTTCATATGTCATGTGACCAGGCTGCTCTGAATCTGCCCTGCCCCACCCAGAAGCAGTTGACTTCCTGCAAGTGGAAATCATTTCATCTGTGCTCTGATTTTGGGGGCGGGAGTGAGATGCCAACGTTCACCAGACCCGGGTGGCTTTGTGAGTGCTGTGCTGCAACTAAACAAACTTCACTGAGGTGGTTGAATCCTCTGTCCTCTATAACCTCTCATCTCTGCAATTTGACTCTCTCCCCCAGGGTGTAGATCAAAGCCCAAAGCCTTTAATTATTGGCCCAGAGGAAGACTATGACCCGGGTTATTTCAACAACGAGGTAACGGTTTCCTAGTTTTCTCCTTTCATCATTTTTTTTTGTCATACAAGCTGCTCTTGACTAGAAGCAGTTTGACTAGCATCAGCTGTGAAGGGAACTTGAGGCGGGGAGCCTCCTGTTATGAACCCAGGACGGGGAATCACATGGGAGCTAAGCTGGAACCCGCTGTGCTGCTGTGCCCGGCTTCCCACCATGCTCATCCTTCTGCCTTCCAGAGCGACATCATATTCCAGGATCTGGAGAAACTGAAGTCTCGGCCAGCTCACCTGGGGGTTTTTCTACGTTACATCTTCTCTCAGGCGGACCCCAGTCCACTGGTAAGTCAGAATCATCTGTCTTGATTGAGTGCCTGCTGGTACTGGGCAGAGAGGACCTCTAGCCTCTGTTTCTGCTCCCTGGCTGTTACAAGTCAGATCCATGGGCACAGTCAGGCATTTCAAGGACAGACAAAATAGCCAAGAAGATGAAACCTATGGAGAGGGGATTTTTCACTGTATGACACAGCTAACTAACTACATCAGCTGCCTAGGGAGGAGCAAGAGAGCAAGGCCAGGAAAACTCATTCTTGATCAGTTCAGGAAGTCGTCTTGGAGAAGTTGCTCTTCCTAGAGTTTTTTTTTTTTTTTTTTTTTTTTTTTTTTGAGACGGAGTCTCGCACTGTCGCCGAGGCTGGAGTGCAGTGGCGCGATCTCAGCTCACTGCAAGCTCCGCCTCCCAGGTTCACGCTGTTCTCCTGCCTCAGCCCCCCGAGTAGCTGGGACTACAGGCGCCCGTCACCATGCCCGGCTAATTTTTTTGTATTTTTAGTAGAGACGGGGTTTCACCGTATTAGCCAGGATGGTCTCGATCTCCTGACCTCATGATCCACCCACCTCAGCCTCCCAAAGTGCTGAGATTACAGGCATGAGCCACCACGCCCGGCCTCTTCCTTCGTTTTTTAAACGAAGGTAGATACAGACCGACTAGGGAGTTGAGAGAGTGGCCCTGTGAGAAAACTTGCAGATGGCAAGGCTTAAAGGGTCTTCCGTGTGAAGGTGATGACAAGAAGGAATGTGAAGGGATGGAGACCAAAGTGCCGGGGAAAGTGCTCAGAGCCAGCAACCTTCCCAGTTTCCTTATTCTGCTCAACTGCTTAGAACGGGAGGGCAGATGGAGTAGAGGAGTTGCGGTTGTATTCTTCAGAATAAACTTCTCACCTGGGGCATGGGCTGCTGTTTTGTCTTTCTGGGGATACCATCAGAAGCCAGAATGAACAGCCATCCACAGGTATTCATTGAACACCTGTGTGCATGTCCAAGTGCCAGAAGCATTCCTGAATAAAGACAGGGCACACCACAAAGAGAAATAAAACATGAACCCTTAGGAAACAAGACGTAAACCAGCACAAGACACAAGTGAAATAGCACGTGTGGAGAGGATACAGAGTTGAGGAGTGATCAGTGTTGAAGATGTGCCCGTGGGAAAGGGGGTGGGGATTATTTTACCACAGGTTTCTGAAATACTCTGACCCCAGCTTTCTCAACTGTTCTGAACTGGAGAATTCTTTGTTGTGGTAGACTGTTCTGTGCCTTTGGGGAAATATGGCTGCATCACTGGGCTGTACCCACTAGATGCCAGTAGCACCGCACTTGCCCAGTAGTTGTAACAACTAAAAATGTCTCCAGACATGGCCAAACGTCCCCTAGGGGGCAAAATCACTGCTGGGGGAGAACCACTGCTCTAACCCAGTTCTCTCTCCTCCTAGCTTTTTTACCTGTGTGCAGAAGTTTATCAGCAGGCAAGCCCCAAGGATTCCCGAAGCTTGGGGAAAGACATCTGGAATATTTTCCTGGAGAAAAATGCGGTAAGGCAGTCATAGATTGGATTATAATTTTATCATATTCTTTGAACTACTCAGAGGCAGGGAAAATTAAGCAAAACATCCAGGCCAAACAGAGACAGGTTCTTAAAGAGAAATCTAGGCTGAGAGATTAATATTCCTGGATTCTGTTCCTAGCGCCACTCTCAAAAAATCTCACAGTACCTCTGTTGTTCCACATATAGAATACACATTGCCTGTCTCTGGAATGTTTGGAGGAAGAGATTGTACCAAATTCTCCCTATTCTCCCCTCATTCAGTGCCCTGGTTCCCCCCAACCCTCCCTGCCTTGCCCATCCCTAGGCCGAAGAAACAGAGGTCTAGAGACATCAGATGACCTAGATCCGTGAGGCAAGAGGAGAACCCAGGTTTCTGAAGCTCAGTCTGAGTTGCTATTACTGCCCAAAGGCAGGAGTCAGAGATGGGAGGCCCCAGAGTGTCTGGGATAGACAGCACGCTGTGCATTGGGACAGAGTTCCCGGGGTATGTCAGGGATCCCGCTGGCAAGAGCATTTCTGCCTGCAAAGGGCAATCGCCATCCCAGACTTTCTAATCTGATCAACTAGACTAATTCCAAGGTGACTTTATTCTTTTGGCAGTAAGCTAGTAGGGTTAATGAGGTTGGAGAAAATTGGTTTTTCTTAAGAGTTTTATATTTGCCCTCTTAAATGGGTCTTGAGTAGGGAGGTTAGAGCTGCCAGTTGTTCTCTGTTGGTTGTTATGGAACCTTTCCAGTATCCAGGTGTCAGGGACTTGTGTAGCAAAAGCCAGAACACCATGCTAACTGCAAGGCTGGGTGACACAAGGCTAGCTTTCCCATGGGAGTGAGCGGGAGGGAAAGTCCACCAAATAGCCTAATGAAGGCTTTTCCTTTTCCCTTGCTGCTAAGTCAGCACAGGTCCACTTTTTGGACAACATGCCATCCCATGCGCTCTAATGGCCTGGAAATAAGAGTGAAAAAAACTGCCTGTGCCGCCCTCAGAATATAGTACCAGCTTGCTCTGTAGCCTCAGACTCCATTTCCCAAAAACCCTAGCCTAGAATTCAGGTGTGCAGTTGGAGAGTGATGAGAAGGATGGTAGGCAGATGTAGGCGAAAAGGCAAGAAGTTCATGTGGCCAAGCCCTCCTCGCCTTGCACACTGCTCATCTCCCTGGAGTGTGCAGACCTGACTGCTTCTGCTCCACACTTCTGTTTTTTAGCCTCTGAGAGTGAAGATCCCTGAGATGCTACAGGCTGAAATTGGTAAGTTGGCTCATTGGTCGGTAAGTCTCTTCTTGGTAGCTTTCTTGTCCTGAGCTCTCAGGAGGCTCCAGAGGACAGAAGGGACATAGTCCCTGTCCTTGGGCAACCGTCCTGTAATAGAGGAAAAGACCCATGGGATGATTGCTCCAGAACACTGCACAGTAGCTTACGGACAGGTGCAAATGGGACAGACCCTGCCTAGGCGCTCACTCTGCCGGGGGGAGCTTGTCATGGGAAGACATTGGACTTGGAGTTAGGAGACCTGGGTTCATGTCTGCCAGCCTTCTACATGACCTCTCTGGGCCTCCGTTGGCTTATCTGAACAAAGAGGAAACAGACTTGATTAGGGATTCCTCAGCCAGGTTGATTGTCAAGAATCCCTTGGGGAACTCAAAAAATACAGAAACTAGGGCCTCGCTCCATCCTCCCTGCAGAGTTGGAATCTCCAGAGTGGTTTTTCTTATTGTTTTTTTTGGGGGGGGGGGAGGGGGGGTTATTTTTGTTTTTATAAGTTCCCTAACTAATACTGACAGCAGCGAGTCCAGAGTGAGGACCAGGCAGGCTAGATGGTGCCCGTCTCCCTTCTCCTTCTAATCATGAGTAGAAGAATTAAGGAGAGGCAGTCTAAGGTGATGTCAGCCTGAGAAGCTAATCACTGGCAGCTTTTTAGAGGACAGGAATTGGAAGCTGCATTTAGAAAGAGATGATTTACGGGCACATGTGACGGGGAGGAAAGCCCAGGCATAGGGTAAACAGAGCTTGCTCAAAAGCAGAGTGAGAATGAAACACAGCTCCCAAGGACTTAGCCTAGCCTGGGTGGAGCTAGATGCAGGGACTAGAGGAGAGACATCTTTCAGTTTCTACTGGGGAGCTCAGGTTTCATGGAGTGTGAAGTGCTTGCCTTTTTTAGCCTTGTGAGCTGCTTCTGGAGCAGTAGAGGGGAACAAGCCTCTCAGAGGTCTGCACTTGGATGTCAGAGAATGGTACTTAGACATATCCAATGAGAGGGACTTTAATACTTCTCTTAATGGAGCACAGAACATCCAGAAAATATTTTTGTCCTTGCCTTGGACTTTAGATATCAGCATCCAGTCCTGAATTCAGGAATGACCTGAGAGGTCCAGGCCTCCTCTCCTTTTAGACTAACAGGGCAGAAAGCCAGCCCTTCCTCCCAGTGTCATAGGGAGCTGAAATGCCTTGAGATGCTCAGCAGAAGGGATCCCCCTCCACCCCCAGTACCCCATCCACTCTGCTTTCTCTGATCTCCCACTACAGACTCGCGCCTGCGGAACAGCGAAGATGCCCGTGGTGTTCTCTGTGAAGCTCAAGAGGCAGCCATGCCTGAGATCCAAGAGCAGATCCACGACTACAGGTTGGCCCAGGAGCTGACCTCCCACCTCTCTCCTCGTTCACCTCCGCCTCTTGGCCCTGGCTCCTTCCCTCTGGGACGTGCACATATCTCTTGTTATATGTGTTTGTCTTGTTCTTTCTGGATGTCCATCTGTTGAGTATTTGTGTATATTTCTTTCTTTCCCTGTGTTTATCTGGCTTAGAACGAAGCGCACACTGGGGCTGGGCAGCCTGTATGGTGAAAATGACCTGCTGGACCTGGATGGGGACCCTCTCCGAGAGCGCCAAGTGGCTGAGAAGCAGCTGGCTGCCCTTGGAGATATTTTGTGAGTCTTTCAGCTTCCTCCCACCCCACTGAACATCCTAAGCAGGTTGACATATTTTGTGGGTCTGTTCTTTCAACCTCTCCCCCTCTTCCACTTCTTGCCTGATTCTCCTGCCCCTGAAAGATGGGGAGTCCTGCACTCCTGCTGCATTGGTCAGGCTGAGGGCTGCAGGTGTTCAAGGGTGTGGCAGAGCCTGGAGCTCCTGATAGTCATTTGGTGGTTATGACAGACCACGGGCCCCAGGAATGTGGTAAGCTTTCTGCTTTCCCCTGCTGGCCCTCCTCCTGACCTCTCTCCCTTCCTGCCTCTAAGATCTTATCTGTCACAGAGAGTGAGGCCAGTGATGTGTGTGCCCAGTGGATAAAGTTCCTTCAGGAGGCAGCTAGAACTGGCTTAGGGGAAATTGAACCATCTTTTACTAATCCACATCAGAAAACTGAACTAGTGCAATATACTAAGGTGCTTCTGGCACAGCCGCTTTTGTTATGTTTTTCTAGCGCCATTTTCGAAAGTGTCATAGGCACCTGTGATGCAAGCCCCAGTATCACAGACTTTATGGGGACACTTCAGGCTTAGAAGCAATTTTTTGCCCTACTACTGCTTCTCACTAAGTAGTTATGTGACCTTGGTTAAGCCATTCCATACAAGTCAGATCCATAGGCACAGCCAGGCACTTTAAGGACAGGGTAAAAATAGCAAAGAAGATGAAACCTATGCAGTCTCTGCTAAGGCTGATATTTCAACTCGGCAAATATTTATGGAGTTCCTGCTATGTACCAAATACTTGTGCATCAGACGTACTTCTCTCCTTTTCCCCCACTAACCCTCCTTTCATCTAGGAAAAACTTACCCTCCTCCTAGCCTCTAACCAGGTGACCAGCCTCTGTCTTTGCAGTCTGAGTCATCTGTTCTTTCTTCCATTCCAGGTCCAAGTATGAGGAAGACAGGAGGTAAGCAAGTCTATGATGTGGATTTGCAGCTTTCAAGGTGGAAGGAGTGGGGTTGAGCTACTATGCTTTCCATTTCTGACAATCACAGGGGAGTCCCTCATGTTGTACAACCATGAAGGACCGTGGTTCCTGAAAGTCTAGCACTCAGGTGTCTGTATGACCATAACATAGGGGTGATGAGGCCCACGCCCCTGATGCTCAGGGATCACTGCCTGGGGATGTGGGTCTGCTCCTCAGTGGGAAGACACCAAGCTGCCATCGCTTCTCACAGTCCCATACCTGGTGGCAGCTTCTCTACCCAGATGAGCCCTTTGTCTCTCTTCTCACGTCTTTCCCTTAAACTACCTCAAGTAGTAACAGTAATCGTGGAATCAGCCTGTTAGTGACATCTGCAGAGGGGAGCTGGGGTGCAGCATAGTTCCTTTCTTGGCACATGTTAGAATTTTTTTTTTTGCAGCCTATATATTTATCTCATTGTTTTTCATTAGCCAAGGTTAAAATGAGTCTGCATTCCCTGAGCATACACATTAATAAGGGAGAGAAAATGGGGTTAGGAGTCTGTTTAAGAGGGAAATACAGACAGAGCTGAAGCCTTGCTGCATTGAATGCATAGAGTGGGTCATCATCCATCCAGCAAATTGTGGGTACAAGGACATTTTTAAACAGAGCTCTGGACATTTTCATTTGTGGCAGTTGGAAGCCACCTGACAGCTCCTTTTCCATCTCTTTTTCTCTGTACTGGGGTGGGAGGATGGTGAAGGCAGTGTACCTTGGCAGAGGCTGCTTGGCATTTCTCCTTTCCCCTGGCCTCCCCACCCCTGCACATATGCCTGAGAGTATCAGCTGCAGACCTCAGCCAGTCCTCCACATCTGCCTATGGCTTGACCAGGCAGGAAATTATTTACTTACATTTTAGGGAATTGGCATGTTCTTCCACTGACCATCATCTGCTCATGGGGAAGAGTTCTGCTTAGGGAAAGAATAAGACTTCTCCTGGGAAAAGTCTTATTCTTGGTTACCTGTGGGCTCACTGTGTGGAGAAGGTCACAGCCCAGACTTTTAGCCAGCTTCTGCCTGCTGTCCCATTTAATTATTCTAGACTTTTCTTTGAATACTTTCACCTGTAACTACCCCTTCCCCACTCCACTGCGTGGTGGTGAAGAGATTGTTTGGCACAGGGAAGATAACTTGAGCTCTCTGATTCAGGACACTGTTCCTCTTTTACAGCGCCCCCATGGACTTCGCCCTCAATACCTACATGAGCCATGCTGGGATCCGTCTTCGAGAGGCACGACCTTCCAACACAGCTGAAAAGGCCCAGTCTGCTCCTGACAAGGACAAGTGGCTACCGTTCTTCCCTAAGACCAAGAAGGTGAGGGCCGGGCATGGTGGCTCATGCCTGTAATCCTAGTACTTTGGAATGCCAAGGCGGGTGATTGCCTGAGCTCAGGAGTTCGAGACCAGCCTGGGCAACATGGTGAAACCCCATCTCTATTAAAATACAAAAATTAGTCCAGCATAGTGGTGCATGCCTATAACCCCAGCTAATCGGGAGGCTGAGGCACGAGTATTGCTTGAACCCGGGAATTGGAGGTTGCAGTGAGCCAAGATCATACCACTGCACTCCAGCCTGGGCAACAGAGTGAGACTCTGTCTGAAAAAAAATAAAAAGAAGGTAACAGAGCTGTCCTGGAAAATATCTCCTCTTGATGCAGTTCTCTGTGCTGAGGTAGGTCAGGAAAGCCGTTTTGCAGGTCTCTGGCTACATCCCTCCACCTGGATGTGGAGTCAGTGAGGACCCCCAGACTAGAGCAGCTCTCAGTCTCTTCCAAACCCAGGCCAGAGGCGAACATGCTTGTTAGGGTACCAGCAAGAGTCAGCTCTCCAGTTACTTGCTGAGGGCCAGCCTTGGGGGACAGTGGCAGAATTGATTAGCAGCCACGCCTGGGTATCAGGACCTCCTGCAAACACCAGTGTCTCCTGTCTCAGCAGAGCAGCAATTCCAAGAAAGAAAAGGATGCCTTGGAGGACAAGAAGCGAAACCCTATCCTCAAATACATTGGGAAGCCCAAAAGCTCTTCTCAAAGCAGTGAGTATTTGGGGAGCAACAGCCTTGGGCATTCCTTGGGCAGGGACCTCAGCCCTTTCATGTACCAGTATGTTGGCAGAGGGCCTTCCTGTGTTTCTGGGAGCCACAGGCCCAAACTCAGACCACAGCCACTTTCTCCCCTTGCCAAATCCAGTGCAGGATCTCTGAGGTTCAGGTGAATGTTTCCGAGCCAGGGAAGCCGTGCCGGTCCCTGGGTCTTAGTCTAGGAACCCAGAGCAGTTCTAGCTACCAAACGACCACGTGAGAAACATTTCCCCTCGGCAAGGATCGCCCTGTGGACAGAAAATGCCCCCTTCACCTTCATCCAAGGGTCTATAATTGGTCCTAGCACACAAGACTACAGTAGTATAGATGCGGGCGGGGGATGGTTGAGTCACTATTAAAGTAGAACTAGTCAGGTTGGGGGCAAGTTTGGGACCCAGAGATTCCCCTAATGCCATCAGTAACCCAAAACTCAACTGATCCTATCATTGATCTCTTCCCAGCGTGTGTCATTTGTCTGGAAATTGTTGCTGGCCCCTCCCAGTCAGTACCTTAAGCCCCCCAATATCAATGGGAATCTGTGAAGGGCAGTGGGGTGGGCTGGCCTCCCTTTCTGAAATTGCTGCATTGCAGGAAACGGAAAGAGATTCTTCTAGATCAGCCTTGATTTTCGCCACTACCTTTTAATTTTTTGGCTTGATGTAATTTTTATTTTGATTCTTAAAACATTGATTGACTTTTCATGGTTTACTTTTGTTTTTGTTTGTTTTTCTTTTAGCATTTCATATTCCCTTGTCCCCTGTGGAAGGTAAAAGGACCATTTTATTTGGGTTTGTCTTTGCATTAGCATTGAGTTTCCATCTCCCAAATCTTGTCTTTTCTGTTTCTTTCTCATCATCTCCCATCCTGTTCCTCCTCCCTCCCTTTCTTTCTTCTCTCCATTTCTCTTATGCGTTGCTCATTGTTGCTAAAGCTGCTGTGTGCTGCAAACCCTGTGGGGGATTGGGGAGGGCACCACCCTCATGCCAGGTACGAGACCTTGTCTCCTAACTCAGAGTTCCAGGGGGCAAGGCCCCTTCTCCTGCAGGGACAGCTCCTTCTGGTAGTTCTGGCCAAGACTAGACTTCTGGTTCCTCTGGCAGTTTTTCCATAGCCTGAGGCCTTTTCTCTATAATTCAGTCACATCTCCAAGGATGAGGGTCCAAAAATCCAGAGTTCTGTATAAGTGAGGGGAACCCTCACACATTGAAGGGTCTTACAGTGAAGCAGAAGTGCCTCAGATTTTTTTTTTTTTTTTTTTTTTTTTTTTTTTTTTTTTTGGAGACACAGTTTCACTCTGTGGCCCAGGCTGGACTGCAGTGGTGTGATCTTGCCTCACTACAAACTCCGCCTCCCAGGTTCAAGGGATTCTCGTGCCTCAGCCTCCCGAGTAGCTAGGACTACAGCCATGTGCCACTACACCCAGCTAATTTTTGTATTTTTAGTAGAGATGGGGTTTCACCATATTGGCCAGGCTGGTCTCGAACTCCTGACCTCGGGCGATCCGCCCGCCTTGGCCTCCGAGAGTGCTGGGATTATAGGCATGAGCCACTGCGCCCGGTCAGTGCCTCAGATTTTTGTTTTCAGTTAAAATAATTAAAATGTCAGTTTTGAAGGTGATTTTATTTTTTATGTAAAGTATGGGTCTCCAACAGTTTTTCTCTTGGATATTTTTGTTCTTATCATCTACTTAAGCCCTTCAGTATAGCACCTCCATCTCTTTTGACGTTTGACTGCCAGCACTGTATAACCACAGCAGTGAAAAAAGAATGACCCTAAATGTATTTTAGAGGACCTAGTATCTTCCAGAATCCATGTATTTAAAACATTAATGTGATACACATTAACCCACAAGAAGCTTAGAGCCTACAGTGAATTGTCACAGAATTGAGCAAGTTCATTTCCTGTTAATAAGGTCCATATGCGTGCAACTGATTAACACTTTCTAGGTTCTACAATAAATATATATAGAGAGAGAGAGAGAGACAGCAATGGGATGCAACCTGGAAACTATTCTGTTACTGCAATTTATTTTATGTAAAAGTGACAATTAAAAATATTATCTTCCAAATTAGTTTAAAAGTTACTAAATTCCTAGACTGTATGCCATTTTAAGCAGTAAAAATAAGGAATTAATGTAAAAAAGTTTATAAAACAAGGGGAAAAAAAAGAATGGCCTTGAAATCCAGTCCTCAGGTTTTTTTGTTTTTGTTTTTGTGTTTTGAGACAGGGTTTCGCCCTGTTGCCCAGGCTGGAGTGCAGTGGTCTAGTCATAGCTTACTACAGCCTTGAACTCCTGGCTCAAACAGTCCTCCCACCTCAGCCTTCCAAGTAGCTGGGGCCACAGACATATATCACCACACCTGGCTAATTTATTTTTTGTAGAGAGAGGGTCTCACTATATGCCCAGCCTGGTCTCAAACTGCTGGGCTCAAGTGATCCTCCTGCCTTGGCCTCCAAAAATGCTGAGATTGTAAGCATGAGGCATTGTGTGCCTCGCCACTTTGCTCTTTTTAAAAATGCATTTCCTTCTACCTGTTTCTCCCCTGTTACTCTGGGTCATTCAGTTATACCAGATCTCAGGGCTACGCCTGTATTTTGCCACAGCTAAGGTATAACTCTATCTAGAACATTAATTGTGCATTTTCCAAGTGGCCCATGGGAAAGGGAAGAGTGGACTCAGCCTGCCGGCTTTCAGTTATAGGATGTTCCCAGGCTCCCACATCATCACCCAGCCAGGGCGGCTCAGGGCTGCGGCTGCCCAGCTGGCCCTGGCATCTGCATGGCTTCAAGGCCCAGATGCACGTTCAGGCTGGGACAGGCAGATCTGCTCTTAATCTCCAAAGTGAGAGTGATGGTAATAGCCCTACTCCTGTCATGTGCACCCACAGCTACTTACACAGTTTTAGAAAAATATTCCCTAGCCACTTGCCTAAAGGCTGTCAAGTTGTAAACTGTGAAGACAGCAGCTAAATTTTTTTCTGTTCTCTCTGACTTAGAAGTTTTCTTATGAAAGTCAGATTTTGAGACAGATTTGTAAGTTTGTATATGTAGATGTCAGAATCTCTGAAGTAGGATCAGGGCCCAGACCCTGGGCTGTTGATATTGCCTCCCCATTTCCCCTTGTCCTTTCCGCTGGTCTCAGGCAGCCAGCATTTCTAGCCCACCCCTGTTCTAATATGGATGGGCTCAGAACTGAGCTAGTTGACTTGAAGGTGAATTCCTTATCTCTCTTCCCTCCTGCTGAGAGCCACAGAACTCTGGGTCTGAGTTCTCCAGGGGCTGTAGTTGGCATTACCTGTGCCTTTTCACTCTACCATCTGCCCTCTCTGTCTGAACAGGAACAGCTCTCTTCTGTCTTAGCTTTGAAAGGGGGCTGGAATTTGAATGCCAGTGAAGTCTCTCCTCTGTTCCTCCTAGGTCACCTCTTACGGTACTAAAGAGTCTGATTCTGTAGTGATGAAGGCCAGAGAAGGGCAGAAAGGACAGGAAGGAGAGGCAGAGAAAAACAAATAAAGAACTCTAAAATTCATTTAAATTTGAGAAATGTCTGATATATTTTGGCAACATGGCCAAATTACATGTAGATGTGCTTTGGTCTTCCTGGCTGTTTTTTAACCTGTATGTGGCTTTTAGGAAAAACCTAATCATGACTTTCAAGCAGAAGCGTTATTATAATAATGTGAGAGCCAAAAGAATGCTTATGGAAAATATACTTCCAAACCCTCTCATTTTGCGCATGAGGAAAGAATCAACCCAGAAAGGTAGTGTGACTGCCCAGGGCCACACAGCATATTCATAGAAGAGCCAGGACCAGAACACATCTCCTGACTCTTGGTCCAGTGCTGTTCTCATCCACGCTTGCTCATTGCTCTGTCTTCTGGGATCTGGGGAAGTCCAAGCCTGAGAAGCCATCCCTGAACAGCAAGCCTAGTGTCCTTCATTTTCTTTTTGCTTCTAGTCAAACCAGGCAATGTGAGGAACATCATTCAGCACTTTGAGAACAACCAGCAGTATGATGCCCCAGAACCTGGGACACAACGACTCTCGACCGGAAGCTTTCCTGAGGACCTGCTGGAGAGTGACAGGTAGCACTGGCTGGATGGGACTCGCCAGCTGCTCGAAGAGTGGGTCATGGGCAGGGCTGATGCTAGGGTTTAATTCCAGCTACTTGACCCCTCTCCACTAGCTTCTAAGGCTCCCTTTACAGAACTTCCTCCCCACCCCCAGTATCTTCAGGAGACACATTGTGTGCCAGTGAACAGGCCAGTGGAAGAGCAAGCAGATCCCCGACTTCCAGCCCAAGAACTACACACTTTTCAAATTCCCTTTGGATTTATCACCTGACTACTCAGTAGCCTTCATCCAAGATCGAGCTAGGTGATAAAAAGCAGCTAATCAGGAAACCCTAAGTGACAAGGATAAGGAAGACTATAGTGGGGGCAAGAGGGAGTCCTGGGGAAAAAAGACCCAGGCAGGCAAAAGAAAGTGGTTTCCTGTCTGTATGTGAAGAAGAGAGCCAGAGATGAGGTTCTGCTGGGTACTTTAAAGACAAATGATGTAACTATAGGCATCAGATGTCCACCTCAGCAAAGAGAGGCAAAGTGGATTGATTACAAATGGACTGTTTTTCCCTTTTCAAGAAGAAAAAGGGGAATTGAGACTGGCATCTCTCATATTCTTCTTTGGTCAGGTTCTAACTAGAGTCCCCATCTGGTATGAAAACTTGTTCTTGGACTTACTTGCTCTTGATTGTGGCATGACAGCAGTCAAGTCATGTCTAAAATTCTATAGCCAACACTTAAAAACCAACACCACCCTTAAAGGTGACTTAAACAGGTAGAGTAATATGGTCTTGTGTGGGGGGAAATAATGCTTGTGTACAGTCAAGCCTCAGAGCCACTGAGCTGGAGTATAGGCAGGCATGAAAGCAAGTCAGTATGCAGCAGCGTGGATATTCAAGCCATTTTGCCTTCGTTTGTTTGTTTGTTTGTTTTGGGGATTTTTTTTTCTTTTTTAAAGAGACAGGATCTTTCTCTGTCACCCAGGCTGGATTGCAGTGGTGCAATCATAGCTCACTGCAGCCTCAAACTCCTGGGTTCAAGGGATCCTCCCACCTCAGCCTCCTGAGTAACTAGGGATACAGGCATGCACCACTGCACCTGGCTAATTGATTTTTATTTTTATTTTTTTGAGACAGTCTCACTATGTTGCCCAGCTTGGTCTCGAACTCCCAACCACAGCAATCTTCCTGCCTCAGCCTCCCAAAGTGCTAGGATTATAGGCATGAGCCACTGCACCTGGCCTATTTTGCCTTTGAAATAACTAATTATCAAACCATAAGCCAACCTTTCCTGCTTGAATGCAGGTTACTCCTTTCTGTTTATATGAAGCCTTTTTTCAGCTTAACACGTGTTAAAAGATTTTGCTGCCATGAGAATTGACAGATTTACAGGAGACAAAGGTTAGATTTGTACTGGGGGAAGGTTGAGTTCTAACATTAATGGGTAAGTTAAATACGCAAATTATGTGATTCCTGTGGAAGCACATGATGTCGTAGATATATCAAATATTTTAAGATTATAAGACATCAACATTTTGAGAAAATATTTGAGACCATTTACAAAGTTGCATTCTTGGCATTGCTAGGTAAATTTGCCCTAAGACACTTGCTAGGATCCTAAAGCTACTCTAAGCAGAAGCCTTTGGGTTTGATGATTATCAACTCATTGGCAATCTCAGAAGAAATAGTATTAGCAATATGGTGGGTCAGAGATTGTTGTAGATACTCAACAGGTATAAGATGCCCCAGTTCTAGAAGGCAATACCCTAGGAATTTGGGGGCAAAGACAGATGATATGCCTCACTTCTTGGTGAGGAGCATTACTTACTTCTGGGTGCTTGAAGGAAGGTGCTTAGCTCTGCAGCCCCAGTAACTCCACTGGGTGTTTGTTGTGGTGGTACAGTGACCCATTAGGACACTGAAAAGTGTTCCGAGTTAGTCTGGGTTGGGATTGTTCTAACACAATTCTGGAGGGTGAATTCAATAAGGGATCAGTGGGCAGTATGTTTTCTAACCCTGCAGACAAAACCCTCAGGACCCTAGGAGATGAGCTCCATTTTGGATCATCTGGCAGTTTGGGCACAATGAATGGAGACCGAGACATTTAGCTCCTCATTGCAGCAACCTGCTGTGCTATTAAGAGCTCTGCAGACATTTCCAGGCCTCCTGTGGTCCTAGAAGCAGAGCAGGATGTAGATTACTAATAATATCAGAAAACCAGCCCAACAGGGCCACAGCATGGAGGTGGGGTGACCATCCTGGGGCAGCTAGGGGTCAGAGGTGCCAGCTGTCTTGGGCTGATGCACTGCAGGACTCGACACCGCAACACCCAGTCATCAGCATCTCATCAAACCCCAGAGACACTCAGTAGCCAAGCACGGCAGGCCAAGGAGCGGGTCCTGCCTATCAGTAAAAAGGCCCCTTTAAGCACAAGCCTGTCTGCTCTTGAGAGGAAATGGAATCTTAGGAACAGTATTGTTAAGATAAGAATGGAACTCATCCACATCACAACTGGAAGGCTAAGAATCCAGCAGCAGATAGAACTTTCTGACAGGCAGTGTGGAAAATCCTAAAATGAGCTGTGAATATAGTGACTCCACTTTCCTCTTAAGACCTCTTAAAAGAGGTTCGCCTCAGGCAGAGTTAAAGGTGGGAGCTGACCCGTTCCAAAGCAGAGGCAACGTGAACTGGCCACTAGGGGCAGGGAGCTGGGACCTTGTGTTCCCTGTTGAGGGACGATGATGTCTACCACCTTCTTGACAGAAGCATGGTGTCTCAGGCCTCTGGACACACTACAACTCAGAGTCTGTTAGCCCCAGATTTCATCTTCCTGTTAGGATCCCTTCCTAATAGCTCCAGAGGAAGATGACTGTCCATCCATCAGGCTAGGCTGGGGAGAGAGGAGGAGTTTGTAGAGCAGCAAAAATAGTCTGTCATTGAGAAGCTTCCACTGCCATCCAGCTGCTTTGGCCATGTTCAGGAGGAGAACCTGTGGCACGGAGGCATCTTTGAGATGGAGCCACAGGTAAGAGTTAGCCAGGATGTAAGCATGGCCCACTGACTTCCCAAGTCCCAAAGTCTTTTGTCCCTTCCCCCCAGTTCACGCTCAGAGATTCGCCTGGGCCGCTCTGAAAGCCTCAAGGGCCGGGAAGAGATGAAACGGTCTCGAAAGGCAGAGAACGTGCCCCGCTCTCGCAGTGATGTTGACATGGATGCTGCTGCGGAGGCTACTCGCCTGCACCAGTCAGCCTCGTCCTCTACCTCCAGCCTCTCCACCAGGTGGGCAGGGCTACAACGGCTGCACCCATGGACATCTCAGGGGTGGCGGCAAGGATAGAGGGTTGCTGAGAGTTGACATTCCCTCCACAGGTCTCTTGAGAACCCAACCCCTCCATTCACTCCCAAAATGGGCCGCAGGTAAGTGATGGGCACGGTGGTGCCTCTGTTTGGTGTCTCTGTGTCCCATCCACACCCAGCTGCTCCTCTCACCTGCAAGGGGCTGGTTGGGTGGCTGTCTCCTCTTCTGGGCCCACTGGTTTCCCATGTGCATGGGGCAAGCAGGTCGGGCAGGAGAGGGAGGGCCAAACCCTCTGTGTGAGTTCTTCCTCCTAAATGAAGCTGAGCTGCCTGTTTTCCCCCAGGAGCATTGAGTCCCCCAGTTTGGGGTTCTGCACAGATACCCTCCTTCCCCACCTCCTAGAGGATGATCTGGGCCAGCTGTCTGACCTGGAGCCAGAGCCAGATGCCCAAAATTGGCAGCATACAGTGGGCAAGGATGTGGTGGCTGGGCTAACCCAGCGGGAGATTGACCGGCAAGAGGTCATCAATGGTGAGAACGTGCTCCACTGCCCCCAGCTCCGCTCACACGTGTGGGAATAGGTCCAGAATGCCTAAGACACAAGGGTGGGAAAGAGGTAAATAGGGTGGGGGGCCCCTGTGTGCTGGAGCAGGTCCACATTGCCTGTTGCTATAAGGTTCCCCTCAGTTCTGGCCCTTGGAGTAAGAGAAAAGTTGCTGTATGATCTGAAACTGGCACTTCAGTTCCCCCAAAAATAGAGTGGTGTGGGAACCAGGTCAGGGACTCTAGATACTTGCTGATCCGTTTTCTCCCTGGCTTTCTACCCTCCTTGTCACAACCACCGCTCAGAGCTGTTTGTGACTGAAGCTTCCCACCTGCGCACACTCCGGGTCCTGGACCTGATCTTCTACCAGCGAATGAAGAAGGAGAACCTGATGCCCCGGGAGGAGCTGGCCCGGCTCTTCCCGAACCTGCCTGAACTCATAGAGATTCACAGTAAGGAGCCTGTGCCCCTCCAGACTCCTCTTCTGCTGCCCTTCAGCTTCCTGTTCCACTTTGGCCCCACTGCCAGGACCTCCCTGAGTAGGTAACCTCCCACCAATCCCTGGTGAGAAAAAGATCTGTGGACAGCCTGAAACCAGCACTGGAGTTCACCCCGAAAGTACAATGGTTTCCAGACCCTTCCCATGGCACTGCTGTCAGAGATTCACTTCTCTCTGTCAGAAAGGTTCTGGCAGTTGAGCTCAACCCCAGGCATTTCTATTTGTTCTCTTCCTGCCCCAGATTCCTGGTGTGAAGCCATGAAGAAGCTCCGGGAGGAAGGCCCCATCATCAAAGAGATCAGTGACCTCATGCTGGCCCGGGTATGGCTCCAAACTTCTCCCTCTTGGCAAGGAGGAGATTGGGGGAGGCAGGGTCTCATTACCCAAGGCCAGAGAATTTGGCAAAGGCAGGGGTCTGGTCCCAGGCAGGGGTTTGATGCCTGGCCCCGTGTCCATTCTGCCTCTTCAGTTTGATGGCCCTGCCCGAGAGGAACTCCAGCAAGTGGCTGCACAGTTCTGTTCCTATCAGTCAATAGCCCTAGAGCTAATCAAGACCAAGCAACGCAAGGAGAGTCGATTCCAGCTCTTCATGCAGGTGCGTCCTTGGCCATGCCTTGGCCTTCCTTCATCTCCATCAAGGTCACCAAGGATCTCCTGAACTTCTCTCCTTCTGGCCACATCATCCCTGTCTACAGCAACTCCCTCTACCCTTCGACACACGCTCCTCAAAAGCACTGACTCACTCTAGACAAAGAGACTTCTGTTTGTTGGAAAGAATCCTGGATTAGCAGTCAGAGGCCTGGCTCACCCACCAGCACCTGTGTGTCCTGAGATGGATCTCAGTTTCCTTGTCTATAGAATGGCAGCAATATGCCTGCCCTTCTGTTTTGACCATATCCCTTTGGATTGGTGTCTCCCTGCCACCACACACCCTTCTCTACATCTTTAAGGAAGAAGCTTCCACTGCCATTTCTGAGTGATCCATCTGGCGTTAGGACCTGTTTGTCATGTTCACACCCATCTTGGCCCTGAGCCCATAAGCCAGCTCCCAGCCACGCTGACATCTCCTCCCTTCTGTGTCTCCTGCTGTCTAGGAGGCTGAGAGCCACCCTCAGTGTCGGCGGCTGCAGCTGAGAGACCTCATCATCTCTGAGATGCAGCGGCTCACCAAGTACCCGCTGCTGCTGGAGAGCATCATCAAGCACACAGAGGGTAGCACCTGGGGAGGGGCTGGCATCACAGGCAGTGGGCCTCGTGCCAGACCCTCATTCTGACACTGCTTTGTGACCTTAGCAAGTCACTGTGCCTTGTGGTCTTTGGTGTCTTCGTCCTTTTTCTGTTGTGGGGTGTTTCAGAGAAGAAAATGATTGTAAATGTCCTTTGGAAAATATAAGGTGTTTAATAGTGGGAGGAGTAGGGGCCACCATCGAAGGCCACCTGTGTGGGCCTTTGTGCAAATCCAAGGAAAGCATCCGGTGCCCAACACAGGCTGGCACTCAAGGGCACCTGGGTCCCTCTGGTTGCATGGGGCTGGATTTTATCCCCATTCATGCCCCCTGCAGTGCACAAAAGACACAGCCTATGTGGTTACACTAGAGGGGCAGGGGACCAGACTGAACAAGAGGGTCTAGCCTCAGGTTATCACTCTCCCTGGGATCCTGGGCATCTTTCACTACCCCCAAATTTCAGACATTGGAGTCAGGACAGAGAGGTGTTAGGAACCCCAATCTGATTTGAACAGGCTTTCTAGAGGCATAATTGTGGCCATTTACCACAGTCTCTGTCCCTTGCATCTGTAGAGCTGGTTGTAGTAGAGGCAGGGATTCCCAGGAGCTATCAGCGTCTTCAAAGCAGTGATCTGTCTGAGACCTGAAGATGCTCAGTAAAAGTTACCCTTACCACTTGGGGTCCTCATGTGAGGCAAGGGTGGCTCCCCTCCACCCACGCCTGCTGGTTTGAAGCAAGCCAGCTGCCATGGATGAATAGGCAGATAACAGCTGGCGCCATGTTGGACTTCTCAGGCAGGAGCCCCAACCATCTCTTCTGTCCATTTTGGTAGGTGGCACCTCTGAGCATGAGAAGCTGTGCCGGGCCCGGGACCAGTGCCGGGAGATTCTCAAGTATGTGAATGAAGCGGTAAAACAAACAGAGAACCGCCACCGTTTAGAGGGCTACCAGAAACGCCTGGATGCCACCGCCCTGGAGAGGGCCAGCAACCCCCTGGCAGCAGAGTTCAAGGTAGGAGGCAGAGGCTGCAGCAGTCAACCCCTCACACTTTGTGGGTACCCTTAGGAGCAGAACACTGGTCAGGGCTTGGAGAGTCTTAGAGGTAGGAGACAGAGACCAGATAGGGTGGCACAATGGAGCCCCAGAAGACACACACCCTGCTATTGTCACCCTGTCCCTAGATGGACAAGGCAGGCCGCCCCACCTAAGAAAGACTAGATGTTGGAACTCAGCCTGAGAGAGCAGGGGATGGGGTAGAACTGGAGGTAAGGTGGAGATCTTCTGGGAGGGAATAGAGCTGGAGGCATGGGCAGGAAAAGCAGTATGTGATCTTCTTGGGACTGTAGCTGGCACGTGGTAGGGGCAGGTGGGAGACCCAAGTCAGAGCCATTGGTATATCCCCCTGCTGCCACATGGCACATGACTTCACAGTTACCTTTTTGCTTGTCTTCATCCCGCACAAGAGAGTAAGGGCAAGGACTTTTTCTTATTTACCAATTCCCAGCACCTTAACACAATGTCTGGCACACAGTAGGCTCTCAAACACTTGAATGAATGAATGAATGAATGAATGAATGAATGGTGTCTCCTTAACAGAGCCTGGATCTTACAACCAGAAAAATGATCCATGAGGGACCCCTGACCTGGAGGATCAGCAAGGATAAGACCTTGGGTATGTGCCAGGGGACTGGGACTGAGCAGGAACCTGTAGTGGGTGGGCCTCCCTGGGCTCTTCTGTCTTTCCCAAGCATGGAAACATGACTGGAGGTGATAGCTCAGGACATGGGAAGGGAATAATCAGAGAGAGAAATGGGGTCACCAGACTCCCAGGACTTCCTAGAGCCTCCAAGAGCCTGTGGCCCTGCATTGTGCTCATGAGGGATGAGTAGGCACCAGGGAACACCTTCCCATGACCATACCCCTCCAGACCTCCACGTGCTGCTGCTGGAGGACCTCCTAGTGCTGCTACAGAAACAGGATGAGAAGCTATTGCTGAAGTGCCACAGCAAGACTGCTGTGGGCTCCTCAGACAGCAAGCAGACCTTCAGCCCCGTGCTCAAGCTCAATGCTGTGCTCATCCGCTCTGTGGCCACAGGTACCTGGGGAGATGGTCCAGGCTGGCCTGGGGCTCAGGGACCATGTCCAGCAAGTGCTGGGTGAGGCAGGGCCAGTCTGGAGCCTTTACAGGACCTACCTGTCCACCTGTGTTCCTTTCCTCCTGTCCTGACCCAGCCTAAGTGGTAGGACTGGCCCAAAGTGGGGTAGGATGAGGGTTAGGATGGGGACCAAGAGGAAGACAGACAACCTGGCACAGGGGTGGTCAGCAGTCCCCAAGCACAGTGCTGGATGGGATGTGCACACCCAGGATGGGTGAGAGTGTCTGAGCAGGATTGGGAAGAATGGGATTAGGCAGAATGAGTAGGACAAGCCTTTCTGCTACAGAGTGACTTGGGCAGAGCTTGGTTACAGAAGATGTTAGTACCCACGGTACAGAGCTGGGTCCAGTGGACAGGGACATTTCAATGAGAAGTGTAGTGTGTGTGAGAAAGGGCTCTGGAGCAAAATTCTCTGGATTCACTTTCTTCGTCTGTAAGATAGGAGTGATACCTACCCTACCTCTTGTGGGCATCAAAAGGGATGACGGGTATGAAAAAGTTTTATAAACCCTTGACCAGGCACTGTGGCTCATGCCTGTAATCCCAGCCCTTTGGGAGGCCGAGGCACTCAGATCACTTGAGGTCAGGAGTTCAAGACCAGCCTGGCCAACATGGTGAAACCCTATCTCTACTAAAAATACAAAAATTAGCCAGGCATGTTGGCAGGCACCTGTAATTCCAGTTACTCGGGAGGCTGAGGCAGGAGAATCACTTGAACCCGGGAGGCGCAGGTTGCAGTGAGCCAAGATGGCACCACTACATTCTAGCCTGGGTGACAGAGCAAGAATCCGTTTCAAAAAAAAAAAAAGTTTTATAACTCCTAAGCACCATACACCTATCAGCCATCACTGTTATTAGAGCAGGAGAGGAATGGGGGTGGCTGTGGAAGATGACATTAGGGGTCCTGGAATTTCCTCTGTCCCTTATGTAAGTGGGTTCCAAGTGGTCCTGAAGATCCACATCTGTCTCGTGCTGCACTCTCCATCTGCGTTGAGGGTCAGGGCTTTGAGTCCCACTCTGTCACCCTGGCCCAGGCTGCAGTCACACCTGCCATCCCTAGTACAGACCCTTCTACCTTCCTTTCCTCACACAGATAAACGGGCCTTCTTCATCATCTGCACCTCCAAGCTGGGCCCACCCCAGATCTATGAGCTGGTTGCATTGACGTCATCAGACAAGAACACGTGAGAATTGATTGAGGGGTTACCCGTAACTGTGGTCCCTTTCGGACCAGGGTGGTGTTTATGAGGACAGTGGGTAGCAAGGCCAGGTTTGGGCCCCAAAGCAGTCCCTGGACAAGGGGTTGGGAAGGAAGTGGGAGGTAGGACAGAAGTAGAGAAGCTGGGAGGGGTCATCACCCCCGACCTGGTCACCAGGCCCGCTTCTGGGAGAATGAGCTTCTGGCAGTCTTCCAGCCGCTGCTGCTGCTTCTTTCCTTCCTGCCCTACTCCCTTCACCATTAGGCAGATTAGATTCATGCATCCTTCTCAGGCATTTGCCTCCCACCCAGCCCATGTTCTTTGACAGCAGCTGCCAGAGGTGGCATGGTACAGTGGAAGGAGACAGGTTGAGTCAGACTGTTTCCCAACTCCAGGGTTTTCATCTGTAAAATGTGGCTAATGCTACCTGTTAGAGGATTACTTTAGAGGGAAAACATAGAATGCTTTGCACAGAGTGTAACAGAGGGTTGGTGTCCAGGATTTGGTAGCTGCAAGTAATATAACCGCAAGGGAGCAGCCAGGGAGGACTGTACAGGGAGGTGGGCACCTGCCAGGCAGAGGGTTCTTAGGGCCTGGAAGCCCTGTTCCAGTGGGCTCAGTACGGGGTGGTGCGTGCTGCTATCTTGCTCTCACTACAGTCCTCTCTGTTCCTGCCGAGCAACAGATGGATGGAGCTCTTAGAAGAGGCCGTGCGGAATGCCACCAGGCACCCCGGAGCTGCCCCAATGCCCGTCCATCCTCCACCCCCAGGTCCCCGGGAGCCAGCCCAGCAGGGCCCCACACCCAGCAGGTGCAGTGCTTAGCCCTCCAGACCCTGCACTCTCTCCACTCCAAACCTCCTGTTTCCTGCTGCTTTTAAGCCCTTCGCCCCCGTGGGTAGACAGCCACAACAGGGAAATGCTAGCAGGGAGCAGACAGCTCCAAGTGCTGGCAGATGGAGGAACATGCCCCCTGTCCCTGCTTCTTGTCCCTGTCTGCTCCCCCACAGCCTGCCACCTGGCTATAATAGAGCTGAGCCTGAAGAAGGGTGAGGGGGATGTAGAGCAAGGGACCAGAGAAGCTCAGCTAGCAGCCCCCCTCCTCTCTGGGTTGCCAAGCAGACCAGCCAGGTGAAGAGGCCCACACCGTCCTTCTCGGATCCTACTCCATTGCCCATTCTAATGCATGAGTCCAGGGTGGAATCTCATGGGATCTCATCCTGTGTTGGTTTCCTTCCTCAGGGTAGAACTGGATGACTCAGACGTGTTCCATGGTGAACCTGAACCTGAGGAGCTGCCTGGAGGTAAGGGCCCTGAACTGTCCTGTGGGAGCCAGCCCAGGCCTTTTTCTGTAGGCACAGGTTGGGTGTGAGTATGGGGGCGATGGGAGAGTCCATCAGGGCCCGGGGTGTGAGGTTTTGATAAAGAGTAGAGAAGAAACAGGGCGGGAGGAAGAGTCTGGAAGAGGAAGGAGAGCAGACTGAACAGACTTAAGAAAGGGTGAACTCGCTCACCTGACCAGAAATTCCCACCCAGCCTCTCTGGGTGACGGCATCAGCTGTGGAAGAAGACGAGCAGTCTGGCGGGATCCACGGGCCCTGCATCCTCCAGCCAGGGGTTACTGTTGGGGAGGGAGATACATGCTGCAACAATGAGAATGGAAAACATGGCGGGGCTGGGGAGCTCAAAGGGCTTAAGATGCAGTTACTGTGATGGGATTGGTAGAGGGGACAGCATTCTCATTGAGAGCTTGCGTGAGAAATAACCTGGGGTCTTGGGTTTCAGGAGAAATCTCGGGTTTCCTGGCTGGGTCCCTGTTGTTTCCTTCTGCTTAGAATGCTTTTCCTCCTAACGCCACACCTCCTTCACGTCTTCATTCCAGTGTCCTCTTGGCCCAATCTGTTTAATACTGTAGCCAGCACTGTCCAGCCCCTAGCCCCATGCCCTGTTGTTGTTTTCTTCTTTCCGGTGGAAGTTACTGCCTTCTAACAAACTACATAATTGACTGAAGTGTCTTATTTTTGTATGTCCCTCCCCTAGAATGTAAGCTCAACATAGGCAGGGATCTTTTTGTTTTGCTTACTGTTGTATGCCAAGAGCCTGGGACAGTGCTGGCCATGGGAAGTTCTCAGTAAACAACTGTAGAATAAGTCAGTGTTCCCAGCCCCTTGGCTCCAAAGCTGCCCATAGGCTCTCCCATACGTGCCCTCTCCCTTTCCCTGCCTTACAATCTTCTCTCATCCGAAACAGGCACTGGGTCCCAGCAGAGGGTCCAAGGGAAGCACCAGGTCCTGCTAGAGGACCCTGAGCAGGAGGGCAGTGCAGAGGAAGAGGAACTGGGTGTCCTGCCTTGCCCTTCCACATCCCTGGATGGAGAGAACAGGGGCATCAGGACAAGGAACCCCATCCACTTGGCCTTCCCAGGCCCTCTGTTCATGGAAGGGCTCGCTGACTCCGCTCTGGAAGATGGTGAGTGCTTCAAGGCCCTGCCGTCAGCCCCTGGTCCCCAGTCGCACACCCAGTGTGAACTGGCAGGCGCCTGCACCCTCCACCTTCCCGAAGGCTCTTCCTGGTGTGCTTGAGGAGAGATGGATGCGGAGACAGATGTCATTCCCCACCCAACCCCCACCAGCTAGTTGGCCAGAGCCCTCCAGCTTCACCTGTGCCTGAGGTCACCACCTTGGGGTCAGTGGGGCAGTACAACGATCCTTCTGGCGTGGTGTGCAGTCCCATGCTGGGAAGACATCACCCTGTTTCCCCTCCAGTGGAGAACCTGCGACATCTGATCCTGTGGAGCCTGCTGCCAGGTCACACCATGGAAACTCAGGCTGCCCAGGAGCCCGAGGACGACCTGACACCCACACCTTCTGTCATCAGCGTCACCTCTCACCCCTGGGACCCAGGCTCCCCAGGGCAAGCACCCCCTGGGGGTGAAGGGGACAACACCCAGCTTGCAGGGCTGGAGGGGGAACGGCCAGAGCAGGAAGACATGGGTCTCTGTTCTCTGGAACACCTACCCCCAAGGACCAGAAATTCTGGGATATGGGAGTCTCCAGAACTGGACAGGAATCTGGCTGAAGATGCTTCAAGCACAGAGGCAGCAGGAGGTTACAAAGTTGTGAGAAAAGGTAAAATAAATGGGAGTGTCCAGTGGGGAGACAAGCACCCTTGCTAGGTGAGATAAGTCTTCCGAACAGCTGCTTCCTTCCCTATACTCCCCCTGGGTACCGTGTGAGCAGAGACCTACGCTGGGTCCTGGAAGAAGGAGACAACGCCGATATCAGGCAGGCTTTGGAGTTGGACATTCGAGATTCAGAGCTTAGCTCTGCCACTTAATATCTGTGTGGCTTTAGACAAAATTCTGAATCATCTCTGAACTTTGTTTTATAGCACATAAGGACATTTCTTTCTGCCTGGCACAAACCAACTACCAGTACCAGTCTCTGTTAGTGCTCCTCACTGATCTCCTGTTCCCAGGGAAAAGAGCCACTCTTCTCAGGAGCCTCAGGCCGGGAAAGACAGGGCAGGTGCATGCAGCCCCTCACGCCAGGCAACAGCTCCAAGGGCAGTAGAGGTGGCAGCTGGGACTGGAAGGGGTGGAGGACAAAGCTGGGAAGACATTTGGCGAGTGAGGGATGTGGGGAGTGAACAAGGTGGCAGGGAGGGCACCCCGGGTTGGGAAACACCATGGACGGCCTTGAGACAAGAAAAGCCAAGACAAGCTCACAGGGAGGCCAATAGATGAGCCCAGGGAGGAAGGTCCCCACCCCGGGAAGAGTGGGCTGGTCTGAGAGGGTGGCAAGAAAAGTAGAACAAAGCCTGGGGCACACATGGGATGGGGTTCCACGCTAGTGGGCCTGCCCTCCCCTGGGATTCCACTCTGCCTCCCTTCCAGCAGCATTTTTCATTCCATCTGCCCAAGGGCCACCTGTCTCCTGGGTTTCTGGGAACTGACCTTCCTTCTCTGTCTCTCGGTGAATTGGTGGAAAGTTCTCTGCACTGCCTGGGATGTCATCGTGTATGATCTTGTGTTCACCTTGTTCTTCCCATTTTCTCCTCCCCCTGTCCCCACCTCCTGCCCTCTCTCCTTCCTGTTCTCTCTCCCTTCCCTTTCCTTGTGTTTTGGTCTCTCCTCTTCCTGGTGGTGGTGGTGTCGGTGCAGCTGAGGTGGCAGGCAGCAAGGTTGTCCCTGCACTACCAGAGAGTGGCCAGTCAGAGCCTGGGCCACCTGAAGTGGAAGGCGGAACAAAGGCTACGGGTAATAACTTTCTCCTTGGAGCTAAAGACAGGCCAAGACTGGAGTGTGGAACCTGTGAGGGCAGAGTCGGACCCCTGCCCATGGTCACACACACACCCACAAGCTCCCTCAGCTGCCTGGAATGGGGAGGAGGAAGATCTGGCTCTAAAGACGGGGAGATCTGGTTCTAAAGGCTGGCTGTCCATCCAGCCTTAAGAAGCCACCTGTCCAGGCTCCTGTTCAGAATGGCAGGGATAAATGCCTGTGTGCAATTGTGGGAGGGGCAGGGAAGCCTGGCCTGGGGGTGGGGACCTAGTGTCCTTCACCTGATATGCAAGCAGCCACTTCCCCACCTCAGCCGCCGCTCCAGTGTCACTGTGGAAATCGGCTGAAAGAGCCTCCCAGATTCCGCGGTGGTTCTCTGTGCTTCCTGCCTGTCAGGAACCCTCCACGTCCTTCCTCCAGCTCTCTCTGACACCCCTTGGTTGGGTCAAGGGACCTCCAGAGGATCGTGGCATGGATGGAAGAGGGGCAGGGCAGGGCTGTAGTTCATCCAGAGCTGGAGTCAGGCAGGGCAAGAGGGCTGCTGCCTGCTCCTTTCAGAAGAGCCTGAAACCAGCTCACAATCTGTTTACTCAAGGAGGGGGAGCCACTCCAATTTCCCCAAATGAAACACTGCAGCTCTGCCACTTCTCCCTTGAGTTCATCGCTCAGCATCTCCCCCAGCTTGGGGCCAGACTGAGCAAGTGTCATCTAGAAGGTCTCGGGAGCAGGGCTTTTAGGGGGCTGGCAGACAGTGAGCAAGGCCCACGTTCTCTGAGTTTGTCTGGAGAGGACTGCCTGGCCTGCTCTGTCAGGTGGCTGGGGAATCCCACAGGAACGGGAGGATAGCTTCGACTTCTCTGTTTGCCTCCTGATCTCATTCTCTTACTGTGGGGACAGGGAACTGCTTTTATGTCAGCATGCCATCAGGACCCCCGGACTCAAGCACCGACCACTCAGAGGCACCCATGAGCCCCCCTCAGCCTGACAGCCTCCCTGCAGGGCAGACAGAGCCTCAGCCTCAGCTGCAGGGAGGCAACGATGATCCAAGACGCCCCAGCCGCTCTCCTCCAAGCCTGGCCCTCAGGGACGTGGGCATGATCTTCCATACCATTGAGCAGCTCACTCTCAAGCTCAACAGGCTCAAGGTGAGGGAAGCAGGGCTTGGGTCCCTGCAGGCCTTCAGTCCATCACCCCAAAACCATTCCCCATGAGTGAGATGTGTGTCTTCGCGGGAGCCCTAGATCCTGTCCTGGCCCAGGGATCTTCCCCCAGCCCGCCCAGCCACCCTTAAATCACACCCTCCTCCCCAAGGCCCAGCACAGACCCCTTCCCCAGGGGCCTTAGGAATAGAAGGACTCGAGCAGACATTCCCCCGCCGACTCTTCCAGGATATGGAGCTGGCCCACAGAGAGCTGCTCAAGTCCCTTGGGGGAGAGTCATCTGGTGGCACCACGCCTGTGGGCAGTTTCCACACAGAAGCAGCTAGATGGACAGATGGCTCCCTCTCACCTCCCGCTAAGGAGCCCCTAGCTTCTGACTCCAGGAACAGCCATGAACTGGGGCCCTGCCCTGAGGATGGTGAGTGAAGCCAGGTCCCTCTCGGTTCCTACCATTGGGGGAGAAGTCTGCCAACTCGTGAGGACACATCACTAAGCAGTGAGAGATGGTGGTTCTGAGAGTGGTTTCCCCTTGAGTGAAACGAGTTCATTCTCTCAGCTTCAGAGAGGGATCTTTTTAGGGAAGTCCCACAGAAGCTCCCTGGCAAAATGGGGAGCTTAGCACTGAGCCCTCTTTTTCCTTGTGCTATGGAGGTAACAAACCAGGAGGAGCCTGTTCTCACCTCTAAGACTTGTTCTTTTTTTAATTTTATATATATATATATATATATATATATATTTTTTTTTTTTTTTTTTCTATTTATTTGAGACAAGGGCTGGCCTGGCTATGTTGCCCAGGCTGGTCTCAAACTCCTGGGCCGAAGTGATCCACCCACCTCAGCCTCCAAAGCAGCTGGGATTGCAGGTGCACACCATGGTGTCGGCCTAAGACTCGTGCTGATTAAATGATTCAGAACCACACTGGGTGGGCCAGGGACACAGCTATGTCATAACTCAGGAAGACAAGGCACATACCTACCTGACCTAAGGGCTTTAGGCGCTGATGAAAGTGGAGTTCAGTAGACAGCCCTTTTCAAGCCCTACGAGAAACTGGGGTTTCTGGAGGAGAAGGAAGGTGATGAAGGATCTGTTCTCGTGAGCCTGAACTTTCTAGACAAAACATGTGGAAGCGGTCACCTCAGGCTGGCCAGTTCCTCACCTTCATCCTCCTCCCACAGGCTCTGACGCCCCCCTGGAAGACAGCACAGCAGACGCAGCCGCGTCACCAGGACCATAACCGTACAAACCACCAAATCCTCTGCGTCCCCACTCCTCCTTCAGGGACTGGCCTGAGACCGGGGCACAGGGTAGGGGGGATCCCAACACTCCTCCCTGTGGAGGAGGCAGTTAGGGAAACTAGGATCCAGCCAAGGCCCGGGGGGAGACCCGCATGTTGCTTGGTCTGCTCAAGTCGGAGTCAGGTTTCAGTGTCTTTTCCCTCCCTTAGCCCAACCCTCCAAGGCCTCATGTCTCCTAAGCATGCTGACTGCATCCGAAAGGCCCCCACTCACCATGGTCTGCCCTCACCCCACATATGTGTGTACACGCGCACGCCTGTATGTGCGCTGCCCTCAGACATGCAAGTGAAAGGAGGAGGCTTCTGTGTAAATGCACTTTCTTCCTCCCCTCTTTCTCCATAAGACCCCAGGCAGAGGTGGGTGCCTCCCCTCCCCTCTTTGTCACTTTGGTTTCCTATAAATATGTATGTATCGTATGTGCATCTTTGCTATTGTAAATAACTTTGACCTTTTTTGTTCCTGTTCCTGAAGTGCTGGAGGCAGTTATGGAAGGAGCTGCTTAGGGAAGAGGGGTTTCACTTGTATCTCCTTAGTTAACAACCCAGTTCCAGGATCGAGCCTAAAGCGGGAGCCAGGCCTGAGTGTTCCTGTCCCTGTGAGTGGGAAGGTCTTCTGGCTCCCCATCCCACCTGGCTCCAGAGCCTGCCCTCCACAGCTTGCTGCCAAGCTACTCCCTCCCTCCCTGGACTTCTCATCTTCACAAGATGGGGATCATGGGGGTTTCTTACCCCACCTATGTCCCCCTCTTCCCCACCCTGTCCCTGTAGAAAACCAGTGAAGCAGGTACGGAGCTGAGGACTGGGCCCCAGGAGGTGGGGACAGGGGTCTGAATGCCGAGTCCCTGAATTCACCCAGGACCATCCAAGGGGCCACCGCAGCATTGGCCCCATCACCACGTCCTCACCCAACTCTCCCTGATGAATAGAATATACACACTGTGCTAGGTGTATATATACATATATATATATATAAATATATATATAATATATAAAATATAGATATGGAAATGACTGTTCTGCTGTTAAGATAATGTATACTCTTTTATTTTCTTCCTTTCATGGTTAAGATTTTTTTTTTAAGAAAAGTTAAATATCCTTCAGTGGTGGTGTGTGTGTTTCTTGGAATCGCTGTGATAAAAGGTACGGTGTTTGTTCCCTGTAAGACTGGTTAGGATTGGATAGTGGGAACCAGAGGGAGCCCTCTCACCCCCAGACCCAGATCTTGCCTGTTCCCTCCCAGAGCTTCAGCTGTGCACTCACTGAACTAGGGACTGGGCAAACTTAAGTTGTACAACCCCCATGGAGAAAACATGACAAGACACTGAACTCAGTTACACACACACAGATATATA